>NC_000015.10:77026874-78276874 GCF_000001405.40 Homo sapiens | reverse complement strand
ACGGAGGGAACAGAAGTCCAGGCCTCAGTCACCCCACCAGACTTGAGTCTTATCTCCAGCTGCCACTGCCCTGGGGGCAGGCTTATTGGTGGTTACCTCCCTGCCTGCCCTGAACCTACCCCTTTTGCACCAAACCTCAAATGGCCATAGAAAAAGGTAATCCCAGCCCCACGGCCAGTGAGGGGACTACAGCAACACTGCAAATGGCTGGTGCTGGGGCCCAGGCTGCTTCGGTGGCGTAGCCGCCACCACACCCATCCAGACATTCTTTGCTATGCACAGCTGACCTTAGTGCTATTCAGAAGCAGCTTCAAGTCAAGGTCCCTGGCCTGGCCTCTCTCCCTTCTCAGCCCCTTCTAGGCAGGTGCTCTGGTGCCCACACAAACCCTCAACTACAGTGAACACACCAACCCTCCTGGGAGATGAGTGCCCTGGTGTCTACAGGGGGGTTGGGGGCTGAGCTCAGGCCTCAGGAACCCTTTCGGCCTAGAGGCATCTCCCTCTGGCTCCCATGGGTGTGTGCAGACCAGCAATTCCTGTGGAAACCTCCAAGGATAAACTGATAGGCAAAGTCTTTCTTACAGGAAAATTCTATTTTAAAATGTAACTCATGTAATGAACAACAGAGGCTACAGGAACATGTGGATGAATCAGCACAAATCACCACTTGATAGAAAAACACCACCTATTAAGCTGTTTTCTTATACAAAAATAAATTTTTAAAAACTTAAGTTTAATTGCCAGAATTCATCTAAAATTCAGAGCCCCAAGATTCTTATTTGAGACTTTCCCCCCAACTGAATATTTTTTCTAGGAGAATATACAAGAACTTTATAAATTATCCAGAGTTATTAGGGACAGTTTTAAATTTAGAGAAAATCACATCATACTAATTTGTGTAACAGAATTTGACCTTAAATGTGAAATCAGGGGAACTATTCCCAACACAAAGAAATAAATACTCAAGGCGACAGATGCCCTAAACACGTGGCTTGATCATTACCCATTTTATGCAAGGGACAAAGTATCACATGCACCCCATCAATATGTAAAATATTATGTAGCAATAAAAAAATCAGGCTAACTTGCCAGAATTATTATGCCAAACATACAGAACATCAATGGAAACACACTTTGAAACATTACCTGCTTTGGATGTAATAACAAGAATTCGATTGTCCAATGTTTTTATCGTCTTCTTGAAGCCACAAAGAGCTTCAGAAAGCTGAATTTTCATTTTCATGATCAAGTCATGGCCTCGTCTCTGAAAGACACTATGATCCTTCTGATCAAGCACAATTATGACATCACCAGGCTCCAGCTCAGGCTCCTGATCTCCTTCTCCATGAAATAGTATCTTTTGCCCATCTTTCATACCTATGAAACATCATCCCTTTCTGATTAGCCATTTCTCATACAAACCATGCTTCCTTAAAGCTTTTGAAGAAGGAACAGAGTCCTTCAGGGATTCTTTATTCATCAAGTCTCCCAACCTCATGCAGGCACAAGGCAGGGAGGGGTGGCTAGGATGGCCAATGACAGAAGAGGTCCCGCTTCCCTTGGCATAATGTGGGGCCAAGCCCAGCATGCACAGGGAGTGGGGGAATGCGGCTCTACATCCCAGGTTTACACAGCACTCCCTGCCCAGGGCCTGTGATGCCACACCACCAGCATAGGGTCACCGCCCACTTCCCGGGGCACAGGGTGCATGACTTGGGACTGATAGGGACAGGTCAGCCAGCCCTGTCCTTTTCTAATAAGTCAGCTTGCACACTCAAGGCACAGGGTTTAGGCATGTTTAAACAGTAAGTCCTTTAATAACACCTGTGTCGGTTTGGCTGTTGATTCTTTTACTTTTGGTCTCATCTCTGATCTAGGATATATTTACTGGATTGGAAAGCCACAGAATCATCGGAATACTTGGAGGACAGCTAAAATGGAAAAAGGCCTTAAAATGATGGCATCAGGCAAAATGAATAGCAGGAGAAGGTGCTGTATTTGGGGGAATCTGATGCAGCACATGGGGAAATGTGGAGAAAGGGAACATGCAGCCACAAACACTTACACAAGCCCTTATGGCCAATGAGCATCAGAAGCGACCAGGAAGACACTCCGAAAGATTCTAGAGGAATGGCTTGAGAATGTCAGGAGATGGCAACTAACCCAAACCAAGGCCAGGTAAGACTTTCAGAGCGTTAGAAAACCTCATAAAGAGGCTGTCTGTGATCTCAAGGAAGTAAACCTCAGCAAGAACACTTTGGCAGGTGACATGGAATGGAAATAAGGCCAGGAAGGGTGAAGAGAAGACTGGGAAACAAGAGGAATTCATGGCACACCCAATACATGTTGTGATACAGCTCACTTCCCTGACATCTAGTCTGTGTATCTCACGATTAGCACCCAGACAGCATTTCCAGCCCGTGTGGAGCACCAGCTCTGCGCAGCCTCACCTTTTTCAACATGTACCTCGATAATCTTCTTCTCACGGATCACCTTGGCCCCGCTGCAGCTCTCGCAGCGGTCCTTGGGGTTGATGCGCTCACCCTGGCCCTTGCACTCGATGCACACGGTCTGGATCTGCTGTACCATGCCCGGCCCGATCTGCTGGATGTGGATCTGCATCCCCCGCCCCTTGCACAGCGGGCACTTCTCCACCGATCCCTTCTTCCCACCAACACCTGCAGGGTCAGGGGAGGCAGGAATGAGGGCCATGCTCTTCCCTTACCAGTGTCCCTGCTGGGCGCCATGGCAGAAGGGTAGGGAACCCTCACATTGGACAATGGGCTTAGAATTCTATTTACAATAATAAAAAACAATGCAGAAGAGTCTGGAGGAGTCCAGCCAAGCAGACAACATCCAGATGTTAACATCTGACCTCAAACGTTTGTGATTTTGGCTGCACCAATCCAAATTTATTACTTTAGCTTCATCAAATGTGTTTTCTTCCACCCCAGGTGGAACTCGCATAGGCCCACAGATGAATGAGGAGGCTGGGGCTGTGGCGATCTAGACAACACAAGCTCTGTCAATAGTGGCAGCTACCCAGCTCAGCCAATTCTCTCTGTGGGACAATGTGAGGCTGGGGTCACCAGACATGGCTTTTCTTGAAAACTCAGGTTTTTTAAAAATTACAATAATTATATATACATTTAAGTCAGGGGTCAAGAAACCATGGCCAGACTGCTTGGTTTTGTAAATAAAGCTTTACTGGAACATAGGCATGTCCATTCATTTATGTACTATGACGGCAGAGTGAACTAGCTACAAAAGACTCCATGGCCTGGAAAGCCTAAAATCTGGCTCTTTACAGAAAAAGTCTGCCAACCCCTAGATGAGGTCAAGTGTCTGATTTTTAATTTTTAAAAATAATTGTCTGTATACATATGTAACAAACCTGCACGTTGTGCACATGCACCCTAAAACTTAGAGTATAATAAAAATAAAAAATACAAAAACATAAAAAGAAATAATTGTCAACATGTCAAATAGAGGTGCAGCCCAAAGAAAACATTCATTCAGGCAAAGAAGTGTGGCCCTCAGGCCACCTGTTTGTAATCTCTGCTTGACCCTTGCATTTGAAAAAAGATAACTTATTTTCCCTGAACTATAAAACAAGCATTGTTTCTGAATCTAAGGGATCAGAACTGTGCGGTTCAGTCAAAAATTAATTTTTACCTTCACATTTCTCACAAATTACATTTTTCTGGAGGGCCAATTTCTTCGTGACTCCATTATATAGATCTTCAAGAGTTACAGATAACTGGTGTACAACATTCTTGCCTTAGCAAGGGAGAAAAAAAATTAGTGGCGTTGAATGAAATATACCATTGTATTAAATACCACCCATATGACCCTTAGTTGTATGAAGTCTCCAGAGACTCAAGACTGTGGCTGGGTCATGCGCTCCCTTCCCTGCAGGAAGCAATGCTTCTATTACCCCAGCCCATCCTTCTGGCCCTCAGCCAATAACAAGAGCTAATACCCTCTCTAGCTATGAGCTAATTATTCAATCATTTATAGAGGCCAACAAAAAGACTTTCCACCTTTATTTTCTGAGAACAAATCTGAGGACAAGGAGAGTACTAATTGAGAAACCAAAGGCAGTATTAACCCACGAAATTGGTTAAGTTTCCCCATGAAAGGAGTCCTTTCTATACATAAATGTTTGGCAGCCAAAGTCTCTGGATCTTTCACTTCCTTGGGCATAAAGCACTTTACTTTCTGAGCCCTTCTGTAACCGGTGGCCAAATGGGAATTCTTTCCTCTGCCAAAATCTTGCTTCTGCAACTCAGGACAGTGGGTGTTCAGTCCACAGGGTGGGGGTGTGCTCCAGCACCTGCCAGCCTGTCAAGACTGACAGCATCAAGACCCTCCCTGCTGCCCGTGGAGCTCCTGCAGTCACTGAGATGAGCTGTCCTGGTTTACTGGCTGCCAACTTTGAGAGATGACTTAATTAAGGGCATGAAGTTTTTCATCTCAAGACAGTGAGGGAGCTGGACAAGAGAATACCCAAGGTTTTTTTTGTTTTGTTTTGTTTTTGAGACAGAGTCTTGCTCTGTCCCCAGGCTGGAGTGCAGTGGTGCGATCTTGGCTCACTGCAAGCTCCGCCTCCTGGGTTCACGCCATTCTCCTGCCTCAGCCTCCCGAGTAGCTGGGACTACAGGCGCCTGCCACCGCGCCCACCTAAGTTTTTGTATTTTTTAGTAGAGACGGGGTTTCACCATGTTAGCCAGGATGGTCTCGATCTCCTGACCTCGTGATCCACCCACCTCGGCCTCCCAAAGTACCCAAGGTTTTATCATGTCCACACCATCAATTATAGGAGCAGGCGATATGCTCAAAGGACAGAGGAAGGATTTTTCCCTAATAAACACTTTGTGATTTTCAGCACTCTATGTTCACAGAATTGACACCCAAGCTTTTTCAAGCTCAAAGTCAATTACAATGTGATAACAAGTGCAGCTTCATTTATCTAGGGGCCTCTCACTGACCAAAGCCACACTTCTTAAACCCCAAGGCAGAGCTCATTTCTTCTGACTTTATCCAGAATTGTAATACGCTTGGTTATCTTTCTGGTTTCAAGATCCAAAGCAGCCTGACAACAGTAAACTAAACAGGGGGAATGGGAACTAGTCTATTAGCAACTACTAACAACAGAGGTGACAGCCCGTAGCCTGGCAGAGGTGAGATGCAGAAAAATTAGGAAGAACAAATCCCGAGAAAGTCAAAACAGTGGCCTGGGGCCATTGAGCTAAGGGCTAAGAAGTTCCTCATTCACCTCCTGGGGATGAAGTTGCTACTACTCATAATGCATTCTGAAAAGAAAGGCAGGTCATTTATAAAGATTTCAAAACATAAAGAGATGAATTTTGTTGCCTAGAAAATCCCCTGAGCAGGCTGGGAAATGAGGCCATACTGAACATGGCAAGAGTACCCACCTAGAATTAGAGAGCCTGCAGCCCACGCCCAGGTCAGGGAACATGGAGGGCCACAAAGGGAGGGTGGGCAAGAGGAGAGAGGAACACTCTCGGTAAAGGATCACTGACAACCACAGGCGGCGTCATCTACATCCCTCAGCACACTCTGGTGCCTGACCCCAACAACAGAGGAAAAGAAGGCACGATGAACTTCACCTTCCTCTTTTCTATCCACCACTCCATTCGCTACTTCATATGGTATTGGAGGGTGTCAGATAATTACTAAATTTACCAAGAGTTTCCAGGTAGCCTGAGCACTAGACAAGTGATAAACTCTTTAAAGTTAATGATCTCAAAACATGGCAATTGTACCTGGTGGGGTTTTTTGTTTGTTTGTTTGTTTGTTTGAGACAGGGTCTCACCCTGCCGTGCAGGCTGGAGAGCTCACTGCAGCCTCGACTTCCTGGGCTCAAGTTTTCCTCCAGCCTCAGCATCTCAAGAAGTAGCGGAGACTACAGGCATGAGTCACCATGCCTGGCTAAGTTTTTTATTTTTATTTTTTTTGAGATGGGGAGTATCACTATGTTGCCCCGGTTGGTCTTGAAATCCTGGCCTAAAACAATTCTCCCACCTTGGCCTCCCAAAGTGCTGAAATTACAGACATGAACCACCGCGCCTGGCCCAATCATATCCTTTTAAAGCATGATCTATCCTGATTCCAACAACACGTATAATTGTGGAAACCATACAACTTATTTATGTTTCTTTAAAAGCATTTACCTCTTCTCTCTCTAGCCATCCGTCCACCACCACCAAAGAACATGTCAAAGATGTCCATGGGTGAAGAGAAGCTGGGGCTGCCTGAGCCTCCTTCTTTAATTGCCTGCTCTCCGCCTTGGTCATAAACATCCCTTTTCTTTGGATCTGAAAGCACTTCATATGCCTGGGATATGAGTTTAAACTTTAAAAGAGAGAGAGAGAGAGATTTTTAGAGAAGTTTCAGTTGTTTTGTTAAGCAAACCTGCCATATAAACATACAAAGTAATAGAGGTATTCTGCCCCCAAACCCTTGAACTAGCCAGTCTATACATCCTCTACCTGGAATCTGACTTGCCTGTCTACCTACTCCTTTGGTAAAGTGGGAAACACAGGGCAAACATATTAAGGGACTGGTGGTAGGGACACGATAAGAATAAGGGAGAGAAGCCAGTAGAGAGGGAAAGTTTCTCACTAATCCGGCTGCACCAGACAGGAAGTCGAGACCAGCTAGGATACCATGAGACAGTGCCAGGGGTGAACCTCTAACCAGATAGAGCCAGGACTCTGGGCATTACCACTGGCTCACCTCCTCATGGGAATCATTTCACTAGTTTACTAGAATGAAATTCAACTACAGGCATCTGTGAGCATCTAACCACGTGCCAGACATTGGATACAAACCTATACTCCTGATCCTCCCCCAAAAGCCCCGCCCCACCCATAGTCTTCCCCATATCACAGTTATTGGCAATGCCAATCTCACCTGTCAACAAATCCCACTGATGCTACCTTCACATTTGCATCTCCAGTACCCTAAGACAGACACAATATCCCATGTGTAGCATTCCTGCCAAAAAGTTACCACTGGAACCCAATTGTACGAAAAGAATCAGAAAACCCAAATTGAGAGATACTCTAAAATTAAAAGATAGAAAAAAACGAATACAATGTGTGATCCTGGATCAGATCCTGCACAGGGGAGAAAAAAAAAAATGGCTACAAAGGACATTATTGGAACAATGGGAGAAATGTGAATCTTTGTTCCCAATGTTAAACTTCTTGAATTTGATAACTTTACTATGGTTATGTACAAGGATGTCCTTGTGCCCAAGAGAAACACGCAGCACTTAGGGCTGAAAGGTTATGCTATAGGTAGCTTCCTCCCAAAATCTTTAGCCAACAGTAATAATAATAATAGATAAAACAAATGTGACAACTTATTTATAACTGGTAAAGCTAGGTGAAGAATACATAGGTGTTCATTGTATCACTCATGTTTTCTGCAGGTATATGGACATTTTTAAAATAAAATCAGAATGCGAAAACATGCAAGATCTGTTCCTTCTTACCACACCACATCCACTCTGGCTGAAGGCACCATCTCAGGCCTGGACCACTGCAGTGGCCTCCTCCGTGGTCTTCCATGTGCCCTCCTCACCCCAGCTTTCAGTGTGTTCTCCACTCGAGCCCACTAATTGGGTCGATCCTCTGCTCAAACCTCTACAAGGTGGCCCACGTCACTGGGAGTAAAAGCCAGTCCTAACTTTCATCTATAAGCCCAACTTGGCACCTGTACTTTCCTCTCCTCCTGTGTGTCCCCACCCCAATTCTATGCCAGTTTCAGCAGGCTCCCTGCTGTTCCTCAACTCTGCAGTCTGGGCCTCAGAGGCACCTCAGCCTGGTGCGGCCTCCCGACTCATCTCTTTCCAGCCTTAGCTCACAGACCACCTTCTCAGGGATGCCTCCTGGTGATCCAGCTTTAACACTGCAAACCCACCTCAGACCCTCCCAGCCCCCACAACTGCTGCATATTTCTCCATATCATGAACCACCTTCTAACAAGCTGCATCATCTACTGCTTATGCTGTAGCCCCCACTGCAACATAAGCTCCATGAAGATGGGGGGTTTTGTCCACTGCTGTCTAACTGAGCCTGGAACCATGCCTGGCATGTAGAAGGCACTTGGTAAATACCTGTTAGATGAATGGCTCGATTCTGGGAACTCAGAAATAAATAAATGAGGTAGGATCTTGGCCCTCCAGAGGCTACAGTTTAGTCGGAGAGACAAATATGGATATATAGATAAACAGATCCTATAATGCAGCTGGCTCCAAAAAATATTCAGGGAAAAAAAGTGCCATGAAATAAGGAATTTGAGAGAGAGAACAAGGGAATTTGAGGCATTAATTCCCTTGTTCTACAGATCCCTGATTGAAATCTAATAAGTAACCAATAATAATAGCTAATAAATAGCTAAAAAACTACAATTTAGAAAAGTCTTAAAAAGACATCAGCATCATATATAAGGCAGCTAGATCTTTTGATATGTTAATTCTCATACCATTTCTGCGAAGAAGTAAGTACCATTCACTACTATCCCTTTCCTCAGCAGAAAACATGAGGTAGAGTGTAAGGATTGGGTGCCTGGTACAGATCAGAAAGCAACTAGGCCAGGCTGCCCCTAGACAGTTTCTGCGTCTATCTGCAGGTCAGGACTAGGTAAATAACTTCATGGGAACGTCCACCGGAAACACTCACCAAATACCCTGGATACTCACATGTCATTTAGACTTAATAGAATGATCTAAGAATGGAAAAGGAGTACCCAGTTGCTTGGGACATTCAGTCAGAGGCCAGATCTCACATGGGATGGGGGTTCCAACTACCAGTAGGGAGTCCATCCTCTAGGGTCCCAGCACTCCAAAGTCTAATTCAGCTCCCGGCCCGGACCCCCTTCTCCCAGTGGGAGACGAGTGCTATGATGAGCTTGCCTTTCAGACCATGATCATTTGCCACAGAACCTTAACAGGATTACTATACAGCTGAGGGGAAAATGGCTTTGAAGACTACGTAACAACTTGGGAAAAGTACTTATAATAAAATATTAAGTGGAAACAAGAAAACAAAATGTCTATGTATCAGGATGGCCATGTATGATCATACTGGGGAAAGCTTGGAAAGAAGCACAGAGTGGTTAGGATAATGTGTACTTGGTAGGTTTCCCTCTGTGTTCTAAAATTTTCTGCATGGTTTGCTATGTTCTGATTTTTGAACTTGAAAGTCTATTATTCAAACTAAAAGTTACAATGAAATTGACCAAAAGACCAAACTCATCTCAACAGGGTAATAGCCAAGAATATACCCCACATCATTGCCCCTAAAAGGGACTATCTTGGTGACCCACTACCTACCACCCATGCATCTTGCAAAAAAAACAAAAAACAAAAAAAAAACACCCGCAGAGAAGTACAGACTCCATACAGAGTGCCCAAAAAACACAAGGTGCCCCAATGCTTAGCAACAGGGGACAACAGGGCAAAAAACAAAGACCAACATTTCAACGGCCTTCTCAGTTTTCCCAGCAAGGGGTAAAGAACTGGTGTAGTCTATTTTTGAAGAGACGTTAATAATACAGTGACGAACTTAGGAGGAAAAAAAAATTTAAAGGTTCTACCTGTGATAAAGTGGAAAAGAACTACACACACATACACACTCACATACACACTCACACACACACTCACACACTCACACACTCACATACACACTCACACACACACTCACATACACACTCACAAAAGGCCTGCACAGTGCACCCAGCACACAGTGGGGACCAGAAGAGGAGGTATTTGTTGAATGAATGAATGAATGAATGAATGAGCTCTCTCTGGGGAACTCTACAGCCGTTTCTATAAATTGTGTCCCCAGTCTCCTCATCCTCTTTGATTTCCGATCTAAATTGCCACTCTCCTCCCAATATCCCTTTCACTGCAATTTCCCTTCCAATTTGTGCCTTTATAGGGCCCTCTCCTCCTACACACAATTTTTTAAAGTGCATTTACTCAGCCAGCTAACAAACATTTTAGCACCTACCCTGCACAGCTAGATACTCACCCCATAAGTGGCCATGGGGGCACAGTCACTGCCCTGCTTACATTATGGCAGGTAATACAGTTATCAAACAAGTAATCACCATTAAAGGAATACAGTTAATCAAACAAGTAATCACCATTAAAGTAGGATGCACGTTGGGCCTGTGGTTCAGTCTATGAGGCAGAGGCAGCCTCCTGGAAGATGTTTTAGCTGAGAACTAAAGAGTTTTATCCCCTTCCATGAAGGTAGAGGAAGGAAAGTATTCCTGGCAATGGGCACATCACAGAACCCTTCCCTCCAAGCTGATGGGCCTGCCAGACCTCACTGCCAAGGGCCTCATTTATGTGACACTAACTCAGTGCCTGGCTATGAATAAATATTAGTTTAAAACAAACCAAACAACCTGCCCAGACAGGTATAGACAGGGTGAAACCTACACATATGTAGTACAGGTCAAGTCTAATTTTTTAAAAATAAAAGCTTCAGAACAAAAGCATATTCAGCTCTAACTGTATACACAGAGGCATGAACTTACTCTTGTGAGTGCTGAGATTTGACCTGAATCCAGGGTCAGGCTTTCCCACATGTCTTTAGCCAGCTTGCTGAAATGTGAAATTAGAAGCCTACAAGCTCTCCTTAAAGGAGACTGTCAGAAGCGGACCACAATGAATGTAGGGAGCAGGTGGATGAATCACCAGCACCATGTAAAACGCCAGTGCCTTTAAAAGCTACAGTAAGCCATCTAAATATAGATGAGAAAGAACGCAAGTGAGTAACAGACAAATGGTCTTACAGGAAAGCATTTTAAACTTGTGACAGCCACATTCAGCACATGTGGCTAAATATAAATATTCCATCACTGTTGCCATTCAGCCAACCGTCCTGAAGTAGCTTTCTCCAGCTTGGAACAACTAACACAGACAGGTATTTTGATTCCAGCGTCGTTTCCACAGGTCTTAAATGCTACATGGGTGATTGGTGTGGTTTCAAACGTGGCCCAAGTGACACTGCTATCAGCTACTATAACGGCCCCACCTCTCAAGACCCATGCGGAACAACCAAAGTTTTGTAAGAAAATGGCAAGAAGTGAAAGGAGGAACGGGAGGGTTAGCAGCCTTTCCTTGCAATGCCTCATCCTTCAATTCACCTATTCAGGTGGGTCATGAGCCTCTTTAGAGATAAAAAGCAAACTTTCTGTAAACAGGATGGAAAAGCTTTTAACTTCTGTCTCTAAAATGCAGAGCATTTTCAGTCTATGATTGGTACTTATGATCAACTGTGTGTCACTTGTCACCGAAAACCCAGAATATGAGTACAAGCTGATGTCAGGTTGCAGATGTCCGTGTCCCTGTTTAATAAAGAAAATGGGATTATTCACTATCTGACGCTTTTATCAGGTAGGCAGTAGGTGCACAGAACAAATCCAGCTAGTCATTCTCAAGAGAGGCACGGCGTTTGTCCAAGGTACCAGCTCAGATTAAAGACACTCATCCCTAGGGTTTATGCATCAACAGAGAATATGAGCCAGTCGTTCCCAGCAAGTAAACAACTGTTTGTGTGTGCCTCAGTTTCCCGATTCCCAGGCCGCCTCTCCCACAGGGAACCAACACACCCTATGAGAACTAGTCCGGCGCGCACGGCAGGGGCTACCCAAACACTTGTGGAGCGAATGGAGGAATGAATGGGCTCGGCAGGGACTCGCGAGGGACCCAAGTGCCGCACCACATGCCTCCTCCGCGGGCGAAGCGCCCTCCACCGACCGCGCCGCACGGCGCCCAGGGTCTCCCGCCACCTCTGCCCGGCCTGGCCCCGAGGCGCCTGGCGACAGCCTCCCCAACAAACGCGGCTCAGGTTTCCCGTCGCCTTCAATGCTCCTGGCTTAATAACCCTTGGCCCCTCGGGAGCCCGGCCCGTGCCCCGCGCCGCCCCGCACCTTCTCGCCCTCATCCGGGTTCTTGTCCGGGTGGTACTTGAGCGCCAGCTTCCGATAGGCCTTCTTGATCTCCTCCGGGGACGCGCTGGGCTTCACGCCCAGGATGTCATAGTACTGGGTCTCCTTCACCATCTTGTGTCTGCGGGGGGGGCGGGCGAGGCCGGTCAGAGCGCCCCGGACGCCCCTGCCGGCACCCTGGCCCGCGCCCCTGGCCCGCGCCCCCGCCGCCCGCTCGCGCGTCACGGTCACGGTCGCCGCCGCCGCCGCCGCTTGTAGCTCCCGCCCGCCCCCCGCCCCGCGCCGGACCGACTTCCACGCCTGGCTCCACCGCACTAGAGCCACCGGCTCCTCCGCGGCGGGTTTTATTCGGCGCCGGCGGAAGCTTCCGCAAGGAGACGGTGACGCCACAAAGGCCTAGAACCTTCGCGGAGGTTCCGGCGGCCCCGCGGCGGGTTCGCGGCCCAGACCCCCGACGCCCGTCCGGCGCGGCCCAGCCGCTCACCTGGGCTTCTCGGGCGTCTGCTCCTTTGGCTGCCCGTCTGATTCCCCGGAGCTCCAGCTCTGACTGCCGCCCCGGGCCATGGCGGGGGCCGGAGAAGGCGGCTTGGGCCTGGAGGGCGCCCTCCGACAACTGTCCCGCCGCCCCGAGGCCGCCCCCTTGCCCTTCCGTGGGTCCGTGGAGCCGGCTGGCTGGAGAGTAGGCGGCCTGGAGGGCTGTGTTGGCCGGAGCCCTGCGCCGAAGGGTGGGACTGGGAGAGCTGCGCCCTGCGGTCCCCACCCGGCCTCTCCCCGGGGGTGTGGCCGCCGTCTGTTCGGTCACAGCCAGGCTGCGGCCTAAGGTGTGCCTGGGATTGTTGCATTTTTTAGGGGGTTGGAGTGGGTAGGGGCCCTCTGCTGCCTCATGACTGCAAGGCTGAGGTGAACCTCTGGCCTTCCAGTTGAGGTACAGGGGTCCTTTGCTGGCCCCAGATGTGGACAGTATCCTCTCGAATGCCCACCACTGGGAACCCTTAAGTCCCTCAAGGTGAGCAGTGACGTCCCCCACATATGGGCAGTGACGCCCCCCAAGTCTGCCAAGGGCCGACAGTGCCCTCTCTTCTCCCAGAAGTGGGAAACTGCCCCCTCTCCTCTGCACATCATCAGTGAGCAAACATCAGGGCCCGACCAGGCTGTTGGGCCCAGTGTTATGCACAGGGGGTCCCATGGCCTGGACCCTGAAACGGCTAGGTGGCCCAGGATGCTTGCCTTGGAAGGGTACAGGAGTAGGTCCCGACTTCCCTAGGCTGCCCCCAGCTCCCAACGGGTGCTCAGGGAGTCCAGATCACAAACCGTTGCAGAAAAGTGGGCGTGGAAAGCAGGCCCCAACGCTATCACAGAATTGCAGGCCCCTGTCCCCTAGCCCTCCCTTGGCTTCTGCCAGGGGAACAGTTTGTCAGAAAGGGGGGTCACTGCTCACCTCCCTGGGATGCCCTGGCCTTGTTTTGGGTACTGTGGCTGAAGCAGGTACTACCTCTCCTCCATGTGTTCCATGGGGGTGAGAAGTGACTTGTACTGTACAAGAGAAATTAAGCTGCTCTTCTTGGAGATGTTGCTTTTTTTTTTTTTAAATTATGCCTTGTAGAGCAGAACCTTTAGGCAGAGAACTCAGAGCTAGAGGTCAGAAACTTTGTTTTCTATCCAGATCTTACTGTCTGAGCCTTAGCATCTCAACACTTTTCTTCGTCAGCAGGACATGGGGATTGCCACTTGCCTGCCTTTCTCACAGGGCTCTTATAAGCATCAAATGGGATGATAACTGTGAAGACTCCTAGCGCAGTGGGTCTCAAACCTGGCTCCTGACAGAGATCACCTGGAATCTTCTAAAAATCCCTCTGGGTTGCACTCCACACCTGTTACCTTAGAGCTTCTAGGGGTGAGGCCCAGGCATCAGTGTTTTTCAAGCTCCCCAGGTGGTACAGCCAGAGCCGAGATCCACTGCCCAGGGTCACATACTTGTCCAGATTTAGTACTCGGGACCATAGGCATTCGTAAAATGGGCATGTGCAGGAGAGGGATGGCTTAAAGACAGAGCCTAGAAACATAGAATGGAGCTATGCACTTTGGACGACAGTGAATTCTGGAACCAGTGAGACTTAGACCTAGGTTCAAATCCCAGCACTGCTACTTCTGGCTGTGGAACCTTGGGCAGACAACTTAACCTTTCTGAGCCTCAGTTTTCTTAACCTTTTAATGAGGATATTAATTATAACTACTTCATAACTTTGTGAAACACCTGGTATATAGTCACAATATTGATGCTTTTTGGGGGTGGGGGGGTGCGGGCAGGGGCTAAGGTATAGAAGCTGATAGTGATTCTCTTCTTGATGGAACTTAGCCAGGCTCCTATGAGCCCTCTTCTCAACTAGGCTTCAGTCTTGGCCTATAAAGACTGAACAGACAGCAACACAGTTTCTAATAATTCAACGTCACATCCTTAAGATCACCAGTTCCCAGGCTTTTTGGCACCAGAGACCAGTTTCATGGAAGACGATTTTGTCACGGACAGGGTGGTGGGGGTGGGCAATAATTCTATGATGAAGGCCTGGCGTGGTGGCTCACACCTGTAATCCCAGCACTTTGGGACGCCGAGGTGGGCAGATCACTTGAGGCCACGAGTTCAAGACCAGTCTGGCCAACTTGGTGAAACTCCATCTCTACTAAAAATACAAAAATTAGCCAGGGATGGTGGTGCTCGCCTGTAATCCCAGCTACTCAGGAGGCTGAGGCACAAGAATCGCTTGAACCCGGGAGGCAGAGGCTGCAGTGAGCTGAGATCACACCACTGCACTCCAGCCTGGGTGACAGAGCAAGACTCTGTCTCAAAAAATAAAAAATAAATAACAATAGGATTGTCTAGTAAAATCAGATATTTTTGGCCAGGTGTGGTGGCTCAGGCCTGTAATCCCAGCACTTTGGGAGGTCGAAGTGGGCAGATCACTTGAGCTCAAGAGTTTGAGACCAGCCTGGCCAACATGGTGAAACCCCGTCTCTACTAAAAATACAAAAATTAGCCAGGTGTGGTGGCACGTGCCTGTAATCCCAGCTACTCAGGAGGCTGAAATAGGAGAATCACTTAAACCCGGGAGGCAGAGGTTGCAGTGAGCTGAGACTGTGCTACTGCATGCCAGCCTGGGCAACAGAGAAAGACTCTATCTCAAAAAAGAAAAAAAAATGGAGGATGAAACTGTTCCACCTTAGATCATCAGGCGTTAGATTCTTATAAGGAGCATGCAACCTAGATCCCCCGCATGCACAGTTCACAGCAGATTTCAAGCTCCTGTGAGAATCTAATGCCACTGCTTGGTTCCTGACAGGCCACAGACCAGTACTGGTCCGCAGCCTAGGAGTTGGGGGCCCCTACCTAAGGTGACCCTGGCCCCACTACCCCCTCTTAAAGTGCCTGCCTGAGAAAACTCAAGGCTGCCAAAATATTTACTGTGTTTTTGTTTCATCCAACACCTGAGGATAGAGCTTCTGTCTCCCAGTCTCTTTGGGAGAACGGCATCCTAACTTTGGCAATTGGCAGCTAGCAGACACAGCTGGCCTAATGTCACTTACACTGACCAACCCTTTGTCATTTTTCACTTCCCTGATTCTGTTAAACTGCTGCTTGTCCTTCTCCCTATTCCCTCATGTTCTTTTCAAAATGCCCAATTACTTTTCGTACAAATCGATATTGAGCTCAGTTCATACTAGATTGTTTTCCCTATTGCAATAGTTATGACTGATTAAATTCTGTCCTTACAATTTTAACTACTGTTCAGCTTTGTTTATCTTAGACAAAGCCTCTGACAATCTAGTAGATTATTTCCCAGAATTATGCTTGGGAGGATTGGAGGCATTACACAGACATTTCTTATTTTGTCAGTTATGTGTTTATTTTCATGATGACCTTTTCATTACTGCAACTTTTATTAAAAGTGACACTGACTTTCCACTCACAGTAAGCAATGTATGGTTTCCTTTTTATATTCTTTTAAAAAAGAGTAGATAAATAGTAAGTGTATGATAGTACCTGTAGTACAAGAATAAAGCAACAGTGGTGATACTTGAATGACAGAAATTTGGGAAATGCTGATCCAGTTCTACCATCTCATTCTACAGTTGGGGAGACTTTTAGACAAAGAAGCCACATTATACAGAACAGCCATTGTCCCTTGATGCAGTGTGGGGCTTCCTTTCTGACCCAGTGTAGAAGGAGAGTCAAAGCAAGCACGGAAGTAGGTTTTACCCAAGGAATGCTGGGATGGGGTCTTCAAGGAGTCTTCTGAGAGGGAGAAGCCACACCTACCTGGGGAGGGGGGTCAGGAAGGACTTCATGGACGAGGGACATGTGCCATAGACCAGGAAGTTAGAGCTCCCTTTAGCAGCAGGGAAAGGGAGGGCAGCCATGCTGAACGGACAGCAGGATAAAGGCAGAGAGCACAGATGGATGAAGGCTCTGAATTGGAAGGGAAGCAGGGACAGGTGTGCTAGAGCCTTGAATGCCTTGAGGAGCAGTTTGCTGCTCTCCTGGGCCCTGGGGAGCCATTGAAGGTTTCAGAGCAGGACCTGCGTTCTGAGAGGTGTAACTAGCAGCAGACCCCGGGGGCTGGGTGGATCTGGACCTCCTGGGAGAGGCCCAAGCTGGGCATGCCGGTTTGTAGAGGCAAGCCCAGAGAGAGGGCATAGAAGGAGAAAGAGAGCTCCAAGGAAAAGCGTTGGGGAGCGCCTGTCTTTAGGAAGTGGAAGGAGCAACAGCCATCGGAGAAGCAAGAGGAGAACCCAGAAAGCAGAGAGGACCAAAATCATGCAAGGCCAGAGCAGCGAGGGGTAGAGGAGACAGTGCCTGGGTGGCAGAGAGGCTGGGAATGGGGGGGACCAGTACTTCAAGGGGAGGACATTAATTTATTGGCCCCCGAAACAGCAGTTGTCATTTCAGGCCATTGTTTTAATATTGGGAGGGATTTCCACTTGGAGAGGCCTTGCCCCTCACTGGCTGTGTGACCCTGGGCAAATTAGCTTTCTCTGAACATCCATTTCCTCCTTTGCAAAATGGGGATAAGAACATCTGCTTCACAGAATTATTGTACAGATGAATGGAGACAATGTGTAAAGGGCTTACCATGTGCAGAAAGCACGTGTTCTCACGATGAAATTTATTGATTTCATCACAACAGGATTTGTGCACAGCAGCTATGTGTCTGGCTCTGTGCTGGGAACCAACAATACAGCACTAGATTAAGGTTATGCCTGTCCTCGAGGAGCTCAGAGACTAGCTGCACCTCAACATCTGACTCCAACCACTTTGGGTGACCCCTAGCACGGGCTGATTTTGCTAGCATTCCAACCCATAGAATTTTCTAAGAACTCACACTGAAGTAGTTAACCGTTGCCACCTTGCTTGAACAATAAAACCTGAGCCCCTGGCTACATTCCTGTGGGTTAGGGCCTGGTCTCTGAGAAGTCACTTCTTCCTGGAACTTGGCCTTTACCCAGAGTTGCTGTCACCAGAGGTTGGGGCTGCCTCTGTTTGGGGAGAAAAAAACTAAGAAAGTGAGGGAGTGGTCATCCTGCCACATATTTGGGCTTTAGAGACAAAATTCTGAGGTTTTCTCATCAGGGCACCCATCTTTTGAGGTCCCAGAGTCCAGAGAGAAGACATCCCTCCATCCTTCCAACAGATATGTAAAGTGCCTTTTGTGTCCAGTGTTGCAAGAGGCTTTGGAGCACACCGGGGAACAGATCCTGTCTCCCCCACACAGAGGACAAGAAAAAATCTAGAAATAAAGCTCTAACTGTAGGAGCAAAGGAAAAGTGTCCTTTTGAATTCTGGGTGGTCAGAAGGAGGAGATGACCTTCGCATGAATCCTGGAGGTTGAGAAGGAGCCAGGCGTGCAGGACTCGGGTTAGGGAGTTCTAGGCACAGGCAACAGCACGTGTGAAGGCCGCAAGGTGTGAAGAACCAGAAAGGAACCAGTGTTTCTGGAACAGTGATGGAGAGGGGGCATGGCCTTCAGGGCAGAGTGGGATTTTATCCTTAGGGCAGCAAAGGTGGGGGGTGTACTTTAAAATTTTTGTTGTATATTTATTTCATAAATTTTATTTTTTTAACTTTATTTCAGCAATATCTCTATGTTGTTACAGACAACATCTTTGCATACTTTGTGTTCTATTTTCAGTAATGCCAGATTATAAAACATTTCTTGAGTCATTGTAGCTCTCAGTTTCAATTTGGAGACATTTTGCTCCTCTGAGGCATAGCAAAATCCTCAAAGCAGTCCTTAGATTCAGAAATGAACCATGGATTTTATATGCTTGAATGTCGTAATGGAGTCTCATAAGATAATTGAGAGTTACTGTAGAAATATTACAAATATTTTAATTCCATCATATAATAGCTATCAGTTTTTTTAAAAAAAAAGTTTATAAAAACAGCTGACACACAATGAATTGCACCTATTTAAAGTGTACTGCTTGATCAGTTTCGATATATGTATATACCCATGAAACCACCATCTTAATCGAGACGTGAGCGTATCTATTGCTCCCAAAAATATCCTCATGAAAGAGTATATATTTAAAAGCCTGCTCAAGCTTGTATTGGTCTGCAGTTAAGCTGGGGCCACAGGCCTGTTCTGCTGTCTCCTAGTTTGTTTTTTTCCAGAAAATAAACCCATCAGCGCTTCAGTTGTGATACTGGCTCCATCACTTCTTAGCTGCGTGACCTTGGGCAAGTTACTTAACTTCTCTGCCTCAATTTCTTATCTGTAAAAAAATACCTACCTCAGGGGGTTGTGAGGAATATAAAAGGTTATGTGTGTGTGTGTGTGTGTATACACACCCACACGTGTGTATATAAATTATAGGATGAAAAGCTCTTGGACAGTGCTTGGCACAGTGTTCAATAAATACTGGCCATTGTTGTTATTTGATACAAAGAGCTCCATACATGCATCTGCCTAGAAGGATTCTATTTGGAAATACAAAAAGCCCAATAGGGTGGGAGGCTGAAAACCCTTCAGGGGAACTTGGCTGAGACACTTACCATAATAGTGCCACTGTTATAGGGTGCCTTGTTATAGGGTGCCTTGTGTGTGTGTCCAGTAAAAGCTACACTTAATGATTTTTTTCAGATCTTTCCTCAGCCTCGGCCAGTCCTATCTCAGCAGTAGTGGCCGGTGTTAAGTATGGTGCCTAGAAAATTACAGACTATTCCAGACCAGGAAGGAAAGTTGACTTCATCTTCAGATACTCAGGCTCCAGCCTGGAGACATCTCATCTCTCCTCTGTCACTCCTTCCCCATTATTAAAGTTTGTGGATGTTCCTTAGAGTCTCCCAGACCTGTCTTGGCTTTAAGGTGAGCCCTCATCATCCTCTGCCTAGCCCTCTCCAGTCACTCTCCTTGCATTCCAGAAGTCATAGACCTACTCTGGAAGCTTTGATGGATCACTGAGTAGAATAATGAAATCCAAATCCTTCCCCTGGCATTGAAGTTTTTCCATGGTCTGAACTCAGTTTACCCTTCTTGGCTCCAAGTCCTCAGAGCGCTGTTTGCACTGTCAGAGTAGTGTGGTGCTGTTCACCAGCTTGGAAGGTTGAGAGAAGTAGCCTGAAATCTGTTCAGAAGCAGAAAAACACTGCAATTCTATTATGATGATGGTGGAGTCACATTTTTAAATGTGCTTCTAAGTAGCTGGCATTCAATTGTTCTTAGAATGGGAACTATCTTTGGAAAAAATACATTGATAAGGTATTTGAGATTCTAAGGCCAGGGTCTTAAAAGATAATGGCAAAACTTCCTGGCATGACATGGGAAAGGAATTTGTTAGGCTCTCAAGAGGGAGAAAAATAAGAAGCAAGGAGGGAGAGGGGGCTGGGCGTGGTAGCTCATGCCTGTAATTCCAGCACTTTGGGAGCCCAAGTCAGGCAGATCACCTGAGGTCAGGAGTTCGAGACCAGCTTGGCCAACCTGGCGAAACCCTGTCTCCACTAAAAATACAAAAATTAGCTGGGTGTGGTGGTGCACACCTGTAATCCCAGCTACTCAGGAGGCTGAGGTAGAAGAATCACTTGAACCCGGGAGGCAGAGGTTGCAGTGAGCCGAGATAGCACCATTGCACTCCAACCTGGGCCACAGAGCAAGACCCCGTCTCAAAAAAAAAAAAAAAAAAAGAAAAGAAAAGGAGGGAGAGGGAAGAGAGAAGAGCCTGCAGGATGAAGATAGGTTTGAATCAGGTGAGCCTGCTAGGCCCTCCTGTCTCCTCACCACCCCAGCCCATCTTCAGTCTGCTAAACTCACAAATATTTGGTGCTTGTGTGTGTGGGTGTGTGTGCAGGGTAGAGTGAACGTGGAAGGAGGGGGTGAACACCTGCAGAGGGGGCCATGGAACCCTCTGCCCCAGAGAATGCACAGGATTGTGAGGAAAGCTTTGGAGTGCTGTGGGCTGTCAAATTTGAGGCATTCAAGCCAATTTTACTGAGTCTGGATGAGCAGATGGTTCCATTTTTTATTGTTACTGTCGTTGTTGTCACAAAAAATTACCCCTCAAAAAGATACTCCCTCCTGGGAAAGGCACAGAAGAAAGAAGAACAGAATCTTGTTGCAAAAAATATATATATCCTTCAGAAATGCTTGCTTGGCAAAAATACATCTTTCCTTTCTTTTTCGCTGTTAACCATTATGTGGAACCAGGCCCTAGAAAATGTCAGGCTCTGGCCAGGCATGGTGGCTGTCACCTATAATCCCAGCACTTTGGGAGGTCAAGGCAGGAGGATTGCTTGAGTCCAGGAGTTTGAGACCAGCCCGGGCAGCATAGTGACACCCTATCTCTACAAAAATAGAAAAAAATTACCCAGATGTGGTGGTGTGCACCTGCAGTTTCAGCTACTTGGGAGGCTGAGGTGGGAGGATTGCTTGAGTGAGCTGGGGAGGTTGAGGCTGCAGTGAGCCCTGAATGTACCACTGCACTCCAGCCTGAGCAACAGAGTGAGAACTTGTCTCAAAAAATAAATAAATAAATAAATAAATAAATAAATAAATAAAGTCAGGCTCTGAATAAATAGATAAAGATGTCCAGTAACCATATTTTAGAAGCTCAGCCTCACTACTATCACTACTAATCCAAGAAATGCCAATTAAGACAATAATACATGATACCATTCTTTGCCAATGAGGACCGAGGAACAGCTGAATCAATAAGGGAATCATGGGTCCCTGTACAGTGGAGAGAAAGAATGCCCCATGTTCACCTGCTGCAGGCCTCACAGAGCAGGCCATCAGGACCAGCTGGGACTGGGTGACAGGTGTCCCCACCTTGGGTGGTCCAGCATCCAGGAAGAAACAGTCAATCCTCCTACACACCCAGGAACCAGAGGGCAGACCTGGGGAGCCAGGCCTGGGACAGGTAAGCATTCACAGAAAGGGACCATTGTAACCTGAAAGGGGACCACCTATATTAATTTTTAAATTTTCATAATACTTTATATATAAATCACATACAGTAAAATGCACAAAGCTTAAGTGGGCTGCTCACATGTGTAGACCTATGTGACCACCTGGATCAAGATATAGGTACTTCTGTCACCCCTGAAAGTTTCCGCATTCTTTTGAGTTCTGTCACCACAGACTATATTTGTCTATTCTTGAGTTCCGTATAAATGGAACCATATGGTAGGAGATGTTTTTAGTCTGGTTTCTTTTATTCATTACACCTTTTTGAGATTTGTCCATGGCCCTACATGTCTGTCTCATTAGTCCATTTGTCCTGATGAGAAATATTCTATTGCATGGATATACCACGATGTGTTTATTCATTATCCTGATGATGGGCATTTGGGTTGCTTACTGTTTCAGTCTACCATGTATAAAGCTGCTTGCATGAATCTTTGTGTGAATGTGTGGTTTCATTTCTCATCCACTCTCATACCTGAGAGTGGATTTACCGGGTCACAGAATAGGTGTCTGTGTTACTGCTGTGTGAGGTCTTGCCTCACTGACAACCAAGCAAGCTGTTCTGCAGTGGACATCAGCTGGGTGTCCTCTAACTCAATTCTGACACTGTCTACCTGGAGATAGCCTCAGACCCCACAGGTCAGTATCGCAAGACTTTAGATGCCCTCCCACTTTAGATGCCAATCACAACCTGTGCCTCTGGCCAGCTATGAATTGGGGTTTCCACAACCCCCTCCTTGGGTTCAATTAATTTGCTAGAGCAGTTCATAGAACTCCGGAAACACTTTAGTTATGTTTACCAGTTTATTATACAGGCTGTTACGAAGAATGCAGATGAACAGCATTCGTGGAAAAGATGCACGGAGCGAGGCCTGTGGGGAGGGGAGCAGAGCTTCCATGCCCTCCCTGCATGCACCACCCTCCAGGAACCTCCACATGTTCAGCTGTCTGGAAGCTCTTCCGAACCCTGTCCATTTGAACTGTTATGGAGGCTTCATTACATAGGTATGATGGATTACATCATTGGCCTCAGTGATTAACTCAATCTCCAGCCCTTCTGCCCTCCACCAGGGTGGTCAGGGAGGCAGGGCTGGGAGTTCCTTTTTTTTTTTTTTTTTTTTTTTTTTTTGAGAGAGACAGAGTCTTGCTATATTGTCCAGACTTGAGTGCAGTGGCTCAATCATAGTTTACTGCAACCTCAAACTCCCGGGTTCAAGTGATCCTCCTGCCTCAGCCTCCTGAGTAGCTGGGACTACAAGTTCATGCCACCATACGCAGCCAATTTTTTATTTTTAGTAGAGATAAAGTCTCACTCACTATGTTGCCCAGGCTGGTCTTGAACTCCTGTGCTCAAGCAATCCTCCCACCTCAGCCTCCTAAAATGCTGGGATTATAGGAATGGGCCACCACACTGGCCGAGTTCCATTCTTTAATCGCACGGTTGGTTCTCCTGGCAACCAGCTGTCATCTTGAGGCAATTCAGGAGCCCATGAAGAGTCACTTTGTTAGAACAAAAGACGGTCCTATCACCCAGGACATTCCCTGGGATGTAGGAGCTCTGTGTTAGGAATCTGGATCAAAGACTAAATATTAGAACAAAAGATCCTCCTGGCACTCCTATTTTCCTAAGGAAATTACAAGAGTTTTAGTAGCTCTGGGCCAGGAACTGGGGGCAGAAACCAACATGTATATTTCTTATTATTTCACAACTGCTAAGCAGTTTTTCAAAATGGTTATTGCATTGTATACAATGGAATATGTATGCCATGTAGATGAGTTCCAGTTGCTCTGAATATTTGGCAGCACTACAGAGTATCTTTTATTTATTTATCAAGATTTTTTATTGAGACAAGGCCTCACTCTGTCACCCAGGCTGGGATGCTGTGGCATCATCATGGATCACTGCAGCCTCTATCTCCCAGGCTTAAGTTATCCTCCCACCTCAGCCTCTCAAGTAACTGGGAACACAGGTGCATGCCACCATGCCTGGATAATTTCTTTTTTAGAGATGGGATCTTGCTATGTTGCCCAGGCTGGTCTCGAACTACTGGGCTAGTGTGATCCCCCTGCCTCAGCCTCTCAAGTAACTGGGACCACAGGTGCATGCCACCATGCCTGGATAATTTTTTTTTTTGAGACTGAGTTTCGCTCTGTCACCCAGGCTGGAGTGCGATGGTGCGATCTTGGCTCACTGCAACTTCTGCCCAGGTTCAAGCAATTCTTGTGCCTCAGCCTCCTGAGTAGTTGAGATTACAGGCGCACACCACTAAGCCTGGCTGATTTTTGTATTTTTAGTGGAGACGGGGTTTCACCATGTTGGCCAGGCTGGTCTCGAACTCCTGACCTCAAGTGACCTGCCTGCCTCAGCCTCCCAAAGTGCTGGAATTACAGGCCTGACCCATCGCACCTGGCCTTTTTTTTTTTTTTTTTTTTTTTTTTTTTTACAGATAGGGTCTCACTGTGTTGCCCAGGCTGGTCTTGAACTCCTGGGCTTGTGCAATCCTCCTGCCTCAGCCTCCCAAAATGCTGGGATTACAGGTGTGAGCCACTGGACCAGGTCATCTGTCTTTAACTCTGGCCATTTCTGGTGAATGTGCAGTCATAGCTCATGTTTTTAAATTTGCATTTTCCTAGAAACCAACAATGTTGAGCATTTTTTTGTGCACTTACTGTTTCAAACAGTGATTCGGAGTGTGTCAAGGACCTGGTTAATCATGGAATGAGGTTCCCTAAAGACAAAACACGTCAGGCCAGGCATAATGGCTCACACCTATAATCTCAGCACTTTGGGAGGCCAAGGCAGGAGGATTGCTTGAGGCCAGGACTTCAAGACCAGCCTGGACAACATAGTAAGACCCTGTCTCTACCAAAAAATAAAATAAAATAAAAGACAAAACACCTCCAAACTGAAATTTGCATTTGTAGCCTTTCTCTTCCTATTCCTCTCACTGCTTTTTGTCAGCCATGGGTTGCGTTGGTGATGGAGAGGGCTGGGGAAGTTGTCTTGGTGTATTTGGGGGCTTAACATGGGAACCTTGTGGGACATTACAGCTTTGAGCCACCCTGGACTCTACATGGCTCCTTTCCATGAGGCTTCTGGGCAATTCCATTTCCCAGGTGCTCTGACTTCTCTCTGTGGCTGTAGAAACCCAGGACAGCTATGGCCACTCAGCAGGTGCGTGGGTGGGTGGGGGCACTGGCAGAATGGGCAGGATCCCAGACCCAATAACACAGTATAGTGAGATAATAGAAAACATTGTTATTTTTGACTGTCCAGCACCAATCCTCTTTCTCAACAGGCCCTCAGAAAATTGTCTATTTGTCAGTATTGACAAACACTGCTTTAACTCACTTATATGTGGAATCTTGAAAAATCAAACTCATAGCAGAGAGTAGAATGGTGGTTGCCAGGGGTGAGGGGTGGAGGACAGGAAAGGGGAGATGTTGGTCAAAGGGTACAAAGCTTCAGTTGTAAGAGGAATAAGTTTTGGGGATCTAATGAACAGAATGGTGACTATAGTTAATAATAGCGTGTTGCATACTTGGAATTCTCTAAGAGTAGATCTTAAGTGTCCTCACCACACACACAAAAAGTAACTATATGAGCGGATGGATGTGTTCATTAGCTTGATTGTGGTAATCACTTTACAATGTATACATATATCACATTATCACATTGTACACCTTAAATATGTATACATTTTTTGGTCAATTCTACTGCAATAAAACCGGAAGAAAAAAGAAATTATCTCTCCTGGGGAGGGAGAGGGGTGAGCCCAGCCATAGGAAATGCCTGCCTCCCATGACAAGGTTCAGGGACAAGATCCGGCCTCTCCTGGCCCTGGTGCGGCCAGGGATGAGGGCATGATCTGGGGATTCCTAACAAGATAGATGCGTTCTTCTAGGACACTGGATCCTGAGAGAGTGACATCAAGAGGAATTGGAGGAGCCAAGAGGAATTGGAGGCGATTCTTGACAGCTGTGATGGGGCTGGGGGTGACAGGTGGGCTCTGCCTGGCTGACGAGGTGGTCGCCATGTGTATTGCTTCCTGCTTCCTGACTCCCTGGAGCTCCCTGGAAACTGCTCAATCTCAAGCCTGGTGCCCCAGCCTCCTGTCAATTCTGCGAGTCCTCCAACAGCCTTTTGTTAGGTATGGCTATGTGACTGAATTCTGGCCAACGGAAAGAGAAGGAACAGTATGGACACCCCTTCAGGTCCGCAGAATCCTCTGCATGCTCTCTTCGCCCGCCTGCTAGCTACATGTTGGCTGGTCACCTAGGAAGCCAGGCATTGAATGGGTGGGGCCACCCTTGGCCTGGGTCCTGTACTGAGTGACTGTGATCCAGAGCTGCCTCCACTCCCCTCTATCCAGCAGGAACCACTGTGTCGGGCTTTATGTGGGCAAGAAATACATTTGTGTTGTATAAAGCAACTGTTATTTGGGGATTTTCCTAGTACAGCAGCCAACTGTGCCTTAACTAATGTAGCTAGCCAGAGCCAGTTTCTGTTGCCTGCAACCAAACATCCTGGCTGATCAAATATACCTGGTGATCACATATATAAATCTGAAGTACATACACAAAAATGTTAACAATAGCAATCTCCAGATGATGAAATGATGAGTGAGTCTTCTTTTCTTTTGAAACAGGTCTTGGTCTGTCACCCAGGCTGGAGTGCAGTGGTCCAGTCATGGCTCACTGCAGCCTCAACCTCCTAAACTCAAGTGATCCTCTCGCCTCAGCTTCCCTAGTAGCTGGGACTGAAGTCTTGCTTCACCCTACCCAGCTAATTTTAAAAAAAATTTTTTTGTAGAGACAGCATCTTGCCATGTTGCCCAGGCTGGTCTCGAACTCCTGGATTCATACTATCCTCCCACCTCGGCCTCCCAAAGTATTGAGATTACAAGCATGAACCATTGCATCTGGCTGAGTCTTACTTTCTTTTTCTTTTCTTTTTTTTTTTTTTTTTAATGAGACGGGGTCTCGCTCTGTCGCCCTGTCTGGAGTGCAATGGCACAATCTCGGCTCACTGCAACCTCTGTTTCCCCAGTTCAAGTGATTCTCCTGCCTCAGCCTCCCAAGTAGCTGGGATTACAGGCACACGCCACCACACCTGGCTAATTTTTGTATTTTTAGTAGAAGTGGGGTTTCACCATGTTGGCCAGGCTGGTCTCGAACTCCTGACCTCAGGTGATCCACCCACCTCGACCTCGAAAACTGCTGGGATTACAGGCATGAGCCACCACACCCAGCCTTGTTTTCTTATTTTGCTTTTCTATGCATTTCAGTTTTTTTACGGGAACATATGTGCCTTATGTAGTTAGAAAAGAAAACCATTTAAAATAAGCAGATTTGGATTCTCTGAGAACGAATCAGAGACAGAGAAACACTAGCCTCCACACAAAAGGCCAGAGAATCCGGAGAGTCCATTGGATTTGCAAAAGCAGTGGCCCATGGCTCTTGGGGTCTTCTCTGAGCGACTTGGCTTCAACTCCAGCAGTTTCTCCAGCTGTTTCTCACACGTCAAGATCCTTACCCATTTCTCATGTCCTCTCATACTGAGCTGTGCGCAGTATGAAAGGCTGGACCTCCATTCAGCTTATCAAGGCTCTCCTGGCATCTGCTGTTCACACAAGGCAGTGGGAAACCACATGGAAGGGATGACAGACCCCCAAGGCATTAGCCCAGGCCCCTCGCCAGAGGGCCATAGAGCAGCCGCCTCACCCTGCGATCCCTCCCCAACCCCCACTCTCTGGGCCTCATGGGCAGGGGCAGGCCTGAGGCCCCCCTTGGTGAGGTGAGGCTCTCAGGATAAGGTCCCTGTGATCTGTAAAGGTGGGGTCTGCTTTCCCAGGGCTCCCAGCTTCCAACAGCTGGGGGCATTTTTCACTTCATCTTCCCATCCGTCCAGTAGGGTGGGCATGGGCGCCTGCACTTTACTAGTAACAGAAGGAAGAGTGCGGGAGGTGCAGTAATTTGCCCAAGTTCAGGAACAGCTAAAGTGGGGACCCTGCCAAAACCCACCATGTTCTTTCCAGTCCACCACACACCTGTCTCTGAGGCCAAGGTCAAATAATTGGGCCGTTAGTAATGGAGCCAAATCATCGCATGACCACTGTAACAAGGAAGCAGGAAAACATCTCCAGTTCCAACAAAGTCTTGGGCTCTCTCTCTCTCTCTCTCTTTCTCTCTCTCTCTCTCTCTCTTTAAAATAAGGACTCAGGTTAGCTACAGTTCCAGCATTCTGCTGAATTTCTGCAAAAATCATATAACCCACATATACACCCTCCCAATTCATGGATAGAGGAAACTGAGACCCAAAAAGGGGCCACAACTTGCCCAGTGTGCACAGCATCATAATCTAGGCACGTTAAGGCTGGAACCTGGGCCTTCTAACTCTAAGCCAATGCCTCCTACATCACACAGCCACCAGAATAACCCCCAGCACTGTAGTACATTCATTAATAATTTAAAAAATAAACTTACCATAATATAAGGTACACAAAGAAAATGCACAATCCATAAGTGTGTAGTACAATAAATTGTTACAAAGCAGACACGCCTATTTAACCCCCGCCCTGAATCAGAAAGAAAACATTGCCAGCACTCCAGAAGCCCCTGTGCCATCTCCCAATCACTATGCCCTCCAGGTTGCCCCAGGGGAACCCTATCCTGACTTCCAGCATGCAGATTCATTTTGCCTCTTTGTGAACATTAAGTACACAGAGCCATGTAATAGATCTTTTGTATCTGGCTTCATTTGCTCAATATCAAGTTGGTGAGAATTATCAATGTTGCTGGGTTTCATGATGGCTCATTCATTCTCATTGCTGTTCAGTGTTCTGTTGTAGGAACATACCACAGTTTAGCCACCCATTCTACTCTTGGTGGACATTGGGGTTGCTTCTAGTTTGAGGCTATTATGACTCTGCCACAAACATTCTGGGGTGTATATTTTAGCACATGTATGTTCACACTTCTCTTGGATATACCCTTGGGAGTGGAACTGGGGTATGGGCTGGGGGTGGCACCTCAATGCCCCTCTTACCTTCTTCCAGCACACTACTCCCACCAGTGGAGACTCCTGCTTGGTGCTTTGAGAAACCTCAGGTGACCCCCACCCCACCCCACCCCTCATTCCTATGAGACCCTTAGGCTGCCCTGCTGAGAAAGGGCAGTGGACAGCCATGGCATAAATTTGCTGTAGCCACGTGGCTGCTGGGCTGGCTCTGGCACAGCTGTTGAAAAGTGCTCTCCTCTGAGCCCTTCAGATAAGTCTTTTCTCAATTAAACAAAAGCTCTGCAGCTGCCAGTTAGGAACTGCTTCTGTTTGGGCTGCCAGTTAGTGATAATCTGCTCATCCTGCACTGTCTTCTAATCCAGTGTGGCAGCTGGAGTGGCCTCCAATGATGCTACAGCCCCACCCAAGGCAGGGGCTGCACCTCTCTTTTGCACTATCTCCCCTTGGCCTAGCATGGTCCTGGCATGCAGAAAGCTTGGTAAATATTTGAATCCAGCTTTCTAAAATGCCAATCGGACAATGTTGCTGGAAGCCCCAGTGCCCATGTGGTGCTCAGGTAAGGGTGCTGTATTAATTTCCTGTAACTGCTCTAGCAAATGACCACACTTAGTGGTTTGAAACAACATACACTTATCACACAGGTCAGAAATCCAAAGCAAGTCTCACTGAGCTAAAAATCAAGGTGTTCACAGGGCTGTATTCCTCCCGGAGGCTCTAGGGGATAGATAATCTGTCTCCTTGCTTTTTCAGCTTCTAGAAGCCACCTGCATTCCTTGGCTTACGGCCTCCTCTCTTTCTTTCTTTCCCTCCCTCCCTCCCTCCCTTCCTTTGAGATGGAGTCTCACTCTGTCACCCAGGCTGGAGTGCAGTGGCACAACCATGGCTCAAGCGATCCTCCCACCTCACCCTTCCAAATACCTGGGACTACAGGTGCACGCTACCACACCTGGCTAATTTTCTTTTTAAAATTTTTTGTAAAGACAGGGTCTCGCTATGTTGCCCAGGCTGGTCTTTAATTCCTGGGCTCAATCAATCTTCCCACCCTGGCCTCCCAAAGTGCTGGGATTACAGGTGTGAGCCACTGCACCCAGCCAAACATGGACATCTTTGGGGCCATAATTCTGCCTAGCACAAGCCCCCAAACTTTAGCCTGGCAGCAAGGCCTCTAGCCTATGAAACTGCATTTCCTTCCACTCAATCCAGGTCTACACCCTCCTCTCCTGGCCTGGCACCGTCCTCCTCAGTCACTCCATGTGCCTTGCACTTTTCTACCTTTGTTCCTAGAATTCTCATGGCCCAAAACTCAGTGCCTTCAATCCTGGCGCCACTGACAAGTCACCTTCACCAGGAAGCCACTCCTGATCCTGCCAGTGAGAGTGGCCGTCTCTCCTCAGTCCCATACACGGCTGGTGGCTCTGACAGGTGGTGTTGCTTGGGTGCAAAGCCTGGCTCTGTCATTTGCTGCCCCTTTGGCCACCTTAGGCAAGTTAATATCTGTGTGTCTTAGTGTCCTGGTCTATAAAAAACGATAATAGTGGTTTTGATAAGGTTGCATGAGGACTGAATGAGAGAATGTGCATAAAATGCTTTAGCACAGAGCCTGGGACACAAGAAAAACTTGATTTACAAAACAGTATTGTTTCATTCGCTGGTTATGTCTAAGGCTCACTTCCTAGCTGGAGTTCTAGTAACTTCTTACGAGAGGTGACAGCGTGCTGGCAGTCCTCACAGCCCTTGCTCGCTCTCGGCGCCTCCTCTGGCTGGGCTACCACTCCGGCGGGACTTGAGGAGCCCTTCAGCCCACCGCTGCACTGTGGGAGCCCCTTTCTGGGCTGGCCAAGGCCGGAGCCGGCTCCCTCAGCTTGTCGGGAGGTGTGGAAGGAGAGGCGCCAGCGGGAACCGGGGCTACGGCGAGGCGCTTGCAGGCCAGCTGTAGTTCCGGGTGGGCGTGGGCTTGGCGGGCCCTGCACTCAGAGCAGCCGGCCGGCCCTGCCGGCCCCGGGCAATGAGGGGCTTAGCACCCGGGCCAGCAGCTGCAGAGGGTGTACTGGGTCCCCCAGCAGTGCCAGCCCACCGGCGCTGCGCTCGATTTCTCGCTGGGCCTTAGCTGCCTTCCCGTGGGGCAGGGCTCGGGACCTGCAGCCCGCCATGCCTGAGCCTCCCACCCCCTCCGTGAGCTTCTGTGCGGCCCGAGGCTCTTCGACGAGCGCCACCCCCTGCTCCACAGCGCCCAGTCCCATCGAACACCCAAGGGCTGAGGAGTGCAGGCGCACAGCGCGGGACTGGCAGGCAGCTCCACCTGCAGCCCGGGTGCGGGATCCACTGGGTGAACTCAGCTGGGCTCCTAAGTCTGGTGGGGCCTTGGAGAACCTTTATGTCTAGCTCAGGGATTGTAAGTACACCAATCAGCACTCTGTATCTAGCTCAAGGTTTGTAAACACACCAATCAGCACCCTGTGTCTAGCTCAGGGTTTGTGAATGCACCAATCGACACTCTGTATCTAGCTACTCTGGTGGGGCCTTGGAGAACCTTTATGTCCACACTCTGTATCTAGCTAATCTGGTGGGGATGTGGAGAACCTTTGTGTCTAGCTCAGGGATTGTAAACGCACCAATCAGCGCCCTGTCAAAACAGACCACTGGGCTCTACCAATCAGCAGGATGTGGGTGGGGCCAGATAAGAGAATAAAAGCAGGCTGCCCGAGCTAGCAGTGGCAACCCGCTCCGGTCACCTTCCACGCTGTGAAAGCTTTATTCTTTTGCTCTTTGCAATAAATCTTGCTACTGCTCAGTCTTTGGGTCCACGCTGCTTTTATGAGCTGTAACACTCACTGGAAAGTCTGCAGCTTCATTCCTGAAGCCAGCAAGACCGCGAGCCCCCCGGGGGAGGAATGAACAACTCCAGAGACGCCACTTTAAGAGCTGTAACACTCACCGTGAAGGTCTGCAGCTTCACTCCTGAGCCAGCGAGACCACGAACCCACCAGAAGGAAGAAACTCCGAACACATCCGAACGTCAGAAGGAACAAACTCCAGACGCGCCCCCTTAAGAGCTGTAACACTCACCGCGAGGGTCTGCGGCGTCAGTCTTGAAGTCAGTGAGACCAAGAACCCACCAATTCGGGACACATAGGTACGCCAGTATTATTCATCCCTGTGCCCCCGAAGTGTTCCCTGCAAATGATAGGTGCTTGTTAATTTGTGTTGGAGGGATGGATACATGGTCACATTTATTCATGCGCATCTGTCTGAGTGTGGTCAGACCACGAGGCCAGCAGAGAAGCCAGGCTCCTGTGGCTCCAAGCTGAGCAGAAGTGGCAGTTTAGCTGAGAGTAGCAGGCGGTGGGGGAGTCTCCATGGACTATATGAGGAAGTTGGGGAATGTGGGGGTGTCTAGAAAGGCTTCCCAGAGGAGATAAATGTGGGAAGCTGGAGTGGGAGGAGGCGGTGGGGTGTCTGCAATCTCTACCTGGGCCCAGCCCTCAAGTAGCAACTAAAGGGCTTTGTGTCTCTTTGTGTCACTCTCTTTGGCCTTCATGGCCCTGCAGTGTGAATGTTCTTTACCGAGATGTTCAGGCTCTGAAGGACATCAGAGATGCTGATGGTTCCTGGGGATGGGACGACTCTTCTTGCCAAGGACCCTCCTGAGTCCTCAGAGAGGGCTGATCAAGGCTGACTCCAGCTGTTCCCAAGCATCCAGGATGGCAGCTCTTCTCCAGGCTGTGATAGGGGCTTTGCTCTATCTTGGAGTGGGGGCAAGGTCTGGTTGGGTTCTGCCTGAGAGAGACCCTCATAAATAATGAAGCTCCCAAAGTCCTACCAGGCAAGAGTGGTCTATTGGGGTGATCAAATTCCTGTTTGGGGAGAAGGAAAAAAAAACTTTTTTAGAGCCTTGGGTAACATGACAGAAAAGAGCACGAATTCATTCAGCTGTAACTGCCCTGCACGATGAGTTCCTCTGGTCTCCTTGAGAACAAGCAGAGAAAGGCCCATTCCCACGGTCAATGCAACCACCACGCACTCATCACCCTATAGCTGCAGAGCCCTCCTCTGAGCTCTTGCCCCACCCTTGGCCCTGGAGATAAGAGGCCTGGGTCAGAGGTCACCCTGTGTATGTTCTGAAACTGGCTTACTATGGCACGTTGGCATGCCGCAGCCCTCTCAGGTCCCTATTTGCACAATGGAGGGTTATAATAATGCCTTCTGGCAGGACTGTCATGAAGCACACATGAAGCCTTGGAGGTGAATGTCTGGCATGGCTCTGGACACCAGTGTCTCCTCCTTCCCCTCTCCTCCCTTGTTCTGGAAGTCCAGGAAGCACCTCTCACACCTGAGTGCAAACTCATCTGGGCACTCTTTTCTTCCCAGCAATTGCCCTCTGGACATCAACAAGGAGGGTGGGGGCAACACTCAGCTGGAATCTCAGAGGGCCCCAGCCTGGCTCAGCTGAAGATGTTCCCCCAGCCCCCCATTTCCTGGCCTTAGAAGTTTGTCATTAAGTAGGACATGGGGTTTGAGCAGGGGAGCAAGTTCTTCATGCTTGGCTGTCCAGCCCCTTGGTGAGCAGCACTGATCTGCCCCAGCCTGTGCTGGCCCTGGCTTCTGGCTGTCTGGGCCGTTTGCCAGGACTCCTGGGCCTTGGCTTCCCATTCCCAGCCACATCCGCTGGCCCAAGCCGAACCTGGAGGGGTCCCCAGATTCAGAAAAGATACCGCTTTCTGAGGTCCCTGATGTTGGGGGTCTGTGCCAGAGGAAGTTATTCCCAGGTATTCCCAGGCTAGTGCTCAGGCGCTGAGAAAGGAATTTGCATATCCCCTCCCCCTGCCACACCTCCTCTGTCCCTGTCTAATCCACAAGTCCTCTCCCTCGCCCTGGCCAGGTTATTTCCTCTCTCAGGGCCCCAGTTTTCTCATCTAAAAGGAAGGCAGAATGCTAGAAGTGTTTCTAAGCCCTTCCAGGTGTGACATTCACAGACCCCATCTGGGCTAAGTGCTCACTGGGTTTCTGTTCAATCAATGTAGTCATTTACAGGTGAGGAAACTGGGCTTCTGCGATGTGGAGGCTTCCCCCAGGGTCATGCAAGCTGGAACCAAGTCCTGTTGACTCTCAATCCAGTGTTCCTTCCCCAGCCTCAGGCCACTGCCTAAGGTCAGGGGCAGCCAGCGTGGAAGGTGCAGCCTGGGTAGCAACAGACATCCTCAGCTGCGTGGCTCTGTCGTGATGAGATCCCTGGAGAGTCATTCAAATCTCCATTTTTTTTGCCAATGAGCTGCCTCTGTCCCAATGTCCAGAGCATTCTCAGGCCCGAGGATACTAAAAACAGCGAAAACTTTTTTTTTCTGTTTTCTTTTTTTTTTTTTTTTGAGACGGGGTCTTGCTCTGTCATTCAGGCTGAGTGCAGTGCCACAATCTTGGCCCACTGCAGCCTAAAACTCCCAGGCTCAAGCAGTCCTCCCCGCTTCAGCCTCCTGAGTAGCTGGGATTATTGGCATGTGCCACCATGCCCAACTAATTTTTTTTTTTTTTTTTTTGTAGAGACAAGGTCTCTAGGCTGGTCTCAAGCTCCTGGACTCAAGCAATCCCCCCTCAGCCTCTCAAAGTGCCAGGATTACAAGTGTAGGCCCCTGCACCTGGCAATGAATTCTAACTGGATGTTTACATACCACTCTAAGTGCCTTCAGTAGACTTAACTCACTGCAACCTCATGAACTAGGAATCATGACTCCATTTTACAAATAAGAAAACTGAAGCACAGAGAGGTTAAGTCATGTATCCAAGGTCAAACAGCTTATAAGCATCTATCTCATCCCAGATGCTCTAGAAAACAGAGCCCAAGGCAAAGTTTATGTCCTAAGGCTTTATTGGAAGTGGAATTCTAGGGCACAAGAATCAGGGAAAAAAAAAAGACATGAGGCAGAAAAGGAAGGAAAGCAAATAAATAGAAGGTAGTTGCATTTCTGAGCTGTTCTTCATTGCACAAGGAAACATAGCTCTTTGCTATGTCATGTAGGTGACCCAGACAGGTTGTGTGTGCTGCACTTTGGACCATTCTGTTGAGGGGAGAAAGCCGGGGAACTTACGGCTGTCTTCCTATCCCCGGTCTCTCCACAGGAGGGAGCCAGTGCAGAGTGAGCCATGAGATTCACTCCCTCATAAGGGAGGTGGAGAAGGGGGATCCTTCCCAGTGGCAGAGCACCCCTCGCCCCTTTGTGTTTAGTTATTCACCCTGTCCTGCATTGCACCCATCATCTCGTGGTCCTTTTTGTCTCTGCTGGTTTCAGTTAGGGGTTCTGCCCCTGGTAATCAGGACTCTCCATTTTACAGAGGAGGAAACTGAGACTCAGAGAGGTGACTTGGCTTGGGTCATGGTGCAAATCCAAAAACCAGTGTGTTCCACCCCTGCCCTATATGGTGCAGATCTGGAGAATACGGGTCACGTGGCCCTTGATCCAGGTCTTTCCAGGTGAGAAAAGAAGGTGCCTCCTCTGCAGAGGTTGCCCAGACATCTGGGTTCCCTCCCTTCCTCCTCCTTCCCTAATCCTCCAAAGGCCTCCATCCTCCGTGGTCTCCATTGCCCACTCCCAGCTCAGTCCTGGCAGGTTAGAATCCTCTATGTGCTACGTTCTTCTGCCCCTCCTCTCAGGAAAGCTCTGCCCTGGTGACCCATAGCTCAGAGAATGTGAGTCCCTGGGAGAGGAGTTTGAATCTCCAAAAATCTCTGGGTTTTATCTATTTTATTTTATTTATTTTTGAGACAGAGTCTCTGTCACCCAGGCTGGAGTGCAGTGGTGCAACCTTGGCTCACTGCAACCTCCACCGCCTGGGTTCAAGCAATTCTCCTGCCTCAGCCTCCCGAGTAGCTTGGACTACAGGCACCCACCACCACGCCTGGCTTATTTTTGTATTTTTAGTAGAGACAGGGCTTTACCATGTTGGTCAGACCGGTCTCGAACTCCTGACCTCAGGTCATCCACCCACCTTGGCCTTCCAAAGTCGGGTTTTATCTAGAGCTGGAGGATACTCTGATCCCAGGACTCACACCCCACCCACTCGATGTAGACAGGGCCAGAGGGGACACAAATGCAGCCCAGAGCCTCAGCGCCCTCTGGAGCACAAGGGTCTCCCAGCCGGGCCCCAGACTCGATGTCCAGAGCACACTGTGGTGGCTGCCGGAGGCCTTCTGGGGGCAGGGGAGGAAGGACGGCTGTTTCTGGGGATGGAGGCAGTGGCGCAAGATCCCAGTCCTGTGGAGACCTGGGTGGGTGGGAGGCGCTCTGGCCAGCAGGGGTCAGCAGAGGCCCATTGTTCTCCTGCTCGTCCTGCACCCAGAGACGACTGCGAGGCCTCAATCCAGAGCCCCAGGTGCAGTATTTTGAAATTTAAAAAGAAAAAAAAAATCGTCTCCTGGTAATACATACGCATGATAACAAAAAAGTGGCCCAGAAAAGCTAATGCTGAAAACATACAGCAATGACCCTCCCACCCAAGCCTTTTTAAAGGCTTTTAAAAACAAAAACAAAACACTTAATATCTCTTTGTTGTGGGAGGCAGGCTGATTGCTTGACCCCAGGAGTTCAAGACCAGCCCGAGCAACATGATGAGACCCCCCCCTCAATCTCTCAAAAAGAAAGAAGAAAAGGTAGTTTCATGTTAATTTCAACATGCATTGGGAAATATCTGTATATATTTATATAACAAGTTCTTCAATTGCTTAGAATAAAGCTATTTCATTTTTAAATTATAAAATGGAGTTGAAAAATAGTAAATAATGTACTATACCCCTGGGGAAACCAAATATGGCAAAACTAATGAAGGTGGTAAAGAAATTGATTGGAAAATAGTGGTCTTGATTTTTTTTTTTTTTTTTTTTAAGAGATGGAGTCTCACTCTGTTGCCCAGGCTGGAGTGCAGTGGCGTGATCTTGGCTCACTGCAACTTCCGCCTCCCGGCTTCTAGCAATTCTCCTGCCTCAGCCTCCTGAGTAGCTGGGATTACAGGTGCACAGCACCACGCCAGCTAATTTTTTGTATTTTAGTAGAGATGGGGTTTCACTGTGTTGCCCAGGCTGGTCTCGAACTCCTGAGCTCAGGCAGTCAACCTGCCTCAGCTTCCCAAAGTGCTAGGCATGAGCCACCACACCCAGCCAATTCTTGAAGTTGAAAACCAGTGAGGGCAGCAATCACTTCGATGACAGTAGAGGCTGGTGCAGAGGCATTTGGCCTTACACGCATAGCAGGCACAAACTTCCTCAATCGACAAACTCAGGTGGGCAAAACTGCAGTTTTATTTTCTGTAACTCAATGGAAAAAAAATTTTTTTTACAGCTCTCCACCCTTCCTCCTAATGGCAGGACATTTAATCTGTTGGTTTTGAGAGACAGGACCAGCTGGATTTCCTAGGCCGACTGAGAATCCCTAAGCCTAGCTGGGAAGATGGCCACATCCACCTTTAAACACGGGGCTTGCAACTTAGCTCATACCTGACCAATCAGGTAATAAAGAGAGCTCATTAAAATGCTAATTAGGCAAAAACAGGAGGTAAAGAAATAGCCAATCATCTATTGCCTGAGAGCACAGCAGGAGGAACGACAATCGGGATATAAACCCAGGCATTCCAGCTGGCAACTGGCTACCCACTTTGGGTCTCCTCCCTTTGTATGGGAGCTCTGTTTTCACTCTACTAAATCTTGCAACTGGTGGGGCACGGTGGCTTACGCCTGTAATCCCAGCACTTTGGGAGCCTGAGGCGGGCAGATCACGAGGTCAGGAGATCGAGACCATCCTGGCTGACATGGTGAAACCCAGTCACTAATAAAAATACAAAAAAATTAGCTGGGCATGGTGGCGGGCTCCTGTAGTCCCAGCTACTCGGGAGGCTGAGTTGGAGAATGGTGTGAACCTGAGGAGGTGGAGCTTGCAGTGAGCCTAGGTCACACCACTGCACTCCAGCCTGGGCGACAGAGCAAGACTCCATCTCAAAAAAAAAAAAAAAAAATCTTGCAATTCTCTTCTGGTCCATGTTTGTTACCGCTCGAGCTGAGCTTTTGCTCGCCGTCCACCACTGCTGTTTGCCGCTGTCGCAGACCCGCTGCTGACTGCCATCCGTCTGGATCCGGCAGGGTGTCCACTGTGCTCCTGATCCAATGAGGCACCCATTGCCGCTCCCGATCCGGCTAAAGGCTTGCCATTGTTCCTGCACAGCTAGGTGCCCAGGTTTGTCCTAATCCAGCTGAACGCTAGTCACTGGGTTCCACGGTTCTCTTCCGTGATCCACGGCTTCTAATAGAGCGATAACACTCACCACATGGCCCAAGATTCCATTCCTTGGAATCCATGAGGCCAAGAACCCCAGGTCAGAGAACACAAGGCTTGCCACCATCTTGGAAGCGGCCCGCCACCATCTTGGGAGCTCTGGGAGCAAGGACCCCCCGACCCAATAAGAGTTTCGCAAAAACTCGGTCATTTTCAAGTTTAAACTTAGTCAAGTCCTAGCGTCCCATTTCTAGGAATTTATCCTAGAGATAGACTAGCTCAAGTACGAACCACGCAAGGATAAGATTATTCATCACAGCTTCATCTGTAACAGCAAAAGACTGAAAACAACCTAAATGTTCATCCTACAGAGCTGTTGAAATGCATCTCGGGCCAGCCCTTCCATGGAATGCTGTACCTACCCCACAAAAAGAGAACCAGGAAGTTCTCCAGGCAAAAATATGAAAAGTTCTCCAGCAAATGTTGTCAAGTATAAGAAGACACGAAACTGTGTATGCCATATGTTAGCATTTGTATATATCCAAGATATTTCTAGAATGATGCAAAAAAGAAATTTTTAACAGTGGTGGCTCTGGAGAAAAGAAATGAGTGAAGGATGGTGGGGAGAGGGACAGAAAAGTGGGAGGAAAATTTAATTTTTACTATGAAGCCCTTTGTACTTTTTAAAACATTGTATTGAGGTGAAATTCACATAACATTAAATTCACCATTTTAAAGTGTAGGATTCATGGCTGGGCATGGTGGCTCACACCTATAATCCCAGTACCTTGGGAGGCTGAGACAGGAGGATCCTTTGAGGCTAGGAGTTCAAGACTAGCCTGGGAAACATAGCAAGACCTTGTCTCTCCAAAAAAAATTTAAAAATTAGCCAGGCATGGTGATACATGCCTGTAGCCCCAGCCACTCAGGAGGCTGAGGTGGGAGGATCACTGGAGCCTGGGAGTTTGAGGCTGCAGCGAGCTACGGTCGCACCACTGCGTTCCAGCCTAAGCAACAGAATGAGATCCTGTCTCAAAAAAAAAAAGTGTACAATTCAGTGGCATTTAGTACATTCACGGTGCTGTGCAACCATCATCTCTATCTAGATTCAAAACATGTTCATCACCCCAAAAGGAGACCCCATACCCATCAAGCAGTTAGTCCCCTTTGTACATTTTCATGTTCCACTGTATCAATCAGGGTTCTTTCTGCAAGAGATGGCCCCTTAAAAGTGGTAGGTGAAGAAAATGAAGGGACAGGTGAGGACAGTGTTAAGGGAGCCACAGGGGATGGTGAGGCAGCTGCAGGGAGGTAGACACTTCTGACCTGAAGGAGCTGGGGAGGAACTGTTCCCCCTGAGGCCAGAGCTGGCTGGAGGGGCTGCTGCTGCCAAAAGTGTGGCCAGCCGGGAGGGAAGGAGAGGAATAAAAACTCCAACCTTTCTTTCTCTCTACCTTCTGCTGTCCTGCCACCACCTGGCATTGGCCTGACAACCAGAGGCCAGAGGCCGGGAGCCCAAGGGAGGCTCACACAGGGCAGCTCTGGGGACAGAACCAGGGGAGAGAGTAGAGAGGGAATCTGGACATAACTGGCATATTGCTTGTATTTATTTTTCAAAATGAAATGAACCATTTAAAAAGTTCAGCCAAATCAGACTCCACTACAGCCTGACCTTTTCAGCACCATGTCCCAGCCTTGAGCTTCTGTTGATATATTGCCTTTGTCCTGGTTCCCAGGTGGGGTCAGCCCTCCTCGCAGTGACTGCAGAATGACCTTGTTCCTATCAGCCTCTGTTGCCAGCCCACCAACTTTCTCCTCCAGCAGCCACCTGACCCTCAGTTCACTGCCTGCCCTGGCGAGAGGGTGTGCCGGGCCTTTTTGCTTTTGGTTCCTTGAAGCCATCTTTTCTCTGTGGCCCGCGCTGAGCACTCTGGGGCCCTGTCGCTTTCTTGGGCCACCTCAGGTCCCTGATATGCTCAGACCTGGAAGATCTGCCCAAGGGAGGTCTTCTTAAGGCCCTCCCCAGGGCCTTGCTTCTGTTTGGACTCTCTTCCCCTTCCTGGTTCCCTGGATCTATAAGAATCTGAGGGATGGGGAAGGAAGGGGAGTTGGGAATGAACAACTTACACATTTTTCCGAACCTTCCCAGGCTTTCATATTGACCAAGGCTTTTGAACTTCAGAGCTGAGCATTCTATGTCTTTTTCTCTGATTATGATTCTCCTCGGGTGGGGAGACACTGACTTGTCACTTACAGTGGTGACTCATTCGATCCCTCCAATCAGCCCATGGGCAAAGGACTCCCCATCACCTTCTCACGTCCAGTTGGAGCTGGTGGCCACTTTGGCCCACCTCAGGCCATCACCCTCATGATTCAAGCAGTTAAAACTGAGGCCAGGAGAGGGCCGAGATCTGCCCAAGATCGTGGTTGAGGGCGTGTCAGTGGGAGATTCAGGCCTTGCAGCTAGACCCCAGACGACCTGCTCAGTGTACCTTCAACAGCATTAGGAAGGCAGCATTTGGGGGCCTGTGGCCTGTGCCCTGAGTTTGTTAGAAGGCAGCCCAGCTTTTTCTCAGTCACCTGCCTTCACCAGACAGCATCACCTGTGGCCCAACTGGACCTATTTCTTCTTGGGGACATCTCATAGGTATCCCCACTAACACCTCCTGTACACAATGTATATGGATTTTAATTGCGTCCCCCAGCAAATTCATGTCTACCCAGAGCCTCAGAATGTGATCTTGTTTGAAAATAGGGTCTCTGCAGATATAGTTAAGATGAGGTTCTTTGGCATCAGGGAAGGCCCTACTCCAATGACTGGTGTCCATGTAAGAAGAGAAAATAGGAACATAGACTGCTATGGTGGGAAAATTCCCAACAAATTTCATATGTTGGAAACTTAACCTCAAAATTCATATGTTGATTGGAAGTTGAGCCCTTGGGAGGTAATTAGGGTTAGGCAAGGTCATCAGGGCGGGGTCCCATGTTGAAACTGGAAACTTTATAAGAGAAGAAAGACCTGAGCTGGCACCACGCTCTTGCCCTCTCACCATGTGATGCCCTCCACGTTATGATGTAGCAAGAAAGCCCTCACCAGATGCTGGCACCTTAATATTGGACTTCCAGCCTCTAGAGCTTTAAGAAATCAATTTCTTTGTGTGTGTGTGTGTGTGTGTGTGTGTGTGTGTGTGTTTTGGTGTTTTTTTAAATTTGTTTGTTTGTTTTATTTTTGAGGCAGGGTCTCACTCTGGTTGCCCAGGCTGGAGTGCAGTGGTGCAATCATGGCTCACTACAGTCTCAACCTCCCAGGCTTGAGTGATCATCCCACCTCAGCCTCCCAAGTGGCTGGGACCACAGGTGCACACCACGGCGTGGCACCCAGCTAATTCTGTTTTATTTTTTGAAGAGACAAAGTCTTACTATGTTGCCCAGGATGGTCTTGAACTCCTACGCTCAAGCAATCCTCCCACCTTGGCTTCCCAAAGTGCTGGGATTAAAGGCATGAGCCTCCGCACCCGACCTATTTTCGTTATGAATTACCCAGTCTGAGGTATTCAGTGATAGCAACAGAAAATGTACTAAGGCATAGACACAGAGGAAAGACAGCCACGTGAGGACAGAGGCAGAGGCTGGAGAGATGCACATGCAAGCCAAGGAACACCCAGGATGGCCAGTGACCCCCAGCAGCTGGGAGAGAAGCAAAGAAAGAGTCTGCCCACAGCCCCCAGAGGGAGTGTGGCCCTGCGCACATCTTCATTTCCAACTTCTGGCCTCCAGAGCCGTGGGAGAATACATTTCTGTTGTTTGAAGCTATCCAGTTTGTGGAACTTTGTTACAGCAGCCCTGGGGAATGAATACATGGTCTTAGAGGGGAGACTTTTGGTATTCAGAAAAAGGCCTTGTCCTGTGTGAATTTCCCATCTCTTTATGGCTGCCTGAAACCCCCCCGCCCCCCTTAACATGCTTCTTTCCTTTAGAAGAAGGGACAGATCCAGGCTTCTATTCATGTGTCCCTGGAAAGTCACATTCCTCGGTTGCCTCTATCATGTCTTCAGTGCAACTGCTTCTATAGACCATGTGGCGTGGTCTCAGTGTTGGAAATGTCTCCTTCCTTCCCCCGGGGTGGGCTCCCTCCTTGGGTCTCCAGCCTCCATGCAGGACCTGGGGGAGGGGGACTGAGTGGGTGAGATCCCTCCCAGGGCAGCATTCGGCAGACCGCAAGTCAAGGTTGCAGAGTGTATGCAGCCAGGGGTAGCAGCCACTTCAGGATCTGGGTCTGGATTTGTGCTGAGAACCACTATGACCTTTTAAAGCCAGTGAGGAGGTTTTCTGGGGGCCCAGAAGCCCTGAGCCCATTGGCCAGACCTCCTGGGAGAAGCGGAGCGGATTTGCATCAAAAAGAACACTGGCTTCATTGAAATTCTCCTCATCTTGAGAGAAACAAAACCACAAAGAAAAGGAAAGTTTTAATTCTGAGAAACTTCACTGAGGAGCAATTTTTTTTGAGCTTCTAAAAATAGAGAGGAAATGAGCCTCTTTGGGTCACTCTAGTTGCCGCCTCCCCTGCCCCATGCCCACCCCCACTGCTCACTCAAGGCTAGCCTCTCTCAGTGGGTGACTGAGCTGTCTTCAGTGGAAGCCCGAGGCAGATGCCACGCAATTCTGGAGCTGGATACGGCTGCCCACACGGGGACCCCAGCATGCTGGACAGCAGAGAGACCCCACAGGAGAGCCGGCAGGACATGATTGTGAGGACCACCCAAGAAAAATTGAAAACCAGGTAAGTCATTGGTTGGGTTTCTGCACACTGCACCTGTGGGCCGAGTTCTAGACTTTGCTCTGCTGTGTGAACTTGGGCAAGCTGCTTCTCTCTCTGAGCCTCAGTTTCTTCACCTGGGAAATGAAGGGAAGGATCTGGGCGATCCGTAAGATGGAAGAACTGGTCATTTGGAGGGCTACTTAGCATGGCTAAGAAAGGCTCATCAAAGAATGAGGCACATCCCAGGGGTATGAGCTGGGGCTGCAGTTGGAGACCAGTTGGATCTCAGTTGGATGGAGGAGGAATTTTTCAGTCAAGAATGTTTCCCTGTCTCCTCAAGGGGGACTTTTGCCTGCGGGGGTCAAAGACAGATAAGTTTTGGTGGGGACCCAGAGGTTCCCGCTCCAGTTTGCTGCGTGACCTTGGCAAGTGCCTTTGCCCTCCGTGGGCTGTAGCTTCCCTGTCTGAATATGAGTGCAGTGGCTGAGGTTTCCCTAAAGCCCTTCCACTGTATATATTCCAGTAATCTGTGATTTAGAGGAAGTGGATTCAACGTATCAGGCATTCACCAATGCCCACCCTGGCCCAGGCCCTGTCCATCCAGGGAGTAGGGGATCCTGAGAAGATGAGACTCAGTCCCAGCCCTGGGATGCCCTGGCCAGAAGGCAGGAAGAAGGCAGGCGCACGCGCACACGCACACACACGGAACTCCAGGACCCCAACATCTGTGATTTGTGTCCAGGAGGGGCGCAGGCGAAGGGGCAGAGAGAAGGAGGTTTCTAACTGGGGCGCCTGAGATGGACCTTGACGGTCAGAGTGGAGCCAAGAGCAGTGGGCAGAGAGAACGACCTAACAAAGCAAGACAGGAAGTTTGGGGATGGGAGAGGTCTGGGTGGCGGAAGCATAGAACTGGGGAGGACAGGGGCTAAATACCAGGGTCCAAGTCCTCTGTAGTAATGGGGAGGAATTGCCAGTGTCTGAGCTACCAAGACTACAGCCCCTGTCCTGATGGAAGGTTATGGGGAAGGAAGATAGAGGGAAATGGGAACAGATGTTAATGCGCCTCAGAGATGCAGAGGCCCCTCCGAGGGCTGGCATCTGGGCCCTGCCCTGGGTCTCCAGAGAACCCTGCTAATCCAAAGTGGACTCCTGTTCTTCCAGAAGCAGGGACTCTTCCCTGCAAAGCCTCCAAGAGCATGAGGGCAAGCCCCTCCCTGGGCATAGGTCAGGTGCACAGAGGGTCAAGGGCCCCTGGAAGAAAGCTGGACTGACTTCCTCACCCAAGGGCAGATTCAGGATCTCCTCTGGGCCCCGGTGTCCTGGCACCTCCCCTCCTCCCTGGGGTCTGTGGGCTCAGAGAGCAGGAAGGCCAGGCGAGATGCTCAGAGGAGCACATCGAAATATGTCCAGAGGCCATGCATGATGGCTCATGCCTGTAATCCCAGCACTTTGGGAGGCTGAGTCGGGTGGATCACCCAAGGTCAGGAGTTCTGAGACCAGCCTGCCCAATGTGATGAAACTCTGTCTCTACTAAAAATACAAACAGCCAGGTGGTGGTACGTGCCTGTAATCCCAGCTACTCAGGAGGCTGAGGCAGGAGAATTGCTTGAACCCGGGAGGTGGAAATTGCAGTGAGTCAAGATCGTGCCACTGCACTCCAGCCTGGGCCACGAGAGCAAAAGTCCTTCTCAAAAAAAAAAAAAAGAAGAAAAAGAAATAAATGTGCCCAGAGCAGGGGTAGACAGGCATGAGGACAGCCAGGGCCAGGGGAGTCTTTGAAAACAAAATCAAGGTCTGCAGGATCTCAGGGTCTTCTGCTCCCTGTGAGTGAGGGGCCAAGTGGGGCTCAGGGCCACAGGAGCCTGTGTCTCAGGCCTGTGGTGAAAAGGGGTGGCAGAGGGTCCTGTGTGCCCTGCAAAGCTCACAGAGGACTGGGCTTGTTTTGCAGACATCACTGAAGGAAAGTAGGCAAACTTGAGGCAGAACCCTAGGCTTGTGCAGAGAAGGACTCCCTCCTGAAAGGGTAAATGGGTCTTGGGACCCCGTAGGGAAAGAGAAAGGCTAAAAACCCAAGAGTTGGAGTGTCAGTTCTACTACTTTCTTGCTGAGTGACTTTGGATACATTGTTTAACCTTTCTGAGCCTCAATAGCATCCTCTGTACAAATAAATATACAACGCCTGAACTTCATTGACATTGCAGAAAAATTGGGTGGATTCCATCAGCTAATGTGTATGAAAATGTTTTCAAAGCATAAGAGTTACCCATCACAGGCATAGTAACTCTCATAGCAACACTCTTAGCAGCAGGCTGGAGGTCACATGCCTTGGGTTCCAGTCCAGCTCTGCTCCTAACCCATTCTGTGACCCTTGGCAAGATACCTTCTCTGAGCCTCAGTTTCCCCATCTGTCAAACAGGGAAGCTAAACCTGCTCTGACATTCTTGCAGAGCAGCTGTGAGAAAAGAACTTAATTCTTGTAAAACATTGTTCTAAAGTCAGAGAGAGCCAGGTGCAGTGGCTCATGCCTGTAATTCTAGCACTTTAGGAGGCCAAGGAAGGAAGATTGCTTGAGTGCAGGAGTTCAAGACCAGTCTGGGCAACAAAGCAAGACCTTGTCTCTGCTAAAAATTTAAAAATTGGCCAGGCATGATAGTGTGCACCTGTAGTCCCACCTACTCAGGAGGCTGAGGTGGGAGGATCGCTTGAGCCCAGGAGTGTGAGGCTGCAATGAGCTATTAACCACTGTACTCTAGCCTGGACTACAGGGCAAGACTCTGTCTCAAAAAAATAATAAAAATAAAAAATAGGCTAGGCACAGTGGCTCACACCTGTAATCCTGGCACTTTGGTAGGACAAAATGGGTGGATTGTTTAAGCCCAGGAGTTCGAGACCAGCCTGGGTAACATGTTGAAACCCTGTCTGTACAAAAAATACAAAAATTTGCTTAAAAAAATACAAAAAAGCTGAGCACAGTGGCTCACACCTGTAATCCCCGTACTTTGGGAGGCCGAGGTGGGCAGATCACCTGAGGTCAGGAGTTCGAGACCAGCCTGACCCACATGGAGAAACCCCGTCTCTACTAAAAAAATACAAAAAAAAAAAAATTAGCCAGGCGTGGTGGCGCATGCCTATAATCCCAGCTACTTGAGAGGCTGAGGCAGGAGAACTGCTTGAATCTGGGAGGCAGAGGTTGCCGTGAGCTGAGATCGTGCCATTGCACTCCAGCCTGGGCAACAAGAATAAAACTCCGTCTCAAAAAAAGAAAAAAAAATTAGCCAGATGTGGTGGCACATACCTGTGGTCCCAGCTACTCAGAAGGCTGACGTGGGAAAATCAATTGAGCCCGGGAGGTCAAGCCATGATGGCACCACTGCACTCCACCTGGGTGACACAGCAAGACCCTGTCTCAAAAACTAGATAAATAAGGCAGAGAGATCATTGTTGTGACCATTGTGATGCCCCTTTCTGCTTCTCTGCTCCTCTGGGCCAACTCCAGGAGGGAAGGTGTATTAGTCTGTTTTCCCGCTGCTGATAAAGACATACCTGAGACGGGGAAGTTTACAAAAGAAAGAAGTTTATTGGACTTACAGTTCCATGTGGCTGAGGTGGCCTTACAATCATGGCAGAAGACGAAAGGCACATCTCACATGGCAGCAGACAAGACGAGAGCTTGAGCAGAAAAACTCCCCCTTATAATAATCCTCAGATCTTGTGCGACTTACTGTAACGAGAACAGCACGGGAAGGACCTGCCCCCATGATGCAATTACCTCCCACCTGGTCTGTCTCACAACACATGGGAATTCCAGATGAGATTTGGGTGGGGACACAGCCAGACCATATCAGAAGGGCTCTATCTCAGTCCTGCCCGTTTGCCCTGACCTTGTGGCCATGGTGGCTGCTCCTGGGGAAAGGCGGGTCTGCATTCCTCCATAGCCTGAGAGGGGCTTATCTTCCCCCTGCTTCCCAGTGTTGCAGAGGGGAAGACAGGAGGTGGAAGAAAGGGGAGGCTGAGAGCCCGAGGAGGGCTTGCACCCTGGCCTGACCCACGAGAGTTCCCTTCCCTGCCACACAAGTTGCAGGGCTGGATCCCAGTGACTGGGGCAGGTGTCCGGAGGAAACAGCCAGGCCAGGGCCAGGAGAGGCAAAACCCGTGGGGTCTGAGCTAACACTGGCCCTGCTCTGGCAGCTTGTGTTCTGTGCCCTTGAGGCTGTGGCTGTAGACCATGCCCTCCATCAGGGACACCCCTTGAGCCTGCCCAGGGCCTGGGTCCTGACCCTGGGAAGCCCTCTGTCCAGTGGAGACACCGGTCTCCCTGAGCCTAAGGAAGCCCATTGTGGAGGAAGGGCTTGGAAGGAACCTCAGAAGAGGACAGTCCATCCTGTGTTTGAAAGGCTGTGGATGCCCGGATGGCAAGCAGGGCGCTGTGCTGACCAAAGGCATGATTGTGAAGATGTTACGGGTGGCCATGAGACTGGTCAGGTTGGGGACCGGCTAACTCCTGGGCCTAGAGAGGCTGACGTGGCCAGACTAAGGGCAGCCAGGCTCAAAGAAGGAGGCAGACAGGAACCCTGGGAGGGGTGCAAGCAGCAGAAGCCTGGGGAGAGCCTGGTTTGGGGTTTGTGAATCTAGCAGCAGTGAGTACAGGCTGGACTAGGGGTGAGGTGGAGGCAGGAGGCCAGGACTTGGGAGCTCCAAGGGTCCCATCTGGCCCAGGGAGGGCTGTCAGGCTCTGAAGTGACCACACTCACTCTGGGCTCCTAGCTGACTCTCCCGGCGCTGCCTACCCAAAGACTGGGTGCAGAGAGGAGCCCCCTAAGAGCCAGGGATGTGGAACGGTCGCAGGAGGCTGCTACAAGCCCCATGAGCAAGGCTGTTCCCACTGACAGAGCTTTCCCAGGATGACAGAGAGTGCGCTCTGCCTCTCTGGGGTGTGCTAGCCTACGAGGGGCAATCGTAAGGCGAATGTCACTGAAAGAACACAAGTGTCCTTAAACATGGACTATCTGGGCTTTCTAGTGCTGAAATTCTTCCCACTCCCACTGCCCACTTCCCATTATGTAAAAAACACAGTTGTTTCATGTTTTTGTTTCTTTACTGTTTTTCTTTGTTTTTGTTAAGAATGCATTCATTTATTCAAAATTGTTTATTGTAGAATAATCAGGCATTGCGCTAAGCACTGAAGAATATAACAAAACAAAAACAAGTCTCTACCTTAAGGAGTTTGCATGCTTGCAGGGGAGACAGACATTAACAAATAATTATACAATTAAACTGTAATTGTGACAGGTGCCATGAATGAATAAAAAAAAAAAAAGGGAATATAATCAATGCCACTGAATTATACACTTAAAAACATTTCAAATGGAAAATTTTATGTTATGTGTATTTTACCACAATACAAACATTTTTTTAAAATGTCGGTAATTAAAAAAAATAGAATATAACGAAGATCTGACTTGGTCTTGAGGGTTGGTGCAGGCTCTCCTGGTAAAGCAACATTTAAACTGAGACATGAAACAGGAGTAGGAGTTGGCTAGGGGAAGAACTTTCTAGGAAATGGGCACAGCATGTGCAAAGGCCCCGAGGTGGGATGGAGCTTGTAGTGTTCAAGAGACTAAAAGCCAGTGGGAACAGGGCAGATTTGGGACTATCATGTAAAAGCCACAGGAAATCAAGGTGCTGGTGTCAAGAGCCCAAGATCAAAGGGGTCAGGCACATCCATGGAAAGCGTGAGTCTCTAGGGCAAACCAACCCTGGTCCTAGACTTCTGAGTACGGATCTGGATAACTTCCGAATGCAAGTCCGCCCAAGCCAGCGGTAGTCCTCTCAGGAGCTGCAGAGATTTTAGCCAGGGGCAGCAGAGCTCAAACTGACCTGAAGTCAGGATCTGGGCCCAAAGCTAACCCACTGTCTCCAGGCAAGCCCCTGAATGGCAGAGTACAAGGCAAGCAGGTTTTTTAGGTCACTAAGTCCAACCCACTGTATTACAACATTCACATATTATCAATCTACTCTGACCTGATTACCTCTAGGGAAGGGGAACTCACTACTTACCTCTTCAGCTCCGCAAAAGCACAGTTTCATCTAGGGCCAGTGGTGGTAGAAAAAAACCCTATCTCACACTGGGTCCTGTGAGAGACCCCTGGATCCCAGCTCTGGCCTCCTACCCAGACAATTCTGGCTCCTTGGAAAGGAGCCTGTGAGGAACACTTTAGAACAGGGCTGGGAAGGTGCTTTGGAAACTGTAAAGGTTGTGACCATGTGAAGGACATCTAGGGCCTAGCTCAGACTCTGGCCCCGAGCAGCTGTAAAATAAGAATTTAGATGTCAGCTGGGTGTGGAGGTGCATGCATCTATAATCCCAGCTACTCAGGAGGCTAAGGCAAGAGATTAGTCAATTAATCAATCTCCACCCTCACTTTCCCATAAGTAACCACTGTTCTGAACAGCCAATGTTCCAGGTGTTCTTGAGGATGGCATGCTTGGGATCACACAGAATGTTACTTGTCTGGCTCCTTGCACTCATCGAAATGTTTGTGAGATTGATCAGTATTGCCAAGTGTCTCAGTAGTTCATTCGTCTGTACGTTTCAGTAGAATTCCATTGTGTGGCTATACTACAATTTTTTTTATCCATTAATCTATTGATGGGCATTTGAGTTGTTTCCAGTTTGAGGATTTTATGAGTAAAGCTGCTATGAAATTCTTGTATAAGGTGTTTTTGTGGACATATGTTCTCATTTTCTTGGGTAAATCCCTAGGAATAGAATTACTGGATCAGAAGATAGGTGTGTGCTTAAAGAAGCTGCCAGAAGTTCCCACATCTTTGTCAACAGTGGGTATTGTTACTCTTTTTAGTTTCATTCTGGTGGGTGAATAGTGATATCTTGCTGTGATTTTAATTTAAATTTCCCTGATGATCAATGATATTGAGCATATTTTCATGTGCTTATTGGTTATTTCCATGTCTTCTTTTGTAAATTATCTTTTCAAATCTTTAGCTCATTTTGTAATTGGGTTCTTAATCCTTTTATTATTGATTTGTAGGCATTCTTTATATATTCTGGTTATATTTTGTCAGATATATGTATTGGAAATATTTTTTCCCAGTTTGTGGCTTATCTTCATTTTATTAATTGTGTATCTTTTTTTTTTTTTTTTTTTTTTTTTTGAGACAGGGTCTCGCTCTGTCACCCAGGCTGGAGTGCAATGGCATGATATCGGCTCACTGCAGCCTCTGCCTCCCAGGTTCAAGCAATTCTCGTGGCTCAGCCTTCAAGTAGCTGGGACTACAGGCGTGTGGCACCATGCCCAGCTAAGTTTTGTATTTTTAGTAGAGACCAGGTTTCACCATGTTGCCCAGTCTGGTCTTGAACTCCTGATCTCAAGTGATCTGCCCTCCTCGGCCTCCCAGAGTGCTGGGATTACAGGTGTGAGCCACCACCCCTGGCCAATGGTGTGTCTTTTGATGAGCAAATTTTTTTTTTATTTAATGAAGCCCAATTTACCTAGTTTTTTTCTTCTATGGTTAGTGCTATTGTGCCCTCTCTAAGAAATCTTTGCTATTTCAAGGTCATATATATATATTATATATATATATATATTTTTCTATGTGTTCTACTATTTCCTACATTAAATTGCTTGGCTCCTTTATCAAAAATTTACCACATTTGTGTCAGCCTATTTCTTGATTTTCTTCCATTGAGCAATTATTTCTCTTTCTTTATATAATATCATGCTGTCTTCATTCTATAGCTTTTTAAAAGTTTTTTTTTTTTTTGTAGAGATGGAGTCTTGCTACATTGCCCAGGCTGGCCTTGAACTCCTGGCCTGAAGCGATCTTCCCACCTTGGCCTTCCAAAGTGCTGGGATGAACAGGCTGGAGCCACTACACCTGGCCCACTACTACAGCCTTATACTAAATCTTGAAATCAGGTAGTGTTGGTCCTTTAACTTCATGAATTATTTCCCCCTACAAGATTGTTTTGTCTATGCTAGGTGCAGTATGCAGCCTCTAAGATATTGCTCAGTGATTCTTGCCCTCTGATATTCTTGCCTTTTGGATTCTTGTGTAATCATCTACCCTAGAACGTGGGCTGGATCTAGTGATTCATTTCTAACATAGAATATGGCAAAAGTGGTGGGATTTCTTTTTTTTATTTCTATATAAGTTTTATTATGACCATAAAAATAACCCTGTAGTCAATAACAATTTAATTGTACATTTTGAAATAACTAAAAGTGTATAATTACAAAAAGTGATGGGATTTCACTTCAGAGATTAGACGACAAAAATACCGTGTCTTTCATTTTGATTGCTCTCTTTCATTTTCTTTCTTGCTCACACTAAGACAGACCCATGTGGTAAGGACCTGAGGGACACCTCTAGCTAACATTCAGGGAGGAATTGACAACAACCTACAAAGAACTGAATCCTGCCAACAATCACATGAGTCAGCTTTTGGAAGCTCATTCTCCTCCACTGAGCCTTCATATGAAGACTGCAGCCCTGGTTGACAGTTTGACAGTAACCCTATGAGACACTTTGAGCCAGAGCTAGCCCATGCCTAGATTCCTAACCCATAGAAATTGTGAGATAGTGTTTGTTTTTTTTAAGCCACTACATTTTGGGATATTTGTTACATAATAATAGATTCCTAATATACTAGATCCTTTGTACTTCTATGTAAAATGTAGAATCATCTTGTCAGTTGATTAAAAAAAGACTGTTTGAAATTTGACTGGGAGTAAATTGACTCTATATTTCAAATTGGGTGAATCATCTGATCCATGAACATGGTATGCATTTCCATTAATTGAGGTCTTTGATTTGTCTCAACCATGTTTTATACCTTTCAGTGTAGGTATCTTGCACATTTTTTCTTAAACATTTCTAGAAATTTTATGTTTTTGTTGCTATGAAAACTGTAATTTATTTTATTTTTTAATTTATTTTTATTTATTTATTTATTTATTTATTTATTTATTGAGACAGAGTTTCACTCTTGTTGCTCAGGTTGTAGTGCAATGCCGTGATCTCGGCTCACTGCAATCTCTGCCTCCCAGGTTCAAGCAATTCTCCTGCCTCAACCTCCCAAGCAGCTGAAATTACAGGTGCCCACCAACATGCCTGGCTAATTTTTTGTAATTTTAGTAGAGATGGGGTTTCACCATGTTGGCCAGGTTGGTCTCAAACTCCTGACCTCAGGTGATCCACCTGCCTTGGCCTCCCAAAGTGCTGGGATTACAGGTGTGAGCCACTGTGCCTAGCTAAAACTGTATTTTAAATTTAATTTTCTAGTCAGTTGCTGTTAGTATAAATATAATTGATTTTTTAATATTGACCATATATCCTGCAACCTTACTAAATTTATTTATTAATTCCAACACTTTTTTTTGTAGATCCCCTAAGACTTTTATGTTCAAAATTTTGGTAGCTATTAATAAAAAGTTTTACTTCTTCCTTTCCAGTCATTTTCCCTTTTAATTCTTGCCTTATTGCATCTTTTAGGATCTCCAAATGTAATGTTGAATAGAGATAATAAGAGTGGAAATCCTTATTTTATTCCCAATATATTTAGCATTTATAGTGCTCTCCATTCCTTTCTGTATATTCATGTTTCCATCAGGGACAAGTGTCTTTAGCCTGAATAAATTTCTTTTTTTTTTGAGGCGGAGTCTCGCTCTGTCGCCCAGGCTGGAGTGCAGTGGCGCGATCTCGGCTCACTGCAACCTCCACCTCCTGGGTTCATGCCATTCTCCTGCCTCAGCCTCTTGAGTAGCTGAGACTACAGGTATCTGCCACCACGCCTGGCTAATTTTTTTTGTATTTTTAGTAGAGACAGGGTTTCACCGTGTTAGCCAGGGTGGCCTCGATCTCCTGATCTTGTGATCTGCCTGCCTTGGCCTCCCAAAGTGCTGGGATTACAGGAGTGAGCCACCACGCCCGGCCCAGCTTGAATAAATTTCTACAGCATTTTTTGTAGTGAAGGTGTTCTAGTTATCTATTGCTGCTTAACAAATCATTCAAAAATGTAGTGCATTAAATCAATAACAGTCACTTATTGTTGCTCATGGTTTCCATTGGTCAGTTATTCAGGAGCAACTTAGCTGAGTGGTTCTGGCTCAGGGTTTCTCATGATGTTTCAGTCCAGATGTCAGCCAGGGTAACAGCCATCTGGAGTGGGAAGACCTGCTTTCAACCTCACTCATGAAGTTGTTGACAAGCCTGTTTCTCACCGGATGTGTGAGTTTTCCATTGCACTGTAACAATTACCACAAACTTGGTGGCTTAAGACAACAGATATTTATTCTTCCCCAGTTCTGGAAGACAGAAGTTCAAAATTGGTTTCGGTGGGCTAAAGTCAAGGTGTCAGGAGGACTGCTCTTCCTCCAGGGGCTCTAGGACAGAATCTGTTCCCTGCCTCTTCCAGCTCCTGGTGCTCCAGCATTCCACCCTTGTCTTGTAGTTGCATCACTCCCATCTCTGCCTCTGTGGTCACGTTGTTTCTCTTCTGTGCATGTCAAATCTCTCTCTGCTCCCACTTGTAAGAATACATGTGATTGAATTTAGAGCCCAACTGGATAATACAAGATAATCTTTCAGTCTCAAGATCCTTCATTTAATTATATCTTCAAATCTCTTCCAAGTTTTTGCCATATAAGCTAATTTTAACAGCTTTCCATTTGCTGGGTCACATGGTAACACTACGTGGATAACTTGTGAGGGACATTTTCAACTTACCACACTGGCTGTTGGCCAGAGACCTTAGTTCTTTACCAGTGGGCCTCTCCATAAGCTATTTGAGTGTCTGTGACGTGGCAGCTGGTGGCTGAGGCTAGGGACTTGTCAAAGTCTTCTTTATCACATCTGGTGCCTGAAATAGACTCATTAAGCTAGGATTTGGAATAGCTGGGCCCTTCGTGTCTCTATTTTTTTAATTTATTTTCATTTTTGGTTTTGTGGTACATGTGCAGGATGTGCAGGTTTGTTACATAGGTAAATGTGTGCCATGGTGGTTTGCTGTACCTATCAAACCATCACCTAGGTATTAAGCCCAGCGTGCATTAGCTATTTTTCCTGATGGTTTTTCTCCCCCCACCCCACCCCCCAACAGGCCCCTCCCTATGTCCATGTGCTCTCATTGTTCAGCGCCTCTATTTCTGTGTGGCTTCTTCACATGCTCTCCAACATCGCGCGTTCAAGATAGCCAGACTTCTGACATGGTGGGTCAGGGATCCAAAAAGCATGTGCCCTGAGAGAGTCAGGTGGCAACTGCATTGCTTTTTTGACTTAGCCTTAGAAGCCATATAGGTTACTTCCCATATGTTGTGTTAGTTAGAAGGCAGTCCTAAGGCCAGCCCAGATTCTGAGAGAGGGAAATTAGATTCTACCTATTGATGGGGCAAGTGTTAAAGAATTTGCAGGTAAGATTTCAAGCCACCTCAGCAGTTTCCTGGTGACAAATCCTCCCATCTTCTATTTAAATAAAAATGTCATTCTTTCACCTTATTTTTCAAGGATATATTTACTGGAAAAGAATTCTTGCTTGATCATTTACTTATTTCAGTACTTTAAAATGTACTGTTACAGTATCTTTTGATCTTCATTGTTTCTTAGGAAAAGTCAGTTATCATTTCTATCAGTTTCCTTTTATGTAATATGTCCTCCCCACCCCATCCCACCTCACGTCTGCTTTGGTTGCTTTTAAAATATTATCTTTTTCTAGTTATTATTTTGCGACAGGATCTCGCTTGGTCACCTGGGCTGGAGTGAAGTTGCATAAACCTGGCTCACTGGCTGGGCTCAAGTGATCTTCCTGCCTCAGCCTCCCAAGTAGCTGTGACCGCAGGCACCTGTCACCATGTCTGGCTAATTTTTTTATTATTTGTGGAGACAGGGTTTCACCATGTTGCCCAGCTGGTCTTGAACTCCTGCCCTCAAGTGATCCTCCCACTTCAGCCTCCCAAAGTGCTGGAATTACAGGCGTCAGCCACCACATCCAGCCTTACAACCTTAATTTTAGAATATTTTCATTATCTTAAAAAGGAACCCTATACCCATTAGTAGTCACTTCCTATTTCTCCTCAATCCCCCTAGCCCTAAGAAACCACAAATCTACTACTGTTTGTCTCTATAGATTTGCTTATTCTGGACATTTCATTTAAGTGGACTAATACAATATATGATCTACTGTGACTGGCTTCTTTCTCTTAACATAATGTTTTCAAGATTCATCCATGTTGTAGCATGTATCAGTACTTCATTTTTTTATGGCCAAATAATATTCCATTATGTGAACATACCACATTTTGTTTACCCATTCCTCAGTTGATGGACATTTGGGTTGTGTGGGGAAAAGAGAGAGATCAGATTGTTACTGTGTCTATGTAGAAAAGGAAGACATAAGAAACTCCATTTTGATCTGTACAAAGAAAAAATTGTTTCTGCTTTGAGATGCTGTTAATCTGTGACTTTAGCCCCAACCCTGTGCTCACAGAAACATGTGCTTTATTGAATCAAGGTTTAAGGGATTTAGGGCTGTGCAGGATGTGCCTTGTTAACAATATGTTTGCAGGCAGTATGCTTGGTAAAAGTCATCGCCATTTTACATTCTCTATTAACCAGGGACACGATGTACTGCAGAAAGCCGCAGGGACCTCTGCCCAAGAAAGCCTGGGTATTGTCCAAAGTTTCCCCCCACTGAGACAGCCTGAGATATGGCCTCATGGGAAGGGAAAGACCTAACTGTCCCCCAGCCCGACACCTGTAAGGGGTCTGTGCTGAGGAGGTTTAGTAAAAGAGGAAGGCCCCTTTGCAGTTGAGGCCTCTGTTTCCCGTATGTCCCTGGGAATGGAATGTCTCGTGTAAAGCTAACTATTCGTTCTGTTCTGAGATAGGAGAAAACTGCCCTGTGGCTGGAGGTGAGATGTGCTGGCAGAAATACTGCTCTGTTACTCTTTGCTACACTGAGATGTTTGGGTAAAGAGAAACATAAATCTAGCCTACGTGCACGTCTGGGCACAGTACCTTCCCTTGAACTTATTTATGACACGGATTCTGTTACTCGCATGTTTCCTTGCTGATCTTCTCCCCACCATCACCCTGTTCACCCCATTCTGCTGCACTCCCCTTACCGAGATAGTGAAAATAGTAATCAATACTGAGGGAACTCAGAGACCGGCGCCGGTGCAGGTCCTCACATGCTGAGTGTACCGGTCCCCTGGGCCCACTGTTCTTTCTCTATATCTTTGTCTCTGTGTCTTATTTCTTTTCTCAGTCTCTCGTCCCTCCTCATGAGAAATACCCAGAGGTGTGGAGGGGCAGGGCCCCCTTCAGGGTTGTTTTAATATTTAGGCTATTATGAAAAGTGCTGCTGTGAACATTTATGTACAAGTCTTTGTGTGAACATCTGTTTTCATTTTCCTGGGTATATACAAAGGAGTGGAATTGCTGGATCATATGGTAACTCTATGTATAACCTTTTGAGGAACTGCCAGATGGTATTCCAAAGTATCTGCATTCCCACCAGCAGTATAGGAGGTTTCTAATTTCTCCACATCCTTGCCAACACTGTTCTTATTTTCTTATTTATAGCCATCCTACCAGGCATGAAGTGCTATCTAATTGTGACTTTGATTTGCATTTCCTGGTGGCTGATGATGCCAGGCATTTTTTAATGTGCTTGTTGTCCATTTGCATATCTTCTTTGGAGAAATGTCTATTCAAATCCTTTGCTCAGTTTTAACTGGATTATTTGTCTTCTTATTATTGAGTTGTAAGAGTTCCTTATATATTCTAGATATAATTTCCTTATCACATGTATGATTTGCAAATGTTTTCTCCCATTCTGTGGGTTAATTTTTCACTTTCTTGATGATGTCCCTTGAAGCACATCAGGTTTTAATTTTGATGAAGTCCAATTTATTTGTTATTGTTTGTGCGCTTTTTAACCTTATCTAAAAAAAAACTTGCCTAACACAAGGTCACAAAGATTTATTAATATTTTCTTTTAATATTTTTACAGTTCTAGCATTTAGGTTTAGATCTTTTATACATTTGAGTTAATTTTGTGTGTGATATGAGGAAAGAATCTAACTTTATTTATTTATTTTTGGCACATGTCCCAGCATTATTTGTTGAAAAGACAAATATTTTCCCATTGGATTGTCTTGGTAGCCTTCTTGAAAATCTGTTCACTTTAAATGTGAGTTGATTTCTGAATTCTTAATTCTATTTCATTCACCTATATATCTGTCCTTATGCCAGTACCTCATTGTCTTAATTACTGTAGGTTTTCAATGTTTTGAAATCAGGAAGTGCAAATCCTTCAACTTTGTTCTTTTTCAAGAATGTTTTGACTATTTTAGGTCTCTTGAATTTTTTGTTTGTTTGTTTGTTTTTTGAGACGGAGTCTCACTCTGTTGCCCAGATTCTGGAGTGCAGTGGTGTGATCTCAGCTCACTGCAAGCTCCGCCTCCAGGTTCATGCCATTCTCCTGCCTCAGCCTTCTGAGTAGCTGGGACTACAGGTGCCCGCCCCCACGCCCAGCTAATTTTTTGTATTTTTAATAGAGACGGGGTTTCACCATGTTAGCCAGGATGGTCTTGATCTCCTGACCTTGTGATCCGCCTGCCTCAGCCTCCCAAAGTGCTGGGATTACAGGCATTAGCCACCGCGCCCGGCCAGGTCTTCTTGAATTTTTATACAAATTTTAGGACTAGCTTGTCAATTTCTGCAAAGAAGCCAGCTAAGATTTTGATTAAAATTGTGTTGACCTGTGGTTAAATTTGGAGAGCATTACCATCTTAACAATATTAAGTCTCTCGATCATGAGATATCTTTCCATTTATTTAGGTCTTCCTTAATTTCATTCAATAATGTTTTGTGCTGTTCAAGTTAAAAATAGTTCTCTCTCTACCCTTTGGATTGAATAGTTTCTACTATTTTGTCTTCAAGTTCACTTTTTTTTTTTTTTTTTTTGAGACAAAGCCTTACTCTGTCACCCAGGCTGGAATGCAGTGGCACAATCTCGGCTCACTGCAACCTCCCCTCCCAGGTTCAAGCGATTCTCCTGCCTTAGCCTCCCAAGTAGCTGGGATCACAGGTGTGCACCACCATGCACAATAACCAAGTATCTTAGCCACTGTGCTAAGCAATTCCAGTCGATTGCTTCCTAGGAAATCCTGTGTTGCTGAGCTGTATGGAGAGGTGCCAAGGACCTCATAGAGCTTCACCTAAATTCAGGCAGTGCATATAGTAGTGGTTAAGAAGATGCAGCTGGGTGCAGTGGCTCACGCCTGTAATCCCAGCACTTTGGGAGGCCGAGGTGGGCAGATCACCTGAGGTCAGGAGTTTGAGACCAGCCTGGCCAACGTGGTGGAACCCCATCTCTACTAAAAATACAAAAATTAGCCAGGCATGGTGGTGGGCGCCTGTGATCCCAGCTATTCGGGAGGCTGAGACAGGAGAATTTCTTGAACCCGGCAGGCAGAGGTTGCAGTGAGCCAAGATCGCGCCACTGCACTCCAGCCTAGGCAACACAGCGATACTCCGTCAAAAAAAAAAAAAAAAAAAAAAGGAGAGCGATACTCCGTCTCAAAAAAAAAAAGGGAGATGCAATCTGAAGTCAGATTGCCTCGATTTGAAACTCAATCATCCCCATTACTATCTGTATAACCTTTAGCAAGTTACTTCATCTCTCTATGCTTCCATTTCCCCATAAAATAGGGATTGTAATTCAGTACCCACTTGATAGGAGATAATCAAATGAATTAATTTGTGTAAAGCAATTGGAACAGTGCCTGGCACATACTAAGTGCTCAGCAAATGTTAGTTGTCACTTTTTAAAAAGTGAAATAATATTCCCCTAAAAGGCCAGGCTCCTTCTGCTCTGTGTCCCCACTGCCTGACCCCTTTGCCTGCCACATTCAGAGCTGCCTCTCACGTGTACAGGCTGTGTATGTGTGTCTTTATCTTCCTCTTTAAACCCTGGGCTCCTCCACGGCAGGGACCAAGTCTGTGAGCCAGAACCAGCCCACTGCAGAGCACAATGCCCCCACAATGCCTCCACTGGCAGAAGCCTCACCCCAGCTTCACCCCTACCCCCACTCCCACCCCCATAAAGTTCCTCTGGAGTCTGAGGAATAGGCAGTGTTCTTTCTTCTCATCTCCCTGGAAGAAAGGTAGAGAATTACCTATCTTGAGAGCTGGGACTTACAGGCCGTCCCATCCACCCTTTCCCCATTTTACAAATGGGTTAAGTAAGGCCCTCCTAGGAGAGGAGTACCTAAAGTCACGCTTGCGGTACTTAGGATAAAAATGGCAAGCAATGGGGAGATGGTGATTTTCTAGTAGCCTTTGCTTTGGGCTGAAATTATGTCAGCTTTGAGCATCGCACTGCCCTTCCTGTGGTAACCAAAACCACCAGCTGGCCGTTCTCTGTGTCTGTCATCAATACAACATATGAAAACACCTGGATTACGATTTAATATATGCGCATGGTTTATATAAAACATTTTCCAGGCCGGGTGCGGTGGCTCACGCCTGTAATCCCAGCACTTTTGGGAGGCCGAGGCAGGCGGATCACGAGGTCAGGAGTACGAGACCAGCCTGACCAACGTAGTGAAACCCCGTCTCTACTAAAAATACAAAAATTAGCCGGGTGTGGTGGCGTGTGCCTGTAATCCCAGCTACTCGGGGAGCTGAGGCAGGAGAATCGCTTGAACCCAGGAGGCAGTGGTTGCAGTGAGCCGAGATCGCACCACTGCACTCCAGCCTGGGCGACAGAGTGAAGACTCCATCTCAAAAAAAAAAAAAAAAATTTTTCCAAAAGGGTCTGATGATGAATGGTGGATGCAGGGGTTTAGAGGACCCTGAAGTGCCTCACTCTCTGTACCTCCCTATTCTTTGTCCCTATCCTGCTCCACCCCAGTCACCCAACAGGCCTGAGACTATTCGGTATGGCTGGCTTGTTAGGAGCATAAACTCTGGAACCCACTTGCCCAAGTATATATTGTGACTCTGCTAACCAAAGGACCTTGTCAATTTCCCTAATTTCTCTGTATCTCAGTTTCCTCATCTGTAAAGTGAGGGTGCTAATAGTACCTCATTGGGCTGTTACGAAGATTGCATGTGTAAGGTGCATAAAACATTGTCTGAGACGCAGTGCTGGTTATGTGTTAGTTACAAGCTAGTACTGTGATTATTCCTGTCTGGTTTTCTTTTGCATCCTTGGGCCTGGGGGGCCTGGCAGCACCCAACTTTGCAGCCTTGTCCCTACCTGATGCAGCAGAATTCCAGCCCAGAGCCCTAGATGACCAGTCACAGATAGAAAATGAGAAGGCCCTTTATCTGTGATATCTGAGGAAACAGAGTCCCAGAATGAACCAGGGACTTGCCCAAGGTCACAAAACTGAAACAGAGCCTGGGCTAGAAGCCAGATGTTCTGGTGCCCAGAGAACTTTGTCTTGGGTACGGCCAGGCTGCTTGCCAACTCCTTTAGGGCTTTGGAGTGGAACTTGATGTCTGACACATTTATTTGTATACAGCAGGCTGTGGGATTTGGCATGACAGAGTTGGACACTATGAGCACTGCCAACTGGGTAAGAAGTGAGCTGGCTGGGCTGCCCCACCCACCCAGGCAGGAGCCAAGGTGGAGCTGAGATGAGCCTTGGGGGTTGAGGCCTCTCAGCAAACACACTTCCTTTGGGGTCTTGGGCTGGGGGCTTCAGTCAGTCAAGGGCTCCAGGGTGCCTGCTCCAAATATGTTCTTCCTAGTGGATTCTAGGGGGATATGTCTTAAACCACCCCTGCCCTCACCCTTTCTGAAAGATTATAGGTCCCTAGCAGATCTCTGCTCAGCCCAAAACCCCACCCGTGTGAGCTGGAAAACCGAGACTGGGGATGGTCCACAGTCCATGCCTATCACCTTGGCCTTGAGTCCTCTCCTCTGCGCTAGCCTCCCATGCTGTCTCGCATGAAATAATCAGACCTTTACTCCTTGCCAGCTTTCTTCCTTTAACATCATTATACCCCCTCCCCAAGCCTGGGCCCAGCAACCCTGCAAAGAATGCATCTTTGTTCATCGATCCCATCATCTCTAAATCTTCGAGGCAGGGACTGTGTCCATTTTTGTCACTTTATACCCCCTCGTCCCATGCAACATCCGGCACAGAGGAGGTGCTAAATCAATACTCATAGAAGGAAGGAGGATCCTCAGGGAACTGTCAGTCACTGGGGCAGGAAGAAATCAATTCCAACTTTGGGAATGAGGACTTAATTCATATTTTTATTTCATGACAGTCCATTATGTTTTTTAAAAAAGCAATACCCAGTTTCTAAATGCTGAGTGCCTTGGGAGGAGATCAGCCAGGGCAGCTCCAGGAAGAAGCATGAGGGCTGAGGTCCCTCCCAGAGAAGGCGAGCTTTGAAAAGTGTCATAGGCGGCTCTACCACAGCAGGTCAGCTAGTGGGTTTTGTAAGGAGACGAAAGGGTAGATTACACATTTCCCAAGCCTTCCTGATCTTGGAATGAGCCATGTGCTGGCATTATAACTGTTGAAGTTTCCTTCCTTCCATCCTTCCTTTCTCTCTTTCTTTCTCTTTCTTTCTTTCTTTCTTTCTTTCTTTCTTTCTTTCTTTCTTTCTTTCTTTCTTTCTTTCTCTTTCTTTCTTTCTCTCTTTCCTTCTTTTTCTTTTCCCTTCCCTTCTCTTCTTTTTTCTTTTCTTTCTTTTTCGAAGTTTTGCTCTTGTTGCCCAGGCTGGAGTGCAATGGCACAATCTCGGCTCACTGGAACCTCTGCCTCCCAGGTTCAAGCAATTCTCCTGCCTCAGCCTCCCAAGTAGCTGGGATTACAGGCATGCACCACCACGCCCAGCTAATTTTGCATTTTTAGTAGAGACGGGGTTTCACCATGTTGGCCAGGCTGGTCTTGAACTCTTGACCTCAGGTGATCCACCCGCCTCGGCCTCCCAAAGTGTTGGGATTACAGGCATGAGCCACCATGCCTGGCCACTGTTGAGGTTTTCAAACCTCATCAGTTTGGACACTGTGCATCCAGAGCTAGCCTTGAAGGACATTTGAGGACATTTCTTTTGTCATTCTCTACCAACGTCAAGTATCAGTGACAATTCCATTCATTAACATCATGACTCAGCCCTCACCAGAAGAGGGAGGAGGAGAAGAGAAACAAGTTCATCTTTAGCTCTTCAGGACAAAGGAGAGGTCTGAATTCCTTTCTGGGATTCACTAGGATTGGGGTCGTTAATATAGCATGGGCTTCCGAAGTCCTGTGACAACAAAAAACAGCAAGAGAGCATTGGGGTGCAAAGTGCATTGATGGGGGTCTATGGGGGGGCTCCCAGCAGCTTCTCAAAAGGGGTCCTAACGCATCAGAGGCTCAGGACCAGTATTCGAGTCAAACTGTTAGGGTGTCCTGAAGTGGCAATAGGCAAGAATTGCTGAGATGTAATTGAAATTTGGTGAAGGGTAGAATTCTTTTGAAGTTAAGAGTGCTGGCATTGACCTACCAGTTTAGGGTAACAATCTGACAGTCGTTTGCCATCTGACTAGGTGGAGGACCTTGAACAACCCCTGTCCCAATTGCTGCCTCTGTGCCCTGCTCCTTGGCCTTAAAATTAGGGCTGAGGCTGGGCGCAGTGACTCACTCCTATAATCCCAGCACTTTGGGAAGCTGAGGCAGGCAGATTTCTTGAGGTCAGGAGTTCAAGACCAGCCTAGCCACCATGGCCAAAACCCCATCTCTACTAAAAATACAAAAATTAGCCAAGTACGGTGGTGCACACCTATAATCCCAGCTACTCAGGAGGCTGAGGCAGGAGAATCACTTAAACCTGGGAGGTGGAGTTTGAAATAAGCCAAAATCGGGCCACTGCACTCCAGCCTGGGCAACAGAGTGAGACTTTGTCTCAAAAGATAATAATAATAATTAGGGCTTAAAATTTCCACCTAACACTAGCTAGGGCTGCCTCCATTTTTTCACCTCATCCAAACCTCACTCACGCCAGAGGCAATTTGGAATTTGGGAGTTGTAGCTTGCAGGTAATAATTAAAGATGAGGGAGTGTGTGAGCTCCCTAAGTGGGAGAGGGGGCTGAGAGGTGGGCAGATCACCAGGGACAGCCCCCAGGAAACTCCAGGAAGCAGGAAAATGCTGGTGGGGGCTGGCTGCTGCCACAGACCGGCTAGTCCCTGTAGTGAAGGAGGAGGTAGAGGGTGGAGGGGGTATTAGAAGGCACAGCGCAAGGTGCAGGGATATTTGTTACCATGGAACAGGGGCTCTCCTGTGGGAATGGGGGGAGCTGGGATGGTTGGCTAAGTTTTATGACATGCACATACTGGGTAAACCTTGTGTACGTAGCATCCTGGCTTCAGAGCAGGCCGTGGAGACCCCTGTTCACAATGCTGGCTCTGTCTTTTGCTGCCTGGGCAACACTGAGCAAGTCTAGCGTTCTATCACCTCTTTTGGAAAATGCGACTACTAATAAAACCTACATTGCAGGGCCGTGGAGAGAATGGGAGAAGCCAACACAAGGCACTCGGCATAGTACATGTGCTTAGTAAGGAACCAAACCAAACAAAAAGACGAGCTTCTCGCCCAGCCCTGGGGGACCCAGTGGCAGGAACTGTCTCCCAAGGCTCTGCCAAGGATGACGGCCAAAAAACTGCCTCTCCTGCCGCCCACCCTTCTTATGTAAGAGCCACACAGGTGGGCAACTGGGTCCCGTGCCATATAGGTCAGAGGTATCTGGGGCTACACCTCAACAGCAGCCCTAGGGCAGGCTGGGGCGGGTCCCCACTCATGCCCAACCCCACTGCCTCATCACCCGGAACCTGGGGCATCCACAGCGACTGGCTCCCATACTCAGCATGCCTTAGCTGAGGGAGCAGAGGGGTTGCTGAGCCCTGTGCCTGCCAGGTGCAAGAAGGAGGAAGGTGAGCACCCTGGGGCAGCCAGACCCCCAGGCACACCCTCTACCGTGAGTCCTCTATGGGGGTCTTCAGGCTGGGAATTGGCAATTAGGAGAGAGCTGCCAGAGGCCCAATCTTTGAAGTGAGGCAGTCCATGCAGACTAAAGAGAAGCAGGGGGCGTGGGGTCCGCCACGCAGGGTGATGGGGAAGCTAGCGTGAATCGCCATTGCAGACTATATTGTTGCTATTGGGAGCATCAGGCTGTGCACAGGCCTGTGTGACTAGCACTGTGGGGTTTGGAGGAGGCATTGCTCTCCCTGTTTGGGGTTTTTAGGATATGGGGAACTAGTTAGGCAACACCTTCCATGGAGAACATTCTCCAGCCATTGGGGAGTCAGTTCTGCTTTGCCCGCTGAGCAGAGAGAGATGGGAACTACCAGAAGTGATGGGGAGGCTGGTGAATGGTAGCCAGAAGTCTCTGCAAAGCAGGAGTCCTGGAGATTTTATTTGCTCATCAGTTGGCTGTGGGGAATGGAGACCACAGCCCCAAGGCAGCCACCTCCTGCGAGGCATTCTCCATTGATTCTGAGGGTGTTTGGGCTTATGAGGCCATAAATTACAGCAGGGTGTCCCACCCCAGGAGCAGATGAGTCATAGCCAGGAAAGAGGGCAGCTGTCCCCTCGCCCAGCCAGGCTGCCAGCGGTGACTCACGCTGTATCTCTGTTGCAGGGCGGTCCGGTGGAGCCGGGCCTCTCTGGGGCTGCTGTGGCTCTCCCGGGGGGACTCCGTGACATGTTCTCTGAGGTTCTGGCTCTCTCCTGGGCAAGCTCACAGATTGCAGCCACCCCCCAGGCACCATGCCAGAGGTGCTCCTGCTCAGGTCTGCCAGCTCCATCCTGAGGACTGCGTAAGGAACAAGGAGCCCACCTTCCCCCGCCTCCTGCCCCGCAGCCAGTCTCCCAGGGAAAGTAGTTGGCACGCAACCTGGACCCCCAGACTTGGGTTTAGGGTTTTTTTCATTCTGCTGGTCACCCTCTCAATCTTGCCAAGTTATCCTTTTCTTCTTGAGCCCCCAAAGATCCATGAGAGCTCATGCGTAATAATGATGAGAGCTGACTACGTACTAAGCACTTCTTATATATCACCTTCTCCTTGCAGTAGCCACAGGATACGGGCAGAAAACCGAGGGCCAGAGAGGAACCGTGACTCGGCCACATAGCTAGTAAAGTGAGTTGTGCCCAAGCAGGCAGACAGACTGGTGAACTTTGATGCTATCCTGTTTCAAGAAAGCGTTCATTGAGCACCTACTTCATACACAACAGTGGCCTGGCTGCTGAAGGCTGAGTGAGAAGAAAGGGTAACAGAAATAAATGGGAAACGGATCCTCATCCGTGAAGCGTTCACATGGGAAATGAGGGTCCTCCTCAACTTATGTGTCACACACATAGTGACAACTTGAGAAGGTTTAGGTCCAACCAACATGTACTGAGCTCCAACAGTAAGTACTCATGGCCAGAGGACAGAGCTGAATCAGAAGCGGCCCCAGCTGTCAAGCCATGTGTGACCATCAAAGCCCAAACCTGAGTATCCAAGGGCCACAGGGGTGAGAGGGTGTTGGGGAAATCTAGGAGGGCTTCCTGCAGGAGGAGTTGAAGGAGGCTTGGGAGGCTCTGTGTGCAAATGGTTCCCATCAGCTCCTCTGGCAAGGTAGAAGGAGTAAGGAGACACCAATCCACCAAGAGATGGTTAAGAGAAAGGCGCAGTGCAGACGCTCCCAGGCTCCTCTGCCCCCCACACATCTTACATCATATTTGCTCAAACACGCCCTTTGTTTTCTTGTTCCCATGCTGCTGGGTAGCTGCTGATAAAGTGTTTTTGTTTTCTGTGAAAGGAGAGCAAGGCGATGAGCTTAAAGTGTGCTTATGTGAGCTGAGGTCAGAGAATGAATCCTTGTTCTCGTCCTCAAAGACGAGTGAAAAGGGCCAACCTTGTAAGCTCTTCTTCCTCCTGGGAATTCAAAATGCAGACAGAAGCCAGTCAGCCTCCTCAGGCCGTTCTTCCACCATTATTGTCATTAATCATGTTAGGTGACTTCCGCCAACCTCTGGAGTATTGCCTTCCAGAAGGAGCATAATTTTCCAGAATGACAGGAATAATATGTTAATCGCCTTCGGCGTGCTCATGATGATCACAATGACAGTAATATCAACTCACCTGTAGGATCATTTACAGCCACCTGTCCTTCCTGGAATAGCAGCAAGAATCAGGAGAAGGGCCCAAAATGCTTTTGAGGAGTTAAGACAGAGTAGGGGCAGCTTCCCAAACCTTAGCTTCTTTTCTTCAAAGAAAACATGATAGGTTCCATTGTGGAACTTGTCCCCCAATGTAACCTAAGTTCTAACGAGCTTGGCTGTTTTGTTTTCTATTCTGCTACAAAAAGAAATGGCAATGTAGGAGTGAGATGAATTGCTAGAAGCCAGCACACTGAAAGTAGCAAGAAGTGACTGCTAGTCACAGAGGAGAGGATTAAAAACTAAAAAATGGCCGAGCATGGTGACTTGCGCCTATAATCCCAGTACTTTAGGAGGCCAAGGCTAGAGGATCGCTTGAGCCCAGGAGTTGGAGACCAGGCCTGGCAACATAGCAAGACCCTGTCTCTACAAAAAATACAAAAATTAGCCAGGTTTTGTGGTGCTGTCCTGTAGTCCCAGCTACTCAGGAAGCTGAGATGAGAGGATTGCTTGAGCCTAGGAGTTTGAGGTTGCAGTGAGTGGTGATTGTGCCCCTGCACTCCAGCCTGGGTAACAGAGCAAGGCCCTGTCTGCAAAATATAAATAAATACATACATACAAAATAAAAACTGAAAGACGACCATTACGAACAACAACGAGTGTGAGACAGCACTCACAATGAGGAGAGGCAGATGGCCCGAGCAGTTTCACTTGTTTCTGTGTGACAAGTCAGGTCAGGAAAGCCTGTTACTGGTTATAACTCTGTGTGAGCAGGAAGTTACTGGAGGTTTAGCACATTCTATTTCGGATGACATCTCTTCAAAGGGACCACCTCTCAAAGCCCCTAGTGAGGAAAAGATCAGGCTTAATTCATTTGGAGAATTAGGTTTTGACATTCTTTTAATCATGCGCCCCAAATTCTGTAAGCATAGGGCATAGAGAGTTGAATCAGTGCCTTGAGCCAGCCACAGGGATAAGGAAGGTGTTCTTGTTAAACTGATGCTGGCAGAGGGCCACGGTCCACCCTCTCATTGACCATGGTTGCTGGACAAGATCAGTGTCTGAGCAACAAGAAATTTGACACTGCACTGGGTGCTGCCCCTCCAGGAAAAGGCACCCACCCGCAGCAAGAAGGTGCTGCCAACAGCCTCATCGTCCCTATAAACAGAAGGTTCTAATCACGATAAGTACGCTTGACCCTTGGCTTCCTTTGGTGGCTGTCTTTTCATTTAGTCTTTGTGTAGCTATTTTAAAACCAGAACCAGTTTACACTAATTTTCTGTGGGGAGAGAAGTGCTGCCCATACCTTTTGATTAGGAGGATTTAAAAACAGGTTTGTTTGTGAGGAAGCAGTTCAGATGGTGGGACATTACAGCCAAGGACAGCCTCCTGCCTGGCTAATGTGGAGGTGGCCGCCCAGCTGGTGATCTCAGAGGCTGATTAGAGCTGCTAACTCTAACCTGGGGTGCTGTCCACCGTCCTCTGAGAACACAGGCTGAGATGGGGCAGGGACATCAACCAAGTTCACAGTCTTCCCCAGATGATCACAGTGCAGGCCTCTGAGCCTAGCAGTGTACGTGTCCCTCGTTTGCCGTCGCTGCCTGAACCCAGAGCTCAGGGGCCATTTGGTAACATTGCGGCCCAAAGTGGAGGCAGCTTCTACCTGGCTATCCCAGAGAGCTGTAACCAAGGATCCAAAGTCAGTAGGACGAGTTCTGCAGCATTCACACGCCTCTGTCTGCCCGGCACAGGAGGCCTCGCCCCGGAAGCACACGTTGCCATCTCTTCAGTTTTTCCACAACCTCCCTGGAGTGGGTCGCCATAGCAATGGAAGGGCTGCTCCAGGCCTGTGGCCCAGGCCTTGCTCACAAATTTCGCAAGAACGGCGCCACCTTGGTTCCCCAGTCATCCCCCTTCTCCCCGTCCCCCTCCCTTCATAACCTTCTGATATCTTTCGCTTTAAAACCTATCTCAGGTTCTTAAGCAGATGGCTGCCAGGTGGGCCTAGGTGTGTTCACAAACTTAGTTTTGTTCGGAACCTGCAGTGCCGACAAGGAGTGAGGCTGAATGTGAGAAGCAGGTAATTGGCCCGGCTTCCTGGGAACTGGGCAGGGATGGGGCTAGCCCCACCCTAACTGACAGACAGGGCTCCCTGGAGCCAGGGTCCTACCCTCAGGGACACCATGACCAGCTGCACAGGTTGCATGCTGCACAACTCCAGTGGATTCTGTTTACGTAGTTGTTGACTGTGAAATGTGTCTCTGGAGTTCTATAATCCTGTTGCAGTCCTAAAGTGTGTACTGAAATCCAGCTGCTCAGCCATCTAGGAGGTTGAGGTCTGGCCAGGTGAACTCTGAGGAAAAATGGTGCTGAAGGGCAGTCAGGCTGAAAGGATAATGAAAGCCCAGAAACCCATGAAACTTGGGTTGGCCAGAAGGGGAGACCCTTTAGCCAGGGTCACCGAGCCTGGGAGGCGAGGGGGATCTGGGTCAGGCCCTGGGCCTCAGGTCTCCCTGGACCCGTCTATGTCTGTCTTCTCCATGGAGTGAACAGACATGGGGTGCATGGTGCACCCACAAGCACATGGAAGAGGGGAGGCCCTCACTGGGGGGCCGGAATAGGACCCCTGAGAGCCCTATGAGTACCTGCAGCTCCACTCAGTTTCTGGGCATGGCTGGGGACTGGTGGGTACAGGGAGTGACAGATGGGGGAACCCCCGCCCCAAAAGTCTGCCCTCTCCAGGAGTGGCATTCAGAATCCTCCAGTGCGGACCTTAGCCCCGTCCTCATCCAGGTGGGGTGCTGAGACCCCGAGAGAGGCATGAACTTGCCCAGGGTCACACCACAAAGTAGAGCACAGAAGGCCTTGAATTCCCTTTCTCCTGAGCCCTTAGAGCCTGGAGGGAGGCTGGGTGGGGGCAGGGTCAGCCCCTACAACCACTGAGGTCTTGTCCCCTGACTCCCACTGGGTTCTCCTCTGTGGATGGCCCCAGCATTTGCAGGAGACAGAGGTGCCAGTGTCCCCCTGGGGGTGCTGAGATGTGTGCCAGGCCGGAGTCCCTAAGCCCAGGCCGGTCCCCCACGTTCTAATGAATGTTTTTCCTGGTCCCCTCACCACCCCAGCTCACTGACTGACAGGCAGCCACTCTCCAAAGAGTCCCTGAACCATGCTCTCGAGCTCTCAGTGCCAGAGAAGGTGAATAATGCCCAGTGGGATGCTCCAGGTAAGCCAGCTGGGGGTGGTAGGGTGGGGCAGGGCGGGAAACTGTGCTGTGCTGGGTGTGCTGGAGGGGTGGGTGGTGTGGGGGACCACCACACAGAACTGCGGGAAGGAGCAGCTGGGGATCTTGCTGGTTCCACGCTCCCAGGGACCCCACCAAGCCCCTTCCTTCATGGCTGCCATCAGGGCCAGGCGTGATGGAAAGGAATGAGGGATGGGGAGATTTCTTCTTCAAGAAAGCTGGGAAGAAGAGAGGCCAGAGATAGAGAGACAGGTAGGACATCATCTGGGCCCAGGCCTTGGGAACTTGGGGCTCCAGCAAAGGGTTGCTGAGGGACAGGAGAAAGCCCAGATAAGCAATGCCTTGGGATTTTTGGCCTGGTTAACTGGGGCAAGGGGCAGGCAGACGGGTGCAGGCTAGAAAGGTTTGTTTTGGAGGCTTGAAACATTACATGTTATCTTCTTGATCTCCACCATCAAATAATTGTGCCTTAAGGAAGGCAGAGTTATTTACTCTGACTCTGAAGAGTCATCAAAATGATAATAATAATAATAATACATCTTTTGTGCACTTTTATTGGCTGCACAACAACATTGTAGCAACAACAGAAATTTAAAAACAAAAAGAAAACAATAGATACCCAGCACAGAGGGTCACTGCTGCCAGACCAGCTGCCGCTCTCCCAGGCCGAGTGTCTTGGGTGGCTTTGGCAGGGATCTGGCCTGAGCTGTGGGGGTGGGTGTTTCCTCTCATGCCCCCTGCCCTCACCTCAGAGATAAAGGAGAAGGGACTGGGCCAAGAAGAGGACCAACTGGTTTCTGAGAATGGTTTGAAAGACACCGGAGAGAGGCCAGGAACAGGGACAGCTTGGTCCCGGGAGCCTCCCACGTTCATCCTCCCAGGATTCCAAGGCATCTTGCTGACTTGCTGAGCCACCTAGGGCAGGTCCCACCAACTGGCTTAGGCTCAGACACCCCAGACTTTATAATCCCTTCTCTGGGGTGCTCAAAGAGCAGGTGTTGGCACCAGGGGCCTGGGCCACAGCAAAACCGTGGAGCTCAGCAAGTCCTGAGTATGAGTGATGGCACAGGCATTCCTGCAATTCAAGGGGCAGGAAGGGAGCCATTTGTGGGGGAGGCTCCGTGTCCCTTGGAGCCCCAGAAAAGCATCTGGCATCCCGAGGGAGAAACACATAATCCCCAGCCCTGCGGGCCTCAATGGCTTCATCTGAATGGCTGTCGTCTGGCAGCCGTGCAGCAGTAGACACGCAGCATGGGCAGGTTTTAAACAAGCAGGGTAGGGAGTCCCAGAGAGGGTCCCTTCAGACAGGGCTGGAGTAGAGGCATCTGAGCAGCCAGGGGCCAGATGAGGGACAGGGAGAAGGCCCTGAGTTTAATGGCGAGGCAGGGCCTGGGTGGGCAACTGTAAGGGAGGTGACAAGGCCATCACGATCTAGTGTATCAGGACTTTGGGAAACTGGCAGGGACGGCCAAGGTGGGCGTGCCCCAGGATCCTCCACCCTGTGCACTGGGCTGTGAAGGAGACTGAGACGGACAATCTTCTTTCCTGCCCTCAAAGAACCCCCAGTCTGAGGGCAGACAGGTCCTCTGTAAAGGGCAGGGACAGGCTGAGGAAGGAGGGCTCCCTCTGGGAGCTGTGGGGGCAAGGTGGGCCTCTTGCATTAGAAGGACCTGTGGCTGTCCTCAGAACCTCAAGCTCCCTCTAGGCCTAGAGGTCTGGACTGAGTGCTCTGCCCTTGGGAGTTCAGCTTCCAGGGCTGGTGACAAAGAGAAAGGGGAGGTTTGGGAGGGGCTAAGGAGGCACCATGGTTGTCAGCAGGCGCCCAGAGCGGAGGCCACCGAGGGACCCCAGGTGCTTCCCAGGGCAGTGCTAAGCAGGCATCATGGGCTCCCACAGACCTGGCTCGGGGGCCATGCTCTGCCCAGCACCCTGTCCTGCAGCCCTGGTGTCCTTGGGGGTGGAGGGGGAGCCTCTGCGCTACAGCGTGGGTGAGTTCCAGATTCTCATGGATGGCGTGTCCACCGCGTGCCAGGCCTGGAGCGGAGCTTGGACTCTTTCTCATTGACTCCCTAGAAGCTTGGGAGCCCTGGGCTCTAGTCTCTGTACAAGAAGGGGGATTGGGGCTGGCACAGATTGGGAGGGGTCTTGAAGCTGCCCTTTCACAAAGCATTTTTGATAAGATTGGGAAAAGCCAACTATCCCTATCAAAGACTGCTGGGGAGGAGGGATTCGTGGGATTAGGAGAGCTGAAAGTCCTCCTTCCTCACACAGTTGTGCCCTGAATAAGAAGAATCAAGCCCTGTGCTAAGGGACTTTCTTGTATTCTTTCCTTTTATCTTCATATCAGTAGCAGGGAAAACAAATCTATCACTCCTATTTGGTAGAGGAAATGGAGCTCAGAGAGGGTTAGTGATTTTCTCAGAGTCACACAGCTGGTAAGAGGTGGAACTCTTAACTGGCCACACTGCCTCTTTGGGACCTAGATAGCATCATGCAGTCTGGTCTTCCAGGTCTGGCCCCCACAAGTCTGGCCAGCCCCTGCCTCCCTTTCATCTAACTGCAGACACTGGCAGCCCCTCTGGGGAGCTCTTTGAGTCTTGTACACAGGAATCAGGGTTCACTCTGGAGCCCTCGGAGGCTCCCAGATCTCTTTGAGGTCCCAAAAAGTTTGAGGTCCTGAGCTCTGGTCCCCAGGCTGAGCTCTGAGCTCTCCAGATGGCTGTACTCCCAGGAAGCAGCTGTGCGAAGTCAGGCCACCGAGACACTGGAATCTGACCTTCACACAAAGGCAGCCTTGTACTGGGCCCTGGAGACACATTACTTTTTACTTTCTAGGCCTTTCTAGATAGAGCTTGAAGCCCAGCAGGAGAAGGGCAGCATCGAGACCACAGAGAGGGGAGGGCACCCGGGGTGAGCAGCTGCTGGGGATGAAACTGCTGGAGGTGCTGGCCAGGGCTGGCTCCCCACCCGCTTTCTCCCTAGGAAACTCCCACACCCACTAAGGAGCTTTTGCAATTGGGAAGCTAGGTGCTCAGCCCCACTTGTCTCCAGTCCAGTGAAGCCCTTTGTGGGTCAAGGGATTTGCTGGGCCTCCCTCGGTTCGTCACTCCCACCCTTCCCAAATGTTGCAAGGGGTGGTGTTTCAGGCTGGAGCTATGCGCTAGGGAGCCAGAAAGAGGCCTGATACAATGCTTGTCCTCAAGAAGCTCACAGTTTGAGGCCGGGTAGCAGGAGGAGGCCGTTGGGACAGTGGAAGGCAAGAGGACCTGCCTGTCCCCGCAGCCTCCGATGGGGGCCGGCAGGAAAGGCTTTCCAAGGGTCAGAGGAAATGAGTGCCAGTGATTCCTTCTCCATGATATGGAAACAGGTAATCCCGGCCCTGCCAGCCAAAATGAGTGGAACCTCTGGGGGTCCTCAGAGAAACATTTTCCGCAGGGGTCAAGGCACCCACCCAGCCCCTGCCTGGACAGCCTCAGACACTGCCTGGGTGTCCCCTCCTAGGACCCTGCCATGTGGGGCAGGTCTGGGGCAGGCCAGCCCAGGGCTTCTGGCTGGGATGCCCGGGTTCTTGCTCAGACCCGGCTTCTCTCCAGTGGATGGAGACCCAGCCTGAGGTCTCCTGCACATCTCCTGAGCATGCTCACCTTTACAGGGGCAGGTAAAGCCCATCTCAGGTCCCTTACCCCGGTGGTCCAGGCCTGGACAAGTGGAATCCTAGAGGCAATTTTAAAAAGCTAAAACAATGACTGTGGAGAAGCGTATAGAGAACATCTTGTCTACCCCAATTGTAATTCAGATGGGGAAACTGAGGCCCAGGGTCATTCTGCTGTGGTGGCCAGAACTCAGAGCTCTTCAGTCCCCATTGAGAAGGCCGGGAGTGGCAGCTGCAGGGGCCCTCTCCCCTCAGACACAGAGGAACTACTGAACAGCTGACAGACCCTTCTGTGCTAGGTCTTGTCCTTATCTCTCTTCATGTCCTGGGGCCAATGTGGCCTCTTCCTCTTCTGTATCCCTGAGAGTGCCTTGCATTGGGCTGGCCCTCAGCACAGGGTCCCGTGTTGGAGAGAGGGGCCCTCCTGGGGCTGGTTCCTGCCTGGCCTTTGGAGGAGGGCCTCTGGGGTCAGTGCCCTGCAGGACCGTTCTCGGAGAGAGATCTGTCCTAGGCCTGAGACCCACCTCTTCCTCAACACCAGTTATTCCTCCATCTGCACAAGAAGCTACTTTCCTGCAGCCTTTCCCACAGACCACGGAAAACAGCCCCAGCCTCCCGCTCTCTGCTCTTGTGTTGTTTTCCTTCCCGGCTAATTGAGTGACTGCCTTTGCTCTTTAGACGCCTTTATTCCAGAACCCCAGAGAACACAGCTCCCTGCCTGCCCAGTGGCCCCCAGCATAAAGGGTGGATTGATAAGATACAAGCCAGGGTCAGGCCAAGACAAGTGGCAGAGGGAGGAAGCGGCAGAGGGAGAGGGAGGCGGCAGAGAGTGCCAACCTTGCCTGGGAAAGCCTACCCCCCAGCTCTCAGCTGACTTGGCACTTGGTGGGCGGGCAGTGTGCTGGTGGTGCTGCATTGGCAGCAGGCAGCGAGCTTTCTGGGTTCTCCACTGCGCTGTAGATCTAGTCGTTGGTTGCCTTTTGGAGTCAGCTCCTGTTGGGATCTGGGTGCCTTGCTGGGCAACAGAGACCTTGATTGTGTCCTGGCCCCGTTCTTGGCTGTTACTACAGCAGTGATCTTAGTTTGGGCATGGGACAGAGCTGATGGTTGCACTGATCTTAGTTTGGGCATGGGACAGAGCTGATGGTTGTGCCCTGTTGGTGGAGCACAAAGGGGAGATGAGGACTACTTTAAGGACTGGCAGTCATCCTGATTTCCTAAGTCTCTCGATACAGATCTTTTCAGTGTGGTCTATGCATTTCTGTATGCCCTTTTTTGCTCCCCTTTTCACTTGATGTTATACTGTGAACATTTCCATATGTCATTAAATATTCTTTTTGTACTTTATTTTAATGGCTGCATGGGAATCCATGATACGGCTCTACCATAATGAACTGAATAAGAGACCAGTCCCCTGTTGGACATTCGGGTTGTTTCCAATGGCTTTGCTAATAGACACGTTGCTGTATGGATATCCATCTCCACATTCTCGCTGTACATGTCTCTGATTGCTTCCCTTGAGTAACTTCCAGAAAGTATGATTGCTAAGTGCAAGGATGTTTCTGTTTCAAGCCTTTGGATATATATTGCCAGTTGCCCCCAACAAAGCTGTACCAGTTCATGTTCTGCACTGCACTGCACCTTCCAGACAGTGGATATTGTCTGTTTGCCTGATTGTATTTTTGCTGCTTCAAGTTCTTTCCTTTTAGGAGAAACCTAGGGAGAGAGGGAGGTTAGGAGATGAGTTCAGATGGCTTCAGGAGATGTGGGTTATTGTGAGGAAAGGCAGGGAAGAAAAGAAGCTTAGAAAGAGGCTAGGAGGAGGCCGGGAGTGGTGGCTCACGCCTGTAATCCTACCACTTTGGGAGGCTGAGGTGGGCAGATCATGAGGTCAGGAGATCGAGACCAGCCTGGCCAACATAGTGATACCCCGTCTCTACTAAAATACAAAAAATTAGCTGGGCGTGGTGTCACGCACCTGTAGTCCCAGCTACTCGGGAGGCTGAGGCGGGGGAATCGCTTGAACCCAGGAGGCAGGGGTTGCAGTGAGCCGAGATAGTGCCACAGCACTCCAGCCTGGTGACAGAGCAAGACTCTGTCTCAAATAGTAATAATAATAATAATAATAGGAAAGAACATAAAAGTAAAAAGAAAAAGCCTAGCAGGGAATGGGAAGAATGGACCTTCCTGGCTCCCTGCTCAGGTGACAACCAGCATTGCTGCAATTCAGTTTCTCCCTGCCCTACTGCCGCCACCTGCTTCTGTGCACTCCACTCACTATGCTGTGACTTCCACCACCCCATTGTCTCAGCTCAGCCATCCTGATCTCTGCAAGTGGCTTCCAAACTCTGCAGGAGAGACTCTAATTTTCTGTCACCACCTACAGGGAGCACTCCCACTGAGCAGTGCTCCTGCACAGCAACTTCATGAGCCTCTGGCCAGGGCTTGCAGCTCCGGTCTCATGCATGTTGTCGGGGTCGCAGGGCCAATGTCCAAGGCTCAACAGCTGTGGGCAACCCCTTCTGACCGTTCTGCCTTGCATTTGGCGTACCTTGCCAGTAGCTAAAACCCAGGCCCAGCCCTTCTAACTCATTGTCCAGAGACTTCTTCTTCTATAGAGAGGGAGATTGGCAGAGGACACGGTGTGAGCAGAGCCCACGGGTGGGAACACATGGACATGAGAAGAAGGGGGAGGATTGCACACCCCAGGCTAGAAGATGCATCTGTCTTCCCTTCTTTCAGCTCTGAAGGGCAGGAGTGAGCTTGGCAGCTGGCACCCAAGGCTGAGGCCACTGAGCTGTGGTGGGCCCAGGTCAGAAGGACAATGAGCAGGGCAGGCCCTACCTAAGTCTCTCAGGGGTGCAAGATGGGAAAGGAGGCTGGCGTGTCCTGCTTGGGTAGATACCCGCTCTGTGAGCCTGTCTCTGTGCTTAAGCACAATGTGTCCTGTGTCCTCATTGGCCTCCCTGGGGGGCAAGGGTGAGGTGGGGGAGAGATGAAGGCCTGAGTCCTCTAGACACACAGTCACTGGGTCTCCAGCCCTCCTGGGACTAGGGTGGGGCAGAGTTCAGCTCATTCTTCCCCAAAGAAGAGGCCCCTGGCCTCTGCTGGAGGCCGGGTTGCTGCTGGTAGCCAGGACCCAGAGAGGAGGGAATCTGACTTCCAGAGCTCCAGGGTGGTGGGAGAGGCAGCCCCGACCATGACCCCATCCTCCATTAGGCTCAGGATGGGAGTCTTTAGTGAGGAGGCAACACGTGGTCCTTGAAGAGCGGTAAAGTGTGGGCATGTGATGGAGGGAAGGGCATTGCAGGCAGAGTCGCAGCACAGGCAAAGGCACAGAGACGGGGAACCAAAGGGAACTGGGAGCAGTTCAGGTTGGCTGTAAGGAAAGGTGTATGTTGAGGCTGGGAAAGGTAAGCGAGCCCCTTGGGGAGGGCCTGCCTTAGAAGCCCTGGTATAGACGTCTCCCTGTGGTCAATGAGAGCCATCGGGGGCTTTTGAGCAGGTCAGACCTGGATTTAGCAAGGTCACTCTGGGAGTCTCAGGAGTGTGGGAAAAGGCCGGTGGCTGGAGGTCATGGCTGCCCAAGGTCACCCAGCCTGAACCTGTCACAGGACTTGGCGGGAGGCATGATAGTCCTTTCCCAGAGGAGATGGGAGATGTGGTGCCGGGGTCTTCCTTGAAGTTCACCGTGAGAGGCAGCACCCCTGTGGGAACAGCAGACTTGGGTATGGAACTGTGGGGGTTTGGATGCCAGCTCTGCCACTCAACTCTTTAGTTGGGAGGTGACAGTGGTGATGGGCAAAGAATGGCATGGCGCATGGCAGGGGCTCAGTAAGCAGTAAGCAAGAGATGATCGGGGCCTCAGCGAGGGCAGGGGCAGCCTCCTTCCCACCAGAATCTCCTCTTCCAGCTGGTCTAGGGGCTCAGACAGGTCCTGCTGGCTCAGCTGAGCTTGTGCAGAGAAAGGGCTGGGTCATGCAGCTGGCCAGGAGGCCTTGTCACCCTTCCCAAGGGTGACAAGGGGTCCTCCAGAGCTAGGGCTCTTGTCCCTGTCATGAAACAGCTGGACTAATAGGAGACTGACATTGCAGACCTATGAACCTTCCTTCCCTTCCCATGCCTCATTCCCTCCTTCCAGGAAGGATATGAGATGACCTGACACAAAAGCACAGGCTCCATGGAAGAGGAAACAGGAAAAAGACAGAACCATGTAGCTGATGGGAGAGGAGAAATTAGGTGAAGAATTCTGTCCAAAATGTCCATCAAGATTTTAAACACTCTTTTCTCTTGATCCGGTAAACCTCCTTCTAATAATCTAAACCGAGAAGGAGGGCTGGAGGCTGGATACCACTTGAGCGTCCTTCAGTGGAGAGTGGCGGAGTAAATTATGAGAGGGCCCAACCGTGGAGTACAACGCAGCCACACAGCATGCACACAATGAGGCAGGCATGTTAATATCACCAACGTTAAAGATGGATGATTTGGCTAATGGCTAGGTTTGATTTGATTCATATGATTTAAAACATATATTTGGCTGGACGCAGTGGCTCACACCTGTAATCCCAGCACTTTGGGAGGTCAAGGTAGGAGGATTGCTTGAGACCAGGAGTTCAAGACCAGCCTGGGCAACATAGCAAGACCTTGTCTCTACTAGAAAAAAAAAAAAAAAAGCTGGGAATGGTGGCATGCACCTGTGGTCCCCGTTACTTTGTGGAATGGCTAAATTGATCTAATTAGCATATGCGTTACTTTACATACTTCACACACCTGGATAAATTTTTGTAGAGATAAGATCTACTTTTTGTAGAGACAAGGTCTCTCTATTGTTCAAGCTGTCTGCAACTTTTGGCCTCAAGCAATCCTGCCTTGGCCTCCCAAAGTGCTGTGATTACAAGCGTGAGCCACTGCACTTGGCCTGTAGTTTTTTGCGTAATAGAAAAATATGGCCAGGCACAGTGGCTCATGCCTGTAATCCTAGCACTTTGGGAGGCCAAGGCTGGAGGATCGTTTGAACTCAGGAGTTCGATACCAGCCTGGGCAACATGGCTAACCCCCACGTCTCTACCAAAAATACAAAAAAAATTAGCTGGGCTTAGTGCTGTGCATCTGTGGTCTCAGCTACTCAGGAGGCTAAGACTGGAGGATCTTTTGAGCCCTGGGTGACAGAATGAGACCCTGTCTCAAAAAAAGAAGGAAGGAAGGAAGGAAAAAGAAAGAAAGAAAAGAAAAGAAAAGAAAAATATTGCGCTGTTCCATGTCTCTATAAAAAGCAGAGAAACAAAAGGTGGACTCCAAGGGCCATGTGTCTAAAGGAAAATGAGAGGGAGCTCATTTCTTCCTGGAAAAGAAGACTGCCTCTGGTTTCATTTGCAAATCCTGGGCCACTTCATTCATTTATTATGTATTACTATACATTATTTACTATGATGCTGATACACTACCCGCCTGGTCCCATGAGCATTTTGGGTTTGCTACCTGTGATTAATACATTAATAAGATGATCTCTCTCCCCTGCCACCTTATTTTTCATAAAAAGCAATTGCAACAACAAAATAAAACCTAAGTCCTTGTATGAATATTTGTAGAAAGAGGGCCTATCACTTTTTCTGTCATAGACTGCTAAATTGTTTCATATTTCTTGGAACAAGTATGCATATTTTTGTCATTAAAAAGAGATTATAGGCCAGGCACGGTGGCTCATGCCTGTAATCCCAGCACTTTGGGAGGCCGAGGCAGGCAGATCACCTGAGGTCAGGAGTTCAAGACCAGCCTGGCCAACATGGCGAAACGCCATCTCTACTAAAAAATGCAAAAATTAGCCAGGCATGGTGGCGGGCACCTGTAATCCCAGCTACTTGGGAGGCTGAGGCAGGAGAATCACTTGAACCCAGGAGGCAGAGGTTGCAGTGAGCCAAGATCGTGCCACTGCATTCCAGCCTGGGCGACAGAGTGAGACTTTGTCTCAAAAACAAAAAAAGAGATTATAGTGGCTGGGCACGGTGGCTCACGCCTGTAATCCCAGCACTTTGGGAGGCCAAGGCAGGTCAATCACTTGAGGCCAGGAGTTCGAGACCAGCCTGGCCAACACAGTGAAACCCTGTCTCCACCAAAAAATACAAAAAAAATTAGCCAGACATGGTGGTGCATGCCTGTAGTCCCAGCTACTCGGGAGGCTGAGACAGAAGAATTGCTTGAACCCAGGAGGTGGAGGTTGCAAGGAGCCCAGATCGCACCACTGCACTCCAGCCTGGGCAATATAGTGAGTGAGACTCCATGTCAAAAAAAAGGAAAGAAAAAAGAGATTATAAATGCTCAAGTTAAAACGTTTGGCTTGGAGATCCCAAGACTCACCTCTGCTCTTCTTGGCAACCTGGGTGAACAGGTGAATACAGAGGAGCGTGAGCTTCTAGATGTGCCCACGGGAGAAAGTCACCTTTTCTGTAGTCCAGGCGTAGGAGGAATCTGTGCCAGGGGAGGGAAGAGAACTAATAACCACTGAGAGGCAACTGGATGCCAGGCCCTGGGCATGCTCTGAGGGCCATTGCACAAGATTCTTGCACCACTTTGTGGGGGGTCAACATTCTATTTTTTTTTTTTTTTTTTTTTTTTAAAGACAGAGTCTTGCTCTATCGCCCAGGCTGGAGGGCAGTGGTGCGATCTCAGCTCACTGCAACCTCCACCTCCCGGGTTCAAGCAATTCTCATGCCTCAGCTTCCCAAGTAGTTGGGATTACAGATGTGCACCACCACCACCAGCAAATTTTTGTATTTTTAGTAGAGACAGGGTTTCACCATGTTGCTCAGGCTGGTCTTTAACTCCCGGCCTCAAGTGATCCGCCCACTTTGGCCTCCCAAAGTGCTAGGATTACAGGCGTAAGCCACCATGCGGGCCCTCTCTCTGTTTTTCTTAAGTAGCTTTATTGAGCTATAATTTATATGCCATGAAATTTACCCATTTTAAGTGCACAATTTGATTATTTTTAGCAAATTTACAGAGTTGCAAAACATCCCCACAATCCAATGTTGGGACATTTCCTTCACCCCAAAAAGATCTCTTGTGCCTATTCCACGGTCACTCCCCACTCCCACCTCCAGCCCGGGGCAAACACGAATCTGCTTTCTATCTTTTCTGCCTTTCCTTTTTCGCACCTGGCTTCTTTCACTGAACATGTTTTTGAGTTTCATCCATGTTGTAGCCTCTATCAATACTTTATTCCTTTTTATATTTTTTTAATTTATTATTTAATTTGATTTAATTTTTTTTCTGAGGCTGGGTCTCACTCCGTTGTCCAGGCTGGAGTGCAGTGGTGCAATCATGGCTCACTGCAGCCTTGACCTCCCATACTCAAACAATCCTCCCACCTCAGCCTCCCAAGTAGCTGGGAATACAGGCACACAACACCATGCCCTGCTAATTTTTTTTTTTTTTAGAGATAGGGTCTCACTATGTTGCCCAGGCTGGTCTTGAACTCCTGGGCTCAAGTGATACCCCGCCTCAGTCTCCTCACATGTTTACAGGTGCGAGCCACTGCACCAGGCCACTTTGTTCCTTTTCAGAGCTGAATAGCATTCTACTCTCTGACCACATTTTGTTTTTCATTTACCAGTCAGTGGACATTTGGGTTGTTTCAATTTTTTGACTCATAAACAATGCTGTGAAGAACATCTGTGTGTAAGTCTTCGTGGGGACATGTGTTTTTATTTCTCTTGGGTAGATACCTAAGAGTGGAGTTGTTGGGTCGTACTGTAGTTTTATGTTTAACTCTTTAAGAAACTGCTAACCTGTTTTCCCACATGGCTGTCCCATCTCATTCCCACCAGCACTGTATGAGGGCTTCTGTGTCCCCATGTCCTCATCAACCCCTCACATTTGCAGGTGATGAAGATGCAGCTGAGAGAATGGTTTGTTAGGTCAAACAGCACACAGAGGCAGAATTGAGGTTTTTGAACCCAGGTGTACCTGACTTTCTGGTCTGGGCATGGACTTTAGCAAAATGCAACAGTTAGAGGCTCTGAAGAGGCAGATCAGCGGGGTCCACCAGGCTAGCATCCCGGGATATGGGGCAAGGCTTGGAGAGGTCTGAGGAGTGATTGGACGGGGCCTAGTGGCCCTTGACTCACGCCACTACCTGAAGGCTCAGGGCTCCCTCATGGCCAGTGGCATGGGCATCCATCCCAGAAGGTCTTAACCTCTGCCATACAGAGGTGCCAAGCACCTCTCTGGCACCCTCCCCTGTCCCGCCTGCATTTCCTGCAGGCTGCCATGTATCCCGTTTGGGTCTGGATATGTCCTTGTCATCCCTACTTCCGGCCCTCCACAGGAGGAGGAATGGGCTCTCCTGTCCCAGCCCCCAGATCTTTACCTCTTTCTGCCAACCTGAGTCTGCATGCAACCTAAGAGTGTCAAAGAGGAGGAACAAGCTCATCTAGTTCATTTGTCTGCCTCAGGGAAGGACCGGTGACAGGAGAATAGGCGAGGTGGGTCTGGCCAGCAGGTGGCAGGGCAGCCCCACCTGTCCTGGCCAGCCCTCATCCCTTCCCACCATCATCATGGAACCACCACCCTTGCCCCAAGGAAAGGACGTCTCACGGGACCAAAGGGTCCAGACCACCCATCCAAGCTTCCTTTGCAAATTTGGAAAAAAGAGGAAGAAGGAAAATGTGCATTTATGGAGCACCAGCCATAGGTCAAAGCTTCTTCATATACACCCTTTCTCTTGATCCTCATGTCCACCCTGAGAACTGAGTCCTCATCTTTCCCCTGAAATTGACTCAGTGGTTCAGTGGCTTGTCCAAGTCTTGCATACTAAGTGGTAGACCTCTGTTCCCACCCACCATACACAGAGTAAGCCTCTGACTCTTAAAGGCAGGGTGGCACCCCAGACAATGTCCTAAGTGTGAGCTGTGGAATCAGGTACACCTGAGTTCAAATCCTGACCCTGCACTTCCTTGATGTGTGATCTTCGATAAATGACTGAACCTCTCTGAGCTGCAGCTGCCCCGTCTGTGCAGTGGAGCTCTCCAAACCCATGCTGTGAAGACTAAATGAGACACCTCATTTGTAGGAGGAGAATGAGCAAAGACTGTTGTTATTTTCTGAGACTGGGAGACTTCAGGCTGGAGAGCAGGGCTGATGGTTTTCAGTCTCCTCCAGACCCTCGGGAGGGTCGTTCTCTTTGGTGCTTTGACCTTCTGTCTAGCTGGATCTGTCCCCAACCTGTTCACAGGAGGGCAGGGAAAGACAGATACCCTGAAGGCACCTGGAGATCTGACAGTTCCACTGCCCAACCTTGGGAGGCAAATTCCAATTGGGATAAAAGAAGGAACAGAGTGTCTAGGACTTCCGTCTGTCCTCCAGTTATTTCCTCTCCTCTTCCTTGCTGCATCCCTAAACTTTGCTCTTCCTTCAAGGCTGAGTCAGACCTCCTCCTCTAGGCGGTCTCCCAGCCTACCCCAGTCTACCCCAGTCTACCCTGGCCTGCCAGCCTCAAGGCCGAGGACCCAAGGCATTGTCAGCACCAGACGGGCTGCGAGCTCTGCCCAGGGCAGGACAAGTGTCCCCAGGCTGGCATGATCCAAGCTGTGGTCTCCCCCACCCCACAGAGGAGGCGCTGTGGACGACTCGGGCCGATGGGCGGGTGCGCCTGCGCATAGACCCCAGCTGCCCACAGCTTCCCTACACTGTGCATCGGATGTTCTACGAGGCCCTGGATAAGTATGGGGACCTCATCGCTTTGGGCTTCAAGCGCCAGGACAAGTGGGAACACATCTCCTACTCCCAATACTACCTGCTCGCCCGCAGAGCCGCCAAGGGCTTCCTGAAGGTAAGGGGGCCCCTCATGGCAAGGCCTTGCCCCTCCCCAGATGTGCCTCCCAGCTCTGGGCCTCACAGGCCTCCTCTCCAACTGCCCACTGGGCAAGGCTCTTAGGAACAATAACTGTAAAAGCTGTCATTGTGCGTGGGGCTGATACTCCATGCTGGGCCCCGTACTGAGCTTTTATTTGCTGAGCCCCTACCATGTGCCAAGCACTTGTTACTCACTTTTCATTTGTGATCACATTCAGGGTGGGCTGGAAGCCCAGTGTGCTGGGCTGAGGGGCCGGACAGACTCGCTGGGAAGGCCCTGGGAGGGGCAGTGAGGGCTGTTGAGTGACCAACCCCTTCTCCTCCAAGGGGATTCTCTGACTGAGGGGACCCTGGGAGGGTGGAGCCTGCAGGTCCCCTGCAGTCTGGGTGGGGGCTCTGAGAGGGGCATGAGGGTCCCAGTCCCTGCCCGGCTGACCTGGCCTGTCTGCCTTTGACCTGGAGCTCGGCCTGAAGCAGGCCCACAGTGTGGCCATCCTCGGCTTCAACTCCCCGGAGTGGTTCTTCTCGGCAGTGGGCACAGTATTTGCAGGGTGAGTGGCGGGGGCAGGGACGGGGTCTCCAGGGGGTTGGCAGTGGGCAGAGGGTAGGGGAGGGTCCTTATCTCTTTTTAGCAGCCCCCACCCACTCCCCACCATCCTGCCTCCTCCCTGGGGCCTTCTGGTGGACCTGCATCTGGCGCCCTCTCTGCAGGGGAGGAGGTGCTCAGGTGCCTTGGGAGCCCCTCCTGCCAGGCTATGGGAGCTCTCTGGGTCTGGGGGCTACAGATGTGGGGGTGGGGGAAGGGGGTGGCCCCTCTGCACCTCCCCTAAGGTGAATCTTCCTGGGTCTCCTACAGTGGCATCGTCACTGGCATCTACACCACCAGCTCCCCAGAGGCCTGCCAGTACATCGCTTATGACTGCTGCGCCAATGTCATCATGGTCGACACGCAGAAGCAGCTGGAAAAGATCCTGAAGGTTTGGGGAAGAGGCAGTGGGCATGGGGTCAGATGCTGGGTATCCCCATGCACCTCCACTCCAACTCACACGGAACCTTCCCGCCCTCCATCCAGAGTGTCCTCATCCTCAACGGCAACCCTCTAATGCATACACAGCAAGCAAGGCAGGGCAACGGCTACTTACCCATTTGACAGGCAAGGAAATGGAGGCTCAAGGGACATGCCCCAGAAGTGGTGATAAGGCCTTGGGTAGGACTCCTGTCCAGCCACTGCCTTCCATGGCTTTCTCTTTGGGACAGGGTCTCCCCTAAAGGGAAGCAAGAGCTGTGGGGGCCGGGGTCCTCTGGCAGTGGAAGGGTTATGTGCAGGTGAGTGGCTTAGGGCTGTGACATCTTGAGCACTCAAGTCTAGGTGAGGAACAGGGTGATGGGGGGTGGTGAGGGCTGCCACAGGGTGGGGGTTGAGCCAAGTCAGACACAGTTTGGGCAGAGCAGGAGCTCAGAGTGCCTCTAGAGCCAGCGGGGGCTTTTCTGGAGCATTGATGATGCCTCCTGATCTAAGGCACACCCCTAACTGGCTCTGTCCCTGCATGCACCATACTGGGGTGTGGTGGCCTGGGGACACCTCTCTGTCCCAGCTGAACCCAACAGCCTTTAAGGCATTCAAGGGCTCCCTGCATCCCAAGGGAGTCCTCAGAGACTGACTTGTTGGCTTGCCTGTGATTCTGGAGATGTCACCTGGGCCACACCTTCCATCTGTGCCCGAGGGTGGGACAAATGGTCTCCAACCTTCCAAGACTATGCGATCTGGATCCCCAGAGGAGCCAGAGCAGGTGCCTATCCTCATTTCTAGTGGAGAAGTTTCCTGAAGCCTGAAAGAGAAAAGCAAGTGGGGCCAGTATCCTTGGGGGATACCAGCAGGGCAGCGCCAGAATCCTTGGGGGAGACCCAGGCTGCAGCCCAGACCCTTGAGGCAGAACCTCTTGGAGGGCATCCCCAAATCAGAGTGAGTTTGAAAATAGCCTCAGGTGAGGCTGTGGGCAGCCCAGGCCAAGAACTTCTGGCTCACGGCAAAATAAAATGAAGCCCCGGGAAGACCTCAGAGCTGCCTGGATAGACGTACAAAGGCCTCTGAGCAGGGTTTAAACTCAGAGGTGGTGTAGAGAAGTGGGTGAACACACACACTTGGGCTGGACCTGCCAGAGCTCAAATGCAGTGTGGCCTTGGGGAGGATGGTGACAGCCGCAGAGGTCACCTGGAAGGGCTGGTATGAGGGTAACTCTTAGACCAGTGTCTGACTCTTGGTGGGCACTTGTATTCATTTGCCAAGGCTGCTGGAAAAGGGTGGCTTCTGGGGTTGGCTGGCCATTTTTGTGTTCCTTGGCTTGTAGACGCATCACCCAGGCCTCTGCCTTCATCCTCAGCTGGCGTTCTCACAGTGTCTTCACGTCGTCGTCCTTCTGTGTCTGTCTGTGTCCAAATTTCCCATTTCTATAAGGACACCAGGAATATTGGATCCAAGCCCACCCTAATGACTTTGTTTTAACTTCATTACCTCCATAAAGACCCTATTTCCACATAAGGTCACACTTGGAGGTACCAGCTATGAGGGCTTTGGCATATCTCTTTGCGGCGGGTTGTGGAGGGGGAGACAATTCAACCCATGGCAGCACCATATAAGTGCTTTTAAATCATTATGTCACCCCATAGGTGATACCATGTCCTTCATAATGCACCGCCTCAAGAGGCACATGATGGCAGGTGGTACTACTTTCAGTTATGTTGGGCTTCTTCATGACCACCTTCTCTTCTTCCACTGTGAAATTCCCCATCAACCTTTCTCCTGATGGTTTTAGCATCCCTTGATGATGTTTGCCTGAAATTAATTATTTTATTAGGTGTAGCAAAATGTTGAATTTCTAATTCATTGGCTGGAATTCTCCAAAGAAAGAACTTTCCCTCATTACCTGGGGCTCTTTGGTACCTGAGACACTCTGTTTGTACAGAGTAGGTGTGATAGAATAATGATCAATTTTGGTGAATGTTCCATGCATATTTGAAAGAATGTGTACTCTGCAGTTGTTGGCTAGAAGGTTCTATAAATGTTAATTAAATCAAGTTGGTTGGTAGTATTTTAATGTTGTCTTCTGTATCTCTATTGATTTTCTGTCTTCTTGCTCTATCAAATACTAAGAAAGGGAATGTGGAAATCTCCAATTATTATGGTAGACATCTATTTTTCCTTCCGGTTCTATTAGGTTTTGCTTTATGTATTTTGGAGCTCTGTTATTAGGCATATACGTGTTTAGATTATTATGTTTTCTTGATAAATTAACCCTTGATCATTAAGAAATGTTCCTCCTTATCCCTGGTAATAATTCTTGTTCCAAAAGTATTTTGCCTCAAATTAATATAGCCACTCCAGGTTTCTGATAATTAATGTTTGCATTATGTATTTTTGTGTTCTTTTAATTTTAACCTAGCTGTGTCTTTATATTTAAAGTGAGTTTCTTGTAGACAGCACATAGTTGAGTCTTGCCCTTTTATCCAATCTGATGAAATTTGTATAAATAGCCACCATTTGGCTATTTTTTTATTTGTCCCATCTATTCTTTGTTCCTTTTCTCCTCTTTCCTGACTTTTTTGTCTTTTTTATCTTGTTTTCTTTTGGTCTTCCATTTGATCTTCAGTGGCTTATTAGCTATCCTTTGTTACTATATCAGTGTTTGCTCTGATTTTACAATATGCATCTTTAACTTATCACAGTGTACTCTCCAAGATACCAGTTCCCATGAAATGTGGAACCATACAACAGTATACTTCCACTTCCCCTCCCATCCTTTCAGCTGTCGTCATCCATTTTACTTCTATAGAGGTTATAAACCCCACAAACATTGTTATTACTCTTGCTTTCAACAGTTGAGTATCTTTCTTTCTTTTTTCTTTTTTTTTTTTAAGACAGGGTCTCACTTTGTCACCCAGACTGGAGTGCAGTGGTGCAATCATGGCTCACTGCAGCCTCAACCTCCTGGGCTCAAGCAATCCTCCCACCTCAGCCTCCCAAGTAGCTGGGACTACAGGCATGTGAGGCTGCAGTGAGCCATGATTGCAACACTACACTCTGGCCTGGGTGACAGAGTTAGACCCTGTCTTAAAAAAACAAAAAGAAAGAAGGAAAGATACTCAACTGTTGAAATCAAGAGTAATAACAATGTTTGTGGGGTTTATAACCTCTATAGAAGTAAAATGGATGACAACAGCTGAATTTTTGTATTTTTTGTAGAGACAAGAGTCTTGCTATGTTGCCCAGGCTCATCTCAAATTCCTGGGCTCAAGCAATTTGCCCACCTCGGCTTCCCAAAGTACTAAGATTACAGGCGTGAGCCACTGCACCCAGTCCAGCTGAGTATCTTTCAGAGAAAATTTTAAAGAAGGAAATAATATGTTTCATATTTACCCACATTTTTGCCATTTCTGATACTCTGTCTTCCTTTATGTAGATCCAAGTTTTTATCTGATATCATCTTTTCAGCCTTAAGAACTTTTCTTTTTTTTTAAAGATTTGTATTAGTATTTTATTACAACTATTCTGTTTGTTCTTTTATATTCAACATCCCACATTTATGTATGAAATGTACAGACCAAAACTTATTATTGCCAATTACTTTTTTAAATTTATTTTTATTTATTTTATTTTATTATTATTATACTTTAAGTTTTAGGGTACATGTGCACAATGTGCAGGTTAGTTACATATGTATACATGTGCCATGCTGGTGTGCTGCACCCATTAACTCGTCATTTAGCATTAGGTCTATCTCCTAAAGCTATCCCTCCCCCCTCACCCCACCCCACAACAGTCCCCAGAGTGTGATGTTCCCCTTCCTGTGTCCATGTGTTCCCATTGTTCAGTTCCCACCTATGAGTGAGAGTATGTGGTGTTTGGTTTTTTTGTTCTTGCGATAGTTTACTGAGAATGATGATTTCCCATTTCACCCATGTCCCTACAAAGGACATGAACTCATCATTTTTTATGGCTGCATAGTATTCCATGGTGTATATGTGCCACATTTTCTTAATCCAGTCTATCATTGTTGGACATTTGGGTTGGTTCCAAGTCTTTGCTATTGTGAATAGTGCCGCAATAAACATACGTGTGCATGTGTCTTTATAGCAGTATGATTTATAGTCCTTTGGGTATATACCCAGTAATGGGATGGCTGGGTCAAATGGTATTTCTAGTTCTAGATCCCTGAGGAATCGGCACACTGACTTCCACAAGGGTTGAACTAGTTTACAGTCCCACCAACAGTGTAAAAGTGTTCCTATTTCTCCACGTCCTCTCCAGCACCTGCTGTTTCCTGACTTTTTAATGATTGCCATTCTAACTGGTGTGAGATGGTATCTCATTGTGGTTTTGATTTGCATTTCTCTGATGGCCAGTGATGGTGAGCATTTTTTCATGTGTTTTTTGGCTGCATAGATGTCTTCTTTTGAGAAGTGTCTGTTCATGTCCTTCGCCCACTTTTTGATGGGGTTGTTTGTTTTTTTCTTGTAAATTTGTTTGAGTTCATTGTAGATTCTGGATATTAGCCCTTTGTCAGATGAGTAGGTTGCGAAAATTTTCTCCCATTTTGTAGGTTGCCTGTTCACTCTGATGGTAGTTTCTTTTGCTGTGCAGAAGCTCTTTAATTAGATCCCATTTGTCAATTTTGGCTTTTGTTGCCATTGCTTTTGGTGTTTTAGACATGAAGTCCTTGCCCATGCCTATGTCCTGAATGGTAATGCCTAGGTTTTCTTCTAGGGTTTTTATGGTTTTAGGTCTAACGTTTAAGTCTTTAATCCATCTTGAATTAATTTTTGTATAAGGTGTAAGGAAGGGATCCAGTTTCAGCTTTCTACATATGGCTAGCCAGTTTTCCCAGCACCATTTATTAAATAGGGAATCCTTTCCCCATTGCTTGTTTTTCTCAGGTTTGTCAAAGATCAGATAGTTGTAGATATGCGGTGTTATTTCTGAGGGCTCTGTTCTGTTCCATTGATCTATATCTCTGTTTTGGTACCAGTACCATGCTGTTTTGGTTACTGTAGCCTTGTAGTGTAGTTTGAAGTCAGGTAGTGTGATGCCTCCAGCTTTGTTCTTTTGGCTTAGGATTGACTTGGCGATGCAGGCTCTTTTTTGGTTCCATATGAACTTTAAAGTAGTTTTTTCCAATTCTGTGAAGAAAGTCATTGGTAGCTTGATGGGATGGCATTGAATCTGTAAATTACCTTGGGCAGTATGGCCATTTTCATGATATTGATTCTTCCTACCCATGAGCATGGAATGTTCTTCCATTTGTTTGTATCCTCTTTTATTTCCTTGAGCAGTGGTTTGTACTTCTCCTTGAAGAGGTCCTTCACGTCCCTTGTAAGTTGAATTCCTAGGTATTTTATTCTCTTTGAAGCAATTGTGAATGGGAGTTCACGCATGATTTGACTCTCTGTTTGTCTGTTATTGGGGTATAAGAATGCTTGTGATTTTTGTACATTGATTTTGTATCCTGAGACTTTGCTGAAGTTGCTTATCAGCTTAAGGAGATTTTGGGCTGAGACAATGGGGTTTTCTAGATATACAATCATGTCATCTGCAAACAGGGACAATTTGACTTCCTCTTTCCCTAATTGAATACCCTTTATTTCCTTCTCCTGCCTAATTGCCCTGGCCAGAACTTCCAACACAATGTTGAATAGGAGTGGTGAGAGAGGGCATCCCTGTCTTGTGCCAGTTTTCAAAGGGAATGCTTCCAGTTTTTGCCCATTCAGCATGATATTGGCTGTGGGTTTGTCATAGATAGCTCTTATTATTTTGAGATACATCCCATCAATACCTAATTTATTGAGAGTTTTTATCATGAAGGGTTGTTGAATTTTGTCAAAGGCCTTTTCTGCATCTATTGAGATAATCATGTGGTTTTTGTCTTTGGTTCTGTTTATATGCTGGATTACATTTATTGATTTGCATATATTGAACCAGCCTTGCATTCCAGGGATGAAGCCCACTTGATCATGGTGGATAAGCTTTTTGATGTGCTGCTGGATTTGGTTTGCCAGTATTTTATTGAGGATTTTTGCATCAATGTTCATCAAGGATATTGGTCTAAAATTCTCTTTTTTGGTTGTGTCTCTGCCAGGCTTTGGTATCAGGATGATGCTGGCCTCATAAAATGAGTTAGGGAGGATTCCCTCTTTTTCTGTTGATTGGAATAGTTTCAGAAGGAATGGTATCAGCTCCTCCTTGTACCTCTGATAGAATTCGGCTGTGAATCCATCTGGTCCTGGACTCTTTTTGGTTGGTAAGCTATTGATTATTGCCACAATTTCAGAGCCTGTTATTGGTCTATTCAGAGAGTCAACTTCTTCCTGGTTTAGTCTTGGGAGGGTGTATGTGTCAAGGAAAGTATCCATTTCTTGTAGATTTTCTAGTTTATTTGAGTAGAGGTGTTTGTAGTATTCTCTGATGGTAGTTTGTATTTCTGTGGGATTGGTGGTGATATCCCCTTTATCATTTTTTATTGTGTCTATTTGATTCTTCTCTCTTTTCTTCTTTATTAGTCTTGCTAGCGGTCTATCAATTTTGTTGATCCTTTCAAAAAACCAGCTCCTGGATTCATTAATTTTTTGAAGGGTTTTTTGTGTCTCTATTTCATTCAGTTCTGCTTTGATTTTAGTTATTTCTTGCCTTCTGCTAGCTTTTGAATGTGTTTGCTCTTGCTTTTCTAGTTCTTTTAATTGTGATGTTAGGGTGTCAATTCTGGATCTTTCCTGCTTTCTCTTGTGGGCATTTAGTGCTATAAATTTCCCTCTACACACTGCTTTGAATGTGTCCCAGAGATTCTGGTATGTTGTGTCTTTGTTCTCGTTGGTTTCAAAGAACATCTTTATTTCTGCCTTTGTTTCGTTATGTACCCAGTAGTCATTCAGGAGCAGGTTGTTCAGTTTCCATGTAGTTGAGCAGTTTTGAGTGAGTTTCTTAATTCTGAGTTCTAGTTTGATTGCACTGTGGTCTGAGAGACAGTTTCTATAATTTCTGATCTTTTACATTTGCTGAGGAGAGCTTTACTTCCAACTACGTGGTCAGTTTTGGAATAGGTGTGGTGTGGTGCTGAAAAAAATGTATATTCTGTTGATTTGGGGTGGAGAGTTCTGTAGATGTCTATTAGGTCCGCTTGGTGCAGAGCTGAGTTCAATTCCTGGGTATCCTTGTTAACTTTCTGTCTCGTTGATCTAATGTTGACAATGGGGTGTTAAAGTCTCCCATTATTATTGTGTGGGAGTCTAAGCCTAGTCTCTGATAAAACAGACTTTAAACCAACAAAGATCAAAAGAGACAAAGAAGGCCATTACATAATGGTAAAGGGGTCAATTCAACAAGAAGAGCTAACTATCCTAAACATATATGCACCCAATACAGGAGCACCCAGATTCATAAAGCAAGTCCTGAGTGACCTACAAAGAGACTAAGAACTTTTCTTTAACATTTCTTATAATACAGGTCTGATGGCAATACATTCTTTCAGCTTGTCTTTGTCTGAAAAGGTGCTTGTTTTTCTGTTCATTTTTTAAAAGTCATTTTATCTGATTTAGATTTATGGGTTCACAGGGTGGGTTTTTTTTTCTTTCAGCACTTTAAATATTTCATTTCAATGTTTTCTATTTGCATCATTTCTAACAAGACGTCTACGATATCTTATTTTCGTTCCTCTCCACATAGTGTTTTGTTTTTCTGGCTGCTTTTAAGATTTTTTTCCTTTTTTGCTGATTTTCAGCAATTTGGTTATGTTGTATCCTAAGGTGGTTTTCTTTGTGTTTATTCTGCTTAGGAGTCATTCACCTTCTGAAATTGGTAGATTTATAGTTTTAATCCACCAATTTATATTTGAAAATTTCTCAGACTGTTTTTCAATTAAAAAAATTTTCTGGGACTCCAATTACATGTATATTTGATTTTTTGATATTGTCCCACAAGTAATTTTTTTCCATTTTTTTTTCTTTCTGAACTTTATTTTGAGGCTATGTTTAAGGCTTTTTAGGCCAGGCCTTTAGGTAGTCTTTACTCTAAGGCTAATTTAGCCTCATCACTAAGACATGACCCTTCTGGGCTCTGCTTAATGCCTGATGGGGTCCCTCCATGCTGGTGGGGGGAAACATGAGCAATTCCTACATCAGCTGCTGTTTGACTTCCAGCCCTGGTCATTGGTCTTCCTCCAGCTTCATGGAGTTTCACCCTATGCATGAGCAGATGGGGAGTCAATCAAAGACCCTAAAAGAATTTCTAGAACTCTTTCTCTATATAGTTCTCTCCTGTCTGCTGGTATTCTATCTCACAAATTCTAGCCGCCTCAGCTTTCCTGAGTTCTGATCTTGGTCACCTCAACTCAGTAAGACAACTGGGTTCTGTATTCCTCTCTCTCTCTCTCTCTCTCTCTCTCTCCCTCCCCTCCGCCCCTTTCTCTCCCTCTCTCTCCCTCTCTCTCCCTCTGTCTGTCTCTCCCATAGCTCAAAAATTGCCCCTGGGCAGAAAGCTGGGGCACACTTAGAGGCTCACCCCATCTGTTTCCCTCTCTCAGGGATATCAGTCCTGAGCTGTCTGTAGTCCAGTATCTGAAAACAATTGCTTTCTCTCCAAACAAGATGGCCAATGTGTACACCGTATGGGCACTGGGGCCCTGGGCGCCAGCTGGGGCCTGCTGGGCCCACCCAGCTATTCTATTTGTCCAGTTTCCTAGTATTTACAGTGCAACGATGGATGTTACTCCCTTGTGATCAGAATCAGAAGTCTCAGGAATATATATTTTAGCAAAAAATCAGGAGTTCACACTGATATTTCTGTTATTTCTATAACTTTTCAAATGTTATATTGTGAGGTTTTAGCTTACTTTATTTATTCTTGTATTTCTTTTATTTTACCTTAAAATCTTAGTTCCTTATAGGATTAACATAATCCTACAGTATATATCAAATAATTTTGAAATAGTATTATCAGTATTATTACCAACAATAAGGCCAGGTGCAGCAGCTCATTCGTATAATCCCAGCACTTTGGGAGGCCAAGGCAGAAGGATCTCTTGAGCCCAGGAGTTCAAGATCAGCCTGGGCAACATAGTGAGACCCCCCTGTCTCTACAAAAAAAAAAAGGAAAAATTTAATTAGCGACATGTGGTGGTGTGAACATGTAGTCCCAGCTACTCGGGAGGCTGAGGCAGGATCATGGGAGCCCAGGGGTTTGAGGCTGCAGTGGGCCATGATCATACCATAGAGCAAGAACCTGTCTCCAAAACAAAACAAACAAAACCAACAAAACAAAACCCCAGAAACCAATAAGACTATTGCATAGAATTTGAAATTCCTTTTTGCCTTTAGAGTGCCACTGAAAAAGAGGAATCAAAGTGTACTATTATAAAATTCCTTGATCTTGATGTAATTCTGTGTGTGTGTGGTTATGTTACTAACTTAGTATGTAGTCTAATTCATTTCTTTCTTTTTTTTTCTTCTGGTTCCTTGATCTTGGGCTAACTTATTTCTTTCAGAGTGTTTTCAAGTTTTAGGAACTCATTTTTTCCCTTTCTAAAAATTTTGTAGTGTTCCCCGCCCCACCCGCCCCGCCCCAAAGATACGGCCTCACTATATTGCCCAGGCTGGTCTCAAACTCCTGGCCTCAAGCAATCCTTCTGCCTCAGCCTCCCAAGTAGCTGGGATCACAGGCATGAGCCACCACACCTGACTTCCTTTTACATATAACTTTATTTTTCAAATGGTTAAGACATTTACATGATTCCAAAGTCAAAATCATGTGAGATAACACTCAAAGAATTTTTGCTTCCATCCCTTTCTTCTTCCCTTTATTCCCGCTCTTCCTATACACAGTGAATTCAATCAGGTTTTGGTTTAACCTTCGAGTTTCTTTTTGTTTGTTTGTTTTGAGACAGAGTCTCTCTCTGGAGTGCCGAGGAGCAATCTCGGCTCACTGCAACCTCTGCCTCCCGGGCTCAAGCGAGTCTCGTGCCTCAGTCTCCCGAGTAGCTGGGATTACAGGCATGCACCACCACACCCGGCTAATTTTTGTATTTTTAGTAGAAACAGGGTTTCACCATGTTGACCAGGCTGGTCTCGAACTCCTGACCTCAAATGACCCTCCCACCTTGGCCTCCCAAAGTGCTGGGATTACAGGCGTGAGCCACCACACCCGGCCTCTTTTTGTAAACATAAGTAAATACTTGTTTGCATACATATATTTACATTGCACCCCTTTCTTACACAAATATAGCATACTATGCGCATATTGTAAACTTCCTTTTTTCACTTAATAATATATCCTAGAAACCACTCACTCTCTGCACATAGAATTCTCTCCCTCTCTCCTCTGCCCTCTGCTCCTCTCCCTCTTTCTCCTACAGTCACATAGCACTACTCCATTGTGTGGCTGGATCATGGTTTGTTCAACCAAGCCCCAGCTTGTTTGGTGGTTTTCCTTCAATGGGGAGTCATCCCCAGTCCCCTGGCTATCCCCACCTTTACTGCTCCCAAGTTCTCAGGAGGGAAACTATGGGTGAAGGGTGGCAGTTGTCCTGCTGGGGTCGAAGGTCAGAGACGGGGCACCCAGAGACCTTTACTAAGCCGACTCACACAGGGAGATGGGGTACTTTTTAGAAGGTGACATTTCTCTTACTGAAACCTGATCTATTTTTCCTGTCAATGCAGATCTGGAAACAGTTGCCACATCTAAAGGCAGTCGTGATATATAAAGAACCTCCTCCAAACAAGATGGCCAATGTGTACACGGTATGGGCAGTGGGGCCCTGGGCGCCAGGTGGGGCCTATTGGGCCCACCCAGCTGACCTAGCCTGCCTGCTCCCTGCATCTGGCTACAGATGGAGGAATTCATGGAGCTGGGGAATGAAGTGCCTGAGGAAGCCCTGGACGCCATCATTGACACCCAGCAGCCCAACCAGTGCTGTGTGCTAGTCTACACTTCCGGCACCACTGGGAACCCCAAGGGCGTGATGCTGAGTCAAGACAATGTAGGACAGATGCCCGGTGGGGTGGGGGGGGTGCAAGGGGGTTATGGGTGGATCTGGGCCATGGCTCTGCCCCAGTAGCCCCTGGGAAAGCTCCTTGGGCCCCTCTGCTCTAGGAGCTGGGATAGGTAGAACAGCCCATCAATCTGTGGCCCAGACTGAGCTCAGCAAGGGGGAGGGGAGGCCTGTCCTGGGGTTTTCAGAGCCTGCAGAATCGCCACAGGGGGCACCACACTGGGGCTGGCCCCCAGGGTGGCCACAGTTGTGAGCACCGCCAGGGCTGGCTTGTGGACACTGCTGGGATCCATCTACTTGTCCTCCAGATCACGTGGACGGCACGGTACGGCAGCCAGGCCGGTGACATCCGGCCGGCAGAAGTCCAGCAGGAGGTGGTAGTCAGCTACCTGCCCCTCAGCCATATTGCCGCCCAGATCTACGACCTGTGGACAGGCATCCAGTGGGGGGCCCAGGTTTGCTTTGCCGAACCCGACGCCCTGAAGGTCAGTCTGCCTTTACCGTGTGTCCGTCTGAGCCCGTGTGCCAGGCCACGTCCACATGTGTCTGTGGGCCCTGAGTGCATTTGTGTGTGTGCTGTTCCTGTGCATGTATCAGTCAGAATTCTGTCAGCTGCAGTGGGCACAGCCTGACTCGAATGACCAAACAAGAAGGGAAACTAGGCCGGGCACGGTGGCTCACGCCTGTAATCCCAGCACTTTGGGAGGCCGAGGCAGGCACATCACGAGGTCAGGAGATCAAGACCATCCTGGCTAACACGGTGAAACCCCATCTCTACTGAAAATACAAAAAATTAGATGGGAGTGGTGGCAGGTGCCTGTAGTCCCAGCTACTAGGGAGGCTGAGGCAGGAGAATGGCGTGAACCCAGGAGGTGGAGCTTGCAGTGAGCCGAGATCACGCCACTGTACTCCAGCCTGGGCAACAGCATGGCCCAGTCTCAAAAAAAAAAAAAAAAAAAAAAAAGAAACCTGATGCCATTACATAAGGTCGAGTCAGAGTGGTTCGCGGGACTTGTGACACGATCAAGGACGGGCATCCTCAGAGTATCACCAGAAGGCTACAGCCCTTCCCTGAATCCCAGCTTCACAGGATATACCTGTTCTTTGGACCCTTATTTTAACTGTGAGGAAAACTTTCCCAGAAACCCCCCAGCAAGTTTCCCTCCACCAGCATCTCAGTGTCCCAAAGTGTCACCTGTCTGTTCTCAAACCATATGCTGCCGAGGGGAATGGGATTCTTGTGTCTAAGTTAGACTCATGGAGAGTTGCCATGCTCAGGGCTGGGATGAGACTGAGGTCAGCACTGGCTGCCTGACTGCTGCCTGCCACCAGGGTTCTGTGAGCAAAAAGCAAGGCGACAGCCATTGAGGAAACAGTATGTGCCACCCTTGCGTGCAGGTGTGTGTGGGTGCCCGTTGGAGCATGTGTGTGCCACCGGCATGCCTGGCTGGTAAGAGGGGACCCCTGGGCCCCAGATGCCCCTGACCCAACAGGCCTGCCTCTTCTGGTGTGAACAGGGGAGCCTGGTGAACACGCTGCGGGAGGTGGAGCCCACATCACACATGGGGGTGCCCCGGGTATGGGAGAAGATCATGGAGCGCATCCAGGAGGTGGCGGCTCAGTCTGGCTTCATCCGGCGAAAGATGCTGCTGTGGGCCATGTCGGTGACCTTGGAGCAGAACCTCACCTGCCCCGGCAGGTACAGAGGGCCCACGGGCGGGAGGCCTGGGGAGAGAGTGGGCTGGGTCATAACCCAAAACACAGTGAGGGTCTGATACGCCATGCCTGTCCCGGTTCCAGTGGCCGGGCAGCTCTGGAGACCCCGTGCAGAGGCCCCATCAATGACTGGGCTTGAGCTCCTGTGCGTTTCCCAGGGCCTGCTGGGGACAGTCGCTCCACCTTTGGATTCTGACTGGGAGGAGTAACTTGCTTTCTCTGAAGTGAAATTCACCTCCCTAGGAGCAGCTTCTGGCACAATCTCCTGAGGTCTCCTGACCTCAGTAAGTGGCTGGAGAAGGGGCCACAGTGATCAGGACTTAGCCTTTCCGGCCTTTTCAGCATCCCAAGTGACCCCTCAGATATTTTGCCCTTTCTATCTTTCTATAGCTTTCAAAATTCCCACATAGTTCTATGGAGGGTCAGTGACGTAAAGCTGGCTTGGTTTCAATTTAGAAGTAGTTTCCATTCCCCATGTGCCTGTGAAATGGTATGTTTCATGAGATGTGTGCACATATCTGTGCATCCACAGCTTCATTTGCACAGACACGAAACATGAACATGCACGAACAAAGCATTTGTGGGCTTCACTGGGGTCCCACGTTTGTACATGTGTATACATGAATACATACTTCAAGTTTCTGTGCATGTGTATTGTGTGTGCAAAATGGCATGTGTCTGTGTTGTTGCCCGTACACCTGTACACAGCTGAATCTGTTTGACTTCCTGGGTCAAGACATATTTGCACACAACCATGTGCCTGCATACCTACATCTGCATGCATGTTCACGGGCAGGTTCAATATTCAAACCAACCAACTGGAACAGACAACTGGAATGGCCGAGCCAGGGTGTTCTCACTGAATACCACCATACCACCCTTTTAATGTGTGTATGTGTGTGTGTGTGTGTGTGTGTGTGTGATTTCTTCTGTGAACCATTCTCCCTCTCCCACCAGCGACCTGAAGCCCTTCACAACCAGACTGGCAGATTACCTGGTGCTAGCCAAGGTTCGCCAGGCACTGGGATTTGCCAAGTGTCAAAAGAACTTCTATGGAGCGGCCCCCATGATGGCAGAGACACAGCACTTCTTCCTGGGTCTCAACATCCGCTTGTATGCGGGCTACGGCCTCAGTGAGACCTCAGGCCCCCACTTCATGTCCAGTCCCTACAACTACCGGCTGTACAGGTGAGGCTCGAGGCTGCCACACACATGCACACCCATGCGCCCTTGCTGGTACTTTGTGCCCGCCTGCTGAGTGCCCTGGGGATCCCCTTCTCTTTGCATGCCAGTTGGGTCCCAGAGACCTGGCCACTGGGCTATGGAGCCCCTGAGAGCCAACAATGCCATCTTGGGCCAAGTCCCTAGCTTATCCTCAGTCTAGTAGGAGTGGCCTCTGCCACCGTGTCGTGAGTCTGTGGTTGAAAACAGCCTGCATAGCCCAGGTGCCCCCTGAACCTATGGAGCAGTTTTCCTCTGGCCCCTCCCTCTTTTGGAGTGGGGTGTGCTCCAGTGTGTTCTAGGAGAGCAGATGGCCCAGGGGCCAGCTGGGGTAGGAGTTGGGGGGACCAGGCCAGCCTCCTAATGGACGGTGAGGGCGGTCAGTTCTGGGGAGTGATTTGCAGGATCATCTATTATGATTAAATATCTCCTCTCCCTGCCAGCCTATCACAGTGCTCCAAGTTCTACCATTACCATTTCATTTGTTCCTTCCTTCCTTCATTCCCTAAAACCCTTTACTTGGCTCTACCTTTCAGCTGTAAGTCCCCTGTAAAAATACAAAAGCCCTGTGAGGGGATACCTTCTAGCAATCAGTGAAGACCGAGCAGTTGGGACCCCGGCTCCCCAGTGGGGGCTTGGAGGAGACGGCTCCCTCTGACCAGTCTCCCGGCCCCTCCCTCGCCAGCTCAGGCAAGTTGGTGCCCGGCTGTCGGGTGAAGCTGGTGAACCAGGACGCAGAGGGCATTGGCGAGATCTGCCTGTGGGGCCGCACCATATTCATGGGCTACCTGAACATGGAGGACAAGACTTGTGAGGCCATCGACGAGGAAGGCTGGCTGCACACGGGTGATGCTGGCCGCCTGGACGCCGATGGCTTCCTCTACATCACTGGGCGCCTCAAAGGTGAGCACCCCAGGCCAGGCACGGTGGCTCATGCCTGTAATCCCAGCACTTTGGGAGGCCAAGGCGGGCAGATTGTCTGAGCTCAGGAGTTCAAGACCACCCTGGGCAGCACAGCGAAACCCCATCTCTACTAAAAACACACGAAAAATTAGCTGGGCGTGGTGGCATGCACCTGTAATCCCAGCTATTCGGGAGGCTGAGGCACGAGAATTACTTGAACCCGGGAGGCAGAGGTTGCAGTGAGCTGAGATTGCCTCTTTGCACACCAGCCTGGGAGACAGAGCTAGACTCTGTCTCCAAAAACAAAACCAAAACAAACAAACAAAAAAAGGCAAGCGCCCTGGACAGCTGCAGTGGGGTGGGAGCAGGAATTCCACTGCCAGCACTGTTTACACCAGCTGCTGGTCTTGAGCCTTTATTAAGATGGCACCTTTAGTGACATCGTTTTATTTACTCCACTCTCCTATGGGGCAGGTACTTATTAACCTTAACTTGCTAATGAGGACATCCAGAGAGGTTAAGTAACTTGCCTAAGGTCACCCAGCTAGTAAATGGCAGAGCTGGAAATCAGACCCCTAGAGAAACAAGGCAAGTCTTTCCAGAAGATTCAGGAGCGTAAGTATTATGTATTTTTATATGCAAACATGGATATGATGGGGAATAGAATGCAAATTGGATATAAAATTTAAAATAAGACAAACTTCCCACAGAGACAGAAATAGTTGGGGATGCCTCTGTGGAAGAATGTTCTGCCTGCTTCACCCAAGTTGGTGTCATGCCCGCAGCATCCACGTGGGAATCCTGCACCAGGGCTTCATGGGGGAAACTGAAGCTAAGTTGAGTGGGTAAACTACTTTGTGGACATCATGCAGGCAGTGTGCGACCATGCCCAGGACCCAACTGATGGCCATGGAGGCTCGGCCACCCCAGGGAGGGACAAAAGGTCGCGGTGGCGTTTGGGCCCTGGGATGTGCAGGCTGATGAGCCCTGGAGGTACCCTCCAGTGAGACCCCGGGAGCAACAGGTGACTGCTTGGATGTGCCATGGGCGCCGCCTAGTGTGCCTCTTTGTAATGGCCGATGAGGGGACCCACATCCCTGCATGGGGGAGGATAGTAGCCAGAAAACCAAATTCAACCAGAGCCGGCCCTCCTTTTAGAACTAGTATAGTGAGAGGTAAGGGTCCAAATAGCTTTTCTCCAAATACATATCCAACGGACACAGCATCCTTTCCCCATGGCCTTGCAGTGATACCTTTGTCCTTTATGAAGTGACTGTCTATGAGAGGTCTATGTGTGGACTCTATTCTGTTCCCTTGGTCTATTCGCCTATCCGTGCACCAATACCCAGTGTCTTAATTTCTATAGCTTTATGACAGGGATAGATATCCGGCTAAGTCCTACAGCCTTGGTCTTCTTCTTCTTCAAGATGACCTTGGCTATTCTTGGCCATTTTCATTTCCATATGAATTTTAGAATCATTATATGTTTCCTCAAAAACTGGGTGGAATTTTGATTTTGATTTCATTGAATCTATAGATCAATTTGGTGAGAAAAATACATGTTTATAGTATTGTCTCTTCCAATTCACAAATATGATAAATCTCTCCATTTACTTAGGTCTTTTTAAGTTTCTCTCAATAATGTGCTATTTATTTATTTACCTATTTATTTATTTATTTATTTTTGAAACAGGGTCTCGCTTTGTTGCCCAGGCTGGAGTGCACTGGCGTGATCTCGGATCACTGCAACTTCTACCTCCTGGGCTCAAGTGATCCTCCGGTCCAGCCTCAGCCTCTCAAGTAGCTGGGACCACAGGTGCAAGCCACCACAACTGGCTAATTTTTTATTTTTGTAGAGACAGGGTTTTGCCATGTTGCCCAGGCTGGTCTTGAGCTCCTGAGCTCAAGCCATCCTCCTGCCTCAGCTTCCTAAAGTGCTGGGATTATAGGTGTGAGCCACTGCATCCAGCCTATGTTTTCTAGTGTAGAGATTTTTGCACATCTTTCCTTATATTTACTTCTAAGAATTTTTTAAGGTATTTTAAATAATATCACTTAAAATTTTTTTTTCAGCTCAGATGTTGCCGCAAAATTTTTTTTCTCCTATTTGTTTGCTGCTGGTATATAGAAATACAACTGCTTTTTGCATATTGGCTTTGTATCAAATGACCTTTTGTGGATCATTTGATCAGACCACATATTCAATCCAGTAATGTGTATATTCTTTTGAATTTCCTATGGACACAACTATATCATCTGCAAATAGCAGATGAATTTTTTTCTTCCCATGTTGCACAGGTTAGGACCTCCAGGACAGTGTTGAATAGAAGTGGTGATAGTGGTCATCCTTGTTTTGTTCCTGATCTCAGGGGAGAAGCATTCACTAACTTATCATTAAGTATGTTTGGCTGAGCACAGTGGCCTACACCTGCAATCCCAGTACTTTGGGAGGCTGAGGCAGGAGGATTGCTTGAGCTCAGGAATTCGAGACCAGCCTGGGCAACATAGTGAGATCCTGTCTCTATTTATTTAAAAAAAAATTATTAAATCTTAAAAAAAGTATGTTTGCTGTAAAAATTTTTAGATGTTCCTTATCTGATTAAAGAAGTTCCTTTCTAGCCTTAGTTTGCTAAGGGTTTTTTTTAATCATTTACTAATGGTAAAAGATGCTGGTAAGAATGCAGAGGGCCGTAGTGAGGAGAAAAGGGCAGGAATGAGGTAGCAATGATGAGGCATATTTTGGGGAGGCTGGGTTTTTGTCTTCCCACATTTCCAGAGTCTGTCTTCTCCTCTTCACCTGACTTCTGCTGTCCTAGACAAACCCTGATCATATAGACACTTGCCATGGATTCCTCTCTAGCCAGCCTGTCCCTGAATAACCACTCTTCACCCCAGCTACCAGAGTACCCTAAAACTTTGATCTCACACCATTCAGTAATTCCCAGCTGCCTGCACACAATCCAGCTCCTGAGCCAGCACTGGAGGCCTCTAAGATCTTCCCTGCTCCTCTCCAGCCTCTGTCTCACTTGCTACCTGCAGTTCCCTTAAGGCCTGTGAGCTTCAGCTTCTGTCCTGCCCTCTGCCTGCCAACTCCCGTTCATGTTTAGCATGCAGCTGGGCCTGGTGCCTCCCTGCCCTGGCCCTGCAGCCCCTGTGCCTCCCTCTGTCTCACTGCCCCGCTGCACTGTGGGCTCCTTGCAGCCATGGGCAGCCTTGTTCTATTCTGTGCCTGATGTCAGCACAGGACCTGTGCACAGAATGTGACCAATTAATCTTTTTTGAATTAGATAGAAATGAGGGACAGGAGTACAGTCTCACTAAAATTAGTCAATGTACATTCGTTAAATTTATTTTATTGAATTTATTGCCATCTAGCCTAGAAGTAAGCCATCAGTACTATCAGACAACAGCAGGCTAGGGCACTGAGTGCCTGGCAGTCTGTTGGACAGAAGGAAAGAAGGGGAGAGGACCTTCCAGGGAGAAGGGTACAAGCAAGGGGAGAGCCATCCTAGCAGGGCAGGTGAGAGCATGGGCTCTGGAAATGGACTGGATTTAAAACCTTAGCTCTGCCACTTATTAGCATGTGAGCTTGGACAAGTTACTGAACGTCTCTGTGCCTCAGTTTCCTCATCTGCAAAACAATAAGAGTGTCTGCTTCATTATTGGTTTATTGTGACAGTTAAATGAATTACTGCATGTGAAGTGCTTAGCATGGTGGTGAGTGCTGTGTGAGTGACAGGGATGGTAGTTATTAAGCAAAGGCAGGGAAGGGAAATGACACGGGCTATTTGGGGGCAGGAACTGGGACTGGCAGAAGGGGGCCATGGATGAGATGTCTGAGCAGGCTGAGTCGTGGATGACAAGCCGAGGAGAGGGAAACTTGGGTGAGCATTTGTCGTCGGGGTGCTGCCACCAGCCCCCAAGCAGGTGTGAGTTGCTTTGGAGGGCCTGCCACTGCTTCTTGGCTCCCAGAAAGGGGGCATCTCCAGCTGTGCTGAGGCTTCCGGGTTGTGGTTGAGGCTTGGGTTGTGGTTCAGCTGGGGCACCTGGACTACATTCTGTGCCGGGGGCCTGGCCTTGCCTCCCCAGAATTAATCATCACAGCTGGTGGGGAGAATGTGCCCCCTGTGCCCATCGAGGAGGCCGTGAAGATGGAGCTGCCCATCATCAGCAACGCCATGCTCATTGGGGACCAGAGGAAGTTCCTGTCCATGCTGCTCACCTTGAAGGTGTGTCTGGGGGGCTCCAGCTCAGAAGGAGCAGCCAGTGAGGGGGTCTGTGGGTCTGGCTGGCAGAAGCCACATTCAGCACAGGGCACATCCAGATCTCATGGCTTCATTCTGGAATGACTCAAGTCCGTGCTGCCTGCACTGTAGGAAAAACTGTGGCACGTGGAAATTCCTTCTGTCCCACATAAGCCACCGTGATGATCCTTTACATGTTACTGGCACTTTCCCGTCTACAAAGTGCTGCTGCCCTCCCTCATTGCTCTCTGCAGGTACTTGGACCCCAGGGTGGTAGACAGGCAGGAGTTACCGTCCCTGCTTTACAGACAATGACGTCACTGACCGAGCTCTTCTAATTCTCAGATCACTGCTCCTTCCACAATAACACGAGGCTCAACACAGTAGCAGCTACTCATTCTAGAACCGTCTCTTTGAAACAGAGCTCACATGATTCACACCCTTGCCGACAGCAGTAAGACCTCCTCCAGGACCAGGGCTTACGTCTTGTTGGGTAAGGCTTGGTCCTCATCTGATCTCTGGCTTTTCAGTGCACTCTGGACCCAGACACCTCTGACCAGACTGATAATCTGACTGAACAAGCTATGGAGTTCTGCCAGAGGGTGGGCAGCAGAGCCACCACAGTGTCCGAGATCATAGAGAAGAAGGATGAGGCCGTGTACCAGGCCATCGAAGAGGGGATCCGGAGGGTCAACATGAACGCGGCGGCCCGGCCCTACCACATCCAGAAGTGGGCCATTCTCGAGAGAGACTTCTCCATTTCGGGTGGAGAGTTGGGTAGGTTTTTCCTTTTCACCATTGCAAGGGCTGTGTGGGAAGGCAGAGGCCATGGCAGTGCCTAGGAGGTGCCTGTTAGGAAGCAGCCACGGCAAAGAGAAGGTCATGGCAGGAATCTGGGTGACACCCATCTACTTCCTGTTAGAGGACATTGATGGCTCCATGCATGGGCTTGTGGTTATGTGGAGTCTGTTGAATGTATAAGATATGTGCTAGAACTTCCTTTTTTTTTTTTTTTTTTTTTTTTTGAGATGGAGTCTCGCTGTGTCACCCAGGCTAGAGAGCAATGGCACGACCTTGGCTCACTGCAACCTGCACCTCGCGGGTTCAAGTGATTCTCCTGCCTCAGCCTCCCGAGTAGCTGGGATTACAGGCATGGGCCACCATGCCCGGCTAATTTTGTATTTTTAGTAGAGACATGGTTTCTCCATGTTGGTCAGGCTGGTCTCGAACTCCCGACCTCAGGTGATCCGCCCGCCTCGGCCTCCCAAAGTGCTGGGATTACAGGCGTGAGCCACTGCGCCCAGCTGATATGTGCTAGAACTTTCTAATCTGAACATGACATTTAACTTGGCCTTGACTATGGGACTGTTTTCTCCGAAAATCACAATGGAACTACCAGGCCAACACCAAGGCCCTGCTAGTGTTCAGCCTGGAGTCACGTGGTTCTAGGGGTGAGAGTACTGTGATCTTCCGGAAAGTCAGCTTGTGTGACAAAGGGATAAGGCTGTTCCGGACCACTGCCCACAGAACCAGGAGAGGGCTCTGGTGCAGCCTCAGCTGAAGTCACTCTTGGCTGTAGCCAAGAGATGTTCATGGGATGTTCATAGAACAGGAGAGGTAGAAATGGTTATGCCAGTGTGATTCCCTCAAATCCATCACGGCTGAACCCAGATGCAATTGTCTACAGCAAAGCTGAGCTGCAATCAGAGACCTTGAGCTTATCTGGCTGTCTGCTGCCAGCATATTGAACGCAAGGTCAGAGAGACAGAAGATGTCTTCACTAAGCAGTTAATATAATGACTTTAACACAGAAAGTTTCCAGTTACACAGTCAAGAGTGAGTTAGGCACTTTAAGCTACCCAGGACCTCAAATCAGAGCTCTTTCAAACTTGCTTTTGGGGGATAAATCAAGGTTAAGAAAAGTAATTAGGGGAAGACCTCTCATAAAGACCATGGCAGAGGCTCCCCATAACCTGGGCTTCCCCTACCCCCATCACAACCATCAAAGCATAATGTCCAACGTTGTATAAACGTTCACAAAAATGCAGAGATGATGTGTACTAGCTATCTAATACATTGCTGTGTAACAAATGACCCCAAAAATGTAGCAGCCTAAAGCAGTAAACATTTATTATCCACATTTCTATGGGTCAAGAATCCAGGAACAGCTTAGCTGAGTGGTTCTGGCTTGGGTCTCACGGGATTACAGTCAATGTGAGCTGGGTGCAGTCACTTGCAGCTGAGGCTCACCTCCGCGCTCACTTACGTGGCTGTCGGCAGGCCTCAGCTCCTTGCTGTCTGCTGGCCAGAAACATCCGTGTGTGGCCAGTGGGCCTCTCATGGGCTGTGTATCCTCACAACATGGCAGCCGGCTTGCCCAGGAAGAATGGTCCAAGAGAAAGCCCAAGACAGAAACCTAGTCTATTTTTTAATTGCTTCAACAATTTATTCATTCAAGAGATGGAACAAATAAATCCATTTCAGAGAAAATGGACTGAGGGTCAAAACTGGGTACAGGTCAAGGAAAAGGCAGATGTAGCTTACACTACTTTCCTATGTGTATAAAAGAAACTGATCTTTTATAACCTATTCTCAGAGGTGACATACCAACCCTTCATCTATACTCCACTGGCCACAACCAGTGGTATAACACAGGAGACTACACACAAGCCATATGAATACCAGGAGCGATCACTGTCTTGGAGGCTGGCTACTGACGGTCCTGATTATCTGGCTTAATTCCTGAGTTATATATAGGACTGAGTGTGAGTCTTTACCACACACATTCTCAGAGTTCTCAGAGCCTGGGCCTCACTCATTTCTTCTCATTTCCCTTTTAGGTCCCACGATGAAACTGAAACGGCTCACAGTTTTGGAGAAGTACAAAGGTATCATTGACTCCTTTTACCAAGAGCAAAAAATGTAATCAGGGCCTATGCCTGCAGTTTCTATAGAATAGAGGGCAGGCGTTCCGAGCCTCTTCCTGAGCCCCAGGTCTCTTCAGTCTGGGCACAGGCATTTCTGCCAAGTCTGTTAGATCTCCAGGTCAGGGCACAGCACTGGCTCTACATTTACCAGGTCTTACGCCAACAATAGCTGACAATTCCAAGAAGCTTCACGTGTGGGTAGTTTTAATTCAGTTTAAGTATTGCTTTTTGTTCAGGTGACAAATGAGATCAGCTCTCCTTCCAGAACGAAAGGGCTGATAATTTTTGGCCTTAGTTCCAGGTAGATTAAAAAGCTGCTAGCTCACATACAGGACAGCCAGCAGTAGGCTGTGGAGCGGGTAGGAGAGAGATGGCTGATACTGCTCACGTGCGCTGCAGGAAAAGCAATCAGTCACAACTCACCTAGCGACCTGACTTACTCTGGAATCTTGGCGGGCATCGCCGACCCTATTATTCCATTACCAGGCACTCCGCCACCCACATGCCAACTGACTTGATGCTTAATAAAACTGCTGCTGCCTGTTTGATTCTATTTAATGTATAATTTGAATATTAAACCTTTTAACAGAACTGTCAACAAGGACCTGATTTTTTTTGTCAATTGAGCAGGTGGGACCAGTGCAGAGAGTAGTGGGCATTTAACTCACAGGACTGTGCACAGCGGGCATGCGAGTGACCATTAGTGCCCTGGAATAAACAAAGGTGCAGGATGGGGTCAAGTGGCGCATTCTCATAAAAGCAGCCAGCTCTACGTTAGCCTGTCGCCACCAGACCACCCCACTTCCATTCTGAATACGGGAAGCAGCCATTCTCAGTAGCAAGCTGAGCCAAAATGACCGAAGGCATCTGAACAGGAAACAGGTAGAGAAAGCAAACATCTCAGTTTTGGAATTCTTTATTACTTTGAACCCAAGAGCCACTGATAACTGGCACAATCCAATGAAACAGAGGAAGCAGCAGCTTAAACAAAGGAAAATACATTTAAGATTATAAGTCTGGGGGGGCGGTTACAAGCTTAAAAAGTGACCCAGACAGGGATATCATTGCTAAAAAAAAAAAAATCCCCTTGTGACCTGGGTACATTTTGCAAAGCCACAGGTTTGCAATGTTACACAAGGGCCAAAGGAGGCCATGAGTTGTCTTTGGTTGTGGGGACAGAGGGTAACTGTTCATGAAAATAGTGAGTGTCTGAAGATTAAGAAAATCATGCTGCAGCAGAGGAGAAGGGAGAGGAAGACAGGAAGGGAAAGGAGATGCCTGAGGGTCAAAAGCTGAGCCCAAGCCTAAGCCCAAGCTCAAGCTCAAGCCCCAGCATGGCATAATTTTGTGAATTAACTCAGGCTGAGTTGCCTCCAGTCTTTGGAATGTCATCTTATACTGGTACTGCTGAGGCAGAGGGCAGTAATTGGTGCTTTGGGATAGGAGAAGGGGCAGTTGCTGAAATACAAAATTAATAGCATCCCAAGTTCCTCAATTGCAGCCAAAATACATGTGTTCGGGCCTTTCGGCAGTATCGCCCCCAGAACTACCTGCTGTAGTGTGGTCCATTCCCAGACAGCAACATGCAAGAATAAGTTTACAATACACTCAGCCCTTCTGGCTTCAGATCAGGGGCTCAGAGGCTGTGACAACTCATGATGCTGAAAATGTATCCAGTGAAAATGAAGTACTAGCTCTCTGCTTCATTAAAAGCTCTTGGAAAGAATATTAAATCTCAAGACAACAAAATAATTGAACACACAATACATTTGTGTCTTTGTATCCAATATATTACCTTTGTCTTATTAACAAAAATTATATCTCTCATTATATATTTCTTGGATCTGAAGTTTTTATTCACACTCAGTAATTTCTGTAAAGGACAAATCTGTCTCTATTTTCCATATCATTTAGAAATATACCACATTCACTCTTTTTGATGTGAACTTTCCCAGGAAAATTCTCTTGTGCCCATTTAGTTTTAGAAGAGTGTCATTTTGTGCTATTATGTCAATATCCTGTTTTATTTCCATTATGTTTTTCAAAAACCGAAGAAAATAAGGTTTTTCTTAAAAAGTTAGACATTTTCTCTTGTTAATTCTGTATCCTGTTATTTACAGCTGAAGAGAAACTATTTTAACTTAAGTGTAAAATGGTTTAGAATAGCAAATGATACAGTCCACTCAGAGTTTACAAAAAAAACATTTACCAGGTAGACACTTAATAAATAAAACAAGCACTTGGAAAAAGTTCTTTGAAAACAGACCTAGGGACATCCACCTGCATCTTTTGCACAGATTTTGTTAAGAAAAGGCCAGATCTAAAAATGTACTGTCAAGAAACAAGCAAACCAATGCATACATACGTAGGTATTCTAAACAGAGGTTCATGTGGTGTCCATTTAGAGTGACTGATGTAAATGCCAGTTGTAGAAGTGTTAATCTAAATCTTTTACTCGGCGACAGATTTCCTCTGTGAAGTCTGAGCATTTTGCATTGCCTCCCAAATCTTTTGTCAAGCTCTGAGAAAAGGAAAAAGCAAAAATAAAAGATGTATCCGCAAACTAAACTAAACCAAGGAGATTTTAAAGCCCTCAGTGAGATGCCACCTGGGCAAGTTACTCGGCTGCTCTTTCATTTAGTTCCTCATTTCAAAGTGAGGAACCACTCCACCACCATCTACCCAGCCCAGGAGGATCGGGATCCAATCTCATAGTGTATACAACAGCACTCTGCAAAGAATAAGGTGCTCTTGATGCAAAGGGAGGCAGGGAGCTTTACCAAAATTTTCCCTTTGTTCACACAATAGACCCTAACCCAGATTAGTTGGTCATGGATATTTAAATAAAAGCGAATCTAAATAAGAAGTTTCATAAAAATCCTTGGGAAATATGTCTCAGGAATAGACCTGAGACATATTTTGATCTATTTTTGTTTTTATTATTATTTTTTTTTTAGATGGAGTCTCACTCTGTTGCCCAGGCTGGAGTGCAGTGGCACGATCCCAGCTCACCACAACCTCTGCCTCCTGGGTTCAAGCGATTCTCCTGCCTCAGCGTCCTGAATAGCTGGAATTACAAGTGCATGCCACCATACCCAACTAATTTTTGTATCTGATCTATTTTTGGAGGCTGGGACACAAATACGAAAGAAATATTTAAATCATTAACTCTTTTTTTTTTTTTTAAGAGACGGGGTCTCACTATGTGGCCCAGGCTGGTCTTGAACTCAGAGGCTAAGGTGATCCTCCTGCCTCAGCCTATAGCTGCAACTACAGGCATGCACCACCACACCTGCCTAAATCATTAACTCTTAAACCTCCCTCTTTAGGAAAGAAAGCCTCCCATACAACTGATCTGTTCTACCAGCTTATCCTTTCTTTCCTGCATACAGACCCCAATATATTTAATTCTCTTTATCTTTCCATCCTACACAATAAAAGGGCCCACTATGTAATTCAGGCACCTCTCTACTGGGCTGTAGATTATAACTTCCCAAATATAACTTTAAAGAATAAGAAAATCATATGACCTCCAATGTGACTATCAGGCTGTTAAAAACAAGCCTGAATTTCTTGTATTTTGGCCACACGATATAATTTCAAATTACAGAATTTTTTTAAAAGAAGGGACCAACTTTGAAGATATTACGCTAAGTGAAATAAGCCAGACTCAAAGGACAAATACTGTATGATTCCACTTACATGAGGTACCTAGAGTAGTCAAATTCATAGAGACAGGAAGCAGAATGGCAGGTGTCAGAGGATGGGAGGGGGAAGGGAAAGTTACTGTTTAACGGGTGCAGAGTCTCAGTTTGAGAAAATGAAACTGGTCTGGAGATGACTGATGGTGATGGTTACATTACAATGTGAATGTACTTAACATTATTGAACTGTATACCTAAATACGGCTAAAATGGCAAATTTTATGTTATGCATATTTTTCACAATTTTTGTTAAAAAGGACCTCAAATTAGGGATGAGTCTTCAAGTGCATTATTTCCTCTAACTTCGGAATAGCCCGCGACACTTCTTCCACAGGCCACAATTGCTTACCGAGGCGGTGGAGCTTGTTGGGTAAGGCCCAGACTGCGTGTTAATACCAACTTGGGTCATTTAGGAGCTGTAAAACCTTGGACATATTATTTATTCTCTCTGTACCTCAGTTTCCTCATCTATAAAATGGAATTATAGCATCTACTTCAAAGAGTTATAGAAAAACTTTGCTGAGATGATATATAAAGAACTTAAAAGTTGCATAAGTATTCAATTAATATTAGTTATTACTTTTATAAAACTTCTGTATTGCTTTTGTATTATAGATGCACACAGTGTAACATATAAGACTATTGTATTAGAGGTACATCTGCATCTGTATCTGCCACTAGATTCCCAGCTCCTTGAGGCTCAGCATCTTACCCTATTCATCATTTTACTCTTCACACCTTATAAGGTACACTCAACAGACGTTTGTTGTGAAGAGTAAAAAGTTGTCTATAAAAATCAATGAACTTGGCCGGGTGTGGTGGCTCATGCCTGTAATCCCAGCACTTTGGGAGGCTGGGGCGGGAGGATCACTTGAGCTCAGGAGTTCGAGACCAACCTGGCCAGCATGGTGAAACCCCATCTCTACTAAAAATACAAAAATTAGCTGGGTGTGGTGGCACACGCCTGTAATCCCAGCTACTAGGGAGGCTGAGGCAGGAGAACTGCTTGAACCCGGGAGGTGCAGGTTGCAGTGAGCCAAGATTATGACACTGCACCCCAGCCTGGGTGACAGAGCAAGACTCTGTCTCAAAAAAAATCAATGAACTTGGCCAAGGTCACACAGCTAACAATAGGATAATTGGGCGTGCACCTGATGCTGCCTCCCAAACCACTGACCTTTCCACTGTACACTGATGTCTATACATCAGTGCTGCTTAACTTTTTTTGGATGAAATATCTAGATCCTCACCTCAGAAAATGCACACATGTGCACACATACCCTGTTCAATCTGGGACCCACGTTAAGAATCCTTGTTCAACATCAAATGCTTGGGCCCGCCTGAGAACTATTATCTGTCACTGTCCCTTTCACTCAGATAAAACACATGGAAGCAATGCATTTTACCCAGCACAAGTAAATCAAGATTCCTGTTACCTTTCCGTCCTTAATTGTAGCAAAACACGCAGCCTCAATTCTTGCAGCATGGTCAAAAAGTCCCATGTGGCGCAGCATCATCACGGCACTGAGCAGGAGGGCTGTGGGATTCGCCATGTCCTTGCCTGCAATGTCTGGAGCCGTCCCATGAACCTACACATCGGGAAAAGTAGCATCATCAAGGGAGAGACAAAAACTAACAGTCCTCTTCTGGGGAAGCTGGAGTCTTAACCATCTTTCCTCAGCAATACAAAATATGCACTGAAAGCTACTGCGTGCAATTCATCTGATATGGACTGAAGAAATAAAGTCTGGGTTGGGCGTGATAGCTCACACCTGTAATCGCAACACGTTGATAGGCCAAGGCAAGAAGATCACTTGAGGCCAGGAGTTCAAGACCAGCCTGGGCAACATAGTGAGACCCCATTTCTACAAAAAAATTAGCAATTAGCCAGGCATGGTGGTGCCTGACTACAGTGCCAGCTACTTGGGAGGCTGAGGCAGGAGGATTGCTTAAGCCTAGCAGTTCAAGCCTGCAGTGAGCTATGATCACACCAGTGTACTCCAGCCTGGGTGACAGAACAAGGCCCTAGCTCAAAAATAAATAAATAAATAAATAAAGACTTGGAGAAATAAAGAGCTAAAGTAATTTTTTTAAGTATAAAAATATGGACCAACAATCTTTTTCAGTCAATTTTTGGTAAAATATTTTAAGGAAGGAAGGATACATAATAAATACCTGGAGGGAAATGAAGAGATAAACCAAACATATATATATGTTTATATATGGGTGTATATAAAAACAAACATAGGCTGGGTGCAATGGCTCACACCTGTAATCCCAGCAACTTTGGGAGGCCAAGGCGGATGGATCATCTGAGATCAGGAGTTCAAGAACAGCCTGGCCAACATGGTGAAACCCCATCTCTACTAAAATACAAAAATTAGCCAGGTGTGGTGGCTCACACCTGTAATCCCAGCTACTTGAGAGGCTGAGGCAGGAGAATCACTTGAACCTGGGAGGCAGAGGTTGCAGTGAGCCAAGATCGCACCACTGTACTCCAGCGTGGGTGACAGAGCGAGACTCCGTCTCGAGAAAAAAAAAAAGCATCATTTTGTTTTGACAATTTGAAAAACTGGAGTTAAAGCATACTTATACAGATAACTCCTCCTGAGTTCACACGCTGTTCTGACCTGAGTTCTGTTTCAGGTGTCAGGGTCCTTACCGACTCAAAAATTGCAACCCCATTGGCTCCAATGTTGCCACTTGGTGTCACACCGAGACCTCCGATCAATCCTGCACACAAGTCACTAGCGGAAGAAAAGCATTTCAAAGAATGTTTTTAAAAATAAAACATCTCACCTAGCACCCAGATTTTAGTTTTTAATTATCATTCTCCACTAAAAGGAAGTAGCATTCCTTGGATAAATGGCTGATTCCAGGGCAAAGGTTAGGAAAATACAGATGAGCCTCGAGCATCTTACTGTGTCAGAAAGCAAGGCAAGGCTCAAAGAACAAAGGGCCGTGTCTAAAGGACACAGAAGACATGGTGAAGGGACCCCCATCAGCCAAGTTAGGACAACCTATGCATCAATATTCATGATTATGATGATGGATATATCACTGAATAAAACAGAAAACCATGTCCACAGCTGGGCTCAGTGGCTCATGCCTGTAATCCCAGCACTTTGGGAGGCCAAGGTGGGCAGATCACTTGAGGTCAGGAGTTCCAGACCAGCCTGGCCAACATGGCGAAACCCCGTCCCTACTAAAAATACAAAAATTAGCCAGGTGTGGTGGTGTGCACCTGTAATAATACCAACTACTCAGGGGAGGCAGGAGAATCACTCGAACCTGGGAGGTAGAGGTTGCAGTGAGCCGAGATTGTGCCACTGCACTCCAGCCTAGGCGACAGAGCAAGACTCTGCCTCAAAAAAAAAAAAAAAATGAAAATCACCATTTGGCCAACATCTTATGTCTGTGTGTGTCGGGGGGGGAGAGAGAGAGAGAGAGAAGCACAGACAAAGGAGAGGAGGAAGAGGAAGGGAGGGAAAGTGGGAAGGAGTAATAAAGTAAATGTGATAAAATGCTGACATCTGGAGAATGTGGAATCAGGGTGCTGAGTACAAGGGAATTCTTTGTACTATTCTTACAACTTTTCTGTAAGTCTGAAATTATGTCAAAAGTTACCAAAAAATAGTAACAATGACCACCCACCTACCTAGCTATACATAACAAAACCTTAAAATCAATCAATCAATCAAACATTTAAAAACTGGGAAGAGTGACCTAATAATGATTAGGGAGAAAGAGCCCAGCAATGATTTGGCAAATCAATGAAGGAACAAGCCACCCAACATGTAATCATTCATATCACAACCTGAACTGTTAGAATTCAATTCATATGTTACAACAAATACTCTATTTCACAATACTCAATTGAAAATGTTAAGCCATAATTATTTTAGGATGTTTATAAGTAAATCATAGGCTAAAATAAATAGGTTGCAGCCAGACTCACCTAAGGATGTCTCCATACAAATTTGGCATAACAAGAACATCAAATTGGGAAGGATCTTGTACCATCTACAAGGAATACATTTGTGCATTTAGTAATCAAAATCTGCATCCCCACAACACACAGACACCATTCACCATAAAAAGTAGCAGGTAAGTGTGAATATATACTTACATTCAAACATACTGTATCAAGGTACATCTCATTAAATTTAATATCTTTACAGCTTTCTGCAACTTCCCTGCATTTTTGTAGAAAAAGCCCATCTGACATCCGCCTGTATTTAATCAAATAAAAACTGCTGAAAAAAAAGTCTTACAGAAAGAAAAGAATCAAATCAAAGAAGTAAAGTAAGTTCAAGACATTTAAGTTCCAGAAGCCAAGCTACCTGATCCCAATTACAATAAAATTATTTCTTAGGTAGTTAATAAAATATAAGCTGAAAATGTTTTAGGATCCTTCTGAAAGTATAAAAGAGTAAAAATGTAAAATAGTTTGATCATAACAGAGAAGACTATATTTTTATAGTGTTATCTAACAAGAATGAAGAAATACCCACTAATATTATTAAAATTGCTTTAAAAGGTTAACATAGTAATTTAAATAGTTTTACTATTTTGCATGTTCAATGCTTTTCTTAGGTTAGGAAAACTGTTAATATATTCAGAGGACTTTAACAGCCTCTGGATGAGAATTTAAGTTGCTGGAGTAACACATCAGGTATTGTTAGCACTACTTTAAGCCTCCCACTATTCCACTTCTAAAACGTACGCTATGTGGCCTCTGCTGATGGCCACAGCATCTGGGGACCCCGAGGCTCCAATTTCCTTTCCTGATAACCCTCAGTCCTTCCTTGAGCTTCCAGGACCTGAATCACCATCCCCTCCTCATTTGCTCCTGTCATTCGCCCAGGGAGGCGCAGTAAACAGGAGACTCCAGGCCGGGCGCAGAGGCTCATGCCTGTAATCCTAGCACTTTGGGAGCCCAAGGCGAGCGGATCACTTAAGGTCAGGAGTTTGAGACCAGCCTGGCCAACATGGTGAAACCCCATCTCCACTGAAAATACAAAAATTAGCCGGTCATGGTGGCATGTGCCTGTAGTCCCAGTGACTCGGGAAGCTGAGGCAAGAGAATTGCTGGAACCCGGGAGGCGGAGGTTGCAGTGAGCCAAGATCGCGCCACTGCACTCCAGCCTGGGCAACAGAAAGAGACTCCGTCTCAAAAAAAAAAAAAAAAAACAGAGGAGAAAAGAGGAGACTCCGACAGAAGAGAGATGCCGTATCTTTGGATTGTTACAAAGTTCTTTTTCAAAGATATTAGGAATCAAGGAACAAGCTGAAGAGGAGAAAGGGAAGCCCTGTCACTGCTCTCCCACAACAAAGCAAGATGGGGTGCCGGCCCCCGCAAGGAGCTCACATGATGTTGGCTTTGTGCACCGCCGTGACGTTGCTCCGGTGGTTGTTCCGGGCATACTCAAAGGCAAACTCAGCAATGCGCTTGCTCGCCCCCTCGGTGATGAGCTTGATACTCTGCACGACTCCATCAACAATCTGCAAGACAGGAAGTCCCACCTTGCTGGAAAGAGTGTGACAGCAACGCAGTGGGAGACAGAGGGTGGGGAGTAGACAGTAACATTTGTGGCAGGCCTGCACAGTGCCAGCTAGCATGACTAATCACACACACTGCTACGACAATGGGGTTCATGTTAACTCCAGCCCTAAGAGGTAAGTATTATGAGCCCCACTGCACAGATGAAGAAAACTGAGATGCAGAGACAGTCATCTGCGGAAGAGCGCACCTGTGAAGTGGGGGATTCAAAATTCAGAGGGCATATTCCCAAGCTTGTGACGCGAACCACCATGCCTTACATTTGTTTGAGTACTGTCAGCCAGACACCCAGCACCAAGACAAACACCCACAACTCCTCACAGAGATAAAGCAGATCTGTCTCTGGGGTCCCAGATGCACAGAAAGCAGTCCAAGCAGGAATAAAAAAGAATCTGGAGTGAACATACCACATGCTCAATTCCACTGTATTCTCCTTCTGTGTTCTCTCGAATGGTCACAATATTTACATCGGTGTAAGGGGTTTTATAGCCTTCGATAGAGACACATGGTCGGACATTCGCGTAAAGGTCAAATGTTTTGCGCAGCAGTAAATTCATAGATGGGTGACCGGCTGCTATTGGGGTCTTCAAAGGGCCTGTTATACAGAAGAAAACCCAGATGACACTAGAAGGAATTCTGGTCTCACGTGTGACCTACTAACCCACCTCGGCTACCTTGTGAAATGTGTTCTGCCTCTAGTTCACTCTCTACCTGAGATTCAAATGAAGGAGGAACACTTCCTCACGGGAGCTTTCTGGAACATTAACTGCGTTTCTTATCTTCAGAACTTCCTGAGGATCAAGCATTGTAATCATGTGCTTGACATGATATAATCCTTATCATCACCCCGTACAACAGCAACTCTGTTACTGTCATTTAAAAATGACGAAAAAAGAAAAAATAAGAATAAAAAATTTGCCCAAGCCTTCTAGCCAGTAAGTAGCAGAGATGAGATTCAATGTTGGTTCTGTCTGTGGCTTTAAAGCCTATGCTTGCTCTGGCCTACAGTCTCAGGCCTGTAATCCCAACACTTTGGGAGGCCAAGGCAGGCGGATCGCTTGAGGTCAGGAGTCCAAGACCAGCCTGGCCAACATGGGGAAACCCTGTCTCTACTAAAAATACAAAAATTAGCTGGGCGTTGTGGTGTGTGCCTGTAATCCCAGCTACTTAGGAGGCTGAGGCAGGAGAATAGCTTGAATCCAGAAGGCGGAGGTTGTAGTGAGCCGAGATCACGGCACTGCACTCCAGCCTGGGCAACAGAGCGAGACTCTCAAAAAATATAAAAATAAAGCCTATGCTGAATTTAAATCTACCACATGCTAGTATTTTTGAATTATGGCCTTAAACATGTATTAATTAAAATAATAATAAAAATGTAGGCCAGGCACAGTGGCTAAGTCAGGCCTGTAATCCCAGCACTTTGGGAGGCAGAGGCAGAAGGATTGCTTGAGCTTAGGTATTCCAGATCAGCCTGGGAAACATAGTGAGACCCCATCTCTACAAAAAACTTTTTAAAAAATTAGTTGGGCATGGTGGCACACCTGTAGTCCTAGCCACTCGGGCGGCTGAGGTGGGAGGACTGCTTGAGCTCAGGAGGTCAAGGCTGCAGTGAGCTGTGATCACACCACTGCACTCCAGCCTGGGCAACAGAGCGAGACTCTGTCACAAAAAAATTAAGTAAATAAATAAATATACAAATGTAAAAATTAAGCAAAAGATATATATAGTTGAAGATTAAATAGAGATACTGTTATTTGGCATCATCCAGTAATACTTTAATGTTTTTTACTGGGGGAAAAAAATGTCCCAAATGAATAAAACATCTTACTATGAGTAGTTACTTCATAAAAGAATGGCGTTACCTTCACAGATGGCCAGGCCTTATTCAGTTTAAATGCATAAATTTTCAAAACTAAGTAACCCCTGTAGCGGAAATCTGTAAAAACCCCCGTCTCTACTTCAGTGCTACCTTTCAAGCCCATCTTGTTCTTATCCATGGACTCTTTAGCCTCTGAAGGGATCATCCACTTTCCTCCAGGTCCTTGAATGGCAGTGACGTTCCGCTCCTCCCACTGAATAGGTGCCTAGATGCCACATCACAGAGCACAGTGAGCTGGAGAGACTTAAAGGAAACTGGCATTCATACTGCAATGATGAACAAACTTTTTCAACTTCGTTTTTGAGATAGAGTCCCGCTCTGTCGCCTAGGCTAGAGTGCAGCGGCACAATCTTGGCTCACTATAACCTCCGCCTCCCAGGTTCCAGCGATTCTCATGCCTCAGCCTCCTGAGTAGCTGGGATTACAGGCGCCCACCACCACACCCAGCTAATTTTTTTGTATTTTTTTTGTAGAGACAGGGTCTCACCATATTGGCCAGGCTGGTCTCAAACTACTGACCTCAGGTGATCTGCCCACTTCGGCCTCCCAAAGTGCTGGGATTACAGACGTGAGCTACCGGGCCCAGCCCTTTTTCAACTTTGGATGTGACTGCTAAAAACAGTAAAGGTCCAGAAGGTTCCTGGCATGCAAGAAGAGATGTCATTCTCTAGCAGGCCCAGAGGGATTCTCTACATTATCTGTGCCCAGTCATCACTCCCAGCTACCACCTGCCCACTTATTTCTTTTCACAAGGGCTCTTAACAGTGGCTATAGTTAGAATATCATAAGTAGCAGAGGAATATGGTTCACAGAAACATCATATAGTACTGATACATGGATGAAACTTAAAAACATCATGCTAAGTGAAAGAAGCCAATCATAAAAGACCATATATTATAAGATTCTATTTATATGAAATGTCCCAAATAGGCAAATCTACAGATACAGAAAGTAGATGAGTGGTTGGCTGCCTAGGGTGGGGGAAGAAAAAGGAGGAGGGGGTAGGGAGGGAGAGAGACGAAATGGGGAGCGACTGCATAGGGTATGGGGTTTCTTTTTCGGTGAGGAAAATGGTCCAAAATTAGATTGTGGTGATGGTTGCATAACTCTGTGAATGTACTAAAAACCACTGGATTGAAAGGTACATTTTAAAAGGATGAATTAGGCCCAGTGTGGTGGCTCACGCCTGTAATCCCTGCACTTTGGGAAGCCAAGGTGGGTGGATCACCTGAGGTCAGGAGTTCCAGCCCAGCCTAGCCAACATGGTGAAACCCCGCCTCTACTAAAAATACAAAAATCAGCTGGGCGTGGTGGCAGGCACCTGTAATCCCAGCTGCTCGGGAAGCTGAGGCAGAAGAATAGCTTGAACCTGGGAGACGGAGGTTGCAGTGAGCCAAGATCATGCCATTGCACTCCAGCCTGTGCAACAAGAGCGAAACAATGTCTCAAAACAAATGAAACATAAAAATAAAAAATAAAGGATGAATGATATCTCCATAAAGCTGTTTTTAAAAAACAATATTACATTGTTTAAAATATATATATAGGCCAGGCCCGGTGCAGAGGCCAAGGTGGGCAGATCACCTGAGGTCAGGAGTTCGAGACCAGCCTGACCAATATGATGAAACCCTGTCTCTACTAAAAATAAAAAAATTAGCCAGGCGTGGTGGCATGTGCCTGTAATCCCAGCTACTTGGGAGGCTGAGACAGGAGAATCGCTTGAACCCGGGAGGCAGAGGTTGCAGTGAGCCGAGATTGCTCCATCGCACTTCAGCCTGGGCAACAAGAGCAAAACTCTGTCTCAAAAAAAAAAAAAAAAAAAAAAAAAAAAAATATATATATATATATGTATGTATGTATTGCATAACCTATGAATGTACCAGTTGGAGGTATAAACAAGCATCCCTTTCTCTCTACCTACATCCTTCATGTGTATACAGCTAGCACACTGAACATGTCCTAGGACACGAGCTCAGACAGACACGGTGCTGTTCACAAGCAGCTTACAGCTGAATCCACTTACAGAATTTTTAAATTATCTACCTGTATCAAAGGCTCAGCTGTTAGAAGTAATAACATTCCATTCTTGATAACACATCAGAAATTTTATTTTAAAGAGATTATTTCAAAAGCGCCTGTATAGATTTTGGAAACAGCAATTCTAGTCTTATTTTATTTTATTTTTTGCAAAAAGGTGGGTGATTTGGCAGGGCTTAAAAGATCTTAAACCCAAGCAGGACTTAAAGATCCACAAATACTGCAGTACTACTTTGATTACTTTACATATAACTGATGCCAATGCAGGAGTTTAAACTATCAACAACAGGAGCAGCCAGCCAGGTGCGGTGGCTCACGCCTATAATCCAAGCACTTTGGGAGGTGAAGGTGGGAGGATCGCTTGAGCCCCAGAGTTCAAGACCAGCCTGGGAATAGAGCGAGACCTCATCTCTAAATTTAAAAAAAAAAAAAAAAGAAAGAAAGAAATAATGGCAGTAGCAAACACTGAGACACACACTGTTAAAGTGACAATCGGTGGAGATTAACAACAGACCTGACTAAATTTCATAGAAATGGGTACAATGCATCCTAAAAGTTCACAGAATCCAACTGGCTAAGAAAACTTTTCAGTGAGTCATCATTAAATGTATTTTTTAAGCCCACTTACTTTGGCAGCATCAAAAATCTTCATAACTGCAGCTGAAATTTCTGGGCCAATACCATCTCCTGGAATTAAAGTTACTGTCTGAACCTGAACATAAGAAATCATCAAAGAAGACAGTAAGAATTTTTGTTTTTGAAGGCTTAAAAAAGAATATTTTGACAGAGAAATCCACTTTATGAGATGTCTCAGGAAGATTCAAATGCTGTTAAGAAAACAAACATACCTCCCCGGGGGTCATCAAAGGGGAGGCAGGAATCAACAGAGGAGAGACTCTGCAATCCTACTCTTTACCTGAGTTCAGAGGTTTTAAAAAGAACCAAATGATACTCTTTACATAAAACGAAAATAAATTAAACTACCAAGTAGATTTCCTAATTGATATTTCTTTTCAGACAAGCTGCAAAGAGACCAATTAATTCAAATCTTTTAAACCAAAGACAACAACAACAAAAAATTAACAATGTTCTCTCACTAAAATTTAGACGGTTTCTCATGAAGGCAAGTGTTTTCCTTTCCTTTCCATTGTGATCCTGGAAAGCTTCTCATGCAACTTCTTCAGTCTTGCAAAACATTTTCAGACACATTTCCAAAATATTACTGAGGTCTGTTTTGGTACTCAGGGAAAATCAGACTTTTTATCAAGAGAGCTTCCATTTTTTTCTTAGTTCCTCTATAAAACTGTCTGCTTAAATCTAAGAGTAATCTACATAAGCTTGGCAAAGTTGATCTGCAACCAAAAAGAATAGTATATGTCATCATACCTGCAAAGCCTGAGTCACACTTAGAATGACAATTATTGTTTTTATAATGTAACAGCAATGATTTATTCTAAGGCTTCAGGCAAAACGAAGCCAGCATTTCAAATGCAGAAATAAAAATATGTAAGGGAGAAGATCAGCACCTCTTTTTCCATTTGGGAACCACATATTTTATTATCTTGGGACTTTACCCCACCTAGGGGCTTGGCTTTTTTTCAGTTCTAGTTGCTTGAACTGCATTTTTAAAAAGTCACTAATTCAAGTTTCCTTGGTCCTTTGCCTTCCAATGATGTCTGCCCAGATACGTGGACTAATTATTTCTGATTAGTTTCTGTACAACTGAAGAAACATTTTTATTTTTTTCATTTTTCTAATTTTCAATTTTTATTTTTTAGAGATGAGGACTCACTACATTGCCAGGCAGGAGCACAGTGGCTACTCACAGGTGTGATCACAGCTCACTGCAGCCTCGAACTCCTGGCCTTAAGCAAATCTCCCACCTCAGTCTTAGCCAGGGCTAAGGCTCATACCAGTTTTCTCGGGTTGAAGAAGTCTTTAAAAAAATTAATACATCCTCTTATTTCTTCAAAAATAACCTCCTCCATCAAGCTAATTTTTTTTTCAAATAAATAGCCTGAAAATTAAATAATAGCAGAGAGCAATGATCATCTTATTAGCTTTCAGAATGCGTTTGAAATGCTAGCATGGCTATCCTTGAGCTTGAAGTGCAAGCCCCATCCTGCATTTTTGGCATAAGCAGAGCCAAAAGAACGCTTTGGCTACTTCTTCCTGTTCTCCCAACATGTAATAATAAATGTCATCCAGTCACCAGAAAATCTGCTTTTCTTCCACAATACAGAAAGTAAATGGAGGAAAAAATGTACTATGGTCTTATAAATCTTTCACGGCATAGATGTTATATGGGAGTATAGGAATTATGAAATCCAAATCAGATTCCATAAAAGGCGGGGCGGGGATCAAAACAAATAGGAAGTCACTGACCCACAGTCTTAGAATGTTCCAAAAATGTGGTATCAGCTTTTAAAGCACAGAATTCTGATGCTGGGAATTCTAAAAGCAGCAGATTTAATGAACAATAGATGATCTACTACTGTGATAGTCTACAAAGCCTATATAAGGCAAGTATAAGCCTACAAGGCTTATAGATGTTCGAGGCATTCCTAATTGGCACTCAATCTACTGGGTTTAGGGAAGCCCATAAAATAAAAATGCAAAGCAGGTTTTGAAGCTTCTCAACAATTTTCTCTCAACTTGTACTAGTTTTGAAAAAAGCTGTCTCACCAAAATGAGATTGTGAAATAAAATAACAGGCTCAAGGGTACTTTCTATTTTTAACAAGGCTCCCTCAAGATATTAATGTGACAAACTTACATAGCCAGCTGTAAGATAATTCTTTCAAATGCGCAAGTAACCTAACAGATTTGTGCATGTCAGCCAGTAATTTCAACATACATTATAAATATGGCCAATTTTCCCAAATTCTAAATGAATGGAGATAAAATGCTATATAATAAATATGTTAGAGCATCTTTCTTGAGAAACTTCTAAAAGGAAAAAATAAAAGACATAATTATACTCACACCACCAGTAAAACCTCTGGTCACCTGTTTTGGGTTGTGGAATGCCCCCAGCAGCCGAGAGACCTATATTAATATCAACAGAGAAATATCACACACAGAATTAAACCACATACAGTAAACAAGAGCGAGGAAGTCCTGATGGATGGTAATGCTGCAACTTGGCACAGATATATTCAGTAGCTTCCCAGGAATACAAATCTCATGTATTAGCTCAATGTGGCAAGCTATCTCAGATTTGAAAGCCTAAATACTCAGATTTTTACTTTAGATTGAGTACTGTATATTTTCAAAGTCAATTTAACGAATATAAGTTGTCAAATAAAAGATGTTGAAGGTAGAATAAAACTACTTTTTCAGCTCAACATACAGATTCTTCTCAGATGAGTGGATCATTTTGTGCCAACATTCTTGACCATTCGGTCAATTTAGGGGTAACATATATTCTAAGAAAATTACCATTAATTTTAGAGCCAGGATGTTCCTCATGAAATCCAGAGCACAACTCACTTATTTCTTGTTGTTGTTTTAGGCTTTTTGAGATGGGGTCTCCCTAGGTTGCCCAGGATGGAGTGCAGTGACTATTCAAAGGCACAATCATAACTCACTGCAGTCTCCAACTCCTGGGCTCAAGTGACCCTCTTGCCTCAGCCTCCTGAGTAGGTGGGATTACAGGTGTGCACCACGACACCTGGCAACTTGCTTATTTCATAAGCGGAGATGCTGGTCCCAAAGAAAAGCATTTGCCTAAGGTCACACAGCGAATAATTGGCAAAATGGAAACCCACATACAGGTCTTCTGACTCCTGGTCCAGTGCTCCTTCAATTATACATTATATCTATTCTGTGAATATTAAGAAATTACACTTTATAGTAAAATCTAAGAAAGTTTATTTAATACCATCTGATGCCCATGCCATACAGAATAAAGATTTTAAATAAATTACTGCTTCTTCTGATAATATAGGTAATGTGGTCATTACTGTCAGTTTGCTGGGACTAGGAAAAGATACAAAATATAAAATAAAAGTTACCCAGTAATCCCACCACACCAAGATATTACCACTGGTACGTGTTTTTTTTTTTTTTTCTCTCTCCAATTAACATCATATGCCAGAAATATAAATTTTAAAGGTTTATTATAAACTTTAATAACTTAGTCCTTGAGAACTGGTACAAAGTCATACTACATTATTATAAACAATATAAAAAAAGAAACTGGGTACATAGACCAAAGGTATTAAAATGCATTAAATTTTTTTTTTTTTGAGACAGAGTTTCACTCTTGTTGCCCAGGCTGGAGTGCAATGGTGCAATCTCGGCTCACTGCAACCACCACCTCCTGGGTTTGCCTCAGCCTCCTGAAAGTAGCTGGGATTACAGGGATGCACCACCATGCCCGGCTAATCTTGTTGTATTTTTAGTAGAGACAGGGTTTCTCCATGTTGGCCCGGCTGGTCTCAAACTCCTGACCTCAGGTGATCCACCTGCCTTGGACACCCAAAGTGCTGGGATTACAGGCATGAGCCACCACACCCGGCTGCATTAAATTTTTTAAAAAGTAACTTTTTCTCCTGCTAGATACATGAGCAAAGACACATTTGTTATATCCTATCTTGATGTTTTTTTCTGGGGTCTGAACCTTTGCTGAAATATTTATTGGTAACAACCAACAGCCAAGAAAGGTATGAATGAATTTTATTCTCTAATCTTCTGGTATCTATAGTCATGACTCTGCATTGAAAATAAGACTGGGCCAAATCCAAAAGAATGCCAAAACCATTGGCCAAAATGTTAATCCTAGGGCATGATTCATCCACCAGCGAGTGGGCTATTGGAAGGGAGGCCATTTAAAGGCTACTTTGTGACAAGAAAATTGACATGTGTCCTTTCTCCTCTCCCTGAACAAAAAAGAAGGAAAAGACATTCACACAAAACTCATGTCCTTGTGACAGAAGACCCAACCAACCAGGCTGTGCAACAAAGTGAGACCCTGTCTCTACAAAATTAGCCAGGTATGGTGGTGCACACCAATGGTCTCAGCTACATGGGAGGCTAAGTCGGCTTGAGCTCAGGACTGCTTGAGCCCAGGAGCTTGAGGCTTCTGTGAGCTATGATTATGCCACTGCACTCCAGCCTAGGTAATGGACAAAAAAAAGAAAAAAAGAAAGAAAGAATGAAAAAGACCCGACTCAAACAACTGATTTTAAAATGTAAACCCATCCTACCTGCATATGCTGGGGGCAGCAATGTAAACCCAGGAGTGTAAGGATTTGTGTTTTGTTCACTGTTGTATCTAGTGTCTAGAACAGTCCCTGGCTCATAGAAGGTATTCAATAATTTAAAAAAAAACAAAACAACAATCAAACAAAACTGAGTCCAGCCTCAGTCACATCTCTATCTGAAGAGTTTCCAAGCCAACAAGTAGCCTTAATACTTGCAATGATCTTCTTTAAGGACCAGTCTTTTCCATGTTTGTCATCTCTCTTGCATGATCTTAGAATAAAGCAGTACTGCACCTAAGTCATCACAATGACCCAGAACTTTAAGTAAAATAAAATTTTCCAAAGCACCATTTAAAGGTTACTTCGTGACAAGCAGAGCATAAAAGTGACATGAGGCCGGATGCGGTGGCTCACGCCTGTAATCCCAGCACTTTGGGAGGCTGAGGCAGGCAAATCACCTGAGGTCAGGAGTTCAAGACCAGCCTGACTAACATGGAGAAACCCTGTCTCTACTAAAAATACAAAATTAGCCAGGCGTGGTGGCACATGCCTGTAATCCCAGCTATTCAGGAGGCTGAGGGAGGAGAATCACTTGAACCCAGGAGGCAGAGGTTGCGGTGAGCCAAGATCGCGCCATTGCACTCTAGCCTGGGTGACAAGAGCAAAACTCCATCTCAAAAAAAAAAAAAAAAAAAAGGCCGGGCGCAGTGCCTCACGCTTGTAATCCCAGCACTTTGGGAGGCTGAGGCCGGTGGATCACCTGAGGTCAGGGTTCAAGACCAGCCTGGCCAACATGGTGAAACCCTGTCTCTAATAAAAATACAAAAATCAGCTGGGTGTGATGGTGGGTGCCTGTAATCCCAGCTACTTGGGAGGCTCAGGCAGGAGAATCGCTTGAACCCAGGAGGTGGAGGTTGCAGTGAGCCAAGATCTCACCATTCCACTCCAGCCTGGGCAACAGGAGCAAAACTCTGTCTCAAAAAAAAAAAAAAAAAAAAAAAAAATTGACATGAGTCCTTTCTCCTCTCCCAGCCCAAAAAAGAGGGAAAAGACATTCACACAAAACTAGCTTATGTCTCTGTGACAGAAGACCTGACCAATCAGCCTAGACAACAGAGTGAGACCCTACCTCTACAAAAAAAATTTTAAATGTTAGCCAGGTATGGTGGCACACACCAGTAGTCCCAGCTTCATGGAAGGCTGAGATGGCAGGACTTCTACTTTATAGAATACTCATATGCATATATATATATATATCTCACATCATTTTATTTATATAAAACCTGTAGAGATAGGCATTATTGGCACTTTTCAGATGAGGAAACTGAGGCCAGGTTCATGAAGCCTGGACCAAAACCCTGAACTTTGGACTTCAGGTCGTGGGCCATCTTAATCCACAACTCATTTCCTTTTTAACTTAAAAACATGTAAATAGTGTTGTACATGGGTTCTGAGATGGGTTTTAAAAAAAAAATCTTTTTTTTTTTTGAGACAGAGTCTTGCTGTTACCCAGGTAGGAGCATGATCTCCTCTCACCGCAGCCTCCACCTCCTGGGTTCAAGTGACTCTCCTGCCTCAGCCTCCCGAGTAGCTGGGATTACAGGCGTGCGCCACCACGCCCAGCAAATTTTTGTATTTTTAGTAGAGATGGGGTTTCGCCATGTTGGCCAGGCTGGTCTTGAACTCCCGACCTCAAGTGATCCGCCCACTTTGGCCTCCCAAAGTGCTAGAATTACAGGCATGAGCCACCATGCCTGGCCACAACCTGAAATGGAAACTCAACAGAGGAACTGTCCTGATTGAAACCGGCATCCAGCTCAGCACCTCCACCATCCTGGGGTCAGCCTCTGAGCCACCTTCTGCTCCAATCCCTAAAGTGAGAAGCTGGCCCAGAAGTCAAATGACTCTGCCAAAGGTCACACAGGGAGTGCATGTCAGAGAACCTCATCTTCTGACTCCACAACCCAACACTTTCTGAATACCTACTATGAGGGTTTTTTCATGCAGATCACACTAAAGGCAAAACAGATTTACCAGCACAATCATTATCAAGTGTTGCTTTAGTGCCTCACTGTGAAGGCAAATGTACCTACCAAAGATGAATTGGGTGTTAAATGTAAGTTCAGAGATTAAAGGACTGAGTTCAGTTTTCACAGTGACACAGAAGTTGCTTTACTTTTAGGAGCAAATGTGACATAAGAGTTATCATCACAAGCAAATCTGGGTCTGAAGAGGGTGACAAAGTAGAATCTAGTTATTGAACAAAAAAACCAGTTAATGATGCCCATGAAAACCACTGTCTGTTGGAGACAGATAAACATATTGATAAGAAAGCTTCAGATTTTTGTTTTCCTTCTGTACATACCAAGTGCTTTCACATACATTATTTTATTTAATACTCAAACAATTCTGTGATGTAAGTATAGATATTCACAGATGGGCATATTAAGGCTTAGAGATGTTTAGTAATTTGCTTAGGGTCACACAGCCAATCAGTGGCATTGCTAGGATTTAAATCTGAGACTCCTAAATTCCAGTACAGAGATCTTTTCCTTAAATAACAGTGCATCTCTGGACCTCTCTTTAAACCGAAAAAATGGGAGAAAAGTAGTATCAAACTTACAGAAAAACGTTAAATTGTTTATAGATTTCTAGGGGACCACCCTTTCATAGCAACAGGAGACTTGAGGCCTGATGGCCTGTACCATCATTTGCTATGTGACCTTGGGAAATGGGAACCAAGACACCTAGGTTCCTCTCCCTGCTCTGACACCGACCTCCTGTGTGACCTTGAGCAAATTCTTCTTCAGGCACAGGTTAGTTCCACTGAGAAGCTACGGAACTGCATAGATGATCTGAAACCCTTTCCAGCTCTGGCATCTGAGCTGTCAAGGAGAGCTAAAGCGCTCCAGATTGCAGGATTCCCACCAATGAAAGGTAAAAGGAAGGCTCTGCTGGTCTCTCTCTCCGAAGGTTCAGACGGTAATTCCGAGGTGTAAGATGCCCTATCCTATGAAGGGGAAATAGCTACAAGAGCACTAGAGGTCTGACTGGGAAGAGCGCCAAAGGGAAAACAATCTGATAGGGAAAAGGGCCCCCGGATTCTCTCACCTGGGAAAACCTCCCAAGCTCAACGCCAGTGCCCGTGGCACCTGCGGTTCCCCGGCCAAGGGCCGCGCAGACAGCGGATGAGAGGTGTGGGCAGTGCTGAGGGGATCAGTCCCGCAGCAGGGCCGCAGCCGGGGAAGCGGCCCGGATGGCGGAGCCGGGACAGAGGCTCCCGTGACCTTCCCGGGCTCGGCGCGAAGCCTGGGCTCTGGCCTGGGCGGATGCGGGTGACGGCAGCCGGGTCTCGGCAGGAGCAGGGCCGGCGCCCCCCCGCCTTGACCTTGACGCCGTCCCCGCCTCTGCGCTGCTGACCCGGCCCGGGGCGGCCCATACACTGCGAGCCGGCCACGGAGCGCGGGGCACGGGCGACCAGGACCGGCTCCCAAGCTGTCCCCGCGGGCAGCCACCGCCTCCCTGTCTGGCCCACGCGCCCGCCCACACCCGGCACGCGACCGGCTCTCCTGCCAGCCCTCGCGGCCTGCCTGCCTGCCACACGCCGGCCTGCCAGCGCTCACCTTAGAGATCCACGCGGGCCCAGCCATCGCTTCCCCTCCTGGCTCCGCAGCAACAGCCGCAGCGGCAGTGCGCAAGCGCCCACCCCACGCTCGGAGCCCGCCCCTGCACGGCCACGCCCCCTGAACGCCCCGCCCCCTAGACCGCCTCAGGATTGCTTCGCGCTCGCTCGCTGCCCCGCCCCTGGACATTCCGCTGGCGAATCGCCGGGCTCGTCTCTCTGTGACTGGCCTGGCTGAGCGCCAGGCGAACCCGGAAACTGAGGGGCCGGCATCTCCGGGAAAGCTTCTTCCTCCCCTCCCTGGTTCATTGACTCGCTGTTAAGGTAAGACGTTTGTTCCACACCTACTAGGTGCTGATTAATGTTCTAGGATCTTGGGGATATAGCGCTCCTCATAGAATTTACAATCCCGTGGAGAAAGACACATAATTTTCTTATTCCACAAATTTTGATTTTTTTTTTTTTTTTGAGACCGGGTCTCACTCTGTCGCCCAGGCTGGAGTGCAGTAGCGCGAACAGGTTCACTACAAAGCCTCGACCTCCTGGGATCAAGTAATTACTAAGCCCAGCCCAACTTTGTTTTTTCTTTTCTTTTTCTTTTTTTTTTTTTTTTTTTTTCTCCGTAGAGATGGGGCCTCGCTATGTTGCTCAGGCTGGTCTGGAACTCCAGAGTTCAAGCGATCTGCTTGCCCCAGGCTCACAAAGTGAGCCACTGCGACTGGCCGAATTTTATTTTTTACCAGCTTTATTGAGGTATAATGTATATATAGTAACATTTACTCACTGTAAGTGTACAGTTTGATGATTTTTAGTAAATGTAAACAGTTGCACAACCATCACCACAATCCAGTTTTTGAGCATATGAAAATGTTCCTTGTGTCCGTTTATAGTCAATCCCGCTCCTGTCCTCAATCCCAGGCAACTACTAATCTGTCTATTTAGCTCAACAAATATTTCTGAGGGTCAACTAGACACCAGGCACTGTTTTAAGTGCTGGGGCTTAGTGTCCAGTAGGAAAGACAGGCTTCAATCAAGTGTCACACACATGTCATTAAAACTGTTGCGCCAAGAAGCAAAAGAGCAAGGAGCTATGGCAAGGCAAAATCAGGCAACCTGATTCAAACCTAACCTGGAGGTCAGGGAATGCTTCTCTGAAGAAATAACATCCATACTCACCTTTCCCCTTGTCCTCTCCCTGTCCATCACAAACTCCTGAGTTCCTGCTGATGGCCAGGCCTCTAGCTGGGTGCCAGGGGAGGTCAGGTGTTTAAACCAGGTCTCTGCTACCCTACCCTGGGAAGAGTTCTATCCAGAGAGGAGCTGCCTACCCACCCAGAGAGGTGATGAGTGCAGTAGAGAAGTGATCCCAAGAGCTTTTATGACCTAAATAATAAACTGCAGCTAAGTCTGTGGCCTTGTCAGGAAGGAGGGCTTTTATCAACCCCTTTCCATTGGGCCCCTTCCCCTCATCAGGCCCTGGCAGTCCCATCCTGAAGTGTTCTCCCACAGTTCCTCCATCCCCAATGTCACCCCTGCCCTCCTTCGGGCCAGACCACCTCAGGCCCAGGCTCTTACAACAGCCTCTTCACCTGCCAACCTGCCCTCCCCTTCAGGCACAGCTCTGACCAGGGCTCGCCCCGGCTCTGAAACCTCCTGGCTCTCCCTTGCACTCTCCTCTCACACCACTGTCTTTTTTCAGCCTGATTTCCCACCACTCCTTCCAGCCCCAAAGACCTGGAGCGCCTGCCAACTAGGACTGCTGGCCAGCCCCCAAATGCTTCCCATATTTTACCTCTCCGTGCCTATGGTCGTGCCATTCCCTCAGCCTCAATGCCCTCTTGCCCCACTTCTACTGGCTGAAATTCTAGCTCCTTGTCAAGACTCAGCTTACATGTTGGGAAGTAGTAAAAGTTGTAAAAGCCCCCAAGACCCACGAATGTGTCCCCCTCTCCTTACTCAGAGCCCTCTAGCACTTGGCTCCCACCTCTCCTGGGAAACATCACATTCTCTTCTGCTGTGTGCCATTGAGAAGATAAGCTTTGGGCCAGGCGTGGTGACTCACGCCTGTAATCCCAACACTTTGGGTGGCCGACGCAGGTGGATCACTTGAAGTCAGGAGTTGGAGACCAGCCTGGCCAACATGGCAAAACCCTGTCTCTACTAAAAATACAAAAATTAGTTGGGCGTGTTGGCACATGCCTATAATCCCAGTGACTCAGGAGACTGAGGCATCAGAATCGCTTGAACCCACGAGGCAGAGGTTGCAGTGAGCCGAGATCATGCCACTGCACTCCAGTCTGGGTGACAGAGCGAGACTCTGTCTCAAAAGAGATAGAGAGAAGATATGCCTTAAGTCCAGAGATAATCTTGATGATCTCTTATGACGTTGTTTCTGGAACAGAGACTGGTACACAAGGAATACTTGCTGCTCAGTGATTGTGAAATAAACATTGACTGACTTTGTCCAGTCTTCATTTAATCTTCACAACAACCCTATGAGAAAACTGAAGTACAGCTAGTAAGTGATGATGCTGGCATTCACACTAGGAAGCTTCCTAAGTACTAAGGCAGTTCTCCTAACTGCTGAACTTTCGCTGAGGGCCAGTCCAATCCTACAAAGGCTTCCCAAGCCATTCTCTAGCAAGTGCACTGTGAGAACAAAAAATGAACAAGACCCACTCCTACCCTCCAGATCTAGTGAGGGAGAAACTCAGAAGTCTCAGATGGAAGTTGGGGGGTGATCAAGGAAGATTGCACAATGGAGATGGCATTTGAATCAGTCCTTGAAGAGGTAAAATGTCAGCAGCTGGAGGGACATGCAGGAAACAGAAATGACCTCACCTTGAGCTGAGATCTGTTCCCTGAGTCAGCCCTTGGCTCCAGAAGCCCCAGTCACCATTCCTCGAACATGTTCTAGAGTTCCTCCAAGATGCAGGTCACTCTCCTCTGGAAAAGCCCTTTTTCCTTGTCCCTTGCACTGTGTAGTGCCCAGAGATACCATCAGCAAAGTATGTTTGGACAAGACGGTGGGAAAACTTTGCCACTCAGGAGAAGAATCTAGAAAGTGCACCCTTATCTGTAATAACAAGCACTATCCAATCCAGGTGTGCTTCACTCTAAGGAAAAAAAAAAAGATTTTAAAATCAAGAGGCCAGGTGCGGTGGCTCACTCCTGTAATCGCAGCACTTTGGGAGGCAGAGGTGGGTGGATCGCCTGAGGTCAGGAGTTTGAGACCAGCCTGGCCAATATGGTGAAACCCCATCTCTCCTAAAAGTAACAAAAATTAGCCAGGGGTGGTGGTGTGCATCTGTAGTCCCAGCTACTCAGGACGCTGAGGCAGGAGAATCACTTGAACCTGGGAGGCGGAGATTGCAGTGATCCAAGATCGCACCACTGCACTCCAACCTGGGTGACAGAGCGAGACTCTGTGTCAAATAAATAAATAATAAAATCAAGATAGCAATTTTTAAGTGAATAAATCAGCAAAACAGAATATACATTATTCACATACCAAATGTTTATTTTTTGTTACAAAAGAAATTCATTTCAACAGTTTTCCTACTTTATTTAAAATATTATTTTCATTAAAGATATGATTGGCAAAGGGTTCATCCCTATCTCTAAGTTAGGAAAAGATCCAACAAATTGGTAAAGAAGGTATTAGGACTTTAGTAAATAAATGGGAAAAGGGGACTGGGCGCGGTGGCTCACGCCTGTAATCCCAGCACTTTGGGAGGCAGAGGTGGGTGGATCACGAGGTCCGGAGTTCAAGACCAGCCTGGCCAAGATGGTGAAAGCCTGTCTCTACTAAAAATACAAAAAATTAGCTGGGCGTGGTGGCGGGTACCTGTAATCCCAGCTACAAAGGAGGCTGAGGCAGAGAACTGCTTGAACCTGGGAGGCCGAGGTTGCAGTGAGCCGAGATCGTGCCACTGCACTCCAGCCTGGGCGACAGAGTAAGACTCTGTCTCAAACAAAACAAAACAAAAAACATAGGCCGGGCATGGTGGCTCATTCCTGTAATCCCAGCACTTTTGGAGGCCGAGGCGGGCAGATCACAAGGTCAGGAGGTCAAGACCAGCCTGGTTAACATAGTAAAACCCCCTCTCTACTAAAAATACAAAACTTAGGGAGGCATGGTGGTGCACACCTGTAGTCCCAGCTACTGGGGAGGCTGAGGCAGGAGAATCACTTGAACCTGGGAGGTGGAAGTTGCAGTGAGGCGAGATCACACCACTGCACTCCAGCCTGGGTGACTGAGTAAGACTCCGTCTCGGGAAAAAAAAAAACAAAACAAAACGGGAAAAGGACCTGAATAATCAATTCACAGCCAAATAAACTTTTAAATAAATGTTCAATCTTAACAATAGTCAAATGCATGCAAATTTCTAAAAAAAATTATTTTTATTTAAAAATATTAATAAAATGCAATGCCTTATACCATCCAATTTATGGCGCACTGCTTGGCTGGCCTTATACATTTCCACAATCTCTTTGGAAAACAGTTTAGCAATGTGTCTTAAGAGAGACATTAACTGTTCTTACTCTTTCACCTAGTAAATCCATTCCTGAGAATTAAACTCTTGGGGAAAAAAATCCAGAAAGAAAAAGCCATCAACACAAAGATATTCATTATACAATTATCCTTAATTTTGAAAACTAAAAAGAGAAAAAAGCAGTCTAAATGATTAACAGAAGAAATGGTTATGTAATTTAGGGGAAATGAATGAAGTGGACCATCATGCAGCCTTCAAAAGTGATCAATGGCCTGGCATGGTGGTTCACATCTGCAATCCCAGCACTTTGGGAGGCCGAGGTGATCACTTGAGGCCAGGAGTTGAAGACCAGCCTGGGCAACATAGCAAGACATAGTCTCTACAAAATATAAAAATTTAGCCAGGCATGGTGGCATGTACCTGTAGTCCCAGCCACTTGGGAGGCTGAGGTGGAAGGCTCACTTGAGCCCAGGAGTTAGAGGCTACAGTGAGCCATGATTGCACCACTGCACTCCAGCCTGGATGACAGAGGAAGACCTTATCTCTAAAAATAAAATTAAAAAATAATTTTTTTTTTTGAGATGGAGTCTGGCTCTGTCGCCCAGGCTGGAGTGCAGTGGCGCTGTCTTGGCTCACTGCAAGCTCCGCCTCCTGGGTTCACGCCATTCTCCTGCGTTCATGCCATTCTCCTGCCTCAGCCTCCCAAGTAGCTGGAACTACAGGCGCCCGCCACCATGCTCAGCTAATTTTTTGTATTTTTAGTAGAGACAGGGTTTCACCATGTTAGCCAGGGTGGTCTTGATCTCCTGACCTCGTGATCCGCCTGCCTCGGCCTCCCAAGTGCTGGGATTACAGGCATGAGCGACCGCGCCTGGCCAAAAAAAACATTTTTAAAGTGAGTATTATGAAGACTTTAGCATCTTGATAAATGTTTATGGTTGAATGTTCAGAAAAAAATAAAAATTTAAACTATTATCTATGTTCTCTTATAACTTCTTTTTATATGTGAACAAAGAGTAGAAGGAAACCTGCTCCCTCCCACAGAATTCCCCCACCCAATAAAATTCAACTCCAGCCTTCTAGTTGCTGAGGCCAAAAGCCTGAAGATGAGCTGTTTTCAAAATAGGTTCAGTTTTGGACACTTTTCCCCTTGGCAGCTGCTGCCACCAGGGTCCAAGTCAGAGTTACCTCTTGCCTGAACCAACACAGTGGCCCCCAAACTGGCTTCCCTACTTCTACCCCTTAAAATCCATCTCCTGCCAGAGGGATTGTGTTCAAACATAAGACAGATACATCCTTCTCTGCCCAAAGCTGCCAGCGACATCCTGTCTCTCTCCAAGTAAAAGGCAATGCCCTGGCAGTGCCCCATAAAGCCCTAAAGGGTCTAGTCCTGCTAGCCCCTCTCTGAGCTTCTCCCCCACCACTGTCTCCCTTGAAGCCGACCTACCTCCTTGCTGTTCTTTAATCGGCCATGCTTCCTCCCACTGCAGGGCCTTTGCACTTACTGCTCCCAATGCCTGGAATGCTTTTCCATATGGCTTGTTCCATCAGCCACTCCCCATCTCCCCTCTCCCAGACCCTGGCAACCACCAATCTCTTTTACATCCCAATGTATTCACCTACTCTGGGCATTTCATATAAACGGAGTCATAAAATATCTGGTCTCTTGTGTCTGGCTTCTTTCATTTAGCATGATGTTTTCAAGACTTATCCATATCATAGCATGCATCAGTCCTTCATTCCTCATGACGGTCAAGTTATATTCCATCACATGAATAGACCACATTTTATTCATACGTTCGTCAGTTGATGGCCATTTGAGTTGTTTTCGCTATTATGAATGATGCTGCTATGAACATAGGTTTTCTTTCTGATTTTCTTTATTGTTCTTGAAAGGTTACTTGTCAATAAAAATTGTGTTCCTAAAAAGTCCCTATACCTCAACTTTCTAGCAGCACATGTATTGCCTAAAATGCGCAACACCTCTACTGCCTGCCCCGTCATATGTCATTAAAGCCCAGAATTGCACCCTTCCCTAGAGGAGTGAAAAGATGTCTGAGATGAGTCTTCAATCAGGAGATTTTTCCCTTTGTCACGCCTCCCTGTTAATAAACAGGAGGCATGGCAGAGCCTAGCGGGAAGGAGCTGGGCCCTGGGGAAACTTGCTCCCAAATGTTCCACTGCAGTGACTTCAGGCCAAAAAAAGTTGCTCTGAATACATGTGTTTCCACAGATGGGTTTTACTGCGTGGTCCCTCCAGCTATCATTGCCGAGCCACCTACTATGTCAGGATGGGGCAGGAAGTCAGAGGGGCTAGAGATGAAGGATTTCTATCCCCTACCTTGGAGGAGCTCCTAGCCTCTGAGGGCCTGGGCAGGTACACAGATCACCACAGGAGGAGGGAGACACCTCATGGGCAGCTCTCACTGGTCTATTCATCCTGCATGGAGAGACTCAGCAATGATTACTGACTAAAGAGATGAACTGTTACTACGACTTTGCACTTTCCACTCTTCTGTGGCCTTGAGAGAAATCAAGGCCCACACAGCCCTGGGCCTCAGGCCTCTCCACCTAGAAATTCCAGGGCTCTCCAAACTTTCACAATGAAAACTGAACTCATTACTCTCCCCAAAACCTGCCCTCTCTCCTGTGTTCCCATCTCAGCAGAGGGCCTCATCACATACCTAGGTGGTTACCAAACCAGAGTATCAGCCTCAATTCCTTCATCACTCATTCAGAAAAGATTCTTTGTGCATCTGTGATATTCCAGGCCCTATGCTAGGCACAAAGAAGAATGGAGTAACCCAGGGGAGGCGAAGTCCCTGCCTCCTGAACCTTAGAGTGGTTCTCAATGCTGCCAGATGCTCCCTTTTTATAACAAATATTTTGAATATCCTCTTTACCATACTGAAACGAAATTCATGGATAATCTAAACCACTTATACACATAATGAAAAAACAAAATCAATATAATGCTGCTACTGTAATATGAAAGAGAAATAAAAGGAATACTGTAATAAAATAATGGGTTTCAATACATAAATGCTCAGGCCTAAACTCTAAAAGACATTATGAAGCAGTCACATGCTTGCACCTACTTATAACAAGTAAGTTTGGATTTGAGAGAGGTATGATAATATTCAGGCCACAGTTTTTATCTTTGACATTTAAAAATAAGAGCTAAAAAAGTAGATGTTAATAGACCATGAATCACAGTGATGGTGACGTTCACAAATGCAGATGAATACAGGTGTGTTGTATGGGGTCAAGCAAAATTCTTTTTCTTTCTTTTTTTTGAGACAGGGTCAAGCAATCCTCCTACTTCAGCCTCCCAAGTAGCTGGGAATGCAGTCATGAGCCACCACTCCCAGCTAACTTTTTAATTTTTTGTAGAGATAGGGTCTTGCTATGTTGCTCAGGCTAGTCTGGAACTCCTGGGCTCAAGCAATCCTCCCGCCTCAGCCTCCTAAAGTGTTGGGATTACAGGCATGAGCTGCTGCACCAGGCCACATCAAGCAAAATTCTTAGTTGCCACAGGCATCTGGGTTAATTTCTTCTTTCTCAATCACAAGTCACGTTGCCATCTCCGATGTTACCTCCAAAATGGTGATCGAGTCTTGTTAAAGTTTTGAACAAAGTAAATTTTAGTCTTCCCTTGATTTGCATTCCTGGATAACTGAACATATGTTAAGATCACACAAAAAGGAGTTTATTTATAAAACAGAGTTGGGTTCCAAGCTCAGGTCATTATAAACAGGTTTGTTTCCTACAGGAGTATCTGGTTGATCTCCTCAAGGTCCTGCAGGACATGAGACATTCTCCAGTGGGCAGGATTGTCCCGGCATTACAGAACATCAGCATCCCCAAAACCCAGGCACTAAGTGGAAATAGTACCCTCTTGTCATTGCATCCACAAAACACCCATACAGCTCAAAACATTCCTTAGGGAGCAGTATCCCTCCCATACGAACACTGATCTAGAGGGTAAATATTCAAACAGTTGATCCCAATCCACTGAAACAAATGCTGTAATATGGATTCCAGGGTCTGTGGGTCCTCTAAGCCTGGGGTACCTCAAGAACTAGGGGAGATGAGAGTGTCATGGGGGTTAAAGCAGAGATTGTTACAAGCAGACAAGACTTAAGGGAGGCCAATTTTCCAAACAGAAAGAAGGGAAGGAAAAGGAGTGCCAGGCAGAAAGGATACCAGGAACAAAGGGCCAGGTGGGAAGAAGTGGGGAAAGGCAGGATCCAGACCACATGCACCTATCATGGCAAGCAGTTTGGACTCTGTCCTGGGGAGGTAATGGCACACCATCCAAGTCACCATGTGCTTTACTCATAAGTGCATTATTTTGCTTAATGAATGTTCACCAAAAGATTTGTCCTCCAGAGGCCCATTTGGGGATAGCATCTCTGGAGCCAGCCTAGAAATAAGGAAATAAATGCAATCAGGGGTGTTGATCAAATCAAATTGACCTGACTTATCTCCCATCTGTTTATACTGCAGGGACTGGCTTTGCTCTATCTGCCTAAGTCCATGGGTCAAGTTCAGAGGTTGCTATAAAAAGTGATAAAACTTCCCTCAAAGCAGATACTGACTCCCAGTCCCTCTCTCTTCCTGGAGTAGCTGAGCCTTGGGCTGCAAGGTTAATGGAGTAAATACTTGAAAGCCTATTCTCATAGTCTCTGGGGTGAACAAAGGAACTAGCTGCCCCTTTCAAAGGGACAACATTTATTCTCAGTATAGGTGCCAGGGCAATAGTGGAAGATCCTCCAGGCAAACCTGGGTCCCAGTTCTCACATTGACACTCTCCAGATGTGTGAATTTGACCTTCCATTCTCTCACCTGTAAAATGGAGTTATTAACACTCCCACGGAGAATTCAGAAGACTCTCTGATTAATGTGACACCTTATAACATCTTTAAAGATGTTTGAGTAAGCTGAAGCTAATAGAATGACAAAAGACTTTGATATACTTTGGATATTTGTCCCCGCCCAAATCTCATGTTGAAGTGTAATCCCCAATGCTAGAGGTGGGGCCTGGTGGAAGGTGTTTGGGGCCAGGTCCCCCATGGCTTGGTGCTGTCTTTGTGATAGTGAGTTATAGTGCGATCTGGTCATTTAAAAGTGTATGGCACCTCCCCCTTGCTCCTGCTTTCCACCTGTGTTACGCAAGCTGCTGTTTCACCTTCTGCCGAGAATAAAAGCTTCCTGAGGCCTCATCAGAAGCCATGTTTCCTGCACAGCCTGCAGAACCATGAACCAATTAAACCTCTTTATAAATTACCCAGTCTCAGGTATTTCTTTATAGCAACACAAGAATGGTTGCGGTCACACAGACCTGCTGAAGCTCCCATTCTCCTGGGCTGATCAGATCAGAAGATGCAGGGAAACTGATTAAATGAGAACCCTCCCTACACAAACTTCCCAACAATCCTCCAAACACAGAAATGAACATCTAATCATTCAGGGCCTGCCTCTGAGGAACCCATAGTAGCCTGGGAGAGCCACAAAGATAGCTCTGGAAGACAGTTCATATTATGACAAGATGCTTCAGAGACATCAATGTGACCTGAGTTGATAGAGCTTGGGAAGGGTTAAGGGATTCCCAGGTAGTTTCTTTTGTTCCTTTTGTGTAAACCATGATGCCAGGCCTCTACAGACACAGGGACCCCAGCTCACTGGGATTCTCCCAGAGGTCTTGCAGAACCACCTTAAGTGTGATGAAGAGCTCCTCTTGATGATGAAAGCAGCCTGTTCTTAAAAAGTATGAGGATCTGGCCAGTTGCGGTGGCTCACGCCTGTAATCCCAGCACTTTGGGAGGCCGAGGTGGGCGGATCACCTGAGGTAAGGAGTTCAAGACCAGCTTGGCCAACATGGTGAAACCCTAGCTCTACAAAAAAAAAAAATACAAAAAAAATACAAAAAAAAAAAAAAATTAGCTGGGCATGGTGGTGGGCGCCTGTAGTCCTAGCTACTCAGGAGGCTGAGGCATAAGAATTGCTTGAACCTGAGAGGCCAAGGTTGCAGTGAGCCGAGATTACATCACTACACTCCAGCCTGGGTGGCAGAGTGAGACTCCATCTCAAAAAAAAAGTATGAGGATCTAAGACATTTGGGGTGCTATTTTCACCCTACGGACACCCCCACCTTCCTCTCTGATACTGAAAGCTTGGCAAGTGTAATCACCCGATGGGTTCTTCCTACCCACTGCAAAGACAAAACCATTATATGTTGGCTTAGTTAACAGACTTTTATGAAAAATAATCATATATTTGAAGACAAAAATATTTATTGAGAAGAGTGGCATTGTTTTACATGCTTGCAAATGTCTTTAGAGCTTGGCTTAATAGAAAACTGCTCGGGCTGGGCACAGTGGCTCACACCTGTAATCCCAGCACTTTGGGAGGCTGAGGCAGGCGGATCACGAGGTCAGGAGATCGAGACCATCCTGGCTAACATGGTGAAACCCTGTGTCTACTAAAAATACAAAAAAATTAGCCGGGCGGGAGTCTGAGGCAGGAGAATGGCATGAACCCGGGAGGCAGAGCTTGCAGGGAGCAGAGATCACACCACTGCACTCCAGCCTGGGTGACAGAGCGAGACTCTGTCTCAAAAAAACAAAAACAAAATAGAAAACTGCTGGATTCTCACATTTGCTTCTTCATTCAACCTGTTGCAATATCACATACCCATATAACTTCTGGAAATCTTCACTCTACACTTGTGAGAAAATGAGAATGAAAAAGGCAAATAATGTCTCAGTATTATTATGAGATATTGTTGCCCTTGCAGACTCTCTGAAAAGATCCCAGAGACCCCAGGAGACCCACGATCACACTTTGAGAGAGGCCATTCTAGAAGCAGTTGGGACTTTACCCAGAAGCCCACACTCCAGAGACCCTTCCACAAGGGCTTCAGCTGTCTTGATGCCATTCCAGCAGCAGAGGGTCTGTTCATTAGCAAAATGGATGGCTGAAATAATTGTCCATTGATCAAATGAGTGGTATTTTAGATATGTGAAGGGTTGTCCAAGTACCTCTGCCCTTACACAGACAGACAGGACACAAAAACCTAGGGAGTTTTGATGGGGTCTAGGTCTTAGGAGTCCGTCTGGTCAGGTTCAAGCTTCTGAGTAAGAATGCAGTTGCCTGATCCCAAATTGAAGGTTGTTCAAATCTTGCTCCTTAAATATTGTTTGCAACTTCCTTGAATGAAATCCCTCCCCCCTATTTTCTGAGACAGAGTCTCACTCTGTTGCTCAGGCTGGAGTGCAGTGGTGCAATCTCAGCTCACTGCGGCCTCAACCCCTCAGGCTCAAGTGATCTTCCCACCTCAGCCTCCTGAGTAGTTGGGACTACAGGCGTGTGCCACCACGTCCAGCTATTTTTTGTATTTTTTTTAGAGATGGGGTTCTCACTATGTTGCCCAGGCTGGTCTCAAACTCCTGAGCTCAAGTGATCCTCCTGCCTCAGCCTCCCAAGGTACTGGGATTATAGGCATGAGCACTGCACCCAGCCTGAACTAAATCTTTCAAGAGGAAAGTTTATTGAAATATGCAAAAGGTCAGGGAGCTAGGCCTTCATTGAGCTCATAGAGAAGGTTATATGACTGTTGGGGACCTGCTTGCTGATAAGTGATGGTACAAGGTGTGGACTTCAGTCTGAGACTTGCTTGCCTCAGACCCCCTCATAGCAAGGTTTGTGGAAGGAAACACAACACCCCTACCTACCACTCATTACTGGAGATTACTGAGATCTGCAGTAAAATGAACCTAGTTGTGGATGAATTGGTTTAGGTCATTTCATGATAGATACGGCCATAACAGGAGAGAGGTGAGGGGGGCGTGGACCACAGTGATAGCAATGGAGTGCTAAGAAGTGGCTGGCTTCTAGATATGACTGGCTGTGCTAATGGACTGAGGGGTCTGAGGGAAGGAGAGAAATCAAGGGTGCCTCCAAAGATGTCAAAGGCATCCAAGAGGTGGGTGGGACACGATCCAGAAGAAGCAGATTTGTGGAGGAAATTGACCCCCTCCTCCCTCAACAACAGGACAGTCGCCATCCAGCTGGGGTCCCATTTGAGCCATCCAGTAACTTCTCACATCCAGAGTAGCTTCTGGGGAAGGCTCTAGGGCAGGTCAGTCTCCCGGAAGAGAGAAAGGGGTTTCATTCTGTTGGCTCTGCGCTAAACGACTGGTCACTAAATCCTCCAGTAAGAAAATCTTTTTCAAGTCAGAATATTTGGGGATCTAGTTGATTAAATGTATGAACAGGTCCAGGAAAATGTACTCTTTTAAAGGGTGTTGATTTTACATTTGCTAAGACCATGTGCTAGACCCTGGGAGATTCCTCTGTGTCTGGGGATACAGACGAACATGTGGTCCCAGCCCTGGTCCCAGCCCTCCTGTTTCTTAGTGTTTGAGAGGGAAAAATAACCCTCCTCAGGACAAAAAAAAAAACAGTCCCAGGGTGTGTATTTATTTATCCACCAAATACTCATTAAGAACCTACTATGTGCAAAATGCTAGAGAAACAGAGACAAGCTGTTCAGTGCTAGGATATAGGCCAGGTTAAACAAGGGGTTGCAGGGTATGTGTGTGTGAGAGAGAGAGGGAGAGAGAGAGAAAGAGAGAGAGACTGAGGCAGACCTAGTAACTGCTCACACACTATAAATCACAGCCATGTCAGGGAAGACGCCAAGATGACAATGCTTTATAGGTAAAGATAAGAGTAAGATTTGAATTGCCCCTAAGATAGAGAAGATTCCCATGAGCCAAGATAGCAGGTGGGGTCCTGAGCTGATAAAAAGTAGAGGTGGGATAGTAAAGGATTTGAGTGGAGGACTGGGGAATGACTCACAGGGCCCACAGAGCTGCTAGAAGACAGGCTGCAGGCTTCGTTTACTTTAAGAGATGGTCCCACCCAGACCTTGGGCCCAGGGATCTTCCATCTCTGTCATTAAGATCTACCTAGATTCAGGCTGAGACGGGCGGATCACAGGGTCAGGAGATCAAGACCATCCTGGCTAACACAGTGAAACCCCGTCTCTACTAAAAATACAAAAAAATAGCTGGGCATGGTGGCAGGCGCCTGCAGTCCCAGCTACTTAAGAGGCTGAGGCAGGAGAATGGCAGGAACCCAGGAGGCGGAGCTTGCAGTGAGCCAAGATCGCGCCACTGCACTCCAGCCTGGGCGACAGAGCGAGACTCCGTCTCAAAAAAACAAAACAAAACAAAAACAAACAAACAAAAAGATCTATCTAGATTCTAAGTCTTAGAAGAACAACTTGCAGATTGAGTTGTTCTGCAGTAAATGCTACAAGGCTTCTCTGGGATGAGAGGTCATCTTGATCACAAAGTGCATCATCATCACAAACGAGCACTTGGGCAGCAGGTCAAGATGACCTCTCATCCCAAAGAAGCACTTGGTAGCATTTATTCCTGTTTTCCTTCCAAATTTTAAAATAAACTTCATTGTGTGAATCAGAAATGAAAAAAAATAAGCTAACATTTAATGAGTATCTGGCACCCCTGCTGCCTTTTCCTTTTACATTATTTACAAGACTGCAATTGACAAGGAGTCAGCCCCCTTTAAACACTGGTAACCACGTTTCCCTGTCCTAGACTGTGTGATCAAGAGAAGAGTCCGGCAGGGCACGGTGGCTCATGCCTGTAATCCCAACTTTGGGAGGCTGAGGAGGTCAGGAGTTCGAGACCAGCCTGGCCAACATGGTGAAACACCGTCTCTATTAAAAATACAAAAATTAGCTGGGTGTGGTGGCTCCCACCTGTAGTCCCAGCTACTCAGGAGGCTGAGGCAGAAGAATCACTTAAACCCGGGAGGCAGAGGTTGCAGTGAGCTGAGATCATGCCCCTGGGCGACAGAGTAAGACTGTCTCAAAAAAAAAAAAAAAAAAAAAGAAAAAAGAAAAGAAAAGAGTCAGGGCCCAGATTTAAATCTACCTGTTACCAGCTATGTGACCTTGGGCAAGTCACCTTCTCTGAAACTATTTCTTCACCTGTGAAATGGGATAATAATATGAAACTCCACAGACTGAGGAGGCTATTGTGGAATAATCAAATTCAGTAAATATAGCACATCCAGTACAATTCTGGGCACTAGATAAGTAATCAGTAATGTTTTATTCTTCTCCCTCGGCCCATCCTCCCTCCCAGCAAACACACACACTCTGCTCCTCAGGGACCACACTCAACATCAGGGAGCAGCTAAAGCACAGGATTTGGAATCAGAGAACGACGTTAGAGCTTTGCTTTGCCACTTCCCAGCTGGGGGGCATCAGGCAAGTCATTTGGCCTCTCTGAGCCCCAGGTTTCTTATCTGTAACATGGGAATTGTGTTCCTTGCCCCTCCTCACAGCATTGCTCAAGAGAGAGAGCTTCAGATAGGCCATGGTAATAATGATCCAAAAAGATTTTTTTTTTTTTTTGAGATGGAGTTTCGCTCTTGTCGCCCCGGCTGGAGTGCAATGGCACGATCTTGGCTCACAGCAACCTCTGCCTCTCGGGTTCAAGTGATCCTCCTGCCTCAGCCTCCTGAGTAGCTGGGACTACAGGCACGCCACCACGCCAGGCCAATTTTTTGTATTTTTAGCAGAGACAGGGTTTCGCCATGTTGACCAGGCTGGTCTCAAACTCCTGACCTCAGGTGATCCGTCTGTGTCGGCCTCCCAAAGTGTTGGGATTACAGGTGTGAGCCACCGCACCTGGCCTAAAAGGATTTTTGAGAGGAATTTTCTAGTTCAGTTGGTTACCTCTATTTCTCTCCTATGAGAGGAAGGGCTCCCGGGACTGAAAACACAGTCCTCTTTGTATAGGTTCCAGATTTTCTACCTGGAACACCTGGTATGCAAATAAGCAGCATGTTAGCAATTGTACAAGAATGCGCCAGAGCAGGATCTGAACACACAGAATTCTGGCTTGTTCATGCACAGTGTGGAATCTAATAAGATGGGAAGAAGGAAAACTTGTGTAATAGTGGTTATGTGGTTTCAAAAGGGTTTCCTTTTCCCCAACTCCAACACAGGAAAAAGGGGAGGTACAGAAGAGAGAATCTTTTAAATGTGCCTTCTCTGCTCTAAAATTCCACATGCTCCAAATCTCTGGGGACACATCCTGCCTTCTTTCCCATGGGTTAGGCCCCTATTGCATGTGTCCACAATGATGAAAAGATGGTGAGGTGACCCCTGAAGGCTGGTCACCAATCCCCAGGCTAATGAATTGCTTCTTACCCCTCTGATAGCAATTGATGGTGCCTCTGAAGACTCTTGTGATTTTAACAGGGTGACATGTCTGTTTAGCTGATGGCTGCTGTTCTCACCAGGGAGTGGCAAAATAAGGTTGGAAAACCCCAACCAGTAGCCTCAGATATAAAAGAAAACTAAAAGCATGAGGGATCATCTGCCAAACTTGAAGCCCTGTTCCCATCAGAACCCACAAGCTTCAGCAGCCTAAGCACTCTCAAAGTATGGTTCCAAGACCAGCTGCATCAGTGTCACCCAGGAACCCTTTCGATACCCACATTCTTAGCCACCCCAGACCTTCTAAATCAGAAAATCTAGGGGTGCAGCCTCCCAAGTAATTTTGATACATGCTCCCAGGTGGTTTCAGAACCACTATCCTAAAGTAACAAACCACGCATTTTAAAGCATAAAGTCTTGATCTCGCCCAGGCATGGTGGCTCACGCCTGTAATCCTAGTACTTTGGGAGGCCAAGGCAGAAGGATCACTTGAACCTGGGAGTTGGAGACCAGCCTGGACAACATAGTGAGACTCCATCTCTATTTTTTTTTATATATATAAATAAAAAAAAATCCTGATCTCTTCAAAGTCCACTGGCAGTTGTGGAATGGTATGTTGAGCCAGTGCCTGGGTCCAGTCCAGGTTCTACTAATTCCCAGCTGTGGGACCCTGGGCAAGTTACTGAACCTCTCTCAGCCCAACTCTTTGCCTATAATATGGAGATAATACCTACTGATTCAGTTGTCCTGAGTTTAGAAATAACAGTTGTATGGGCTGGACCCCAAAAAGATAGCGGTGACTCCATTTGGTGGATGGGGAAGGAGTTCAGAACATGCCACCACAACATATGCTGCTCTGGCATATTGAGTATTTGAGTTAAAGGCACTTGAAAAATAGCAGATGCAAGAAGGGCACTCTTGATCATCCTTCTTTTTCTAAAAAACAGGAGATGAGGCCGGGCATGATGGCTCACATCCTATAATCCCAGCACTTTGGGTGAGAAGCCAAAGTGGGTGGATTGCTCGAGCCTGGGAATTCAAAACCAGCCTGGGCAACACGGCAAAACCCCATCTCTACAAAAAAAATACAATAATTGGCCGGGCGTGGTGACTCAGGCCTCTAATCCTAGCACTTCGGGAGGCTGAGGCAGGTGGATCACCTGAGGTCAAGATTTCGAGACCAGCCCAGCCAACATGGTGAAACCTCTCTCTACTAAAAATACAAAAAAAAATTAGCTGGGTGTGGTGGCATGCCCCTGTAGTCCCACCTACTAGGGGAGGCTGAGGCAGAAGAATCGCTTGAACCCAGGAGGCGGAGGTTGTAGCGAGCCAAGATCGCGCTACTGCACTCCAGCCTGGGCGACAGAGGGAGACTCCATCTCAAAAAAAAAAAAAAGTATTTAGATTTTGCCAGTTCTCAGGGTCTTCATTTCCTTATGAGGGCTTCCACGTCATGTAAAACTTGTATTAAATCTGTTTTTCTCCCCTTAATCTGTCTTATGCCAAATTAATTCTCAAGCCCAGCCAAAGACCCTAGGAGGGCAGAGGTAAAGTCCTGCTTCCCTTACAATGGCATCTGCTTAAAAGCTCCAAAAAATGTCTTGGCCTTTGTCACACTTCTGTGGACACAGTCAAGTCCTTTAAATCCTCTCAAGTCTCACGTTTGTAACCAAGCCAAGTAAATCCTGTCCTGCTCCCTAAGGAACACAGAAGGTCTGAGATGCCCTGCCTAGGCCGCGCCCAAAGGCCAGATGGGCTTCCCGAGGCCTGGCCGGGAGGGCCTCAGATGTCAGCTTGACTGACCCCCTCCTTCTCCCCAGAGGGACAGGGCCCGGGTAAGGGCTTGACCAAGGTCGCGACGCGAGACGGTGGCGGAGCCCGGCCCCAGCTAGATCCACGCACTCACAGTCCTCGCTGCCGCCCCCGCCCCAGGTCAAGGGGCGCCACTCGCCCCACTGCCCGCCTCGAGAGGGTTTTTTCCCAGGCCCCGCACCCTCACGCCGTGCGACCTGGACTCCCACGGCGGGACCCGGGCTCACACCTCTTCCTGCTGCGGGGCGGAGTCGCCGCCGCTCCGGGTCTTTGTCCCCGCCTCCGAGACCCCCGCGCGCCCCCAGCACTTCCGGCCGCGGGAGCCAAGGGTTCGTGCCGGGCAGCGTCTCCCGGGGCCAGGTCGCCTCCTGCCGGGACCCGGGCGCGCTGCAGCCGCGGAGCCGGGTGCCCCGCCCTCTTCCCGCCGGCGGCGGAGTCGCTGCCGCTCCGGGTTCCCGTCCCCGCCTCCGAGACCCCCGCGCGCCTCCTCCAGGCGAGCTGCGGGGCGGGAAGGGTCCGGCCACCGTGGGCCGCTGCCAGCCGCGGGGCTGCCGAGGGCCGCGGGCACGGGGCGCTGGCTCCGGGTCTGGCGGCCGCTGATGGGAGTCGGAGCCCGGGCGGGCGAGCGGCGGCGCGGCGGCCACCATGGGGAACAAGCAGACCATCTTCACCGAAGAGCAGCTAGACAACTACCAGGTGAGCTCGGCGCGCCCGGCCCCCAACACAGGCCCCGCCGCCCCGCCGCCCCTCCCTTTTCTCGGTCGCTGGCCGAGGCCTCCCGAGAGCCAGCTCTCCCAGGTTCAAACCCTGCCTCTGCCTTCAGCTCGACGCGTGACCTTGGGCCGGTGACTTCCCCTCGCCGTGCCTCAGTTTCCCCACCGGTGGAATAAGAGCTCTTTCCAGTTGGAAGAACCTCTCAGGCGCGCCTCTCTCCAGCTACTCTCGCCCTAGGCAGGACCCGAACCCCTCTCCAGCCACCCATTCCAGCGCCCATCTGGCCCGGAGAGGGAGTCAGTAAACTAGGCTGGACGGAGGACCGCCCTCCCCGCTCCCTGCCCCCCAGCCCCAGGAAGGAGCCCAGGAGAGCGAGTCTCTGTAAAGCAGAAATGAGAGCTGGCGTCCTGTCTGGTCTAGGAGTGGGGTGCATCAGTCCCCACATGCAGTCTTCCCTTGGGACTGTCTTGTTTATCGGCTGGGGTTCGCTCCTTCTGACCCCAGCATGGAGATAACTGGAGCAAGAACGCAAGCCCGGTAGCAGCCTTCCAGGGCCACCTCTCCCAGCTCCCTTAGGCCCTCAGTAGCCACCTCCTTAGACCTTTCTAGGTTTTCCTGCCTCCAGAGCCAGCTTTCCAGATCTGGAATCCCAATACCGTCCCACCCAGGTAAAAACTTCGCTGTGGTTGCAGGATGAAGCCCAACCCCTTGGCTTACCCGGAGCCCTGGCCAATTGCTCAGCTTATCTCTGCAGCCTCAGTCTCCCCAGGTCCCTTCCCTGCCCTCTGCATGGCAGCCGCCTTAAAACCATTTGCAGTTGCTCCAGCTCACCAGGCTCATTCCTCCCTCCCTCTCTCCCTCTGCCCATGCCATTTCCTGGGCCTGGATGCCTTTCCCCCCTCCAGAGGATCTCTTTCACCCTTCAAGTCCCACATCTGATGCCTCTCCCCTGACTCCCCAGGCGGAGGGGGCAGGATTGTGTTGTGGCCTGTGTAACTGGGCAGGAGGAACACCAACAGGGTCTCCATAGGCACTTGTTGCCTTCATCAGTGCTTACTTTGGCTGTGAAGGAAAGCAGGTGTGAAGTGTGGGTCCTCTGATGTGGGTGAAGGTAAAACAAAGGCCCCTTCTCCTCCTAGAAGCCCTAGTTGTCAGTAATGGATTTCTCAGCTCCCCAGGTGAGGCCCTGGGAAGGAAGAGGGGAGACGCATTTATGGAGCACCTGCTGTGTACCAGGCACAGTAATTGATGCCCTCTACGCATCAACTCACTTGATCATCACAGTGAGGTGGATTATTAGCCCATTTTACAGACGTGTAAACAGAGGCTGAGGAGCCATTCAGGGCTCACACAGGATTTCGAATCTTGACTCCTAGGCTCACTTCTTTAGTTGGGAGTGGGCTGGGCTGGGCCATGTGTGCTTTTTGTTCCCAAGGCACTCAGTCTCAGACACTCAGAGACAGACTCTCACCTCCAGTGTGTGGCCCTTGTGATAGAGGCAGGTGGTGGAGTGTGTTCTAGGGAAGGGCACTAGTGGGCAGTGGGAGGCCAGCAGGGAAGGGGGACAAAGTCCAGAAACGATACAGCACTTGAGCAGGCCTTGGGAAGATAGGTCGGGTTTTGCCCAGTGGGGCCCAGAGGAGGCATTCCAGGTGGAGGGGACAGCGTGGATAAAGGCTTGGGAGTGGGCAGGGGCAAGCAGGCAAGCCATGCTCAGAAGTGAGGAGTAGCTTCATGGGGGTGGGGAGCCCAGGTTCCCACTCCAACCAGCCTGGCATTGGGTTACTCATCGGAGCCAGTCCCAGTGTTATGTTCTGATTCTTTGCCAGAGCCTAGCTAGACCCTGCCAGGCGGGGTGGGAGAAATGAGAGCTGTGAAACCTGAGAGCCCCACATCTCCTACCCTCTGGCTCTCCAGCCAGCCATTGCCAGCCCGGGCTGAGTGGGGGTGAGCCTGAGTTACAGCACCCTCTCCCCTAAGTGACACCTAGGGTTTCTTGGGACCTCCCAGCCTGGTAGTCTAACCTTTCCTGGGCAGGGTGCACCCTCTTGGTTCCCGGTGCCGGTGATTCCCAACATTTAAGCTTCTGTCCAGAACACTCCTCTGCATTGTACGGCCATCCCCCAGACCCCTCAAACTCCAAAACAGGGGTCACAGCCTCTCCAACACCCACTGCTGCTCCTCCAGCCATTTCAACTCTCTGCTCTCCCTCAGCCCATGTTTTCAGTTAAGAACAAGGCCTGTGACTCAGCCTCTTTTGTGGGTCACCTGGAGGTCCCCTCCTCCATCACGACAGCCAGGGCCCTGGGCTAGGCCTGCTCAGTCTCCTGCAAACTGGAGGTCTGACTGCTCCCTCCTGCGCCCCTCCTGCCCATCCCCCTCCAGCCACCCGCCCTCTTAGTTCTCTCACTCTTCCTTCATCTCTTTCTTTCTCTTCCTTTTTTTTTTTTTTGAGACGGAGTCTCGCTCGCCCTGTCACCCAGGCTGGAGTGCAGTGGTGTGATCTCGGCTCACTGCAACCTCCGCATCCCAGCTCCGCCTCCCAGGTTCAAGCAATTTTCCCTGCCTCAGCCTCCCAAGTAGCTGGGATTACAGGCACCCACCACCATGCCCATCTAATTTTTGTATTTTTAGTAAAAACAGGGTTTTGCCATGTTGGCCAGGCTGGTCTCAAACTCCTGACCTCAGGTGATCCACCTGCCTTGGCCTCCCAGAGTGTTGGGATTACAGGTGTGAGCCACCGCGCCGGGCCTCCAGCCTCATTTCTTACTCCCTTTCCCTTTGCACCCAAAGTTTTAGGCACACTGAAGGGCTTCTAGCCAAGCCCTCCCTCACCTCTGGCCCTTGTTCTCCTGCTGCTCTCCCTGCTCCTTTGCTAACCTAGTCTGGCCCATCTTTCTGTCCAGGCCAGGCCTCACCTCTTTGGGACGGGCTCCCTGACTCTCTCTCCACCAATCCATTCAGCTGGGAGTACTCAGGGAGCCTGACACATATACATCCCCAGTCCCTTGTGTGGCCACAGAATGGTTTATACTGGGCACCTCACTGTTTACACTCCAGCTTCCTTCTTGTATGGCCTCTGTCCAGGCACAAAAGAGATGTTTGGAGGATGTTGTCAAATGAATGAACAAATATTTGTTAAGGCGTGGCTCCAGGAGAGCAAAGAACTCTAGACAAAGATTCTGAAGCCCTAGATTCAAGTCAGCTGGGTAGTTGATGCTGTGGGCCTTAGCAAGCCACTGTTCCCTTCTGGGCCTAAGTGTCTCCACCTCTAAAATGGGAACTACTAACCCAGCTGTGCTCATGTCACAGGGTTCTTGTGGGGATCAACTAAGATCACTGGAGACTGACCTTGAGCCGTGTGATGGTCCCCTGGGCAGTGCTGAGGCCTGAGCTGGCAGAGCTGGATGGAGAGCCATTTCCATTAGAGCTGGGAGGGCCCATGGCTCGGCTCCTGACAGCTGGCACAGGCAGACCAGGCATGTAGGAGATGGGAGGCAGGTGGGTTACCTGGAACAAGTCACCCTTGAGTTGAGCTTTGGAGAAAGGGTTTGGACAACCTGGAGAAAGAGGAGAGGGCACTCCAGTTGGGGAATAGGGTGAATATAGGCTCGGAGGCAGAACTCAAGCCTTAACTGGGAAAACGTCTGGGCTTCTACTGTAAAAGCCCAGCCTGTCCTGTTTTCTGCTGCCAATGTTCTGAGAGCCCATCACTCCTGGGTTAGGCCCCCTCTCTCCTTCCCTCCCTTCCACTCCTCATGACCCAGACCTGACCTTTGCCGGAAGACCTGTCCCTGTGTCCCTGTGTACTGTCAGGAACCAAGCAGTGATGGGGCACTTGCTCTCCAAAAGTGTAAGAAAGGGTTCCTTCAGACATAGGGCTGTAGCTCCCAGGGCAGCTGAGGGTGTAGTGGTGGGCAGGGTGTTTGGTGACTCCAGAGAAGGGAAAGACAGCAGAGCTACCGACTCTGGGGAGATGCCTTTGGGACCTGGGTGGTGGATGGAGCTGTTGTACTCTTTCCTATCAGCTGGGGCCTATAGACTTCCTGTACCTTATCTCATTTGCTCTTCACACTGTCCCCTTCAGAGAGGCCTATTTCCACTTTACAGATGCAGAAACTGAGGCTCAGAAAGGAGAATGACTTGCCTAAGGGTCTGAAGCTAGACTAGAATTTGACCCTGACTACCAAACCTTTTCCCCTGCCACACTTCTAGGCCACCCTGAGCCCTGAGAAGCTTTTAAGAACACCTGCCATATTCACTACCTGTGCACTGCCTCCTTGGGGTGAGTCCCAGGGAAACAAGTGAACAGAAGAAAAAGTGAAACATCAGTTGATGAGCAGGTTCATGGCAGTTTTGTCAGTGATGTTAAAACCAAGAAATAGGTGTTACTAAATGTTCAGAAAGAGAAGAAAGATTAAGACTAGGCAGGGACTCTGCAGCCACTGAAATAACGTAACTGCTGTGGAAGGCATAGATGGAAAAGTCTGGTCACTCATCCCACAAGCCTGTATTAAGCACCTGCTGTGTATAAGTATAGGAATACACAGCAGACGCAGGACATGGAGTGGCTGGTGTACAGTGGTCATGGCTCTGTTTGTAGTCATAGGCAGTGGCCAAGAAGCACAGAGGATCTTTTCTTGCCTCTGCTTCCTTGCCAGTGAGGGCCCCAAGGTCTACTCCCATTAAAAAGAAAAAAAGAAGGCTATGCGTGGTAGCTCATGCCTATAATCCCGGCACTTTGGGAAGCCTAGTTGGGTGAACACCTGAGGTCAGGAGTTCGAGACCAGCCTGACCAATATGGTGAAACCCCATCTCTATACTAAGAATACAAAAATTAGCCAGGCATGGTGGCGCATGCCTGTAATCCCAGCTACTTGGAAGGCTGAGACAGGAGAATCACTTGAACCCAGGAGGCGGAGGTTGCAGTGAGCTGAGATCATGCCACTGTACTCCAGCCTGGGTGACAGAGCAAGACTCCGTCTCAAAAAAAAAAGGGGGGGGGGCAGGGGAAAGGGAAGCACAGAGGCCTAAGTTCCATTCCCAGCCCTCCTGGGCTGTGTGTGCAACTTAAGGCAAGCTACTCAACTTTGCTGAGTCTCAAGTTGCCCATCTTTAAGATAGAGAGATAATGCCCACCCCCATTGGCTAATGATAAGGATTAAGAAAAATTGGATATTTAGAGCCCCAGGTGCCAGGTGCATGGTACATCATGTACTGGTTGTGATGTGGTTTTCAGCCTGGGTTGCACGTTGGGACCACCTGAGTGGCTTTGAAAACAGCCAATGCCTGGATCCATCCTTGGGGATTTCTCTACAATTTGTCTGGGGTCTGCTGAGGGATGGGGGACACAGGTATCCTAAACAGTCCCCCAAGTGATTCTGCTCTAGAGCAGACTTCCTCACACTTCAACATGCATCAGCATCATTGGGAGGGTTTTTTAAAGTGCAGATCCCTGGACCCCACCCACAGAGTTTCTGATTCAAGAGATCTGGAGTGGAGCCTAAGAATCTACATTTTCACCAAGTTCCCAGTGAGGCTGATGCTGCTGGTCCAGGAGCCACAGCGTGAGGACCATTGATGTAGGGAGGTGTAAGTAATTGTGACAGGGAGCAGGGTTATAGGGGAAGTGTTTGCATCTTTTGTCAGGAGAACCCTTGAATCAGGACCTGGATAGTTCCTTTCCAACACATGGGATAGGAGAGAGAAGAGGGGAGGGGAAGGAGGACAGATCGGGGGGAAGAGAGCAGGAGTTGGGACCTCTCCCCATTTCCAGTTCTGCTGACTGCCTCCTCCAGGCTAGGTGGGAGAGCCCTGGCCCTTCTCACTGGGCACCTTAGACCATGGAAACGGCCCTGGGGTGGAGGGAAGTCCACATTCTGCACCATGTTTCTGGAGTTTGCTGATAAATCAGCCCACTGTGTCTCCAGCCTGTCTGTGCCTGAGGCCTGCTAAGTAGGGAGTTTTCTGTCTGTGTTGGGTGAGGAGCAGGGGGCACTGCTTCCCCAGCCTGAGCCTTTCTGGGCTCCTACAGAGGAACCACTGTCAAAAGCAAAGCTGAGACCCCCAGGAGAACCCCTCGTGTTTCCAAGAAGCCAGCATGGATCCTTAGTCTAACTCCCAGGGAGCAGCAGCTTAGAAGGACAGACTTGTTGGGCCAAATGGGGCCTGGAAATTCCCACCAGCTCTCCCCTTTTCAGCTCTCCCGAAGGCACCCAGTGGAAACCCCAGATGTTGTGTGCATCCTGCAGGCGTCCTCTCTTTGGGCCTCTTAACACGCAATCCAATTGCCCTGATGTCCAGCGGCTTCAGGTCTCATTCAGGGCAAGCCTGGCTGTTTGCAGGCCTGAGTTTCAGCCATTCACTCCTCATCAGAGCTGGCTCTGGTCAGCTTATGGCCCCAGGAGGCCCTATGGGCTCTGGGCTCTGCAGACCTAGGAGGCCTTCTTGCTTCATGCTGTAACAGTGGACAAAGGCGGAGGAGCTAAACAGCAGGGGAGGTGCACAAAAGCCCTTTACGGTTGGGCATTTTACAAAGTGCTGGGTCCTCTTCACCTCTATACTTTTCACCAAGGGCTGGCATAGTGGCCATTGTCACTGACTCCCAGTGGTTGATACTCACCTTGGGCAGGCCAAGCTGTGGATAGAGGCAGTTCATCTAAACAAAGACAGGACCCCTCCGAGATGAGTTTGTCATCTGGATGGCCCTAGGAGCCAAGTGCTGCCCCCCACCTGGAGTAATGCTTACCTGGGGATCCCCAGCAGCCCCTACCCTCACCTCTACCCCAGATGCTACCTGGTTCCCCCTGCCCACGTTTCTCCCTCCCATATCTCCCTGGCCTCTTCACTCCCTTCTCTGGGTGACCTCATCCCTTTCTGGCTTCAGACACCAAGTATATACTGATGCTTCCCCAGTCTATGTGCCTGGAACTCTCAGTCTCTGAGCCTGGGACTGCACAACCCCCCTAGCACCATGCTCAGGGCTACAGTGAGGATGGCACCCCATGCAGCTACACGAGGTGGCCCTGTGGGTCCTCATTCGGAGTTGTCTCCCAGCCACCTCCCTGTCATCCCCCAGTGTATCCCACTGGCACTCAAATCAGCCACGCATACCTGTGAGCATTCATCTTCCTCCTACATGTGTACCCTAAAGCATGCTACAGCCCCCCACCATGCACTAAGCTCCTTAGGCCTAGCCCAGGATGGATAAAGGTTTTGGGAGGCATTTTCTATACCTACTAGAGCCAGCTGTCCCCAGTGGGTGAGGGCAAGGTGGAAAGGGATAGTAGTGACTCTTCTGTCCCCAGTCCGGAGCTATCCCCTGTGAGCCCTGTGGCATCGAGGCCTCTGAGGAAGAAAGTCTGGGAGCCGCACACTGACTGTGTGTTGTGTGTTTTCCCTCAACAGGACTGCACCTTCTTCAATAAGAAGGACATCCTCAAGTAAGTGTGGCTTCTCGTTCACCCTGTTGGGACTGGGACTGGGGCCGGGGTGAGGCTGGGGCACCCCACATGGGCTGGCTGTGCTCCTGGGGCTGAGGCAGAGCATCAGCATGTATCAGGAGCCACATTCAGGTCCCCACTCGGCCACTGGGCTAGGATGGAGTTAGAGCTTCCCACTCCTCCCAGGGCCCAGATCCTCCTGCTGGGGAATGAACATCTACTTACTATGAGCTTTCAGGTGGGTAGTTTCCGGCACATTCTTATTTAATCCTCATTGTGACCTTGTAACAAGAGAATCCATTTATCCCCATTTGACAGATGGAGCTTAGCAACTTGGCTAAAGTCACAGAGCCAGGGACTCAAGACCCAGCCTCTGACTCCAGGTCCCTTGCTATTTCACTGCATCCTGGGTCCTGGTATAGCAGGGAGTCCCTGTCTGTTAGACCAGGGGTCCCTAAGGGCCCTTTGGCTCTAGCTTTGATGTTCTTCCACTCCTAGGACGTCTAAAAGTTGAGGGCATGGCCACCACCCCTGAGCTATTCATCAGGGCTCTGCTTCTTCCCAGGACAGCCCTTCTCCTTGGTGTTGATGGGGGTGGGGGTGGACCTGGATGGGAAAGATAAAGGGGATCGGCAGCCTCAGAACCCCAGGACCAGTGGGTGAGCAGGAATCACTGAATACCAAGAAAACTGCCCCACGGGCCTCACTAGGCCCCTCTGCCTGGGTGGCACTAAAAGCCAGCAAAGTCCCAGGATCACTTGCCCTGGAGATCGATGGTCAGGCTGGGACCAGAGCCCATTGCAGCTTCCCAAGAGAGCTGTGCTGCAGCTTGTCACTGCCCTAACCATTCTGCTCATTCAGGCAGTGCCTCTCGGCTTTCCTCTCTACCCAGGCTGCTATTCCAACCTGTCACCTGCATGGGCAGGGGATACCCCACTTCCACCACCTTAGAGAGTCTGAGCAAGGGGCAAAGCCTCCAGGCCTGGCATCAGTAGACCTGGCATCTGTGGCCTTGGGCAACCATTTGACCTTCCCTGAGCCTCAGTTTTCTTCTGTATAATAGGGATAGTGAAACCTACCCTCATAGCATTGCCGAGAGGCAGCAACACTGGGGTATAGTGTTTGATAAGTGGGATTTGCCCTGTAGCTTGAGAGATGTCAGGGGTGAGGTCCCCATTTCGACAGGATGGCTCTCGGTATTGGAATAACAAAGCTGTCACCCCTGGCATTCTTGTGGCACCTTTTACCTTTCAGAGTTCTTGGCATGGAGCCTCATTTGAGCCTCACAGGGAGCTTCGGGTTCCCTACCTTTGTAGATGCCAAGCCCAAGCTGCCTGTCTTCTGAGGCCCACGGCCATTTTCATTCTGGCAACAAAAGCCCCTTGCCTCGGCCTTTGCACTGGCTATCTCCACTCCCTGGAGTGTCCTTCGCCTCTCCTCTGCCCACAGCATTGCTATGCATCCTTCCAGACCCAACTCCAGAATCATCTCCTTTATAAGCACCCCCAACACCCTGCCACCCTAGTGCTATCCCAGCTGCTCTAACAGCCTGTTAGGGGCTCCTTGGGTTCCTGGACCCAGGGGCCCAGCTCCCCACCAGACTTGTGATCAGGCAGGACTAACAGGGAGCATGGCACCTGTTAGCCACCAGTGACCATATGAAGAGTGTGTGGGTGAAAGACAGGTAGGATTGGCTGAGGGAGAACATTCCAGGCTGGGGAGCAGCAGAGGTGAGACACAGGCCAGCTTCTCCTGCTCCCACTCCCACCCCCATCCTCCCGTGGTCTCATTGACAGCAGCAAGATTGCCTGTGTGGGGAAGAGGAGAGAGGAGCTTGAAGGCCAGTCCGGGAATCCGATCCAATATGATGGGCCTTTGGTGGTTGTTTTAGTCCATTCTCATGCTGCTATAAAGAACTGCCTGAGACTGGGTAATTTATAAAGGAAAGAGGTTTAATTGATTCATGGCTCCACATGGCTGGGGAGGCCTCAGGAAACTTACAATCATGGCAGAAGGGGAGGCAAACACATCCTTCCTCACATGGCGGCAGGAAAGAGAAGTGCTGGGCAAAGGGGGAGAAGCCCCTTATAAAACCATCAGATCTCGTGAGAACTCACTATCATGAGAACAGCCTCGGGGTAACTGCCCCCATGATTCAATTACCTCCCACCAGGTCCCTCCCATGACACGTAGGGATTATGGGAACTACAATTCAAGATGAGATTTGGGTAGGGACACAGCCAAACCATATCAGGGGTATCCCTGGCCCCTTGGAAAATGAGGGGCTCCAGGCAGGTGAGAGGGCTTGAGGAGAGGCGTCCTGGCTCCCCACAGCCCTGGCCTGCACCCCTCTGCACGCATCAGGACCCTAGGCTCTGTAATTCAACACCAGAGCAAAACCCAAGCCTGAGGCCCCGTCTGCAGCATGGGGATGACATTGCTTGCAGGAGCTGTTTTCTCACAGGCCCCTGTGTCTGGGAGGGCTGGGTGATGGTGTTATTAAACATGAAAAGAGCTACCTGGAGTTTGCTGCCCACCTGTCCACCCTCAGGGAAGGGTAGTTAAGACAAGACAGATTCGGGATTGCCTGTCCCTAGAGGGAACAGGCATGGCCATGATGGCTCAATTCCAGTTTCACCCCCCTTCGCTTTTCTCCAGCCTTCTCTGTGGAGAGGCCAGCATGACTGACTGCCCCTCCAGGAGAGCCCTCTCCACTGTTCACATCTCAGGTCCGGGTGACAAAACTGAGGCCTGGAGCCCAGAGAGGGCAAAGTCAGCTGCAGAGCCAGGCTATCCAGCCCCAGGCCATGCTCATCTTCCCTGCTCCCAAGGGCCTTTCAGGGATGCTACTCCCCACCCCCACCAGGATGGTTTTCTTGGTAAGCTGCTCCCTGCGTACTGACCAGATGGCTAGGAGGAAACTTGAGCAGGAGGTTTTTCTTTGCAGGTTGGGGCCCAGCTCTGTGGCAACTTTGGGGCAGTGATACCGAGTCACAGATAGCCCGCCTCCAATTCTCCTTCCCTCTGCCCTGCCCCCACCCAGGTAGATCCGATTGCTCCCCAGGACACAGCTCCTGCATTCCCACATTGAGGCCGAGTGGGCAGCCCACCCTATTCAGTCACCTTGCTTTTTATAGGTAAGAGCTTAGCACTTCAACTTCCCTTGTGCCCTAATTAGGCTGTGCTCTTTAATCAGCGGGACAGTAGTCCTTGTCCCCTTGGTACACAGAGAGGCCCACCCAGCCAGCACTCCAAGGTATTTGCCTACTTGTTATTTTATTGTTTATTTTCTCAACCTTTTAAAAACTTTGTGTAACCTATTTTAATTACTTACTACACATATACATAATGATTGTAGAAAAATTAGAAAATGAAGCCAGTCAAGAGAAGACAAAAAAAATTACCTGTAAGCCTATGACCCAGAAATAAGGCTGTTAATCTTTTGGTATATATTATGCCAGTGTTTTTCTTTTGTATGTGTTTATCAAAAAGTCAGATTGTGGTCGGGTACGTTGGCTCACACCTGTAATCCTAGCACTTTGAGAGGCCGAGGCCGGTGGATTACATGAACTCAGGGGTTTGTGACCAGTCTGGCCAACATGGTGAGACCCCTGTCTCTAAAAAAAAAATACAGAAATTAGCCAGGTCTGGTGGTGTGTGCCTGTAGTCCCAGCTCCTTGGGAGGCTGAGGTGGGAGAAGTGCTGGAGCCCAGGAGGTTGAGACCGCAGTGAGTTGAGATTGCACCACTGCACACCAGCCTGGGCAACAGAGCAAGACTCTGACTCAAAAAAAAAAAAAGGCAGATGGTATTGTTTTGTAATATGCTTAAAATTGGCCAGGCGCAGTGGCTCACTCCTTTAATCTCAGCACTTTGGGAGGCTGAGGCGGGTGGATCATGAGGTCAGGAGTTCAAGACCAGCCTGGCCAACATGGTGAAACCCCAACTCTACTGAAAATACAAAAATTAGCTGGGCATGGTGGTGTGTTCCTGTAGTCCCAGCTACTCAGGAGGCTGAGGCAGGAGAATTGCTTGAACCGGGACCCAGGAGGCGGAGGTTGCAGTGAGCCGAGATCATGCCACTTCACTCCAGCCTGGGCTACAAAGCGAGACTCCATCTCAAAAAAAAAAAAGTATATATATGCTTAAAATTGCTTTTCCTTAGGCAAATTGTAAAAGTAGATAAGAAAGCTAAAGAAAACAGTATGATGGATCCTCAAACACTTACAAATAAAATCACCACATGATCCAGCAATTCTACTTCTGGGTATATACCCAAAAGAATTGAAAGCAGAGTCTTGAGATGTTTGTACACCCACAATCATAGCAGCATTATTCACAAAAGGTGGAAGCAATCCATCAGCAAATGAATAGATGAACCAAACACGGTATAGACAGACAATAAAACACTATTCAACCTGCAAAAGGAAGGAGAGTCTGACCCATGCTACAACATGGATGGACCTTAAGGACATTATGCACAGTGAAATAAGCAGTCACAAAATGACATATACGATTCCACTTACATGAGGTACCTAGAGTAGTCAAATTCTTTTTTTTTTTTTTTTAAAGTCTGTGTCTCGCTGCAATCTCTGCCTCCCAGGTTCAAGCAATTCTCCTGCCTCAGCCACCCAATTAGCTGGGATTACAGGCGTGTACCAACACGCTCGGCTAATTTTTGTATTTTTAGTAGAGATGGGGTTCACCTTGTTGGCCAAGCTGATCTCGAACTCCTGACCTCAAATGATCCACCCGCTTCTGCCTCCCAAAGTGCTAGGATTACAGGCATGAGCCACCAGGCCTAGCCAAGTAGTCAAATTCTTAGAAACAGAAAGTAGAATAGTGGTTGCCAGGGGCTGGGAGGAGGGGGAATGGGAACTTATTGATTAGTACAGAGTTTCAGTTTTGGAAGATGGAGAGAGTTCTGGAGGTGGATCAGTGGTGGTGATGGTTGCATAATAATGTGAACATATTTAATATGCCACTGAACTGTACCCATCAAAATGGTTAAGATGGTACACTTTATGGCATGTGCATTTTACCACAATTTAGAAAAACTAATAATTAAGATGGTAAATTTTCTGTTATTTTATCACAATTTTTTTTTTTTTTTTTTTGAGACGGAGTCTGGCTCTGTCACCCAGGCTGGAGTGCAATGGCGCGATCTCGGCTCACTGCAACCTCTGCCTCCTGGGTTCAAGCAATTCTCCTGCCTCAGCCTCCTGAGTAGCTGGGGTTATAGGCACGCGCCACCAGGCCAGGCTGTTTTTTGTATTTTAGTAGAGACGGGTTTCACCATGTTGGTCAGGCTGGTCTCAAACTCCTGACCTCATGATCTGCCCGCCTTGGGCTTCCAAAGTGCTGGGATTACAGGCGTGAGCCACTGCCCAGCCATTTATCACAATTTTTAAAGTTAAAAAAAGATAAGAAAAAAGATCTTACTGTCCCCCTACTACCCAAGATAATCACTAACATTTTAGTGACCAGCCTTCCTCTTAGTCTTTCTTTTTGTGAGTATATAAATATATACAAGCTTTTTTAAAAAAAATGGGATTATACTGTACCTTCTGCTTTTTTCATTTAACATCTTGCGAACAACTTTCAATATCATTAGATATTCTGATACAATATTTTAAATGGCTGCATTTAATGGATATTTCTTAATTTGTATAGTTGAACATTTAGATTTCCAGCTTTTCACGATTTTAATTTGTACTTCAGTGAATATTCTTGTGGTACCATTCACATAACTGCACATATATGGGTATTTCCAACAAATTTCCTGATCAAAGATAATGGATATTTTTAAGACTTTTGCTTTTTCCTCCCACTGCTGTTATATGCTTTTTGTCTTCTGACCCCAGATCATTCAGTGAATAACCCAAGAGTCTGAAGCTCAGCTGCCTGTCAGGGGGGCCAGCATGCACTGTAAATAAATGAAGCTGTCTAGTCGGGTGGGAACTCTTTAGAACGGACACCTGCAGAAATAGCTGCTCCTTAGCCCCAGCTAGTTGTTGCCTTGGGGGAATTCAGACCATCTTGATTAAGAAACCCAGGTTTATAGTGTAAGATCTTTCAATCTGTATATGGTGGCAGCAAAATTCTAAATTTATTATTTCGACGTAATTTAATTATTTTAAAATGCTATATGGAAACTAGGCATGAATGGTGGATTGCTGGTTTGTGACTTTCAGAGGAATTAATCTTTTCCCCATTGATTTCAAATGCTGTGTCATGGGCTCATTCTCATTTACATTGGGATCTACCACTTCTACTAGTCTGCCTTGTAAATGCCAATGTCTGTTTCATACATTGTCCTTATTATAGCTTTAAACTGTTTTAATACCTGATAGGGAAAAATGTTTCCCCAGTTTCTCTTTTTTTTCAGGGTTCCCCTGCAACACTCCTACATTTATTCTTTTAAACAAACTTTTTTTTTTTTTTTTTTTTTTTTTTTTTGCCAGTAGCTTGAAGAAACACTTAACCAAACACACTTTTGAATTGGGCTGGCTAGATCCCAAATAGATCATTTGCAGGTTTTGATTAGGGTCATATTCATTTTATAGAAAAATGAACAGATCATCGTCATCATTACAGCATTAAGTCTTTCCGATCAGGAATGCACAATAGTTATCTAAGTACCTAAAATATTTTTATATCTTTTGTTAAACTTTCATGGTTTTTTTGATACTTCAAAATTAGTACATTTTATACCAATTTTATACTTAGTTGTGTTTTTTTTTTTGGTTCTTTTAAATTGTGAATTCATTTTTTTTAATTAAAAAAAATTATAGAAACAGTCTCACTGTGTTGCCCAGGCTGGTCTCAAACTCCTGGCCTCAAGCAATCCTTTCCCCTTGGCCTCCCAAAGCACTGGGATTACAGGCATGAGCCACTGCACTCAGCCAAATCCTACTTTTGAAAAGGCTAATGTTAATACATAATAGAAAAACTATTGTGTAGAAAGGCTTCTGAACTCTTTCTATTTCAAATAGTCTTTAAGCTAATTATTTTTGGTTTTCCAGTAAATGGTAACTTGCCTCCTCTCCAGTATTTAAGTGTACTATTTTACTGTCTTAACTAATTACATTCCTCTCTCAGTATCTGTGGGGGATAGGTTCTAGGACCTCCCAAGGATACCAAAAACTGCAAATGCTTAAGTCCCTATATAAAATGGCATATTATTTGCATATAACCTTATCCACTTTGCACATCCTTCTGTATAATTTTTTTTTTTTTTTGTCAGGCAGGATCTCTGTCGCCCAGTCTGGAGTGCAGTGGTGCGATCATGGCTCACTGCAGCCTCAAACTCCTGGGCTCAAGTGGTCCTCCCACCTCTGCCTCCCAAGTAGCTGGGACTATAGGCACATACCACCATGCCTGACTAATTTATATATATATATTTTTTGTAGAGACAAGGGTGACACTGTTTTGCCCACGCTGGTCTCAAAACTCCTAGGCTCAAGTGATTGGCTCGCCTCGGCCTCCCAAAGTGCTGAGATTGCAGGTGTAAGCCACCGTGCCCAGCCCCTCCTATATACTTTAAATCGGCACCTCCTGTATACTTTAAATCATTACTACATTACTTATAACACCTAATACAATGTAAATGCTGTGTAAAGAGTTGCTATACTGTATTGTTTAAGGAATAATGACAAGAAAAAAAATCTATACATGTTTAGCGTAGATGCAATTTTTTTTTTCCAAATATTTTCTGTCTTCAGTTGACTCACATATGCAGAACTCATGGACCTGGATGGCGAATAGTACATTGATTAGTGCTCCTGGGGAGAAATGTTATATAATAATGGTGATTATAGGCATCCCACATTGATGGGTATATCCCCAGTATATACAAAAATTAGCCGGGTGTGGTGGCGGGCGCCTGTAGTCCCAGCTACTCAGGAGGTTGAGGCAGGAAAATTGCTTGAACCCAGGAGGCGGAGGCTGCAGTGAGCTGAGATTGAGCCACTGCACTCCAGCCTGGGTGACAGTGCAAGACTCAAAAAAAAAAAAAAAAAAAAAAAAAGAGAAGGAGATACCCTTTTGTTTCTGCTCCTAAGCAGAAACTCCTTTTGTTTCTGTTTTACTAAGAATTTTAAGTTTTTTTAATTGACAAAACAACATATACTTTAAAATACTTTTGACCAGGTGCGGTGGCTCATGCTTGTAATCTCAGCACTTTGAGAGGATGATGTGGTGGATCACTTGAGGTCAGGAGTTCGAGACCAGCCTGGCCAGCATGACGAAACCCCATCTCTACTAAAAATATAAAAAAATCAGCCGAGTGTGGTCGCATGCCCCTGTAATTCCAGCTACTTGGGAGGCCGAGGCATGAGAAAATCACTTGAACCCTGGAGGCAGAGGTTGCAGTGAGCCAAGATTGCGCCACTGCACTCCAGCCTGGGCGAAAGAGCGAGACTCTGTCTCAAAAAATAAATAAATAAATAAATAATTACTTCTAAAATTTCAAATAATTGAGAAGTAGGTGAAATAACAAGTAAAAGTTAGCCTCCTTCTTTTCACATTTCTCTACTCCCACCTCCCAGGGACTATCAGTGTAAACATGTAGTATATAACTTCTCAGATATTTTTCTGTATTCACATATACAGTCATAAATGCATCTATCAAATTGGTCAAAATGTTTTTTGCTTAATATGATTTGTAGCCACAGATTTCCAAATATTGAACTATCTTTGCATTCTGGAATAAATCCTACATGATCCTAACATATTATTCTTTTAAAGTCTTAGATTTGATTTACCAGTATGCTATTTTTTTCTTTCTTTACTTATCTTTTTTTTTTTTAGAGACAGGGTCTCACTCTGTTGCCCAGGCTAGAGATCCTCCTACTTTAGCCTCCTGAGTAGCTAGGACTACTGATGCATATCACCACATCCACCTAATTTTTAATTTTTTTTTTTTTTTTGTAGAGACATGGTCTCACTACATTGCTCAGGCTGGTCTCAAGCTCCTGGCCTCATGCAATTCTCTCACTTTGGCCTCCCAAAGCACATTTAGATTACAGTCATGAGCCACTGTGCCTGGCCCCCAGTATGTTATTTTATAAGACTTTTTCATCTATCTATGCAAGTGCCATTGGTCCATTCTGGATGCTACATATTAGGTTCTTGTATCAGGGTTCTTGTTAACTTTGTAAAATAAAGTGAGAGTTTTCACATTTCTTGCCTCATACTCGGGGGCAGTTCAAGTAGCGTAAGTATGGTTTCTGGTCCTGGATGTTACAGTAGGACTAATATATAACTCTTCTTGAATTCAGTGCCCTTTATTGGGGGAGAGGTGACAGAGATGTGGTTCTTTGACAATGCTTAGAGTTTCTTTCACAGTGATTTGGGTTTTCAAATTCTCCTTGGATTTTTCTTTAAAGAAAAATTCCAATGTGATTTTAGTTACTGTTTTAGAACAGATCTGTGTCCCAGGGTAGAAGCTGGCCTTCCCACCCCAGAGGATACCTCCTCAACCCTGCCAAGCACCCATAGCCTCTCTCCCTAGTCCACCCCTTCCAGGGAGCCTCTGACGTGGCAGGCAGCATGCTAAAAGCTGCCAGTTGAAGGCCAGTGGTTTTATGAACATCCAGGGGTGAGAACAGTAGAATAGCCCCTGCTTTACTGATAGAGAAACTTATCCTTCAGTGGATTAACCCACTTACCCACACTGCTAATGAGAGGTGTAGGCAGGGCTCCAACCTCAGCCTGACTTCATGCTCCTGCTGCAGCCATCCCACAAAACTTCAGAGGTGTAGGCCAACCCCTAGAAACACTCCAACATCACACTGCCACATATGAGGTGGGGTCAAGGTCAAGTGGGAAATGTAGCAGTTGGAAGCACAATGGATATGTCAAAGTACCAGATGCATGAATTATGAAAGAAGATGCCTTGTAATCCCAGCACTTTGGGAGGCCGAGGTGGGCGGATCATGAGGTCAGGAGATTGAGACCATCCTGGCTAACACGGTGAAACCCCATCTCTACTAAAAGTACAAAAAATGTGCCGGGCATTGTGGCAGGCGCCTGTAGTCCCAGCTACTCAGGAGGCTGAGGCAGGAGAATGGCCTGAACCCGGGAGGCGGAGCTTGCAGTGAGCCGAGATCGCGCCACTGTACTCTAGCCTGGGCGACAGAGCGAGACTCCGTCTCAAAAAAAAAAAAGAAAGAAAGAAAGAAAGAAGATGCATGAATTTTGAAACAAGTGGTTGTTCCTTATTTGGGGACAGTGTAAAAAAAAAAAAGTAGTTTTCCTCTATGCAAGAAATAGGAGCAAAGAAAGTCCTTGAGTGCCCTCTTGTGGAGAGTCTCAGCTTGATCCCACCGCCCTGGCATTTGCTGAGCCTCCTCCCACCCAAAGTACAAGTTTAGGGGTTTTCCCCTCCTGCTCTGTCTCCAAGTCATGGCACATCCTTGTAATTTCAGACCCTTTTATAGGAATGTGCGACTGGCAAAGTGGGCATGTGGCATTTTACTGTTCATTTGCCCTGGACAGGCTCTGAACCAGCAGATGATGTGCTTACCAGGGCTTGACTTGCAGGGAGGAGCCAAGTGGTTGGTGTCCAGAGGTCCTGGGTTCAAGTCCTGTTCCCACTGCTCATTGGCTGTGTAGGATGGGGAAGACACTTGATTCTTGAGCCTCAGTTTTCCCTACCTGAAAATGGGAGACTAATATCTACCTCTCAGGGTGATTTGGGGATTAAAATAAGTAAAGCAATCCACAGAGAAGATTAGTTCAGGGCCTGGCACAGAGTAAGCACTTGCTAAACGATAGCTGGTGTTATTATCTGTTTGAGCTGGGTAAGTAGTCAGGTGCCTTGCTAAGGACAGTAGGCAGCAGGACCACAAGAACTGGTAGAACCCAAGGAAGGTTGGGTGGCTGTGCTGAATGGCTTGATAAAGGTGGGCCTGGGGTGTGTCACAGGGTCAAGCCACTTAAAAGGAGACCTGGGCTGATCTGGCTTTGGGGGTGGCAGGGCCGGCCCAAGCCTGGGAGATACAGGGTCATACCTAATCCATTCACCAGCAGCCTAGGACATCACTTTAGGCAGGTTACCTACCTCAGCCCACAGTCAATGCCCCTTACACTTGTCCCACCCATGGCAGCACTTAATGGACACAATTTTTGTTTTTAGAGGCAGGGTCTCGCTCTGTTGCCCAGGCTGGAATGCAGTGGGGCAATCATAGCTCACTGCAGCCTCCAACTCCTGGGCTCAAGCTCAAGTGATCCTCCAGCCTCAGCCTCCCAAGTAGCTATGACTGAGCCACGATATCCAGCTAATTTTTTTTTCATTTTTGTAGAGACAGGGTCTTGCTGTGTTGCCTAGGCTGGTCTCAAACTCTGGGCCTCAAGTGGTCCTCCCACCTCAGCCTCCCAAAACACTGGGTTTACAGGCATAGGCCACCACATGCAGCTCACAATGTCATCTAAATACAATTTGTACCTGTCTTGGGATGGGGGGCTATTCTCTGGGATGACAGGGACCTGGACAAGTGGACATAGGGCAAAGAAAGACTGAATAATGGGCAGGGGGCGGGGAGGAAGGGAGCTTCCAAGTGAGACAGTGCCAGGATGCCTTACACCTTTGAGGGTCCATGCAGCTTGTTGAGGTGGGCTTGATTTCCTGGAGGCTGGGACAGGAGCTAGGGACCTGACCCATCAGTGAGGAGGGAGGGCCAGGCCCACCAGGGTAGCAGCCTGGGTCCCGATGGCCCCCAGTTAGAGAGTTTATGGGTGACCCATTCATAGGGGCTTCCTGAGGGTGTGAGGACTGCTGAGAGCTCTCCCAGAGAGACCCAACCCTCAGGGCTTAAGTTGGGGTGGTGGGGCCACGAAGTGGGCCCAGGCTTTGATGGACCCTCAGGAGTGTAAGGGGGAAGAGTGGCTAAGAGTTTCTGCTTGGATTTCCCATCTTGGGCTCAACCCATGGCCCTTGATGCTCCCTAGTTATGTGGCCTTAGACAAATCACTCTTAACCTCTTCAGCCCTGTTTGCTGAGCAGTAAGCTGGGGTCAGGATGCATCTGTCTGCACAGTGATGTGGAGGAGGATTAAATTAGGTGATGTGTTAAGTGCTTAGCACAGTATCCTGAGCATAGAAAACCCTTATGAGAGCCCAAAGGAGAAAAAATTAAAAGATTTGGACCCAGGCCCAAGGAGTGATGGTGGTGGTGCTGATGGGGTGGGTGTGGTGGAAATAGGGAGGCCTGGACACAACCTGGTTATCAGCACAGAGGTCTGGGCAGAACTCACCTCCCTCCCAACTTCACACCCTGTGGGCAGAGCAGAGAGCCTCCCATTGGCCCCTTACCTGGTCCTGGCTGAGGATGTTCTGCAGAGGCAGAGGCCTAGGCAGGACAGCACCGGGCTGCTGGGGCTTAGGGATGGCACCCCCTCCAGCGCTTTTTCTCTGCTTTCCTCCAAGGCTGCATTCGCGATTCTATGAGCTGGCCCCCAACCTCGTCCCAATGGACTACAGGAAGAGCCCCATCGTCCACGTGCCCATGAGCCTCATCATCCAGATGCCAGAGCTCCGGGTATGTGCAGGACCTCTTGCTGGCGAGCAGGGGATCTGTGCCTCTGGACCAGCAGCAGAGGCCCCCAGGTCTAGGCTGAACCCAGCTCCACCCTTTGTGTCTGCGTGGCTCTGAGCAGATCACAGAACCTCTCTGTGCCTCAGTTTCCTCATCTGTACTCTGAATAAATAAGCTATGTGGGCTCTGTAAGGGTGCTGTACATCAGTGGCCACCCAACTGCAGGCCATGGGCTTGTGCTCATTTGCTTGTCCCTTTGTTAAGTGGCCCCAAGCCTGCTGTAGTTGGCAGACCTGTGTCTGCTTTGTTAGATAACTTTTCTGTCTCCCCGTTGTCTGGCTGTGGCTTCTCACTGAGGTCAGCATGGTGGTCATCCATAGCATCATTTCTCAGACTTTAACGTACCTGTTAAAATTTAATTTTAAACTCCCCAGGGATCTTGTCCAAATGCCAATTCAGGCTCAGTACATGTGGAGTAGAGTCAGGATTCTGCTTTTCGAGCAAGTTCCCAGGTGAGACTGATGCTGCTGATCCTCAGACCATATATATCTGAATGTTTCGTTTCATGAGTTCCTTATCCATAATATGTAAAGTGCATTCAGCATTAAGAAGGCATTTGGGGCACAACTCCCCATTGCAGTGGGACTTCGTCAGTAGCCCCTTGCCAGGCCTGGGATGTGTGGCTTGAAGGTGGAGTCAGAGTGCTATATGGCATCCACTTGGGGCCTGCACTCTGGTTGTGACCTCAGTCCTGAGAGACAATGGGCCCCAGGCTCAGCCCTGGACCAGCACCCCGTCTGGCCCAGCAAGGGGCTCAAGAGCAAGCTCAGAGGGTTGCTGGAGCAGGTGAGACACTCATGGGTAGGACCCAAGTGGTCTGTCTCTGAGCCTCCCGCACTGGCCTGGGCTGGGCACGGAATGGCGCTAGCCAAGCGCTAGCTCAGTTGGGATGGAAGGGCTGCAGGATGAGTGATTTGGGGATCTAGGAAGGCATCCGTGTACAGCTCCCTGGGAGAGGCAGCATCCAAGGTGGTCTAGGGGAGAATTCACAGGAGCAGAGTGACAGCAGACCTGGGCCTGAACTGGCTGTATGGCTCTTGCTGCTTGACTGGTCCAGTTATCTGACCCCACATCCACCTCCCACGATCCTGGCCTGACACGGCCTGAGCTGAGGGCCACCAGTGCCCTGGGCTGTCATCTTCTTCTGCTGGGGACAGAGCCCTACACATCCAGGCAGAGCCTCTGTGTGCTCTTCTGGGTAACAGGACGAATCTGTGCTTCTGCTTCTGCTTCAGATGAGGCAGTGCCTCCAGTGATAACACACTGGCTGTGCTCAGCATTTTTTTTTTTTTTTTTTTTTGGAGACATGGTCTTGCTCTGTCGCCCAGGCTGGAGTGCAGTGGGACGATCATGGCTCACTGAAGCCTCAAACTCCTGGGCTCAAGTGATTCCTCCACCTCAGTCTCCCAAATAGCGGGACTACAGGCGTGCACCACTGTCCCTGGCTGTGCCCATCTTAATGATGTGACATGACCCAGTAGAATGCTTCCTGAGCTCTTACATGTGCCGGGCCTGGTACCAACACCTTACATACTTTAGCTCATTTAATCCCATCACAACCCAATTAAGAAGGTGTTATTATTATTCCCTTTTTACAGATGGGGAAACCGAGGCTCAGAGGGATTTGGTCACTCCTCCAGGGTCACACAGGCTGTCCACAGTCTGGCTCCGGGGCCCTCCTGCTTATCCTGCACCCACAGTGATTGCTGTGTGTGTTTTCTTCAGGAGAATCCCTTCAAAGAAAGGATCGTGGCGGCGTTTTCCGAGGATGGTGAGGGGAACCTCACTTTCAACGACTTTGTGGACATGTTTTCCGTGCTCTGCGAGTCGGCTCCCCGAGAGCTCAAGGCAAACTATGCCTTCAAGATCTATGGTAACCAGGGCTAGAGGAGGGGGCCTGAATATGCGGTGGGGGAACATGTGGGGCCCTTAGGCTGTCTGGTTACTACTGGCTCCTGCCCTAGGGACACCAAGAACAGTGAAGCTGATCTGTCCTCTGAAGAGTGCCTGTCCAGTGGGGTGGCCAAGGGAGACGATCAGTCCCTGAGAGACATCTGTGAGGGTCCTGAGAACGAAGGAGGGAGGGACTCACCCATCCCAGGTCGGGTGGTTAGTGTGAGAGGGGTCCCAGGCATGACCTTTAAGCAGGGACTAGCAGAGGCTTGGACTGGAGAAGAGGGGGCTGGCAGACCTGACAGAGGGCGCAGCCCATGCAGACACAGGGAAGCGCAGAGCTTGATAAGGAGATGGGAGGAACTTGGAAGGTGGTGGGACAGGGGGCGGTATGAGTCTGGAGAGAATCTGGGGCCAGGCTGTGGGAGCCAGCCACAGAGTTTGGACCTAGTGATCCAGACACCAGGGCCACTGCAAGGTTTCCAGTGAGGAAGGGCAGCTCTGTTTTCTAGAAGGATCACTCAGCAGCTTTGAGGTGTAAAATGGAGGAGCCAGAGAGGCTGCCTAGGCCATGGTGGTAAGGCCAGGCCTGCAGGGGGGCCTCTGGAGCCCCCCCGAATACTGCCTGAGGTAGGGCCACCTGGATTCACCCCGCCCAGCTCTGCCCTCAGGCTGGCTGTCTCACCAGCCACCAGAGGGCGGCGGGCACTCATGAGCCAAGGACTCATGCTTCTCCCACAGCCACAGGGAGAAAACTTCATACCCACGAGCTCACCCCCTCTGCTGGCCTGACAGACCCATGGGGACTGGTGTCAAATCCTCAGATAGACCTCAGTTGAGATGCCTAAGGCCTAGGAAGGGGCTGGGACCCAACTTGGACCTGAAGAGTCAAGGTCAAAGCTCCTGTCCTCAGCACGTTTGATCAGACACTGGATCCCAAAGGCAGCAGGGCCTATCAGGGGCTGACATTTTGCTTTCTTTTTTCTTTTCTTTTCTTTTTTTTTTTTTTTTTTGAGACAGAGTCCCACTGTCGCCCAGGCTGGAGTGCAATCGTGTGATCTCGGCTCACTGCAACCTCTGCCTCCCGGGTTCAAGCGATTCTCTTGCCTCAGCCTCCCAAGTTCAAACGATTCTCCTGCCTCAGCCTCCTGAGTAGCTGAGATTACAGGTGCCCGCCACTACACCTGGCTAATTTTTGTAATTTTAGTAGAGATGGGGTTTCACCATGTTGGTCAGGCTGGTCTCGAACTCCCGACCTCAGGTGATCTGCCTGCCTTGGCCTCCCAAAGTGCTGTGATTACAGGTGTGAGCCACCACGCCCAGACTGACGTTTCACTTTCTAGTTATCATGTTTATTTCAGAGGACTTTGGTTTCTGTCTGTGCACCCACGTTTTGCTTGCATATTAGAAAGAAAATACCTGCCAGTCTGCCCTCCACAAACTATGCCCACATGGCTCATGTAAAAAGCTTCTCAGATTCCACCCAACATCCGCCCGGTCTTGGACCCCATAGCATTGCTCCTGGGACGGGCTGCTGTCTGCCCAAGACAGGGGCGTGCAGATCGCATGGACCGGGTGGGCACAGGAATACATGGAAGAACTGTGGCTTCCTTGCTGCTCTAGGCTGGGGGTGGAGTGGGGAGAGGCAGCCAGGGCCCTCCTAGTCTGGCGCTGGGGAGGCCTGGGGCCTCATTTGCAACAATGATCATCTCACTTCTGAGCCTCAGTTTACTCAGGTTAAATGGCCACAGGAATTCAGCCAGCCAGCCAGCAAATCTTTCCAGAGATTTGCTATGTCCCATGCCATGGGCAGAGATGAATACTCCCTGACGCATACCCTAGAGTTGTGCCCAGGCCTCTGCAGAGATAGACAGGGCAGAGTCACCCCAAGAGCTTGGGCTCTAGGGTCCAACAATGACCGGGATGTGACCTCAGGCAGGTACCTCTCCTTTTCACCTCCCTGTTTCTTTTTTTATTTTTGAGATAGAGTCTCGCTCTGTCAACGAGGCTGGAGTGCAGTGGTGCGATCTCAGCTCACTGCAAGCTCCGCCTCCTGGGTTCACGCCATTCTCCTGCTTCAGCCTCCTGAGTAGCTGGGACTACAGGCGTCCACCACCACGCCCGGCTAATTTTTTTTTTTTTGTATTTTTAGTAGAGACGGGGTTTCACCGTGTTAGCCAGGATGGTCTCAATCTCCTGGCCTCGTGATCCACCCACCTCGGACTCGCAAAGTGCTGGGATTACAGGCGTGAACCACCGCGCCTGGCCACCTCTCTGTTTCTTCATGTGTATAGTGGAGATTCAATTGTGCCTGCCTCATAGTTTTGTTTTGAAAATTAAATGAGAAAGAGCATATAATGCTCACATGATGGGTCTTTGTCACTACCATTAATGTCAGAGTTTGCCAATGGGCAACAGAAGCTCATTTGCGGGGAAGAGGACCCTTATCGCTAGAAAGCCCCGCCACTGGGAGGTGATGTGTGAGCCAAAATTTGAAGGATGACCAGGAGTTTGCTGGGAAGGGACCCCAGGCAGAAGAAACAGCACATGCGCAGATCTGGTAGTTGGGCTCAAAATGTAAGAAGAGAGAGTTCACTTTGATGTGGCCAGGCATGGCTCGGTCCTCTGAACCATTTTGCTGTGCTTTGGGGCAGTGGTAGTGCCTTTTGCTGGGTAGAATCAAACCATGTTCCCTGCTCTGTGTGCACAAAGGCCAGGCACAGGCCCCTCTCTAAGGGTCTTTTGATTTTGAGTCTCCTGACCCACCGTGTCTTCTGGTCACACACCACTGAGGCAACGGGGTGCAGTTTAGAAAACATGGGTCTTAGAGTCCCATAGGCCCTAGTCAGAATCCCTGCTCCATCTCCGAGTGGCTCTCCCACCTTGATTCAATCGCATGGCCTTTTTGGGCCTTAGTTTCCTTAGCTCTAGAAGTCTAAAGGGAACACTGGGTCCACTGTGGGCTAAGGCCAGGAAGGGCTATCTGGCCTAAGCCTGAAGTTCTCAGGAAACCTCAGATTTGGACTTTTGACCTGCTTCAGGATGTGGTTTAGTCATTGTGGGGTTGTTGTTGGTGGTGGATGTGGGTGTTTAAGCGATGCCTGGTGGGTAAGCCCTCTTGGGGGCAGGGATCCAGTATCCCAAGAGTGTGCATGGAGATGCTCTGGGGACATCAGAAGCTGGTGGAGGTAGTGGGGCCAGCTAGGAGGAAGAGCTATAGTGTAGGGGTCCCTGGGTGCACGCAGCCTGGACTTGAACATGTCCAACCCCTGCCCTACAGACTTCAACACTGACAACTTCATCTGCAAGGAGGACCTGGAGCTGACGCTGGCCCGGCTCACTAAGTCAGAGCTGGATGAGGAGGAGGTGGTGCTTGTGTGCGACAAGGTCATTGAGGAGGCTGACTTGGACGGTGACGGCAAGCTGGGCTTTGCTGACTTCGAGGACATGATTGCCAAGGCCCCTGACTTCCTCAGGTGCTGCCACTACAGGGGCCGGGCTTGGGCAGGGCAGAGCAGGGCAGGCCGGGATGTTGGGGCTGAGGCCCCTATCACTCGCTATTTGTGAGCAGTGGTGTGCGGCCAGGAAGCAGGAGGTCACGTTCAAGCCACCCTTGCCCTAGACGTGTGACTGGCCTTTGTCCCCTGCAGGGGGAAGGTTGAAGACCTGGGGGCCCCTTCAGTGATAAGTGGGGGCAGAACTCCCTGGGCACCGCTGTTCCTCCGTCTTCCCCCAGTGTTGATTACCTGCATCCACTATGCAGGGTTCCCTAATGAGGCACTGTCCAGCATGGGGCTGGGGCCTGCTGTGCTTTTCCCTGAGGAGCCTTTACCTGCCCGACCCAGGGCCTCTCACCCTCTCTTGCCCTTTCTCTCTTTCTAGCACTTTCCACATCCGGATCTGAGGACACTGCCGAGGCTGTAGGGGCCTAGAAGTCCACCATCCTGCCCTGCAGTCACATGGGTGTGGCCTCCAAGCTCCCCAGGAAAGCAGTGGCAGCCTCTGGGGTTTACACCACAAATATATCCTGTGGCCCTTTCAGCAAAAAAAAAACCTTAACCAGGAAGGGGGCCTGTGAAGGTTAGGACCCTTCCCACAGCCCCGCTGTGGTCCAGCCCCGGGACCCATGGCCTCTCTCCAGGCCCTCCGCACCCCGCCCCATGCCCCAGTCCTTTCCTACTCCAGAAATGCTCCCCACCCCCCCAAAGAGGGAAAAGCAGATAACCCAACAGGAGGTGGTGGGGTCTGACGTGTCCAAGTGCTGGCAGACACCCTGGTCACCCAGGACAGAGCGGAAAAAAAAAAAAGAGGTCAGGGTTTTAACGAGCTATGCAATCTTTTTCCAAAACCCAAGGTTGGGCTGCTTCCCACCCCTGCCTGTTCCCCTTCTCCCGGCCTCCTTCACAATGTGAAGCTGTGGGTGCAGTGGGCCCAAGGGCTCTTGCTCCTGTCTCTGCCTCTGGGTCATGAGTACCACCCTGCCTGCCTCCCCAACACCGTGGAATCCTCACTGGTGTGCTGTCCACAGATTTGTGAACTCCTGGTAGTAAAACACTTTTGCATCCCTTTGCTCTCCATGTATGCTAATGTTAGGAAATGTTTGAGGGTACCTTTGCTTCTGATCCTTGAAATCCCACCATTGGTGTCTCACCTCTCGGCATTAGGCAGTGCCTCCTGCTTTAGGCACTAACTTTGATTTCAGTGCGTGTGCCATCGGGAGGAAAACACATTCATGCCCCGAACCTTCCGTGAATTCCCTGACAGTATCTCTGGTTAACATTTGGGAGTGCTAACCACTCAGGCACAGGGACAGTTGCTTCAGTCTCAATCCTTAAACCCCCAAGGAGGGAGGGACTCTTACAGGCCTATATTTCAGGAAAAGCTGCATAGCCAAGTGGTCACTAAGAGTAGATTTCCCACAAATGCAACCTGAGCCCGCTCTGCCCAGGGTCAGGGCAGGGAGGAGGGGCACGTATGGTGTTCTCTCTGGAGATGATCAGTCCTGTTTTCTGCATCCCAGGCCTGGGGGTTGTTGGGAGTGGGGTAGCAAGCCAGCTGTCCACCCTTATAGAGAAGGGGACATGTGGATAGGAAGGGAAGTGACACACAAAACAGGAAGTTTCCTGAGGGACAGAGTTCCAGGAAGAGCCAGCCTGACCTGAGGGTACAGCTGGAGCGAAGAGGCCTGAAGCAGAGGATGTGGCTTCTGGCCCTCCCCTCCTTTTCGCTGATGGGGCCGCAAGGAGGGGAACTGGTTTTGTTCTCGGTAGCAATTGCATGATGTCACTTGGCCAGTTAGAAAGGTGTCTGTGCTAGCACACAGCCTGCCACACATTCGGTAAGTGCTCAGTAGTGGGAGGCAGGTTCAGTCAGTCTGCCTGGGCCTCAGCATGCTTATCTGGGAAATGGGGGTGGTGACCCCTGCCTTTGGCCAATCTCATTCCTCTCCAGTCCCTCCTGTGCATGGATGGGAGGCACAAGGAAAGCAGGACATAGCCAGGAGCTGCAGGCACCTGCAAGGTCCTCTTCCACCTGCTCTCAGGCAGGCACCTCGGCTGTCTCGGAGCCTAGTTCTGTAGCAGGCTGGATGAGTCTCAAGATCCAAAGGGTGCCTTCAAGTGAGCTGAGGCCTTTGCGATAACCCCTGGCATGGCCTGGGTACCAGGAAACCCACTGGTGGGCTGCCGGATGCCAGGCCCTCAGAATTTGTGCTTCCTGTACGTGAAGAAGAGCCTCCGAAGCTTGTCAGGCTGCAAGGAAGGAGGAGATACTGGGGCCTGGGGTCGCTGGACAGGGAGGGAAAGACCCAGGCTCCGAGGACCCCTCATTGACCTTGGGTTGGGGGCCCAAGCCTAGGACATGAGGCCAGGTTGGAATTCTGATAGTTGATTCCACAAGCCTCTCCCAGTGCCCGAAATCCCACCTTTAGCTCCCCAATTTCAGATGCAGGGTTCACCCTCTTCTGGCTAAGGAGAGAAGGGGAAGAAGGAGGGTAGAAAGGGTGGCGAGCCTCACCTTACCTCCCTGGAGTGCCCTGGTCTCCCCTGACCCACAGCTGGGGGCCTCAGGATGCACTGGTGTCCGAGGTAGGGTGGGGTGAAGCTGTACCCAGGCCCACAGAGATGGGAGAGGACATGGGGCAGCCGCAGGGAAAGAGCAGACATGGGATGTGGCTTCTGAGGGTCTCCACTGCCAGGTCTGTGGTCCCCAGAGAGTGAGGATCTCAAAGGCTGCTATCCATGGGGTGTGTGGGCACAGCCCTGCCCTGAGGGAGGAGCCGTCAGCACTTCCCAGGAAGATCTTTCCACCAGGAGCCCAGGCAGGAAGATCCGCGTGTGCCTGACTGAGATCAGAGGACTTGCCCATGGGGAAGGGACTCTCAGGTTTTATTGTCTCTGGGTATAGGCAGAGTGTAGTTGGGACCGAGGGCTCCAGAGAGTTCATCTGCCTCCCTGAGAACCCTGAACCAGCCCCACTCCTGGCCACCGCTCTCCACACTCCTGGTCCCCTCTCTTCCTTACTTATCAGACCCCTGCAGAAACTGAGAGGGAGGGGAAAGGACCCCTGGTCTGCTGCACAGAAAGCCCTTAGAAGGTCCTGGAAGCCCCCAGCTTACACCCAAATCTAGCAGCTGCCTCTGCCACCAATACCACCACCACCACTACCACCACCACCACCCCAGAGATCCTCAGAATAATAGCTCTGTTCATCAAGAGCCCTCTCTGGGCTGTGTTCTGAGCAGGAGAGGGTGTCTAGCATTATCCTCTGGGCACCTACCCCTGGATACAAGCAGAGGATCAGCCCATTTTACAGATGAGGAAATGGAGGTCCTGGGTGGGGTTGCTAAACAAGAATATAGATGCCAGTTAAATTTAAATTTCGGATAAACAAAGGAATAATTGTGGTATTTAAGACATACTTTAAAATGGTTTTTGTTTTGTTTTGGTTTGGTTTTTTGTTTGTTTTTTTAAACAGGGTCTCACTTTGTCTCCCAGGCTGGAGTGCAGTGGTGCAATCTTGACCCATTGCAACTTTAACCTCCCAGGTTCAAGCCATCCTCCTGCTTCTGCCCCCCAGGTAGCTGAGACTACAGGCCACCACGCCTGGCAATTTTTTGTATTTTTTCATAGAGATGGGATTTTGCCATGTTGCCCAGGCTGGTCTCAAACTCCCAAGCTCAAGCAATCCACCTGCCTCAGCCTCCCAAAGGGCTAGGATTACAGACATGAGCCACCATGCCTGGCCTCAAAAATATTTGTTGTTTATCTGTAATTCAGGTTTAACTGGTTGTCCTGGAATTTGTCTTGCCCAAAGCTACAAGGTGAGGGAGTAGGAGCAAAGGGGCCATTCTCCTGCTCCCAGAGGCGCTAAGACCCCTGCAGAGGCTGAGACGGAGGGGATGGGAACCCTGATCTGCTGTAGAGAATGCCCTTAGAAGGGCCTGGAAGCCCCCATCTTACATCCAAATCTAGCAGCTGCCTCTCCCACCACCACCACCACCACCACTTCTAGGCAGATATTAGGGCTGGAAAATTCTGTGTACTTCCAGGCAGTGGCGGTGACCTGACCTGCCTATGCCTGGGGGCTTCAGGTTGTCTCCTACCACCAGGTGCTCTCTAAGGGCTGGGAGCCGCCCCACCCCATCATGGAGCTCACCTTGTGTGTCCGTCCAGTCTCCTTGCTCTTGGTTGCTGGGATCTGTTCATAGGTGTTCCCAGGCTCTGAGAGCTCTGGGGTCCCTGAGATCCTCTTGTAGCCATGGACCCATGGGCTATATGTGGGACTGGCCCCAGGATGTGGGGCCCTGGCTGGGCCACCCCAGCAAGCTGGGATCTGCTCATAGGTGCTGCCTTCTTGGTCTGGTGTGTCCCTGGCCTCTTGCAGGAGGCCTTCTGTCCCGATGAACTCATAGATATCTGCAGAGCTGCCCTGGGAGCAGGGCTGAGCCTCTTGGCTCAGCTTTGGAAACTCCTGCCTCCAGGTAGCCCCCAGGGATCCCATGGCATCAGAACATCCCCAGGAAGTGGGAGACTCTGTGGGACCCTGGTCTGGGCTCACCCCAGAAAGGACAGGCCCCAGGCCATCAGGCCTGTTCTGTTCTCCATCTGAGAGTCTCCTTTGGGCCTCCCTGCCTGGGGAGTAGGCCTGGCTGCCAGCTGGAACTGGCCCATGCCTGCCGGACCCCTCTGTGCCCAAGCCTAGCCGTGCCTGGTTCATCCTCCTCAGGTCTGCATAGATGATGTCACTGGGGCCTCCAAAAGACTCTTCCAGGAGGGAGGAACTCTTCTCAGGGAGTGGAGACACTCTGATGGGAGCCTGGGGAGACAGGGACAGAGAAACTCTTAAGGGGCAGCCCATCACTAAGATGCCCTCCAGTAAAAACTCTCTCAGATAAGCCGAGGCCCCCTGTCTTGGCTATAGTCCTCCTGCCCGTACATGCAAGGGTTGGATACATGACACTCAGGGTCCCTTCCAGCGCTCATGCTCTAGAACTTGTTCTTTTTTTTGTTTGTTTTTTGAGATGGAGTCTTGCTGTGTTGCCCAGGCTATAGTGCAGTGGCGCAATCTCAGCTCATTACAACCTCAGCCTCTTGGGTTCAAGCTATTCTCCTGCCTCAGCCTCCTGAGTAGCTGGGATTACAGGCTCCCACCATCATGCCCAGGTAATTTTTGTATTTTTGTAGAGACAGGTTTTCCCCAAGTTGGCCAGGCTGGTCTCGAACTCCTGACCTCAGGTGATCCACCCGTCTCAGCCTCCCAAAGTGCTGGGATTACAGGTGTGAGCCACCACACCCGGCCTAGGACTCGTACTTTACCTTGGCATTCAAGGCCTTGGGTCACCAGCACTCCCACCCAACTTTCCCTTCCCGTGCTCCTCCCACCTCCATTGTGGTCCACTGGTCCCTCAGTGGCCCCAAACCCACTCACTGCTGCATTTCCCTTCAGAATGGCCCATCTCCAAGTCCATCACTCATTTGACAAATATTTAGTGAGCACCAACTATGTGCCAGACAGTGTCCTAGGTGCCAAGGACTCTGGTGAGCAAGACTAACTCTTGGGAGTTTATATTCTAATCTGGGAGATGGGCAGCCTACTGCTGCGCTGTGTAGCACAATATGGTTTGATGTGCTATATGATGGGTGAATATATCACAAGACAATGGAGTGTGGGGGCATGATCAGTGCTACAAAGAACGAAGCAGGGTCATGGGATAGAGAGAACGGCAGGTGGGGAAGGCAACATTTTCTGTCATGTAGGTGGGCCTTTCTGAGGAGGTGATATTTAAGAAGAGAATGGAATGCAGTTAGAGTGTAAACCATGCAGATATCTTGTAGGAAGAGCATTGCAGGCAGATGGTAGAGCCAGTGCAGAGGCCCTGAGGTGGGAGCAAGGTTGGTATGTTCAAGGATGATCTAGAAGGCCAAAGAAGCCAATGAAAAGGCCTCACTGAAGCCTCCAGTGAAGAAGCAGAGGGTAGCAGGGCATCTGGTGAGGCTCTTGTGGGCCCCAGTGAAGTGTTTAGGTTTTATTCTAAATATGAGGAGAAGCTGTTGGCATGCTGTGATCTGATATAAAGAAAAATCCTTCGGCCAAGCGCTGTGGCTCACGCTTGTAATCCTAGCACTTTGGGAGGCCGAGGTAGGCGGATCACCTGAAGTCAAGAGTTCAAGTCCAGCCTGGCCAACATGGCGAAAACCCGTCTCTACTAAAAATACAAAAAAAAAAAAAAAAAATTAGCCAGGCATGGTGGCGTGCACCTGTAATCCCAGCTACTCAGGAGGCGCAGGCAGGGGAAATCACTTGGATCCAGGATGCAGAGATTGCAGTGAGCCGAGATGGTGCCACTGCCCTCTAGTCTGGGTAACAGAGCGAGACTCTGTCTCAAAAATAAAAATAAAAATGGCTGGGCACAGTGGCTCATGCCTGTAATCCCAGCACTTTAGCCAAGGCGGGCGGATCACTTGAGGTCAAGAGTTCAAGACCAGCCTGGCCAATATGTTGAAACCCTGTTACTACCAAAAATACAAAAATTAGACGGGTGTGGTGGCAGGTGCCTGTAATCCCAGCTCCTCGGGTGGCTGAGGCAGGAGAATCACTTGAACCCAGGAGACGGCGGAGATTGCAGTGAGCTGAGATTGCACCATTGCACTCCAGCCTGGGCATTGCAGCGAGACTCTGTCTCAAAAAAAAAAAAGAAAAGAAAAATCTTTCTGAGTCCATGGGGTGCTATGGAGAAGAATAAAATATTGACTCACAGGCACCCCATGCTACAGCTTACTAAGGGATATTCAGGCATTTCATATCCATTTTCTCATTCAAGCTTCACAAGAACCTCAGGCATGGTAAACTGAGGCTCAGAGAAATTATGTGACTCGCCTAAAGCCACATCGCTAGAAAATGGCCAAGCCAAGGCTTGAACCAAATCTAACTGGCCACAGGCAGGCCATGGCACGGGTGAACCCTGGGTGATTCCAAGCTGGGTCCGCACCTCTGGGCCTGGCTCACCCTCCACAGCCGGAGGGAGTGGCTGGCCTGGCCTCAGGGTCTGACTGGGAGCATGGCACCCACATCCCTGGTCTGGCAACCCTGACTCTAGGTGGCCCATAATGCTCCTCACCTCCATGCTTTCCTCCTGGGAGAGGTTCCGGGGACTCACATCCAGGCTTTTCTGTGCATGGAGGAAGGAGACCTGGGGCTTTGGAGAAGAGCGGGGGCTGGCGGCCTTGTCGGGGACCACTGTGAGGAATGCCGTGGCAGGTGGGTTTTCTGGGTCCACGATGGTCTGGTGGAGGCCCCGGGTGATGGCATCATACAGATCATTGTCCTCTGGCTGGGAGCATGCGGATACGGCAGGTATGTGGTCACACATGCCCAGCCAGTCTCCAGCTGCCTGCCTGAGACTGCTGGTAAGAGACTGCAACATTCCCACCAGGTCTCTGACCTCAGGTAAGACATTGCCACAGTCTCCCTTTTTCCAATAGGGATCATGACCCCACACCAAGTGCCCCTGGGTGATAGTAAATAGGGAGGGCTTGAAAAGGAGTATGTCTGAGTGATGGATACCCCAGGCCTGGGCTCTCTGCCCTGCCACCCTCACCCTGGGGAAGTGGGGCGCCTACCCGGGGGCAGGCAGCAGTCAGCATCTCTTTGAAGGGCTCGAGCTGTGCCTCCTGGTAATGGTGCACAAGCTCAGCCAGGGTGCTGTGGCTCTGGGTGTCTCCTGAGATGATGTAACGCCGGTTTCGAAGCTGGTTGATGACAAAATGTCGGCAGCGATCACTGCCCCTGCAACACAAGTGCTTGTGGTCTGGGGCTGCTGGTCACAGGCAGCCCAGCCTTGGCCCAGGGTCTGAGCTCTGTGCCTGGGTGCAGGTGAGGGGTCCCAGCTCTTGATCCAGAACAGACCTGCCTGACCTGGGGCCACTGTACCCCACTTGGAGCCATGGTGTGTTCATCAGGAAGCTACGGAGAGGTTTTCAAACCGTGGAGCCCTGGGATCCTGGGAAGTACCTAAGCCTGCTCTGGTGGAGTCAGGGAGAGCACGGCTGTGACTGGAGTGAGGCAAGTGAGGCACTCATCTTAGGTGCGAAATTTAAAGGGGCACCAAAAAACTCAATAAAGAAAACTAATAACGCAGTATTTTAGAAAATCAAAATATATGAAAAAAATCCACAATGAACAAAACACCAAAGTTTTAAATAAAGACAGGATCCAACCCTGCACCTGTACAACTCAACCTCACCCTACTCCCCACCCTGCTGCAATGATGGAGTTCCAGCTCCCACCCCCTCTTCGGCCTGTAAAGTCCCACCCTAAAATCCTACCCTCTTCATCTCCCTTTTTCCTAGAAGAATAACCTCTACACAGTGATGTGTGTACATTATAAATGTGCAGCTTGATGAATTTCCATATAGGAACCCTCCCATGTAACTGCCACTCAGGTCAAGATACAAAACCCTTCCAGCCCCCAGAAGACCTACTTGCGCTCCCATCCAGTCAATGCCCCCTAAAGGTAGCCACCATTCCGACGCCTATCAGCATAGATTAGTCTTGCCCATTAGAGAACTTCTATAATACTTCTCTTTTGTGTCTAGCACATTTCACTCAACATTATATCTTGGAGATTGATTCATGTCCAAGTAGAATTAGTTTCTTTTTTTTCTCATTTATATGTAGTATTCTAGTTAATGAAAAATCCACCATGTACCTATTCTGATGATAGACATTTAGGTAGTTTCCGGATTTGGGCTGTTATAAATAAAGCTGCTGTGAGCATTCTTGTGCATATCTTTTGGTGAATATGTACTCATTTCTGATGTGAATATACCAAGGAGTAGAGTTGATGGGTCAAGGGTACACCCGTGTTTGGCTTTAGTAAATCATGCCAAATTGCTTTCTAAAATTATTGCAATGCGCCAGGTGCAGTGGCTCATGCCTGTAATCCCAGCACTTTGAGGGGCCGAGGCAGGCAAATCACTTGAGGTCAGGAGTTCAAGACCAGCTTGATCAATATAGTGAAACCCCATCTCTACTAAAAATTAAAAAAAAAAAAATAGCCGGTGTCGTGGTGGTTGCCTGTAATCCCAGCTACTCTGGAGGCTGAGGTAGGAAAATTGCTTGAACCCTGGAGGCGGAGGTTGCAGTGGGCTGAGATTGTGCCATTGCACTCCAGCTAGGTGACAAGAGTGAAACTCCATCTCAAAAATAAAATAAAATTATTGCAATGTATGAGAGCTCCAGTTGTTCCACATATTCTGTCTTTCCATTATAGCCATCCATTGTGGCTTTAATTTGTGTTTCCCTGATAGCTAATGATGCTGAACATGTTTTCATATGCTTATGGGCCTTCTGGGTTTTTCTTTTTGGTAAAGTGCCTGCTCAGTTCTTTTGCTTTTACTTATTGAATTATCTATTTTTGCTTATTTATTTGTAGGAGTTCTTTATATATTCTGGATTTGAGTCCTTTGTTAGATATTTGTATTCTAATAGATAACTTCTTCAAGACTGCACCCTGACCTTTTTCTTCTCTTAATAATATCTCTTTATAAGAATTATAAAAATTCTTAATTTTGGCTAGGTGCAGTGGCTCACGCCTGTAATCCCAGCACTTTGGGAGGCTGAGGCAGGTGGATCACCCAAGGTCAGGAGATTGAGACCAGCCTGACCAATATGGTGAAACCCCATCTCTACTAAAAATACAAAAATTAGCTGGGTGTGGTGGCGTGTGCCTGTAGTCCCAGCTAGTTGGGAGGCTGAGACAGGAGAATTGCTTGAACCCGGGAGGCAAAGGTGGCAGTGAGCAGAGATCGCGCCACTGCACTCCAGCCAGAGCGAGAGAGCGAGACTCTGTCTCCAAAAAATAAATAAATAAATAAATAAATTTTAAAAAATTCTTAATTTTAAGGAAATCAAGTTAATCACTCTTTTAAGATTAGCGCTTTTTGTGTCCTGTTTAAAAAAACTTGGCCTCTCATTTTCAAAGGCATTTTCATTTACCTATGACAATGTTTTCCTGTTTTCTTCTAGAAATGGTATTGTTTTGCTTTTCTTTCTTGGATCTACGATCCATCTAGAATTAATTAATTTTCATGTATGGTATGAGGTAGCAGTAATTGTTTTCCATTTAGATATCCAATTGCTCCTGCACCAATTATTGAAAAAACAAGCCTTTCCCCCACGGAATTGCAGTGATGCCTCTGTTGTAAATCTGGTAACCAAACATTTGGGACTATTTTGGGACTCTATTCTGTTAATTTTTCTATTTGTATACCTTTGGGCGGTCCCACTTTGGTCTCTTTTATAAGTTAGTATTCTCCCTAAGATCTCACCTGGGAAGAAACAAAACAAAAGAAAATAAAAAAATCCCCAAAGCTCAAAAGACATTTGAAAACTACTGAGTTAGTATATTTCAAAATGCCTAGCACAGTGTCTGGCACACAGAATAAAAATATTTTAACAATGATTAACATTTATTTAAAGTCCTTACTACATTTTATGCATTGTGTTAAACAGTTTTAAACGTATCAACTGATTGCACACTTTCATCAAGCCTATGAAGCAGGTACTATCATATTCCCATTTTACAGATGAGGAAACGGGGGAACAGAGAAGCAAAGTAACTTGCTCAAGGTAAGGGTTTGAACTGGGGCAGTCTGAATATGTGACAATTTTGAATCAGAATCTGAAGCCTTTTAAGTTTACTCTGGAGCCCTGGCCTCCCTCCCTACTTAGGGAAGCCTTCTTACCTCCTCTGAATTCCCCGTCCTGACCAACCTACTCTTGGGACAAGATCTGACATCACCATCTTTGCCTTTGTCCTCGCTACCTTGTCTCCTTCTCTCTATCCCCACTGTCTTACCCTAGCCTAGACCTCATTATCTCACATCCAGGCAATTGCAGGAGTCCCCAGTGCCCCCACACCTCCAGCTCTGACTTCCAGTCCTCTCTCCATAGGCTGCCTAAAGGACCTATGCAAATACATTGAACCAGATCATCCTTCATGGTCTACAGACTTAGCCAGGCATCCAAGGCCATTCTAAGCTTTTTCCACCCTCCCTTCCAGGCATTCCTCCAAAGGAACCAAGTGTTCTGCTGCACCCAGCAACCTGCAGCTCCCCCAGCACCCTGCAGCTCCCCCAGCACCCTTGTCTTTCATGCCTCTGTATTTTTGCACATGGCGTTCCATCTACCAGAGATACCCTCCTAAACCCCAACCACACCCTCCTTTCTGCCTAGCAACTTGTATTCTTCCTTCTATCCTAGGCTCAAAGTTCACCTCTGTGAAGCCTCCCCGAACCCCACTCACCTCCTTTGAAGGCCGTGTCTTCATCCCTAGTATATGGCCAGTGCTGCTCAGGAAGTGTCTGCTGAGCATGTGATGGATGATTGAGGGATTCAGGAGTCAGGACCCAGGGAAATCTAGGCAATTTGGGCCAGTGGGGCCTCTGCACTAATCTGCAAGGCTAGGTTATGGTAGGATGAGCTTGCTTGCCCAGAGGGCTTCCCCTCTTACCTGTAGGACAAGATGTAGCCAGTGGCTCGGTCACTGAGGCGGATAAGGAAGGAACCAAGAGCTTTGTCCCTGAGTAGCTGCTCCGTCTGCCTGGGCAGAAGACATGCCATTAGCTGGGGTCTGTGCCCTAATGGCAGCAGGTGCAGCCTGACTTAGGCCTCTCTTGGAATCCCTGCTGGCCATGCCTTTGGGTTCCAGACCTCCAACCCTTTATAGAGGAGCCACTCAGACCTGTGGATGGGTCTGTGGCCTGTCAGGGTTCAGCATGTGGCCTATCTGAGCCCAAATGATTAAGTTCAAGACTGTCTGGGGCTGGGTCAGGGTCTGAAGCCATATGCAACCCCCCCAACTCCCCACTGCAGCCTCACTAGCAGGCACATTGGTTGCTGACCCTGGCCACCCACTCTCCACCTGGATGGTTGTGTAGCAAGAATAAATCCACACAGCTGGAGATGTTGAGGTTTAGTGGGGAGTCCCTCCCTCAGAACCACTGTGTACAGTGCTGCAGGATGTGCACTACACACAAGCTTCTGCAGGGAGAAGATGCTGCTGTGTCTGAAGCAGCTAAAAGGGACTCATTCCTCTTCCTGTCCCCTTCAATCCCAGGCAGTTACAGAGATTTTCCACATGGTGCCAAATACTTTGGAGGCATGAAGAAAAGTTCCAGCTGTCTTGTGGTTTGGCAGTACACAGACCAGATATGTATTCCCTCACTCACTTACTCACCAAATACCGAGCGCCTGTTCTACGCAGCTAAATCATTTGCAGGACCAGGTGCTAAATGAAAACATGGGGCCCCTGGTTCAAAACGATTTAGAGTTTCCAGACAGTGACAGCAGAGCATTAAACCAAATGTGGAGCCCTTTTGACCCTGTGCTGCTGCACGAGTCAGTGACCATAAAGCTGGCCCTGGCTCTGTGCAGGTGCTGTGCCAGGACCTAAGGACTGGCTGGATTTGCCATTCCTTCATCAGGTGTTTTGGCTGCTTGGAGACCCAGCCCAAATAGAAAGCCAAACCTGTATCTTGGCCTTTATACCTAGGATAACCATGCATCCAGGTTTGCCTGGGATGGCCCCATTTATGACGGTTCTCCTAGCTTAGTTACTAATAGTGTTCCGGTTTGGACGATAAAAGATATGGTCCCCTAGTTACTCATCAAGTCAGGGCCTGGCCCTCTTTCTGTCCTCTGGCAGCCTGGCAGCCCCAGCCATCCTCAACTTGTACTAAAGTAGAGGCCGTTGCCCTCCCCGACTCTGCCTACAGAAGCCACCACCAGAGGATGTGGCGCTCCTCAGTCTGTTCCCCTGCCCCCCGCCTCCAAGGGCCCCTGCCTAGCCCAGGGAAAGGATGGGAACCAGTCTGATCCAGAGTTCCCAGACCATTTTCTCAGCCCCAAGGGGCTGTGGGCTATGAGGGACCTGTGGGTAGAAGCAGCCTTACTTGCGGGTGATGAATCCATGAAACCAGGGAGGCAGGGCACCGTTCTGCAGAATGAAGGGGGCCTGTGTCTCCATGAACCACTTCAGGGCAAGCTCCTGGAGCTCAGCCAGGGCCTGGCTGTCCCCTGCCCCCTCAGGATCTCTCCCCAGGCTGAGCTGCTTTAGGCTGTCCTCCATGCTGGCAGGCACCAGAGTGGAAGCAGAGCGCAGCCAGTGCACATGCCTCTATATCTGCGTGTGCTCTGGCTCATTTGCCTGAGCCCGTGCCCTACCCAAGGGCCCATAGCACACAGCAGCCCCATTGTCACCTCTGGGCTGGTGGCTGGTTCTCTCCTCTGATGCTTTGGGGTGGGGCACCTTGGCTGGCTGCAGACATGGGGGAACAATCACCGTAGCAGCCTGAGAGGGGTAGGGAAGGCCCTCCGTGGCTTCCTGGCCAGCAGATAAGCTACCTCACTGGGTTTGGCCCTGTTCCCCACAACCTCCTGTCTTTGTCACAACTAAAGATCAGACCCTGGCAAAAGTCCACAGCACTGCCCCTGGGAGCAAAGCAGTGGATTTAAATTCTAGGTATCCTTCCTTCGTGGAGGCTATTTTTATTTTGATGGAGAAGTTCTGTGCTAACCAAGTCTTCCATCCACTCAAGATTTATTGAGTCCTTACTGTGTGCCATGTAAATCTGGGCCCTGGGAATAAAGCAGTGAATAAAACAGCACTTTGCCCTCATGGCACATACATTCTAGAGGGAGACAAACAAATATATGTGTAGAATATAGAGTCAAATGGAATAAGCACTCCAAGACAAAGGCAGAAGAACAAGAGAGCACATGGGCTGCATTATGCAGACACAGAGTCAGGGGTCGGGGTCAGCCTTGTCCAGGAGGTGACACTGAACAGTGAAGGAGGAAGCCAAGCATGTACCTAGGGGAGTAGACTCTTGTCAGCAGGGGGAAAGCATGTGCAAAGACGAAGAGGTGGGACTTTGTTGCAGATTTTGAAGAAAAAACAGAAGCTCATGTCGTTTTAACAGAGAGGGGACTTTGGAGTAGATGGGTCCCCTGGAAAGGCAGGGATAGGCCTGTGGTAGGAAGCTTTGGAGCAGTTAGGGCAATGGGACCATTTGTTCACACAAACATCCCTGAGTATCTAATGTGTTTCTGAGTTTCCTAGCAGAAATCCAGGCCGGGTGGATGGTAAGGCAGCAGATGGTGCAGTCAGCCTCAAGGATCTTGGTGATACTCCCACTTCCACCACACACTGATGTGAGACCACCCTGGGCAAGTAGCTGGGACTGACGTGGGGTCTCAAGAAACTTACTAAATTGTTGCAGAGAACTCAATTTCCTCATCTGTAAAATGGGCATGAGGCAAAGCTATTTTCTAGACTCTAGGGTCATTATGAGGACTAAGTGAGAGGGCATAATGGTTGATAATGAAGGGGCATTTATATAAGTTCAAAAATAGGATGCAGGTACTGTTACAATATGACTGAAGTGATTTGTTGTCATTTCCCCTGCTTAAAGCCCTTGATATATAACTATCTCTGTCTAACTCATTCTGAAGTAAGACAGAGATGCTTGGTTTCATTTTTCCTTGAGGCCAGACCTGTAATCCCAGTACTTTGGGAGCACAAGGTGGGAGGATCACTTGAGGCCAGGAGTTCATGGCCAGCCTGGGCAACATAGTGAGCCCCTGTATCTAAAAAGAAAAAGGCAGAACTAATCAATGGCGATAGAAGTTAAGATAGTGGTTACCTTGGGGACTGGGTGGGGAGCGAAAAGCTGCTGGTGCTGACAGTGTTCTGTTTCTTGATCTGGTTGGTGGGTTGAGTGAGTGTGGATTGAGTGAGTTGAGTGAGAGTGCTCACTGTGTGAAGATTCATGGTTCATGCATTTTTCTATGTCTATGTTCTACTTCAGTGAAAAAGTTTAAAAAAATGAGGGTGTTACAGCCAGATTTCCTTGGTTCAAATTCCAGCATACTAGCTATATGACCTTAACCAAATGATCTAACTTGTCCTGCTGTTAGGAAGGTTAGATTAGTTAAATCCTTAGAACAGTGTGTGGAATAACATAGTGACTAGGATTAGCTATTAATTTGATGATGATGATGATGATGATGATGATGATGATGATGATGGTGATGCAAGATTCTGAAATACAGAAGGTCTGCTCCTGTTGATAATTATAATTATTGTTATTATTACAACATCATCATGGGTTATCTGAAATCAAGATAAAAATGCCTGTGAGGGTGTGTGTGAGGCTTATAGTGTAGAGAACACGCAAGGACATGAGGCAAACCTGTGATCTCAATCTGGGCAGCTCTTTCTCATCTTATTTATTTATTTATTTAGAGACAGAGCCTCGCTCTGTCGCCCAGGCTGGAATGCAGTGGCACGATCTCCGTTCACTGCAACCTCTGCCTCCTGGGTTCAAGCGATTTTCCTGCCTCAGCCTCCTGAGTAGCTGGGACTACAGGCGCGTGCCACCATGCCTGGCTAATTTTTTGTATTTTTAGTAGAGACGGGGTTTTACCGTGTTAGCCAGGATGGTCTTGATCTCCTGAGCTCTTTCTCATCTCTCAGCCACATTTTCCCCATCTGTGAAAAGGGTAACCATACTTAGCTCACCTGGGGATGGGGTGAATTACTACAGATAGTGCTTTTCTCACAAGGACAAGCACATAGGCACATAGTAAGTGTTCTTGGAGGGTCTACTACTAGGAACATCACTTTTATAAACCATTAATTCCCAGCCTTGACACTGGAGGAGTCAACTCTTGCCAGGGGACATCCTAAGGGAACCATCATTCGCATGCTTGCTAATTGGTCTTCCCTGTCACAAACATAAGCCAGGGATATAATGGCATCAGAACGGAAATCCCAGGCCTGGGCTGACAAGGACTGGAACTCTTTAAAATGAGAAAGGGGGCTGGGCATGATGGCTCACACCTATAATCCCAGCACTTTGGGACACCAAGGCAGGAGGATTGCTTGAGCTCAGGAGTTCAAGACTACCCTGGGAAACATAGCAAGGCCCCGTCTCTACTAAAAAAAATAAAAATAAAAATAAATTAGCCAGGTGTGGTGGTGTACACCTGTGGTTCCAGCTACTTAGGAGGCTGGGGTGGAAGGATCGCTTGAGCCCAGGAGGTTGAGGCTGCGGTGAGCAATGATTGCACCACTGCACTCCAGCCTGGGCAACAGAGCAAGACCATGGCAAAAAAAAAAAAAAAAAAAAAAACTGGGCAAGACAGGGAGGAGGAAGATTACATCTTGATTTTCCCTAACCTTTCATTGAATTCAGCATTTCCTTCCATGGTGAATGATGCTGGGAACAAACCTCACTGGGTTAGCAGCACCTGTTACTTTGTTACCAACAGAAATAACAGATATTTTCATATTACACTACAGCTGTTGTGGACTCTTGGGATATCATTTTTGCTCATCATTACCTCAAAATTACAGTAATTAGACCCAACTCTGGATCTTGTTATTTAATGTGCCAATAAAACATATCATGTAATATCACAAATATTTTTATAAACCCTATTTCGATATAATTTATTTCCATTGCTCTCTGTATTTTATTTTGTGCACTTAAAAGAGTCTATTCTGAGAAGTCCATAGGCTTCGTCACATACAAAGAGGTCCATGGCACAAAAAGGCTAAGGATGCTGGGGTCTAACCCAGAGTCGGTTTGCTGCCAAAAGTGAGATCCTATAAGTATTCAAATGCAAAGAAATGCATTTCTATAATTTTCCATGATGCACTCTCTCTCCACCTTCCTTTCAGGCTGGATACTTTTATGGGCAGAACCTGGTCATTTTCCTAAGAAGACAAAGGCTTTATGTACAAAAGGAGGCAGAGCCCAGGATGGCTACGGGCCAGAGGTCAGATTCCAAAGTCAGGCAAATAAGGCGGGTCTCTATACTCAGTGGAAATGTGGGGCTGGGGAGGGGCAAGGCCCAGGTGAGCTCCATGAAGAAGGGTCGGGGTAGGAAAAGGTTGTTCTTGACGGTGCTCTTTGTGTCATTGTTCATTTCAATACGTGTGGTCACCTACTGGGTGCTGAGGCCTGGGCATAGAAAGAACACTGCAGTAGTCCTGCTCTCCTTCTCCACCTGGGGCCCAGAGGTACAGGGAGAGGGAGTAGAAGACTTCAGGCTCTGGAGTCAGACTTATTGGCTTAGCATCCCAGCTCCCTTACTTGTTGGCTCTGTGACTTCACTGTGTCTGTTTCTTCATCTATAAAAATAGAAGGGAGAAAAAGTACCTACCTGGTAGGTTTCAGGAATTCTCAGAGCTAATCTATGCAGTGAAGTGGCTGGGAGGCTCAGCGCATATGCAATAGATATCAGTGGCCATCATGATTCACCCACAGCTGCAAGTCATCCCCGGGACTGGGAAGTCCCCAGAATTCGAAGTCCCTATCCCTAGCAAAACTTCCCTGTCCTAAGTTCTCCTCTCTCAAAAGGCTGCTTTTCCTATAGCGCAAATAGATGGTAATGGATTATCCCACAAATGACTATCTACTGAAGGTGTTCAGCCTGGCTTGCCCTTTCAGGAAGCAGGTTGAGGTTTCTCCAGAAAGCTGCTCAGAGGTAGTGTCTCTCCAGCCGTTTCGATGAAGGCCCACTGAATGTGCCCTAACCAAGCACTGACTCTTTCACTTCTCTTTCTGAGCCTGTGCAGAAGCTACGTTCATTGCCAAGTGCTGCCGGCAGAGCCTGGTGATGGAACACCTAAGTGGACTTTTCCGTAAATGCTTGTCATGTGCCTGTGTTAGTCTATGCACATTACATTTTCATAGCGCTAAGTTGTTTCGTTAATAGGCCTGAATTAGTTCTATAACACTGGGGAGTGAAGAATGGATGATCCTATTTCTTTTTTCTCAATTTGTCTATCTCATTTTCCACTGTATTCCTTACCTAGAATAGTGCTTGGCACAGGTAGATGCTCAGTAGGTTTGTTTTATGCTGTTATTTTATGTTATTTTTGAGAGAGAGTATCACTCTGTTGCCCAGGATGGAGTATAGTGGACATGATCTTGACTCATTGCAACCTCCAACTCCCAGGTGAAAGCGATTTTCCTGCCTCAGCCACCCAAGTAGGTGGGACTACAGGCATGCACCACCACACCTGGCTAATTTTTGTATTTTTAATAGAGATGGGGTTTTGTCACATTGGCCAAGCTGGTCTCAAACTCCTGACCCCAGGTGATCCACCTGCTTTGGCCTCCCAAAGTGCTGGGATTACAGGCGTGAACCACCGTACCTGGCCTTCAGTAAATATATTTTAATTCATTATTCAAGTAGACGATAAATCAACATAATATTTAAAAAGACAAATATAAAAAGATACCAGTAAAAATATTTTTCCTCCAGGCATTTAACCCCATCCACCCAGTTACTAACCACATTTCATTCCCATAGATAACCACTGTTAGTTGTTCCTTGAATGTCCTTCCTGGGTTTATGTACATCCAAATAAGTATGTATATTTTTTCTTTTCTTTTCTTTTTCCCTTCTCTTCTCTTCTCTTCTTTTCTTTTTTTGAGACAAAGCCTTGCTCTGTTGGCCAGGCTGGAGTGCAGTGGTGCAACCACAGCTCACTGCACCCTCAACCTCCTGGGCTCAAGCAATCCTCCCACACCTCAGCCTCTTGAGTAGCTGGGACTAAAGGTGTTGGGATTATAGGCATGAGCTACTGCGCCCAGCCAAGTGTGTATATTATTTTCCTCACCTTCTTACATAAAAGATAGAGTACTATACAGCATTCTGCACCTTGCCTTGTAAAAAAAATTCAACAGTGTATCTTGGCACTCCTTCCACAAGACTAAAGAGAGGGGTGCCATTCTTATTTTCACAGCTGCATATTATTCCATTGTATGAATACATAATAATTTTTGTAACCAGTCCTCTATTGATGGTCATTTGAGTTGTTTCCAATTTTTTTTAATTCCTGAAAATGCAGCAATGGATAACCTTATATGGATTTGATTAAGTGTAAGAATAAATACATCCATGAAACACATTCTCGAAAGTGGAATCGCTGAATCAAAGGGTATTTGCAGTTGTCATTTTAGCAGATGATGCCAAATTGCTTTCGTTAAGCGTTGTATTGATTTATGGCTCAGTAAATACTGAATAAATGAATGAATAATATTTTCAATTTCAGTCATTTTGAGGCCCCCAGCATGCAGGAAAAACCAGCGGAGAGGGCTATGGCTGGTCCAGAGAAGTCACCAATGTTATCGTGATCCTTTTGGTCCCTCAAGGCCACTGAGTGACTTCGTCTTGCCATCTTTCTACATGGCTGCTGGTTGGGGAGGGCAGTGTCCAGAGAGGTCCCCCTCAGCCCTTCTCCCACCAAACACAGGTGGTTCTATTTTATCCTTAGGACAATGGCCAGGTACTGGGCTGGGAACTTTCCAAGGGCCTATAAAAAGATCTGAGACCTGGAAGAAACAAACAAACAAACAACCAGTATTGGCTCCAAAATTCAAAAGGAGAAAAATGCAAAATCACAATGAATAAATGTATAAGTAAATGTCTATACTATGTAATATTGCATCAGCTTCATTTCGTATTCATAAAAGTTTCATCACATCTGAAAATGGTTTGGAGGCCAGATTATCTTAGCTCACAAAAATCCTCAAGTGTGCAAGAAGACTGCCAAGAAATCATTACCAATTGCAAGTGAAATGAATTCCTCAAGGCCAAATCATTTCAAAAGCAAAATCATAAGAATAATCCTTTCCAAAAAGCTTAAAGCAAAAGACATATATATTTTTATTGTAAAATATGGCCATGCCATTTAAAAATTACATATATTTGATAGTAGTGAGATGGAGACTCCAAAGGTGAGAGTGCCCTGGACCTACCACGGTCTTAAAAACATTGCCAACCTCATCTGCGCCATAAAGCACCCATCTGGGGGGCTCTGGGCCTGTAGTCTCTGCTCCTGACAGCCCAGAGCGGAAAACCACCCCTTAGATCAGAGAGGCTCCCTTGTCAGTGTACCTCTCAGTTTCAGCAGCAAGAACAAGACGCAAGTTAATTTTGCTATAGATAATCCAGACTCACTAGTGAGTATTTCTGAGTCCCATGTAAAAGTGAAATTCTTCAGAGTTGCTTGCTGTTTGCTCATGACAGCTGGAGAAGGGACGAGATTTTGGGATCAGTTTAGGGACCATAGGGAAGACAAGGGGCCAAGGACCATAATTTTGAGAACCCTCATTCTACAGCCTTTTGGAGGCCAGATGGCCACCGTGGGGCCCAGCTGCAGAGACCTGGTACACCTAGCAACTTGGGCAGCTGGGGCCCCTGGGCTTGCTCCTCAATTTAGTCCTATCCCTGTCTCCCTTCCCCTCACTTTACAGCTGGGAAAACAGAGGTCCTCCGTAGATTCCTAATGATTTTGAGCCCTTACCAGGTGCCAAGTACTTCACATACACACATACATGATTTCCTTTCATCTTTATAGCAGGTATACAAGGTAGCATTACTGTCCCCATTTTTTCCCATTATAAAGACAGGGACACTGAAACTCAAGAATGGAAATGGCCTGTCCAAGACAAGGAGTAAGTCCATGGCAGGGCCAAGTCGAGAATCTCGTACCCCATCCTCCTCCCCTATACATGCTGCATCCTCCTCCCATGCCATTGCTCCAGCCATTTTCCCTGCTACCCAAATTCTTTAAATACTTTAAAAATGCATTAATTCAAAATTAATAGTCAATGTAGTCAAACTTCCAAATAAGAAACACATTTAAAAACATTCCTCCCACTCCAGAATCTACTTCTTCTGGGTCTTTTCTGTGCCTGTCTTCATGTATCCTGACTGCCTTCTTCCCGCTTCCCTCTTCATTGCTTTGCTCACATAAGTACGCCGTAAACTCCTTTCGTAGACCCCTTCGCCCAACCAGAAGAATGCCTGAACTTCCACCATCAGAACAGCATCTCTTTAAGCTGTCAGTTAAAATGCCCCACCTTCCAGACTTGGCCTCAAAGTAGGTTTTAGTCCCTGCTGCTTGTGTGGGAAGGGTGGAAGTGTCCGAGATCAGATTTGGCTGAGTGATGGGGGCACTGGGAAGGGGACAGCATGAGGGCCTCTAGGAAGCAGAAAGGTGAAGGCAGAGGGGACTACGCTGTGCTGGGCCGGGCGCCAGGCCCTGGGAACAGGGTGGTAACAGGAAGGACACAAGGCCTCTGCAGCTGCGGCCCATTGCCTCCTCAGGGTCTAGTGCTCCCCTGCTCCTGGGGCAGTGTGACTCTCCCTGTCTCCCATGCTGGGCTTGACTGCCTGGTACCAAGCCCCTGCCAACCCTCTACCCTCTATCAGCTCCCAGAGACACCCAGACCTCCATCTGTCTGAGCCTCGGTCCCCTGGCCCCAGGGCTGGGAGATTGGCCAGCACCTCAGATTTGTTCCCTCTCAGAAAAAGAGCCAGGAGGTATGCAAATTTGACTGCCAATTTGGTAGGGAAATGAGGCCTACTGGAAGCCAGAGTCCACAGTCCAAGATGGTCTGAGAGCCCTGGGCTCCCTTGCTGGGGCTGTTCTCTCTGAGGCTGTCCCACCTGACAAAACTGAGAGCTTCCTGCAGTGGGGCCAGGCCTAGTCTTGTGGTGAGTTTTCAGCACCACCCATCACCAGCCAGAGGCAAAGAGCAGGAGCCAGGGATGTTTGTTAAATGAATTAGTTACCAAACTGAGACTTGTTGTACGTCAGCGACTGTGTCCAGTGTTTTGCATTTACTGGCTCATTTAAGCCCCTAGCAGCTCTAAGGGGTAAATGTTATTATGCCCCATTGTACAGATGAGGAATCTGAGGCACAGAGAGGCTGGGAGATTGGCCCAAGCGCCCATAGTTCCTTATTTATTTACTTAGAGACAGGGTCTCACTTTGTCACCCAGGCTGGAGTGCAGTGGCGCAATCTCAGCTCGCTGCAACCTTGACTTCCTGGGCTCAAGCAATCCTCCTGCCTCAGACCCCCAAGTAGCTGGGACTATAGGCATGCACCACCATGCCCAGCTAATTTTTTGTAGAGATGGGGTTTTGCCATGTTGCCCAGACTGGTCTCAAACTCCTGAGCTCAAGTGATCCACTCGCCTCAGCCTCTCAAAGTGCTAGGATTACAGGTGTGAGCCATCAGGCCCAGCCCCCTTCTTTATTTTGAAACCACTCCCCCACCACCCTACCCCTGCCCCAGTACCCCCAACAACCTCCCACCAGGGCAGTAGGCTTGGTGCAGGGTGCCCCCTTTCAGAGCTTTGCGGACATACCTGGAAAGCCCTCTCTCTGGTCTGGGGTCTCCCTGTGGCAGCTGTGTGCTCTGGTCAAAGCATCCTCTGCTCTGAGGATGGGCTTGCTCTTCTCTGCCCTGCCCCTAGCCCTCCAGCGCTCGGCCCATTCACAGCTCCAGTCCCCCAACCTTCTTCACCCACCCCATCCCCTCCTCATCAGGCCAACTTCCTTCACAAGGACCTACGAGGATAGCATTGTCCAACCCCCAAGTAACACAGCTATCTCTGCTTCTGTCTGCCTCAGGGACACAAGGCCTTCATTTGTGCCCCGGATGGGGGTGACGATTAGGGCTGCTTCTCCTTCAGGGCCCAGGGTCATAGGATGCAAAAGTGTCACCTCAAAGGGGTCATGTTTGCACCAACTGCAGTGGGCAGCCAAGCCTGTAGATGGAGTGGAGCCCTGAGGGGATGGGGCAGCTTGGTTGTGATGGCTGCAACAGTCCAGAGGGCTTTGAGCAGTGGGACTGAAAAGAGCATAGCCTCCACTGGCCTGCAGAGCTGTGGGAAGAATGACTGCAGGCCCTCACAGCTGTGTCTCAGGCCACTGTTGTGTTTCTGAGCAGGCAGGGGCAGGCCTTTGGACATCACTTAGCCATCCGTCTCCTTGTTGTGCAGGTGGAAAACTGCAGCCCAGAGAGGGCAGGGACATGCCCTGGGGCATACAGCATACAGGTGATAAGGCTGTTTTCCTCTCTGGGCCTCCTGCAGATCTGTGCACTCCTCCAACGGGAGGTCAGCATCTCGGCCAGCTCTGTCTCCCTGGAGTCTGACAGCTACAAAGGCAGTGTGCAGTGAGTGCTTCTTCAGAGGCCTCTGGGCACATGCTACCAACTCTGGGGAGACTGACCTAGGATGAGTCACTGGCTCTGTGTTCCCCTAGGGTTTTCCCAGAGGCTGGCCATGTAGGAGCAAGTTTACTGCCCAAATTTCCCCTTTTCAGTAAACACCAGCTACTTCCTCCTGGGTGGTTACTTCCTTCTGGTCACTGGGTTCCTGGACGGCTCGAGGAAGCAGGGGCTTACATGGGCATGCAGGGCAGACCCCTCAACACCTCTCATGCCTGTACTAGATGCAGGGAAGGTACACAGGCTGTATAAAGCTGGCCCTGACCACAGGACATCACTGTTTAATCTAAGAGACCTCAGGAACTGCAGATGTCAACAAACCATTTACGAAGGGTTTCAGGGAATTAGGAGCCACCAGAGACAGCCCCAACATTTCCATGTAGGAGGCCCTTGGGAAGAACTGAAGCTATATCTATTTACATAAACTATAAACATTGTCCAGACTGAAGATGGAGGTACTAAGAGAGATGAGATAAAGCCCCATTGCCTAGTTCTCCTCAGCTCATGGCCCTAGGAATGAGGGGAGAAGGGTTTGTTCACGAAATAAAAAGCATTTCAGCAGGGTCTTGAGAGAGTCAGTGGGGAAGAGGGGCCTGGGGGAGGTCTAGAGAGTCAAGAGGGTTTTAGGGTTGATTCTGGAGGCTCTAGGGATCCTTGGAAGGCTTGGGCCACTTCCTAAGCCTGGTCGGGTAGACAGAGACTCAGGGCCCTCCAGGGGACCCTCCTGAGACATTGCTGTTGGCTTTGAGGCCTCCATACTTTACCACTCTCACTGGGGACTCAGGCCTGTGTCTGTGCAGCCTCCTCAGAGGGCCATATTCTGGACCCGGCCAGACCGAGGCAGGGGCCAGGCCAGTTTATCCCCTAATATACTAAAAAGCTCAGTGCCTGGGCCTGCCTGCTTGAGAGGCCTGTGAAATGTTTGTGGCCTAAGAAAAATGTATTGGCTCTAAAACCCAAGAAAAACAGCAAAATTAGAATTAATGAACATCTAATTAAATGTCTACAAATGTAACATGTCACCTTTATAGTCATCATAAAAATGTCATAACAGAGCTGGGCACCTTGGCTCATGCCTTAATCCCAGCACTCTGGGAGGCCAAGGTGGGAGGATCACTTGAGACCAGGAGTTTGAGACCAGCCTGGGCAACATAGCAGAGACCTATCTCTACAAAAAATACAAAAATTAGCTGAGCGTGGTGCTGCGCACACCTGTGGTTCCAGCTACTCAGGAGGCTGAGGTGGGAGGATTGCCTGAGCCCAGGAGGGGGAGGTTGCAGTGAGTTGAGGTAGCGTCACCGCACTCCAGCCTGGGTGACACAATGAGACCCATCTCCAAAAAAAAAAAAAAAAAAAAGGTCATTACATTTGAGAACAATTTCTAGGTTAGGTTTCTCTCACTTGGCCAAAATTCCCACACAGACACGATGATTGCCAAGAAATCAGCCAATTAAAAATGAAAATGAAAACTCATAATTAGATAATATCAAGAGCACAATTATGGATATTCCTGAAAACATTTTCATAGCAAAAATTATGTATATGTTTACTACGGGATGTAGAGCATTTTAATATGTTTGATATGATGTCAGGTGTGGCCTCCAGAAGGAAGAGGGCAGTGGCTTACAAGCATTTTATTTATTTTTATTATTATTATTATTTTGAGACAGAGCCTTGCTCTGTTACCCAGGCTGGAGTGCAGTGGCACGATCTTGGTTCACTGCAACCTCCTCCTCCCAGACTCAAGCGATTCTCCTGCCTCGGCCTCCTGAGTAGCTGGGATTACAGGCACGTGCCACCGTGCCTGGCTCATTTTTGTATTTTTAGTAGAGATTGGTTTTCACCATGTTGCCCAGGCAGGTCTCAAACTCCTGACCTTGTGATCTGCCCTCCTTGGCCTCCCAAAGTGCTGGGATTACAGGCGTGAGCCACCACACTCAGCCCTGCAAGCATTTTAAAATGGCCCCAGCTCATCTGTGCTGGGTGACCAGGGAAGGATTGGAGGCTCAGGTGTAGGGGAGTCAGGCTGAAGTCCAGCTTGCCCACTGAGGGGCACAGACAGCAGGTACGGTTCTGCATGCCAGGCCCTGGCGGATACAGCAGTGAACAAACCAATCATTCTCCTACCCTCGTGGAGATTATATTCTAGTAAGGCAGGGAGGTGACACACAAGAAAGCAGATAAAAGTAATGTGTGCTATGTTGTATAAATGCCGTGATGACATGTAGATGATTACCGCTTAAAACAGCACCCCTGTCCCGTCCCATCTGCCTAGCCCTGGCCAGCCAGCCCAGACTCTTAGTCCAGGAGGGGGGCTCGTGGCTTGTGCCTGTGAAGGATGCCTTCCTCGGGCCTAGCAGACATCGGCCCCCGTGAGACACCTCATGGGGCTTGGTCCTGTCCACTGGGACCACAGGTCATGGCCACCCCCACTTCCTTATAACTTACTGATAGATCTAGGAGAGATGGGCTACACCCTCCCCTGTCCTGTTGCCTCCCTGTACCATGGCAATACAGACCGGGTTCTCCCAGCTCTTCCCTTTCCCACAGTATTTCAAGGTCAGACCTCACCCTGACTGCCTACCCCACAAGCCAATTAGTCACAGCCCCTTTTACATACATGGTGAGGCCCAAATTGAACTTGGGACCCCTTGCTCCCGAGAGCAGCCCACTCCACTCCCGCAGCACCGCAGTGTCTGGCCTCCCTTGTCTGGGCCCGGTCTGACTGTTGGATTCCCCCTCTCCGAATCTGCTGACTGATGAGGAAGACATCGGTGTTAACTGCAAGATGATAATAATAACAGCTGATATGTGCTGAGTGCTTACTATGTGTGAGGCACCGTGCTAAGCACTTTCATATGCATTTCTCACGTAACCCTTTCAATAACAACAGCACGAGATAGCTACTTGTATTTATCAACCCTGTTTTATAAATGAAGAGACTGAGGCCCAGAGAGGTTAAATCACTTGCCCAAGGTCATGCCTCTGGTAAGTGGCAGAGCTAGGAGACACATCTGGTCAGTGTGAAGTCAGAGCCCAGTCCTTAACACTGTGCTGATTGTGCTCAAAGACAGGTGGAGAGGTCAGCCACACCTCTGATGGGCCCCAGGAAAGGAATGCTTGCGTGGTGCCACTTTAGGGCCTGCAGAGAGTCGGCAGGCTGGGTGAGGACCCAGAACCTGCCCTTCCTACCTGGGTGGCTCCAAACAGGCAGTCTAATTTGTGTCCCTGTCCAGCTCAGAAAGGTCAGTTTTCCACCTGGGTCTTTCAGTGTGTCTGTATAAAACATGCAAATCTATGAGGGTGAGATATTTGGTTTGGGCTTTCACAAATGTAGCTATGTAGCTATACACTTCCTTTTTCCTTTGAATAAAGTGAGCTCTTGTACTCACTATTCCCTCTCCCTGGAATGCTTCACCCACATTTCTGGTTGCCCCTGTCCCTCCCATCATCTGGGTTTGTGCTCCATGTCACAGGATCAGACCAGCCTCCTTGCCTGTCCTGGGGCAGCAGCCTGCTATCTGCCCCCCATCACTTCATCCTCTCACTTTGCTTTTTACTTATTTTTTATTCTTGTGGGAACATAGTAGGTGTATATATTTATGGGTTACATGAGATATTTTAATACAGGCATGCAATGCATAATAATCAAATCAGGGTAAGTAAGGTATCCATCACCTCAAGCATTTATCCTTTGTGTTACAAACAATCCTATTATACTTTTTTTTTTCTTTTTAGACAGAGTTTTGCTCTTGTTGCCCAGGCTGGAGTGCAATGGCGCAACCTCGGCTCACTGCAACCTCCACCTCCGGGGTTCAAGAGATTCTCTTGCTTCAGCCTCCCGAGTAGCTGGGATTACAGGCATGCACCACCACGCCCAGCTAATTTTGTATTTTTAGTAGAGACAGGGTTTCTTCATGTTGGTCAGGCTGGTCTCGAACTCCCGACCTCAGGTGATCCACCCACCTCGGCCTCCCAAACTGCTGGGATTACAGGCGTGAACCACCGCGTCTGTATTATACTCTTTTGGTTATTTTTAAACGTACAATTATATTATTTTTGACTGTAGTCACCCTGTTGTGCTAGCAAATACTTGGTCTTATTCATTCTTTCTCTTTGCTTTATTACAAAGCAATAGATTTGCCTTCTCAGGTTGTGAGTGTTCAAATAAGTTAGTCTATAAAGCACTGATAAATACTAGGTGCTATTTTAAGCGGTAATCATTTACATGTCATCACGGCATTTATACAACATAGCACACATTACTTTTATCTGCTTTCTTGTGTGTCACCTCCCTGCCTTACTAGAATATAACCTCCACGAGGGCAGGAGAATGATTGGTTTGTTCACTGCTGTATCCGCCAGGGCCTGGCATACAGAACCGTACCCGGCATTCAGAAGGCGCTCAATAAATATATGTTGAATTCAATAAATGAACTGAGGTCTGGAGAGGCAGGAAACGCTTTGGCTTTCATGAATTCTGCAAATATTTACTGAGCACCCACTCAGCACCAGGCAATAGGCTGTCTCATTTTTACAATATTAGCTTGAGACTCTGGCAGGAGGGAGATTTAAATATCAAGTTTTTAGAATAAGATACACAGTGTGAAATGCAGTTTTAAGCGGACACTCCGCTGGGTTTTGAGAGATGCACACTCCCATGTACCTACACTGCCATAAAGAAATAGACCATTGCTTCATCCGGCAGGGCGAGGACTTGGAGCCCAGGTGGCACGAAGGCAACTGACCCGCGGGGTGCTGGTCGCAGGACCCTGCCTCCGGGGGCTGAGGGGGCAACGGCCGGCGGGCGGGCGGGGGCGAGACTACAAGTCCCAGGGTGCTTTGCGCGCCCGCGGGCCGTGCGGAGCGAAGGGGCGGTGCGGAGGGGGTAGGGGGCGCAGCGGCCGCGGCGCGGAGGCGCAGGGCGCGGGCGCCTACGGTTGGCGCGCGGTAGCGATGCCGGGGGCCGGAGCCCGGGCGGAGGAGGGCGGCGGCGGCGGCGAGGGCGCGGCGCAGGGGGCGGCCGCGGAGCCCGGGGCGGGTCCGGCGCGGGAGCCAGCGCGGCTGTGTGGCTATCTGCAGAAGCTGTCGGGCAAGGGCCCCCTGCGTGGCTACCGCAGCCGCTGGTTCGTGTTCGACGCGCGCCGCTGCTACCTTTACTATTTCAAGAGTCCGCAGGACGCGCTGCCCCTCGGCCACTTGGACATCGCGGACGCCTGCTTCAGCTACCAGGGCCCCGACGAGGCGGCGGAGCCGGGCACGGAGCCGCCCGCGCACTTCCAGGTGCACAGCGCGGGAGCCGTCACGGTGCTCAAGGTGGGACCGCTCGCCCCAAAGCCGCCCGCGCGCTTCCGCCGGCGTCCCCTGCCTCCGCCACTGGCTTGCGCCATCCACCCTCCTTCCTCCAAGGCCTCCTCGCCCCTGCCCACGTCGGCCTGCCTTTCCCTGCTTCTCCACATCCCGCCCTCGTTCCTATCTCCTCCCCACTATCTGGGCTTAGGCCAGTCTCGCTGGGGCTACCAAGCCCCGTCTCCTTTCTCAGACACCTTGACCCATTATCTCCCTCTGCGCCTAACCTCGGGCCAGTCTCTGGTGTCTCCCGACCCCCACCATCCCGTGGATGTCCTGTGCAGCCTTCCCAGGCATCCGTGAGCGTAGGCTTCTACCCCTGGGGCCTCCTTTAGAACTTTGCCTATGGCCTTGGTACCTCAGTGAACCGCTCTGGGCTGCAGCGGCCTCCTCTGTAAAATGGGATAACAGTAGTATCTACCTCATGGGGTGTTGGGATTAAATGAATTATACTTTAAACTGCTCAGTAAATGTCAGTGCTTTTATTTATTTGTTTATTTATTCTTTTTGAGACAGGATCTTGTTCTGTTGTCCAGGCTGGAGTGCAGGGGTGCGATCTCGGCTCACTGCAGCCTCCATGCCTGGGCTCAAGAGATCCTCCCACCTCAGCCTCCCAAGTAGCTGGGACCACAGGTGCGGGCCACCACGCCTGGCTAATTAAATTTTTTTTTTTTTTTAAAGAAACGGGGGTCTCACTATGTTGCCCAGGCTAGTCTCGAACTCCTGGGCCGAAACCATCCTCCCCATCCAGCTTCCCAAAGTGCTGGGATGCCAGGCGTGAGCCAGAGTGCATTTAGCACTGTAGACAGAAAGAGTCAGATGGCAGGGCCCTTAGAGACAGTCCACTACATTTTCCTCCAGAGTGGACGGGGATGCTCCAGCTAAGGTCACACAGCCAGTAGGTGGCAGATCCTGTGTTCTTCCTCCTTGCTTTGTCCAGGATGGGTGGGAGGGGGTCTTTTCAGCCAGTTATGCCTTGCTCCTTTGAGGCTCCCTTAATCCTCCAGTGGACAGACAAAATGAGAGATACAGTGTAGAAGCAGGAGAGTAGAGTCAGGAGTCCTGGTGCTGAAAGGCCTCCCCTGTCCTTGGGAGTTCTGGGGGACTAGACTGTCACCTCCTAGGGGCCCACCTGCTTTGAGCATCTGGAGGGATCTGGGCCCAGGCCTGGAGCTGGGTATCCTTTTTCCAGGCTTTGCTCCCTGCCTGGTTTCTGTGAGTCTCCACCCTCACTCTCACTCCTCTTCCGTATTCCAGGTTGGGCTTTCTCCAGAGCAACAGGGTTGGGCTGGGATGTATGAAAGTGCTCTCAAAGCTGGCCACACGGAGAGCAGACTAGGCAAACTCCTGGCCTTGTGAGCTGAGGACTGTTCCTCAGACCCCCAGAGCTGCTAACAGCTGGAGCTGCTCCCTGGAGATGTTCTTAGAGCTTTGCTGACTCAGCTTTTGCCAGTTCAAGCAGGATCTGATTCCCATGTTCTCTTGGGCTCCCCTGTCCTGTCTGTAAGTGGGTGCAGACAGCCTGTTTCCCCAAAGAAAACCAACTCGGGTTGCAGTCCTACACAGGCTTACTTAGAGAGTGCCTGTATAAACTTGGTAATGACCCTAGTGGGAGACCTTTGCCAAAGGCAGAGGCTCTTCCTCAGTGTACATACGGGCTGTCCCTGTGTCGGACGAATTTCCTGTGGGATGTTTGTTAAAGAAAATAGAGCATCGTGTTTCACATTTTTCCCAGATGACTGTAGAACTCTATCAGTTTTTTTCATTAAAATAATCTGAATCTCCTGTAATCCCAGCACTTTGGGAGGCCGAGACGGGTGGATCACGAGGTCAGGAGCTCGAGACCATCCTGGCTAACACGGTGACACCCCATGTCTATTAAATATACAAAAAATTAGCCAGGCATGGTGGCGGGTGCCTGTAGTCCCAGTTATTCGGGAGGCTGAGGCAGGAGAATGGCGTGAACCCGGGAGGAAGAGCTTGCAGTGAGCAGAGATCGCGCCACTGCACTCAGCCTGGGTGACAGAGTGAGACTCCATCTCAAAAAAAATTAAAAAAAAAATAATAAATAAGAATCTACATAAGCAGGGTTACAAGGCGCATTGTCAGAAGTGTGGCTTTAAACTTCGATGGACTTGAACTTGAAGCAGGAGTCTGCTGCTCACACATATTGGACAAATTACACCAGTTCCCTGCTCCAGTTTCCTCTTTGGTCTAGTGGGAATCATACCTTCCTCATTAGGTGGCTGTGAGGATTCTGGAGAATGTTATGGAAAATGGCTGGCGCATTTTCCATAGTGGTATGGAAAATAGTAGGCACTACATGGCATATGAAACATCAAGCAGTGTCTTTGGCCAAATATGTAGTGTATTCATATAGTGGAATATTATGCAGTAGTAAACAAAGGTACTAGAGCTATAGGTGTCAACGTGGATTACTCTCACAAACAATAAAATTGAACAAGAAGTAAGTTACACACTGATTGTGTTCAGAATGATACCACTTATAGAAAGGTTAGGAAGATCATGTGAAACAGTACTACAGATCATAAGGATGTATGCTCTTTCGCGAGGGGAAGAGCTTTATGGGGCTGATGAGCTCTGGTTTCCAGGTAGTGGTTGCCTGTGATGGGAAGAGGGAGGATGTGATTGGGAATGGGTGCCTCAGGGCTTCTCCTGTTTTGCAGTGTTTTATTTCTTGGACTGGGTCATAGGTATATCAGTGTTTGTCCTATTATGCTATCCATCTTTTTGTAGGTTCAGAATATTTCTTTTTTTAAAGAAAGGAAATACATTTTCCTTTGGGTTACTGACAATGGAGGAATATTTTGACATGTAAAATTAAATTGGTCACAGAATAAGATAGTACCGAGTGTTGGCTGTATACAACAATGGGAATGGAAATCAGGCAAGGCTTTCTGGAAGAAGGGAGGAGAAGGCCGGGCGTGGTGGCTCATGCCTGTAATCCCAGCACTTTGGGAGGCCGAGGCGAGTGGATCACTTGAGGTCAGGAGTTCGAGACCAGCCTGGCCAATATGGTGAAACCCCATCTCTACTAAAAATACAAAAATTGGCTGGGCATGGTGGCGCACGCTGTAGTCCCAGCTGCTCGCGAGGCTGAGGCAGGAGAATTGCATGAACCCGGGAGGCGGAGGTTGCAGTGAGCCGAGATCACACCACTGCACTCCAGCCTGAGCGACAGAGTGAGACTCCACCTTAAAAACAAACAAACAAACAAACAAACAAGCAAAAAACACCCCGACTCTAAAACCCTGCTCCCTTTTTTTTTTTGAAACAGAGTCTTGCTGTGTCGCCCAGGCTGGAGTGCAGTGGCACAGTCTCTGCTAACTGCAACCTCTGGCTCCCGGGTTCAAGCAATTCTCCTGCCTCAGCCTTCCGAGCTGAGGGACTATAGGCGCGTGCCACCGCTCCCAGCTAATTTTTGTATTTTTAGTAGAGACGGGGTTTCACCATATTGGCCAGGCTGGTCTCGAACTCCTGACCTCGTGATCCACCTGCCTCTGCCTCTCAAAGTGCTGGGGTTACAGATATGAGCCACCGCACCCAGCCAGGCGTGTGTTTTAAGAAAATTAAATTTCATTGTACAGTTATTTCTTTTGAGCTGTAGGAGTAAAATCTTTATGGTGTAAGTATGGAAATTACCAATTTATCTTCCTTTTCGTCTTTCAAATGCAAGAACTGATTCCCTTAAGCCTTAATGTTTCACTTTAGGGCTGCCCAGCCATAGAGGAGACCCTGATTTCTAAGGATTTTAAGTTAGGATTTAGCCCTGCTCAGACTTCAGCTAGTGGTATATAATTTTACAAATACCATTTCTTATCACAGAGGGTTAAAAAGTAAAGAAAAATCAGCACTTTTCTTATTCTATTATCATATGTTTTTCTTATTTAAAAGTGTCTTTCAGCTCTCTCTGGAGAAGCTGTGGTTTTGTTGGGCTTTTTCAAAATGTTTTTCTATGTAAGTCTTAATGAAAGCTGATATAGGAATTTCTTGGGAAACTCCTCTATTCCCAAACTTAGGGATTTGATCTGGTGCCTTATGAGGTAATAGAGGCTAGAGAGGGGATGTGATTTTGCCAACATCATGAAGCTAGACTCAGACCCTCTCTGAAAGTAGAGGCTCCAGGAATAGTGAATGTCTAAAATGTGTAGTATCTAATTGTATTGTCTGTTCTGACAAGTCTGCTTTTTTTTGACTTTGTTGGGGATCGGATAAGGCGTAGTAGTAGTCTTTCCTTCTATTGCATTTAATATCTGTCCTTTTTGGATAGTGGGTATCACAAGGGAACATTTTACTGCCCAGTTCTTTACCAGGATGCCTAGTACCTTTTGCTGGACATGTCTGGAAACTGCTGCAAGGGTCTAGCAGAGGCTGATGCTTCCTGTGTGCGTCTCTCTCTGTGTGTAGGGGTGCTGGAGGCTTCTCACAGAGCTTTACTGGAATCTGAGGCACTTAGGGGAAGGAGAGCATGTGACTGACCGAGGGTGAAGCTTAAACAGCCTTGATCTTCCAGATCTCTGCAGACTTTGGAGCAAGAGAGCGTCATCAGACCGTCAGCAAATGAATTCCTCCCTCCGTAGGTGCTTGGTGCTAAATAGACATGTGTACTGGTTTCTGAGCCACACGTAACTGAATAGCTGTGTACCCCTATTCTTAACCACTTTTGTGGGAATGCACATTCCCTGGTGTTGAAATTTCTCTTAATGACAAACATTTGTCGGCTTGGGTAATCATATTGTTTTCAGTGCAAAATAGATGTGGTGAACCAGCCTCCTTTGCTGTTTGGTTCTTCTAAGCTGTTCTGCCCTAGGGCATCTGCTCAGTCTTGAAGCATTATTTAACTCTTTAAGTTATGGGAATTTAACTTTTCATGGCTTTCCAATTAGTAAGTTCCTTCAAGGCAAGTCCAGTATTGTGCTTGTGATATCACAGTGGCATTCCGTCTCCCTCTCCCACTGCCTCACACAGTCCTCATTGCAGGGGAGTCTCCATCCTATTTCCTGCTAACCAGAGGGTAAGCTCCCTAAGGACTGTGTGTATCCTCAGCTCCTGCAACAGTATCTGGCACAAAGGAGACATGCTATAAACTAGTGTTTGTGTTCCTGAAAAATTCGTATGTTGAAGTGCCAGCTCCCAGTGTGATGATATTTAGAGGTGGGGCCTTTGGGAGGTAATTAACTCATGAGGGTGGAGCCTTCACGAATGGGATTAGTGCCTTTATAAAAAGAGACCCTGGAGAGATGATCTCCCCTTCCACCTATGAGGATACAGCAAAAAGGCATTCCTTTGCAAACCAGGAAGAGGGCCCCCGCCAGGAACCAAATTGACCAGCACCTTGATTTTGGACATTCCAGCCTTCAGAACTGAGTAAATTTCTGTTGTTTAAGCCACTTAGTCTGTGGTGTTTTTGTTATAACAGCCTGAACCGACTAAGGTAAGGTGCCCAGGTAGACATTTGTTGCATGAATGAATAGAAAATGGTCACCCAGTAAGCACTGGTTTTGGTGTGAGCCCTGACCCTTTAGAAGTGATCAGCCAGAACTCCCAAATATACAGGTGTATTACATGCCATTCTTGCCTCATGTCATGGAGGTGGCAGCCATTCAGTGAATGCCCACTGAATTTAACAGACATCAGGAATCCAAAAGGGGGTTATGACTCACCCTTCCCCAGAGGAGAGAGCTTACAGTCAGTTCCATATTTTCGGGTCTCATATATTTCATGCCCATGGTCAGGACTCCAAGGACACTGTTATAGCAGAGGCAAACTTTTTATGTAAAGGGCCACATACTATTTTAGGTTTTGCGCACTCTGCCATATCTGTCACTATGCTGTTGTAGTACAGAAACAACCACAGAATGAGTATAGCTGTGTTTTAACTTTTAGTTATGGACTCTGAAATTTGGATTTCATATAATTTTCACATTTCGCAAAATATTCTTTTGATTTTTTTCAACCATTTAAAAATGTTAGCTGGGCACAGTGGCTCACTCCTGTAATCCCAGCACTTTGGGAGGCCGAAATGGGAGGATCACTTGATACCAATAGTTCGAGACCAGCCTAGGCAACAAAGTGAGACCCTATCCCTACAAAAATTAAAAAAAACTAGCCAGGTGTGGCTGGATGTGGTGGCTCACGCCTGTAATCCCAGCACTTTGGGAAGCCGAGGTGGGTGGATCACTTGAGGTCAGGAGTTTGAGACCAGCCTGACCAGCATGGTGAGACCCTGTCTCTACTAAAAATACAAAATTAGCTGGGTGTGGTGGCGGATGCCTGTAATCCCAGCTGCTTGGGAGGCTGAGGCAGGAGAATTGCTTGAACCCAGGAAACAGAGGTTGCAGCAAGCTGAGGTGGCGCCATTGCACTCCAGCCTGGGCGACAAGAGCGAAACTCTGTCTCAAAACAAAAAACAAACTAGCCAGGCATGATGGCACATGTCTTTAGTCCCAGCTACTTGGGAGGCTGAGGCAGGAGGACTGCTTGATCCCAGGAGGTGGACATTGCAGTGAGCTGTGTTTGCTCCACTGTACTCCAGCCTGGGTGACAGAGGGAGACCCTGTTTCAAAAAAATAAAATAGCAAAATAAAAATGTTAAAACTGCCCTTGCCTTGTAGATTGTACAGAAATAGGCAGAGACTGGAAATGACCGCAGGCTGTAGTTCACTGACTTGTGTTCTAGGAAGGCCTCAGGAGCTTCCCACTCATTCACTCACTGTGTGTGCTTAGGCACTGGGGATATGACTGGACAAGACAAACAGTCCCTGTCCTCCTGGAGCTTTCAGTAGGTGGGGGGGACAGACGTTAATAAAATATAACAAACACCAACCAGTGCTAGGAAGTTTGAAAGGAAAGATATGCAATGCATGTATAGTTCAGGATCTTGATCTGGTTTATGGTTGGTGGAGGGCTAGGAAAGACTTTCCTGAAGAAGCGACATTTGAGCTGAGACTCAAAGGATGAGTTGGTGTTGACTGGAGCGGGGGTGGGGGTGGAGAGGAGGAAGTCAAGTGTTGTAGGGAGAGGAAATGGCATAAGCAGAGGCCCTTAGGTGGGGGTGCTGGTTGCATGTGGGACTCAAGGAGTGCCTGGTGGCAACTAGGAGTGAAGGGGACATAGCCTTTGGAAGAGGCAGGCCTTGGGCCAGGGCAGGATTTTGGTCTTCATCTTAAGAGCTAGAGTCAGTAAAGAGTTTTAAGCAGGGTTTGACAAATAGGTTTTTGTTTTCTTTCTTCTGCTCCCAGATAGATTGTTTTAGGCCATTTGTGCTGCTGTGAAAAAATACCGTAGACAGGGTAGCTTATAAACAACAGAAATTTATTTCTCATAGTTCTGGAGGCTGGGAAGCCCAAGATGAAGGCACCAGCAGATTTGGTGTCTGGTGAGGGCTCACTCTGCTTTAGAGGTGGTGCCTTCTAGTGGTGTCCTCATAGCAGAAGGGGACAGACAAGTTCCTTCTGGGGCCTCCATCTATGTATGTTTGTATATATGTATGTATGTATCTATCTATCTAAATGTATTTTTCTCCTCAAATTCCTTTTACCACTCTGGCCTCTTTCATAAGGACCCTGATCTCATTCCAGAGGGCTCTGCCCTCATGACTTAAATCACTTCCCACAAGGCTTCCCTCTTAGTACTATCATCTTGGGGACTGGGTCTCAACACGTGAATTTTGCGGGGACACACGTTTGGACTGTGGCACTGATGGTTTGGTCATGCCTAGTATTTTTATGTAACTAAGTTAGAGGATTATCGTGTTGGGTACAAAGGGTTGATGTATTTATATGTTATGTACTGGCAAACAGATTTAAAAGTAGATAAATGCAAAGCTGAACCTATCTTGAGCAGTTGCTTCTTAATTTTGTTTCTGAGTGGTGGGTGTTGTGATGGGTGAAGCTCGCTTTGGCAGGTGTGTGTGTGGCTAGGGCCGGCCCGCCCTGGTGGACTTCCTTTCCTGAAGCATTCCTAATGGCCCCCGGCATTGACTTCTCTCCTGCTGCACTTGCTTTGCTCATATGCACATTACCAGTTTCCTTCCTCTGTGGAGATGACGATTTCTTGAGAAATGGAAGGAGTATTCAGATGTACCAGCTCCCACCTCACGTCTGAGGGGGGTGGACCAGTCTCCTCGATCAGTTGCTTTTACCTTTGAGCCACTGGGGTGCAGACTTCCCACCTCCAGTCAGAACAAAATACAAACAGTAACACCCCCTTCCTCTAAAGAAAGAAAAAGACCCCCACCATTGTAGAAGTGACTGTCAGTTTGGGAGAGGGAGAGGCATTTTCATTAGCAATTTTCGGTTCTGGTATTTATGTAGTGGGATCTTAATGACATGTGATCGGGTGTTCACCCATATCCTGTCAGGCCAGCCCTCAGCTGGGTTTTGTTTGCTTTCACAGAGTGAATGCAATGTGGAAATGGTAAACTGGGTAGTGGTGACTAGTTAGTGGCTTGTAACTAGTGTTCTGTGAAGTACTTTGCCTGGAGTGCTCAGTTCAGTAAACATCTTGGCATTCAGATATGTGAGGCCATGTGAGGGGCAAGAAGCTGAGAGGATCCCTGGGGAGACTGTGGCTTTCGTGATTGTCCAGCAGGCAGTAGCTCACCAGCCAGCACAGGAGGCCCTCAGTCGGCTACAGATTCAGGATGGTTTTGCTCCTGGTCTAGTCTTTGAGTGTCTGCTGTTGTGTCCTACCAGAGCATCACCTCCTAGGATATTTTGTCAGTGTATTTCACTACTGTGCCTTTCATACTTAGAGGATCCCAGCACCTGTTAGATGCTTGTTGGCTAAATGCATGCTTTAAGCCCTCATATCCTCTGTGTGTGTGTGTGTGTGTGTGTGTGTGTGTGTGTGTGGGTGTGGTGTGTGTGCTTTCATTTCATGGTGAAACGGACGTTTGTAGTGTCCATTTACTCAGCAAATATTTTTGAGCATCTATCATATTCTAAGCACTATGCTGCTTGCTGCAAATACAGCAGTGAAAATTTTCCATTGATTTAAGAAACTGTAGTGTTAACTTTAAAAATAGCTTAGCATCTGATATAATCAAAGAATTGTAAGAGTTTTGAAAAAAACATTGAAGAGGCCCATGTTTGTCTGTAGTATTCAGCACTGAGATAAATATCACATGTCTGCAAGTTTTTTGATTCTGAGAAGTCTGGCACTTCTCCATAGTAAAGGAAGGGGAGGGGGCATCCATATGTAAAATACTAATCTGGATATGGCCCAGGGCCAGAAATCTGTGATTTGTGTAATAATTTTGGTGAACACTGCAGAATTGGAGAGTTCTGTATAACTGATTATCAAGAAAGCTCCCTGAAGAAGATGGGACAAGGGAGTTAGTAAATGTTGGTATAATTGTGTAGCTGCTCAAAGACTTAGTTCCTGTTTGATCAGCAACATGTGTTCCCTGTAAGCTGGGAATCACCATCTTCTAATGAGTTTGCATGCTTGGCCATTTTCTTAGCCTTTGCAGAGATTGCCTGGGAGAACTAGAATCCAGTGTGAGAAGTGGGGATTTGGTAGCTGAGATCCTGTGTGCTTCTTCTTTCTGCCCCTTTCCTAGGCCAGTGCTACTGTACCAGCAGACTTTCCTTGAGCAGACTGCCCCTGGGCTGGGACTTGTGTTGCTGAGTGTCAGATGGCAGGCCTGGCCGTGGCCTGGAGGTGGGCAGGCTAATGTTATCAGAGATGTTGATCTTGGATTATAGGAATTATTTCTAGGCAGCAAGCCCAGTATTCATTTTCCTCTCCAGCTCTCTGGTGTTCAGGAGAGGCTGTGCTTGCAGAGAAGGTGGCCAGCTTTCTAAATGGATGCAGCCAACTGGCCATTCACCAAACAGACTTTGTTGAGCAGGAGTCAAGCTTTGCCTCTGGCCTCAGGGAGCTTCTGTGTCTGTTTTGGGTGTGATTAGGGCATTGTCAATAGGTGGCTCTGGGAGCTGGAGGAAGGCATTCATTATTTTTGCTCAAGGGTCATTATCCCAAAGTTAGAACTGGAGAGGCCCTCAGAGATCAGCCCCCTTCCCATGTGTGATACAGAGAGGAAACTGAGTCCCACAGCTAGCTACCCTACCACTGAAACCTTCTCCTTCTCCAAACACATGAACGATATTTTACCATTTTAAACCCAGCAGTTTGATGATACTTGCTTTATATATCTGTCGTAATCCATTAGTAGAAAATTGGGCTTATTCTTTTTTTAGTAGTTGTATATGGAGACTCAAATTGTACCTTTAACCATTTTGTGTTGGGGCACAGATTTAAGAAGTTTAGTCACATGGAGGTTGGAAATTAACAGCATAGGTTATAAACTTCCAGTGGGGGTTGACTTGATAGGAGGCATCAGTGATGTTTCCCTGGCAGAGATTGAGGCCTGGTGCATCCCTTTTGAGAGGGCTTCTCTTTGGAGGTGGCTTTGGTTTTCTCTTTGGTTCGTCAAAGGAAAACAGGCAGTTGGCAGATGGCTGTATCTTTTCATTCTGCTCTGTAAGGCATACCCTCTGGCCTTAGAAGTGAACCACTTTTTATACTGTTTACACAGCTCTCTTGTATATACTGTTGTAGAGGTAACATGCTGATAAGACTTTTTTTGTTTCTGTCTTTTAAAGGAAAATATCTCCCTCAGAACCGCAGTTCTTAAATTTTGTGTGGAAAAGACTCCTCCTGGGTTCTGTTAAAATGCAGATTGTGGGGTTCGTCCCCTGGAGATTCTGCTTTAGTTGGCAGGCCAGAGTGGGCCTCAGGAATCTGCCTTTCTTTCCAGCATCCCAGCCCTTCTGCTGCAGATCTCTGTGGCTTCCCTGTGAAACACTGCTCTCCTCCCGATGATGAATGTTCTCTTTGGCTGTGAAGAAAAGACTGACCCTGTATGATGGTGGCTTTCTAAGTGGACTAGAAATAACTAAACTGCTTGGGTGAAGACCAGTGAAGTGTGAGCCCTCCATCCTCGGGTTGACTCTCTGTGGTTTATAGCTGCATATCTTCTTTGCATTCTGAGTTTCTATGCTGCAGAGGAGTGGCTTTTGGCCCAATTCTCCATTGGCCCCAAGGTTTCTGTCCCCTTTGCTGATCATGGTGGCTGGCAGACCCTACGTGCTAGGGTTCCTTCCTGAGCATTCAGAGGGAGGCTCCAGGAGGGAACAGTGTTCACTTGGCATCTTTCGGTATTTCTGGGAGGGTGAATTGCAATGATCACCACCACCAAAGAGCTGGTAAGTACTTTCAGATCCCTCAGCTTTTCACCAGAGAGAAGTGGGTAACAATGATATAGGACGACCATCTGATACTCCTGAGACACCAACTCCACCTTAAAACACTGTTAGAAATCACCGTGGTTCCCAAACATTCCTGTAAATTCACTGAAAGACTAGGCGGGTTCCTGGTACCTGGCTCCACTGCCTCCCAAATCTCTGGTGGGTGGAGCCTGGGAACCTGTCCCAACTCCGTTTCCTAAAACTTCATGTTAAGTCAGTCATTCTTTTGCCCTAGTTTTAGTTGAAAAACATCAAGCAGAATAATGTGGTATTGCATAGTGTGTGGAAGCCAATGTGGGCAGAGGTGGAGCAAGACCATCCAATAGGCTACAGGCTGTGGCTGCAGGAGTTGTTATTTATCCTGAGCTCATCCTTGGCTCTCTCACATTGTGCAATGGCAGAGCTGAGAGGGAACCATAGGAATGTAGCCCTGTGGTCACTTGGAGGCCTCGTGCTCCCTTTCTCTCTGAAACAGAAAGTATTTTGACAGGCTTCTACATTTCCTGTAGGGACGAGCATGTCCGGAGAGTGGCCTTGTCCTTGCCCTTGTCTTGATGAAATCTGTGGCTCAGCCCAGCTGGGTGGCCTGGGCTGTGAGAGGCTTTGATGTGGCCAGATCCCTCACAAGCCCAGTTGTTTTCATTGCCCACTTTCCAGTGAACTCACATTTGCTCTTCTTTGTTCTAGTTGTAGGCCCTATTCTTCTAGTCCATTACCCTTAGTTGCTAATCTCTGTTAAATGGTATTTGCTTAAAAATGTATTTGCTGAATATGGGTTTAAGAAATGGCTTTTCTCTCAAGGTGTTTGCTTTTTAAAAGGGGTGCTTGAGTGTTAGAGATGGCAGAACTCCTCAGACCACCACCTACCAGAATGGATGATGAATGTGGCATCTTCCCAGGGAATGACTGCCCACCTCAACACAGACTCTTCCGGGAAATTGATTATGGGTTCTAGGTGTGTGCTCAGCCTTTGAAAGGGGCTAGATTAGAACTATTTTAATAAGATACAATTATTTTGTAAGACATATGAATGCTAATTTTAAGATAGCAATTTTAAAAGATACGAAAGGAGAATTTGTTATGTTCAGTAGAGGAATGGAGGTTTGTGACCTTGTATTCCATTTTCCAAGGAGCCAGGAGATCCAGTATTTGCCTTCTTAGTCTCTGTTGCTGGGCTGAAACAGAAGATTTCAAAACCTTCCTGGGGAAAAAAATACATTTTTTTTTTCCATTGGTGCTGGGCCAGATCCCTTGAGATTGTTTCCAGGCTCATGATTTTGAAACACTCAGGAAAAAATTTGGAACCTAGAGTTATTTATCAGATTCGGGGTTAGAGTCTGTTTTCCATTTGAATTTTGTTTTGTATTACCAGGCTGCTTACAATATTCTTGTGCTTTTTATTGCTTATGGAAGAAATTACTTTAGACATTTCTTAGAGATCCAAATATCTTCCTTGAGTTTAAGAAACAAAAATTCCTTCATTATGAGCAGCCATCGCATTCTTTTCAGAAATGGATACCCAAAATTATCCATGTAATTTAAATTGCTTTCTAGAAGGTATGCAGACTTGACCTATTCTGTATATATATTTTCCTTCCTGTGGCTCCTTCGTGATTGTTGGTTATGTTGTTCTTTTGGCTAATAAACATGGTAGGACCTGACCCTTTGGGAAGGAACCCAGAGTTCATAACCCTAAGTGGGTGATTGAGATGGTGTGCGTCACATAGAGCGTGTTGGAGGAATGATCGTTTGGTTGTATAAGGGATGTTGGCTGGCCTTACAGATGAGATGTTTGAACTGGGTCTTGAGTGAGTGGGAATTTGTTAGGGAGGTGTTAGTGCAGTAGGAGCAGAGATTGTGAAGGCTTTTGTGGGCCTTTTGTGTGGGAGAAAGGTTATAGTTCTGTGGAGTGTGGGGCAGTGTGGGCCAGATTTCTTGACACTTGGAAGCCATGAGAGAGTTTTAAGCATGCGACATATATGACTTCATTGGCTTGGTGTCAGAAGAGAGTTTGGAGAGGAGAGACTGAGACAGCAAGTCCAGTTAGGAAGCTGTTGCAGAGGCCCAGGGGTAGATGAATCTGGAGACCCAGAGGCCCAGGGGTAGATGAATCTGGAGACCCAGAGGCCCAGGGGTAGATGACTCTGAGACTGTCAGGATGCATGAATCTGAGAGACTGACAAGGGAGTCCTTAGGAATAGGAGACCTGGCGATTCTATTATATCAGACTGGAGAAGTTTCTGTCCTCTCCATATTTGCTTGTGTGTGGTGTTGTTATTGCTCACAGCAGTCTATTTTTGAGAAACACCCTTAGAGCAGAGTTGTGATTAAGAGTGGAACCATGTTGGCCATCATAGACTGATGGTCATGCCCTCTCCCAGTGACACTATGCTGACCCCTCTAGATTTAATGTCCAGAGGACCTTCTCTACTGATGTGGGGACCAGCATCTGATATAGTTTTATTTGTCCCTGAAGCCAACCTAGAGGCTTTTATTTGAACTTTGCTATTGATTGAGGCCATCAGCATTTCAATATTTGAGAAAAACCATAGAGGAACTTGTGATTTCTGCTAAAATGCTGAGAGGATTGATTTTGTCTTGGACATGCTCTCTCATCCTTCCCCTTGATAGCAAGTAATGCAGACTCAGGTTTGAGTTTTGACTGTGCCAAGTGGCTATGAGATTTTGGGTAAACATGATAATATAGGTAGTTGATACACAGTGAGTACTTTGTGCCAAATACTCTTCTGAGCTTAACAGATGTTAAGTGGGTTATCATGGGTAAACATGATAATATAGACAGTTGATACACGAGTACTTTGTGCCAAATACTCTTCTGAGCTTAACACATGTTAAGTGGGTTATCGGTAAACATGATAATATAGATAGTTGATACCTAATGAGTACTTTGTGCCAAACACCCTTTTGAGCTTAACACATGTTAACTAATTAATTTTCAATACCATGAAGTAGGTTCCTATTATTATTATTTCAATTTTACCAGCAAGGAATCCGAGGCCCAGACAATTTATGTAACATACCTAACATAGCCAGCCAGTAGCAGAGCTGGGATTTGAACCTTGGTAGTTAGGCTCCAGGGTCCATGGGCAAGCAGATGATACTGTTTGGGGAGAGTTAGTTACGAGGGTTAAATGACAGTGTGTATAAAGCGAAAGCATAGTGTCTGGCACACAGTAATTGTTTAATTGATGGTGTCTAATATAATATGCAAATATATATTATGGAAGAGTCTATATAATTTTAATACAGTTTTATAAAGAAAATTGGTTTTCTACCAATTGGCTAGAAAATTGGTAGAAAATATATGGGTAGAGAATTTTCTATACATTTATGGGTAGAAAGATGTTTGGAAATACCAAAGTATTGATGGAGGTTATTTCTGGTGATGCAGCTATGTTCATTTTATTTTCTTCTTTGCTTTCCTGTGTTTTCCAAATTCTCCTCAGCAGATGTAGATTGTTATTATTTGAAATATAAGTCTAAAATATGTTGTTGTTTTTTAAAACTAAAGATTAATGGGATCTCACCAGACAAACAGGACTTCCCACAGTCCAGGAAGAGTGAAGAGCCCTGCAAAGCTATAGTGGTGTGAAACTCTACACCATGCTTAGTGACTTTGAAGTTGTTTGGTCTTTTTTCAGTTCGTCATTGTCTATTAATTTATTTGTAGTGTTTTAGACACATATTTTCTTTGCTTTGCTTTCTTTGTGGGTTTAGAAAGCCCTTTACCTTCCAAGAGAATAGAAATGTTAGGACAGCAGTTTCTTGTGCTGCTGGGGAGACTAATCAGCCCTCTTATAATCAGTGACTCCCTGCTGCCTGGAGACGGCTTGCAGGGTTGCCCGTGGGAGAAGCAGCTCCGGGGCTTACAGTTTGAAGTGTCTGTCCTTCTAGCTTTCAGTTTTGGGCTCGGTCTTGACAGAGTGTTTTGTTTTCCTCGTCTAGTGCATCATGGTGCACATGGCATTCATTTTCTGCATAGAGTCTTGTGGCTGCTGTTTATACTTCAGTTTTAGCTAAACCTTCCCGTGTGAATTTCTGCTGTGCCACATTGCTTGATTTAAGTCCTGTCATCCCTTCCATACCTTTATAATTTGGTGGAAATCTATACAACTGTTGTTGTAAGAGGCAGAAAGAGACAGGAACTTAATTTTAATTATACAGGCTTTTTTTTTCTAATTTAATGGTTTTTATTAAATTTATTAAATTCATTCATTTAATGGTTTTTATTAAATTCATTAGTTTATTAAATCATGAATTGAATTTGAAATTATTTTCTCTGATGATAGGTTTCTCACCCAGGGCATCACTTATTTTTTTTCCAGGTATTTGACCAGTTGTCCTAATGCTATTATATATAATATATATATAAATTATATATATATTTTTGGAGACAGGGTCTCGCTCTGTCACCCAGCCTGGAGTACAGTGGTACAGTTATGGCTCACTGCAGCTTCAACCTCCTGGGCTCAAGAAATTCTCCCACGTCAGCCTTCTGAGTAGCTGGGACTACAGGCATGCACCACCACACCTGGCTAATTTTTGTACTTTTTGTAGAGAGGGGATTTCACCATGTTGGCCAGGCTGGTCTTGAACTCCTCGGTTCAAGCGATCTGCCTGCCTCTGCCTCCCAAAGTGCTGGGATTATAGGTGTCAGCCACTGTGCCTGGCCTATTATTATTATATTTTTAAGAGACAGGGTCTTTTGTTTTGTTTTTGATATGGAGTTTTGCTCTTGTTGCCTAGGTTGGAGTGCAATGGCACAATCTTGGCTCACTGTAATCTCTGCCTCCCAGGTTTAAATGATTCTCCTGCCTCAGCCTCCCAAGTAGCTGGGATTACAGGAGTGTGCCACCACACCTGGTAAATTTATATTTCTAATAGAGACGAGGTTTTACCATATTGCCCAGGCTGATCTTGAACTCCGGGGCTCAAGCAATCTGCCTGCCTCTGTCTCCCGTAGTGCTGGGATTACAGGCATGAGCCACTGTGCCTGGCCTATTATTATTATATTTTAAAGAGACAGGGTCTTCTGATTTCATTTTGAGACAGAGTTTCACTGTTGTTGCCCAGGCTGGAGTGCAGTGGCGCGATCTCGGCTCACTGCAACCTCCGCTTCCTGGGTGTAAACGATTCTCCTGTCTCGGCCTCCCGAGTAGCTGGGATTACAGGAGTGTGCCACCACACCTGGCTAATTTTGGTATTTTTAATAGAGACGAGGTTTCACCATGTTGGCCAGGCTGGTCTCGAACTTCTGACTTCAGGTGATCTGCCTGTCTCGGCCTCCCAAAGTGCTGGGATTACAGGAGTGAGCCACAGTGCCCAACCAAGAGATAGGTCTTGCTCTGTCGCCCAGGCTGGGTACAGATCTCGGCTCACTGCAAACTCTGTCTCCTGGGCTCAAGGGATCATCTAACTTCAGCCTCCTGAGTAGCTGGTACTACAAGCACACGCCACCATGCCTGGCTAATTTTTTTTTTTTTTTTTTGTAGTGATGTGGTTTCACCATGTTGCTCAGGCTGGTCTCAAACTCCTGAGCCCAAGTGATTCACCCACCTGGGCCTCCCAAAGGGCTAAGATTACTGGCATGAGCCACTGCGCCTGGCCTCTGGATTTCTTAATTGGATACCTAGGCATTTTATGTTGATTGTAATTATAAACTTGTTTCCCACTGTTTATTGTTGGCATAAAGGAAAATGTTTGCTTGCGGTGAATATCTCAGAGGTAGGAATTAACCAGATCTCATCCAGTTCTGTATTCTTAGTGCTAACTACTGGACTTGGCCCAAGTTAGGCTCTTAATAAACATTTGTTAAGCAAATGAACACTTTATGTACATGGTGTTGTCCCTTTTTCCTCTTTTGGACTACTTTAGCTACATTCCCAGGAATAGAATTGTGGGTCAAAGAATGTGAACATTAGTATAGCTTCTAAAATGTGGTAAATTTTGATAGGTGGACATTGTTTACTAAAGGGAATAAAAGCTTAGATAAACTTGTTGTTTAGTGGAGATGATGAGGCCCGACTCCCTGTAGATGCTGCTGGGTTGCTACTCCAGCCCCTGTCCTCACAATCATGTACTTCCTGCTGAGAGTGGGCCCATAATATACGTGTATTGAAATCAGTTAACTTGTAATCAAACAACTTTATTGTGGGACTTGTCTAAGCATCAAGTTGAGAGCTGGTGGGAGGCTGAGGGGAGTCTCTGGGGCCCAAGAGGAGGAACAGGTGGCCAGGGCCTGTCTCACACAAGAGTGGGCTTCTGGGTTTTGAGCTACTGGAGACCTGGGGACAGCAGCTTGTGGGAGCAGCTGGGGCATCACATGGTACTTCTCAGCCAGCTGTCAAGGACTGCATTCCCACCTCAAGCAGAATGTGGATGGCTTGCTTTTATTCTCCGAGCTGGTGCCTCATGTCTTGGCCCCCAAAGGCAGCAGATGGCTGTCCTGTAGAATTGTGCCCACCCAATCCTTGTCTGCCCCTCTCCCTCACCCAGGACGTTCATGCAGCCATGTAGGAGACAACTACAATGGCTTTCCAAGATGTTCAGCTTGGTCTCATATTGGGATTGGTGCCATATTTGACCTGGGATTTCAGCAGTATTGAGGAAGTAGCAACAATTGAACATGAGAGGATGAGTCAGATATTTGAGTGTTTATATTCAGGACACTGTGCAAGACATCTTGGATCGTATTGAGACCAGCAGGTCTGGTCTCTGCCTTTAAGGAACTTGGGTTAGTGAGGAACACACAGGGAGTGCCCTCACCTCCATGGGAGGGTTACCTGGGCTACAAGATTCTCTGAGCTCCCTATTCAGAGAATGGAGACAAAATGTACACCCAGATCAGGGAAACCTGCTCTGAAGAGGTGGCCTTTGCATTGGATCTTGAAGGGTGAGTAGGAAGGAGCTGAGGAGACTGGTGTTAGGGGAGACAAAATGCACACCCAGGTCAGGGAAACCTGCTCTGAAGAGGTGGCCTTTGCATTGGACCTTGAAGGGTGAGGAGGAAGGAGCTGGAGAGACGGGTGTTAGGGGAGACTCAGGAGCTGGCCTAGGTAAGGCATCAGACAGCACACACCAGCACCTGGCTTCTTGCTGGGTGCTTGCCTGGCATCGGCTCCCAATTCTCTGCTGATCTGTGGAGCTCTGCCTTGTCACTGTTTCTTCTAGCATGAGTGGAATGCCTGTCTGGCTCTCCAGAACTTGGGACCACAGCATTTTGGTCATTCTGAGGGGTGGGGGGCAGATGGTGATCCTTCCCGGTCCTCACTCCTCCGGCGGGCGTGTCTTTGGTGAATGCTGTGTGGTCCTGGCCGTTAGCTTCTGCGCTGACTGGCTCATTGTCACCAGCTGAGCTGAGGCTCAGCGGAGGGAACTCCTGGTGATAGACCTAGCAAGGCGTTGTCTGTGCAGCCAGATCACTCAAAGGTCCTACTCGCCCCACTTTTGGAGCACTGAATAAAGGCACTATAGCTGGGGCCAGACCAGCAGATGCCTGGGTTCCTAAAGAATGTTGGCCTCTCCTTGGACATTAATGGACCATGGGGTGGTTGGAGATATGGAGGCGCCTGTTTAAAGAGAGAAGTTATCTTGAGTTGTAAAGTGCTGTAGAAGGGCAATGGTGTTGGCTGCCCCACACCCCCGTGGACCCCATGCCCTTGGCTTATGTTATAATCCTGAGGTACTGTTTCCTGCCAAGCCAGATCTCCCACCAACCTTGGCTCTCAAAATGGAATATATTTGCCATTGTAGTGTAGACCAGCACTGTTCAGTAAAGATAAGATGTGAGCCACATAATATACTTTTAAATTTTCAATGAGCCACATTAAACCAGTAAAATTAATTTTAATACTATCGTATTTATTCAGTGTATCCAAAAGATTTTATGTGGCACTGGCCATCTCTCATGTGCTCAGTAGTCACGTCTGGCTAGGGCTACTGTGTTGGTACAGGGCAGATCTGAACCAATTTCCTGGGACTGGGGCGATAAAGAGGCTGGTTTGTGATTATACATTTAATTAGGCCTGAGCCGAATCTCCATTTAGTCCTTTGCTAAAAGATACCAGATAAAAAACGCAGAGGCTTTTTGGATTTCTGCTGATTTTGCTGTGTTGTACTTTTAGTGGTGCTCAGTCTTAGAACCTGTGTGTGTTTCTGTCTTTGGGTTTCAGCTGTCTTCAGAAAAGGCCCTTTGGGGCTTTTCTGTCAAAGCACATGCCCCAGAGCCATTTCAGACAGTCTGGCCCCCAGCCTTTTACTAGCTAATTGGGGATTGAAGTCAAAAGTCTTCTAGTGATCTCTAGATTTTTTTTTTTCTTTGAGACAGAGTCTCACTGTCGCCCAGGCTGGAGTGCAGTGGCACCGTGTCGGCTCACTGCAACCTCCGTTTCCTGGGTTCAAGCAGTTCTCCTGCCTCAGCCTCCCAAGTAGCTGGGATTACGGGCACCCACCACCACGCCTGGCTAATTTTTAAAAATACTTTTAGTAGAGACGGGGTTTCACCATGTTGGCTAGGCTGGTCTCGAACTCCTGACCTCAGGTGATCCGCCTGCCTCGGCCTCCCAAAGTGCTGAGATTACAGGTGTGAGCCGCCATAGCAGCCTGTTTAGGTTTTTTTTTTGAAAGGAAACAAACCCAGTTAATCAGTGTCTTGATTAACTGACTTGTTAACCAGATTTTGCCCATCTTATTGACCAAATTTCTACAATATGATAAAATATCAGTCATTGAAAGCATGTGATCTAAAAGTTTTGCCTCAGGAATTTAGTGAGAGATGACTCAGAGGTTACTGATTGTTTCCCAGTTACATTTAATACTCAAAGATTTAAAGTGAAAAGGATTTCTTGTAAAAAGCAGATTTTTCATGGTGCCTGCATTGTCAGAGGCAGCTGGAGAGGTTGGTTCAGATATGCCCTAGTGAGTATGTGCCAGCTTCTCTAGCAGCCTGTGGCTCCCGAGCATAAATAGAAACACAGCTGCATATGCAGGCTGAACAAGAGGAAGTGTCTGGGCACCTCCCTGGCTGGAGCAGAAGGCTCCCAGGGTGCTTAGCTCACCTGTGGCATGGGGATGGAGGGGCCAGGTAGTCAGGGAGCTGGTGGGAGGACCACACACGCACATTCCCCCACCCAAACACACACTTGCCTCTAAGGGTTGGGGGTTTGGCAGACTGGGCTCACAGTATTGACTCCCTGTATGACCTAGACAAGTCACTTCCCTTTCTGGGCCTCTGTCCCCTCATCTGCAAAAAAAAAAAAAAAAAAAAAAAAAAAAAAAGAGGAGGACTGGGTGGGCTTTGGGCTCTGAATTTGGCTCTGGTTGTGTCTCTCAGTTCCTGACTTGCCTAGTGACTCTTCTCTCCCTTCCTGTGGAAATGCTTGTGTGCTCTTTGCCCCGCCCCAGGGCCAGGCTGAGCTCCTGTGTCTGCACTGCAACCAGCCTGCCTCCCAAACTCCAGGCTGCAATTCATGGATCTCCCAAGTGGGCTCACGGCCTCTGGCCTGAACTAATCTCCTCCTATGCAAACTGTGCACCTGCCTTTCCCTCACCACCATTTTCACCAGCAGTACCTTTGTCTAATAATGTCAGTGCCCTGCTAAGTTCCCCATTCCATCTCTTTAGGAAGGCACACAAGTCCCTTCAGGGCCAGGTCCTTGCCACTCACTGACCTCACCTCACTCCTGCTCTCTGACCTTTGTTCTTTTGTAGACACTTCTCTCTCTCCCTGGAATCTCTTTTCCTCTGGCCACTGCCTGCTTCCCCTTTAAGACCAAGTTCTCCTGTATCATTTTCTGATTATTCATTCATTCACTTATTCCTTCATATATGTATTCAGTAAATACTGACCTACTATGTGCCTGACACTGAGCTAGATGCTAGAGAAATGGAGACAACTTGGAGTTTGTTTCTTGGAGAAGATAGACATTAAACCTATACTTTGAAGCTTTTGAACCTGCCTATGGCAGGTGTCCTGAACTTTGAGTACCTTGTCCTTTGCTGCACCTCCCCTCTTTGGCTATGTGTCCTTCCCCAGTGCTCTCCAGTCACGCCAGCCCCGCGTCGCCTGCTCTGCTTTCTGTCATAGCACTTAATGCAACATGGAAACTACTGGTTGTTTTTTCCTGTCTTTCTCACTAGGCCAGGCCCCAGGTCTGGGTACCTGATAGGTGCTCAGCAAATGTTGGTTAAATGAATGGATGAAATGGCAACTTGGCTGGTATAGTTGGAAGAACTTTCTGTAAAATACCCAAAGATCCTGTAATGAAAATACCCAAAGATCCTTTTCTTTAACTGGGGCCAGGTGTGCAAGTATCACTAAAAAGACCCAGGTTGTGGTCACAGCACCCACAGGTTATCCTTTGCTTGGAGGTAGTAGTAGTTTGGTCTAGGGCTATCTCTTGCTGTCAGGCCTGCAGAGCCATTTTCTTCACTGCCTCTGATCTTGGCAACCACTGTGTCTGATGTCTGCACATGTCACTGGATGCCAGTGTTGATGAAGTTCCCATAATCGTGTCATGGCAGCTTTCCTTCTTCTTGGGACTCCTTTGCTGGGGGCAGCCTGGAGACCTTGACCCATACCTGCAGTCTAGTTTATTTATATTTAGGTTCATTGTTCTGGGTCCTCTCCCCCATCTTGGTTGATTTTTTTTTTAATGATATTCACTCTTTGTGTATATAATTCTGTGATTTTGGACAAATGTGTAGAATCATGACTTTACCCAGAACCATGATACATAGCAGTTCTGTCACCCACAAATTCTTGTGCTGCCGCTTTGTAGTCAGCTGCTCCCCTCCCTGCCAAGCCCTGGCAACCACATATTTGTTTTCTGTCCTGACAATTTTGCCTTCTCAGGGTGTTACATAAGTGGCATCATACAGTATATAACCATTTGGGTCAGGCTTCTTTCACTTGGCAATATGCATTTAATATTTATCCATGTAGTAGGAATCAATAGTGTGCTCCTTTTTATTGCTAAATAGTATATTATTGTATAGATGTACCAGTTTTTTTTAATCCTTTCTCCAGACAAAGTTCTCATTTTTTTTGGCAATTATGAATAAAACCTCTATAAACATTCACATACAGGTCTTTGTGTGAATATGTTTTCATTCCTCTTGGGTGGATATGTAGGGATGGGCTTGCCAGGTTACTTGGTAAGTGTATGTTTAACTTTATAAGGAATTGCTAAACTGTTTTCTAAAGTAGCTGCACCATGTTGCATTCCACCTGCAGCTTATGAAAGTACTAGCTGCCCTGCACCCTTGTCAGCACTTGGCATTGTCAACTTTTTGAAATATTAGCCATTTTAATAGGAGTGCCAGCTCGTTTTTAATCTGCAGTTTTCTTTGTATACTCTCAGATGCTGATGGAGTTTAAATATCATTATTTGATGTGATTTGGCAAGGCCGTCTTTCATACCTATGTCAGATTTTATTTTTGAAGATGGAATTTGTAGTTGCTCAGAGTAAAAGAGCAGCAGTATTATCACATCTTCCTAAACGGTTTTGAGGAAAATGTTATACTGCATTATTCTTTAATTTCAGAATTTAAAAAGACTTCTTGTTAATTGGGTTCAGTTCTTCATGTTACAATTGCTATTTGCTTGACCAACTCATCATGAGCAAAAGCTACTAATCTTGTAACTGAAGTTTCCTTGATCTGTTCATCTTAACTCTCACATGGCAAGCTGAACAGTCTACTCATGAGACATAATATTTTTTAAGCTCTTCATATTACTGGTGGCCATAACATGTTTTTCCCCTCCCTCTTTCTAGGCTCCCAATCGTCAACTCATGACTTACTGGTTACAGGAGCTTCAGCAGAAGAGATGGGAATATTGTAACAGTCTTGACATGGTCAAGTGGGACAGCAGGACCTCTCCAACTCCCGGGGATTTTCCTAAGGGTCTTGTAGCCAGAGATAACACTGGTAAGGCAGAAATAAAGGGGAGCTGGGTCAGTTCTTTGTGTAAGCCATTCGATACCACATATGAACTTAGCAGTGAATGAAAATGAATTTAGAAAGAAAATAATAATGATGCTACCTTATGAGTGGACAGCATTCCACAGTTACCCAGCGCCTCCATGTACAAAGCTTATGCAAGCCCAGTGACAGCCTTGGAATCAGGCAAGGCCAGTGCCAAGCATATGGAAGATACGACTAAGGTCAGCATGTGGTAAGTTGTGGTGCTGTAAGTCTAGTTCTGACTGCAGGGCCAGCCTTTCTACTACACCTAATGATGAAGCACTCATGCCTAGATAGTCATGCTTGGGCAGACTTGCCAAGATTGACAGGTGTTTGTATACACTAGGAAGGTATTCTCAGATCATTCCACTTGTAATTCTCTAGTGTTTCTTAGGAAGACTTTAACCTTCAAACATTGATTTCATTCTATCCTGGATTCATGGCATTTCTGTAACTCAGGGTAATCCCTGGCCATTTGCAGCATGGAGATAACCTCTAGAAAGAACAGAACAACAATTATTTGCTGCCCATCCTACCCCATTGCAAAGACTGTGGAGATGGGACTGTTTTTTGGCCCCCACTCTTCATACAGGGAAAATAACACATCCAGAAAAACAAACAAACAAACAAAACAGCCTCCTGAGCTCTGAAGTAAGGTCTAAAAAGCCCAGGCCATTGTATTAGTATTTTTGGAAGACACACGGAGCGTACATTAAAAGGAGTAGACAACAGTAAGGACTAGTTCTAACAGTTTCATAAAGAGATTTCTTCACTTCCTAAAACCCGTGGGACCCTCTGCTCAGCAGAACACAGGGCTGCATCCGAGTTGCCTGTCCCACCAAGGATGGTGTTGGCACGTGTGGCTGATTTACTCCAGAAACAAAGGCATTCTTAGATGAATTTTTCGTCTCCAAATTTGTCAGTCTTGTTTTTACTTGTCCCAGTATTTTTCAGCAGGTTAACCCTCTTATCAGTGATAAATTACTATATATGCTTTGTACCTATTAATATGTTTTCTGTGAGAGTTTTTGAGTCACTTTCACGACTGTCTTAGCGCTCTGACTATTCCAGGTTCTGAGATCATGCCTTTATTTTCAACTTTATGCGCCCTTATGTTTCGTTCAGAGTCGAGTCACTGTTAACTGAGTTGTTTTGAAAGCCACTCTTATAGTGCTTTTCACTCAAAAGGAGCTCCTAACTGAGTGTCTCAGTCACTTGGAACATTTGGAAACCCTGTGGGAACAGGCAGGGTTCATGAGCATAGCCAGTGCCTTTGGCACAGGAGGTGCTTGATTTGCCTCAGTTCCTTTGTTCTGAGGGCACCAAGTGCTTCTTTCTAGCAAAGACTCAGGGATATTAAACCGAAAGGAGGACAAAGAAGTAGTGCCTAGCCCTATAGTCTCTTTATAACAGCTGTCCTTCCTCCTTCTAAGCCAAAATGCTGTGATTGGAGAGCCAGAGAAAACATCTGAAGCCCATATTTGTTTCTCCTCCTTTGATATGGGGACTCCAGGTATGGAATTTAGCATTTGAGTAAATGCCACCTGACATTTACTCATTCATTCAGCAAAGTCGGCACTCAAGATGAGCTTTGTCCCTCTCCTCACAGAATTTCTAGTCAAGCAGGGTGGTTGTGCAGAGAAAAAATGAGAGAAATGTGAGGGAAGGGTGCATGCTGGTACCATGGGCTGTAAGTGGGCTGTGCATAGTTTCTGGCAGTTAGGGCCTCTCTGAGGAAGTGCATCTAAGCCAAGGCCTGGAGGATGGCCAGGAACTAGCTAGGTAGAGAGGAGGGGAGTCAGATGACAGGGCTGAACTGCAGTGCCTTCCCAGAGCTGCAGTCAGGATGGCTACTGGCTGGAAGCAGTTGTGGGGAGTGAGCTGAACCTGGGGGCACACCTGGGACCCAGAGCCAGAGCTGGGGGAGAGCCTAGACTGCTGGTCTTGGGATTTTGGACTTTAACCTAAGAGCAGTGGAGTGCCTTTGAAGATTTTATAGATAGAAATGACTGTAACATTAGACTTCTATTAATTTTTAGATAGCTTCGAAGAACAAGGAATGAAACTTTGGGCCCCAGAGCAGTATGTGAGGCTATAATGGTTCAGGAAGTCAAAAAATCTAAAGCAGGAAGTCAAGAAGAAAAGGCTGTATTTTAGCCCCTTTTGTTTTATCGTCAGAGATAAAATCTGGTTCAAAGATAAATTGTGATGTGTTATATGGCAGTGCTCTGTGAAGTTTCTAAAGCCATGCTTGTTGTTATCTGCTCAGCTTAGCCTACTCTAGTAAGAATTAAAGAAGAATGTTTTTATAACTGATTTGCATTAAAAATAAAACTTTTCCTAGTATTGTCTCGTAGTCACCCAGTTGTTTGGAACATTTTGATTTGTAGTCTAGTGGGCATCACCCATCAGGACCCTCCTAGCACCTAAAGTCAATATGGAGAAAGATATAGGGGATTAACGTTTTGCACTGATAGCTAGTTGTATATCTTAGAAGGCAGCTCTACCTGGTGGAAGAAGCCCTGTGGGCCTGTGAGTCTTGGGGATATTTACTAGTTGTCAGACTCTAAGTAAGTCACGTATCCTGTAGTACAGGGTTAGGAAACTGTGGCTCTGGGAATTGAAGTTTGTTCACCCCTCTTCATAGTTGTTATAAAGATCAAATGGGAAACTGCATTGTTAAGTGTAAAGAGCCATATGTATGTGTATATACACATATATATTGTATACATATATATGAGATGATATCATTTTGAAAGGGTTAGCATTATGTTTAGTTGTAATTAACAGGAAACCTTACTAATAAGGACTTACACATAGGGAGTAATTTGTCTCACATGATAAGCAGTTTGTGGCTGGCATAGCTACTCACTAGTGCCACTGAAGGGCCCAAGCTGTCTCTGACTCTGTATTTTCCATTGCTAGAGTGTATTAGCTTTCCTGCTCATGCTAGCTGCCCCTGGGGGTGGCACTTACATCAAAAGGAGAATGCTTTCCCAGAAACCTGTGGCTTATGCATCATTGGCTGGAACTGTCATATGGCCATTCCTAGCTGGAAGGAGTCTGGGAAGCCAAGTATTTTAGCTGAGCATATGGCCACGATCAAAACCAAGGTCTATAAGTAAGGAAAAGCTGGATTGAATATTCATTAAGGAGCCAGCACTGTCACATAGTTGCTTACATTAATTTTTTTTCTAGAATCTGTGTTGAGTAAGAGACTTTCCTGTGTGATTGGAACTTGCAGCTTTATTATTAGTCAGTATCTGTTCTGTCTGCCCTCTATTTTGTAGCCTGCCCTCTGAAGGCATGCCATGCCTCAAATACCATTCTACATTGTCTTCTGTGTCTGGATAGATAAAGACCTAGTTTCAACATAAAAGAGTAATTTGCATAAAGATACAATCAGGTGTCTATAAACCTTTATAGCTGTTGAGAATGAGGTAGCTAGAACCCAAAGGAGGTGCCCATAAATGGCTAATAGCCTCATTACAGGATGTATGTCTAGCACATTCCGTTTACTTCATTCCCCACATAAACTAATAAGAAAACAAGCCAGGGATAACAACACCCTGCTTTTTTAAAAAACTTCTTGAAAGTTCATGAGTACTAAAGCACTCATGGTCATAGCAGGCTCAAATGCCCAAGTGCCTGTTTGAATATGGATGGTATTTCTTGCAGAAAATTGTATTGTGAAGACAGTTTGAAGGATGACCACACATTTCCTCCCCTGAAGCAGCTGCATTGGTTAGTTGAACTGTTACACTTTTAACAGCTTGTGTGCAAGGGGATGGCGTGGGAGGAGTAGCTGTAACTTTCAGTCCTCAGGCAGCCTGAGCAGTGCTCTCGGTGCAGGATGCAGGGTGTAGAGAGCTGCCAGAAGGAAAGCCATCAGGTGGAATGCAGGCCCCGCGTTGGCAGTGCCACAGGAATTACACATCATCCTTTAATGTCGTGATTCCATACAGAGATCAAGGAAGCTGTGCTTTTGTGTAATCCTTGTAAAATGCTGCAAAATACCATGCGTTCTTGTGAAGTATCAGTCATGGTAGTTACCAGTGTTGTATCTGAGAGGCAGCATGGGGAGAGCTTATGGGACCTTGAGCACATCATAATTTCCCCATCTGTAAAGCAAGATGCTCTCTGAACCAGTCTGTGAAAGTCAGGTTGTGAAAGAATGTGACTGTGGGAGGGAGGATGTGAGGGAGATGCTGAGTGGGGTTAGATTGCAGTTCTGTCTCGGAGGAGCCTGCTAGAGAGGGTTGGAAAGGAGTCTATGTGGAACAGGCTTGCAATTTGGTGTCAGCAGAGACATCCTCAGCCTAGATTTGGTGGGACTTGGTGCAGGTGAATACAGGGATTGATGTGGCTGTGAATGGGGGTGGGGTGGTGGCTGAGCCAGATTGCAGGAGAACAGGGAGGAATGGGAAAGGAAAAGAGGGAAACCCCCACCCCAGGGAAACCCCCACCCCAATTCAGGGCATCTGTCAGAGGCAAGGTGGCAGGAGAGAGGAAAGTCAGGAAGTATGATGAGTATAAACCCACTCAAGAACTGCAGGGGCCTTTGCTGCCTTCTGCCCAATTGGCCTTTTGTCCCATGCCATGTTAGCAAGTTCTTGTCTTTTATGGATTAATTTGGTCATTTAACCAATATTTATTAAGTCACTCCTCTATGCTAGGTGTTGGATATGCAGCTGTTAGCAAATCAGATAGAGGTTCAGTTCTCACAGAGTTGTGTCCTTGATGGGGGTAGGGGACAGGCAAATGAGCAATTAACCAGACATATGGACTGGCCCATCCTGGGGCCTCTCAGGACCTGGTGGTTGGCTGCCCCTTTTTTCTGGTACTTAGATGTATGCTATGTCCTCACTTGGAAGATATTTCTATTCCTCCTGACTGGGTCCTTCACAATCTGTATTAAAACTCACATTGATAAATAAAAAAATTTTTTTCAGATTAAACCCACCCTGTCTTCCTCCAACTCCCAGTGTTGACACCCAGACTTTCGTTTGCTGTGTGCTTTGATGCATATGGGTACAACCCTTTCCCAGTGTTCTTTTCTCCTTTCTTGGATGCAGCTGCAAGCCTGGGTTGAGTTTTATGAGAATTCTCCCACTGTACACAGTTCTGTGCTCTGCAGAGGTTGCTGGCGGAGCACCTAGGCCTGACTGAGACAGCAGGAGAGGAGAGGGAAGACTCACTGAGGCAGTCCGGTTGTAGGCAGGAGCCGCCCCTGTGCGGGGAGTCCCATTAGGAGGAGACTTTGAGCATCATGTGTTAGAATGCAGTAAGTGGGAAGGGCTCTTGGAGACCAGGGAGGCTGAGACTGCCCGGGTTCACACTGGATTTAGAGGCAGTGCTGGAATCAGAACCTAGGAAATGGGAACAATGCAGTCGGAAACTCCCTCAGAGTTTTCATTTAGGCATTTGAAAATGTTTAAAAAAGACAGAGGTCTAAACACCAAAAACCGTCAGGCACAGACTTTCTTTCCCCACTGAAGCTGTAAGACAAAAGACATGTTCATGAACACTAGTCCAGCCTCTTAAAATCTTCGAGGAAATGTTGCCATGTCCTAGTTTGTGTTTTCCCTTAGTGTCCTCCTTGAGGCGGTTTCCTGCATGCTAATGTTAGGACATGTATTGAGGAGAAGCCAGCAGCTCTGCTTTTCATTAAGTAAATCTCACGTGGTCTCTTAAAAACCAAAAACCAGACAAAAATAACAGTAACAGCAAAAATGTATTAAGCTGGAAAAGAGCTTCTTTTTCAAGTCAGATAATTACTTTTAGAAATTTTCCTCCAACGTGTTCCTCCCTGGTCTCTGGTCCCTTTTCTCCACCCCTCCTTGGGGCCTCTGAGTTCCTCAGGAAGTATTTCCAGTATGGGCTGTGGGTTGCTGCAAGGCCTGGGGTTTTCTTGGTAATAGGCACTTTGCCACATGAGCATTTGACAGTCCAGTCTCGCAGAGGGGCCGTTCATCACCTTGCTACTAGCCCACACAGGAAGAAGAGGCTGGACTCAGCCTGTAACAGAAATCTGTACAGTTTGTTGTGTTTATTTCCTGACTTGGCTTAGAATTGTGATGATGATTGTAAGACCAGCCTTTGAAGTAAAGGAGTTTGAGCTGCACCTTTACCCCATGTGCCTGTAGACTGACACATGGTGTCACCAACATTGAGCACCCCCTGCCCCCCACTCCAGACACTGTGCTCTCTAGTAGGTACACTCATCTCTACCTGCCTTGCAATATTTGTATACTGCAGGGGCAGGTGTCTGGGTTCTGGCCCTGGCTCTGGACTCTAGTGTCCTGATGGAGAAAGTAGGTAGGGAGACTGGACTGGATTAGTGGTGTTTGAACTTTTTTTTCTTTTGTTTACTGGAACCTCTTTTCCAAATGAAATCTTAAAGGCAACCCTAGTATATAAAAGAGTGAAGGAGGAACTGCTGAGGATGAAGCTGAGCATGGGGCCCCCATCCTCTTTTCCCTCTAGAAGTCCCCCAGGCATCTCCTGGAACCCTAAGACTCACAGGAAGGGTCTGGATCCCAACGACTCAATGTATTTATTCTGTAGTGACTTGGAGCTTGACATGTTACTGTTTTACTTATGTCTCTCTCCTGGATGTGTTCTCCTTTACGGGGAAAGCTCTGTCTCATTGGTTGTTGTGCCCTCGGTGCCTAGTGCTTAATACATGATAGTAAAACCAAGAACTGGCAATCTGTGGTTATTTGTAACTTCTTGCCTCTTGACTCAAGAGGCTGCAGTGAGCCGTGATCACACCACTGCACTCCAGGCCTTAGTGACAGAGTGAGACCCAGTCTCAAAAAAAAAAAAAAAAAAGTGTATACTCTGTTACCAAGTCTGTAATTCTTCTGTTCCCAGCACACCGTCTTGCTTTTCTTAGTCAGAACCCTACTGTAAGCCATGCATTGACTCTCCTGGCCAGAGCCAAATTACCCTGATAGATACACAGCACTTGTTTACTCATGCCATGCCCAAGATACTTCCCCAGTGTGTTCTTGAAGCCCTTCCTACACTGATTGTGGTCAAGTCAGAACCTGCCTACACAGTGCAGGCCCATCATGTGGCATTCAGGACGTTGCTCTCCAAGCCTGCGCAGCACAGGAATGCCTGCTCTCTGTTTCCTTTACCAGTGCTCAGTGACCTTTACCAGAGACCTGTTCTTGCTGACTCTGATTGTGTGCTTCTCTGATTAGAAACGAATTTTTCTTGGCTGGGTACAGTGGCTTATGCCTGTATTCCCAGCACTTTGGGACGCCAAGGTGGAAGAATTGCTTGAACCCAGGCATTCAAGACTAGTTTGGGCAATATGGCAAACCCTGTCTCTACAAAAGAAAAAAAAAATACAAAAATTAGCTGGGCATCGTGCGTGCCTGTAGTCCCAGCTACTTGGTAGGCTGAAGCAAGAGGATTGCATGAGCCTGGGAGGTTGAGGCTGCAGTGAGTCGTGTTCACTGAGACCCTATCTCAAAAAAAAAAAGAGAAAATAATTTTTCTTGAATATCAGTGGTCAGCAGTCAATTCTGATTTCACAGAAAGAGATGGTTGATTTTGTTGATATAGAGATATTTTAAAAAGAAGTGTAGATCAAATTGATTATTGTAAAGTAATATTGAATTCTGTTTATAAGCATGTCCTATTCTCAGAGAGATTATGCCATTCGGCATGGGATAATTCTACCACTGAAATACCAGTGCAGATTATGTTATTTGGAAGAATACAAAGTATTTGTAGTTAGAAATGTTTTTATCAGCCGGGCACAGTGGCTCATGCCTGTAATCCCAGCACTTTGGGAGGCCGAGACGGGTGGATCACCTGAGGTCAGGAGTTCGCGACCAGCCTGGCCAACATGGTGAAACCTCGTCTGTACTAAAAATACAAAAATTAGCCAGGTGTGGTGCTGGGTGCCTGTAATCCCAGCTACTTGGGAGGCTGAGGCAGAAGAATCGCTTGAACCCAGGAGGAGGAGGTTGCAGTGAGCCGAGACCGCGCCATTGCATTCTGTCCTGGGCAACAAGAGCAAAACTCCGTCTATGGGGGAAAAAAAAAGAAAAATGTTTTTATCAAAAACAAAAAAATTTTAAGTAACTTTTTATTATGGGAAATTTTAAACATATACGAAGAATAACATAATATTACCTCTAGGTTTATTAGGTAGTTGGAACAGTAATTACCCCTCGTTTCATTGATACCCTGCTTTGTTATTTTCAAGCAAATAACATGTTACCTGAAGCAAATATTACTATGTATTTGTTAAGTAACAAAATGTTGCTATTTTGAAGTAAATCCTGACCATCATATCATTTCCACCTTAACTATTTCAAAAGTTTACATTTTAAAGATGTGTTGTGAAGTTTCATCATGCTTTAGCATCAGTATGTTTGCTTGTGAATTTACTGAACTGCTATTCTGTGATGTGCAAACTTTATTTTTTCACTGTCACTCTTTACAAGCAAATACATTTATATTTGTATTTCTCCCACTTTCTTAGAGAAAAGGGACCCTTGTATAATCTGATCTGCACCTTGCTTTTCTTATATAACAGTTTATCCTGGAAATTGTTTCTTATCAGTACAGGTGATTGGACTTTGATGACGGGTTTATGGTGAGGGTTATTGGTCTGCAGTACTGGAGGAAAATTCTAGCCTTTGCTTTCTCTGGGCCAACACTGTTAATACTTGGTGGTTTGAGGCATGTCACAACCTTCCTTTGAGAAACATGGATCTGTTTAGATGAAGATGGTTTCAGAACATCAGAGTTACCCACAGATTATGTTTTTATGTAGTATACATTAAAAATATACTATTACATAGTTTAGATTTTTATATAGTATGTCAAGTCAGTGTTTTATGTGGGATGTCAAGTTTCGTGTGGAAGCTTTGAGTAACTGACATTTGTTTACCTTTTTTTTCAGATTTAATTTACCCACACCCAAATGCTTCTGCAGAAAAAGCCAGAAATGTCCTAGCTGTGGAGACTGTGCCTGGAGAGCTGGTGGGAGAACAAGCTGCAAATCAGCCCGCCCCAGGGCATCCAAATTCCATTAATTTTTACTCTTTGAAACAGTGGGGCAATGAGCTCAAGTGAGTCTTTAGAAAGCAGCATATGAAATTGAAAATGGGTTGTTTCTGATAATGTATGTTATAATTTTATAAATGAAGTTATAAAACTATCTTACACTTACAAAGGCCTTTGTTGTTTACATCATACTTTCCCATAGATCATTGTGGTTTTAGCTTGTATTACATGCTTATTCTGTGTCTGACACTATGCCAAACAGTTTCACACTTAAACGGTTTAATTTAATTGCTCAACTCTGTGAAGTAGGTCATATGGCTGACATTTTACAGAGACTGAAACTGGCTGAAGGAGAGTATGTGTCTGAGGTCACAATTCTTCCAGGCTGCAGAGCTGGGGCTTCTTGTGCCTAGGGCCTAGTCCCCTCTCCAAGACACTAGGCTGGCCACGTCCTGTGCTCTGGATTTCCATTCTCTGTTTGTGCATGGGCTAGTGAGAGTAGAGGTGGGTTGGTTTTTGTTCGTTTGGTTGGTTTTTATGAGATGAGGTCTTGCTGTGTTGCCCAGGCTGGTCTCAAGTCCTGGGCTCAAGTGATCCTCCTGCCTCAGCCTCTTGAGTAGTTGGGACTACAGGCATGTGCCACTATGGTTGACTTGTTTTTTAAAGAAGAACTTTATTGATATACAATTCACACACTGTACAATTCACCCATTTAAAATGTACAATTCAATGATTTTTGGTATATTCACAGAGTTGTGCTTCCATCACCACAATCAATTTTTAAATGTTTTCATCGATCCAAAAAGAAACTCATTACATTAGCAGTTCCTTCTCATTTCCCCCAACCCCTTCTCCTCTGTCAACCCTCAGCCGTAGGCAACTCCTAATCAACTTTCTATCTCTATGAATTTGTTTTTTGGTGGGTTTTTTTTTTTTTTTTAAGATAAGGTCTTGTTCTGTTACCCAGGCTGGCATGCAGTTGCGTGGTTCATGGCTGACTGCAGCCTTGAACGAAGCAATCCTCCTACCTCAGCTTCCAGAGTAGCTGGGACTACAGGTGTGCACCACCATGCCCGGCTAATATTTTATTTATTTATTTATTTTGTAGAGACAGGGTTCCCTCTATCTTGCACGGGCTGGTCTCAACTTCTGGGCTCAAGCAATCCTACCTTGGCCTCCCAAAGTGCTGGGATTACATGAGCCACTGCCCCTGGCTTATGAATTTGTTTATTGTGGACATTTCATATAAATGGCACCGTGCATACCTTTGTGTCTGGCTTCTTTCCGTTAGCATAATATTTTCAAGATTCATCCATGCTGTAGCAACTATCAGTGCTTCATTTCCTTTTATGGCCAAATAATATTCCCATATATGAATGTGCCATATTTTGTTTATCCATTAGCTGGGGGTGGTGATGCATGCCTGCGGTCCCAATTACTTGGAGGCTGAGGTGGGAAAATCACTTGAGGCCAAGAGGTCGAGGCTGCAGTGAGCTGAGTTCGCATCACTGCACTCCAGCCTGGGCAACGTGGTGAAACCCTGTCTCAAAAAAAAGAAAAAATGAAAAAAGAGAAAGGTTGTAGTGGCAGTGCGTTGTGGGAGACTTGGAAGTTTCTTGCTGTCCTGTAGAGTCCAAGCCAGTGGTCACTATGCAGTTGGCCAGCTGAGCTCCATAAGGGGTCCCACTGGTTTTTCAGGATGGGGCTGGGGTGTTCTTAGAAGCTACCATCCAAGGACACACTGTTTTAAAAAGTAGCCTCTTTGCTGTAACTGCTTTCTTTTTTGTACCTTCGTGGTTGAATTCAGTATGATAAAGTTATTTTCTGTGTGTTTTTAGTTTTTAAGGCATAGGTTTATATTGAAGCTGAGTGGGATATATAGGATATATATAGGTTATATTGGAGCTGAATGTCAGGGGTACTCAGACCTCAGAAGACCAGCACTTGTGAGGGTGATCACTGTAGTGGGCCCTGCCTTCCTTCCTCATCCTGGCTTGTGGCTGCAGTCCCACCTTCTTGGTCCTGCTCTGCTCCCATTCATCGGCTTTTTGCTGTTTTCTCTCTTGAGTCAGCTCTGATCATGTCATCTCCCTACGCTGATAGCCCTCAGCCTGCAAGTGCAGCTCCAAACTCTTTGGTCTGATATTTGAGGTTCTCAACGATACGACATTAGTCTCTTCCTTGGGCAGCTGTTCCCAGTATTAGCACTTTGTGAGCCTCTGTGTTCCGGCCATTCTGTGCCTTCCTCTTCATCCCAGAACCTCTGCTCACCATGTGCCTGTCTGCCCTGTGCCATCTGATTAAGTCCAGTCATCTCCCAGCACCCAGGGGATGGGGAGGGGTCATCCGGGAGGCACAGTGGGGCTGCCTTCCCTAGGTACCTGCAGCTTGAGAACCACTGATTTCCTCTGTTTCAAAGTATTGGGCTTCTCAGTAAAGAAAGGGATCTGTGCTCCTAAAAGTGTCAGAAAACCACTGAGAGCCTCCCTTCATTCCACATGTTAAAAGGTTGAGGCTTAGAGAGGTAAAGTGACTTGCTCAAGATCACATAGCAAGTGTGTGGCCGAGCTGAACACACACCCAGGTCTCCTAATTGGGGACCCAGTGCTCCTTCCCCCTTTCATCATAAGAACACATTTGGGGGACTATTGATTTGCCAGATTTTCATACCTAAGCTGTGTCATCTGCCCTCAAAGTGAGATAATGGAATGAGGTGGAAATAGACCTGTAATGCTGGGTGTTTTCCATGTCCTTGAGCATAGGAACATGGATGATGATTGAGTGCCTCCTGCCTAGGAAAGTGAACGCCTGTCACTTCTGCCTGTCACAGCTGACAGATCACATTCAGGGTGAAAAATCTAGTGTAGGAGTTATCTTCTATCAGCTGTGCCTTTGCCGTGTAACACAGTGATTAAGAACCAGGCTGCCTGAGTTCAACTCCCAGCTATGCCACTTAGTAGCTGGATAACTTGGGCAAGTTACTTAATATTCTGTGCCTCCGTTTCTCATTTGTAATATGAAGATAATAATCATACATCATGAGATTGATAGCATGATGATGAATTCATATGTGTAAACTGCTTAGAACAGTCCCTGGCACTTAGGAAGTACTAGGCGAGTGTTAGTTGTTGCTGTTGCTGGTGGAGGCACAGCTCATGACAAAGCCATTCTTCACAGAGGTTTTTGGGACCACTTTCTGTAGACACTAATGCTTATTGACTGGCATATGAATCTTAAGTGTTTATGGTTTTTTGTTTTTCTTTTGTTTGTTTTTACTTATGGCATGCTTTATGAAGTTTTAAATAAAATGCCTTAGGTGCACAGACAGACTTTAGTGACCCTAAAATAGATTACTGTATTATAAATGAATGGCTCAAAAATTGTATTTTTTAATGCACTCAAAATGCTGTCAACATTATGGTCAAGGCTTAAAAGATAAATGAAGGTTTATTCTTTTATTCTATTTATCAGTATAGTTGAAACTCTCTTAACTAGCTCCCCTGATGAACTGACATTTTAAGGTTCCTCAGTAGAGCCATGGTCCTCACTGACTGACTGCATGAGACCAAATGGGCCACTTCAGGGCACCTGTGTCCCTGCTGCCCCCACCAGCTGAGCTACAGACCTACCAAGAATCAGCTGGGTTTGTTCCTCACTGGTTAATGCCCGTTGTACTTATTATTGTAATTATGTAATTCAATGAGATATTTACTAAACCCGTGAAATATAAAAAAGGAATTGTTGTTTCTAGGAAAAATAAGTTGAATGCTTAGGGAAAATTTGATAAAGGTGAGTCACTGAAAAAATTGCTGTGAGGATGTGGGTGACATGATCGTGAAAAATCAAAGAAAAAAAACTTAAAACCCTGTAAGATTTTATGCTTAGATTGTTTCACAACTGTTAGGCCTTGTTCCACTTTTTAATAAGAAACAAACAAAATTGGGAAAGTTAGCTGATGTCTTAATGGATGTGATTTGCCCAAGAAAGATAACAGAGAACTGCAGTTAGTATCCCCAGATTGATCTCTTCCTTCCTCCCTCCCTGCCTCCCTTTTCTTTCTTTCTTTCTTTCTCTCTCTCTCTCTTTCTTTCTTTCTTTCTTTCTTTCTTCCTTTCTTTCTTTCTTTTTTCTTTCTTTCCTTCTTTCTTGCTTTTTCTTTCTTTCTTTCCTTCCTTCCTTCTTTCTTTCTTTCTCTCTTCCTCTCTCCCTCCCTCCCTTCTTTCCTTCCTTCCTTCCTTTTCTCTCTCCTTCCTTCCTCCCTCCCTCCCCCCCTTTCTTTCTTTCTTTTCTTTTTCTTTCTCTTTCTTTCTTTCTCTTCCTTTCTTTCTTTTTCTTTCTCTCTCTCTTTCTTTCTCTCTCACTTTCTCTCTTTCTTTCTCCCCTTTCCTTTCCTTTCTTTTCTTTTTTCATTTTTTGAGACAGGGTCTCTACTTTGTCACCCAGGCTGGAGTGTAGTGGCATGATCTTGGCTTACTGAACCCTTGAACTTCTGGGCTCAAGTGATCCTCACACCTCAGCCCCCCGAGTAGCTGGAAATTTAGGCACGTGTCACCATGCCCAGTATCCCCAGATTCCAAGAAGAGGCTTTGGCTGGTGTGTATCAGTAGACTGGCAGATGAGTGCACATTTACATACACCTTTACAGGTGCATGTGTTTGTTTTAAGTTCCTTTTATATGGATTCCTGCTTTAACCACATTTTTCATTTAACTTTTCAACAGTCCAAATCACACCAGGTGAAGGAACTAGGTCTCTGCTGAAATTCTGGCCAGTCCATGTGTGTATGTGCATACTCAGGGGTGGGAGTGCGCAAGCAAGAGTGAGAAAGCGCATGCCTGAGCACACGTGTGAGCGTGCATTGGAAGCCTGTGTGGCGGTTGAGCGTGTATTTTCAGTGTATGTAGGAGGTGTGCTTAGGCTGCAGCAGCGCTGACAGCAGTCAGCAAAGTTCTGTGGCTTTGTGGCCTGGACTGTGCGCCCATCTCTGGGTGCTAGGCTGGGCCTGATGTGGACCTCTGGCTCCTGGGGTCCAGCTCTAGTTCTGTTCAAGAGTGGGGTCACATTGTGGATATTGTAGTCAGCCCAGGTTTTGGAATCCCAGTCCTGCTACTTATTGGGTGTGTGATGTTGAGCTAGTGACTTAACTTCTCTGAGCTTTATTTTCTCCATCAGTAAATTGCGTGTGTGTGTGTGTGTGTGTGTGTGTGTGTGTGTAGTAAGCCTCTCTACTGGATGGGTGGGAGTGAGTGTTAAGGTTATAAATAAGAACTGCCTAGCACAGTGTCATTGTAAGTGCTCAGTAAATGGTGGCTACACAACCCAGGCCTGCTGGTATTGCTGCCACTGTTGTTACCCTGTCTCTTTTGAGCCAGTAGGTGAAGTGAGTCTCCACTTCCTTGAGTCAGGTGGATGGGGTGCCTTTCTCAATGCAGGTGTAAGGGCTGAGCTAGCCGGGAAGGTGTGCTCATCCTTCCAGGCCTGCCTCCCATAGGTCTTCTGCGGGCCCTGCAGTTGGCCCCGCTCTGATCCTTTGTTTTTGCTTCTCTCTTGACTCCCTCAGGCCTGGTAGAAAGAGTTATTTGTGAGCATGGCGGGGGTTCCCAAGAATCTATTATGGTTTTAGTGTCTAGGACCGTAAAGTCATGACAGTGACTCCTCTCTTCAGCCCCAGTTCGTAGCAGAGGGCCCGGCGCAGCCCAAAGCAGGCACCCGGATGTTTGGTGAATTAGGGGAAGTTTTTCCTGTCCCGGAGCCGTAATGTGGTACTTGTGATTTTCCTTGTTGGAAGGCACAGCTATGTCTGCCAAGAAAGACAAGGCATGTAGTCACCATGCTGCTGCCTCACACAGACATTTTTTAAGCCAGGACTTCTGGAGAAGGAAGCAGAAAGGAAGGCAACTTGCTCTTTGGCCCATGGAGTTTCAGCAGTTGCAGGAAGTTGGCTGGGGTGTGTGTGTGTTTCTGCAGTGGTGCAATGGCACCTGGTCTTTTCTGATAGCCCCCAGGAGCATGAAGTCGTGCTTAGCAATTATGTCCCAGTAGTCCTCTTGGTCTTGATCCATTCACATGCTCCCAGGGGCCCACATATCAGAAGGGCCATCGGTGTATGACACTGTTCCATGGAAATCACTGCGGTCATGAGAGGACCAGTGGCTTTGGCCTGTAGACTCGGAGACCTTTCACCATGACTCAGCATGGCAAGCTGAGGCTCAGAGAACTTTAATGTCTTGTCCAGGGCCACCAAGGGAGCAATTGGGCCATGTCTCCGGTTGTATTTAGAGTTGGGGGCTGAGGAAGGGCACCTGTCTGCATCCTGTGCCTGTGCTGGGTCCACCTGTTGCAGGGACCCAATTCTAAGGGACCTGAATCAATTCAATCGACTGCCTCAGCCTTTCAGAGGCTTCTCATTGCCTTAGGCTGAAGGCTGTGCTGCTGAACATGGCCTTCAGGGTCCCGTGGGGTCTGACCCCTGTCATTTCCTCTGTTGCAGGCCCACTTGACTTCTTTCAGTTCTTCAGGTGTATGTCTTCCCAACAGGCCCTGCCTCAGGCTGTCCCATTGCAGGGAGGGCTCTGTCTTCTCTGGTTACTTCTGCTCATTCTTCAGAGAAGCCTTCTCTGTTCCTCCCACTCCTCACTGCCGTGCTTCTCCTTCATAGCCCTGTAGTTTCTGTATTTCTTTGTGTACTTGTCTGTGGTCCAGCTCTCTTGCAAGGCTGGGAGCTCCATGGGGCAGGGACCCTATCTGTCTTGTCTCTGGTTTACCCCAGCACCTCACACTGCCTGGCTCATGGTGGGTGTCCAGCACCGACTTGAGGAAGAGTGATGAGGGAAGGCTCCAGACCCTTCCAGGGGCAGAGTTGCTCTGCTGCTCTTGCTCCCGCTGCTTGGGGGCTTCTCATCCTCTGCCCTTTATACTCGTGGGGGGGTCTGCCCACACCCACCTGCCCTTGTGCCACACTCCCTTCCCTAGCAGGACGACAGTTCCTCTCAGCACTTTTCTTTCTGTTTGGCTTCCTGGGCAGGATGTTACCTTCTGACACAGCATTGTTCACTTTTTTGACTGGGAACTGACAGCAGAAAATACACATCTTTGTATGTAAATGTATACTGTTGTTATGTAAATAAAACTGAAAGAAAAATTCCACTGCTACATGTAGTAAAGCTAAGTAGTATTTTCTCTTCTAATACTAAAAAAATGCTTGTCATGACCCTCAAAATTGATTTCCTCACTCCTTAATTGATGTCCTGGCCCCCAGTGGGTCATCACCTGCATTTGAGAAGCCCGTTCTGCAGGACTGCCTGGCTGGGCAGCTGGCCCTCCCTCCCACCCTGCTGCATCTTCCTCTCCCCTCCACTATGGGATGGGGCTGAGGATGTTCCCTTGGGTAAGAGGCTGTCCCTCCCCGCTGTCAGCTGTTTAAGGTTCTTCAGGAAGACAGGCAGGCGAGCCCGTGAGTCCTGCCACAGGGGCTGTAGGGTGCGGTTCAAGGCTGAACCCAGTATGTCACGGCCTACCTGGGCACACCAGGAAGAAGTGCTTATTCTTTGCAGTGTGGGTTGTGGGAGAGGCCGGTGATGGTTTTGCTGTGAAGATGAGTTTTGGCTTAAAGGGCTTGAGAGATGGAGAGGGACTGTCCAAAGGGGAATGCAAGTGCAAGGACACCCATGCAGAGGCAAGGAAGTCAGAACAGGGTGTGTCTCAAGAGTGGCATGGGTTCTGGTGCCAGGTGCGTAGGGTGCTAAGGGGGTGAGGATAGAAGAGGAGCTGAGGAGGCCAGGGACTCCCAGGGTGAAGGGGTGGGGGTGTCTGCCCTTTGGACAGTAGGGAACCTGTGGAGCTGTACCTGTCTGAAAGTTCTACAGTAAGAATATTGTTTCTTAGATGTTTGGTTTCTTTGAGGCTGTGCATGTTTATTAGGTGTTTGCTCTGATGTCTTAAAATTGGAAGGGTGATGTACTCATCTGTCCAGGTAAATGTCTAGAGTATTTTGGAAACTGTCTTTCTGATGACACCTTTCCAGGTCCTCAAGACCAAAAGACATCATATCAGAAGTAAATATATTCTGACTTTGGACGTTAATGCTCCAAACTTGAATGCCAGCTGAAGCCTGGACCACAACAGAAAGCAGCCTCTCGAAGTCCTTGGTTTGAAGGACGATAGCTTACTAGAGAGTAATTGTGTTAATTTGCTCTGGCTGCTATAACAAGTGACCATAACACTGGTGGCTTAAAACAGCACCTATTTATTGTTTGATAGTTTGGGAGGCCAGAAATTCAAACTCAGCTTCACTAGGCCTAAGTTAAGGTGTTGGCAGGACTGCTTTCTTCAGAGGCTCCAGGGCAGAGTTAGTTCCTGGCCTCCTTCAGCTTCTGGTGGCTGCTGGTATTCCTTGGCCTGTGGCTGCCTTGCTCTAAATCACTGCTTCCTTGGCCACATTGCTGTCTCCTCTTCTGTAGTTGAATCTAGGCCCACTCCCCAGATAACGGTGTTAATCCATTCGTGAAGACTGAGCCTTCATGGCCTAATCACCTCTTAATGGTCCCACCTCTTAATACCGTCACAATGATTATTACATTTCAACATGAGTTTTGGAGGAGATATTCAAACCATAGCAAGTGACCTGGCTTGCAGGCCTGCCACCTGACAGCTTCCCCATTTGGCCTGCCTTCTTAGTTGTGTGTTTGTACTTCATTGCAATAAGCGTGCATGCGTATAAAAAGAAAAATCAATCATTGCTGAGGGGTACACAGTTAAAAATGAAAGTCCTTTTAAGTCCACTTCCCAGAAGTCACCACTAGAACTGAAGGTACTTATGTCTGCACCCTGAACTTCGCTCTGTGTGTATGTGACTTAGAGGGATTGTACAGTATCCACTATGTCAGTGCATAGCTACTTCAGGGACTTAGAATGCTCACTCTTCGCTCAGACATGGCTTATCTGTATTTACCATGTCATGAGGCCCACTTGCACCAAAGCTGTGCTCTCACCAGCAGATGGGTCAGGAGGGGTCAGCAGTGGTGGAGAGTGTAGGGCCACCTGCCATGCCCCTTTGAGCTGACACATTATATAGGCACTTATCTGGAATGTCCAAACTTGTTAGCCCTTACTAGAGCTCTTGTTCTAACAGAATTCGGTTATAGGAATGTGCCCTAAGTTATTTAAGCAGTTTCCTAGCCATGGACATCTGCTTGTTTCTACTTTTCTGTCATTTCAAATAGCATTGTTCTGATATTCTTGTACATACGTCTCTGTGCCCTTGTGAGAATATATTTGAGGAATTAATTTGTAGAGGAGGAAATACTGAGTCAGCTTTATTGAGATGGCTGTTGCCAGTCAGAGGAAACCCCCCCACACAACCTCCTCCCTGCCCCGCCACCTTTGTTTCCCTTAACAGGGCCTGTAGTCTGGAGGGAGGGAAGGAGCTGGAAGCAGTGGTAGCCTGCTTCCCTCCTGTGCACAAAGTCCTGGCAAGTGCAAACCTCTGCCTTGGCAGTGTCGTCCACCTGCTGAAGAGGTTGTGGTTTTGCCTGAAACCTGGCTGTGCAGGCGGTTTGTGGAGGGGTTAACTTGGAAGAAATTTGATGGAACATTTCCCAACAATTCTGTCAACTTGTAAATTCTAGCTTGTTATCAGAATCCAAACGAATGTCGAACGAGTTATTACTGTTTTAGTTAGACATTTTAAACTGTGCAGACCTCCACCGGAAAGAGGTTTTCTTAACGATGATACAGATTGCTGGTGTTTGTTTTAAAAAGCTCAGGCTGACCACTGCCCCTGACAAGGTGCTGTTTTGCTGCTTCGTGGTGCCTCACTTTCTATTTCAGATCAGAGCAGCTGAGTGTTTATAGGTGGGCACCTGGCACGCTGCCTGGGAGAACACAGTAGGCCTCTCAAAGATCTGTCAAATGAGACTGCGGTCTTTAAACAGCAAATACTGTCATAGAACAGCCTCTAACACCAGCTAAAAAAACGCCTCCATTTAAACCAGCTGTGAACTCCTCATGGAGTACACAGGCAGGACACGTAGTTGCCACCGAGGCCTCTGTGGGCCAGAGCAGACAGGGTGAGTGTGTCTGAGAAGTCTGCACTGTAATGACCCCCTTGTTGCACAGTCCTAGAATTGGGTTTTGCCACATAAGAGCAAAAACAGGAATTGGCTATATACTGTTTCAGCTTCAAGAGGCTTTCACTTTGAGCCTGATTCCATTTCTCTCTTATCCAGGACTTGACAAGTAGCACCGCACCTCCAGCAAGGCTGTCCCTCAGCTGCAGGTGAGAGCACGGCAGCGTACGACTCAGGCTTGCAACAGGCTGGAAACCCAAAACCGCGGTGGGAGGAAGGAGGGTGTGTGGCAGTTCTAAGTCACTGAAATTACTGTTCTCTCTCCCCAGGCCGTGTGGGGGTGTCCCTGCTCTTATTTCTCTTTCCTGCATTCACCCTTTAGGAACCAGAGCTGAGGAGCACAGTTTGACAGCTAGGGCAAATGGTAAGGAGAATTTAACTCCTAAAATTGACGGTGGTGGTAGTCACATGCCACCTGAGGGAAGGCTCCTGTGAGATCCTTGCTGTAGGCAGGGCCACTGAAAAGTCATGGTGCAGTGGGTCCAGCGGTGTCCCAGTGCCCTGTGAAGTGATGAACCAGTCATGTCAAAAAAATGAACAGAAGTATAGCCAGCATTTGTGAGAGTTTTCTTTTTGAGCAGCTATTTTGAAATAGTTTTCTCTACAATTTTATAATTTTTATAAAATCAGACTTTATACAGTATCTTGCTCATTGGGTTACCATGGGGAATTGACTAGAATCCTTCTATGCAGTTGTCTGTGAAGATGTGTGGCACAGTGCCAGGCTCTAGAAGAGACAGGAAATAAATAGCACGTGCAAGATGCTATACGTCGTTTACCAGCTCCGTGTTGGTCCTAAGTAAATAAACTATGAGAAAGTGAGTGTCAGTTCTAAACAGGCATAATTGCTGGTTTCTGGTGACTCTTTGTTAAAGCAGTTAGCCAAAGGCCATACATCCATATACTGTGATAGCGTGATGAGAACATAAGCGTGTTATATAATTTCTCTGTATTCTTCTGAATGTTTAAAGTACAAGTAAAAAGGAAAAATGATATGCTTTAAAAAACACATTGAGAAATGACTGTTTTACATGAGAATATCATCTGTCTGATTCAAACTAGAGGTAAAGCCACCTTTTCCCCCCTTTCCTTTAATCCACCTCAGAAAACACCAAATGATACATTTCTTCCTCTTCCTTATTTATTTGCATGTTTATTTTAATAACTTCATTGAGTTATAATTTACCTCCAATAAGTTCACCTATTTTAGGTGAATAGGCTGATGAATTTAAGAAATTATACACAGCGATGTAAACACCTCCATAATAAAGAAAAATAGAACATTTCTACACCTTTAAAAATTCCTTCACGTTCCTTTGCGGTTGATCCCTTCCCTTAATACCCGGCCCTGGGCAACCTCTGATCCGCTTTCCGTCACTATAGCTTTGAGTTTTAAAAATTTTTATATAAATGGAATCATACTCCTTATAGTCTCCTGTGTGTCTTCTTTCACTTAACGTTTTTGGAGACTTACCTATATTGTTTGGTGTTTTCGTATTTTATTCCTTTTATTGCTTTAGGGATAAGGATGGGTCTATTAAGTAAGAGAATATAAGTATGTATGTGTGTGCGTATAAGTAAGGTGGTTCATGTGAGCATGTCCTCTCCTCAGCACTCCACTTACCGACTGCTCAAATGAATTAAGATGTCTCTTCATAATGAACACATGCCTCTTACCTTTTGACAGTTTAACTATAAAAATTTGACTTCCTTTATTTCTTTTGCAAATTAGGGTTATACTTAAAACTTTAAATATTATTTGTATTAGGCAATTTGATTATGATATGCCTTGATACAGTTTTCTTCATGATTTTTGTGCTTGAAGTTTGTTGAGCTTCTTTTGTCTGTGGATTGATGGTTTACATCAGATTTAGAAAAATTTTTGGTCATTATTTCTTCACATACTTTTATTCCATCTCTTCCCCTTCTCGTCCCCTTCAGTGACCGACTCATTGGTCCATCCATCCTTCCTTTTTTTCATTTGTTGTTTTTCTGTTTCATTTTAGGTCATATTTCTGTTTCGTTTTAGGTTGTTTCTATTGCAGGGTCATCCAATTTTCTAGTCTTTCCTTCCACAATACCTACTCTGCTCTTGTTCCCATTTAGCATGTTTTTCATCGTAGGCATTGTAGTTTTATCTTTGGAAATTTTATTTAAATCTTTTTTTTTTAATTTTCTATGTCTCTAAGATGTTTATTCTTTTTTTTCTAGCTTTTAGAACATAAAGAATACAGTTATAACTTTTAGAGTCCCTGTCTGCTAATTTTATCTTTTGTTGTTTCTGGTCTGTTTCTGTTGATTGATTTTTTTTCCTCATTGTGACTTGTACTTCCCACTTCGTGCATGCCTGGTCATTTTTAAAATTGAATACCAGATGTTGTGAATTTTACCTTTTTGTGTGCTGGATATATATATATATATTTTTTTTATTGCTATAAATATTATTGGGCTTTGTTCTCGGATGTATTAAATGACTCTGGAACAGTTTGATCCTTTTGAAGTTTGCTTTTAAGCTTTGCTTGGTAGGATGAGCACAGGCTTTAGGGATACCATCAGTAGCCTTTCTCAGTAATCTTTCTGATGCCCTGTGAATTATGAGGTTTTCCACTCTGACTGGTGAGACTAGGCACTATTCCCGGTCCCGTGTGAGGCTCAGGGATGGTTTCCTTTGCTTCTCTCAGTTGGTTCTCTCCCTGTCCTCGGATAGCTTTCTTACATCGAAGCCACAATCAGTACTCGGTTGAAGACTTGGGGATACCATCTAAGATCTCTGTGACACTCCCTCTGTGCAGCTCTCTTCTCTCTAGTACTCTGCTCTATGAGCTGCAACTGCCTTGAGAGTCTCCACTCTATCTTCTCATCTCAGAGAGATGCTGGGCTCCTCCTGGGTTTTCCCTGCCTGCAGCCTGGCCTGGAAACTGTCTCCAGGCAGTAAGGTGGGCTTACCTCATTGGCTTTCCCTCTCTCAGGATCAGTGTCCTGTGCTGCCTGATGGCCAATATCCAAAAACCATGGTTTCCTGTATTTTTAATTTTTTTTTCAGTTCTTTAGTTTTCACCGGGGAGGGTAAATCTAGTCCTTGTTATTCCATCTTCACTGGAAGCAGAAATCTTAACCTACTTTTTAAAACTTTTAATGAAATATTTTTAGCACACAGACAAGTATATTGATTACTCAGATAGCCATGACTCATTTTTATAGTTTTGTCATATTTCCACTGCATTTTTAAAAACAGAACTTTACTAAAATCCTCTCTCTCTCTCTTTTTTTTTTTTTTTTTTTTTGGAGACAGAGTCTTGCTCTATCGCCCAGGCTGGAGTGCAGTGGGGTGATCTCTTCTCACTGTAACCTCCGCCTCCCAGGTTCAAGTGATTCTTGTGCCTCAGCCTCCCGAGTAGCTGGGACTACAGGTGTGCACCACCACACCCAGCTAATTTTTGTGTTTTTAGTAGAGACAGAGTTTCGCCATGTTGGCCAGGCTGGTCTTAAACTCCTGACCTCAGGTGATATGCCCACCTCAGTCTCCCAAAGTACTGGGATTACAGGCATTAGCCATGGCACCTGGCTAAATCCTCTCTTCTTGATCCTATTCTTCTTTACCTTTACAGAGGTGGCCAATATTCTGTATTTGATAATTGTAATTTATGTGTGGACTTAAAAAAATAGTTTTGCTACATATATATGTATCCATAAGTAGTCTCTGTTAATAGTATAATCTGAAGGTGTAAAACAGTATCATGCTGTACCTATAATTCTTCCATTTTCTTTTTCTTTCAGTGTTTAAAAAATGTTTATCCCTATGATACGTATAGCTTTGGCTGAAATGTACATTCCACAAGAATAATAATCTTGCTGTGTTTTGTTCACTGGGATATTCCAAGCATCTAGAATATTGCCTGGCATGTTGTAGGCTCAATCAATAATTGGTGGATGAATGAGTTAATTTTAAGTGCTGTATAGTACTTGACTATATGAATATGCCACAGTTTATTCTCCTGTTCATGAATGTTTAGGTTGTTGTACCTTTTTATTTTTTTCTAATATGAACAATGCTGCAGTGAATGTTTTTGCTTGTGTCTCCTTGTGCACATATGTAAGAATTTCTTTTAGCAAATACTGGGTGTTAGGGGTAGGCACCTCTTCAACTTAACAGTACCTTGCTGAGTTCCTCTGCATGGTAATAGTATCAATTTATAATCCCACCAGCAGTGTATAAGAATCCCCATTTCGATTGGGTGAGGTGGCTCACGCCTGTAATCCCAGCACTTTGGGAGGCCGAGGTGGGCAGATCACCTTGAGGTCAAGAGTTCGAGCCCAGCCTGGCCAACATGGTGAAACCCCATCTCTACTAAAAATAATTAAAAAAAAAATTAGCTGGGCATGGTGGTGCAGCCTGTAATCCCAGCTACTCAGGGAGGCTGAGGCAGGCGAATTGCTTGAACCCAGGAGGCAGAGGTTGCAGTGAGCCAAGATTGCACCACTGTACTCCAGCCTGGGTGACAGAGGGGGACTCCATTTCAAAAAAAAAAAGGGAATCCCCATTTCTCCGTATCCTCACCAACATTTGGTATCATTAGATATTTAAATTTTTGCCAATCCTATATACATGAGATTACGTTTTGTTTTACTTTTGTTTTTGTTAATAACACATATTGTTTTTCCCAACAGGAATTCGATGTCTTCTTTCCGTCCTGGGAGAGGACATAATGATAGTCGGAGGACTGTGTTTTATACCAATGAAGAGTGGGAACTTTTAGACCCAACCCCTAAGGACCTAGAGGAGTCCATAGTACAGGAAGAAAAGAAGAAGCTGACCCCTGAAGGAAACAAAGGTATCAATGTACTTCCTGTTGTCTGTCATTCTCTGTACTGCCATCTGTTAACCACCAGTGATGTGGAGACACATTATTAGCAGGTATTTCGAGAAGCATAAGGACCAATGGGGGCTTGCATTCTCTTTGTCGGACTTAAAACATAAAGGCTTAAAAAATTATTTAATAAACGTTATAAGAAATAAATGACTGTCTAGTCCAATGGCTCAGTTTTTTGAGGGAGATAGCAGACTTGGAAGTCATGATCCTCTTTATGGAAATACTGATTTTAAAAAACTTTATAGAAATTTGAAATGTACACAAAAGAGAATATAGTCTCATGAATTCTGGTGTACACACATCATCCAGCTTCTACAATGTGAACTATGGTCTCTCTTCTTCCTTCTCCGTCTCTAAGCTCCTGCACCTCCCTGCACCCACTGTCAGCTGGATTATTATTGTAGGCATTAATCCATTGCATCTGCAAATACTTCAGTATGTATCTCTAAGAGATAATGACTCTTTAAAAAAATTATAACTACAACTTCTTTATTATATTTATAGTTACAATAAATCCTTAATATTATTTAATTGCAATCTGCAACTGCATCTGCAAATGCTATAGTATGTACCTCTAAGAGATAATGACTCTTTTAGAAAAATTATAACTGGCCAGGCGTGGTGGCTTACGCCTGTAATCCCAGCACTTTGGGAGGCTGAGGGTGGGCAGATCACGAGGTCAGGAGATCGAGACCATCCTGGCTAACATGGTGAAACTCCATCTCTACTAAAAATACAAAAAAATTAGCTGGGCGTGGTGGGGGGCGCCTGTAGTCCCAGCTACTTGGGAGGCTGAGGCAGGAGAATGGCGTGAACCTGGGAGGTAGAGCTTGCAGTGAGTGGAGATCGCGCCACTGCACTCTAGCCTGGGTGACAGACCGAGACTCTGTCTCAAAAAAAAAAAAAAATTATAACCACAACTTCTTTATTATATTTACAGTTACAATAAATCCTTAGTATTATTTAATTCCTTAATTGTTCCCTAAGTGTCTGTTTACAGCCAGTTTGTTCAAATGAGGATTCAAACAAGACCCACACATTGTATTTAATTGATGTCTTCTTAGGTCTCTTTTAATCTAAACAGCTCCCTGGCTTTTTTTCCCTTCCCCCTCCTTTGCCACATTTGTTGAAGAAACCAGGTCTTCGTGCTGAGGAGTCTCCCACATCTGGGTTTGCTGATTGTATTTCTGTGGGGTCATTTAACATGCTTCTCTGTCCCATGTAATTCCTGTATACGGGCAGTTAGAGCCGGAGGCCTGCCCAGATTCAGGGTTGACTTCTGATTCGACAGGAATGCTGTTTTGGTGGGGAGATGCTGCGTGCTTCCTATCGTATCGCATCTGAAGCCACATCATGTCTGGTTTCTCTCTTTTGATATTAAGATTGATCAGGATTTAGCGTTGTCATCTTGATTCATTCATAAAATTCTCCATCAGCCTTTTTGCCTGATGCTTTTAACATTCATTTACAATCCTAGATTTATTTATTTTATTTATTGAGACGGAGTCTCGCTCTGTCACCCAGGGTGGAGTGCAGTGGCGCGATCTCGGCTCATTGCAACCTCCGCCTTCCGGGTTAAGCGATTCTGCCTCAGCCTCCTGAGTAACTGGTATTACAGGTGCCCACCACAATGCCTGGCTAATTTTTTTATTTTTAGTAGAGACAGGGTTTCATCATGTTGGCCAGGCTGGTCTTGAACTCTTGACCTCAGGTGATTTGTCCACCTCGGTCTCCCAAAGTACTGAGATTACAGCCATGAGCCACCGTGCCTGGCCACAGTCCTAGATTTATTAATTCATTAGGAGAATATTGATGTTTTAAACATAAAATAACAATAAGTAATTTTGAAATTCCACCTTATGCCTGATTCTAGCATGGGCCAGCAGGAATAGGGTGCAGGATTTGAGGAAACCTTTATTGCGAGAGTAAGCACTTAGGAAAGGAAATATTTTTTCTGTCTCCTGGAAAAGGACTGTCATGATTTGCTGTGAGAGGGAGCTTACCTGTGCTCCATAGGATCCTGGTGTAGAACCCACTGGCCCAGTGTGACATGGTGTAGAATGTGGCCACACTGAATGTGCTGAATTACCTAATGCATGGCAAGGCCAGTGAGAGTGCCCAGAAGAGGGGCTCAGTACGAGCTGATAATGCTACCTGGAAAAAAAGAGATTAAAACTGGGGATTTGGGTTATTGAAAATAAGTACTGTTGGCTGTGACTTCCAGTAGAGACTGAGGGTGAAATAGAAGGATGAATGTGAGCAGGACTGGGGAGGAAGAATCGGGAGTGCTTAGTGAGTTGGGACGGGAGGAGAAACTCCCTGCACCTTGGAGACTGTTTTCTTGACGGATGACAGCCTTCTTAGCCCTCTGCCTAACCCTTCATCCCCTTTGAGGGGAGTTTATGTGATAGAGAGGGAGAGACAAAGATGTCACTAGACTTTGATCTTACTCTCTTCATGGGTATTTCCTGAAATGGCTCCGATAATCAGCCCTCCAACTTGTCCATGTTATTCACAGAAAGTGAACTACCCTTCCTTGTATTTTCCCGTATCTTTAAGTAAACTTTTTATTGATGTATAACATACAGAAAAGTCCCCAAATCAGAAATGTATAGCTCAGTGAATTGTCACAAATTGAATACACCCATGAAACCAGCACTCACTTCAAGAAGGAGGACGATGCCAGCACCCTAGGAACCAGCTGCCATCCCCGTGCCCTTTCCAGTCACTACCCCGCCCCAGGGAACCACTGTACTGATTCCTAACAGTGCAGGTTGGTTCTGCCTGTTTCCTAACTTTATATAAATCACACTTATATGCTCCCTTGTGTCTCCTCTTTATAATGTGAGTATATATATTTCAATCTATCTACACTAAAATTTATTTAGATCCCATAGTATTTTTTTTTTCTTTTTTAGTGATGGAGTATCTGTGTTGCCTAGGCTGGCCTTGAACTTCTAGGCCTAAGCTATCCTCCTGCCTTAGCCTCCAATAGCTGGGACCACAGGTACATACCACTGTGCCTGGCCTGACGGTATTCCCGAATACTCTTTTTTTTTTTTTTTTGAGATGGAGATTCGCTCTTGTTGCCTAGGCTGGAGTGCAATGACGTGATCTTGGCTCACTGCAAACTTTGCCTCCCGGGTTCAAGTGATTCTCCTGCCTCAGCCTCCTGAGTAGCTGGGATTACAGGCATGCACCACCACGCATATTTAGTAGAGACAGGGTTTCTCCATGTTGGTCAGGCTGGTCTCGAACTCCCGACCTCAGGTGATCCACCTGCCTCGGCCTCGCAAAGTGCTGGGATTACAGGCGTGAGCCACCATGCCTGTCCCCAAATACCCATTTTTTAAGAAGGGGAATCTAGTTATGCTTTAAAACATGCATGTCTTAGTTTGTTTTATACTGTTAAAACAGAATACCATAGGCTGAGTAATTTATAATGAACAGAAATTTATTTGGCTCATGGTTCTGGGGCTAGAAGTCCAAAAGCATGGCACTGGCATCTGGGGAGAGCCTTTGTTTTGTATAGTCCCTTGGTGGAAGGCAAGAGAGAAAGAGAGCAAGAGAGGGCAAGGGTGAGGGAGAGCCAGGGGACCAAACTTGTTTTTATTGCAAACCTGCTCTGGTGATAACTAACCCACCCTGGTGATAACAACATTAATCCATTCACAGGGGCAGAGTCCTCATGACCTAATCACCTGTTATTAGGCCTCACTTGCCAATACTGTTACATTGAGGATTAAATTTCTAACACATAAACTTTGGGGGACACATTCAAAGTATAGCAATGTTTGTATGTTAAAAAAAAAAAAACAACAAAAACCAACATACATTTGAGTGTTTTTGCTTTTTTGCTAAGGACAAATTAGCAAAAATAGGATGCTTAGTATGTCTTAGTTTTCCATGAAAAATGATCCTGTGATACAGTCTTCCAAGGAAGGATCCAGTGGGGGGAATCAATCATCTCTGGCTGAAGCATGTTGGTTACTATCTAGAATGCAGTGGGGGCAGAGTCATCAATCTCCTGTAGTTCTTAAGGTGGTGAATGCCAAACTCCCTGGAGGATGATTTGTGGGGATGCTTTATTTTGTTATAGTTTCCAAAAGGAAGATGTGGTTTTTGTTTAAAATACAAGTTTTGGCCGGGCACGGTGGCTCACGCCTGTAATCCCAACACTTCGGGAGGCCGAGGAGGAAGGATCACAACGTCAGGAGATCAAGACCATCCTGGCTAACACAGTGAAACCTCATCTCTACTGAAAATACAAAAAATTAGCCAGGCATGGTGGCGGGTGCTTGTAGTCCCAGCTACTCGGGAGGCTGAGGCAGGAGAATGGCATGAACCTGGGAGGCGGAGCTTACAGTGAGCCGACATTGCGCCACTGCACTCCAGCCTGGGCGACAGACCGACACTCCGTCTCAAAAATAATAATAATAATAATAAAATACAAGTTTTATTTTTATGTAGGAGTAACTGGCTCAGGATTCCCCTTTGATTTTGGACGTAACCCCTACAAAGGAAAGCGCCCTTTGAAAGACATAATTGGGTCGTACAAAAATCGTCACAGCAGTGGTGACCCTTCAAGTGAAGGCACATCAGGCAGTGGCAGCGTCAGCATCAGGAAGCCGGCCTCCGAAATGCAACTGCAGGTCCAGAGCCAGCAGGAAGAGCTGGAACAGTTAAAGAAAGACCTGTCCAGTCAGAAGGTAACTTCTTCTTCTGGCTTCTGTCTTACCCCACCTCAGCAGGCCAAGGACGGGAGGAGTAAAGCCCAATTTATGTTTCCCTGAGTCTTTCTGGGGACAGCTTTGTTTCCCAGGAGTTGCTTTTCCCCTGGAGGTTTCATATTGCCATGGCGGTCATCTAGGCACAGCTGCTGTGCTTGATCATTGGTTCAGAGGTGTTTGCATTTGCAAGGAGAGTGAAGATCTCTCAAAGGAGGACAGAGGAGGTTGCTGTCTGCACCACAGCCCAGTCCTGCCCCTGAGGTTGAATCTCCCTAAACACAGTTTCAGCCCAGAGTTCTTTAACAGTCATTAAAAAGAGTTTCTGCATCCTATTCAACAATGGTTTCTTGAACTAATCAGATCTAATTACATTTAATTGTTCAGCAGTTCAGTGACTCTTAGAGCACAGGTTTTTTAATACCCATGACATTTACTGGATACCATTGCTAATTATAGTGGACATGTCCATTATTTCCTGTTTCCTATTACTGTTCTCTACAGACAGTCTTTATGGAGTAAATATTTTTTTCCTCTATTTTTGAGATCCTTCAAGAGGAAGTTCAGTATTAAAATGTTTCCAGTAAAGTTTCTACATTTCCTCAAACTCTGTCGATTACTCCATGTAATGTCATGATTTCTGCTTTTCCTCCTCTCCTTGCTCTTTTCACCCTTCACTCCATTCTCCTTTTGGCTCCCAGGAGCTTGTTCGACTGCTCCAGCAGACAGTCCGGTCATCCCAGTATGACAAGTATTTCACAAGCAGCCGGCTCTGTGAGGGGGTCCCAAAGGACACGCTCGAGCTTCTGCACCAAAAGGATGATCAGATTCTGGGCCTTACCAGCCAGCTGGAGAGGTTCAGCTTGGAGAAGGAGAGTCTTCAGCAGGAAGTAAGGACGCTGAAGAGCAAAGTGGGCGAGCTCAACGAGCAGCTGGGAATGCTCATGGAGACCATCCAAGCCAAGGACGAGGTCATCATCAAGCTCAGCGAGGGCGAGGGCAACGGGCCTCCTCCCACCGTGGCGCCCAGCTCCCCTTCGGTTGTGCCTGTTGCCAGGGACCAGCTGGAACTGGACAGGCTGAAAGTAAGAGTGGGGCAGGGGCTCTGGTGATTGGCATGAGAGACCACCGATGTCACCCCAGAGGCCTGGCCTCCGTGAGCTGATTTGGTGTGACGGCAGAACAGCTGCACACTTATTTTTTTTCCCCACAAGTGTAACAGGACTTACCATCAAATAATCATTAATCTTCTGTGGAGCTTCCTTGGAAAAGGAAACTCTTGCTGTTGCTTTGAACAGTTTCAAATCCTTCCCCTCCCTTGTTTTCAGGCAACTAAGACTTCTCTTTCTATATATACCACCCTTAGTACTTCATTATCCCTTGTATCATATGGAGGCTGTTTCTTGCCTCTCCTGTGTGCATGAAATCACACACAAACTTAATTTGCACAGCTTGCTGCAGGACCTAGTGGATGCCTGGTTTGGGAGCATTGCTCCTAACAGCTAGTATGGGGTTAGCTGGGGAAGCGGACTCCAGCTTCCAAGTAGGCCTGGGAAGAGGGCCTGTTCAGAGTCAGTGCCCCCAGCACCCAAGATGGGAGGGTCCTGACACTCAGTAGGAAGGACAGCTTTCCTCCCCGTGTCCTTCTCTGGGCTAGCCCTTAGGCTGGGAGGCTATTGCCTGAACAGAAGTGACCCTCCTAGTCATGCCTGGGGTGGTGACCAGCTGATGCGGTAGGAGGAACACACAGCATTTGTGAGAGGTGGGGGCAGCCTGCATTTCTCTTCTTGCCTGTAGAGAAGCCTAATGATTCAGAGGGGAGGCCACAGGGAGGATCATAACATTCTTGCTGCCACCGGTTCTTGAGACTTTGTGGGAGAGGTTTTAGGTGGACAAGTGGCCCCCAGGACATGGGGCATCAAGTATAGCCTGTTTGACCCCAGCAGACCCCAGACATGTCTGTAGCTACTGGTCTCACCTAGCCCCAAGGCGTCCCTCACCTGGCCACCCTCATCTTGCAAATAATGTGTCTCCGAGGGTGTTTGGCTCTGGATGGAGCTTGTCCTTGGAGGGCAGAGGTTTGCTGCTGTCCAGGTTGTTACTGAGTATTTGCTTCATGCCTAGCAGTACCTTTCAGGCGATGCATTGAGTGAGGGAATGATAGGCATGCTAGGGACCCTGAAGATAATTCCAAAACAGAAGTAAAAACACCGGAATCATGGCAGCATGGCTGGAATATGTACATGGTCCCCATAGTGACCACTTCTCACTGACAACACCCATTGGATATGTGAGGCCCAGAGGATTTATGAATGAGAAAATCCAAAACAACAAGAAAACCTCTGGTCTCAATACTTTACACTTATATCTACTATTTAAAAAAAAAAAAGTTGGCTGTGCATAGTGGCTCACGCCTGTGATAGCAGCACTTTGGGTGACTGAGGTGGGCACATTGCTTGAGCCCAGGAATTTGAGACCAGTGTAGGCAACATAGTGAAACCCCCGTCTCTATACAAAAAAAAAAATGGCCAGGCATGGTGGCTTGCACTTGTGGTCCCAACTACTCAAGAGGCTGAAGTGGGAGGATTGCTTGAGCCCTGGAAAGCAGAGCAAGGCTGCAGTGAGCGGAGATCCTCACACCACACTCCAGCCTGGATGACAAAGTGAGACCCCGTTGCAAGAAAAAAAAAATAGGCTTTGTGGTTTTTGTTTGTTTGTTTTTTTAATAAGAGGTCTTGGTTAGCATTGCCAATGGAAGTTGGGTTTTTTAATGTACACAACATTGAATATACATGACCCTAAATATATACCCATCAATAATACACATTTTGGGATTACTTAATGAAAACAGAAATTTTTATTTTTATGTATTTATTTTTTTTGAGACAGTGTCTTGCTCTTTTGCCCAGGCTGGAATGCAGTAGTGCAATCTCAGCTCACTGCAGCCTTAACCTCCCTGGCTCAAGAAATCCTCCAGCCTCAGCCTCCTGAGTAGCTGGGACTAGAGGCATATGTCACCACACCCAGCTCATTTTTATATTTTTAGTAGAGACAGAGTTTCGCCGTGTTGCCTGGGCTAGTCTTGAACTCCTGAGCTCAAGTGATCTGCCTGCCTTGGCCTCAGAATGCTGAGATTACAGGCATGAGCCATTGCATCCAGCAGACAGGTGAAATTTTTATTTTGCAAGTGTGTCTATTTCTGTAGTGCGTAGAACAATACTATAGTGGTGGGTTTCCAGGGCGTGCGTGACACTTGGCAGTGGGGGAGACGTGTGGAGCAGGTTTTCCCGGGGAGCGAGCCAGGGTGTGCGTGGAGGTTATGCTTCGTGGCTGTGGCGACTATGCAGCTCCTTCTGTAGACAGCTAACGGAGCTGATCGGGATACAGCGCTGTCAGAACAGGACATTCCCTCCTCTTTTCTTTTTGCAGCATAATGGGTGGAGTGGTTTTGAGCCATGAAGTTTTTTTCCTCCAACATTTCTCAACTTAACAAGTTTAGCAATTTTTAACAACTTAACAAGCCTGTGGCCCCAACATATCACAATTGTGAGGTGATGTGGCGACAGACGATGAAGAGGCAAAGTGGTTGTTAGGTGGATTCCAGGTGAGACAGTTGAGGCCTGCCTGGGTCCATGACCTCATGCTTTCTGACATTGCTCTGTTATTGCCAGTGCTGGGGGTCCCTCTGCAATGCAGAAGGTGTTCACACCTCATGCAGGTCTCCTCTGCAGTGGCACTGGGAGAACTGGAAAGGCTCCAGGGAGAAAGAGGGAGCGCACTGACAGAAGTGGGTGTTCTCGTGTGTGTTCCCTCATAGCCCTTCAGCTCTAGACAGGGTATGGTTGAGGAAGAAATATTGATTCCTACTTCTGATTCCAAATTTAAATGTCTAAGTGGAAAAATATATATATTTAAGATATATTTATTTAAAGTATATTTTATATATTTTTAATTTTAAAGATATGTTTATATATCTTTTTTGCTATTGCTGTTCTTGACCAGTTTTCATGCTTTATTGTCAGTGGATGCTGCCTGTAAAGATTTCTGCCATTTGGAATTTGTTAACTTTTTTTGGTGTGGTCTAATGCTTTTTGTTTCTATAGTATTCCGAGGCAGGAATAAACATTGGTCCTAGGATTTTGCCACCCTAGTGATTTAAGTCATTATTTCTCCATGTTTCCTTCCAATCCTTTTCTGTGTTTCCGTAATTCTTCCATTTTTGAAGTGTATGGACTTTCGGATTGTTCCATTCAACACTGTGGCCCCAGCACTTCCATATTGCTTTCATTAGCGATTTCAGTGTTGTCCATCCTTTGTGTTATCATTTACTTCATCCTTGTCTTTCTTCCTGCGTTTGCTGTTCCATGAATACCTCCGTGCCTACAGCTTCTCCTTCTTCCAGCTCATCTATGCATCCAGCTGTGTGCCCACCCTTTTACTCTGCACGGGTACACAGGCACTGCACTCCTGGGCCTCACAGTTTAGTTTAGAGGCACAAACAGAAAAGCAAAATGACAACTGGAGCAAGCACCAGGAGGGAAGGGGATGTGGAACAGCGTGGGGTGATGCTTTACATTGAGCATGGCCTCTGGAGCCAGCCCAGGTTGGATTCAAACCCAGATCACCACTTAGGACCTCTGACTTGGCCAGGTGAATTCATGTCTCTGCCTCAGTGTATTTGTCTGTGAAATAGTGCTTATTTTCCTCATAGGTATTGTGAGGGTTACAGGCGGTAATCCATGTAAAGCCCTCCCTCACACAGTGCCTGGCTCCTCATAAGGTCTTCACTGTTAGGTGTTGTTGCTGTGATCATCATCGTTCTAGAGAAAGTATCTGTAATATAAATGATCAGGACTTACTTAGACTGTAACACAAGTTTTAAGTTAAAGACATACATGGCGGCTGATGTTACTTGCTTTCACTGACCCCACCTTGTATCACTCAGTCTCTATCCATCACTGTTGAGTGCTTTCTTCAGTTGCCCTCCAGCCAGCTTTCCTTTGGCTGACCTGCCTTTTAGTAATATGTTTGCTTAATGTTTCCAAATATGAGACCTTTGGCCAGGTGCAATAGCTCATACCTGTAATCCCAGTGCTTTGGGAGGCCGAGGCAAGAGGATCACTTAAGGCCAAGAGTTTGAGACCAGCCTGGGCAACATAGTGAGATCTCATCTCTACAAAAAACATTAGCTGGGTGTGGTGGCCATGCCTTTGGTCCTAGCTACTCAGGAGGTTGAGGTGGGAGGATCACTTATGCCCAGGAGTTCGAGGCTGCAGTGAGCTATGACCATGCTACTGCACTCCAGCCTGGGCAAGAGTGAGACCCTGTCTCCCCCCCCCTTTTTTTTTTTTTGATACAGAGTCTCACTATTTCACCCAGTTTGGAGTGCAGTGGCATGATCTTGGCTCACTGCAGCCTCCACCTCCTGGGGTCAAGTGATTCTCATGCCTCAGAAAGGGTAGCTGGGACTATAGGTGTGCGCTATCACGTCTGGCTAAATTTTTTTTGTATTTTTAGTAGAGACAGGGTTTCGCCATGTTAGCCAGGCTGGTCTCAAACTCCTGGCCTCAAGTGATCCTCTTGCCTTGGCCTCCCAAAGTGCTGGGATTACAGGCATGAGTCACCATTCCCAGCCAACCTTGTTTCTTTAAAAAAAAAAAAGCTTTTAAGACACCAGTAGAAAGGAGATTCAGGTGAGAAAAGGAAGTCCAACATTCAACATTTCAAGTACTTGTCATGACGTGACAAGTACTTGAATGTGCTCAGGCTGAGTATGATGCCTATCGAAGTTCTAGTGGGAGTCGGGCCTGAGACCATGGAGCTAAGAGCCCACTGGTCTGGCTCTCAGAAGTCTGATTTGCAGGCTAGACAGTAACTGGGCAGCTTTCTATGGCTCAATTCTTCACCTCAAAAATAAAGATGGTGAGAATGGCTGCCTAAGAGTTGGAGTTTTAAACAAGATTAGGAATCTCACATGCCTAGCACGGGGCACCTGTAACCCATCGCAAGTGCTCCGTAAATGTTAGTGATTAAAGGGAACATTGAACCATTTTCAGTTCTTCTGCATTTTATGGGGGAAGTGGTATAATCCCGTGGTGGTTTCTTGTTTGGCGATGGGGAGTTTCTGTAGCCGCATCTCTGGGGAGCGGCAGCAGTCTCCTGCTTGTGATATCACCAGAGTCTGTCTTGACTACCCTGGCCTGCCGTTTGAGCTGTCTTGAACATAATTTCTTCTGTGACTGGGAGATTAGGAACCTCACACACCAGCCTGTCAGATTATAAAAGAGAAACAGAAGCTGGGGGAGAAGAGACACATTTATAAAAGACTAAATTTGTAAAGAACATTTAGAAGTCACTGCTCAGAGGTGATTCGGTTTAGTATCCTTAGCAGCTTCTTCAGTTCATTGTTTTTATTATTAGGAAAGTCTAAGGAAGTTTTCTGAGCTTCATTTTCAGTGTTTTACATGAAAACACTTCACCCCCTTTTTGGTTTGCTTTTTGTTGCTGTTGGATCCTTTCAGCTTTCTTGCTTGGAGTTTCAAGGGCTGAAGCCAATATGACATGTGTCCTGCCCCGACCTGCTCTCAAAGTTGGACTCGGCAGAACTTGTCACCAGCTTGTTATGTTCTTTTATAGACAGAAAGCAAATAGGCAAAGGTTAACAATTGGCTAATTTAGGTGAAGGCTATATTGTGTTCATTGTACTTTTCTTTCAACTTTTCTGTAAGTTTGAAATTTTTCAGTGTTGAAGAATATGTTCTCTTACGTGCCTTATACGTTTTAGGTCATAGGATTTGTTATTAAGAGTGATTTTTAGTTATGGGCTGTATATGTATGTAGACTTTTTTTACGTAAACTGGATAAGTGAAGATGAGAACCTTCAGAAAATATGTTCAGTTTCTCTAGTTTAAAAAAAAGTAAGGTATTGCTTTTTTTTAACCACCTCAATGAATATGGAATATGGATAGATAAAATATTTGCATAGATTTAGGAATATGTCATATTTATTTCTCCTGTCATCAGTTGAGAAAAACTACCACAATTAAATAAAAATATCTTCTCCATCTCCGTTACGGCAGTCATGCCTGCCTGCCTTCTACTACTGTAAATGGCCAAAAAGATTAATTAGGAAGTGCCTTTTAACAACTTCTAGTTCTTTAGAACTTACTCTAACTTAGCAGGGCTATTTGATTGGTGAAGCAGCAAGCTACTGACTACATAGGGTAATTAATTAGTCAATATTCAACCAATGTGAATTCAGGGATTTTTTTTTTTTCTAACAGGATAATCTACAGGGGTACAAAACCCAAAACAAATTTCTAAATAAGGAGATTTTGGAACTCTCAGCTCTACGAAGAAATGCAGAAAGGAGAGAGAGGGATCTGATGGCAAAGGTGGGTCAGGATAGGTGGATTCTATTACCTGGTGGGAGGTAAGGTTAGGAAACCATTAAAAATAAGCATGCTTTACAAAGCGGTTCAACTCCCAGGCTTGGAGAGATGTGGTTACTGATAACAAAATATATTTAAAATACATATAATACATAGAGCTGTATAGTTAGTCTCATTTTATTATCTCTGATGAAGACAGATAAATGCCGTGAGATGTGAGTTTTTCACATAAACTGGATAAGTAAGAATGAGAAGCTACAGAAAATGTGTTCAGTTTCTCTAGTTAAAAAAAGAACATAAGGTATTGCTTTCTTTGTGTACCTTTGTTCATAAGCATTTTTAATAGATTTTGAAGAAAACAAAGTAAGTACATAATTATAAGGTCACCTAAATTAAGATTATTTGGGTTTTGATTTATGCTGTTCAGTTTTGTATTTATGGAGATGGTGAGGTAAATGCCTCCTCTGTGAACCCAATAGGGTTGGTGTGAAAGTCAGATATGATTATGGCTGGAAGGGGCTTTGCACAAAGTGTAATGGGACCACAAACATTTCAGCTGTCATCAAATGAGCTGTAATCAAATGATACTTGTCAACAGCTGTTATATACCTGATATACTTTTTTGAACAGAACTTGAAGCATCTTCCCAGACCTTATTCCTGCATGTTTTCTAGGGTATATTTGATTTGTCTGATAAGGTGGCAGATGGGAGCTAGTCCTGGACCACAGTGTCCTAAGAAAGAATGGGTATAGCATGGAGTGGCCACTCATGGGCCATGTGCCAGATGGCACCGAGCTGGACCTCAGTAATTGGCATGTAGCCTGGTTCCTGCTGCTCTCTCCACCTCTGTCCAGAGGTGATGCATTTGTTGGCATCCAGAGGTCTGATTATCAGCACTCCTTCTATAAGGAAGAGAGGAACCCACTGCAGGCCATTTTAAACATGAAAGGTGGTCTGTGGCATAAATTAATTTCTTGTCTTTGCTACAGTCTGTCTCTGGCTCACTTCCTAATAGTTTTGGGTTTGTTGTTCACTGGTCATTTGCGTACCTAAAGATTGCTCTTCCTGTGTCTCTGTCTGAATGGAGGTAACCACCACATTCTCTGCAGTATTCTAGCCTGGAAGCCAAGCTCTGCCAGATAGAAAGTAAATACCTGATATTGCTCCAAGAAATGAAGACACCAGTGTGCTCAGAAGACCAGGGGCCCACCCGGGAGGTCATAGCCCAGTTGCTGGAGGATGCTCTGCAGGTTGAGAGCCAAGAGCAGCCGGAGCAAGCATTTGTTAAACCTCATCTTGTCAGGTAAATGTGCTAGTGACTGTTGAGGGTAGTGCACCCCATTTCTGAAGTCCCTTTTTCAACAGCAGGAACCATTCGCAGAGAGCCGTACACAACTGTGTGTCTCATTTGGTGCTCATGACAAATGCTGTCAGGTCAGCAGAACGGTAATGTCTTCATTCTCCCCTAGTAATCAAGTCATAGAGCGGGGACTTACCACAGGTCTTCTGATTGCAAGACCTATTTTTCGTGTAAGTAAGGGAGCCTTCCTTCTGATCCTTCCTTACTTCAGGAGGAGCCAGTCTTCCAAGGAATAGGAACCTTCTCCTAAAACATAGCCCTACCCACAGGTGGTTCAAAACAAAGGGACCCTTAAGTGGGGAACTGAGCTTACACACACACACACCCCCCATATATTTTTGGGGAAAGCACTAAATCTGGAAGCCAATGATGGATCTTGGATTAAGAACCCTCTCATAACCTGTCTTCTAAAAAATATGAGACTCATGAAATACTTGAACCAGGAGAAATCTACAGATTCACGCAGTTCAGCCTCTTGTTTCCACGACTCAGGACCAGCCCTGTGTCTAGGCCTTGCTTACTGCAGTCTCCTTGCTTCTCCTGCCCCACCCCTGTAGGCCCAGGTGAAGCCTTGCTTCAGTTTGACATGACCTTTCCCTTCTCTGAGCTTACAGCACCAGCCTGCATTGTTTGGGCTACTCAGATGACAGAAATATGCTCAGAAAGTACCCAACACCATCTTTACTAAACACTTTTATGGATGTTTGCCATGTGCCAGGAGCTGTGCTAAGGGTTTTATGTGCAGAGTTGTACTTAATGTTCAGTGAGGTGAGTGTTTTTATCCTCACTTTACAAGTGAAGAAGCGGAGTATGGAAGTGATATAACTTGCCCAGAGTCACCCAGCCTGTGAGTGGTGAGGACAGGCCCTCAGCCTGGATAGTCGGGTTCCCAGGTGCAGTAGCTCCACCAGTACGCTGGGCATTGCTGCTTTGCTCATCGTGGTGGCTGTTAACTTCTGTGAGCTCTTGGAGCGCTTCTAAACGTGCTGTGTGTTCTTCCCATGCAAAAGCGTTTTGTGCTCTTACTATTTATATTGTGTGTTCAAATTTTATATATAAGTGAAATAACCATATATATTGGTTTATTTTCAACTTTTTCTTATGGAAAATTTAAAACATACAAAGAAGTAGACAGAATTATGTAACATATACCCCTGTGTGCAACTAACTTGAGCAATTGTTAATGTTTTGCCAATATAGTTTCATTTTACCTCCTCACTCCCCACAGTTTTTTTCTGGAATATTTTATTTTATTTTATTGTTTTGTTTTGTTTTATTTTGTTTTTTTGAGACAGAGTCTCGCGCTGTTGCCCAGGCTGGAGTACAGTGGCACAATCTTAGCTCACTGCAAGCTCCGCCTCCCGGGTTCACGCCATTCTCCTGCCTCAGCCTCCTGAGTGGCTGGGACTACAGGCGCCCACCACCACGCCCGGCTAATTTTTTGTATTTTTAGCAGAGACAGGGTTTCACCGTGTTAGCCAGGATGGTCTCGATCTCCTGACCTTGTGATCTGCCTGCCTCGGCCTCCCAAAGTGCTGGGATTACCGGTGTCAGCCACCGCACCCAGCCTTTTCTGGAATATTTTAAAGCAAATGCCAGACGTCACGTCATTCCACCTGTAAAATACTTCAGTGTGTATTTCTGACTGATGATACCTTTTTACATACTAATCCCAGATACATATCATTTTGAACTTATTTCCTTCAACATTATTTTCTGAAATTATCCAGGTTGATACAAGTTACTCCTGAGCTATTTTTTTTAAGAGATGAGGTCTCTCAGTCTGTTGCCCTGGCTGGCCTCGACCTCCTGGTGGGCTCAAGCAGTTCTCCTACATCAGCCTCCCAAATAGCTGGTACTACAAATGCACACGACTGAGCATGTTTACCTTCTTTGTAGAACATCATTGTATGAATCTACCATGGTGTCTTTATTCCTTCCCCTCATGGAGGACATTTAGGTTCTTTCCATTTTTCCTTGTTACAGTGATGCAAGGACCATCATGGTCCATATTCCCATGTGCCCACGTGAGAGAGTTTCTCTAGGGTGCAGACTGGAAGTGGAATTCCTAGTGTATAGAAAATACATACCTTTAACTCTGCTTGCTAGATCTGATTTCCAAAGTGCTTGAGTAAGTTTACGCTCAGCAGCAGTGTGTGAAAGGCCTTTGTAGTAGTTTTCTTTTACTGGTACAACAAATTATCATAAACATAGTGGCTTAAAACAACACAAATTTGTCACTTAATAGTTCTGTAGGTCAGTAGCCCAACATGGGTCTCATTGGATTAAAATCCAAGTTTAATTAAGGGCTGCATTTTTTTCTGAAGGTTCTGGGATAATTTAAGTTGTTGGTGGAATATAGTTCCTTGCAGTCATTCGTAGGACTAGGTCGCTATTTCCTTGCTGGCTGTCAGCTGTGGTTGGCGTCTTCTAGAGCCCCCTGCATTCTTTGGCCTGTGGCCCCTTTTCCCATCTTCGGGGCAGCAGCAGCAGGTCCAGCCCCTCTCACACCTCCCGTCTCTCCTGCCTGACATTTCTCTGACTGACTCTTCCACTTTGAAGGGCTCATGAGGATATTTGGGCCCACCCAGATATCCCAAATAATCTCCTTGTTTTAAGTTCTGTAGTCTTAACTGCATTAACGTTCCATTAACAACATTCCTATTGCCATGTAATGTAAAACAGCCACAGGTTCCAATAACTGGGACGTGAACATCCTTATCCCTAATAGCTTATAAATACATTCTTTGTTTTTTTTTAATCTTTTAAAATGATATTTTTAAGCATAAAGTTATACATATGTAGTGTATATATATGATAAAGAAACATACACATATATTAATGTAGCCAAATTTATCAATCTTGTTTTTGTGCTGTTGCCTGCGTTTTCTTCCATGCGTTTCATATTTTCAGTGTTAAACTGTTTGGGATTGTTTTTTTTCCCTGTATAGTGTCAAGTAGATATCTAATTTAATTTTTGCATATAGATAGCCAGTCCTCCTAGCTTTATATACTGAGAAGTCGATTATATCCTCACTGATTTGAAATGCTTCTCATAGTTCAAAGTACCACGTGTGCCTGATTTGGTTTCTAGACTCTCTATTTCTGTTGCATTGGTCTTTGTTGCTAAAACTTTGTCATTTTAATTTTTCCTTTTGTTTTTATCAACAGTGAATATGATATTTATGGGTTCAGGACTGTACCTGAGGATGATGAGGAAGAGAAATTGGTTGCCAAGGTCCGCGCGTTGGATCTGAAGACTCTCTACCTCACAGAAAACCAGGAAGTCTCCACTGGGGTCAAGTGGGAAAACTATTTTGCAAGTACAGTGAACAGGGAGATGATGTGCTCTCCAGAGTTAAAAAACCTCATCCGTGCGGGCATTCCCCACGAGCACCGTTCCAAGGTGTGGAAGTGGTGTGTGGACCGTCACACCAGGAAGTTCAAGGACAACACTGAGCCTGGCCACTTCCAGACCTTGCTGCAGAAGGCGCTGGAGAAACAGAACCCAGCCTCCAAGCAGATTGAGCTGGACTTGCTGCGAACTCTGCCCAACAACAAACATTACTCCTGCCCCACCTCAGAAGGCATACAGAAGTTACGCAATGTCCTCCTCGCCTTCTCCTGGCGGAATCCAGATATCGGCTACTGTCAAGGCCTAAACAGGTGGGTGCACAGCACAAAATGTTCCCATTTGCCATTAGGCAACTTGTAGGCACCGGTGCTGCCTGGCAGCTCCCTCCCTTCCTGGTTGGCCAAGAAAAGTCAATATTTTAAGAGAAAAAAGTAGTTGCAGCAAGCCAGTTTTCATTACACAATATCCCCAGTTCTAGAAGAACTGAGAGAAAAAGCATGCTTTTAGAAAGTATTAAGAACACAAGAGTTAAATTCATTTGAAACTACTTGGAGTCTCATTTTTTCCTGTTTGTTCTCATCGCACTCGGGTTTTGATCAGAAGTTTGATTTTATTAGTTTGTAATGCATGGAGTGGAAATTGGTGGTCACCCGTTGTTTATGCAGTATACAGGATCTTTTTGTGAATCAAGAGGTTGCCCCAAACAATTATTCAGCTGACTGAAACTTAGCCCTTCATGGACTTAAACTTGTTTCCTTTTAAACTAGAACTTTTAACAGGTCTTGCCTACTTCCCTACTTCCATAGGCAGAGGATGCCGAAAAGCCTCTCATGTTTTCTGGGTGATGTAGGCTCATCCTCCTGAGCTGTGCAGGGATGGGACAAGACCTCAGGAGGACTGAGGTTTGCTCCCCACAAAGCTCTTCCTGTCACTGGACTTTGCTGTGACTGCTTCTTACCTGGCTGGCGCGCTTTCTGCTTACTGCTGTCCTTGCAGTTGTCCATTTATATTTCTGTGTAATGAAAGTAGGTAAGCAGGCTTGTTAAAAATATGGATAAAGGTCCAGTGCAGTGGCTCACACCTGTAATCCCAACACTTTGGGAGGCCAAGGTGGAAGGATCGCTTGAGCCCGGGAGTTTGAAACCAGCCTGGGCAACATGGTGAAACCCCGTCCCTACAAAAAAATTGGCTGTGTGCGGTGGGTCACACCTGTAATCCTGGCACTTTGGGAGGTCGAGGCAGGCGGATCACCTGAGGTCAGGAGTTCAAGACCAGCCTGGCCAATATGGTGAGACCCTGTCTCTACTAAAAATACAAAAATTTGCCAGACGGTGGCACATGCCTGTAATCCCAGCTACTCGGGAGGCTGAGGTAAGAGAATCACTTGAACCCGGGAGGCAGATGTTGCAGTGAGCCAGCATTGCACCACTGCACTCCAGCCTGAACAACAGAGCGAGACTCTGTCTAAAAAAAAAAAAAAAAAAAAAACCAAAAAATTAGCTGGGCATGGTGGCATGTGCCTCTAATCCCAGCTACTTGGGAGGTTGAGGTGGGAGGATCGCTTGAGCCCAGGAGGTTGAGGCTGCGGTGAGCTGTGATCACACCACTACACTCCAGCCTGGGCAACACAGTGAGACCCTGTCTCAAAAAAAAAAAAAAAAAAGATATGGATAAAGTAAGAATGAAAAAGTTCTGCATGTGTACCTTAGGAATTCTGTAAGCCATGCATGAGCTGGAGTTCTGAGTGCTGACGTTTGTTATGGCTGCCCACAGGCCTTTTTTGCTCCTGCTCCATGCCAGGTATTGACCTCCAGGTAAGGGTTTTCTATTTGTGTCTGAAATGAGAGTACTGCAGGAAGAAAGGATTTTAAGCTGGAATGTTATTTGGTTAAGACCTGAAACCAAATGGTTTTCAGTAAGTCATTGTCTCTGTGGTGGTGAGGATAGGGCAGCCTCTCTATGTGCCCTCAGAAGGTGAAAGGGACTATAGCTACTCCTAGACAGTCTCCACTTTTAAAAAGCCTGTAAGTAGGATCCTGCCTAATAAAGCAGTTTTGTTTTGCTTAAAGCCACCATTCACATTGCATACTCAATCTAAAAATTCCTGGAAGCTGGAAACCCGTGAAACTCAGGGTCCTGGTGAGGACTTGAGTATGCCTGTTTGGGGTACAGTAATGCTCCATTTATCTGGCATTGTCATGGAATCAGTTTTTTCCTACATAAATGACACTTCCAGATAATTGAAGCTTTCTGTCTACACTTCCGCCCTCACCACCGTTAAAACCTCTGAATTGTAATTCTTTGGGATTTTTTTCTTCACAGTATTTGGTACATGTTCATGGCTTCTGAGCACCCAGAACTTTAGAAGGACAACTGTAGCCTTGTCTAGATGATGGTGATTCAGACCTGTCATCTGGAATATTGGTGAATTTAAGTGATGTCCTCAAAGGCTCTGTCGCTTTCAGACTCTCTACCCCTTCTCCTGGCGCCATCGAGTCCTGTCTCTCAATTTGGTGTCTCTGCTTGCGTGTCTTGTTTTTCTCTCCTCTGTCTCTGCCAGTGGTCACCATTCTCCTTTCCATCCCATCCCTGCATACTTGAGACATCCCCTTCCTGGACTTTTTTTCCATTTAATTTGAGATGAGTTCATTATAGTTTTATCTAAGAAAAATATTCTGAGAAATGGCTTCAGGGATTTTCCCATGAGTGTTGCTTATAAGCTTCGTGTGATGGGCAGAAGTTTTGGATTTCAGCTGAGTAGAGGGAGGCCTTTCTCTCACCTCTTCCTTTCCATCCTGCTGCTCCAGATTCCCGCTTGGAGCCATACCAGGGCTATTGATTAGTGACAGCATGTAAATAGCTGACCCCAGTTTCCGTTATGAACAACAAAGCAAGTGAGACACATGGTCCTCTTCCCCTGCTGTGCATGCAGTGGGCACAGCGCTGTTAGCTCCTTTGGGGTGCCCTCATCTGCAGCCCATTTTATTCCTTCAGCCTGGAAGCAGGATGGTGTTGGGAAAGCTGTTTTAAACCATTCTGTATTCTTTGTTACTTACATTCACATCTGGAATTTTTGTGCATAAAAGGGTTATTTGGAACTTCTTGATGAACTCAAAGAATCAGCTGCATTTGCAAAAATCTTTTTTTTTTTTTTTTTTTGAGACGGAGTCTGGCTCTCTCGCCCAGGCCGGAGTGCAGTGGAGCTATCTCGGCTCACTGCAAGCTCTGCCTCCCGGGTTCACGCCATTCTCCTGCCTCAGCCTCCCAGGTAGCTTGGACTACAGGCGCCCGCCACCGCGCCTGGCTAATTTTTTTGTATCTTTAGTAGAGACAGGGTTTCACCGTGTCAGCCAGGATGGTCTCAATCTCCTGACCTCGTGATCTGCCCGCCTCGGCCTCCCAAAGTGCTGGGATTACAGGCGTGAGCCATTGCGCCCAGCCGCAAAAATCTTATAATGAAAACTTTTTTTTAATGAGGCTGGCTGATCATTGGGAAACAATTTCATCTTTGAACAAAAACCAAATGAAAGTGGGGAAAAGTAGCTTTGCTTCTCAAATTTTAGGAAATGCACCCCCTCCTTTTTTTTTTTTAATGAGACAAGGTCTTGTTCTGTTGCACAGGCTGGAGTGCAGTAGTGCGATTATCATTCACTGTAGCCTCCACCTCCTGGGCTCAAGTGATCCTCCTGCCTCAGCCTACTGGGTAGCTAGGACTACAGGTGTGCGTCGCTACTCCTGGCTGATTTTTGGTTTTTTGTTTTTTTAGAGATGGAGTCTTGCTATGTTGCCCAGGCTGGTCTTAAACTCCTAGCCTCAAGTGATCTTCCTGTCTTGGCCTCCCAGAGTGCTAGTATAATAGGCGTGAGCCATTAAGCCAGGTCCTTATTATTCTTTATTGGAGAACTAGAAATAATTTTGGCCATGAGAGAAAAAGTGGCTTAAAGCAGATGGTCTCTGTGGAGACTGTAGTAGCAGCTGTCTGTGCCTGGGCTCTCATCTTGTCCTCCCTTTGCTTGTAGGTTGGTGGCAGTGGCCCTCCTGTACCTGGAACAAGAAGATGCTTTCTGGTGTCTCGTTACCATAGTGGAAGTTTTCATGCCTCGAGACTATTATACAAAGACTCTTTTAGGATCCCAGGTAGTTCTGAAAATTCTGTGTTTTAGTCACCACTTTTAGAATTGCAGCTGAAATGTGACCTGAATTAAACCTGCGGTCAGGGTGAGGGGTTGCTTTGTGTATGTGACTTCAGAGACTGATTCCTGAAGACAGCAGGCCACATCTCAGAGGCTGTCCCCAGTCATGGCCTGCTGTTTGTGACTGAGGCCGAGTTGGGCTCATTCAGCCCCCTGCGAACCAGCAGAGACAGACCCGTCCTGCAGGCCTAACATTGTGTTCACTGCTCTGCACTGTCTTCCCCGGACACAGGCCTACCAGTGGGCTGAGTCATAATCCAGGTGTGCTTGGGTGACTGGTGTGTTAGCTCAGGCTCTCAAGAAGCAATGTCAGGCTGGAATGAGACAAACCAGAGACTTCGGCGGGGGGAAGCCCCTGTGGAGGACAAGGGACAGAGAAGTTCCAGCCCCAGGAAGGGAGGAGGATGGGGAGGAGAGTCCCAGACCCTGTGCAGTGACCACCATGCAGTCCTGAGGAAGTCTGGGCAGGGCCAGTGGGGAGCCCTCAAGCCAAGGGCAGTGACCAAGGCACCTGCCTCCACAGATGGGCTGCATTCCTGCCGCTGCCGCACCCATGCCCTGCTGCTGGGAATGAACGTGGTGATGCACCAGAGGGGCAGCAGTGGGGCCTGCAGTCACCTCCTGCAGTGGGAGTCTGAGTGGCGCATTTCATGCCATCCACACCTGGAGTCTGACGCCAGGGGCCAGGGCAGAGTGATAAGGGCTGGGAGAGCCCAGTGTTTCTGCCTTTGCTTGGGACAGTCCTGGCCCTGGACCAGATCCTTGGCCCTTGAATCATCCCTAGGCTGGGCTGGGGCTGCTGCCAGCACTGGCTTCCCCGTAAGCCGGCCCTTCGCATGTGGCCCAGACTCAGGCAGCTTCTCTCTTAGCCACAGCTGTCCCCGTGTGTGCCTGCCCTGTCTCGTGTCTCTTCTCCAGGTCTGTGCCCCCGCCTGGCCTGCCTGCTCACAGCCTCTCCTTGCCCTTCTCCTGCACCACTTGGTGTTGCAAGGCCTGGCCCTGCAGGCCAGCGGGAGGTGCTGGCAGGAGACTGAAGGGTGACAGGAGGGACTGAAGGGGTTTTCCCTCTCCCCATCTCGGGCACTGCCTCTGAAGGTGGCTTTGTCTCCTCTGTGCCCAGCTCCTGTCCGGTGGGTCCTCTGTGCCAACAGCTGACCCCACCGGCTCCCTTCATTGCTCCCCTGCAGGGTGGCTTTCTGCCCTTGCTATAACTCTGGGCTGCCTCACTGTCAGCTGTTTGGCTTCTCAGCTTTTCTCTCACCAGTGTGGCCAGCCCCTGGATGACATTCACTCTGTGACACATATTTAGAGGGATTTCTGTTTTCCTGGCTGGACCCTGAGCAAGTGTTCTTTGCATTCGCATTTCTGCCTTTGGAGGGAGGGTCCTCATTATTGCCTCCTGTTCCCGCCTGTGCTCCTCACATCTCTAGCTCCCCAGGCTGGAAACTCAAGCCATCCTGGACTCCTGCCTCCTTCCCCTGTATCCCTGTCGTCACCATTTCTAGTGCTGCCGCCTGCCTGGAAGCTTACATCTGTGTCCCCTTTTTGTCCCTTTCACCACAGTGGGGCCACCGGCCTGTCTCCATCACTGCAGTTGCCTCTCTCCTTTCTTCCTGCTGCCACTCACCCACAGCTCCAGTTTAACCTCTGTCTCACTCAGGTATTCAGTCTCATCCCTCTGCTGCTGTTGTCTGGGGCTCCTCAGGGTAAAGATGCCTTCGAACGCTGCCAGGGCCCTCCTTCCTGCCCGCTGATGGGGCGTGTGTTCTCTGGGCATGCCCATCCTCTGGGTACTCTCCTACATAATCCCTCTACTGGAACAACATCCCATCGCTCATCTCCCTGGGAAGCTCCTGTGCAGCCTTAGCACACAGGCCATCTCCTTTGTGAGTGGTCCTTCCCGCCCCAAGGCAGGCACGGGCCCCTGCTGCTGTTCCCGCTGCTCGGGTGCAGGCCTCCAGGACAGTGGCCACCTGATTGGATCATCCTTGTGTGCCTGCTTGTCCTCCAGCTAGTCAGTGGTACCTGAGGGCCACGGCCCTGTCTTTCCTTTTTCTTTCTTTTTCCTTTTCCTGTATGCCTGGCACCCCACACAGTAAATGTTTGAACTTACATGAGCTACTCTTTGACCAGGGAAAGAGAGTTGGCATTTACTGAGCCCTGGCCCCGTGCCAGCAGCTGTACAACTGCACAGAGCCTGCACGCTTGAGCCATCAGTATCCCTATTTGACTTGGGAGAAAACTGGGAGCCGAAGACACTAATAAGCAATTTGCCTGAGGTGCCACCGATGAGGGGCTGAGCTGGGGTTTGAACTCAGGCCTCTGCAACTCTGGGCCTAAACTTGCCTGTCTGTGCCCACGGCCTCCTAGAACATCACAGGAGGATGGCAAGAGAGCTGGAGCTCTCACCTTCCCAGAGGGTGGGCTTTCGCCACAGCTGCCCCCTTCAGGTCCCTGTCCCAGTTTCTCAGATGTCAGTGGATCCCAGGAGAAGCTCATCTGGTCTCCCTGTGATTGCTTCACTTGCTAATTACCCAAGAAATGTATTGTTCTGTTGCGTTGGTGTGTAGGAAATGAACAGCAACAGGAAGAGGCAGCAGTCAGTCGGGTGGGATTAGAGGGTCAGTAAAGAAAGTTTTGTGTGTTCATGGGCACCTGAAAGCTAATAGCTTTCAAAGACTCAAATTTAAAATATCAAATGACTCAATGTTTCAGAATAAGAAAAATGAAGCATTGATCTTTCTTAATTCCATTGAGGTGTGGTCAAGCACATTGGTTAGGAACTTGGGGGGAGGGTCACATGTAGTAGATCACAACCCAGGCCCTACCTCCTGTGAGCTGTGGAGCTTGGACACATCATTTAACATCTCTGTGCCTCAGTTTCCCCATATGTAAGATGAGAGTAATACCCCCCTCACATAGACTTTTGAGGTTGAATTGAGATGATGCATTAAAAAAAGTTGAATGTAATGCTTAGAACATTGTAAAAACTCAATAAAAGTTGGTAGTATTGTTATAGGGGAAGACCTATTTTAAATGTCTGGATTTAAGATAAAATTTGCATCACATTGTCACATAAACATAAATGTAAAATCTAAGGAGACTTTTTCCCCCCTGACTATACAAGTAATAGATGATCACTAAACAGAAGTCAGGCAGTATAGAAAGATGTTAAGAAGAAAATGAAAATTGCCTGTTATTCTACCAACTGGAGAACCGTGGTTAGCATTTTGATGTATTTCCTTTTGCTTTTCTCCCCCTAGTTCACATAGGTATCCAAATTGAGAGCACAGTGTATCCTGGCTTGTTCACATTATAGCATGAGCATTTTCCCATGTCATTTTATACTGTGTACCCATCCTATTTGGTGGCCTAATATTCCATCAGGTGGGTGCTAGAATGTGTTTAATTATCCTCCCACTTATCGATGGCCATTGCGTAAGGTGGCTCTTAAAATGCGGATAGCTTTGAGTGTGCTGTCAACCCTGAGCACTGGGCTTTGCCAATCACTGTCAAACTGCCTCCTGCCAGAACCAAGTGCCCGAGCCCCGTGCCCACTGCTACTGCAGTCCACATGCTTGTCAGCTTTTCCATTCATTCCATGCTTTGAGTGCATGTTCTGTGCCAGGACCTTGCTAGGTGCTGAGGACACAGAGATGAATGACACAGTCATTCCATGTCCTCCAGAGCTCAGTGGAGGAGGGAGCTTGAACAGAGGCCAGAGCAAGCGTTTCCTGGCAGCCTGCTCCACACCAGCCCTCCGCCAAGCACCCGAGCAGCCTTAAGAGTGAGGCACAGTCTGCCTCCTAGTTGGGAGAAGAGATGTGTACAAGGATCTTCTCCCATGTCAGGGCCAGCTGATATGCCCCTCCCTCTTGGACGTCTGCAGCTGGATACTCCAGGCTGAATGAATTACATCATCATTAGCTGGTCTTACAGTGAGCCGTCCATCTCCCTTGCCACTTTACAGCTCCTGAAAGGCAGCTCCTGGCTGGGCATGAAGTATAGGAAAATATGTACAGTTAACCCTTGAACAACGTGGGTTTGAACTGCATGGGTCCACTTACATGTGGATTTTTTCAACTACACACAGATTGAAAATACAGTATTCACAGGATGTGAAACCCTCTTATACGGAGGGCCAGCTTTTTGTGTATACACCAAGGGATGACTATAGTTGTTTTTTACACTATGGATAGAGAAATTGGTTTAGTAGGTTGGTACTAGGTTTTTATTTTTATTTTTTTCCCATAAAATCCAATTGTCCAATTGATTAGAATTAAAAGCATCAAAGTGTAGTCCACTGTGTGAGATTAAGTATTGTTTTGTGAAACATTTGTTTCTGTTTTGTACACGTGCATACCGGTTCACGTGGAGTGGGTGATGGTTGAAGATGCATGTTTTTTTGTGAGGAAAGCCCCTGGCTAGGAAAGCCCCTGGCTGACAGGATAGCGTCTTGACTCCTCAGTGTGACGCAGGGGTGTCTGTGGCCAGCTTCTGCCTGGCTGTGCTGCCTCACCTCCCAGCCCTCCTGCCTGGAAGCCTGAGCTCTAGCTGTAGGAGCGGTTTCTCCTCAGTGCTTGGCGGGGACCTGTCCATGGTTCCACAGGGCTGTATGAACACATCGTTACCAGGGCCTGGCCATGGTTAGGATGGTCCACGTGTCTGGCCTTCCCTTCTCATCTTTTAACTCCTTGAGGTCAGGGTTGAACTTTATTCAACGCTCTGCCCAGCACTGGCCCCGTGCCTGACACAGAGTGGCAGTAACCAGGTATTGCTCGTCTGTCGTGCGCAGGTAGTTTATATAAGCCTCATTTAATCCTCACAGTAGTCCAGTAAGAGAGAGGTAATTAACTATTTTCCAGATGAGGCACAGAGCCGTTTAGAGCATAATTTGCTAAAAGCCACCCAGCTAGTAAGTGGTAGAGCTGAGATTCAGACTCAGGTTCATGTGACGCCGGAGTCCTCGCCACCCCCACTGCACATGCAGCCCAGCAAATGTTTGTTGAATGGATGTGGTGATGCTGCTTCCTTTTTGGAAGCAGAATCCCCATCTGCCCAGGATTCTAGTTTGTGGCCCTTTGTGTCAACATCTCACGTATTTACTTGTGGATTGGCAAGGCTGACTGTCCTACCTGCTGCTTGCAGTGGCCTATTTCCCAGGGCATTTTGAGTGCAGGAGTTGGTTTCAGGTTACAGACTCCCCTACTCCCATGCCCTGTGGAAAGCATGCTGTTCAGCGGACACTCGGTGTGTACCTGCAGTGCACGAGGTCAGCGCTGCTGGAACATAGTAGTCTGGCTCCGTGATGGGCCCCACGGTGCATTTGGAACAGTTGTGCTGCTGTCACTTGGGCTCCACCCCCAGGCTCTCAGGTTGCGCGTCTGCTCGTCTGCTTACCCGGTGACCTGGCAGGCCTGATACACTTCTCCCCTTTGTTCCCTCTCCAGGTGGACCAGCGGGTGTTCAGAGACCTTATGAGTGAGAAGCTGCCTCGGTTGCATGGCCACTTTGAACAGTACAAAGTCGACTACACTCTCATCACTTTCAACTGGTTTCTGGTGGTATTTGTGGATAGTGTCGTTAGTGACATCCTCTTTAAAATATGGGACTCTTTCCTTTATGAAGGACCAAAGGTGAGTTAGCTCAGCTCAGCTATTTTCAGATATACACACTTGACAACCGTCAGCAGCGTTGGTGGCGGTAGAGCGGCTGGCTCACCTGGAACTTATGAGGGTTACCATGGTGCCCAAGGGATCTCAGCACGGCCTGCACTAGATCTGGGTCCAGGGTATCAGGAAACCACAGTCATTTGTTCATGTATCAGAAACATTCAACCCACATCAAGCCCTGTGATAGGCGCTGGGAGCTATGGCTTACAGTTTGAGCCTGAGCCTCACCATCTGTCAAATGGCTGGTGGTGTTACCCCATCATATGGAGGAGGAGATGGAGGCCCAGAGATCTAATAAGCAGGGGATTAGGGGGGCTAATGAGGGGGACTAACTTGGGGGAGCCAACTTCAGAGCCTTACTGCCCATGAGCCTCCCACCCGCTCTGTTGTATGTTTTTTAAAAATCAGTTTTTGAATAAGGAATATATTTACATATTAAACCCTAATTGTATAAACAGGTGTTTGTAATGGAGTGGAGGCCCCTCCCTAGTCTTCTAGTTACTCTTCTCAATTTATTCTTTACCTTAGCCGGGCACAGTGGCATGTGCCAATTGTCTCAGCTACTTGGGAGGCTGAGGTAGGAGGATCATTTGAGCTGAGGAGTTAAAATATAGCCTGGGCAACACAGCAAGACCCAGAAAACAAACTAAATTAGAGAAAGTACAGGCCCTTAGATATGGGGAAAGCAGTTTGTTCCAAAGCTGCTTGAACTTGCAAGACTACCAGGAGTCCATTCCCTCTAACCTCTAATGTACCCCAAACACAAATTAAAAAAAAAAAAAAGAAAGGCCAGGCACAGTGGCTGACACTTGTAATCCTAGCACTTTGGGAGGCCGAGGTGGGTGGATCATGAGGTCAGGAGATGGAGACCATCGTGGCTAACATGGTGAAACCCCATCTGTACTCAAAATACACAAATAGCTGGGTGTGGTGGCGGGCGCCTGTAGTCCCAGCTACTCAGGAGGCTGAGGCAGGAGAATCACTTGAACCTGGGAGGCAGAGGTTGCAGTGAGCCAAGATTGCACTGCTGCATTCCAGCCTGGGTGGCAGAGCAAGACTGTATCTCAAAAATAAAAATAAAATTTAAAAAAAACTCCTTCGCTATCTTCAAAAGTGCACCAGTTGAGATGGAAACAGCCTCTGTAGGTGGGACTTTCTAAGAGTTTCAGAATCAGAAAACCTTGATTTTGGTTTTATTTTAAAATGATTCCTTATGTTTGTTCTTTATGCTTTATTGACTAGAAGTGTTTTCTGAGTATGAAAGGATTCCACAAAGATCTCCTATAAGGAGATTTTTGGTTTGGGCTGATGTGTTGTTGAAAACCAGCAGGGTTTATTTTCCTGTAATAAAGGAGTCTTGGCCTAGCCAGTGAAAATTGCCCCTCAGGTCAATAGTCTTTCCCCAGGGCGGGGACCGTGCAAGCCATGTCCCCCTGTCCCCAGTAGGGCCAGCACCCCCCTGGAGTCCAGCCTTGTGCCTGGACCCACAGGGTTTTTCCACTAACAGATTTCCCTGTTTATTCCACAGGTTATTTTCCGTTTTGCTCTGGCACTTTTTAAGTACAAGGAAGAGGAGATTTTGAAATTGCAAGATTCGATGTCTATATTTAAGTATCTCCGCTACTTCACTCGCACTATCCTTGATGCTAGGTGAGTCCTGGGGAGTTCTCAGATGTCAAGGAGAGCAGGAAGCCTGACCCCTGCCTCCTTGAGAGCAGCCTGTCCTTGCTGTCTTCCAACTCAGAGCCATCCCCGGTGTACAGTGTTGGAGAGGGCATTGCTTTCCAGGGAAAAGAGAGCAAGGGGTGTGAGCCCCAAGTAGCCTTACCTAGGAGGAACTGAGATGAGGATTCTGTCCTTTATCCTACAAACATAAATCCCAACAACGAACAGCAATAGTTTCATTTGTCTAGAAAGCATTTACTGAGTACCTGCTTTGTGGTAGGGTCTGTGCTGGGCACTGAGGATGACAGATGGAGAGTAAGGCCTGTCCTGGAAGACCTTGCTGGGGACACTGTTGCGCATCGTTTGATCCATGCTGTGGTAGAGGGATCCCAGGCCGGAGAAAGGCCAAATAAGCTGGGCAAGGGGCAGCAAGGAAACAGTATGGGGACAGGGGGTCCTTCAGGAGTGGTGGCGCAGAGCTGTGGGGCACGTGTGTTTGGGGAAGTGTGGAGGCAGCTCAGCCCGGCTGGTGCCAGTGTGGCTGGGCCATAGCAGAGCTGGGCTGTCAGGGTGATTGCAGACTTCTCTCAGGACTTGAGGCTTCATCCTGAGTGCTGGGAAGTCCTGCAGGGTTAGGCAAGAGACAGACAGGTCAGATTGGGGCAGGACTGGTGGCTGTTAGAGGGCTCTAGGGGGAGAGGTGGTGGCCTGGAGGTAGGTGGTCCCACAGATGGAGAAGGGGGGTAGATTGAAGAGAGGGAGGGAGGAATTTGACTTGGAGGACCCCTGAGTTTCTGGCCTGGGAGGCCAGGTGTTCGGGAACCCTCCCTGACCACACAGTCATTGCCTGTTCTGGGCCATCCTCGTCTGTATGTCCCCTGGACTGCAGCTGTTGGCTGCTCTGACCCTGAGAGCCGATTTGGACAATGGGAGCTGAGGTGCTGGCTGAGGCCATGCCAGGCTTCCTGGAGGTCGTCGCTATTTTTAGAGTCTTTTATTGGGGAGTGGGTTTGTAATAGTTTCAGGCTTACTAATAGCACCAACAACAGTGCCCTGATTTCTGCCAAATGAGGAGGGATATGGGAATCATATTTGCTGGGGAAAGTTTGATTCTGAGTCCTGCGGTGAGCCTGGAGGGTTTCTGTTCATCTCGTGTTGGGTCAGGATTGCCGAGAGTGACAGGGAGTGAGCTCGCCCATGCCAACAGCTAGGGCTGTGTTGGGAGCGCCGCTGCCCTCAGTTCTGTACTGGGTCCCAGGCGCTGCCAGGAGGAGCGGAGGTGAGTGGGCGTGGCTCTGGTGAGTGCCCGCCCTTCCCTGGCACCGCAGGCCAACCTGGCCCCTCCCACACTGCTGGGCCTTGCATGGTCCTGCAGCGCCTCCTTCTGAGTGGCTCGCGGTACGGTCTCCCCTGCAGCTTGCTTTAGAAAGCAGGGTCGCCACACCAACAGGTGCTTTAAGGAGTGCCAAGGCGGCGGCAGGCTCCCCGCTGTTATCAAGACTGCAAGGGCCCATAATCCGCCTCTGGGCTAGAGCCTCAGTGTTTTAATGAGCTCCCCAGACTAGTGGTTGCAAGGAGGCCAGTCCTGCAGCACAGCGATCGGCCTTCAGAAACACAGGGAGGGAGTTGTGTGGTCAGCTGCATTCAGGAGACGGGAGTTACACAGGATTGAACCATGTTCTGCAGCAGGACTTCTAGGAGCCTTTTAAGGCGCTGAGCATCGTCTCCCAAATTTAGCTGACCATGGGGCACCTTCTCATTTCCCAGAGGAACCTTCCAGGCCTGAGGCAGAGGTGGGGTCTGGCGTCCCGGGTGCCAGCCTGGGCCGAGGGGCCTCTGTCAGCTCCTGACTGAGGAACAAATGAAGAATTATACTTCGGGCTCGTGTTCTGCAGCACAGGAGGGTTGGGCGCCGTAGGTTTGGGGTTTGTGGGGGCTGTGAGCTGACAGCTGTTGGGGAGAAAGGACTGGTGGTGGGGACCCTGTGCCCCATTCACACGGAGCCTCCTCCCGCCTGCTGGGGCTGGCAGCCTGGTCTGCAGAGCCAGGCAGGAGGCGGAACCCGAGAAATCCACACGCGGGGACCCCTGTGCTTGGGCGTTCTCTGTTCTCTGGTGCTCCCGTGTTCCAGAACACACACTGGGGAATTCAGAATTTAAATAAAGCTGGCCTTTCTGACCTTAAGCCTCTGGACGAGAGTTAAGCATGTCCAGGTAGTAGTGGGTGTTTTGAAACATAAAAGGTTGCACCCTCGTGTGTGCCTTGTGTTAAAAGGAGCCCACGCAGCCGACGGCAGCAGGAGCAAATGGCCTGCTCTGATGGGGACAGGCAGGAAGTCCTTCGGGGCATTTCTGTTTCATCACAGCTTTTCCTGGGGCTGGTGAGTCTGTTGGGCCTTTGGTTGACAGGGAAGCGCATGAGCCCATGTTGGTGGATACAAAGCATTTGGGGCCTGGCAGAATCCAGAGAGGGGAAGAAGGTGGCCCTAGGAACTGGCCTATTTTGTGATCCCCAGAGACCAGTGTGGCTGACCCATTAGTGCTACAAATCCATAGCCAGGCCTCAGGACAGCTTTTGGTCTTGTTTTTATTAAGCCACTGACCAGTGGTTAGGAGCAAGTGGATCATAACCTTAACATTTTTATTGAAAATTGGAGCCTTGACCTGGGGATGTGAAACCCACAAGCTGCACATTTCTCTGTAGACTGCATCTGGACACTTGTCACATTGCCAACTGGGTCTGACAGTCATCGCCAGGACTGCCTGGGCCTGTGTTCATTCCCAGTCAATGAGTCCTGGGACACAGACGTCCCGGACTCGTGCCCGGTGCCAGGCCTCATGCCCGCCCAAGGATGAAGACATACCTGCCATCACCATGCAAGTGCCGGGAGCTCTTCTCAGGGCTTATGTGTGGGAACACGAGTAATCCCACACCCTAGGAGGTGGCACTACTCTTACCCCAGTGTGCAGATGAAGATCAGAGGCCAGAAAAGGGGGGTGACTTCAGTCACACAGCAAGCATGTGGCAGAGCTGGAGTCCAGGTCGTCATTCTGAGCCTGCCCCTGGCTGGGCCATTGTGCTTTGTCACCTCTCTACAGAAGGTGGGCCTCATCCCCTACATCAGGCCCCAAGCCTGGCCAGCGCTCTTCCCACCCTGCCCCAGGCCACCTGCTATGCCTGTGAGGGCTGTGTGTGAGCACTCTCTGGAGCGCCGCTGATTCTCTTGTCTCTCCCCTGCGTCCTGCCAGGAAGCTGATCAGTATCTCCTTTGGGGACCTGAACCCTTTCCCCCTACGCCAGATCCGGAACCGACGCGCCTACCACTTGGAGAAAGTCCGGCTGGAGCTGACCGAGCTGGAGGCCATCCGTGAGGACTTCCTGCGTGAGCGGGACACCAGCCCTGACAAGGGTGAGCTGGTCAGTGACGAGGAGGAGGATACCTGAGTGGGCTCGGGATGCTGCTCTTCCTTCCTTCACAACCAAAGTGTGCCCAAAGGGTGAAAGTGCACTTAAAAGCCAGAATGTAACGTGTGTGTCCTCTGGGGATCTGCTGGGCAGATGTCCCAAGCCAGGCTGCCCTTCCTCATTTCCCACTGTGCGGGGGGCAGGGGTGGGAGGTCTAATCTGTTTACAACCATTTCCGTGCCATGCTTTTGGTTACACGTATCTCAGTCACGCTTTCTGCCTGGTTGGTGGATCCTCAGGCTTACCAGTGGCTATTTGCAAGAGCCTGTTTCCAGCCTCCGTCAGCCTGTCGGTGCTCTGACCCTCTGAAACCTTGCTTTGCTGGGCATCTCCCCATATTCTCTCTCCTGTACATAGTGGGCAGTGGTGTGTGGTTTTGAATGGCAGTGCTATAAAGGATGCCAGCTGTGCTTTAGGCACCTGTAGGCCAGAGGGTTGCTGCCTCAGGCATAAGGTTGGTATGAAAAGGGGCTGCCTTAGAAAAGCAGGCACATCCCTTGTTCAGAAATGGCCACTGTAGGAAAGCCTGTGAACCTCCCACCAGTGGCTTTAAGCTGCCAGCCATGCCCCATTTCTAGAATAGCCTTTGCTCTTCCACACGCAACCCTTCCATCAGTGTCTTCCAGCCTGCATGGGGAGGGCCTGGCTGCCCAGACACCCACCCTCACTTCTCATGGCCAGCCTGTGTTTGCAGATCACTGGGCTGCTCTGTCCCCAGCTTGCCCCGTGCCAGGCATGGCTCTGTGAGATTCTGTGGAATGCCCTTCTTGACTTGTGGAAATCATTCACCAAGTACGATGGGATGGGATTCCAAGTAAACAGTGGACCGTCATATTGCAAAGCAGGCCCACGCCTGGGCTGGCCTTGGTTGAGGGGATGGAGGAATGTTTTCGGGGGTGCTTTGCAGGGCAGTGGTGCAGCCGCAGCGTGAACGCTCTTGGACAGCTGAAAACCATGGCCTCCTTGGGGATGGCCAGTGCTCCTGGTGTCTCCACCTGCCTGGGTTGTGCAGGAGGCCGGCTGCCAGTGCCTGGGGCTGGGAAACTTTTTTGCTTGGGGCAGGCTTGGGTGAGCTCTCCCAGATGTGTGCCCACCCCACCACTGCCTGGAACATCCTTGTTCTCTGCCAGGATGCAGGGGCACTGTTGCCTCTGACACAGCAGTTTCTGGGAACTCAGAGGACTGCCTTTCTGAAGGCTGGGGAGAGGCTTTGAGCAAGGAGCTTGTTTTTGCTTAATCGCTCTAGACCATCCCTGATGCGTAGATGTGAGAGGATGTTTTCTGGCACAGTGTTATGAAAATACAAGATAAATGATCTCAGTGGAATGTTTCATATTACCCGAAAAAAACTGGAAATCATCCTTTGTTGTGAACACACTGAGACTAAGAATTGAAGCAATGCAGTTTTAAGAAGTATTTTTCCTATTTTTTGCTGTCAACTTTTTGGCAATGCCACGGCAAAGTTGGTGTTTCAGCACATGCTAGAGTGAGCTCCGGCTTCGTGTCTTTAACCAACTCCACTAATGTTTCACTGGGTAGACGGAGCTGGCCTCTATATTTAGCCAGAAGCCTTTGCCTCTTTTCAGGCATCAAAAATGGGTTTTGTCATTGTCTTTGTCTTTGAGAGCAGCAGTTTGAGGTCTGACTCCTTCAGTTGTCCTGTGAGCTGGGCGTTGCAGTCTGCTCGAATCAAGTGTTGGAACCCCCCCCACCCCTCAGCCCATCGTGAAACGACAGCTGTCAGCCTGGGGGGCGGCTGCTGAGGAGGTGCAGCAGGAATGGGGCTGGGCCCTGAGGTTTTACTTTCCGAGCCAATGGCCCCTGGAACATGCCAGCACACACTGCCATGTCCTGGGGCTAAGAGCTGCCTTTAGGGACAGGCTCGTGTTGTCCAGTTTGCCCTGAGAGATGCACCTGACCAGGGGCCCGTCGTGGCTGCAACCCACGGTGGTATGTTAGTGTTTCCAGGCAGTTGTCAGCAGCTGCCGGGCAGTGTGTGTGTGCGACAGCAGGAGAGTTCCTGGAGGAAAGGGACTGGGGACACTTTCTCAGAGGTTCTCCTGCCTGGAATCAAGTGATGCGTGTCCAGAAGGCAAGAGAGGGCGGCTCCGCCTGGTTAAAGTTTGGGAACGGGACGGAGCCAACTCCTCCTTCCAGGACTGTGGGCCCCACTCTTTTGCGCTAACACTTCCCCTCCCTCGGGTCACTGAGGAAAGAGCTGCTCTGTCCCCTCCAGTGCCCTGAAGGTCCCTGGCCTCCACTGGCTGCCATGGCAGGGGGCCCTTCTGACAGGGGCTGCCCCAAGCTGCTGTTCCTCCTCTGAACCTTCACCCCAACACCCAGCCCGTGGCCCCTGCAAGGGGGACCCTGCCAGCTGGGAAACCCAAAGGCCTGTCCAAACGTGCGCACCAGGACCGAGGGGAGCTCCCTCCCAACACCTGCTAGGAATTGCCAACTTTTAAATGGATGGGGTTTTTTATGGGTTGAACCTCTGTTAATACTTTTGTACACTCTCACTACAGTTTATATTTTTATAGGCTATTTTCTCAAGGTGTTTCTAGATTCCACATATCTATTTTATATAACAAGTTATTATGTTATGTGTGTGACTCCCTTGTGTGTATCTGTGCCAGCCTCAGCCTCCGAGTTGCTTTTCCCTCTGGCCCTGACTCTCACTGACTCACCGATGTGATGTGCAGGCCCACTTCTTACCCCAGATAGCCTCGGGCGCTGCCTGTAGTCATGCTGACAGCTGTACAGTAGCCGCCAAGACTGCTGACAGCTGGAGACGGTTCTGGTTTCAACTACGGTATATTGATATCGGAAGTATTCTAGACAGATCCTCGGTTGGGTTTTCTAGCTACATGTTTGTATTGCACAGATCCCCACCTGCCATCCTATAGTGTTGTCTTCCTGTGTGTTCCGGGGCTTCTGGGCAGCTGGGCCTGCCCGGGGAAGTCCTTGCAGGTGGGAGGCCATACAGAGACCCACTGTGTGCCACTGAACGTCCCACTGCTGCTGGGCAACTGGAGGACTGCAGGGGGCGCCAGGTGACTCTCTCCTTTTATATCACAGCAGCTCCTGTGCTGACCTTCAAGTTACGTTTTGGAACTGTAATACTAAAGGAAGAAATAAACTACTAATTTGTATAATATTCTGCATTGAAATTCAGTTATAGTCACTGGTGATGGGGCTCACCCCAAGGGCTTGGAGGGTGGGGCAGGGCTTATTGGTGTTGCGGGGGGCGAGGAGGGGCTCTCCAACCTTCCAGCCTGGCGTTTCTGGGTGTCTCTGCCCTTGGCTCACCCTGGGGCGGGTGCATCAGGATGCCTTTGCCAGCAGGGGCAGCCTTGGGAGGCCCCAAGAACCATGGCCAAGCTGCAGGTGTGGGCTGGGGGCACCGAGGTGGGAAAGCCGGAAGCTGGAGACTCCCTGTGTCCGGATAACCCCCCGCCCAGCCACAAAGAACAGGCATGCCTCCTTCCGCCAGCTGTGCCATGCCCTGCCTGAGTCACAGGCTTGTTTGTCTCCTGCCTGGGCTGACAGCTCAGGCCCAGCTGCCACTGGGCACACCCGCAGTCATCAGTGGAAAACACCCAAGAATGATAAAGACCAAAGGGGTTCCCATAGGGGTGTTTCGGGGTGGCTCCAGCAAGGATTCCCAGACAGGGCAGGCCAAGGCCTGGCAGGCTTTTCTCTTCTGCGGACATGGATTCAGCGAGGCTGGGGGTTCCTGGAGTCACGCAGCAGAGCGGCGGCGGCAGAGCTGGGGCAGAGCTGGGACAGGGACTGGCTCCGTGTGTGGGTCAGGAGCAAGTCGACAGGCCCTGCTCCCCACCCCTTGGAAGGGAGTGCCACCAGGGGCCGTTCTGACTAAGGCCTGGGAAGCCATGACTCAGAGCTTGGGTCCCTAGAGTCTCTTTGGGCCAGCCGGGCTGCTGCAGACAGACAGGAAGCACGCCTGACGCTCCTCTACCCTCGGGCAGCACAGCGGGGCTGGGACTCACTCTAGCTTGCCCAGCAACTTGCTTTCCTGTGTGAACTCTGGCAGGCTGCCCTCTCTGTGCAAAGCTGCCACTGGGGCCTGCTCAGGGTGGCCTGGAACTTGGAGGTGGGCAGTCAGGGCCTAGGATGGGCCTGTGTCACCAGGGCATGTGCCCTTGGGCCAGTTACTTCCTCTCAGAGCCTTGGGCTCCTCCTCTGAGGATGGGGCTTGTTGGTGTGAAATGAGGTGAGCATGTTGAGTTGGGGAGCAGCAGGACACGCACCTGCAGGCAGCCGCCCTGGCCACGCTCCCTCCCTACCTTCCGAGTCCTGGGACAGACACAGTAGAGCACAGCGGGCCAGCCTGCTCTCTTCTCTGTCTACTTTTTGCAGAAGAGTCAACAGATACAACAGGCCCAGGGAGGTGCCCCTGGGGGCCCCAGTCCCCATCACTCCAAGGGGCAGTCCTGCAAGTGACAAGGTGGGCCCAATCCCTGTGGAACAGGTCTCTGAGGACCACAGAGTGGGGCCCCAGGGAAAGCTGGGAGCCGAGCTAGAGGCAGGCAGCAAGTAAGGGCCAAGCTGTGCCCCTGCCCGGAAGACCTTCCTGCCCCCAGAACCCGACCCTCCGCAGATAGCCCTCCCTGGGCAGCAGCCCCCCAGCTTCCAAGGCCCGTGCCTCACCAGACGCCATGCTCTCACGGACTTGTTTGCTGCTCTGTACCCTGCAGATCTGCCCCAGAGGAGCAGGTGAAAAGCCGCGCCTGCCGAGGTGCTGTGGCGGTGGAGTTTTGGGCAGAGGAGTGGGGGGAAGAGTTTCTCACTTTTAAGATTCTCCAAATCCAAGATGAAGTCATGCTGTGCTTTGGAATGGTAGATGCTCATTTATGTAAAATCATAATAAATGTTACACAAACTGTTAGAATAAAAAAATACTTTTTTTGAGGGGGGAGGAGGTCCCCAGCCTGCCGCTGGATAGTGAGAGGGGGTTAGCACCATTAGGGCGTAGGGCGTAGGGCGTAGGGGGCAGGAGCTCCGCCACAGCCCATGGTGGGCACTGAGGTCTGTTGGTCGGTCTGTGCATCCTGGCACGGTCAGTGGCAGGCAACCCGCTGATGGCCTCGGGAGCGGGCGCCGTGGCTGGGCGGAGAGCACGAGCGGCAGCAGTGGGTGCGGACAGTGGGCAGCTGGCAGCAGCCCACTAGGTGCAGCGTCTCGCAGAACCTGAAGGACAGGTGGTCCCGCTTATAGCCTGGAGTGGGGGGAGTGGGGGGAGTGGGGGGAGTGGGGGGGAGTGGGGGGGGAGTGGGGGGGAGTGGAGTGGGGGGGGAGTGGGGGGGAGTGGGGGGAGTGGGGGGGCGGGGGATTGGGGGGGGTGGGGGGGCGGGGGGGGCATCAGAACCTGGCTCCCCACCCCAACCACCTTAAGGAGGCTCCAGCAGCTCCCCACCAAGCAGAGTGCCCCGGTTTCAAGGTCACACGTCTCCAGCTGTTGCTATTTCTGTCCCACCTGCTCATGGCCAACCCCAGGATTCAAGAACGGGCGCTGCTGGGCTGAAGTTTCTGGAGGAAAGGTCTTGAGACCCCACCCTGACCCCCTCACATGCCCATAAAAGAGCCTGCCCAGGGTGACACCCTGCCACCCCATCTCCATACTTGCTCACCCCTGGTATTCCCCGACAGATCCTGGCACAGAACTGAGGTCCCAGGGGCCTCCTGCCAGCCTGCAGCAACCTCTGCCGTCCACTCCCGCCACCTCCCCCTGCTCCAGTGCACCTATCCTGCCAGGCCTCTGTGACCACCTCCAGCCACGGGGGCTGTACACAGCCTCGGGTTCTGAGTCACAGGGTCCCATCTCCCAGGCCAGCCTCCCACTTCTCAGGTGGGCCACAAAGCCTAGAGTGAGTGGGCCTTACAGGCCATCAGTGGAAACCAGGGACTGAGCCCAGGCCCAGTGGGGAGGGAGGCCAGCTGCAGGCTGTGCTTGTCAGGGCTGAGGCTTGGCTGGGCCCTCCTGCCCCATGGTTATCAGAGCTATTTTGGGATGTGGCTTGTTTCCAGCCTCCTAGCCTTGCTCCTGCTGCTGCCGCTGCTGCTAACAAACCCCAGGCCCTGCTTACTCCAGCAAGAGGAGCAGGAGGACAGCAGCCAGCCCTGGGCCTGGGACATCCCCCAGGCCCGGCAGAGGGCACGAGGCAGCAGGCAGGCTCCTCCACCCCAGCTCCAGGCAGAGCTCCAAAGTGCACATCTGCAGGCCTGCATCCTGGTCGCCCGGGGTGACCTCAGACAAGCTGCTTCACCTCTTGGGCCTCGGTTCTCTCCTCTGTCAACCCCACCTCCACAGCAAACGGATATGGCCATGCTGTGTCACTGCAGTGAGCACACACACACGCGTTTCCCAGCTTTCCACATGTCCCACCAACTGTCCCACAGACCAGCAGAACATCTGGGAATTCCAGATCTCAAAGTCCAGGACACCTTCCCAGCCCCCCTCCACTGTTCACTGATGGCAGAAAACTCACTTAGGACAGCTTCTAGTTCAGCCACCTAACCAGCCCCCATAGCCCACTCCCTGCAGCCCACTCACACCCGCCCCTGGGAGACCTTGCAAGCCCAGAGCCTCCTGGGCCATCCGTCCTTGGTTCTAGGCCCCCAGGGGCCTCAGTTTCTGTTCTCTGCCCCATCTGGTCCTCCCCCACTGGGATCATAACCACCCCGCTCCCTGTGGCCAGCCCTAGCCATAAAGGTGAGAGACGTGGTGCCAGCACCCAGCTCAGGCAGCACATAGGAGTGCTCTGAGATGCTGGCTGGGTGCGTGCTGAGGGCAGGCAGGACAGGGTGGGGGCACTGCCACTGGACCTTGAGGTAATGGGGTTTGAGGCAGGAAGGCCACCCCTGCCAGAGGCAGGGCAGCGAGGCATGGCAGGGGCCACTCTGAGCCCGAATGAGGGCTGCCCAGGAGCCGGTGCAGGTAAAGAAGGCTGCGTTGGACAAGCGGAGAAGGCAGACCGGGGAGATCGCAGGAGGCCCCGAATGTCAGCGTGAGTGCCCTGGCTGAGGACTCTTTTCTAGGGTCAGGGAGCAGCCAGCCAATAGCACAGGGGACGCAGCTGTTCATGCCACAGTTTCTGGATTCCTTGGACTGGCAGGGTCAGCCCCAGGCCCTCTCCCTGACCTTGCAATTGGGGATGACAGTGGCTGTGGGGGAGGGGAGAAAGCTGCCTTCCCTGAGCACCACCTGGATGCCCACGCAGTGCTGTGCCCTTCATGCCCAGACCTCATTTATGCAAGGATGGGGCTTGGCAGCCCCTTTATTCAGCACATGAAGGCCCTGAGAGGGAAATGGGAGCCCAAGGCCACACAGCTGGTGAGGGGATCCCAGGTGACACTCCAGGGCCACCCCGTTTCCTGCCCTCAGCACTGCTGGGAGCAGCTGCAGCTGGAGGAAGTGTGTGTGTGTGTGTGTGTGTGTGTGTGTGTGTGCGCGCGCATGTTGGGGGCAGGGGAGGGAGGCCCTTCATGTGGTTCTATTGCTCACTCTAGGCAGTCCTCTAGCCAGGGAATAGATAGGTCAGGGTTAAGATCAGGGTTAAGGACAGGGTCTCACCCAGGCTGTTTTCACACAGCCTCAGGGCCATCCCTGGCTTCACTGTGGGAAGACTGAGACCTAGAGGAGAAAGAGCTTACCCAGGTTCACACAGCAACTCAGGGGCCAGGGCCACTCCCTCTTCTCCCCTGAGGCCAGACAGCTGCCTGCAGGATGTTGTGTGGCTGGGACACCCCTTGACTGACTCCCAGCACAGCCCAGCCTCCGGCAAGGCATCCTGTGGCATCAGGATTTTCAGTGGCCATGTGGCTCCTGAGCCCAGACTACAGATGGAACCAGCCAGTGCCGTGGGCACAATGGTTTGACGACACCATTTCCCCATCACCCTCCCCACCCTACCTCACTTCAGCAGGGAGCCTGGGGTCAGGGGACTCACGGGGAGACTCGATGGGCTCACAATCCTCGGTGCCACACGGCCGGGAGCTCTCAGGCCAGGCCTCATGGCCACACTGGTCACTGTCTTCCTCGGGCAGCCCTGTCTGGGTGTTGACACACTTGACTAGGCGCCGCTGGACGCCACTGCCACAGGGGGCTGAGCACTGGGGGGAGCAGGGGAGGAATGACTGTCTCCAGGGCCAGCCCTAGCAGTGGGGGCAGGGACACCTCCTCTGGGAAGCCGTCCCTGTGCCCTGTGCCTGACTGGCCTGGCCTTGCTCCCAGCCGCCCTCTCAGTGCTTCCTGGAGGACCTGGTCCCATTCCTAGAGCCCACTTGGTGCCGGAACCCCACTCTCACTTGTGGGATTGGCTCCTGCAGAGGGAAGGGGCATGAGAACCGTGGGACAGCCCTCGGGGCTGCAGGGCAGTGAGCCCCTCACACAGGACATGCCTGAGAAGCCTGGGCAGGGGCCCCGGGATGGAGCCCTGATGCAGCAGTGGGCAGAGATGTGGGCGAGACACCACTGTGCCCGAGGGACAGGGCAGAGGACCTGCCGCAGCCCATGGGCAGGAGGGCAGGAGACAGTTTCACAGCCGGGGCCCAGCCCGCCAGGCTTCGTTGTTATCAGCCCTGAACATGCGCTGAGTCTCTGCCAGTGTCGTGCTGTGCCCAGCCCTGTGCTTCATTACGTTCCTTCATTTAATCCTTCTGACCCTCCTCTCCTAAGCTGTTCCAATTTTACAGATGAGAAAACAGTGACCCAGCAAAGCAAAGCAACCTGCCCAGTCACTCAGCAGCCAGTGGGACAAAGACTCAAACGCTGGCCCAGCTGACTCCAGGACCCAGCTCAGGGCCCAAACCTGAGATTTCTGAACCCCTCAGTTCCAAACAGGCCCAGCAGAAGGTATCCTGCCCATCCGAGGCCCCTCTTAACGCCCCCTTCTGCCGCTGGCCTTTGCTGGGCTCCCTGATCGCCCCAAGCTCGACATTCCTGCCTCAGACTTCACACCTGCTGTCCCCTCGATTCCGTGTCCTTGGCATCACTGACTCCTCCCCTCGGGTCTCAACCCCAGGCCCCTCCTCAGAAGGCCTTCCCTGACATCATAACACATGTGCCCTTTCCTTGTCCGTTTTTCCCTGGCAGGTGTGAGCGCCAGCATGGCAGGGCTGTCCAGTCACTGCTGCATGTGCAGGGGCCACAGAGAGCCTGGCTCACAGCACACACTCCACAGCTCCTTCACCCAACCCAGGACTGACCAGGTGCTACCAAGCACTTGCTCCCTGCTCCCCGCCACAGCCCGGCTCACCTGGCCCCAGGGCCCCACCACCCACTGCGTGCAGGGGTGGGTGTTGCAGGGCCAGGTGGTGTTGGGTCTCAGCGCCTCCTCGCAGAGGCCTGGCTCCGGGCAAGTCACCAGATGCTGCTGCTCACCACCGCCACAGGCCTCGGAGCACTGGGTGGGCAGGGAAGGAGTCAGGGCACAGCCAGGGTCTGAGGGCATCCCCTCCCCCGATCTGAACCCCCAGGCCTCACCTCCCTCCAGGAAGATGTGTAACAGCTGAGGCAGGGCTGGGCCCCGCAGGGCCGGTGTGCAGGCGGTTTGGCAGGCCCGGGCTGACAATGGAAGGGCTGCAGTGTCCAGAGGTCCCGTGTATCCACACACTGCACGTCCTGCACTGAGGAACCTCCACCGCAGCTGCGCGAGCACTGGGGACCAAGACACCCACGTGCAGGCCCACGGGTGTGACCCTGTGAGGCATGTGGCGGGAAAGGCATCAGACCCACGCCCCAGCCCGGGGAAATATCTGAAGAACCCCAGCGAGAGGCCAAGGCTGGCAGGCCCCAGGCAAAAGGTGGCATGGCCAGAGACTGCCATGGGCTGGGACAGACAGAGAAAGGGAAGAACAAAGGCAAGCTAGTGAAAGACAAGTCCAGATGGGGTCAAAGATACAGAGAAAAGGAGACAGGCCAAGCCAGACAAAGATGAGAAGACTCCCAAGAGATTCAGAATCCAGTGAGATCGGGCACACAGACGTGCAGCCTGGAGCCCTCCCCTTCCCTGCCGCTCTCGGAACACAGGCCGTGGGGAACCAGGGCTCCACCCCATGCCCTGGGAATGCCTGTCCTGGCTCCATCCTCACGCACCTTACTCCAGTTGCCTGAGTGCCAGGTGGCACAGGGCTGCAGGTGGCAGTGGCGGGCAGGCTGGGGCCGGCCAGCGGGGGTACAGTCCTCATCCCGGCCAGAGCTACAGCGCACCGGCCTCCAGACCACACCCAGGCCGCAGGTGGTAGAGCACTGCGGGGAACAGACCCGTGAAAGCCAGGCAGATCCCATCCCCACCAGGCCTCCACAGCCAGGAAACTACCCACCTAGGCTAGCGAGACCTCAGCAAGACAGGAGACCTCAGCAGGACAGGGGCCCTCTTCTGGGCCTCAGTTTCCTTATTTGCAAAATAGGCTCCTCCACCCACCTCCCAGGAAGACTGTGAGGATGAGAAGTCAAATCCCCCCAGCAACCAACCATCCCTGCTCACATGGGACAAAGGGCCTGTGTTCCAGCGTCATTGGTGCAGAGGTGGGGGGAGGGGACCCTGTGGGCACCCCTGACCAGCTATCCTGACCATCCTCATGGCTTCCCAGAGGCACCAGGGAAGGAAGGCTGGGTCCTGGTGCCAGCAGCCAAATCGCTGAGTAAAGCTTCAGCCTACCCCATCCCACCTCCAAATTAGGGATCTGAACAGAAGCTTCTTCTCCTGCAGTGACCATCTGGGGACCCAGGGAGGGGCACTAGCCAGCTTCTTTCTTGCAGCTCAGACCCCTGCAGGTCACTGCTAGAGGAGGGCGGAGCCAGGTGGCAGTGGGCTGAGCCCAGCCTGGAGGAGCCAGGCAGAACCTCAGGGAAGCTGCGGGGCCGGCGGCCACGCGGGGACCCTCCCCACTGCACAGCTGTCTGAGCCAGCTCCATCCTGGGGCGTGCTGTGCTGCCAGAGTGTGCCTGCCCCTGCCTTCCCTGAGGCCCGCTGTGCTGCCCAGGAATGGGCCCCGGGGTCCCCTCACCCCCCTAAATCCTGGGAACCCCTTCCCCGAGGGAGGCGAGACAGACGGCCCGTGTCCCACTCTGCTCATTTTCAGTGAAGAAACAGTCACCAAGGTCCCCCGCAAACTCCCTGCCCGCCCAGCCCACACCACTTGCCTCGCTCCAGTTTCCCGCTTGCCAGCTGGCGTTCCTGACAACCAACGGGTCCGCGGGGGGCCCCGCTTCAGCCAGGCTGGGAGGCAGTGGCTGGGTCTCAGGGGCTCTGTGGCTGTTGGCGGGGCTGTCCCAAGCTGGTGTGGACAGCAGCCTAGAGCTCAGGGGCACCTCAGGGCTGAGGGACTCAGGCTGACCCTTGGGTCCTGGGTTCAGGGCAGGCTCAGGCATGTGCCCGAGGCCAGTCAGGGTTGTGGGGAGGAAGGTCCCCCACACTGCCACAGTCTGCAGGTCCCATGAGCCTGGTCCTGGGGTTGGGAAGGAGGGAGTCCCCGGCTCCAGGGAACTGTCCCTGACCTTCATCTCTGGCAGAGGGGCTATGGGAGGAGGAAGGAGAGAAGCCACCCCAACAGTGGGCCACAGTTCACTGTCCACAGGCCCCAGACCACCCTCCAGAGCTGGCTCCCAGGCCACTATCCCTCCTGTCCACAGCTCCGCCGCGTCGGGACTAGGAGAGGAGTGGGTGCTGCCGACAGGACAAAGGGGGCAGCGTGGGGCTGGGTCTCGGGGGCAGGTGGGGTGCTCCACGGCCCTCGGGTTCATCATCCTTGAAAACCTCATTGGTCCTGCCCCGCCATGGAGGGGGCAGCTGGCTCTGGCTGTCCTTGCTAACTGGGAAATCATTTTGGCTATCAGGGGCAGCAAGTGTCTGCAGGCCATCGGTAGAAACCCTGGGCCAGGGCAGGCTGGAGAGCCCAAGATCTGGGGCCCCTATGGGGGCATCTTCCTCAGGCAGGAAATTGATCAAAGGGTTCCCAGGGGTCTGCTCTGAGGGCGGGGATGGGAAGCAGCCGGCCTGGCTGGGCCAAGGGCTAAGGGACCAAGGTCCCGGTGCCCCCTCCTCCTTGGCTGCAGGAGGCTCTGTGGCAGGCACGGGGCTACCCGTGGAGGGTGCAGGATGGCTGTGTGGTGGGGGTGTCCGGTCCCCTGTCCCCACCAGGTCTAGATCGGGTTCCTCAGAGGGCCCATAGGACAGATCCTCGTGGAAGTTGATGCAATTGTAGTCATAGTAGAAGTCGTCCACCAACATGGGCCCCGGCAGGTCCAGCTCTGGAGCCTCCTCCTCAATGGCGTTGCCCATGGTGCCTGGCTTGGGTGATGAGGCAGGTGAAGGGCGTGGGGCCAGGTGGCGCGGGATGAAGTCAGCCTCATTGAAGAGCTCGTGGCTGGAGGAGCCGCTGCCTGAGCCTTCAGGGCCCAGTGTGCCCAGGGGCCATTAACAGAGTGGCAGAGAGCAGGTGACTTTGCTAGCTGGCTGCTGGGCCTCGTCACAGGGGACACCGATGTCATTGGTGCAGAGGACATTTCGGCGCTGAGTGCCCTCCCCACATGTCACTGAGCACTGCAGGGGAAGCCAGGGTGAGGGGGCTTAGGAGTGGCAGAGACCCCAGCCAGCCCTCTCTGGCCCTGCCCAGCTCAAGGCCATGACTATGGCCATGCTTGCCAGGGGCTTCCTGATCCCTGAGGCTTTAGTCAGGGGCTGGACCCTGGAATGCCCAGACTCCCTCCCACCCACGAGGGCTCCAGGAAGGCTGTCTGCCTCCCGATAGCCGAAGACCAAGGGTGGAGCTGGAGGTGGGCCCTCTCCCATCCCACGCTCAACTGAAACCAGTTCCCCACAGCCCAGGTAGCCAGACAGGGCACATGGCAGTTGCAAGGGGTTTCAGTAGGGGGCCAGGGAAGTGTTCACAGGCGGGTGGCCCCAAGGCACTCTGCTCATCCAGCCCCATGCTGCGGATGCAGAGCATGGCCCGGCAGGAGAGGCCCCCAGGCCCCGCAGGAGCTGGAGCACGGCTGCCACTCACCTGCCCACCACCTGGCGGGGGCACATGGGTGGCATCAGCATGGCATCAGACGGGTGGCATCAGCAGGCTCTTCAGCAGGCTCACCAGCAGGGAATGGGCTTCCAGGCCTTCAGGGTTTGGGTAGAGCTGGGACTGAGGCCAGTGGTTGATTCTCCAGAGATCCAAGCCCAGGTAAGTTTCTTGACCTCAAAGCCTGGTGACATAGCACAGCCCCTCTGCTCCTGCCACCCTCCCCTCAGGGAAACTGAGCATGACCTGAGGCCTATTTCCACATCCAGGGATCCAAAGAAGAGGACCACAGGTGTCCAGGCTGGCCCAGGCTGGCCTAGGCTGGGGTGAGGGGTGACCTGGGGTGAGGGGTGACCTGGGGTTAGGGCTTCAGCCTTGGGAAGAGAATGAAAGCCCAGCTCCCTCTGCTCCCCCCCGGGGTCTCCAGGGACCCAGATGTAGGGGCCTGTGGCAGACCCAGGACACCTGGGGGTGGGGAGTTGGCAGGCGATGGGGGTGGGCTCACCTGGCAGGGCAGGGCTGCTCGCTGCACTTCCTCTGGCGGTCATCAGGCCGGCCCAGGGGATGACAGTGCTCCTCGTCCACAGGTCCTGCCTGCCGCTCTGAGCAGTACACACTCTGCCTCTGCACACCTAGGGGCCATGGGGCTCAGCCTGGGACTGGCACCCAGGTGCCCACCGCCCAAGACCCAAAGACACTCTCTCTGCCAGAACAGCACCTTACTGCCTGTGTCAGGATGAAGGCAGACCTCCACCGTCACCTCCTCGCTGTCCTCCTGGTTCTCATACACCCCCTTTTCTCCTATGTAGCCTCCCCTCTGGCTGTGCCTGGAGGGGTGGCAGAGTGTGGAGTTTTAGTGGGTTGGGTGCCCAGACCCTCTGCTTCCTAGCTGAAACCATGGGCAGCTCATTTGGCCTCTCTGAACCTCAGTGTCCTCCTCTGTGAAGTGGGAGCAACAATCCTGCCTCCTCCAAGCCCTGGAGGGAGGACTGCATGTGTTCTTGCATGTGTAGGCTCGGCCCTTGCCCGGCACATCCTAAGAGCTCGATCCATGCCAGCTGCTGCTAGCATGCAAACCCAGCCGTGGCGTCAAGGCCGTCCCACCATCCACACCCTTCCCAATGGCTCAGAGAACGTCTGGACAAGAAATGGGGCATGAAGGGACAGCCCCTGCTCCCCACCCCCACACCAGCCTTGGCACTGCTCCTGTCCTTCACACCCTCTGCCACCGCCCACCCTGGGGACTTTGCACAGCCACGCTCCTCACCTTGGACACTCACTTCCATACTGCCTGTTGAAGCCCAGCTGCAGGACCCCCTCTGCTGGTGGCTCTGCCTTCTCTGCTCCACCCCCTGCCCCGTGGTCCCGAGAGTAAGTTGTCCCTCCCCCGAGCTGCCAGTCCCACACTCATTCCCCTCTTTCCTCACCAACAGATTCCAATTTTGCTCAAGGCAGCAATGGGACCTGCTGAAAACACACCCCACTGACGCTCCCTTGCAACTAGGGGGGTCTGGGACAGTCCTGGCTTGGGAGAAAAAGGCACAAGTCCCTTGCTGGGATTCAGCCCTTTCCCCTCTCCTTCTTCCTGCCCAGAACACTGCAAGAGCCCTGGAAGGGAGGACACCATCTGTGGCAAGCAGGAGTGAAGGGGAGGCTGCTGTGGCAAGGACGATGTGGCTGAGGTCCAGTCAGTTCCAGGTCCCGCCAGCTTGGACTGTGCACCTGGAACTTCCTGCCTGAGACAAAGAACCCCTGTCTGTTCCAGCCACCACAGGGCACTTGCCTCTGCAGAGGCTCCCAAGTGGTCCACCTGCGAAGCAGCCAATTTGCTGAAAGACAATTCCCCAAATGTCTAGTGCTGCAAGTCTATTTGTTGGTTTTCAAGTTTGTCCATTTAAAGACACCCGTATTAGGCCAGGCGCAGTGGCTCACGCCTGTAATCCCAACACTATGGGAGGCCAAGGCTGGCGAATCACCTGACATCAGGAGTTCGAGACCAGCCCGGCCAACATGGTGAAACCCTGTCTCTACTAATAATAAAAAATAAGCCAGGCATGGTGGCGTGTGCCTGTAAATCCCAGCTACTCGGGAGGCTGAGGCAGGAGAACTGCTGGAACCTGGGAGGCGGAGGCTGCAGTGAGCTGAGATCACGCCATTGCACTGCAGCCTGGGCAACAGAGCAAGACTCCATCTCAAATAAAATCAAATAAATAAATAAAGACAGCTGTATTAGATAAAATGGGTTTCCTAGCTTTGGAAGGTAACTGCCCAGTTCTCCAGTTTCACTTTGTCATCATAATAGCATTTGAAGGAATGCTGAAATGTATCTCAGATTCCCGATTCTGAGACCCTGAGGACACTGAGTGTCAACCATGGGAAGACTGAGGGGAAAAGGGGAAGACTAAGAGACAAAGGGGGAGACTGAGATGTGGGGAGACCAAGGAACGGCAGGGGAGACTGAGTTGGGGGAGGAAGACCAAGGGGCGGGGGGGTACTGGGGGGCGGGGGGGAGACTGAGAGGCATGGGGGTAGACGGAGGGGCAGAGGAGAGACTGAGGAACAGTGGAGAGGAGACAAAGAGACAGAGAGAGGGGAGACTGAGGAGCATGGGGGGAGACGGGAAATACGGGAAGGAAGAGTCGGAGTTAATGAAATTGCCCTACTTTTTATAAACAGTTCAGGGAAATAAGTCAGTGTGGTGAGGGGCCTGGGCTGGTCTCCGGGACGCTGCAGAAATGCAGGTACAAGACCTGCCAGAACTGAGCAAGGACAAAATCGAGGGGGAGCTGTGTCCCCTGGAAGGAGAACACCAAGAGCTGGAGCACACTGAGCACGCACCGCAAGCCAGCACCCACCTGCCTCATCCATGTACCCTCCCAGCGGGCCTGGGACACAGGGCAATCGCTAGCCTCATCTCACAGATGGGGAACTGAGGCTCAGAGAAGCAAACTTCCAAACCCATGGTAGCCCAGCAGTGAGCTGGGAGCTGAAGCCAGTGTCCCTGTCTAGAGACAAAGCCCGTGCTGGTGGGGCTGTGCCTGCCCCACTTCTCACCTCTGCCGCAGGTGACTGTGCACTTGGTCCAGGGCCCACAGTGCCAGGAGAACTTGGGCAGCGGGACCTCGCTGTGGCCACCTGCCTCCCTGTGGATGGTGTGCTCGTAGTGTACCCCGGGGTTGCTTTCCTAGAACAGCAGCTGGGTTGGCAGGCGGGGGCCCACTAGCATGAGGTGTCTTCTCCATCCACCCAGTCCTAAAGGAGCCGATGCCAGCCACCTCTGTGAACTGCAGCTACACGACTGGGCCATTTTAAAGATGGGGAAACCGAGGTAGAGGCCGCAGCAGGAGGGCTGGGCTCAGAGCCAAGCTCTGTGACTGAACCAGGGCTCACTCCTCCAGGACGAGACCTGCCATGGAGGGTGCTGGGCCTAGGGACTCCGCCTCTGCTCCCCCAGCCTGGGCCACGGGAGGCAGGCACCTGGATCCAGACAGGCTCCTTGGTGGGACCCGGGGACGTGAGGTTCTCCCAGTTGCCCCTGCGTGCGTATGTGAAGGTGGTCCCTGCCACCTGGTAGCCCCCGTTCCACTGGATGGTCCAGCCATCATTGAGGAAGTACTTCTCCGGGTCCTCGCTCCGCAGTGCCAGGAAGTTGGCAGCTTCGGCAACCTCCTGGAGGCGGATCTCGCGTGCGCCGGCTGGGATCAGCCCCACGTCCACATACCCTGTCAGCCAAGGGTTGTGCATAGGTTGTGCCCAGGGTGAGAAGGTTGCTTATCCCTACCTGCTCCCCTCATGTCTCTCCCCACTTGCCTCCGCCTGCTGATGCCAAAGATTTCGCCATTAGCTTTAAAGTCTGAGCTCCCTAAATTGCTCGGATCTGTCATGGGTCACCAAAACCTCGCAGAGGTGCCACAAAATCCTGACCCCGTGGCCATGCCCCATCACCCCTCTCTTGGGGACCTAAACTGGTCTCATCACAAGGCTGGATCCATCCCCTACTCTAAGGGCCGGCTGGCATCTTCTTTCTAAAAAGGCCAAAGTGCCCAGGCCTTTCTCCTGGGACACCCTCCTCATCCCCATGCGGCCTGCTTTTATTCATTCACTTCCATCACACCCATCACGTGCCAGGCACTACTCTCAGCACCTCACATGTGTAAGCTCATGGGTAATGGCCCTATAGCATAGGTACTATTGTTATCCCCATTTTACAGATGAGCAAAGTGAGGCAGAAGGGGATAGTAACGTACATGAACATCCTGCTGCGGTATGAGCAGCCTCCACGGCCAGTGCTTTATCCACCACACTGCACTGCATCTCTGGGATGAAATCTAAGCTTCTCAGCCTGGCACTCAAGGCCCCATAGCTGGCCCTGCCTTCCCTTCTTGCCTCCAGGCTCTGGCACAAGCTCTTTCCTCCATTTGGAATGCCCTTTCCATCTCTTCTGAGTTTTATGATTCAGCTCGACTTCCGCCTCCTACAGGAAACCTTCCCTGACTTCCCCAGGCCAGGACCTTCTTCCTCAGTGCTCCCACAGCCCTCTGGGCCTCCCTCCACTGTAATGGTCACACCAGAAGGTTCTGTCCCCCTGCAGGACTAAGTGCTTCACCTGCATATCCCCATCACCTAGCACACAGTCAGTACTTGATCAACGTGTGCAAAATAGACCGGAGGTGAGGGCACAGAGCTGGGGTCTCAGAAGCTTCAGGAGGAGACTACCATGACTGGAAAGGCCCAGGGGCCACACACAAGCTGGGTCTCTGGGACAGGAGGACTCCCCATGGGGGCAGGTCTCTGCACGTGGGCCAGGGGTCCCCTGACTCCTGCAAGAATCCACCCCAGCAAGGCTTCCCTGCTTAGCCGTCTCTAGGCTGGGTGGGGACCACGAGGCCAAGGACATGGGCCAAGGACATGGGCCCAGGGGAGATGGGGAAGGGGCCACCAGATGAAGAGCACACCCCTCCCCACAGCGGTCCCACCCCATACCCAGGCCCTCGGCCTCCTCGAAGGTCCCGCTCACGGTGTGGCAGGTGGAGCCGTTGCCGTGGCACACACCACAGCGGTCCTCCATAGCACCGGAGTCAATCTCGAAGTCACAGCCCACGTTCTGCAACACACGAGGAGGGGAGGGCCCTGGTGCTGGCGGCCAGCCCTCTGTGGCCCCAGCCCCGGGGGCCAGCCAGGGTCAGGAGGAGAAAGCTGGGAGTTGGGGTCGGGAGGCCTCTCTCTGGCCCTGCCCCACCTCAGCTGTGCCTCTGACCCAGGTGAACCTCTCTACTTCCCTAAGCCTCAGTTTCCTCAGATGTGAGACGAGGAGACCCACCCCTCCCTTAAAGGCATGTCATGAGCATCACATGAGACAAGAGAAGGGAAGAGTTCTGCAGAGGCTGCGGGCAGGCAGGGGATCTGACACGCCACGGGCTCCTGAGCAGCGCGTGCAGGGAATTTCAACGTCAAAGGCACTGGGGATTGGCACCTCCCTCCTGGTCCTCCTCGGAGCCCAGGCCTTGATACCCCAGAGGCTTAGAGGGCAAGAAGCAGGGACAAGTAGGTCGCTGGGGACATGGGCAAAGAGGAGAGGCCGTCATTGTTATTAAAAATAAGAATAGAAATTGTTACCACACACTGAGGGCTACTCTTCGCGGCTCAGAGCCCTCTGTGTCATCTGTGCCACCTCATTTAATCCCTTCTATCAGGGAGCAAACCACTGCCTGGGGTCAGCCAGCCAGCAAGAGGTCAAGCCACTGCCTGGGCTCTGGTTTCCTGGCTGGGGCGGTACTGGTGGAGGCATCCAAGGAGACGCAGGGGGGCGAGGCCTGACTGGGAGGGTCCCCAGTGCCAGGAGTGACACACATCCATGGCAGGCTGGAGGCTCCCAAGTAGCACCAACATGCTGGAGGCTCCGGCTGGGCTGATAGCTATCTGCAAGGCTGCAGACTGGGGAGCTAGGGGCGAGCAGCAGCCCCAGGGGACAGTGGGAGCGGCCCAGGCTTGGGGTGGAGACTGGGCCTTCCTGCTCGCATCACAGGGTAACCTTGGACCCACACACCCCCACCAGCCCTCTGAGCCTCAGTGTCTCCATGGGAGGCAGCACTCACCGTCATTGACCACGGGCACCCATGTGTGCAGCTGGCCCTTGTAGAGCATAGCGTCAAAGTGGCTGCACTGGACGTGGCGGAAGGAGGGGCGGCCAGCGGAGCAGGCCTGCAGGTTGCAGAGGCGGAAGCGCTTCCGCTCACCCACACAGTATCTGCCTTTGTATTTGGGCCTGTGGGGAGAACCGGGGTGGGCCCCAGTGAGGGCCCAGTGAGTGCTACTGCATGGCCACAGCCCAGAGCAAGCAGCTTCCTCCTGCATCCACACCGTGAGATCCCTGCCACCCAGCTTTGTGCACGCTGCTCCCCTCCCTTGGGTTGCCCACCCTCTGGCCCAGACACACCCTCCCTGTTTGTAAGGACCTGCGGGGAGGTGGCAGCAGGAAGCCTGAGCTCTGCCCCCAACCTGCTGTGTGACCGTGGGCAAGTCTTCGGCCACCCTCTGGGCCTCAGTTTCCTCATGTATAAAGTGGGGTTTGGGGCTGCTTCTGCAGAGGGCTGTTGAGAAGCTGGGACAAGCTGCAGGCATGACTGGCACTGGCTGGAGGGACTGCTCTGAGTCTTCAGCCCATGATACCAGCATCCTAACGAGCCCTTGAGTCCTCAGCCTTCCTCCTGGTGGCAGTACCCCCAGCCCGGGTCTAAAGGAAGCGCCCAGCGCCCCAGCCAGCTGAAAGGTCTGACCTAGCACAGCTCCTAAAATCCTCTGCATCTAGGCCAGGGTCGCTGGCCCCCACCCAGCTCAGACCTGGAGGCCAGGAGGCAGGGAGGGGCACAGGCCAGTCTTGGGTAAGCGCAGGGCCCTGGGTGGGGCTGGCTGTGAACCCCATGCCTGCCCCGGGTGGCCTCCTGAAGTGAAGATCAGCCGGGTAGTGCCTCGGTCTACAGTACCACTGGCCTGTACGTCTCACCAGATCTTCACACCCCCTGCGCACCCCCGTTTAGATGGGGAAACAGAGGCCCAGAGAAGTGAAGTCACTCACCTCAGGCCACCCCTTCAGTGCTGTCCCATCCTCCCAGCTGCCCCCAGTCTCATCTCAGACTCTCGCTGTGTCCCTGAGGCCAAGAAGCCCCTCCCGCTGAGTGCCCACTACAGATGAGCTGCAGGGCTGAGGACCTGGCCTGCGTAAACCGCATTTGCCCCTGACTACAACTTTACTGGATGGGCACTGCTATTATACAGATGGGGAAACGAAGGCCCAGAGAAGGGGTGAAGAGGGGATTCAAATCCTGAGCCATCTAAGGTCCAGGGCCCATGCTCTTCCCCACTGCCCTCTCCTGCCTCCTTCCAGCCAGCAACTGCTTTGCCATGTGGCCTCTGATGAGTCTCTCCAGTCTCTGGGCCTCAGTGTCCCCTCTCTGCAAAGGGGTCAGCAGTCTCTGCAAAGGGGTCAGCAGTGGGGACCCTGTCAGCCCCCAGAACACTCCTTGAAAGTGACTCAAGGTGGCCTGGACACTCGGACTGACCATTATGAGGACACTTCTAAGAGCCAGGGGCTGGGACAGAGCCAAGCTCCTGCAATCGGCTGACTGTTTGGGTCCCTCTGTCCCACTGCCCAAGGGCACCCTGGGCCCCACACTCACGTAGGCTGCGTGCACTGCCGCTCGGCGCTCTGTACGCCCATGCCACAGCTCCATGAGCAGATGGACCAGGCGCTCCAGCTGGACCAGCCACCATCCACGGCCTCGGGCCGGAAGCCCACGGGTACGCACTCCCCATTGAGACACCACTACCGAGACAGACGGAGGTAGAGCCACCCCACCCCCAAGCCTATCAGTCATCCTCACCCTAGTGAGAACAAGGTGGGTGGGAAGGCTGCGAAAGGCACAGAGGGGAAGGATGGAAGGTGAGAGAGGCCTCCTCACAATCATCACAATCATTTGTGACCCAGGCCACATGGAGGAGCTGAGCGGGGAGTAAAACAGCCCACATGCTGACTCAGCTGAAGACACCCTGGGGAATCATGGAATCAAACCCTGGCCCCAATGCCTCCACTTTGCAGACGGGGGCTTGGGCTGCAGAGAGCTTGGGGCTCTGCTACAAGCACAGGCAAGACTGTGAGCCGAGGCTGACCCCAGGGCCCGGCCACAGCAGGAGGTCTAGTCTCTCACACACCCACCGCCGGGACTGGGGACACCCCCAACCGGGTGCCGTCCATGGCTGCATCCAGCTTGGAGTGACAGGTGGTCCCCACAGAGCACCAGAGTGTGTGGCAGACATTCCGCGAGAAGGAGGGCATGGGCCATACCCTCACACCCTACCCAGTGCTGCCACCCACCCTGCCCCCCTCCCTGTCCCCAAGGGTCCCCTGGGCACCCCTCCACATGGCAGGGGCCCACAGACCCCCAGAGGTTCCTTCTTGTGTGCCTGCTCCCACCTTCCTCCCCGGACCATGTGGTGGTGTGGGGCGCCCGGGGCTGCGCTGCTCAGAGCGGTCCCCAGCTGTCCACACCTCTCCCGGCCCAGCGCCTCCTCTGGAAACACTCCTGTTAGAAGATCACTTCAGGCGATCTTCGCCAGGATAAATAGACCCTCTCCACAGGGGTTCCTTTTCCCTCTTATGAGCCAGCTCCAGAGAGGCGAAGGGACTTGTCCGAAGGGTCACAGTCGGTCCATGGTTGACCCAGAATTCAGAGCTGGGTCTGTGGCCACCTATCCCTGGCCTCTCCCACAGGCCACTTGACGTCTCACAGTGTCACTCGGGGGCGCAGCCCAGGCCAGGAGAGGTTGCTCCCAGGCTGGCATCCACGGGCTGGTGAGAGCTGCCCCCTGAGCCCTCCTGCCAGGTCCCCACACCCCCACACCCACACCGGCCCCACTCACATCCATGTCCTCGCAGAAGGCAGAGTAGGCCCCGTACTGGAGGCGGCACTGGTGGCTCACAGCATAGGGGATGCCAGGCAGCACCAAGGGGAAGTCGATGATGTCCTTGGCAGGAGGGTCGTCCAGGCACAGGCCCCATCCATGGCTAGAGATGGGATGGGAGGATGCAGGGGGCGCAGCCTGTGAGACCCATCGGAGAAGGCTTGGTGGGGCCGGGAGAGGAGGAGAGGCGGGAGGGGGCACAGAGCCCTGCAACTGTAGGAAACTCCAGCCTCCCTGCTCGGCTCAGCCGATCCTCCACCCGCAGCCAGCAGCACAGGCCCTCCCGGCCTCTGTCATCTCACCTCCTGGGCACTCCAGCTGGCTAAACAACCCCAACCCCAACCCCAGGCCTCTGCACACGTTGTCAGGGCCCTTCCCTCGGAAGGACCGCCAAGCCGTCATGTGGCCCTGCTCTCCGACCCTGCAACCTCCGTGTCTGAGCCCAGATCCTGGAAGCCAGGCCCGACAAGGATCTGGAGAACATCACATCACAGTTGACACAACAGAGCCTCCGACGGCCCCACCCAGGCAGAAGACCTCAGGTCATCTGTGGAAAGGCGAGGTCTGGAAAGCAGCCCCTCCCCTGGGAGAGAGCCCAGGGCAGGCATGCCTGTCCTGTTTCCCCCACTCCCCAACAGGGCTGGCCTCCGGCCTCTGTCATACCCTATCTACTCCTGCCTTCTTCCAGCTGGCATTCCCTGGCAGCGATGGCGGGGAAACTGGCAGACATGAGCAGGTGCCATCTGTATCCACCACATACTCCTGCTGCTGCGGTGTGGCGAAGACAAGGCTGCCCAGCCCCAACACCACGAGGCAGTGAGCATGGAGGCGGGGGCCCTGGGGAGGGCGGCCCAGGCCCGGCTGGCACATGCTTCTGCCCCTGCCTCACTCTTTACAGCCCTCGGGCATGCTGTTGCTTCTGGGACCAGTGACCAGCCTGCTGCCCCTGCTGGACCTTAGGTGGGTACCACTACAGCTTAGTAGGAGTGCCCTGGCATGCTGACCACCCCACCCACGGCTCATTGCTGTCCTGGAGGAACTGGAGGAAGGTTTGGGGCCCTCTGGGGGCAGCAGTGGCTGGGGAGAATTGAGCCACGCAGACTTGCAGGGCTGGGGATGACCCAGGCAGCCACGACTTGGGCAGAAGCAATGGAGGGAGGCAGGACCCGTGGGACCTGGGGCCTCTAGCCAGGCAGGGGAGATGGGGAGGCACCAACCCTCCAGTTCTCCAGTCTGGGTGGCCTTAGGGCAGGTGGCGCCAGGCCAGAGGGCCAGGATGAGCATACAGTCCTGATTGGGATGGGGGTGGGGGGGTTGCACAGGGAAGAAGGGCAAAGGTGATGGATTCTGGAGTCCAGCAGGGAGAGAAAGAGACACTCTGAGATGTAGAGAGGCTGGGAGAACACAAAAGGTTCAGGAAACAGGGCCAAGACTACTGAAGGCAGGTGTGGAGAGGGGCTGGGAGGGTGGATCAGACCATGGAATCCCGAAGCCCAGATTTCAGAGGGGGCCTGGCAGCTTGGAGACCCAGGGTGGAGTGGGTGTTTGCGTGGTCTCCTAAGTCCCCCGACCAGTGACAGGCCCCTGGCCCTGCCCAGAGCTGCGGAGAAGAAAGCCAAGGTGACCAGACTTCTACTGAGAACCCTGGAATCCTCCTGGAATCACTCAGACTGCCCATGCTGGCTGGAAACAGATCCTCTAACATGGGCGTTGGCAGATGAGCAGCTGCTGGATGCAGTCCTAGTGCCCAAGATGACCACGTGCCAGGCTGGTCCCGGGTGCATACCCTCTCATTTGCTCCTCACAACATCCTGGGCAGACTCTACCATCATCTCCCCTCATGCACTCAGGGCCCATATGTCACTTGCCCTGGGTCGCGCAAGAGAGATGTGATGGCCAGGATCTGGAGCCATGCCCAGGCTGCCTGCACCAGGCTGTGTCTACTCACTGGGCTGCCTGCAGTGCCAGGCTCCTCCCATTCAACCGCGAGCCTGGCCTCAAATACTTCACCCCAGATACAAGTTCAAAACCATGGCAGTGAGGCCTGGCGGGGAGAAAGGAGTGTCCCCAAGTGCTCCTGGGGCTTGGGGCTCCTTGAGCCTTCCTGGGCCTGCACCCGGGGCAGAGTGTCAGCAGCGGGTGGTGGGGTCAGCTGGCCCTGGGCTCCCTCCTTCCCGCTAGCATTCCGTGGCTCGAGGAGGTAGACTGGGGGCTCACCCATCCCAGCCAGGGGGTCCTCTGACCCAGGGGCTGAGGGGTCCAATGCACCTCATCCCGGCACCAACAGTCCCTGGGCTGCAGCCCAGCCCTTCTGCTTCCTGGCTGCCCCAGTGCTGACTCGCTGCACATGTGGCTCCTGCGGGCCTGCTGTTGGGCAGCTGAAGCCACAACAACCTCTCAGCCCACCCTGGGTGTGTGGGAGAAGTCGGGAGCATGAGGCGACCCTCACAGAATCCACTGTGAGAATCAGGCCGAGGTGCTGTCTTGGGAGTCAGAAACCCAAGTTCTACTCTTTGCCTGGCTATAGATGCTGTGTGGCCTTGGGCCTTCACGTCCTCATCTACAAGAGGCTGATCCCAAGCTACAGGGGTATAAATAGCAGTGTCTTCTTGGGAAAAATCACACAGGCGGCCGGCAGCCAGCCCTTCCTTCCTCTGGCAGGCTCACTGCCAGGTCCTCTGCGCTGCCGACACACCCGGATCCCCAAACCCGTCAGCCCTTCCCCTCCACGCCCCTCCTTAAGCTAATTATAGCGGGGCTGGGCAGTCCCACAAGAGGTCAAAGGAGACAGTAGGTGACTCCGGTCAGAAGCCTCACTCTCACTTTGAGACTGCAAAGAGCTGCCTGCCACTGACAGGAGAGACCTGGGGGCCCGCTCCCCTGGCCACCCCTGGGATCTGGTCATGAAGTCACTGAATGGGGGGTCCACGGGGTGAAGTGAAGGACCCCACATGTGACCCAGCCTGCCTCTCTCCCTGTAGAAATGCTGGCTTTGAGGAAAGCAGGGACCAGGGCCTCCCCTCCTCCCCACCCAGGTCCAAGTTGACACTGGTGAAATGCTGTGACCTCTCCCCAGGGTCCCTTAAAGCACCTGTCAGTCCGGAAAGGTTCTTAGAGTTCTTCAGGTCAACCCTCTTGGACAAGCTCCAGAAGCTACCCTCCAGTGCCCCCCCACCACCTCCTGAGGGTTCTTCTGCCCCACCCTATACTCGCATGGCCCTGGCCTCTGCCCAGCCTGCCCTCCACTTACAGCAGCACCCTTCTTCCTCGGCGTGGAAGCTGGCCTTTAGAAGGCAGGCTCCTTCTCCGAGTCACTGTTCCTGAACCCAGGAGGGCTTGGTGCCCCTCTCCCCATTCCTACAGACCCACGAGGACTGCATGCCTCAGTGCCAATCATCCCCAACTGTCATCTGTCCATCTCCCCATGGTGTGAGGGCCTGGAGGACAGGCACCTGGAGGTCTGTCTCCTTTACCACGGTCCCCACACACAGGGCCTGATGGACATGGAGTCTGTGGACACAGCAAGAACGAGTTTGGATTCAGCCCTGTGGGTCTACCTGGCTGGATAAGCATCTATATGCAGGAAGCCAAAGGGCTTCAGGACCAGCTAGGATGAGAGGGTGGTCTGTGAGTGCCTCTGCGACGCCCCCAAGTCCTAGAAACACTGCCTGACTGTTTGGCACTTTCGGTGAATCTCACTCATTCTGTCCCCCAACCTGCTTGGGTGGGGCCCATCCTGTCTCTCCTGTCCCACCCCCATCAAGGAGACCAAAGGCTGCAGGCTGGAAGACAGGCTGCTGCCACCCTCCCCACCTCCGCACACCCTCTTCCTTCCACCTCCTGGGCCTTGGGAGGGCCCTGCTACCTGACTCCCAGGATGCAAAGGTGAAAGTGCAAAAGGACCTTGGGAAGAAGGGGTTATTCTTCCTCCCAAACGCCCCTCCATTGGGGAGGGGCCCGCTCCCCTGGGGAGGCACGTATTGCTCTGCTTCTGTCTGGCTCTCCCTGGTGCCAAGGCTCTGGGAGGCCCCGGCTGGCTCTGACTCTCACCCTGTCCTCTCACCCTCACCCCAGGCCCCGAGCCAAGTCCCTCAAGCATTCCAGCAGCTGAATGAGGACAGACTTGTCTGTCTGTCTGTCCTAGAACCAGGCTGTTGGGCGGCACCCTGGGTCGGGGCAGCTGGGAACAAGCCCTGGGGGTGCTGTGGGGGCAGCTACTATTCTGATTTTCTGAAGCCATTCTCTCATTCTCTGCCTCTCTCTGGGGAAGGAGACACACCCTCCTCCCCACCTTCAGGCCACTTCCCTGGTTCAAGTCCATCCTATCTATCACTTGGTAACAGTGGAAGGAATAGTAATGAGTGTGCGTGAAATGCTTACTGTGTGGCAGGCACTGTGCTAAGCACTGCATGCGTTTTCTCACTTATTCCTCATATCACATGCACAAGGCAGGCCCATCATCATGTCCATTTTTTGAGGCTTAAGAGCTAATATAACTTGTCTGCCAACACAGGTAGAAGCCTGGGCCACAGTCTAGGTTCTTTTTTTTCCCCAAGACAGTCTTGCTCTGTCGTCCAAGCTGAACTGCAGTGGCATGATCTTGGCTCACTGCAACCTCTGCCTCCCAGGTTCAAGCAATTCTCCTGCCTCAGCCTCCCGAGTAGCTGGGATTATAGGCATGCACCACCACACCCAGGTGATTTTTGTATTTTTAGTAGAGACGGGGTTTCACCATGTTGGCCAGGCTGGTCTCGAACTCCTGACCTCAAGGGATCCGCCTGCCTCAGTCTCCCAAGGTGCTGGGATTACAGGCATGAGCCACCATGCATGGCCAGTCTAACCACCAAACAAAACTCTTCTCTGCTTCCAATCCCCCCACCCCAGTACTCCCTCTTCCACTGGAGGCCAGCATCCTTGCTCTTACATCGCTAATGGACCTAGTCACATCCCTGCTTAAGCCCCATAGTGAGTGGACTTCTAGAAAAACATGGCACGTTGAGCAGACAGATTTATTGCTGCTCCCTTCCAAAACTCCACTATGATGACAGTGGAGGAAATAAACAAGGCATAAATCCATAAGGGGTGATGATGGGTAATGAAGGATGTCAACAAGATTCTGGAAGCTGGGAAGCAGATGGCCAGGTAGTAGCTGACTTGGTAGAGTGATAAAAGCTGAGAGCCAATTGCCTGCAGGGAGGAACCACCCAGAAGGAGAAGCCCGGAAAGGCTCAGGAATGGAGTTTCCAGGGACCCCTCAGGGCCTTAGTGCCAGGAGGGCTGAAGACAGTAGGGCTGAAAGTCTGTAAGAACCGATCAGACCCTAGATCCCCTCCCCAACCCTGAGTAGCCAAGTGATGGCCACCTGCCACCCAGCAGAGGGCCGGGGATCACTCCCTGGGGAGGGTGAACCAGGAGGCTCTGGCCCAGGAATGGTAGACATACATGAAGGCCCAAGGCAGAAGGACCTACAGAGAAAAGGGGACAAGCAAAAGTCTATACATTGAAGGGTAAGAAACATGCCAAGCCCCTTCCCCACTTGGATGCTGCAGCCAGACATACACTCTCCCAGGAAAAGTCGAGAGGATTGTTCTCTGGGGAAACTGGTTCACTCAGAAAAATGACCTCAGTGACTGACATTAGAGGATCTTCCCAAAATAGCCCCATCTGAACCAGTCTTTCAGCAGAGACTTGGAAAAGTCCTGCCCAAGTCCACAAACTGCCCAATTAGTGTCTCTGCATCTCCTTGCTATATATGAAATACAGCCAATGCATTTTAAGAAAACTTTTTTTTGAGACAGTTTCTCTCTTTTGCCCAGGCTGGAGTACAGTGGCGCAATCTCGGTTCACTGCAGCCTCTGCCTCCCGGGTTCAAGCGATTCTCCTGCCTCAGCCTCCTGAGTAGCTGCGATTACAGGCACCAGCAACCGTGCTTGGCTAATTTTTTTTGTATTTTTGTTTAGTAGAGATAGGGTTTCACCATGTTGGCCGGGCTAGCCTGCCTCGGCCTCCCTAAGTGCTGGGATTACAGGCATGAGCCACTGCACCTGGACAAGAAAACTGTTAACATGAAACAAATATGTATTTTTAAAATAACCCAAAGGAAAGAAAAACATTTCAGGGAACAGAAGAAAAAAGTCAAATCCATGTAAGTAATAACCTCACAGAGATAAGAGAACATACTGTACCCATGAAACAAGAATAGGATCAAAAGGTGCACAGATTGAGCATCTCCAATCCCAAAATCCAAATGCTCCAAAATCCAAAACTTTTGAGCACTAACATGATGCTCAGAGGAAATGCTCTTTGGAGCACTTCAGATTTTGGACTTTCAGACTGGGGATTCTGAACTGCTAAGTATAATGCAAATACTCCAAAATAAAAAAAAAAATCCAAAATCTAAAACACTTCTGGTCCCAAGTATTTCAGATGTGAACTCAATGTGTATTTAGTGAATGAGAAAGTTTAAGAAATTAAAAGTACGATGAAAAAATTCAAAAATTTAATAGGATTGTAAAGTAAAGATGAATCAGATACCTCCTAGAAGACAGAAAGAGATGGCTGGGCATGCTGGCTCACGCCCGTAATCCCAGAACTTTGGGAGGATGAGGGAGGAGTCCAGGAGTTCAAGCCCAGCCTGAGCAACATGGCAAAACCCCATCTCTACAAAAAATTGAAAAAATTAGCTGGGTGTGGTGGCACACACCTGTAGCCCCAGCTACTTGGGATGCTGAGGCAGGAGGATCTCTTGTGCCTGGCAGCTCGAGCTGCAGTGAGCCATGATTGTGGCACTGCACTCCAGCCTGGGCAACAAAGCAAGACCCTGTCTCAAAAGAAAGAAAGAAAGGAAACAAAGAAAAGAAAAGGAAAGGAAAGGAAAGGAAAGAAAGAAGAAAGAAGGAAGGAAGGAAGGAGAAAGGAAAACAAAGATGAAAAATATAAAACATTTAAAAATAAGAAAGTGAGAAAATAGGTGAATATTAAGGGTTCCAAAAAGAGAAAATGTAAGAAAGTTATCAAATAAATAATACAACAACAGTTCAAGAACCGAAGGGCACAAGTTTCTAGATTAAAACAGTCCAATGAGTGCTCCCTCAAATTAAAATAGGCCAAGGCATATATTGTAAAATTTAAAATCACCAAAAAGAGAGAAAGAGAGAGAGTCCTAAAAGCTTCCAGATTTTGTAAAAGGTCACATTCAAATCAGAATGGTATGGGACCTCTTCAGAGCAATGTTGGAAGCTAGAAGACAACAGAAAAATGCCTTCAACATTCTGAAGAAGAGTCACTTTCAACTCAGAGGTTGATATCAAATCAAAATATCAATCAGATGTGAGCAAAGAATAAAGACACTTTGAGATGGGCAAACCATTTACCTCCATGCACTCTTTCTCAGAAAGCTACTTGAGGATGTGCTCCACCAAAACAAATTAAAAAAAAAAAAAGGTACCTCCCCATAAAAAAAGTAGCATGGGATCCAAGAAACAGGAAGACCCTCCATAAATATTTTGGGGCAGGCCTAGAAAGCATCTAGTCTAAACTAGAGGACCGAGGGAAGTTGGGAGGAGGGTCCAGGAAAGAAGGGAACTGCTGGATTATCTGGTAGGGATTACCTTTGGGAAAACTGGATTAAGAGACATCTTATAAAACTATTAAAGGATCTGGAAGGCCTGGAGAAGCAAGGAAAACAAAGCACAAAAAAAACTGTTCTTAAAAAGAAATGCCATCTAGATGGGGCACGGTAGCTCATGCCTATAATCCCAGCACTTTTGGAGGCCAAGGTGGCAAATCACTCGAGGTCAGGAGTTCGAGACCAGCCTGGCCAACATGGAAACCCCGTCTCTACTAAAAATACAAAATTAGCTGAGTGGGGGCGGCAGGTGCCTGTAATCCCAGCTACTTGGGAGGCTGAGGCATGAGAATCACTTGAACCCAGGAGGCGGAGGCTGCAGTGAGCTGAGACTGCACCACTGTACTCCAGCTGGGGCAACAGAATGAGACTCTCAAAAAACAAACAAAAAACAGAAATGCCATCTTATTACAACACTTAGTTCAGCCATCAAGATTTACAGCCATAATAATGAAAACGTGGAATGTGGACTTAATCCAAATATGTTAACACAAAATTGGGATGAAAGGTGAGGGGACAAATGCACATACAGGAAGTGATGCAAGGGTGCTAAATCCCAACCTTCCAGATAATATCTAAACTGGAAAATCAATAAATGAGAGTCTAGCAATGCTTTTTGGAAATAGGAAAATAAATACAAGAAAAAGCTAACAGTGTTAAGTTTGAAGGTGGTTGCCTAGGAAAAAGCAATGGAGAGTGGGGAGAAGTGGGGCAGGTGTACAATGCTCTGCTGTTGCCATATTCTATTTTTTTTTTTTTTTTGAGACGGAGTTTTTTTTGCTTTTGTTGCCCAGGCTGGAGTACAGTGGCACGATCTTGGCTCACTGCAGCCTCTGCCTCCCGGGTTCAAGCAATTCTCCTGCCTCAGGCTCCTGAATAGCTGGGATTACAGGCATCTGCCACCACACCCAGCTAATTTTTGTATTTTCAGTAGAGAAGGGGTCTCACCATGTTGGCCAGGCTGGTCTCCAACTCCTGATCTCAAGTGATGCACTCACCTCAGCCTCCCAAAGTGCTGGGATTACAGGTGTGAGTTACCGCACCCGGCCAGTAAGCAAGGTCTGATGGGACAAAGGAGCCTGCGTGTGAGCAGAGGAGACACAGGCAATGTCTGTGTCCACCATTCCTTGCTGCCCCACTTGCATCTCACATTTACTTTGGTCCAGACTGCTGGGAGGCATGAGCCACCGTGCCCGGTCCTTTTCCCATTTTTAATTGGATTTATTTGTAAGAGCTCTTTGTATATTAAGAAAATTATCTCTTTGTCACAATAGTTGTTACTATTTCTCAGTTTGCTGTTTTCTGCTATAGAAATTGGAAGTTTTTATGCAATCAAATTTGTTAATCTTGTCTTTTTATAACATCTGAGTTTTGTGTTAGAAAATCCTCTGCCCACTCCAATGAAGTGAAATTCACGTGGTTTTCACTAATTAACCTCTTTAATCCAGATACAGAAATGCAAAGTTAAGTTTATCTAGTGAATCTTATCCAATACCCTGATAGTATCTTTATCAGTCCAGACTGACCACATGCAAACAGCACCACCTTCAGGCCAGCCTGAGAAATCTGCACTAAGCCCCCGGATGCAGAACTCCAGGCCACAACCCCTCCAGTGATTTTTTTGGGATGACATTATATTAACAAAGATGGGTTTCCCGACGTGTCCATCCTTACCAGGAATGGAAATGTATGCAAAAGGGAAAAGATGCAGGGGAGGATGGGGATGCACAGCTAAAACTTTCCAGCAGTCCATGAGTTCATTTACCTCTCTGTTCCTAAACTATGTCAACCCTTCACCACAAGAACTGGCACTAGCTTGTTACTGGAGAGTCCTAGAGAAGCCATCTCCTCTGTGTCTGATTCTGGGAAGCTGGTCCTTGCCAGTGTCAACTATCCTACATGAGACAGAGAGAAAGTCACACTTAAGACCAATATATGGTGAATGATCCTACTGAGAAGGGTCCTGGTGGCTGAGGCAGTACCCTAAGACCAGCCTGCCACAGTGGGGCAAGCCTGGAAACAAAGCGAAGTTCAAGGTTGCTCCCCCAAGAGATTCCTTTCTCTATTGGCCAAACCACAGGGGTGAGAGAGGCTCTGTTCCACCAGGAAGCATTCTTGGTTAAAAGCTTGAGAACTAATCTGGCTAACTTAAGTAAAAGGGACTTATTGAAAGACTGTCAGGGAACTGACAGAATAGAAGGGAGCTGATGGATCAGGCTTGAGAACAGTTAGGACCCAAGAAACAAAGAGGAAGGCCCCAAGAACCACAATAACAGTCTCTTAGCAGAAACAGTTCAGCCTCCCCACCCCATGACCTCTGGTGGTGCTACAACCATCTCGTTTCCCCACCTTTCTCACTCAAATTTCCACGTGCAAGGAAACAGCATTGGGTTGGCTGAGTAAGTCACATGCACACTCCCTGGATGCAGCAGGGTGAGAGAGGATATGATCTGGCTCCTAGCTTTTCTTACTAAGACCTCACACAAAGGCAGATTCTCCACTCTGGAGACTGAAGGCCTATCAGGCAGAAACAGTGTCACTACTTGTCTTTTAGACTCTGAGCAAGAAGGGACTTCGCCCCAAGGAATGCTAAGCCTAAGGCATTTGGGGGCCCTTAGCTCATCTAGAGTTGATGAAAAATGATGTGGGTGGGGACGGGGAGAACTGCTCCATAACAGTTCTTTCCATAACAGTTTTGATTGGAGAGTTTAGTCCATTAACATTCAAGGTGATTATTGATCAGTAAGGACTTACTCTTGCCATTTTGTTATTTGTTTTCTGGTGGTTGTGGTTTTCTCTTTCTTCTTTCCTCCTTCCTATCGTCCTTTTGGTGAAGGTGATTTTCTCTGGTGGTATGATTTAACCTCTTGCTTTTGGTTTTTTTGTGTATTCATTGCGTATTTTTTTTTTTTTTTTGAGGTTACCACAAGGCTTGCAGTACTATCTTATCACCCATTGTTTTAAACTGATAACTTTACGCTGCTTGCATAAAGGAACAAACAAACAAGCAAAAAGAAAACTTACCAAAACTCTACACTTTAAATTTGTCCCTCTGCTTTTTAACTTGTTGTTGTTTCTAGTTATATCTTATTGTACTGTCTGTGTCTTGAAAAGTTGTTGTAGTTATTGTTTTTGTTTGGTTCATCTTTTAGTTTTTGTTGTTTTTTTGAGACAGAGTCTTGCTCTGTCACCTAGGCTGGAGTGCAGTGGCACCATCTCGGCTCACTGCAACCTCTACCTCCTGGGTTCAAGTGATTCTCCTGCCTCAGCCTCCCAGGTAGCTGAGACTACAGGCGCATGCCATGACAATGCCCAGCTATTTTTTTTTTTTTTTTTTTGTATTTTTAGTAGAGATGGGGTTTCACCATATTAGCCAAGATGGTCTCGATCACCTGACCTCGTGATCCACCCACCTCAGCCTCCCAAAGTGCTGGGATTACAGGCATGAGCCACTGTGCCTGGCCTCATCTTTCAGTCTTTCTACTTAAGAGCTGTTTGCACACCACAATTACAGTGTTATAATACTCTGTGTTTTTCTGTGTACTTACTATTACCAGTGAGTTTTGTACCTTCAGATGATGTCTTATTCCTCATTAATGTCCTTTTGTTTCTGATTGAAGACCTTCCTTTAGCATTTCTTGTAGGATAGGTCTGCTGGTGAAATCCCTCAGCTTTTGTTTTTGTCTGGGAAAGTTTATTTCTCCTTCATGTTTGAAGGATATTTTCGCTGGATATATTATTCTAGGGTAAAAGTTTTTTTTTTTTTTCCCTTCAGCCCATCACGTATATCATAGCACTCTCTCCTGGCCTGTAAGGTTTCCACTGAAAGTCTGCTGCCAGATATATTAGAGCTCCATTGTATGTTATTTGTTCCTTTTCTCTTGCTGCTTTAGGATCATTTCTTTATCCTTGACCTTTGGAAGTTTGAATATTAAATGCCTTCAGCTAGTCTTCTTTGGGTTAAATCTGCTTGGTGTCCTATAACCTTCTTGACTTGAATATTTATAGCTTTCTGTAGGTTTGGGAAGTTCTCCATTATTATCCTTTTGAATAAATGTTCTACCTCTGTCTATTTCTCTACTTCCTCTTTAAGGCCAATAACTCTTGGCTTTGCCTTTTTGAGGCTATTTCTAGATCTTGTGGGCGTGCTTCATTGTTTAAAATTTTTTTGTCTCCTCTAATTGTGTACTTTCAAATTGTTTGTCTTCAAGCTCACTAATTTTTTCTTCTGCTTAATTGATTCCACTATTAAGAGACTCTGATGCATTATTATGTCAACTGCATTTTTATCCCCAGAATTTCTGCTTGATTCTTTTTAATTACTTCAATCTCATTGTTAAATTTATCTGATAGAATTCCAAATTCTTTCTCTGTGCTATCTTTAATTTCTTTGAGTTTCCCTGAAACCACTATTTTGAATTCTCTGTCTGGAAGGTCACATATCTCTGTTTTTCTATGATTGGTCCCTGGTGCTTTAATTAGGTTGTTTGGTGAGGTCATGTTTTCCTGGATGGTCTTGATGCTTGTGGATATTCAATGCCTGAGCATTGAAGAGTTAGGTATTTATTGTAGTCTTCTCAGTCTGGCAGTGCATTACCCTTCCGGCTTTGATATGTGCCAATACACATGGAGTATTCCCAGCCAGAGAGACTCCCTCAAGCCTCAGTGTTCAGGGTTTTTACTGGAACTTCATCACAGAGGCATGCTTGATTGTCCATGTGGATCCTCTCAGTTTTCAGTTTCCAGTCCTTCCAGGGGTGACCTAAAGCCCAGACTCTAAATCTCTTAGTCGGATTTCCTGGCCTGGCTAGACCCCACCCTAAATCTCATTATTAGACTATCCATTATGATCCAAGATCCCCAGGCAAAGATACTCCTATTAGGCATTATGTGTCGAAGATTACCTCCCAGGAGTCTAGGACAAAGGTCAGACCTCTTTTTGGTCAACGTTAATTTTTATTTGAAACTATACAACATTGCCATCACTCTGTTATCCTTTCTGTTTTGTCTTCAAAATAACCCTAATTGGTGGGTAAGGATATTATTATAAACAAGATCTCAAGAGGGAAGACGCTGGGGCAAGGTTGCACAGTCGATCCTGGACTCATGGTACAAGACTCTTTCCACTCTCTGAGAGCCCTGAGTCCTGAGAAGATGGAAACAAGGTGTGTATATGTGTGTGTGTGTGCACATGTGTGTTTGTGTGTGTAAATGTACATCTAATGAGTATGTGTGGATATGTGTATGTCTCTGTGCGTTTGTGTATATATGTGGATGTTTGTCTGTAAGTATGGCTGTATATGTGTGTATCTGTTCAGCGGTGCACACCTGTAATGCCAGCTACTCAGGAGGCAGATGAAGGAGGATCACTTGAGCCCAGGAGTTTGAGAGAGAGAGAAAATTTCAATGATCTTCCTGCAATTAGAAGAAGAAACCTGGGGCTGGACATAAAAAGACAAAGCACAGCATAAAGAGGCAGAGAAATATCTGATGAAAAACAAGTGACCAAGAATTAATTAGTTCATCTATAAAGAAATATAGCACTTTAGCAGCAGAATACAACTGGAAAATAATTTCTTCTAGAACCATGATAACTGTCGATCACATATGTTAACTGCCAAAACGTGCAGGACTCTGTGCAGCAGAACTGGCGAGTAAAACCATCTATCTTTTTTTTTTTTTTTTTTTTTTTTTTTTTTTTTTTTTGAGGCAGAGTCTGGCTCTGTTGCCCAGGCTGAAGTGCAGTGGCGCAATCTCGGCTCACTGCGAGCTCTGCCTCCTGGGTTCATGCCATTCTCCTGCCTCAGCCTCCCGAGTACCTGGGACTACAGGTGTCCACCACGCCTGGCTAATTTTTTGTATTTTTAGTAGAGACAGAGTTTCACCGCGTTAGCCAGGATGGTCTCGATCTGACCTCATGATCCCCCTGCCTCAGCCTCCCAAAGTGCTGGGCTTACAGGCGTGAGCCACCATGCCCAGCCAAAACCATCTTTCTTAAACTTATTATTCTACAAGTGGCATTTAACTCTTCTCAATCAAGATTTCACAAACCTATCTCCAGCTTCCAGATGGTGAGGGAAAGTGTGATGAGATTTTATGATAAATCGTGCCTGTCTCTGAGCCCATCTCCTCCTGTTGAAGAGAAGGAAAATGAGGTGAGCACATTACAGCCCTGCCGACAAAAGTCACAAGATAAGCAAATAATTATTATTTAAAACCAGAGAGTCCTATAATTTATTCACAAATGCCACACATTCTATATTAGATCTTTCAGTTCAATTTACTTGTATTCTTTGAAGCAAATTTATAAGATTCAAATTATTCAGAAAATGCTCCCAAGGTAATAGAAGAAAATACTTTAACCACAGGAAGTATCATGCTACACAATATGGTGTGGTGGTGAAGGGTGCAGGCTCTAAAACCAGAAAACACAGGTTCAAGTCCTGGCCCTACCACCTTGGCAAGGTTACATGGTCTCTCTGTGCCTCCATTTCCCCATCTAAAATGTGGGAATGACAATAATAGTGTCTATTTCACAGAGCTGTTTTGAGGAAAATAATATATGTAAAGCACTGTGAACAGCAGTCAGTGCTATATAAGTGTTTGCTCTAGTTATTTTAACATTTCAGATGATAAATATCTACCCAGTTATTCAGATGACAAGCGTCCCTAAGCTGATAACATGATGAAGAGCTTTTGGGTTTCTTAATTTCCATCAGTTTTGTGAGGGAAAAAATACCACAAGAAGAAGAGCAACTGAAGCAGGCGTGAGGAGGAAACTTGGCTTAAGATTGGGGGGCTTGGGGTTATTAGGCTTTCATCTTCTAAAATGTCCTAAGCTCCACTGATAAGAAGACGCTTAATATCAATCTAGCTAAAAAGGACCAATAGGCCCCAAAAGACACTGAGTTAGAGACAAAAATAGCAGGGTAATAAATGAAATATGGAAAACTACACAACCAGAAAAATAAACAGCTACCAGTACCCAAAACGTGGTTAAATCTCACAGGATTATATTGAATGAAAGAAGCCAGCCACAAACGTGCACATACTGATTCCATTTATATGAAGTTCAAGAACAGGTGAAACTAATCCATGGAATCATGTGAGATTTAGCCATGTTTTGGGGACTGCCAATATGGCACTTTGAACAATGTGTGGAAAGGACAGAAAAACAAAAGAAGAAAACTGAGGTAGGTGGCTCCCTCAAGCCCTTTCATAAGGTCACTAATCCCATCCATGTGGGGGCTCCTCCCTCATGACTTAATCATCTCCTAAAGACTCCACCTCCTAATGCTATCACATTGGGGTTTAAGTTCCAACATGAATTTTGGAGGAGACACAATCATTCCAACCATAGCAAATATACTTTACTAAAAAAGAAGAAAAAAGAAAAATCTTGTCTCTAAACATAATATTTTCAGTTTATATATTTACAGCCCAGTTTTCCACTTGCTTACATACATATTTGTGACCACGAATGTCATTCTTAACTGAGAAAAGTTTCAGTAAGTTAATTTTTTTCTCACATTATCTATGAATATCTTATTCACATAAAACCAAATTTCTAACCTAGATTTTAGGTTGAGACAGAAACCCATAGTCATTAGTTGCAATGTGAGAATGACAGAGAGATATTAACTAGCAGAATCCAACTATAAAAATAAATTTAAGAGCACAATTCTCTACTCAATGTAGAGTTGTACTCTACTAATGACTCCCCCAGACAAATCATTACTTGGATAGCAATGAATCAACTAAAAATGGAAGTGAGAAAAGTTAGAGTCCTTTTTGCAATGGATGGATGTTTATGAGACTATTAAGTGAAGAGGGTTCAGAAACAAGGGGATAAAAGGCATGCTAATTTGGGGTTGAATGGAGTAATGAGATGATCTTGGAAACATAAGAATTGCGCTTAATGGGACTTGTCTACTTGCAATTCAATAAACCAATATACGTAAATTCAAAGAGACAAAGGACATGAGCACTCAGAACAAAACCATAGGAATACGGCCAGGTGCAGTGGCTCAGGCCTGTAATCCCAGCACTTAGGGAGGCTGAGGCGGGCAAATCACCTGAGGTCAGGAGTTTCTGACCAGCCTGGCCAACGGGGTGAAACCCCATCTCTTCTAAAGATACAAAAATCAACCAGGCGTGGTGGTGGACGCCTATAGTACCAGCTACTTGGGAGGCTGAGGCATGAGAATCACTGGAACCAGAAGGCGAAGGTTGCAGTGACCTGATTGTGCCACTGCACTCCAGCCTGGGCAACAGAACGAGACTCCGTCTCAAAACAAACAAACAAACAAACAAATAAAAATTTGCAGGAATAAATGTAGCAAAGAGGCACCAGAGTTGATATAAGGGTCACTGTTCCACATCTGACATCTTTAATTCTTGAGTCATGGAGATGGCAAGCCAAGAACAGAATCTTCTGACTGGAAGCTAAAACCAGCCTTTGGGATGGGTTCAGAGAGACTGTTCAGACTCAAGATGCCAAGGCAGATGTTGCCTGGTCGAAAATATCACGAATGCAACAGCATTTTCAAAAACAGTGGGCCTTGGGGAAAGAAAACGCTGTGTGTTTAAAAAGAAAAAAACAATTAAAAGAATAGAAACAAGGAAGAAAAAGTGATCAGACAGTAGGGTGACCAGAGGTTCTGGTTTGCAAGGTACAGCTAAGGTTATGACTATCCTGGTGCAATTATGATAGTGCCCCCTTTCACTTTCCGAAGTGTCTGGATTTGGATGATAAAGCATATGCTCACCCTACCAAAGAGAGGAAATTAGCCGGACGACCCATGTGTCCATTTTAAACGGTGTGGGCTGATCCACAGCTGCGTGCCGCTGCCCAGCTGAGCGGTGTGCACCACCTCTGCCTCGCCCTACCCCACCCTGCCCGAGTCTCCAGGAAGGCTGGAACAGAACCCTCGGTTCCCGCGCGGCTCTGGTGCCACCTGCAGGTTATATGGGGGAACTGCTTCTCCCCACCCCAACCCTGGACAGACTTGGACTTGGCCAAAAGACAGAGCACGCGAAGCCCCGGCAGGGGAATGGGCTGGACCCAACAGTGAAGTTCACGTTACAGAATCAGAAGGGCCCAGCTTAAACCAACAAAGCCCAGCTCCTCCTCTTCCTACCCACTCCTGTCCTGTCTCATTTTGTAGAAGGGAAACTGAAGCCTAATTCAGATTTTTCATTGGTAGGATTGTGAAGCATACAGCTGGAGCCTCCCAGGTGCCATTCCCCACATCTCTGTCTTTCCCCTAATACGTTAGGATAGTGGGGAAGCAAGCGAGCTTAAGCTTACTAAGCTCCTACTGTGTACTGGCCAGAGTGGGCACTTTTCTCTCCAGCCTTGCAATTGATGGGAAATAGGTGATTACACAGCTAGGATACAGGATTAGAGTGGGCTAGCGATGTGCTTACAGTCTCTCAGCTGAAACTGGAACCCAGTGTGAATATGTCAGTCTAAATGGAGAGCTCTATGCATGTTCCTCTCTATTCCCTTTGTTACCAATACCAATTCCCAAGGCAGAGCCCCAGGAGGGCTGGCCTGAAGGACCTGGAGGTTAATAGAAAACAGCTCAAGAGTGGTGTACACGTCACTGGACTTTGGATTTCCCCTGCTGTGTTGGAGCCTGTGATTGCTTCCGGCAGTAAACTGAGGACACTGTAGGGTTCACCTTCTTTTAGGGATCATAGTTCTGCTCGACCTGTTCTCCAATGTCCGAAAACTATTGTTTTATATATGTTGTTCCATTTTTCTAGTTGTTCAAGGTGGGAGGCAAATCTGGTCCCTGTTATCAATCATGGCCACATGTAGAGGTTGCAGGATGTTGTTTATATATCTTTTTTTTTTTTTTGAGACAGGATCTCACTCTGTCACCCCAAGTGGCACCATCTCAGCTCACTGCCACCTACACTTCGTGGCCTCAAGTGATCCTCCCACCTCAGCCTCCCAAAGTGCTGGGATTACAGGTGTGAGCCACTGCGCCCAGCCTAAAATTGTATCTTTCTTATTATCAGTGAAGTTAAACATTTTTTCCTGTGTGTCAGTGGCATTTGCATTTTTCTTTGAACTTTCATATATTTTTTCAATTTTTCTTAGAATTGTTGGTCTTTGTCTTCTCTACTTTTAGAATAGAATGAATATGATATTAATCATACTTCGAATTGTGGCCATGATGGAGTACCTGAATTGATGATGGTCTCCCAGCATAAACAACTACAAAGCTGGACAAAGTACATGAAGAAATTGTCTTCAGGCATTGGGCAATAGGCAGTTCCAGGTACAAACTGAGAGAAGGGAATCACATGAAGTGACTGCTACATTTTTCTGGTGGGGAAAGTTTCCAAACCCTCAATGACAGCATGAGGAAGCAGAGTCCAAGCCAAGAGGATCAGTCTTGTTTGGTGGAGGAAACAGGGACTGCCACTCAGGGCTGCTAAAATGTGTGTGGCAGAGTATCAGAAAGGACGGAGTTGCAGAGAAGGAGCCCCAGAAATCTTATAGAGGTTGTTGCAGGTCCTTGGCCAAATCCCAAACTACGAATGTGTGGATTGAGACTCTGCAAGGCCCAGCACAGAACAGCCGATGGGGAGCTGAAAGCTAAACATCGATTTCAGTGGTCACAGAGTGCTGGGGATACACCCGAATTCTGGCTCAACCAGAGTCTCCACTCTTGGAATCTCAGGTCTTGATGAATATCCCAGACATTCACAGAGGGCCTAGAAGGCCATGCCTTGGGATTAAGGAAGATTCCCTAGGAATAAGGGCAAAACTGAAAAACAGCTCACCCTAACAAAGCCTAAAATGTAGCCTTGACACACATGATCAAGTTAACCCATCAGTAATTTAATTCCCTGCAAAACAAAACTCAACACTAGAGTAGGATAACATAATCCATATCTCTACAATGAAGGTTCACAATGTCCAACAGATCAAGAAATACTTACTAGATAAGTGAAAAAGTGAGAAAATACATCCTAAAATTAAGAGAAAACCAGTCAATACGAACAGACCCACCATGCATGGTGGCTCATGCCTGTAATCCCAGCACTTTGGGAGGCCAAGGCAAGTAGATCACTTGAGCTCAAGACTTCGAGACCAGCCTGGGCAACATGGCAAAACCTCATCTCTACTAAAAATTCAAAAATGAGTTGGGTGTGGTGGTGTGTGGGGGTCCATAACCCCCAGGCTGTGGGCTCTACCAGTCAGTGACCTGTTAGGAACCAGGCTGCGCAGCAGGAAGTGAGTGGTGGGCAGCGAGCATTACTGCCAGAGCTCCGCCCCCCATCAGATCAGCAGGCATTAGATTCTCCTAGAAGTGTGAACCCTAATGTGAACTGCACATGCGAGGGATCTAGGTTTCACACTCTTTATGAGAATCTAATGCCTGATGATCTGAAGTGGAACAGTTTCATACCGTAACCACCACCCCCAACCCCGTCTGTGGAAAAATTGTCTTCCACGAAACCAGCCAGGACTGCTGGTGGCATGTGCCTGTGGTCCCAGCTACTTGGAAGGCTGAGGTGGAAGGATGGCTTGAGCCTGGGAAGTGGAGGTTGCAGTGAGCTGAGATCATGCCACTGCACTCCAGCCTGGACAACAGAGTGAGACCTTATCTCAAAGAAACAAACAAACAAAAAGGGCCAGGCATGGTGGCTCACACCTGTAATCCCAGCACTTTGGGAGGCTGAGGCAGGCAGATCACCTGAGGTCAGGAATTCAAGACCAGCCAGGTGAGGTGGAGGTTGCAGCAAGCTGAGATGGCGCCATTGTACTCCAGCCTGGGCTACAAGAGCAAAACTCCATCTCAAAAAAAAAAAAAAAAAAAGAAAAAGAAAAAGAAAAGACCCATAAATGGCTCACACATTAGAATTATTAGGCAAGAGCTTTAAAGTAACTGTACATACATTAAAGAATTTAGAGAAATATCAACACCTGTGAAGGATGGTGAAAAAAGAATAGAGAGAAATAAGTTTTAGTATAAGTATGTCCTAAATATGCATGGTACGTACTTACTAAAAAAAAGTTGATTTTTTATCAGAAATCTAAATTCAACTGGGTGTCCTATATTTTATCTAGCATCTCTACCCCAAAGCCAAGCAGGAGAGAGTCCAGAGTCCTATCTTCCAGCAGGTGACCTAGCCTAGGACAGGGCCTGGCCAGGGGCAATTGTGCATTGGATGGGTTAGAGATGCCAGTCATTCAATGTGTCAAAGGTTTGCCAGACCTGCATAGAATCAATATTATTTTTAATATTTTTGTCTAAAGCAACTTTACAAATTTTAACCTTTTATTTGGAAATATAGATTCAGAGGAAATTTCAAAGATGGTACAGAGAGGTTTCATGTACTCTTCACTCAGCTTCCTCCAAAGGTTCTATTTTGTATAAATGTAGGACAATATCTAACAATGTCATGTCTATGCCATTTAATCACATATGTAGACTCCTTTAACCACCACTACAATCAAGACACAGAACTGTTCCACCACCATGAAAATCCCCCTCCTGCTATTCCTCTGCACTCATTCCTGGCTCTTCCCCTCCACTATTCCTACTCCTGGCAACCACTAATCTGCTTTCTGTCTTTATAATCTTTTCACTTCAAGAACATTATAAAATGCAACAATTAGCCAGGCGTGGTGGCACCAGCTTGTAGTTCCAGCTACTTGGGAGGCTGAGGCAGGAGAATCACTTGAACCTGGGAGGTGGGGGCTACAGTGACCCTACCACTGCAGTCCAGCCTGAGAGACAGGGTGAGAATCTCTCAATGAATGAATGAATGAAGGCCTGGCACGGTGGCTCACACCTATAATCCCAGCACTTTGGGAGGCTGAGGCAGGTGGAACTGTTGTGGCCTTGAGTTTGAGACCAGCCTGGCCAACATGGCAAAACCCTGTCTCTAGTAAAAATACAAAAATTAGCCAGGCATGATGGTGCGTGCCTGTACTCCCAGCTACTTGGGAGACTGAAGCATGAGAATCACTTGAACCCGGGAGGCAGAGGCTGCAGTGAATCGAGATCATGCCACTGCCCTCCAGTGTGGGCCACAGAGTGAGAGTTCATCTCAAAAACAAAATAAAACAAAACCAAAGAAGAAAAGAACATTGTATAAATGGAATCACACAGTATGTGGCCTTTTGAGACTGGCTTTTTTTTTTTTTCTACTCAGCAAATGCCCTTTGAGATCCATCCAAGTTGTGCATGTTCCTTATTGTTTTTTTCTGTTTGAGATGGTGTCTCACTCTGTCACCCAGGCTGGAATGCAGTGGCGCGATCTCAGCTCACTGCAACCTCCACCTCCTGTGTTCAAGCAATTCTCCTGCCTCAGCCTCCTGAGTAGCTGGAATTATGGGCACCCATCATCATAGCTGGCTTTTTGTTTTTTTGTTTTGGAGATGAAGTTTTGCTCTTGTTGCCCAGTGCAATGGTGTGATCTCAGCTCACTGCAACCTCTGCCTCCCAGGTTCAAGCAATTCTCCTGCCCCAGCCTCCTGAGCAGCTGGGATTACAGGTGCCCGCCACCATGTCCAGCTAACTTTTTGTATTTTTAGTAGAGATAGGGTTACACCATGTTGGTCAGGCTGGCCTCGAACTCCTGACCTCAGGTGATCTGCCTGCCTCGGCCTCCCAAAGCACTGAGTTTACACGCATGAGCCATCATGCCTGGCTCCCTTTTTATTGTTGAATAGTATTTCATAGAATAGATGTAGCAGTTTGCTTAACCATTCACCTATTGGGGAGTATTTGGTTGTTTCCAGTTTGGGACTATTACAAATAAATCTGCCATGAACAATCATGTATGAGTTTTTGTGCAAAAATCAGTTTTATTTTCTGGTACAAATGCCCAGAAGCAATTGCTAGGTCATATATTGAGGTGTATGTTTAACTAAAGAAGCTGCCAAACTATTTTCTAGAGTGTCTGTAAAATTTTATATTCCCACCAGCGATGTATGAGAGTTAGTTTTGTCTGCATCCTCACCAATATTTGATACTATCACTATGCTTGATTTGAGCTGTTCTAATAGATCTGTAGTAATATCTTACTGTGGTTTTAATTTGCATTTCCCCAGTGGTTAGTGTTGAAGATCTATTCCTGTGCTTTAAGTCAACTCATTTTTAAAACCTAAATAAATGTATTTAAAAAGGAAACTTTTGCTTTAGGAGGCCAAGGCAGGTGAATTGCTTGAGTCCAGGAGTTTGAGACCAGCCTGAGCAACATGGTGAAACTCCGTCTCTACAAAAAACAAAAAAAATCCAGCGTGGAGGCATGCACCTGTGGTTTCAGCTACTCAAGAAGTGAGGCAGGAGGATTGCTTGAGCCTGGGAGGTCAAGGCTGCAGTGAGCTGTGATTGCATCATTATACTCCAGCCTGGGTGACAGAGCAAAACCCTGCCTTAAATAAATAAATGAATAAAAGGAAACTTGTGGTTAGTGGTTCTCAGAGTGTGGTCCCTGAGCCAGCAGCATCAGCATCCCCATCAGCTGAGAACTTGTTAGAAATGCAGATTCTCAGGCGCCACCCCAGACCTCCTGAATCAGAACCTCTGAGGCGTGGGTTCAGCGACCTGTGGTTTAACACGCCCTCCCGGTGAGAATCGGTCTCATTCACTACAGATAGAAGGAAATGGTAAAAATCAATTCATCCGCATATCGCCTAAAATCCTCCTGTGGGCCCCAGGTTGGCACAGCACACTTTTGGGCAGGAGCCCCACTCACAGAGGCCGTGACAAGAATGCTCCTGCCCCTGGGGTTGTGCAGTGACAGCTCACACAGCTCCACGTGGCGGTTCTGAGTTTGGGAAGCGCTGATGTAGTCCTACTGCAGCCCTTCCTGCCCTTCACCGGACTGAGGAAATCCAGGCTCTGAGGAGGGCGAGACTTGCCCAAGGTCACCCAGCAACATGGTCAGTCTCCTTTCCCAGGGCCCTCACAATGCGTGGCCTGTTTAAAGCCTGCCTCTATTCACTGCTGAGTGAAAAATCCAGCTCCAAAGTAGAATATGGGGAAGGATACTATCTTGTGCAGCTTATGTTTATAGCTGCAGATACATGAGAAAAAAAGTCTGAAAATACTGTTGAAGTAGTTACTTGGGGAGAGAAGGGGTTTGCTGGTTTTTGTGTTTTTAGCTTTTATATTTCACAATTTTTATCACAATGTTTAGTTACATAATCAAAATTTATTAAATGTTAAAAATTGACATGAAGCCTGATCCAGCCACAGCCTATCATTGGCAGAGCCAGGAAGCCTTCCAGATACAGCAGCCCTGCACCTGCCCCCGGTCACACCCTGGGCCTGGGCACATGCTAGGTCCTCTGTCTGGACACCCTCACCCCCTGGTGGCCTCCACGTCAGTACCCACCAGCACCTCCTGTGGGCGAGGGCCGCCCCTGCATCCAGCCCTGGGCACCCCCTAGCCCAGAGGGCACCTCATGGTGTGAGAGTCCACCTGCCTGTCTCTAAAGAGAGGAAAGCTCCTTGGGACATGTGTTCTGCTTGACCCATCACCTCTGGCCTGGTACAGAAAGGTGGACAGTGGGTATTTGGTGAATAAATGAATGAATGATTGGAACGAACCCCCTAAATGGTGATTTCCTGAGGCCCTTCTCCAGCTGGCCCAGGTGGAACCAGTTCCACGTTTCACAGGAAAGCCAGGTGTGAGGAGTGGGGCAGGTGTGTGTGAGGGGCCAGGTTCTTGAAGGCTGCATGGAAACGGAGCTGGTGGCAGGTCTGGGGGTGGCAGTGCTGCTGTAGGAGCCTCAGGGAGGGCTCATCCCTGGAATCCCCCAGGGTATCCTAGTGCCCCCAGCTGCTGCATGGCATGAGAATTCCTGGCTGGTGGGGGACACACAAGGACTTGTTTGGATTGGCCACCTGGTCCAGCCCAAGGAGCTGCGCCTCCAGCACCTTGGGGGAAAAAAAGCACTTTTGATGTGTGACAACAGCTGCAGGCAAGGGGAGGGAGAGGTGTGCTGGGCCTCGGCCTTAGAAGCCAGAAGCCAGTTCATGCCCCTACTTGGTCTACGTGGGAAAGGGATGTGGCCTCGGCTAGCTCTAGGGTCCTGGGTTATGGAAAGGGCCCTTCCTTATGGACCCAGTGACTTAGGCTGACCCAGCCCCTCCCTGAGCCTCATCAGTGAAACCAGGGCTGGGCCAGGGCTCTCAACACCTCCCAGCTCCAACCTCTGGCTTTGTCCCAGGAGGGCAGGAGATCAGACAGAGGTGACCCGGGCTCCCTATTTACCTCAACCTCCTTGTGAAGCCTCCCTCTTTCTGCCTGTGAGGTGGGTGGGGCTGGAAAGAGGGGCATTCACCTGTGGGTCTCTGACTTCTCTGCCCAGGTGTGCCTGGGGAGTCTGGTCTATACCCGGTGCTCTGCTATACCCCACAGCCTGGTCACAACCTCCCTGCCTCCAGAGCAGCCCTGGCCCAGGGAAGAAGCGGGTCTCTGCATCCAATGATAGGTAGAAAATGAACGTGGGGATGATAGCACTGGAAAGGAGTCAAGGAGGAGGTGCCTTCCCAAGGATGTGGAGGGTTTTTCCAGAATGGAACTTGACTGGGGTGGGCAAACATCAGGAGGTGGGAAGGGTGGCTCCCTCTGTGGGAGCTGGGGCAACTTGCCTGGGCCAAATGGTGGTAGGCTGTGGGTGTAGGGTGGGCAGAGCTGGGGTGCCCAGAGCCTGGGGTCCCTGTCCTTGCAGAGGACTGGAATGCAAAACAAGTGCCCCCTGCCTTCTGGCTGCGGGACATCCTCTGCTTCCAAGCCCAGACATACACCTGCTGCCACAAGCCCCTGAGGCTCTTCAGAGGACCAATGGGCAGCCACACCCATGCTGGGCCAGCCTGCTGGGCCCACCTGCACCCTGGTCAGAGCCCATGACTGAGGGGACTCTCTGGGGGCAATGGGGGCAGTCCCATGCTGCCCTCTTACAGGTGGATCAGTCCCTGGGATCTGGTGCTGGGCTGGGGTGGGCTGAGGCTGTTCTCTGCTGGGGTACCTGGTGGACAGCAGGTGGAGCAACTTCTCCTTGGCTTTCCTGGACCCCAGGACACAGCTGAACACTGCACTCTACCCTGGATGCCTTCAGATGGGACCATGGGAAGGAAGAGGGGCTACCCCTGCAGGGGGCCAGGACCCTGGCCCATGCTTGCTCCCCGCAGCAGGCACCTCCTCTCCAGATTGACATCACCTGATTCCTGAAGGCCTGGGCTACTGGCCAGAGTCCCAACATCCTCACCAAGGTCTGTTTTTACATCAGAGCAGCTAGTACATGAGTTCGGAGCTGAAGGGGGCGGAGAGAGAACACAGGGCTCTGTTAAGAGTTCTTGGCTCCCTGCTGTGGTGGGCCCCGTAGAAGGCCCCCCAAAAATTTGCAGCTGCTATAAGTCACTGGGAGGAAGCTGCAGCAGACACGTGTTTCTCAGCCTGGTAGATGCAGAGGGGTGTCCGGACCCCCAACTGGGAGGCCCAAATGTGGCAGTGCAGGAATTCTAGCCAGCTCTGGGACCCTGGGCAAGTCATGTAACCTCTCAGAACCCCATTCCTGGTCACCATGGGGCTCTTGTGTGGATGTAAACAACCCTCAGGCCACTTATGTCCCATCAGTGGAAGCCTAGCATGGGTGGAGACCCCCGAGACTGAACTCAGTGGCGGGATCCAGCCTTCCCAGCTCTTCTACATAGAGCCCAGAGCTAGCAGGGTGGGCTGCCTGGAGAAGCAGGCACTCCTGTGGGCTGGAGAACATGAGCAGTGGTCCCTTTGGGAAGGTGGAAGAGGCTGTGGTCAGTGGAGGCCATAATGGGGCAGAGGTTGGGCAGAAGGGGCATGATCGGGGGATCTGAGACCCAATAGAGACTGGACTGAGGACTCTGTGCCACTCAGGCAGTGGAAACTGAGCTATGGCTGGGACCCATGGTCCTGAGTGAGGCCTGGCCAGTCTTGGAAGCTGTGCCAAAGGTGGCTTCATGTAAGGGTGCATCTGAGCACTTTTTTTTTTTTTTTTGAGATGGGGTCTTGCTCTGTCATCCAGGCTGGAATGCAGTGGCACGATCATAGCTTACTGCTGCCTCAAACTCCTGGGCTCAAGTGATTCTCCCACCTCAGCCTCCCAAAGCGCTCAAATTATAGGCCTGAGCTACAGAGCTGGGTTTTAAATCTTAATATCTCCTCCTGGTCTGCTTCCCTGGCTGACACACATGCTGGCATCTTGCGCCTAGACAAACATGTTTCTGGACTTGGTTCCATTTGTTCTGACGGGCTTCTCTCTCTCAATGACCGCACGTTACATTATTTGGCTATTCTTACACATTTCCGTATAGAACTGAGGGTTAGTGTATTAATGTCAAAGTTCTACTGGTTTTTCGAGGCTGGGTGGAATGTTTGGGTTAATTTAGTTGTGGGCATCTTGACAATATAGGCTTTTCCTCCAGGAATGGTGATTCTGGGACGCAGGTTTTGCACATTCTGGTTTATTGCTTGGCTCGCTGCCACAGAGGGATGGCACTGCTCCACACACCATGCCCTAGAGATGTCCCACCTTATCTGTCTAAATCAAGCTGGATGTTCTCAGCTGACAGGATATCATATCAGTGCTGTGGGGACTCACTCCCCTCAACCCGAGACGAAGTGAGGTGGAGACTATGGAGCAGATCCGTGCCGACTGCATTTGCCCTTCCTGACCCGCACTGCTGCTGGGTGGGGCTGTGTCTGAGCTGATAGAGGGCATTGATTTGGGCATGGGGAGGGGTCAGTACTGGAGAGATGCCCCTCACCTCCCTTAGCTCCTCCTGTCCACTCAACACTTGGTCACCAAGGCCCCTGACTTCCAGGCCTCAGTCACCACTAACGAGGTGCTGCATGGGAACAAAGCGTAGGCCCACAACCTGGAGTTCAGGTCACTCCTCCTTCCAGTTGAAGCCTCTATCCCTCCCAGGTGATTCCAGCCTCATTTCTCCATGGGCCAAATATCCTAAACAAAGGCCTGGACAGGGGGTCTTTATCCGAGTGCCCAAAAAGCACATGCAGAAAGGCTCTGCATGCCCCCTGTGGCCTGTCAGAGGTAAGAGCCTGCCCGTCAAAATGCACAATCCTGGTTCTTGCAGGGAGGTGAGGAGGGGAGGAAGAAAAGGTCCATCTCATTCCTTCAGCAGGAACCCAAACTTGGGAAAGCCAGACACAGTACATTTCTTAATGATCCTGACACTTTTATAACTGGTTACAGCTGGGTCACATGCACAACTGTTTTCCAACATCTTTCAATGGGCCACATAATACCTTGTAATTTTTTATTTTTATTTTTTAAGGCTGGGGGAGTGGCTCACACCTGTAATCTCAACATTTTCAGAGGCGGAGGGAGGAAGACTGCTTGAGGTTAGGAGTTTGAGACCAGCCTGGGCAACACAGCAAGACCCCATATGCAACAGAGAAAAACGCTGTCTCAAAAAAATTTTTTTTGAGTACAGTGGCATGATCACAGCTCACTGTAGCCTCCAGCTCCCGGGCTCAAGCGATACTCCCACCTTAGCAGCTGGGACTCTCAGAGCGCAGCACCACATCTGGTTAATTTTTTTATTTTTGGTAGAGATGCAGTCTATGTTTCCCACGCTGGTCTTGAACGCCTGGCCTCAAGAGATATTCCCAATGCGACCTCACAATGCACTGGGGTTGCAGGCATGAGCCACCATGCAGCCCCTGCAAAATCTAACTGTCCTTCAGGTGCTCCTTTTGGACCTCCTAGCTAGACTGCCATTGGCAAATGCCAGTTGATTATCCACCCACATGTATGTTAATGGATTTCCCATGTTTTATTTGTCTAGACCAGGCTTTCTCCACAGCAGCACTGTTGATGTTTAGGGCTGGACAGTTCTCTGTTCTGGAGCTGTTTGCGCCTCGCAGGATGTTTAGCAGCATCCCCAGCCTCCGCCTGCCACATGCCAGCAGCACTCCTCAGTGTGACAGCCAAAGTGATTTCAGATACTGTCAAATATCCCCAGGGCGGCAAAATCACCTCCAGTTGAGAACTGCTGACCTAAAACCCTCTGGAACAATGTTAGATCATGGTAATGATAGCGCATACTGCTCCTGACCTTAATGGGAATACCTCTAGCATCAAAGTATAGTAGTACCTGTATACTACTGTCTGGGCTGTTATTAGTACACTGTATTAGTCCATTCTCATGCTGCTATGAAGAAATACCCAAGACTGGGTAGTTTATAAAGAAAAGAGGTTTAAATTGACTCACAGTTCTGCATGGCCGGGGAGGCCTCAGGAAACTTACAATTATGGCAGAAGACACCTCTTCCCAGGGCAGCAGGAGAGAGAAGGAGAGCCGAGCAAAGGGGAAAGCCTATAATAAAACCAACAGATCTCGTGAGAACTCACTCACTATCACGAGAACAGCACGGGAGAAACTGCCCCCATGATTCAATTATCTCCACCTGGTCCCACCCTTGACACGTGGGGATTATTGCAATTCAAGGTGAGGTTTGGATGGGGACACAGAGCCAAACAATATCATATCCTTTATATTAGCATACTGTATCGAAGTATAATTTTCTTTCTTTTATTTTATTTTTTCTTTGAGACAGAGTCTCGCTCTGGCTCTGGCTGGAGTGCAGTGACACGATCTCAGCTCATGGCAACCTCTGCCTCACAGGTTCAATCAATTTTTGTGCCTCCACCTCTCAAGTAGCTGGAACTACAGGTGTGTGCCACCACACCCAGCTAATTTTGATTTTTTTTTTTTGAGTACATATGGGGTTCAACATGTTGGCCAGGCTGGTGTCAAATGCCTGGCCTCAAGTGATCCCATCAATACGACTTCCCGAAGTGCTGGGATTCCAGGCGTGAGCCACTGCATCCAGCCTGAAGTATAATTTTCACAATGTGAAAAGCTTGACTTTCATACAGATAATGAAGGAATATGTATAAGATATTTTCTTTAATTTACAAGGGAGTCAGCAACACGGTGAAGCTAGTTAGAGGAGCGTTTTGAGAGACAGTGTCTGTAGTGCTCCAGGAAGGGCATTCTGAAATGCATTCTGAGATAGAGACAAAACTTGTTAATATCCTATAGGCAGGCTGGGCATGGTGGCTCACACCTGTAATCCCAGCACTTTGGGAGGCCGAGGTGGGTGGATCACCTGAGGTCAGGAGTTCAAGACCAGCCTGGCCAACATGGTGAAACCCCGTCTCTACTAAAAATACAAAAATTAGCGAGGTGCGGTGCTGGGCGCTTGTAGTCCCAGCTACTTGGGAGGCTGAGGCAGGAGAATCACTTGAACCCGGGAGGTGGAGGCTGCAGTGAGCCGAGATCATGCCACTGCACTCTAGCCTGGGCGACAGAGCAAGATTCTGACTTAAAAAAAAATCATATTGGGAAATAAAAATGTCATCTTTGGGAGTTATCTTTTCTACTGGACAGAATTCTGTAAGTTAACATATATACATATTCTCCAGTATATTCACAACATATTCTGTAGTATATTTCCCTACACTACTGCTTTTCAAAGCATGGTCTCAAATTGGAAGCATCAGCGTCACCTGGGAACATAGACATGCAGTGCTTAGGCCCCCCCTCAGTCCTACTGAGTTAGAAACTCTGGTGTGAGGCCCAGCAGCCGGTTTCACAAGCCCTGCAGGGGATGATGATGCACTCTAATGTGTGAGGACCACTGCTCTAAATAGTCAATCTTTAATAGTAAAACAAGTATCTATGAAACAATGCTCCAGTATGACATTAAAAGGGCACACCATCCACCTTTTAACTTTATTTCTCAATTTAGATATTTTGTCTGATGTTAAATTTGCTGTTTTGTTTCTCAAATACTCTTAAGACAGTTTTCATCTGTTCCTAATTTTCTCTTTTTAAATAAAAAATGGTTTTCCAAATCTGTCCATTTTACTCTTCTTTAACCTATTGATAGGATGAAGTAAAAGTTACCTTTTTTTTTTTTGAGACGGAGTCTCACCCTGTTGCTCAAGCTGACTGAAATGCAGCGGTGCAATCTCGGCTCACTGCAGCCTCCATCTCCCGGGTTCAAGCGATTCTCGTGCCTCAGCCTCCCGAGTAGCTGGGATTACAGGCACCCGCCACCACGCCCAATTCATTTGTTTTTTTTTTTTTTAGTAGAGACAGGTTTTGCCATGTTGGCCAGGCTGGTCTCCAACTCCTGACCTCAAGTGATCTGCCTGCCTCAGCCTCCCAAAGTGCTAGGATTACAGGCATGAGCCACTGCGCCCAGCCATTTTTTTTTCTTTTTTCTGAGACGGTCTCCTTCTGTTGCTCAGGCTGGATGGAGTATAGTGGCGACATCATGGCTCACTGCAGCCTCCACCTCCCATGCTCAAGAGATCCTCCCACCTCAGCCTCTTAGGTAGCTGCGACGACACGTGTGCACCAGCAGAAGCAGCTAATTTTTTGTAGAGACCGGGGTCTCCCTATGTTGCCCAAGCTGGTCTAGAACTCGTGGGCTCAAGCGACCCACCGGCCTTAGCCTCCCAAAGTGTTATGATTACAGGTCTTATGTCCTTAAAGTTTTTCTTTGACATGGTATAGGATAGTCTAGTAACTTAACATACTGTGGTTTTCAACAGGCTAGTGCTTATGACTTGTAAAAGAACTCTTCAGAAATGAGCTCAATTTTACCATGAATTGGGACACTTTCCATTTCTTTCTATTCTATAGAGCAGTTTACTTGCCATGAGCTGTCTTTTGAAAACTTGAAAGCCTGCAGCAATAAAACCAGCTGCACCTGGTGCATGGGATAGGCATGGAATTGAGGAGAGAGTTCAAACTACGGTCAGCCCTCTGCATCCTCGGGTTCAAGATCCTTGGATTTAACCAACTGTGCATCAAAAATATTTGGAAAAAGTAAAACAATAAAAAGCAAAAAGTTATAAATACTTTATAACAGGTACTTACAAAGCACTTACATTGTATTAGGTATTATAGTAATCTAGAGATGATTTAAAATATACGGAAGGATGTGCATAGGTTATATGCAAATACTATGCCATATTATATCAGGGCCTTGAGCATCAGTGAATTTTGGTATCTCTGGGGTCCCGGAACCAATATCCTGAAGTTACTAAGGGATGACTGTCTTCAGTTTCTTCTTTGGTTATTAGTTTATTCTCTGATGTATTTTTGTTGTTGTTTTGTCTTTTTGTTTTTGCCTCTGCAAGTCAATGTCGGAAACTTAGTTGTTCCAGGCTACCATTAGCTCAGAGCTACCAGTAAGCAGACTACCACTGCAACCTAAGCAACCGATTTTTTCCCCCATCAGACTGGCAAAAATTAAGCATCTGTTGATGTTGAAGCTGTAGGGAGTTTTCCTGAGCATGTTAATTATGACAGCCCTTTTTGTTAGGCACCTAGACGATTCATCAAAATGAAATAAAATACCCATGCGCTTGAAGAAGTTATCTGGTTATTTCCTTATCTGGGTGCTGGTTATGTGAGGTGTACAGTTGATGAAAACTTATTAAGCTTTATATTTCTAATAGGTACAATTTTCTGTATGTGTAGTAGACTTCAATAGTTTTTAAAATGTCTTTTGCCACAGTCCGCAGCTGTGTATAATGCTATTCGCTTAACAGTGGAAAACATGACAATGACCTGAATCCCCCTGGCTCCCGGGATCCTACCCCCTTAAGTTAAACAAATGAAATAACTTCCACTGTCTTTCCTAATGCCTTAATTCGGTCCTCAGTTAAACTGACGGTGGATGCTGTTTTTTTCCAGGGAAGGATTCTGGGAGACGGAGGAGGAGACGCCAGCATTTCGCCCCCGGCACCTCCAGCGGGCTGCGGTCCGCTCCCGGCCTCACTCGAGCAGGCCCCGCCCTCCCAGAGGCCGTTAGTCCAAGTCAAGTGATCGTCGACTCAGTTGACCCTGTCGGACCGGAAAAAGAAATTCCCGGGCCCTGGCTTCCTGGTGCGATGATGAGGCACCAGGGGTGAAGCGAGGCATGGGCTGCTGGAGCGGGAATGAGGGGGCGCCAGTGGCTCCGGAAACGGGTGGAGGTTGTCTGCCCTGGCCTCTCCGCAAACAGTGTGTGCGGGCGTGAGAAAAGTCCACCGCTACTCCGCTCCCGAGACAGGGGCGGGGGTACGGGGCGGGTAAGACAGCGCAGGCCGGCCGGCTTAGAGTCCCCGTGCTTCCCTGGGGAAAGGAAGGGCCCCTGCCTCCCGGGGCAGGAACTAGGGCTTGTCTGGAGCTGGGAGTCCTTTCGGGTCTTCCCCAGCCACAAGAGGACCTCCCAAGGACACTCCCTTCCCCAGCCCTGCTGTGGGACTTAGACAAGAACGCGCTTAGAATTAGGATCACACTTCCACACTGTTAGGCAGCCCCTCCGCTGTTTCCAGAGTCAGAAAGTAGTAGTTTTGGGGTTGAGACTTATCCATCCATCCATCCAGTCCATCCATCCCTACGTTCTAAGCGCCTAGTCTATACCATGAAGTGTGCTAGGCACTGGGAGGACCTGAGCTGCTGAGGGAAGGGGAAATCGGAGCCTTGAATTGGAGTCATAGTCAAGGCTCCAGGGGCAGAGACCTAACTGCGCCTTGTGTGTAGTGCTAAGGGGGCTTCCTGAGGATGCCTTCAACCTTAAAGGCGGATGGATGGCAGGAGCTGGCTGGCTGAAGTACAGTTTGTGTACCAGGGGTTGGGAGGCAAGGGTGGGAGGCGTGTGTCTTCAGACAGGGAACAGCATGTGCAGAGACTTCAGGTTAGAGAGAGCATGACTCCCCAGGAATGAATGCATTTCCCATAGCTGAGAGAGTATTATCTGCAGGTTAGGGAAGGATGAGGCTGGACAAGTAAAGACCAAATCTTCCTGACTGTTGGATCACCACAATCAAGATAATGAAATATCCACCGGCCCCCAAAATTTCCTTGTGTGAGGGGCTATTTTAGGAAGTATCATCAAGAAGGGCGGGCCTGGCTGGGTACAGTGGCTCACGCCTGTAATCCCAGCACTTTGAGGGGCCGAAGTGTGCAGATGACCTGAGGTCAGGAGTTCAAGACCAGCATGGCCAACGTGGTGAAACCCTGTCTCTACTAAAAATACAAAAAAGCCGGGTGTGGTGGCACATGCCTGTAGTCTCAGCTACTTGGGAGGCTGAGGCAGGAGAACTGCTTGAAGCTGGGAGGCGGAGGTTGCAGTGAGCCAAGATTGTGGATTGTGCCATTGCACTCCAGCCTGGGCAACAGAGCGAGACTCCATCTTTAAAAAAAAAAAAAAAAAAGAGGGGCTGGTCTGATGAGGTGTCACTTGAGCAGAGAGTGGAATGAAATAAAGGATAGCAAGCCACGTAGAGAGTGCAGCAGGCATGGAGGCGGGAGCAAGGCTGGTGTCCCGGAGCAGCAGCAGGGAAGCCGGAGTGGCTGGACTTGTGTGGGTATGGGGAAGAGGGGAGAGAGGTCACTCATCTGTGTGAGGCACAGGACTTTGTTTTATCTCCTGCTGTACCCCCAGCTCTTAGAGTGGGAGCTAGCACAAAGAAAGGTGCTCAATTGATGTTTGCTGAGCAGATGAATGCCTGGAGTAGACCAAAGAGCAGGGTTTGGTGGCAGGGTGGGTCAGGGAGAGAGTTTACTCAATAGCCTGGTGATAGGGGAGAACAAATGGCCAGAGGGTGTCCATCTATGATGGGGACCAGGGGTCCTTGCTGGGCAGCAGTGTGGGAGACACACAGATCCTGGCCACACCTCAGCCTTCCCTCCAGCCTGATTACCTGACTCCCTCCCTTGCAGAGGTTCTGGTTCTGTGGTGATCTGGACTGTCCCGACTGGGTGCTGGCAGAGATCAGCACGCTGGCCAAGATGGTTGAGTGCACAGGGTGTAGTCTGAGTGGAGGAGGGGTGTTGGGGGTGGGGATTGTGGGTGTAGATGATGATGAGGTTTCTCTGGGGTTAGGGCCTCAGTGCTCTCAGCCTGTGCTACCATGCTTTGTGACCTTGATCAGTGGCTGGCCTGCTCTGAGCCAGTCCCCAGGAAGGAGGGGTGAGGTTTGCCAGCCTGGCTGATGTAAGGACTTCCCTTCCAGTCCTCTGTGAAGTTGCGGCTGCTCTGCAGCCAGGTACTAAAGGAGCTGCTGGGACAGGGGATTGATGTGAGTACAAGATCCAGCACCCCATTGTCCCATGCCCTTATGACCCCTCCTGCCCTGAAACTGCACTAGGCCCAGGGAGACGGGTGACCCGGCCTTGCAACCTCTCTGGGCACCTCCCATACTTCTTTCCAGCCTGTCTGTTCCTTATTGCAGGATCCAGGCTGTAGGTGAGGGGCTGGTGAGCAGGGGCCTGGCACCGCCTGAAGGTCTCCTTTCCCCATAGTATAAGAAGATCCTGAAACTCACGGCTGATGCCAAGTTTGGTGAGCACCCCACTGAGTTCACAGGCCCCAGGCAACCCTGGGACCTCGGCCTGGTGCCTGGTACAGAGCCCGCCCCCACCCCCCACCCCCCGCCAACACACACATCCCAGCAGTATCCTTAACCTGCCTTCCCTAGTGGAGGAGCATGAGGGAAAGAAAGACATTGACAGTCCCACCTTCCTGTCCTCTGCCAGCTCCTGGTGGAGCAGTAGCAGTGCCTGTGGCTCCAGGAGGCCTGGGGGCTTTGAGCTGAAGTTAATAGGGCAACAGGGGGGTGGCTGGGCCCACAGTGACACCCCCTGTCCCATGCATGGGTCCCTGAGAGTCAGGCGATGTGAAGGCCACAGTGGCAGTGCTGAGTTTCATGCTCTCCGGAACTGCCAAGCACAGTGTCGATGGCGAATCCTTGGCCAGTGAACTGCAGCAGCTGGGGCTGCCCAAAGGTACGGGTTGTGGGTGGGCAGCTGGGCAGCCTGTGGGCCAAGGGCTGCTAGAGAGGGGACAGGCCCTGTGACCCTGAGGTGTACCCTGCCCTGTCTGGGCCAGGAGCCCAAGCCAGGCCCCCACCTGCTACCTCCAGAGCTTCTCCATTCTACCCCCAGAGCACGCGGCCAGCCTGTGCCGCTGTTATGAGGAGAAGCAAAGCCCCTTGCAGAAGCACTTGCGGGTCTGCAGCCTACGCAGTAAGTATGAGGCCAGCCAGGGTCCAGGCTCATCCTAGAAGGTGCACGCAGCACACAAAGTGCGTGGAGAGTCCAGGGAGACAATTTAACCGCAGTCACATACCGAGCAGCCGCAGAGCCGGGACGTGGCCCTCGGTCTCCTGACCCCGCGCGCTCTGTGATGTGTACGTACAGGATCAGACCTTGCCCTTTCCTCCTGGCTGACCCTTCCTTAGTCCCCCGTGCCCCATGTGTGAGCACCCAGCTCACTCTCATTCCTCCCTCTCCAAAGCGTGGTCCCTGGCAGCACGAGTGGCAGAAGGGACAGCAGAGACTGTGGACCCCTCAGCTGCACCTAAGACCTCTGTGTGGTCTAGCCGTGTGTGCTGGGGGAGGCTTTTGGCCACCATTTCCCCGTCTGTAAATGAGACCGATACCTGTAGCATGGAGGGCAGGAGGCTGGTGTGAGTGCCAAGCACTTGGAGCAGGGCCCTGAGTGAGCATGGACGTGGGAGCAGGGGTGTTTCTCGACTTTGTGCACCTTGGGGATGGGAGTGGGGCTCCCTGCGTGGGTTGACAAGGCATTGTTTTCTCCCACCCCACATTTGTCCCAGCCCTGCAAGTCCAATCCTTGTGGGTCTAGGAAGGAAGAAGCCCATGGCTGTGTGACCTCAGGCTGGTGCCTGGCCCTCTCTGGCTGTGAGTTCCTGGGAAAGTCAGCACCCAAGGCATGCCCTCAAGTTTAGCACTTTGACAAGAAGGGCGGGGACACTGGGATCAGGCCCAACCCTCTGGCCCCAAATCCCACGGCCCCAGCTGGAGGATGAGGAGATGCTGAGCTTGGATGGGGGAATCAAGGGTGTAAAGGGGCCCGCTCACCCCTCAGCTTGGCTCAAAGGTTCAAGGCGTCAAAGGTTCAGCCTGCGACTCAGGAAGGAGACCTGGCCCAGCCAGACACTCACCAGGACAAGGGCAACTGTGACGAGCAGGAGGCCCAGGATGAGGAGAGCCACAGCATAGCTGGAGATAAAGGCATCCAGCAGGCTGGAGGCTTTGGGGCTGGGAGTGCCTAGAGCAGAGCAAGAAGGCCATGGCCTGGCGGGGCTTTGCCTCCCAGACTTCTAAGAAGACAGAATCTGGGCCCAGAAGCTGCTGCGGGACCAGAGAGCTGGGACTAGGAGCACCTTGGAGGGCTCCATGAGGAGGGGAGGCAGGCTTCAGATCAGGGCATGTGGAGGCAGCGAGCCCAAGGGAGGAGGCAGAGGAACAGAGGGAGGCGGGCCTGCAGAGGGAAGGAGGTGATGACCGTGTCTACCAAGACGCCCTCTGCCTCCCACAGGGTGTGCAGGCCCTGGCGTGCACAGTCCCACACGACGGCCTGGGCTGGCGCCACCCTGAAGAAGGTGGCACCCACTCTGGCGGTCAGTGGGTCCGGCCTGCTGAGAGGATTATCACAGATTTCAGGGGGCTGTGCAGCCTTGCGGGACTAGGGGAGGTCATCTTTTCCAGCCTCCTGTCCTCAACCCCACAATGCTGGTCTGAGCCCTGGGTCACCCAGGGCCACCCTGGACCCACCGGAATTCCTCCACCACCACTTGGTCAAAGTTCTGCAGAGATCTGAGGACGAGGGTCAGCTGGGGGTCAGGAGAGGATGAAGAGGGTCACAGCTCTACCAAACGAAGCTTCATTCCTGGTGGTGCCTGGCCCACCCCTCTGCTGCCAATCTCAGGCTGGCCCAGCCCTGCAGAGTAGGTGCCTAGAGGCATCGTAGCAGTTCCTGTCATGCTGGTCTCCCCCCGGGGCCCCCTCTGGAGCCTGGTACCACAGATCTCAGGGTAGGGGGTACAGCTCAGTCTCCCTTCCCCCTCATGCCCCTCATAGGGGCTTGGTCCACCAAGGCCCCTGACTGCTGGGGGACCCACACCCACGGCCCCCTTCTTTCTGACTGCTGGCCCTTCCCCAGCCTGGATACTCGAGCCCTGGGCAGAGGGGTAACGATCCCAGGACTGTCTTCGCAAGCAGAGAGGCTACTTGGCACCAGGCTCTTACTCCTTGGGCTGAGCTCAGCAGCAGGTGTGTCACCAAGGTCCCCTGGGCAGAAGGGGCTCAGCCCTGAGGGCCCATCACTTGCCACGCCTGCATGTTCCTGCTAGGCATCCACCCTGGGGACCCAGCTTCCCCCTGCCCCCAGCTGCTGGCAGCCCCGTCTTGACTCATCCAGGGTCCTGGAGGCCATGCCAGGAAGCAGCCAGCAGCTGGGAGGAGCACGTGGTGTTTCTGCATCTTTTTTTATGGAGCTCCCGTGGGTGGGAGGGGCTACAGACTCAAGGGAGACTGCAGGCCACCCCTTCCCCACTCCCTGGCTGGGTGGGCTTCCAGCTCAGGAGTCTGACTGGAAGGATGGGACTGTGCTGTCCCAGAGGCAGGTCTGAGGAGTCCAGGCCCAGTTTTACCCTCCAGCAGGGCCCCTTTCATTCATTTGTCCAGCTGGCTTTGCCCAAAACCCAGGTGATGTCTATGTGGACTGTGTCCCCTGTCCCCAAGGGGAGTCTGGCTCCAGTCCTGGCCTGGAACTCAGAGACCTTAGAATTAGAGGCCACATCTGGCAGGGAGGACCAGCCAGGGCAGGTACCATGTTGGCAGCCCCAGACCTGACACCACGGCTCCCATGTCCCCTCTCCACTTCCGTCCTGCATATCATCTACGCTACGTGCTGTCTCTGATGAATCCAAGCTGTCAGCTTCTGTCAGCTTGGCCGGGAAGTCACGCTGACCGTAAGGGGAATGGTGCAGCCTGAGTTGGGGGCTGAGTGGGAATGGGCCTGGTGTGGGGTGGGGGAGGTGGGGGCGAGGCGGGTGTCTGGCGCCTCTCTGCTTATCTTCCCTTCTCCTTTGCCCACGAAGGAGGCGTCTTCTCCATGTCCCTCTGCCACCCTGGGAACATAAAATTCTGCCCCAGGTCTGTCTTCCTTTGGACATAGCCCACCTACCTTCCTGTGGGACTCAGGGCTTTGTTTTGTCCTGTGGCCCACATGAGAAGCAATTATCCCTGCCCTGCTCAGCTGAGAGAGGACAAACTGAGGCAGAGCAGGGGAACAACTCTGTCATAGTCTGACTGTTAACGGCAGAGTCAAGACCAGCCCTTCCCTGAGTGTCACGTCCAGTGGACACTGTATTAGTCCACTTTGCATTGCTCTAGAGGAATACCTGAGACTGGGTTATTTATTTATTTATTTTTGAGATGAAGTCTAGCTCTGTCACCCAGGCTGGAGTACAGTGGCACCATCTCAGGACACTGCAACCTCTGCCTCCTGGGTTCAGGCTACTGTCTTGCCTCAGCCTCCTGAGTAGCTGGAATTATAGCCATGCACCACCATGCCTGGCTAATTTGTTGTATCTTTAGTAGAGACAGGGTTTTGAGATGGAGCTTCGCTCCTGTGGCCCAGGCTAGAGTGCAATGGTGTGATCAGCTCACTGCAACCTCTGCCTCCCAGTTCAAGCAATTTTCATGCCTCAGCCTCCCAAGTAGCTTGGATTACAGGCATGCACCACCATGCCTGCCTAAATTTTGTATTTTTAGTAGACAGAGTTTCACCAGGTTGGCCAGGCTGGTCTTGAACTCCTGACCTCAAGTGATTCACCCACCTCGGCCTCCCAAAATGTTGGAATTACAGGCGTGAGCCACCACTCCTGGCCCTGAGACCGGGTAATTTATACAAGAGGTTTATTTGCCTCACAGTTCTGCAGGCTGTACAAGCATCTGCTAGGCTTCTCGTGAAGCCTCAGGAAGCTTTTACTCCTGGCGGGAGGCAAAGAGGGAGCAGACGTGTCGCATGGTGAGAGAAGAAGCAAGACAGAGGAGATATCAAGCTCTCCTGTGAACTAATAGAAAACTCACTCATTGAATCACTCGAACCTGGGAGGTGGAGGTTGCAGTGAGCCAAGATCATGCCACTGCACTCCAGCCTGGGCTATGAGCGAGACTCTGCCTCAAAAAATAAAAAAATAAAAAATAAAAAATAAGAAAACTCACTCATTACCATGGGGAGGGCACTAAGCCATTCATGAGGGATCCTCCACCATGACCCAAACACCTCACATTATAGGCCGCACCTCCAGCATTGGGGATCACATTTCAACACTAGATGTGGATGGGACAAGTATCCAAACTATGTCAGAGGCCTCCCCCTCCCTCTCATCAGAGTCTTCTGTCTTCAGTTCAGGTGCATGCTGGCTTCCATGCCTGGCTTCCTAGGAAGTCATCTTGGCCCCATGGGGTTGGGCAGGGCCACTAGCCCGAGGGTTGGAGCCCTATCTCTCCTAGTCCCAGCCTGGGTCTCCATCATGGGCTAGCCCGCTCTGCTTGCTGCGTTCTCTCCACACCTGCTCCCTGCAGCCCAGGGGTCAGTCTGGGTGCAGGCCTGGGTAGAGGTGCAGGAGCAGACTCTGCCCCCAAGCTCATACCTCCTGTGCACCATGGCAGCCAAAATCCACCAGCATGACCAGGAGTGCTGGCTTGTTCTTGTAGTCTCAGTGTTTTGGGAGGCTGAAGTGGAAAGATTGCTTGAGACCAGCCTGGGCAACATTGCCAGACCCTGTCTCTAACAAAATAAAATTAGGCATGGTGGCATGTGCCTGTAGTCCCAGCTACTCAGATGGCTGAGGTGGGAAGATCACATGAACCCAGGAGGTCAAGGCTGCAGTGAGCTATGATTGCACCACCACACTCCAGCCTGGGCAACAGAGCAAGACCCTGTCTCTAAAACAAGAAACAAAGTGTACCAGTGTGTGGATGCCACCACCTACTGGTGTGTGGACCTGACCTCACTCAGCCCCATCAGTGAGTGGGAGGTTTCCTGCTGTCTTCCAGAACATTCCCACCACTACACCTGTGTTCCTCCTGCATTGTTTGGCAGGCTTTGTGAGGGGACCTGTCACCTACCTCTCTGGCTGCCCTAAGGCCCAGCTCAAACCTTCCCTGCCCCTGAGAACCTTTTTCTGAAGAGTCTTTCCCCCACCCATAGGGCCCCTCATTTCAGAGCTTTTGGTAGGGTGAGTACAAGGATTGACTCTCTGCTACCAGCCTAGGAGGAATTGTCCCTAGGGTTGGGTCTCTGGATGGCATATGGGGGTCTAGACCAGGACCCACATGCCTGTAACCTGAAGGGCAGGCCCTCAGCTGCCCCAACTTCATGGAGCCCCTCGTCCAGCCTGACCTTCTGGACAGGCACAACCCCTGCACCCTTTGGTCTTGGTCCCTGCTGGGACCTCTGGTTACCCTGGCTTACCTACTTTAACTCCAAAGGTAATGCTAACATCCCCCGTGAGACACAGTGACAGACTGAGACTAACGTAGTGTTACCTGGCTCAGAGTCACCATGACCAGGCAGAGCTCAGGTCCTAGCCCTGCTCAACCTCTGCCTCCTGGGTTCAAGTGATTCTCCTGCCTCAGCCTCCCGAGGAGCTGGGACTACAGGCACATGCCACCATGCCCGGCTAATTTTTTGTAGTTTTAGTAGAGATGGGGTTTCACTGTGTTAGCCAGGACGGTCTTGATCTCCTGACCTCGTGATCCACCCACCTCAGCCTTTCAAAGTGTTGAGATTACAGGCCCGAGCCACTGCACTCGGCCTCCCTAACACCCTTCTAGCTCTGGTGCCCTGCAGGGTCTACCTTGGAGCACCTGGAGCCCAAGAAGCTGCCCCTCACCTTTGTGATCCCAGGGACCCACTCCCTGATCATGATGAAGGCAGACCGAAACCCGCTGAGGTGCCTGAAGGAGCAGGGGTCAGCCTCTACCTCCCACAGCCTCTCTGATGGGGAGGATGTTATCCCAGCAGTGTGAGCTGGGAGCAGAATTGGGAGGATGGGAGGTTTTCTCTGTGGGTAGCTCTGAGCTCCAGGGTGGAGCCCTCTTAACCTGGCCTTTCCCCTGTGACTCTCCTTGGCCCCAGGCAAAGAAAGCATTTTGCCTGAGGTCATCTGTCAGGTAGGGACAGAGTGAGACCTGGGTTCTTTCTCACCCAGCTGAAGCTCCCCCTCCCACCTGCCCCTTCCACCAGGTGATAGGGAACCTGGCAGGCTGTGCCCCATAGAAGAGTTCACTTTCCTTCTGGTGAGGGATGGGAAGCAGCTTGGGGCGAAAGGGATGAAGGGTCTGGGGGCTCTCCCAGCCCAGCCTCACATTTGAAGGATAGCATCTAGGTGGCAGCATGGTTTAGGGTAGACACGGTGGCCCCAAGGTTTATAGCCTGGCCTCGGGCAGCTGCCGTGCCACCTTCTCTTCTGCACGTCCTGACCTGGCACCCTACCTAAAGGTCCTCAGGTCTCCTGCCCCCTGGGCATTGCCCCCACTCCCTGCCCAGACACAGCTCTTCTTGTCCTGGACTAATCTTCAGAGATTCTTGTCCAGCCCACAGCTTTGCTGGACATCGCAGGCTGGGCCAGGCCCCCTGACCAGCACTAACGTCTCTTTGTGAGTCTCAACCAGACTGAGCTGCAGCTTCAGGGTCAGGGTAGGCTCTGACTTAATTGATGTGACCCAGGACAAGGGGATTTATTGATGGTGTCAGACCTGCTTAAGCTCTTGGCCTCTATGGTTTCTTTAGGGCATGGTACCCCTCTGTCCCATGCTTAGGTGCCCACGTGTGGCCACAAGTGCCTTTCCTACCACCATCCCTACTTGAGGCTGGTGTCCAGGCACCTGTGGCTCCAGGCAGAAGGCTGAGCGCAGAGCCAGGCCTGGGCGGATGTTCTGCAGGGGCTGCAGGAGCTGACAGTCCTGACCACCCAGCCCGTGGCCATCCATTCCCCTTCACCGTGGCTGGCCCTTCATCCACTATCCTTCCAGGGGCCAGGCCTGAACCCAAACTGACTTTTACCTGCCCCTGTTCCCCCTTGTGCCTGCCAGGTTCTTGGCTAAGCGTGATGGTCTTGCCCATTTCCTTGATTATCCTCAAGAGGTTTATAGAGCCAATTGGGGACATCACATCTCCTGTCTACCAGGTCCTCACCAGAGACATGACTGCCTTGGGCCAGGCCTGGGATAGTCAAGGGGTCACACTCACCTGTTGGGACCTGGCTTCAGTGGCTTCAATCTAGGCAATGGCCTGATGGGCGGCTGCCCCTTCTTCTGTGCTTGGGGGAGGCAGGAGAGGAAGGTCAGGCAGGAGATCTGCTTCCTGCCCTCCTGATGCTGGTTGGAAGCAGGGCGCCCACCTGTGCCTGTCTCACCTCGCTGCAGGTACATCAGAGGCTGAACCCCTCTCCTGATCTCCTGCAGGTGTGGATTCCAGGTTTCCAATGGGTGTCGGGGTGGGCTCCAGAGCTCTCCTGGCCCTAGGGAACCCTGGGCTCCATGAGGCCTTGGCCTAGCCAGATTGTTTCCCACACTGTCACCTCTCCACCCAGTCACCTCCCCAAACATAGGGCTGCATGCTCTGTGCCCTGGGTGGGACAGTGGAAGGAGTTCCACTTTCGGGGTTTGGATCACAGTAAAGCCTCTGCCATGGGGATGTGCTGGCTGAGACAGATGGGGTTGAACCAGCCATGATACATTGGCCTTGGGCAAGTCATCTGTGCCTTGCTTCCCTTTCCCCAGCAGCCAGAAGGGATAATAGCACCTAGTTCACCCATACTCAAGTGTTCACTTGTTAGCAGGAACTGAGTCCCGGAGGAGGTGCAGGCGGAGCCATTGAGGCAGCACTGCAGCTGGACCTGGGTCTGAGTCCCAGCTCCTGGCTGTGATATGCGTCACTCTCTCCATTTATTTATCTGAAGGACAGGGCTGTGCTGTTCTGGGGTCACTGTGACAATGCAACTGGCCTGTGTGAGTTGGTGGTGGCCTCCTGAGATGGTTTGAGGTGGGCTGGAGGTGTGTCTTGAATGCCCCCTCGCCCCCACGGGGAAGATCCACTTAGGGAAGACTCGTGTCTGTATGGAGGAACCCACATTCCCTGCCCCTCAGTTATCCTCTGTCCTTTCCCAGCCCCCTCTGCTGTCCTGCAGGCTCTGGCGGTGGCCATCCAGCTTGGTGGCCATCTGGCTGGTCCACTCTTCCAGGTGGACCCTCTGTCCTCATTTGGTGCAGGTCCCATTGTGCCACCTCCAGACAGGCCATGCTAGCCCCAGGGCCTCCGTTCCCTGTTACCCAGCCCCCACCCCCAGGTACGTGCCCCCTCCCTAAAGCCCACTGTGTCCACCAGCTGTGTTTCAACTCTGTCTCTGAGCAAGGCCTAACGCAAAGCCTGAAACAGCCTGGCTTGTAGAGGGCCAGGAGACCAAAGCTTGAAGAGAGAGTGACGGTCTCCCAGAGCCCACTTAGCCTCAGCCCCAGGGCTGTGTCCATGCTGGTCCTGGCTCCATTGAGCCAATTCTCTCCCCTGACGCCTGTAAGGGCTCCAGTGGTGATGGAGGTAGCTGGAGAGAACAAGGCTGTCTTAACGCTCCCTCCCTGAGAAGGCCCAACGGGGAACGTTTTAGGCATCAGGGCATTCCGGGTGGCATCTTCAAGGGACCCCTCCTATACCCTGCCCTGCCCTGGCTCTCTAGTGAGAAACTGCAGTTGCTTGGACAGTGGGGCTGACCCAGGACAAATGCATATATTGGGCTGGTCTTCAGGGTGCTGGGGTAGGGGCAGGGGCACTTCAAGGATAGGAAGGAGAGGCCTGTGTGTTCCAGAAGTACAGAGGAACCTGGTGCCGGCCGCAGTCAACCCCTATGTGATGATCTTTCTACCCACCCTCTTTGGTGTCTTGGTGCTGGCTGCTGTCTTTGGCCAGGTAAGCTCATGGTCTGGGCTTCTGGGGTCCGCTCACTGGGCTTGCCCACTGCCTGCAGGTAGGGGAGCCTTTGGGCCAGGACTATCCTTGACTCCCCTTCCAAGTGGTGGGTTCAAAGACCATTCCTGGGTTCCACCACCGCCAAGCCTCAATGGTGTCTTAATGGGCCCAGGAACTGCTGGAGCTTTCTAGGTTAAGACCCTTGCCTATCCCGGTGTTCCCCCCCTGCAGTAGGGGGCTGCAGGGGTCAGCCTCAGTCTCTGCCTTGGGAGCCTGCCTTACCTTGCCTGAACTCAAGCGATCTGCCTGCCTTGGACTCCCAAAGTGCTGCGATTATAGGCGTGAGCCACTGCACCCAGCCCAGCCTTGACTTTGAAATATATGTTGTACATCCGGACAGCAGTGAACTCTGGGGGAACACCAAAGATGAGGAGAATGAGAGAAGAGATACCTCCAATTAAAGGAGTTAAGAAGAGATGCTTGAACTTATGTTTTAAAAAGTCACTGCAGGTTGGGCACAGTGGCTCGCACCTGTACACACAGCATTTTGGGAGGCTGAAGTGGGTGAATGGCTTGAGCCTAGAAGTTTGAGACCACCCTGGGCAACATGGCAAAACCCCATCTGTACACAAAATACAATAATTAGCCAGGCACGGTGGTGTCTGTGGTCCCAGCTACTCGGGAGGCTGAGGTGGGAGGTCGAGGCTGCAGTGAGCTGAGATCCACCACTCCACTGTAGCCTGGGTGACAGAGTGACACCCTGTCTTAAAAAAAAAAAAGTCACTGTTTTGGGGTTTTCTGGGTGAAACCTCTGTTTCCATAAAAAAAAAAAAAGGGTCGAGACAGTATGTATTACTAATTGAAAATCATAACCAGATGCTTAGAGTAAATCATTGTATCGTTTCAAAAACCAACCTCAGGATTATTAAAAGTTAGTTTTTAATAATTTTTTATTATTTCCTTTAAGCTTGGCTGATTCACTCAGGTCTGTCACTTCCAAGCCCATGTTTTACTACTTTGTAACCCTATTTGGAAGGACAACTGCAGCTCACATTATGATCCATCCTGAGATGAAAAGTTTCACACGTATACACCACATATACCCCCCACCACAGTATGATGGCACAGCAATCCAACCTTGGGCAAAATGGTACCACTGCCAGCAAATGCATTTTTTTCTTTATTTAAAAAATTTTTTTCTGTATTTCTTCTAACAGCAGCAAATGCATTTAACATTTTATTGAGATTCTCAACAGCTGCCATTTGGTTTGTTTAGCAAATTGTTTATAAAGTAACTTTTTTCCATTTTTGATATTTGAATGAAAATTATGTTCTTCAGTTTTAAAGCCCCATCTCTCTCCCAAAGAAAGGTTAATAACTAACTACCAAGTAATGATTATTTAGGAAAAGAAGAAAAGCAAAACCAGCTTGTAAACACTTCTGGAACGTGGGTAAGGGGCCAAAGTCAAGACCTTCTGGGCCCAGTGCAGGTGCTAGGCTTGCCTCGGGACGCCATCAGCACTTCCCCATCCACAACATCCTCAACAGCTGGGAGCCATGCGCAGACCCCAGGGGGCTTCCTGTTCCACAAGCTCCCCTCTCTTTTTCCTCCCCACCCTTGCTGTTGGGCCTCCCTTCCAAATCTGCCTAACAAAGGCAGCAGGATCTTTAATACTGTTCAGCTTTGTCAATGGAGACAGGATACTCTAGAAAGTTGAGAGATTCCCTGGTCCAGTCTGGGGGAGGAAAAAATATGCAGTGTAGCATAGATGGTTTTACTTGTCCACTCAGACACATGCTCATACTTATTAGATGGATGTATCAGATGCTTCAAAAGTCCTGATGTGTAGTAGCACAAAAGCTGCTTGTAAAAAGGAAGTTGCAAAATGATAAAAATTTCTGCAGCAGTTCAGGCTCCTGATGACAAAGCTGGTTCTGATAAGTAGTTATTTTGACATGCACAGCAGCTTTCGCTGTTAAGTCCTGTGTTCCAGCGGTTTCATTTAGACCACGGGAAGTTGAAAGTAAAGTTTAAATGTTCTCTGCTGACAAAATGTGGTATATATCCATCAATGGACTTCTACTCAGTAATGAAAGGAACAAACTACCAAAACCTGTTATATGTCATGGACCAACCTCAAAAACATTAGCTAAGTAAAAAAGCCAGACATGAGACCACATATTGTATAATTCCATTGATTTGAAATGTCCAAAAAAGGCAAGTTGATAGAGATGGAAATGGTCTGATTTACCTCAAGAGGTAGGGATTCAAGCTCTCTAGGGTACATGTGATACATACATGAGAAAAAATAAGGAAAAGAAAAGAAATTTATATGTAAATAAATGAAAATACTACTTCTCCCTGATTATAAAGAAAATTGCTTTCTTTTTGTAATAATTTGGAAGACAAAATATGAAGAAAAGTCTTTAATTTTGCCACTGAAAGCATTCTGGTTTGTTGCTTTTTATATTTTTTTATGCATATGAACATTTTAAAAAGTAGAATCGTAATATATAGTCTTTTGTCACTATGTTTTGGGCATATTTCTATGGCAGTAAATATATCCTTGGCATCATCTTCTTAAAAGCTCGATGTATATTAAGTTAATCATTGCCACCCCAGAAGTAAATTTTCTTATATATATATTTTAATGGACGCAAGCAAGCATTTTGGGGCTGAAGTCATAGAAGTAGAATTTCTGGAGGAAAATAACATAAAATAGTTTTAAGATTTTTAATAGAAATTTTCAAATTATCCTGCAGAAAAATTGGTTCAGTTTATACTCCCAACAGGGGCAGAGCTCCAGTGTCCCCCTTCCATTTGTCCTCTTTGCTGATATTTAAGGAGAAAATCTCATTGTTTTCATTGTATTTCTTTGGTTTCTAGTGCTTTTGAAACTTTTTTTTTTTTTTTTTTTTTGAGATGGAGTCTTGCTCTATGGCCCAGGCTGGTGTGCAACAGTGCAATCTCGGATAACTGCAACCTCTGCCTCCTGGGTTCAAGCGATTCTCCTGCCTCAGCTTCCCGAGTAGCTGGGATTACAGGTGCCCGCCATCATGCCTGGCTAATTTTTGTATTTTTTAGTAGAGATGGGATTTCACCATGTTGGTCAGGCCCGTCTCAAACTCCTGACCTCAGGTGATCCACCCACCTCGGCCTCCTAAAGTGCTGGGATTACAGGCGTGGGCCACGGCCCCGGCCTTGAATCTTTTTTATGTGCTTATTGGCCATTTTTATTCTTGTGGGAAGTGCCTGTTTCTCCATTGCCTATTTTCTGGCCAAGCTCCCAAGTCACATTTCACTTAATTTTTATCCTGCTGATTGAAAGCATTTTAACATAAACAGGAGCAGGACAGAGTGTAATTATCTAGATCTTGCTCTGTCACCCAGGCTGGAGTGCAGTGGCATGATCATAGCTACCACAGCGTCGTACTCCTGAGCTGAAGCAATTTTCATACCTCAGCCTCCCATGTAGCTAGGACTACAGGTGTGTGCCAGCACGCCCAGCTAATTTTTGAAATTTTTTGTAGAGATGCGAATTCGCTATGCTGCCCAGGCTGGTCTTGAACTCCTGACTTAAAGTGATCCTCCCACCTTGGCTTGCCAAAGTGTTGGGATTACAGGCATGAACTACTGCTCCCGGCCGAGAGCTCATTTTGTTTGCTAGTGGTGATATTGGTATCTTTTTATATTTGAGGCTTTGGTGCTAGTGCTGAAGTATTACACTCACCATCCGAGGTTTGCAGGACTTTTGTTTTAATATTGAATACATGGAACTGTTTACTTCTGCATCTTTGCAGGCATACAAAATGTGCCTACCAGGACTCTGCTTTATATCTATCGAAAGCAAGAAGTAATACAGTAAAACTTTGCCTGGCTAGAGGCTTTGGAAGAATGGAGTATTCTGATTTAATGCTATTAACTTGGAAGTGTGAAGGTGAAAAGAATTCAAAACTTACATTTCCTGTTGAATGCAATTTGAAAATACAGCCAGTGATTCCACTTTTCTTCTCTAGTAAGTTTGGACATTCCGATCTACTTGGTGTTTTATTATAGAACTGCTAGTGTGCCTGAGACTTACATTGTGAAGACACTTTTTAAAAAACTTGAGAGGTAAGAGGGTGTAAATGGTATTGTGTGAGATCAGGCTGGATGAGAACTGACACTTGTAAACATACTTTTTAGGCTGAATCTCTGATTGCCATTTGTTTTCTTATTTAACTCATAAAAATAAAACACATTGGATGGAGGGTGGGAGTAGGAAGGAGATTTATGTCTTTTAATTGCATGTCATTGTTTCATATCAAGACAGAACATATGGTATCCCTGGCTTTGGACCTACAGAAGGAAACACATTTTTCTACCTGCTGTATGCCAGAGGTTCTTGAACACCTGGAGGGATGACTGCAGCACAGATTGCTGAGCCCTACTCCAGAGTTTCTGATTCACCATGTCCAGGGTGGGGCCTGAGAATTTGCACTTATAAAAAGTTCTCAGGTTCTGCTGCTGCTGCTAGTCCAGAGGCTACATTTTTGAGAACCACTCTTGTCTACTAACTGTAAATTGTAGAACTCTAGAACAAAGCTTAGTTTGGTGTGGGAAAGGAAGCTCACAGGTTATGGAGCAAATCATGAAAGATTCAACCCTTGATCCCAGCCTCGTGTGGAATTCAGGTAACAATACACAGTGACATAACACAATTCTTGGTTATCATGATTGCAAGTCATAGCCAAGTATCAAATGAGAAATTCAGTTTCATTTGCAAGGCTTAGAGAGGCCAGGTGATTCTAGAAAAATAGGCCTTGTATTTGCTTTAAACCAGTAAAGAGCTTTGAGTGCTTATTAAATGGAAAGCTTTGTGTTTTTATTTATTTTTGACTATTTTATTTTATTTTTTGAGATGGAGTCTCAGTCTGTCACCCAGGCTGGAGTGCAGTGGCGTGACCTTGGCTCACTGCAACTTCTGCCTCCCGGGTTCAAGTGATTCTCCTGCCTCAGCCTCCCGAGTAGCTGGGATTACAGGTACCCACCACCACACCTGGCTAGTTTTTGTATTTCAAGTAGAGATGGGGTTTCACCATGTTGGCCAGGCTGGTCTTGAACTCCTGACCTAAGGTGATCCACCCACCTAGGCCTCCCAAAGTGCTGGGATTACAGGTGTGAGCCACCACACCCGGCCCAAAAGCTTTGTGTTTTTAAAGATATTAGACATGTTTCTTGTTTTTTAAAAAATCTTAATAATGTAGGAGAATAAGAGAAATGTTTTTTCCAAAACCGAGAAATCATTGTGATTATTTTACCTTATTGGAATGTTGGATAATATAGTCCACTTCATTCATTAATCATCAAACATACTATGGATTTTCCATTTTTATAGGATTTGTGTCTTCACTGGGGTAATACTGGTAATTCTTATACTCCATCTGAAGATGAAAAACGTAGGCCAAAATCATAGACCATGCATAGAAGCTGGATAATGAAGACAGCTCTGGAGGAACATGTAGACACACACACACACTGACACACATATATATAAAGTATAAACACATATATTTTTTAAAGTTTAACATTTTAAAGCAAAAGCCGGTCCTCCCCTCTCCCGGAGTAGGCAGGCCCCGCCCCTCTCCCCGAATGGGCGGGGACAGCAGTCGCATGGGCAGCTTTCCTTGTGATGTCACAGGTTCCTCTGGACACACTGCTGCCTGGCCACGCCTCCTTTCCTTTTCATCTTTCTCATTGACCAATGGGATCGGAGCATTAAGGCCACACCCCTATTCTGCATTCTAGTGTGGCCCTGGTTACGCCTCCTCTGGCTCAGTCACACAGCAGCCTTGTAGGTGACTGGAGGTGTTCGCTGATGTGGCCCCAACCCTACCTCCCTCCCGACCCCATGATGCCAGAAGAAACTCGATGGAACAAATTGGCAGCAGTCAAGAAAAAGGTAAAAAGCCAAGAAAAAGGTCATGGCCCCCCAACCTAGCCAGAGATCCCCTCTGATGACAAGACCACTCTCAGAGTCCATACCACTCTTGAGGCACACCGGGCTGGGCCCCCCTACCCCGGCGCCTCTGGACTCCCCCCACCAAAGTCTTGTCAGTCAGCCCCGCCCCTTCAGCAAGCAGCCTGGCCTCTGCCCTCGCCAATCACCCTGCGGTGACTTTGGGCGGATGACTGCTGGGGCTCCCTGCTCCATATTCAGCCCTCAGGTCCTGCTGCCCCAAGCCCAACCTCCCTGGGTTCTTTGGGCTCACCTCTCCAAGGACCTGGGTCCCCCAGCCCCAACACCCCAGCATCGCCAGTCATCCCGGGGTGACTTTGGGCTGGTGACTCCTGGGGTTCCCTGAGCAGACTCTGCTCTCCCCTCCTGCTGACCCAAGCCCGACCTCCCTGGGCTCTCTGGACTGGCATCTCCAAGGACCTGGGTCCCAGCCCCACATCCCCCCTCCCCCATCGTGGATCGGCAACTCAGCCATTGCACTGATGAGGTTCCCCCCACCCCCAGGAGGAGTGGAATGTAGTGATGTCACAGTCCTCCTAGGAACTGTCATTACTGCTGCAAGACTGGCCTTTGATCTTACAACCCAGTCCCCTAAGCATTCTCACCCCATTTCTGGTTCCTCTGGTCACAGCACAAATTTCCAGCTAGAAGGGAAATGGGGACTATGGGACCTAGGGGCAAGAGGTTTCAGGCTGCCTTACTCCCTTCACATAGACATCGACAGTGTGAAAAGCCTACACTTCCCCTGTGAGCTCAAAACGTTGACAGTATCTCTGGGTGGTAATGGGAGAATGGGTTTGGTTTGGTTTTCTCCCAGGCTTCTACTCTCCAGAGAGATTTTAACATTTTTTTCTGAGTTCTCCACCTCATATTCTAATTCTCCACGGTTCTGGGACCAGACTGCCCTTCAGTCAGTGGTCTCTGAAGTGAGATTTGCTCATCTTCTGTGGAATAGATCTTGGGAAACTGAATTTGACAGCTTGAATCTTCCTCATATCATCTCAACTTGGGGTACATTGAGTGCCACAGGATAAATGTGGGAGATCTTTCTGAAGCACCAGTTTCCCTTGATTCTCTTGAGAGAGAAAAAACATTAATGTACTTAGGGATGACCCTCACATAGGTTTCTAAGAGTATACCAGACTTCTCTCTGAAATGAGACTTGGGTTGTCCTCTTTCTGACAAATTCCCAGATTTAACAAAAAAGCTGCCTTCTGCCATGAGGACACATTGATATAAAAGTTTGAGAGATACTGGTGCACTTCTTCACACTAACAGACATGTGAGGATGTATGACTCTAAACCACACAGCATGTAGTTCCTGCCTATGTAATGTTTACTTTTCTTGCTCTGCGTCTGGTTTTGGTCCCCAGCAGCTGCTGATCATGGCAAAACCCCAGAGCTTGGAGTCAGAAGACCAAGTTTAAGTTCCATTATTGCCCCCCCAACTTTTTTTTTAGCCATAATATCCATCCCTCTCAATCACTAAGTGATTGTGACAACACCTTGTACAGTTGTTGGTGGCATTAAACCAGATGGTGTATAAGAGTATTTTGCAAAAACTGTAAGGAGGGTGTGGCTGTAAGGGCTGGTAGTTCTCATGAGTATTACTGCTCTTCTTTCCCACAGCTAAAAGAATATCAGCAAAGGAAGAGCCCTGGTGTTCCAGCAGGAGCAAAGACAAAAAAGAAAAAAACTGGCAGTAGCCCTGAGACAACCACTTCTGGTGGTTGCCACTCACCTGGGGATGTGAGTCTTGGCTGGCCAGGCTCCTGGGGACAGGGGGCCCAAGGGGCAGTAGAGGGTAATTGTTGAGATTGCTGGGTACTGGTTAAGAATTCTGGGTTTGAATCCTGCTTCTCCATCTGCTAGCGATCTGATTTATGGCAAGTTGCTTGAGCTCTTTGGGCCTCTCTTTTCACATCTGTGAAATAGGGGTAGTATTGTTTGACTTCCATTTGTGAAGTTTAAATGAGATTCCTTATTGTTGTTGTTTTCATGTTAACTCCTAGTACGTGGCCTGCTGTAAACACCCAGGATACCCAGGAAATGATCATTGTTGTTTGATTTTCCTGATCCCCACTCTCAAGGGGAAGTTGGGCTAATGAGTACAGCCACTTGCCATCAGGCTGTCCCTTTAGGAGTCACTGAAGGGGGCCCAGGGTGTGGTGAGGAGAGCCCCAGGCACTAGGAGCAAGAGAAGATCTAACTTGCCACCAGCTTGTTGGGTGACCACAGAAAAATCACTTCTTCCACTGGGCCTCAGTTTCCTCCTCTGTAAGATGATACTGGATAAGATCAGTGTCTTTCAAACTTGTTTTTTAGCTGGAATCCCCTTAGTTCAAGTGAGCTCTTACTCAGAAGTCTGTTTTTTTTAATGGAGGTGGAGGTCTGGAGCTCTAACAGATTCATCACCCATGTCCTGGGCCTGAGGAGAGGGGACCAGTGAGCATATTAAGATCTGCATTGGTCAGCTGACTCCACTCTGTGACTGCGTCACTCAGGGGACTTTTCCATCTATTTGTTCCTGCCCCTGGCAAGGCAGCAGGTGGCCATTTGGAAGAATGGCACAGGCCATGGTTTTAATCTCCTCTGCTCTTCTTCAGCGTTTCCTTTTCCTGAACCCACATCTTCCTCCTACCCTGACTTTCTTGCTTCTCTCTAAGCCACTTCTGTCTTTCACCTCCTGCCCTTGTTTTTCCCTTGTCACCTCCTGTAGATTCAGGACATTCTGAAGGTGCTGGTGTCCAACCTTAATACTCCAATGGGGTAGTGCTCCCCCATTGGACAAGTGGAAGGTGAGGCAGTGCCAAGACCCCTCTCTGGCTTGCTGTCTCCAGCTATGCATGGCCCTGAGGCTTCTCTGGTTTGGGGAATACTTGGCCTCTGCCTTGTTTTATGTTGCTGCCATTAACCTTCAGCCTGTTTCTGTCTGCTTCTTCACCTGCTTGATTGATTGGGTTTTTTCCTTCCCCGCATCTTTTATCATCTTGGAAATGGTGAGACCTAAAAGTTTAAAAGTAATTTGGGAATAACGTACAGAGCAGGCATGTGGGGTTTGGGCCTTTTTATTTTTTATTTTTTATTTTTTTTTGAGACAGAGTCTCACTCTGTCACCCAGACTGGAGTGGAGTGGTGTGATCTCGGCTCACTACAACCTCTGCCTCCTGGGTTCAAGCGATTCTCTTGGCTTAGCCTCCTGAGTAGCTGGGATTACAGGCACCTGCTACCACACCTGGCTAATCTTTGTATTTTTAGTAGAGATGCAGTTTCACCATGTTGGCCAGGCTGGTCTTGAACTCCTGACCTCAAGTAATTCACTCCCCTCAGCCTCCCAAACTGTTGGGATTACCTGTGTCAGCCACTGTGCCCGGCTCCTTGCTGTTTTTATACTTTCTCTATATACATAACTATTTCCCATGTAAGTTTTTTTTTTTAAATTTCTCATTTTTATTACTCCTGCATCATCTGTTACCCTGAAGGATCTGGAAGTAAGAGGCCCTGGGCCGAGGTGCAGTGACTCTGCAGGCCAGCCCTCCAACCTCCTCTCACAGTGGGGGCTGGGTGACCCTCTGCCAGCTGAGACAGCCCACACACACCCCAGCCCTAATGATTGTTCTCTCTACCTCTCCCCACAATCCTCTTCCAACTCCTCCTCTCTGCATGTGCCTCAGAGCCAGTACCAAGAACTAGCAGTAGCCCTGGAGTCAAGCTCCGTGACAATCAATCAACTCAATGAAAACATAGAATCATTGGTAAGAGTCCAGTGGGGTCCCCTGATTCCATGCTGCCAATCCTGGGCTTTAGTTTCCCCTTGGGGCCCTGAAGAAAGGGGCTGGGGGCCCCTGGTGCCAAGGGCAAATGGGGAGCTGGAGCACCCAGGCCTCACCTGGAGGGACCCCAGAGCAAGGAGCACGCAGCATGGCTCTTCTGTCACTGCCCTCTTTGCCAACTCTCTCTTCTCCAGACACCCCTGCTCCAGTCCTTGCCACACACACCCTGGGGTTGTCACCTCTCAGGGAAGCGCTAGCCTGACTGGTTGTCAGGGGCCCTGTATTTCTGCCCTGACTCAGTCCCTAATTTGCCTTGAGTATGGACAAGCCACCTGTCCTCCTTGGGCTCGTGTTTCCGGAGGAGGTAGAGCATCAAAGTTCTCTGTTAGCTCTGAGAGTCTGAGATTTAAAGGCCCCTAGAATGGAAACCTGAGGGCCAAGGGCTCCTGTCTGTCCTTTTCCATCCTATATCTGCTGTGAAGAACCGTAGCTGGCCCGTATGTGTTCAGTAAATGTTTGTTGAATGAAGGCACCTTTCTAAATCACAAGCTGGCAGAAGGGTGGGCCTTCCTGAGACTCCCTCTCTAGAGGTTTATGTTACTGTCCTTTTGAGAGAATCCAGATTCAAACTTTGAGTTCTGCGGCTTTGGGCAAAAACCAACAAAGACCCAAATCCTCTGTCCTTGGGTGCTTGAAGAGGGTTGACCAGTTCGTGTCGCCATTGGGTCTGAGAATGTTGCCTTTAAAATCCATTCCTGGTCCCTGCCTACCACTTCCAGGTCTGGGGAATAGAGTTGAGGGGGCCACTCTCAGTCACCTGAATTTGACTCTCCCCACAGAAACAGCAGAAGAAACAAGTGGAACATCAGCTGGAAGAAATAACGTGATTTTCTTTGCTTACAACATGACTGCTGGGTTTGGGGGGCACTCAGATGCAGAGGTGCCAGTCTCATCTTGCCCACTCCCAGCCTGGGGAAGAAGGCTCACCCCTCAGATTCCACCCCATCCCCACGGGGTCCCTGATAACCTGGTTCCATGGGTGGGCCTGTCCTGGGACATTGGTGGCATTCTGGGGGCGTGCCTCCTGCTGTGCCATCTCGGCCTCCCTGTGGCAAGAGCTCTGTCTTCCTCTTCCTATAGGCAAAGAAAGCAAACAATGAAATACACAAAGCACAAACAGAGCAGTTAGAGGTGAGTGGAGGGTGGGGAGCTTTCTCCTGTCCTCTGGAGAATGTTTCTTTCCTTCCCTTTCAGCACTTGCTTGGCTTTTCTCCCAAAAGTTCAATTCCAGACAATCAACATCCTCACATTGGAAAAGGCAGACTTGAAGACCACCCTTTACCATACTAAACGTGCTGCCCGACACTTCGAAGGTGGGAATCTGGGCACCCCATCATCCTTCAACCTGGCACTTTGACAGGTCTTTAGGGGGAGTCTTTTGGGCCCCATCTCAACCTCTCTCATTACAGAAGAGTCCAAGGATCTGGCTGGCCGCCTGCAATACGCCTTGCAGCGTATTCAAGAATTGGAGCGGGCTCTCTGTGCTGTGTCTACACAGCAGCAGGAAGAGGACAGGGTGAGTCCAACCAGCTGCCCCATCCCCTGGCAGCCTGGCTTCCCAGATGGAGGAGTGAGCCTAAAGGTCCCTTCTGCAGGATGGAGTGTCCTACCCAGAAGGCAGCATGGTCATTTCTCACTACTTTTGTGTATGGTTGTTAGAGGCAGCCTGGGGCTGAGTCAGCTGCTGTGGGTGAGTTGGGGGGCACTATGGGGAGTGAGCACTGGATGCAGAGCTCAGAGGCCAAGTGCCTGCCCTGCCCTTTCCTGGCTGTGGCCTTGGGCAAGTCCTAGGTGGGGTATTGGATAGTTGTTCTGTGAAGGTACAGAAGAGCACCTTTAGTATGTTACCATTTCTGTAGAGAGAGGAAAGGGGTGTGTGTGTGTGTGTGTGTGTGTGTGTACTATGATAATATACAAAAACATGTCTGCAAGCATTCATAAAAAACTCAGGAGAGAGTAACAGGGTGCCTGGGAGACACCTCCCTTCTGTACCTTCTGAGTTTTGGACTATATGAATGTATCATCCTTTCAAAAAGTGAACAAAAGATTAATTTCCCCCTTCCTATCTGTGTCCCCACCCCCAGCAAGAAAAATGGGCTTAGAGAATAGGATAGACCTGGGTGTTCAAATCCCAGCTCTGTCTAAGTGATCTTAGGCAAGCACTTAACCTCGAACACTCGATGTTTTTCATCTACACAATAGAGGTAATCCTAGTAACTGTCTCATATGGTGGTTGTGAGGATTAAATGGGATTGCTAGCATGGAACCTGGTGAAGCACTCCATAACGGTTCAAACAGTGGTAGTAATAACAGTAATAACAATAGCAATATTATCTGATCTCTCTGGGCCTCTGTTAGCCAGCTGTAAATTCGATCTCTTTCCCTCTCCCTTCCAAATTTACTGAGTTCTTTTAATAACCAGGCCACGGGCTTGGAAATGCCTTGACCTTTACTAACCGAGTTGTATATTGAGCCTAGCCCTAGCCCTTTTAAGGGGCACTGCCTGAGCTCCCCAGATCAAAACTTCTCACTCTTCACCATCCAGTCCTCGAGCTGCAGAGAAGCGGTCCTCCAGTGGCGGTTACAGCAGACCATAAAGGAGCAGGCACTGCTGAACGCACACGTGACACAGGTGAGGCTTTGCAGAGGGAGGGATGTGGAAGGAAGATGACCCCAGGTGGCCAGGAGCAGGTGAGGACCAGTGACAGCCCTTCCTAACTTCTCTGCCCATTTCTTGCAGGTGACAGAGTCACTAAAACAAGTCCAGCTAGAGCAGGACGAATATGCTAAACACATAAAAGGAGAGAGGGCCCGGTGGCAGGAGAGGATGTGGAAAATGTCGGTGGAGGTGAGGTCTGACCCTTCAGCCCCCACTTTAGATAGGTCACTGGATCTTTCTGGGCATCTGTAAAATGGGAATAGTACAGCCAGAGGTGGTCATGGGTCTGGGCTTTGTGGAGATGGGGGCACAGAGTGAGATGGTAGCCTATCCAGCCACCAGCCCCTCTCTCCAGGGCCCTTTCCCCTGTGCTTTGGGCAGGCTCGAACATTAAAGGAAGAGAAGAAGCGTGACATACATCGGATACAGGAGCTGAAGAGGAGCTTGTCCGAACTCAAAAACCAGATGGGTAAGATGGGGCTGGTGTGACCTGGGAGCAGGACTGGCATCAGAGGTCTGTGGGGGTGGCTTAGAATGCCCCAGGGAGGTGGGTGGGTGGAAGGGCTTTGAGGCAGAGGGAAAGAGGTCTGTGCCAGGAGACGGCAAGTTTTGTCATCTCCATGAGCCTCAGGGTCCCCATCAGCAAAGAGGGAGGAGCACCCGTTGTCAGCCACCCACAGTGCTCTCTATGTGAAAGTGGCTTGGAAACTGGCTACCATCGGGTGCGAGGAATGATTAGCAGTGAGGCCAAGTTTGGGAAGCCTGAGAGGAGCTGTGCATCAAGAGGAGGTTTTTTTTTTTTTTTTTTTTTTTGAGGTGGGGGTGGGTAGAGGGGTTGGGGAATCCAGAGGCCCTTATTGTCTGCTTTGTTTCTCAGCTGAGCCCCTATCCCTGGCGCCCCCAGCAGTGACCTCTGTGGTGGAACAGCTACAAGATGAGGCCAAACACCTGAGGCAGGAGGTGGAAGGTCTGGAGGGAAAGCTCCAATCCCAGGTGGAAAACAATCAGGCCTTGAGTGTCCTGAGCAAGGAACAAAAGCAGAGACTCCAGGAGCAGGAGGAGAGACTCCAGGAGCAGGAGGAGATGATCCGAGAGCAGGAGGAGATGCTCCGAGAGCAGGAGGCGCAGAGGGTGCGGGAGCTGGAGAGACTGTGTGAACAAAACGAGAGGCTTCGGGAGCAGCAGAAGATGCTACAGGAGCAGGGTGAGAGGCTGCAAAAGCAGGAGCAGAGGCTACGCAAGCAGGAGGAGAGGCTGCAAAAGGAGGAGGAGAGGCTGCAAAAGCAGGAAAAGAGGCTGTGGGACCAGGAGGAGAGGCTGTGGAAGAAGGAGGACAGGCTACAAAAGCAGGAGGAGAGGCTCGTGCTCTTCCAGAACCACAAGCTCGACAAGCAGCTGGCCGAGCCACAGTGCAGCTTCGAGGATCTGGTGGGTTGCCCCACCTGGGGAGCCTGCACTCATCCCTATCCCTCCAGGCCTTTGTTTCCCCACCTGTAAAATGGGCCAGTGTAGCCCTCACATGAAATGCTACTTCTAAAGGCACCTGTGAGCTACAGCTCATCAGGCTCTGCTCTGATGGCTGTGGGGGAGAAGGGATGATTTTTCTAACCTGCCTCCACGCTTCCTGGTGATATGGGAGGCAGACACCAAGGTCTGGTGTCTCCAGCTGCAGTGGATGGCCACTGATTGCTTCTCTCTGTCCAGAACAATGAGAAAAAGAGCGCACTGCAGTTGGAGCAGCAAGTAAAGGAGCTGCAGGAGAAGCTAGACGAGGTGAAGGAGATGGTAACCTCCACCCCATCCAAGAAGGGCTGGGAGGCGGGCACCAGCCTCTGGGGAGGGGAGGTGCCAGGCCAAAGGCAGCTCCAGCTGGGAGGCAGGTGACCCCAGCATCCTCCAGGGCAGCCCTATGACTGTTTCTTGCTTCCTGCCCTCTGACTTTTAGAGGTGGGTAGCCCTGGGCTCCTCCCAGATCGGGACATCATCATCCCAGCTAGAGGCATGGAGCCCCCAGTCACAGGGGAAGAGACAGTGGTACAAGAGTCTCCTTATCCGGGCACGGTGGCTCACACCTGTAATCCCAGCACTTTGGGAGGCTGAGGCAGGAGAATCACTTGATGTCAGGAGTTTGAGACCAGCCTGGCCAACGTGGCGAAACCTCACCTCTACTAAAATTACAACAAAAACAAAAAATTAGCCAGGCATGGTGGCGCATGCCTGTAATCCCAGCTACTCAGGAGGCTGAGGCACGAGAATCGCTTGAGCCCATGTGGTGGAGGTTGCAGTGAGCTGAGATTGCACCACTGCACTCCATCCTGGGCCACAGAGTGACACTGTCTCAAAACAAAACAAAAAAGCCTCCTTAGATTCAAACTGGATTCTGGCCTGGGTTCCACTGGTCACCGTTCAACTACTGTTCATCTCTAAGTCTCTGTTTCTGTGACTTCAAAAGGAAGTTAGCATTTTCCTTGCAGAGGTGCTGAGGATTGAATGATAGAATACCTGGAAAGCATTAGGCATGTAGCACACTTAGCAGATGGTGGTTGGCTCCCTCTGCTTTTCCACCAGTCTGTGGCCTACAGTTTAAATGGTGGGAAGAAGGACATGAGATTTGAGGCTGGGGAAGGAGGTATGGGGTTCTAGGCAAGGGAGGAAGCCTCTTAGGCCTGAAGCAAGGGACCAGGGTCCTGGGCAGGTGACAGAGCCCCACAGTGCCCTAGCTACCCTATTAATGGGCCCAGAACCTGGAAGCCAGCCACCATGTGCCCTCATGCCCAGGGTTTTCCTGCAGGTGGAGCTGAAGAGCCAAGGGTCTCAGAGTCTGCAGCAGCAGCGAGACTAGTACCTGGGTCACCTGCAGCAGTACGTGGCCACCTATCAGCAGCTGACCTCTGAGAAGGAGGCGCTGCACAGGCAGTTACTGCTGCAGACCCAGCTCGTGGACCAGCTGCAGCAGCAGGAAGCTTGGGGCAAAGCGGTGGCTGAGATGGCCCGCCAAAAGTTGCAGGAGACCCAGGGGAGGGAGTTGCTGAGGATGGGGCCCCGAGGGGGATGACCTGGCAACCTCCGTGCCTTCTCACTCTGTTTCCCATCCCCTTGGGAGCACCTAGAAGCTGCCAGCCAGCGGAACCAACAGCTAGAGACCCGGTTGAGCCTCGTGGCTCTCCCTGGAGAAGGTACAGGAGACCACTCAGAGGAAGAGGAGAGAGCCCCAGGAGGAAGGGGGGACTGTTAGCAGCATAGGATTGAGGGGTTGGAAGAGACCTTTAGAACAGCTGGTCGTTATGCCAACCGGGTGTCCGCACTAAGTTCAGCATCAATATGGTGACCTCCTGGGAGCAGGGGTCCACCAGGTTGCCTAAGGATGAATGAACTGGACCAGATCAGAAAGGGAGCAGGTCAGAACTCCCGCACCGACTGGTAGTGGGACTGTGCCTGGGCAATATAGCAAGATCTTGTTCTTAAAAGGAAAAATAAAGAACAGCAGCTCATTCCCCTCTGGGGAGAGGCTGGCTCAGGGTTACACATTGAGGGTGAGGACAGAGGTGGGCCCACCGTACCTTCCTTGTTGGGTTGTCTGAGGACCCCTCTGGCCACCTCCCCACAGGAGATGGAGGAGAACATCTGGACAGTGAGGAGGAGGAGGCGCCTCGGCCCACGCCAAACATCCCAGAGGACCTGGAGAGCCGGGAGGCCACGGTGAGCCTGACTTTCCCTGCCCCACTTTGCCACCTTCCTCTGTGGTCCCTCCCAGAGCCCGTTATGCTCTTGGTTTTCCCGCCTTCTGATTTCTGTGGCCCCTCACCTCTTCTGGGAGGCAGTGGTCAGACACCTTGTCACCTGTGACCAACAGGTGCACTCTCTGAGGCCCCAAGGGAAGGGACTGTGCTCCAACTTCCTGCCTCATTTGCTCTGTCTATGCCCCTAAAAGAATACTCACCTCTTGCCTTCAAGTGGCATTTTTCAACTCCGCTGGAGCCAGTTCCCAGGAGGAGCAGGCCCGGCTATGTGGGCAGCGGAAGGTGCGAAGGCTGTGCTGCCTGCACCTGGCTCATCTGGTGGCCTTGGCCTGGAAGAAGCCAGAGGCAGAGGCCCCAGCCCCAGGGAGGACTGGAGATGAGTTTGTGTGTGGGGAGAGCTACCGGGCCCTGAAGGAGGCCATGGTGAAGCTGAAAGTGAGTGAGTCCTGGCATGGGCCAAGAAAAGTGGGGGCGGGGCAGAACAGGTCACTCCCGAGATGTGACCCCATTATTTTGGCTCCAGAGCAGCTTTACGGACCTCCCGAAGGAGAAGGCAGATGGGACGGAGCAGGTGGAGAGACGAGAGCTTGGATTCGTCCAGCCTTCTGGAGTGACAGATGGCATGAGTGAGCAGGAGGCCAGGGCATGGGCACGGGGAGCTGCAGGGCCATCGGAGGGACCCTAGTGTCTGAGCCGTGTCCTCTTGCAGGAGAGTCCTTCACCGTATATGAAAGCCAGGGGGCAGTGCCAAACACGTGGCACCAGGAGATGGAAGATGTCATCAGGCTGGCCCAGAAGGAGGAGGAGATGAAGGTAGGGCATGCAACATCTCTGTGGGGGTGGGGGTGGGCATGGGCGCTGGCGCAGGCTCCAGGGTGGGAGCTGATCACCCTCCCTTCAGGTGAATCTGCTGGAGCTGCAAGAGCTGGTGTTGCCCCTTGTGGGCAACCATGAGGGGCATGGCAAATTCCTCACCGCTGCCCAGAACCCTGCTGATGAGCCCACTCCAGGGCCCCCAGCCCCCCAGGAACTGGGGGCTGCCGGTGAGCAGGATGGTGAGTAGAGCTCTCAGGCGGGGTGGGCAGGCAGGAGCAGGGGAGGCTCGCACTGTGCTCAGACCCCCGCCTCCCTCTCTCCAAAGATTTTTATGAAGTGAGCCTGGACAACAATGTGGAGCCTGCACCAGGAGCGGCCAGGGAGGGTTCTCCCCATGACAACCCCACTGCACAGCAGATCGTGCAGCTGTCTCCTGTAATGCAGGACACCTAGGAGCACCCAGGCTTGCCCAGCAAACCCTGCGTGCCATTCTTTTACCAGGCAGCCGAGAACAGGGAGATAAACATCATCATCTTCTAAGAGCTGGTCAAGAAATTTAAAACAACAACAACAACAAAAAGTTACAGGGTTCATCTCCTACACAATTCATTTACTCCATTTGAATGCTAGAGCCACTCACATTTATTTGTGTTTCTAATTTACCGTTTAAATTTATTTGTAAAAAGTTAAGGGAGAGTTGGTCTTTCCCTGATGTTCTTTCTGGCATCCTTTAGCATTTTTATTTTTTACTTGATAATTGTAGGTCATTAGCACGCATATCGAGTTTGCCCTTAGGTGGTGGGAATTCATACACACAAAGACCCACTATTTGCACAAAACTATTCTTGCTGGTTTGGAACAGGCTGCCATGCTTTTTAAATGTTATTGCAGCACATATATTCATTACAGAATTCAGATAAAATGTGCTTATGTTCTGCTATTACGTTTGATTGAATCCTAACCACAGTGAGCTCTTCATTAGCTCAATATGTGGTTTGCCCTCAAGTGCGCACTGTTTATTACTTTGTAATATGCCACTGTGAGTACTGACATTTAGAGTTGTTTAAAGGCCGAGAACTGGAAACAGCCTTTCCCCTATTTTCTGTGTATTGGGGATGGGAGTCATAACATTTTGGGGAGCTTTTTAAATCTCACAGAAGAGGAAAGTGGCCTGCTCTGGCAGGTGTGTGCAGGATACAGTGTGTTTCATTTGTTCTGGTGCCAAGAATGAGCACTGTACTATGGTAGTTCCCTTAGGATTTGTGTGTGCTCTGGGCTTATGAAGATATTGCATCATGAGCTGCAGCAGTTGTACCCTTTCTCGATGACCTAAAAAGGGATTATTTCTGAGGAATGAAAGGCTCCCATCATTGACTGTGGATGTGGAAAACCTTTTCTAGCGTAGAGCATTTATATCTACAATACATTTTAAAGTCAGAGTTCATGTTACCTGTTTTAATCACATGAGTATATGTCCCAGTACACAAAAGGGCACCGGTTGGCATTCTTCTTAAGGTATTTAGTGAAGATCATAAGAAATCCTTTAAGAGTTTAAATGTCCCTGGAAGAGGCATACGGGCGCTAGTCAAGAATGAATTCGAGTGAAGGAAAGCTGTGTGACACCTGGCCTTCCTCTATGTTCATGGAGCTTCTTTGAGGCTAGAAGATTGATTTTATCATCTAGACCTCTCTGGCTAATACCTATTCTTCAACCACATTAGTTACTCTGACATAGGAATTTACTTCTTTTCTTTGAATGGAAAACACTTTAAAAATAATAACAACCATTATTATAAACCAATATATGAGAGAGTACTTAGTTGAAACAAAAAGGAGTTTTAGTAGACAGTATTATACTACATATGAAAATCAAGGTGAAGTTTATGCAACTTAAAATGTTTACAAGCTGCCGTGCAATCTACTGTTTGTGAGTGTCCAAGTATTATGAGGAAAAGTGTCTATACAATCACAGAGTTATGCTTCCTCACAAAGTTCTTCACAAAGAGTGAAAGATGTTTTTATACCTCTCGGTTTCAGTTAGAGGCATATTTTGTGCCATATTTATGTTAATGTGCCTATACATGATGAATGAGTTATTTCAGTCATACATTGCCTAAGTCATAACTTTAAGATGCTTGGGAAAGAATCAACAGCTAAAATTTCATGAAGTTCTAATGTCTGTGTTCCAAAATACGTCACATTATTAGGATGCAGGGAGAGATGCGTGTGCGCTCCCTGGGGTGGGCATTTCTAGTTACTAGACCATCTCCATTTTTACCACTTGACATCCTCACGATACTTTTATACATATGACATTAATAGGAGAGCAATAATACGATTTTACAGATGGAATAACAGATGTGCCTGCATTCACTGAAATAGTGCAAATATTAAGTCCTTGTGACTTCAACTGACTCTTCCAAATTGAATGAATTTATCAATGCATTAGATGAACTCAGTTTCAGAATTATAAAGAAAAACTGTTAGACCAACGAATGTGGCTAATTAACAGTAGGACGATTTCTAGCCTGAGGGTTTAAAATGGACTTAAAGACCTGTTCTTGCCTTTTATTTTCTGAACTTGCTGCTTTTGCATTCTTTGAGTTCAGTTTAAAGACAGTTTAAGTCCAATTTAGACCCTCAGGCTAGAAATCATATCACTGTTAATTAGCCACCTTATTTGGTCTAACAGTTTTTCTTTATAATTCTGAAGGTGGGCTTACCTAATACATTGATAAATTATTTTGAAGGTATTTTTATATCTTCACTTTTACCCTGATAAAGATAAACGACTAGGAATGACCTTCAGATAGCCTTTAGCACCTGTAACCAATCTGACAATAATGTGTTCATCAGGTACCTGTGGATTAAATCACACACTGGCATATTTAAGCTGAATGTCAGTCTGGAAAATGAATGTACTATATTAACTGAAATACCACTCTTTGTGTAGGTATTTTGTCATATACTTAAGAAAAATTAAATAGAATGCAAATCATATGACAATAACTTAAGTCTTTCTTCAAAGTGCATGCGGTCCTTTGCAATACCTCATTCAGCCAAGTATTTGTTCTCTTCCTCATTCAGTATAAGGCAGCTTTCAATTTGCTTAGAAGGCAACATTAGAAGGGTAGAGTTTAATCAGAAACATAGAATTTTAAAGTGTGGGTTCAACTGAATAAATTTGAATTTCTGTAGGAAGAATTAAAAACCTATTTAAAGATTGCAATATATAATCATTTTTAAAGTATTTGATTAAACCTGATAGGCTTTCCAGAAATGAAAAAAAGTCAGTTCTAAAACCAAAGCTGATATTTAGAAAATGTGAAAATGTAAATCAGTGCTATCCATAGTATAGTTTCTCTAAAACTTTATCTTAAACAGTCATTTTAAAAGAATATAACTATTCAAAAACGTAACTGCTATCTTAAGTTTTAAAATAAGTTAAAACATTTTAAAATATGAATACTGTAGTTTAAAAGAAAGAAACTGGGGGAAGGAAAAGTAGAGAAATGCCAATTCCAATGCAAGGCTTTATTTGCCAAGTTTTCTTAGAATGACTTTTACCAACTGATGAATTCCTGTAAACAGAATGTATAATGGAAATACGGAAACACTGTTGCCTAAAGTGGCATTATTCACTGCTACTGTGATGCTACTGTAATGTAATAAATTATTAAATTGTTGCAAAGTGCTGTTTTTGCCTTAAAATTTTGTGTGTCTTGAAAACTATAGTATTAAAGGTATTGAGACTGCGCAAATGCTGGGCACGCTTGGCATGAGATAATCGGTTTTTATTTTTACAAAATTGTAATGTAACTATGCAAGTGTGTTTATTAAAAGAACACAAACAAAAAAGTTACAGGTATTAAAAAAAGTTGTGGGATGAAAAAGTTATGGGATAAAAAATGCTGTGGAAAAGTTGCGGCAAAAGTTGTGGAAAAAAAGTAGAAAAATGTTTTATGAAAAGTTTTTGAAAAAGTTATGAATAAAGTTACTGGATTTTTTTAAAAAACTCAAGGGATAAAAATAAAAGCAGGTCTCTGTCAGCATAAGCCCAGAGAAGTGGGGCTGGAGTCTCCATCCCTACCATGTTCTTACCAACCCTTCCCAGTCACCCCTTTACCATTAGGGTAGCAAGACAAGACCCCTGTCTAATGGGGGGAGAAAAACAGACCCTTTGCCACCTTGACCAGGGCTGAGTCCTTAAGTTTCTGGATGATGATGATTATTATTTAAGAGCCAGAGGCTGGTAGAGCTGGTTTGTTTGGAGGAGGCCTGATGGCCTCCCTACTCTCACCAAAGCAACTTTTCCCTCAGGGGGCTCCCATCTTATTCAGAGAGGCAGCTGAGGTGGGACAGTGGAGCTAACCGTAGAGCAGGCGAGGGCATGGGCTGCTGTGGTGGCCCCCCTTCCGCAGTGTACATATAGTATCTGTGTAACATTTTGTATATTCCGGGTGGTAGGGCCACCCCCTGTATAGTACCTAGCGGAGGTTGGAGCTGGCATATGAGGAGGAGGTTCTAATCATTATTTGTGGCTGGGAAACTTATTTATTGATAGCATAGGACAGAGGAAGGAGGAGGGGATGGGGTCCTGGCTGCCTTGGTGATGCGACTCCTGTTTATTTTGCTTTCCATTTTGGAATAAATGGATTTAGCCATACTGCTCAGCGTGGTGGGTTCCCATTTCCCTCACTGGGTCCTGGAGTTTGTGCCACTGAATGAAGAGCCCCAGAGTGAGCATGTCCAGCTGGGCTGTTGGGGACCTTCCAGGCCTGTTACTTGTATGCTGCCTGGTGACACCTGGTGGATTGCATGGGGACTGCCATGGCGCCTATGGGGCACAGTCCGACCCTGACAGCCAACAGGCTCAGAAGCCTGATCTAGCGGTGGCCGGGAAGACAGATACCGGCACCAAAGGGCACTGACTTCCATCCACCCCCGGCATCTTCCGTTCCGTCCCCTTGCCTCCCTCTCCTGTCTGCACCGGGTGGCCTGTTCTGTCTGTCCCTCTAGAGTGTCAGCTGCCCCGCAGGCTCCTCCAGGCTGAGTTCATGGCCCTGCCCCCTAGTGGCCAGAGCCAGCTTCACAGGATAAGAGCCAGCTAAGCTCCAGGGGCTTTCCAGGAAGTGTCCCTTGGAAAAGGTGTGGCCTTTTCACCACTCCCAACAGCACCCTAGAAATGGCTTGGCCTTTTCCCTCCCCTGAGCTCCACAGAGAACACAGCCAGCAGAGGACACATTCCCCATCATCCAGAAATGGGTTTGATTCTCAGCCAAGGGACACCAGGACTGGTAGAGACTGTCAGGCCACAAAGCTGCCTGCACAGCACCCCCATGCTTGGTGGGGGGTGGGAGGGATGGCGGGGGCTGGCTGTCCACAGGCCAGGCATGACAGGGAGGCTCACTGGAGGTGGCACACTTTGGAGGGGCAATGTCAGGGGAGAGCTTCCTCTTGCTGGGCCACAAGATTCCACAAGGACAGTATGGTGACTGATTCCCAGTGCTAGAGGCAAGGCGGTCAGCCATGTGTAGGTGTATATATATGTATGAGTATTTATAGATATTTATAGAACAGGGCAGGGGCATACCACAGAAAGGGCCCAAGTTTTCAGCAACGGTCACACCTGGATGTGTCAGCTCACCACTATGACAGACTAAGTCACAGATGAAGGGGGCTGGCTTTGGGGCTGGGGGAGCCACTGTCAAGTCACAGGACACCCGCCCAGGCAGGCTTGGAAAGGGAGGTCTCTGAGAAGAGGAGGATCTGTTTAGAGGTCGAAGTGGGGCTGGGGCTCTCGGGACGGGATGGACTTGCCTGACCCAATCAGCTGGCAGTTGGAGAGAAGCAGAGAGAAAATAGGAGAGAGAAAAGCAAGCAGAGAGCGGGTGAGGCAAGCACAGAGTACGGGCGGGCACGCTGCAGCAGCTGTGGGAGGGCCAGGGTGGGGAGGGTGCAGGTGCGGGTGTAGCAATGGTTCCTGGAAAACAGGGGCTGGAAGGGAAAGGGGAGGAAGATGGAGGGAGGAGCCGGAGCTTCACAGGTAGTGCCTGGGGGCTGTGGCAGCCCTCCCCAGCCCACACATGCTGGCCTCTCCCATGGCACCCAGGCAGTGCACCCAGAGTTCAGACTAATGCTCAGCCGCCTTGGGCTTCTCTCTTCTCTGCTCACCCTCTCTTCCAACCCACTGGCCCAGGGCCACCTCTTGCCTGGGGAGCCCCACCCAACAGCCACCAGGCCTGATAGAGAAGGAACACTGCTTAAACCAAAATGGTGAAGCTATAAGGGCTGGATGGCTGGAGTGAGTGCCAGAGGCCCCTCTGGGCGGTGAGAATGTCCAGGGTCCTCTGAAGGGACCCTGGGGAAGGCAGGGAGGGCAGGTAGCCGGATGCCACTGGCCATAGACTTTAAGAGGGGAGCCTCAGTTGGTTGCGGGGTGGGGGGGCTGCAGGTTTCATAGCTGAGGCTGGGTCCTTCCTGCTGGGAAAAGCAGAAGAGGGAGAGTCCGTGGCAGGGGAGGCGGGTGGGCTCACTAGGCGGAGCTCAGCTGGGCCAGCAGGCACTGTGGTCCCCTTGGCTGAATAGCACAGGCGACCCCTAGGAGCAACAGGCCAAGGTGCGTGAGCCTGCTGGTCGGCGATAGTGCTTCAGTGGGGGCCAGGGACCCTGCCTTCGGTCACATGCTAGCAGCTATGATGGTACCTCAGAGGGAGGGAAGGGGGCTGTGTGTCCCTGTCTGGCCTGTGAGGTGTGTTGTGGGATGACCGTGTGTATGGGACTCTCAGGGTTTTATCCTAGATCACCACTGGATTGCCAACAGATAGAGGAGGTGGGACCCTGACTATCACCCCTGCTCTGCAGTGGATTTGGCTCTCAGCACTCCCAGGCTGGGAGCTGGATACCCTGACCTGGCAGCATGACTCAGACTGCACGACAGGCACAGCATTCCTAGACCTCTGGCCGCCTCAGAGTCCAGCCCCACACACAACGCCCTCCAAGCTCCCAGCCCCTACACCATAAACCACAAGCTCTCTGTCCTCTCTGACAGCTCCAGAGAGCACTCATGTCTGCCAGCTTGGGCATGGAGCCTGTTCCAAGAGCCCCCAGGCTCAGCCATGGAGGCCCTGGGCAGTGGCGCTGAGTCCCATGGCTTGCAGGGAAGGGAGGTGAAAGAGCCAGCAGCACCAGGACAGAAAGAGGAAAGAGCAAATCTGCAGCTCCAGAAAGGAGGGGCAGGGAGCCTGGATCTGAGGTCCCAGGTGCGCCCCCGTGTGGAGCTGGTGCAGCGGGGCGGGAACACCGTTCATGCAGCAGGCGGTGAGGCATGTACCTACCATGGCTGATGCTCCTCAGGGGCCACTGATAGTGATTCTGAAAGCATCAGATCAACATGGCAGGTCACACGCATGGGTGGGGCAGGCCTGGGGTTGTGGAACACACACACATGCGCATGCCGGGGTGTGCACACACATGCTGTGAGGCCCCACAGCCGGCATGCACACGCTAACACACATGTCCACAACACACATACGCCTCCTTCCCCGCCACCTCCCGGTGCCCAGCACCCTCACTGGCTGGCACGTGCAGCACAGATCTGGGGCGTGCAGCCACTCAGCACACTGAAGCACACACATGGGCAGAGTCACAACGCGGAAGCTCACCCGCACACCGAGGCATTTGCAGCAGCTCCCTGCACACTCGTGCCTGGCGTGCTCAGAGGACCACCGGTGTTGCTCATGGAGACAGGGCTTGCTCGCTAATGTCCAGCTGTCATTTCTCCACCTAAGAGCCTTCCATGGCTCCCTACTACCTACAGCATTGAGCCCCAACAAGTCATACTCTTCGGACTTTGAAGGTTCTCCACCCTATGCCCCACCCTCCCCACAGAGCTCTTCCTCATTCCGTCTCTGTTCCCTGCTTTGGCCAGTGGCTGTCCTGGATGCGGCCCACACTACACCTCTGCCCACACTGCAGCTCTGTACCCAGATACCCTCCAATTCCTCGCCACATAATTCTATCTCAGTCATGCCCCGGACTGCGTTGAAGCCAGGCTGCCTTGGAGAAGCTCTCCCAGACTGCTCTTTTCCCCAAGGGAGGGTCATGATTTGCCAAATGTTTCGCATGTGTTAGCAAGACTGGAGTCGGAGCAGGCATTAAACCTTACATCCCATATGTCACACCTCACCATAAACCTGGGTGTCAAATACTCTGAAGAGTCTGAACTCACATTGGCAGTTAGCAAAGTGCTCCTACGGCCACATCTGCAGTTAACACAGCATCCCTATGGCCACTGTCTCCCTTGATCCCCATGGCCACCCTGGGAGAAAGGCAGAAAGTCATCATTTGATAGAAAGGATGCTGAGGCTCTGGGAGGGAAAGGGACTTGCCTAAAGCCCCAGGGTGAAGCAGCATCTCTGGACTCCCAGTCCAGTGCTCTTGCCCAGTGCTATGCTGCTTGCCTCTACCCATTTCTGTTGCTCATCAGCGCATCATAGGGCAAGCCCCAATCCCTGCCTCATTTTGGTTTATGGGCGCTGAACCCACAGCCCTACCCTACAGTCATTTGGAGACAAAAACAGATGCTATTGTTCTTTCTTAGAGAACGTGGCCAGTGGATATGGCACACTGGGAATCAGAGTGAATGTCCTTGAAAGAGGGCCATGGGCCAACAAGGCCAAGCCAGAGGATGCAGAACGCTTTTCCTTAGAAATCTTTGGGAGTGAAACAGGCTTCAGACACTCCCGTCCCTGCCCCTGCAGCCACCCCTACCACATTGGTTTAGACAGGGTAGGGTGGGGCGGGGGCAGGGGCAGGGGTGGAGGAAAAATCAGATTGCCCATGCCCCCCAGGCTCCTTCCCCAGCTGCTTCTGTCCTAGCCCAGGCCTGGTGCCATTCTCCCACTCACACTCGTGTGCAAGCCCACACACACATCACACACCTTGATGCTCACAGTCGCAGCCTGGCCTCTGCTCCTGTGGGCCAGTGGCCAGACACCCCCTGGGATGGCTCAAAGGAGTCAGGACTTGGAAATGGGGACATCAGGGTAGCTGAAGGAAATCCACACACCCAGAACATCTCGGGGTTCAGACTCTCTGACCTGAGGGAGGCTCCCCGGGGGCTGGGAGAGGAGTTGGATGGAATGGAGGATGGAGGACAGCGAGAAGAAGAAAGGAGGAGGAATGCAACGTGTGGGGCGGCCGCCAAGAGTGAAAATAGAGGGAAGCGCCATGCAAGTGCTGGAAAGAAGGGGGCAGGTGGGATGAGCCCCACAGACCCCTCCCCAGAAATGACCACCTCCGGGACTCAGCGCTCCCTGGGGGGCAGGCTCTGCCAGCTCAGCCACATGTGGCTCTGGCACCCATGGCCCCAGTGCCTTGGATGGAGACGGCCAATTCTGGTGGCCAGGTCCAATGCTCTGGAATCCAGCCCCATGTCAGGGGGACGCCTGACCCCTTCCCTGCCCAGTTCAGTGTTGTGGGACAGGGCTGCTGTCAAGACAATACCCAGTCCTGCCCTCCTCCCTGAGTGGGCCAGGTAGCCCACATAGCCTCTTCCCCGCTTTCCTGGGTGGCACTGCCAGCCTGCCCCCCTGGTGCCCATTCAATCTAGTCCTTCATATTTCTGGGGCACGGGGAAGCTCTGAGTAACGTGGGACTATAGAGTGCAAGAGGGTTGCTGATGGCCTGGTCCTGTGCCCTCCCCATTCTTGGGCATTCTTGACAAAGGCTCCCAGCAACTGAGGGTACGCAGCAGCTATAGACACCAGCCTGACAAATATCTCATTGTGGGGAGGGGGCCATAGCAGGAGTGGGGAGCCAGGGAAATACAGAACCCGGCACTGGGGGGTGTTGATGTGAGAAGCCCAAGAGACTTCATTCCACCTGTCAAAGCCACCTCCTTCCAGCTGTCCAAAGGCTCCCCATCTGAGCCACTTGCTGGGCGGGGACTTTGGCTTTGCACTTGCTGAATACCATCTGCGCCTCTCAGGAGGGAGAGTGCCAGGTTCACGAGGTCCCTGCCCAGCAAGGGAGCTAGGAAAGGGGGCTAGGGGTGGGCTCTGCCATTTTCAAGGGCTGGCGGGGGGACCCCTCTGGAGGTACTTGGGGCAGTATCACGTGCCGTGGCTCCTGAGTGACAGAGTCAGCTCTGCACCCGCAAGAACGCGCCCTACCCAGAACTCACTGTCATGTGCTGGGTCCAGATGCCCACGCAGCCTCCTGGTGGGAGCATCAGGTGCACCACCTGCCCAGGACAGCCCATGGAAGAGTCTGCCCCGCTCTGCCCTGCTATGGAACAACTCCTGTTGTGCCTTCAGGGAGAGGTGTTCATTTAAGCGATGACTGGGCTGGCCCCCATGGCACAGTTATCACAGAGTCTGCTGCTACCCATGGCTGAGAGCTCTAGTTCTTCCTGGTGGTCTCTGAAGCCACCAGGACGGATGAACAGCGGCTTCACCCTCTTGACTGACTCAGCTGCCTTTCATCAGCTCATCTGCCCCTAGGATCCACTCTGCCTCTGGCTGGCACCGGACCTGAGCCCCAGGCTCACACCTCTGCCCACAGGCCCAGCAGCTGCTTCACTTCCAACTCCATCCCCCACCAAGCACTACCCCTTGCCAGCTACTGGGGTGCCACTAGTGCCCCCACATGGTGCCCCCTCTCCAGACCCTCGGGTCTGGCTGTAGCTTCCTTCTGGAAGCCACACCCCAAGACCACAGCCCTGCTCTAGGGCCCTGTATCCCTGACTTCCTGCATCTTTCTCCCTCCTTCTGGGAACATGAACTTGCCCTGCCAGTGTGGCAGCTCCTGGAGGGCAGGACACCAGGGCCTGGACTATGGCCAGCCTGGGGGTGTCTGCTGCCAGTGATGCTGGAGCTGGCACCCATGTCCACATGATGTCCATGGCACAGCGGCCACCTGAGGCTGGGGGCATCTGAGTGGTAGCTGCAGAGTGGGGCCCTTATCTCTGCCTGAGTGAAGTTCACCAGGGCTTCCCCTGTGCTGCCCTGCTGGGTGAGAACAGCCGGCCCAGCTGGGGGCCCGAGACCACATTGTAGAGCAGGAGCTGGGGGTCGGTGCCTGCGCTGGAGCTGGCTCTGAGGCTCTGGCTGCTGAGTGGCTGGATGGACCCTGCCAGAGGCACAAGGGGCCATCACCCTTTGAGATCCAGGCCCAGGCCTGTGTTTGCAGAGAGGCAGCATGACCCTGGCATGCCACCCTCAGCTCCGCCCCAGCTCCCGGCACCCAGGAACGCCCATGATCAGCACACCCACCTGGGCAGACAGTCAGTGTCCAGCTGCCCTCCAGCAAGAGGAACACTTGCTTCTGGGCCATCACTCAGAAGAAGTGTCCGGAGGAAGTGTGCTTGTCATCAGAGAAGCCAAAGTGGATGCCTCCATCCAGGGTTCCTGGGGACAGGGGCATTGGGTCCGGCTGGCCCGAGCCGGCTCCCCATCTCAGGGCACCCCCGTGGGCAGCAGGAACCCGAGGCCCGGCCCTCAGCACCCACCTCTGTGTGAGAACAGCACGAGCCCGCTGTCCAGCTGCGCCTGCGTGAAGCTGCGCACCTCGGTGCCCGGCGCCCCCCGCAGCACTACCCGTCCGTTGCTGGGCTGCTCGATGGTGTAGACCAGATCCTCAGACCCAGAGTCGCCGTCCGTGCTCCTCAGAGCCTCCGCAGGGATGGGCGCAGTGGCCCCCTGCCACATCTGGGGACACAGGCCTGTGAAGGTTCTGCCTTGCCACACTCACCCACCCCTTCCTTCCTGGCCCTGGGCTGCCACCAGGGCTCCAGTCCTGCTGTGGCTCAGGCCCTCGGGTGGCATCGAGGCTGGCGCCACTCTGGCTCCCCTGCACAAAGGGCCTCCCACATTCACCTTCCCTGTCACCCCAGGGAAGGCCCCAGGGAAGGTCACCCTCCAGGCCCAGCCTCCCTGCTCTCCATCTGCCCTAGTCCTGCGTGTCCCTCAAGGCCAGCTTATGTCCCCTACCCAGAAAGACCCCAGCTCTTACCCTCACCAAGTTCTCACTCCCAGAAACCCCCAGCGCTGACCAACAGTGCTCCTTAATCTGTCTCACTGGTGGGGCAGGGGTCTCCTTTCAGAGCCTCCGTGTGTGCCTGGCCGGGGCTGGGCACAGGTGGGAATGGTGATTTTAGAAATGGGCCCTCCTTCCAGCTGAGGGAGGGATGCATGGCGCAGAGAGTGGGGGGCTGATGGTTGGCACTATTCTGCAGCACAGAATCAGTGTGGGATGGGCCCAGGTGCTTCCAGAGCAGTTAGGGGCCCTCCTCATGTTGGGCAAAGGGGACCCCTTTTCAGGCCTCCCACTTGCAAGCAGAGCAGGTGCGCCTGTTCCTGAGGTCCTGGTACCAGTCTTGCTGGGTCAATTACTTGCGGGCAGAGCTGCATTGGGACTCACATGCCTGGAAAACAGAGCCTTCTGGCATTCCTGGGCTTCCTCCCCCGGCCCCAGGGAGCCCTCAGGCCCAGCCCTGGCAGGAGGGGCCATAATGTGGGGGGCAGGACCCCAGCACTGGGCTCCCGGAGCAAACACGGGTGGATGGCACCACCTGGTGGCCATGCTGCCACACAGCCGTCCTGGCCTGTGGTTCTAGGGTGCTGTGTCCCACTATTCTGTGGCCTCTGCACCATGAGGCCACCCTCTATGGGCACGTCCTAGACCACCAAAGTTCCCTCGGTGCCCCAGGTCAGAGACAGCCCAAGTCAGCCCTCCTGTGGAACCTTCAGTGGCTCCTGCTGACCAGGGAGGACACACCCCAGAAGCTGGGGTTCAAAGCCCTGCCATGTGGGCTTTGTAAAGCCATGCCCTTTCTGTTCCACCAGAACTACTTTTGCAACCATGGAGAAGTTCCATCCCACGTCTGGGCCTCAACTTCCACCTCTGCAGAATGGGGGCCCTGCTCTGCTGTGGCACAAGGGGCAGGAGTTTGGGGAGCCAAGCCATGGCCTTCACTTGCTGGGGTGAAGGTGGGAAGCTTAATGTCTCCCGCCCTGATGCCTGCCCTTAAGGGTTTGTAAGTGACTCTGTCAGGTGTTCTGGTTCTGAGCCACAGGAGAAGGAACAGCAGAGCCACCTGTGGCCACTCGGAAGTCTGCCTACCGCACTTGCAAGTGTCCAGTAACAAAATCTCCCACCTGTGTTCTATTTCAGCACAATCTCACATCTCCCCTTCCAACAACCCCATGAGGCATGCGGCAGCGTCCCCATTTTGCAGAGGAGGAAACTGAGGCTCAGAGAGGGGGAGTTCTGTGTCATGAAGTAGGGGACGCAGGCCTCTTTCTCGAAGCAGAAATTGGGGGTGGTCCCAGGAATACTCTCACCTGCAGGCCTGTGTTTGTGGTGAGGACCGGGGGTTGGTCATTGACAGGCAGGACAGTGACAGTGAAGGCCACAGGATGGCTCTGGTGGTCCATCTCGGAGGGGTTAGCCATCAGGACAAAACTGTCTGTCAGTGTCTTGCTCCCGTCGTGCACGTACGTGGATCAGCTGCTCTTCCACCTAGGGGCAGGCCCAGGGATGGCAGTCAGGCCTCAGCAGCACCCTTCATGCCCTGCCTTTGGGTGCAGGAGGAGACTGACTCTTTTAGGGCTTCAGCTTCCATTGGTGGAAAATGGGGACCATAAGTTCTGGCTCCCAGAGGAGTTGTAAGGAAGAAAGAAGATACAGTATTTAAAGCATAGGTGCTTCTGAAATGTGACTCCCCGTCTCCTCTCTGTGTATAACCCCCAGACTGGGAGTCCCTGGGGCTCCCTCTACTCTGCCCCCAGAGCCGGGCTGCAGCCCCTGGGCCTCTCTCACAGGCATACCATTCTCCAGGAGAAGGTGCTTGAGGTCCATCCTCCTTCTGCAGGGCTCCATGCTGGGGTGGCTCCAGCACCTGCAGGCCGAGGCCCGGGAGAGTGGGGAAGTAGGGGCCGGCGATGCAGAGCAGTGGAGGGGCCAGGGTGAAGCTGCCACCCTCAGGGACACTGAAGTTTTGCACCTCCGGTGGGATGACAGTGGGCAGCACCTCCAGCTCCACACGGATGCCCTCGAGGGGAGCATCCAGGCCTGAGGCCACATCCAGCGAGAAGGCATCGCTCCAGGCCTCAGGGCGGGAGTGCAGGTACAGGACCCTGCCTGTGTCCACTGCCTCCTGGGAGAAGCTCTGCACGGGGTCCAGGCTGGGTGGCTCATCTGCCAAGGCGCCACGTGACACCATCACCAGGTAGCTGGCACTCGGCGGGCTCTTCACTGAGAATATGATGTCTGCTGGCGGCACTGCCTCCTGGGCTGCCTGGTTAAGAGGTCATGAGGACTCACATGACCACAGAGGGGGTCTCAGAGGGGTCCACTGTGGCCCTAAGCAGCCGGAACAGGCTTGATCTTGCCCCACTTATTCCTCTAGATATCACTGCTCATTTAGACACACAAACACACACGTGGGTTCACACACACAGCCGCCAGACATGCAGCTGGTCACAGTTTTTGTTTTTTGAGACAGGGTCTCACTCTGTCACCCAGGCTGGAGTGCAGTGGTGTGATCACAGTTCCCTGAAGCCTCAACTTCCCAGGCTCAAGGGATCCTCCCACCTCAGCCTCCCAAGTAGCTGTGATCTCAGGCACATGCCACCAGGCCCAGCTAATTTTTTGTATTTTTAGTAGAGATGGGGTTTCACCGTGTTAGCCAGATGGTCTCGATCTGAGCTCGTGATCTGCCCGCCTCGGCCTCCCAGAGTGCTGGGATTACAGGCATGAGCCCCCGCACCTGGTCGTGCCCGGCTAATTTTTAACTTTTTGTGTAGAGATGGGGTTTCACTGGGTTGCCCCGGCTGCTGGTCACGTGTTAATGCCCACCCCACACACGGTTGCAGGGGGTCGGTCACACAGCTTGAGAGGCACTCCCTCAGGGAGGTGCATAATCACATGTCCCCAGACTCAGTGACACAGACACACAAGTTCATCATACGCTGACGCGGTCACACATGTACACATGCGCGTGTGCACACGCACACACACAGGTCCCCCTGCTCAGGATCTGTCAGGCCTGAGGCTGGTTTGCAGGCAGCACCTCCCCAGCCCCTGCTATTACCACCCAGGACCATCAGAGGGCGCCCCGCCCCACCCCCCTGGAGGCACAGCCGCCTTCAGCTCAGGCCCTACAGAGCTCACGCCCCAAAGGCCACACGGGCTCCCTCACCTGATGGGCCAGCCACAAGAGGCCAAACCACCCCCAAACTCACATTCCTGTTCTATGCCTTTGCCCGGAATGTTCCTTCTGCCTGGAATACCACTCCCCATTCTCTGCTCCTGATGGCCTGTGCTCTTCAGAGCCCGGCCCAAACGCTGCCTCCTCCCACGAGGCCTTCCTGACTCCAGATCTGCTGGCTTGCTGTCGGCCCCAAGCTCCAGACATGCAGACCAGAAGGGTCTCCGAAATGAGCAGTGTAGGAGAGTAAGGCCAAGAGCGGGCAAGGACTGGCCTGAGGTCACAGGGCAAGTCAGTGAGCCTGCTGGAGGGCCCGTGGTTGCTCTGTGGGGTTCCTGGGTGGGCAGAAGCCCTTGACAGACCTCCTAGTCCTGGTCTGGGCTCTGAGAAAAGAGTGGGGGACATGAGGGTCTGAGGAGTAGCGGCCTGCCTCCACGGTCAGCAATCCCCAAAGCTCAGGACCCGTGATGTCCTCCCAGGGAACTGACTGCAATGGAGATTCTCGGGCTCCACGTCAGAGATTCTGTAGGGCTGGGTGGGGTCCAGGAATCTGCATGCTCAGCCATGTCATGGACATGAGTGGACACAACCTCTGGAGGCGCACACAACTCCCAGGAGGATGGGTGTATAGCAAGCTCCCCAGAAACTCCTGGGAGCACAACATATACGGGAGCACATCTGAGGCACGTGCACACATGCAACCTGGAGCCACCACAGCCACAGCCCAAGTCACACGTGTTCCTGGCATGGAGGCTGGGCGGGAGGCCCTCTACCTGGCCCACACCCCCGCTCACCACATCCAACTCCTCACCTCCAACTGGTCCCTTCTGATCTCAGCTGCCTCTCCCTGGAAGACGTAGATCTTCTTGTGCCGGACCAGCTTCAGCGGGGCCAGTGGGCCCTCTAGGGCAATGGTCACTTGTAGGGTGGCATCCGTGTGCACTGGCCCCATTTCCACAGAGAAGGCCATGGTGTCACGGGGGCTGAGGCTGCTATTGTGGCTATAGAGAACGGCCCCATCCAGCAGGTCCTGCTGGGAGAAGGCAGTGGCTGGCTGACCAGCCCAGAGTAGCTGTCCCCAGCGAGGGCCAGCTGTGACGTGGTAGTGGACCTCATCTCCATTGCGGATGTCGAGGCTGGTGTCCAGGTGGAGCACGGCCATGTCGATGGTGCCCTGGCCTCCTTGAGGGACCACAAGGCTGGAGCCGTTGGCCACACGGAGGTAGGGCTCCGAGGCCTGCACCTCCAGCAGCACAGTGGCCTGGTGTTGCCCATCGGACACCTGCAGCTGGATCCCGCCATGATCAGCCCAAGTGCATGAACAGTACTCGCCTCTTCCTGAGGTCCTCCTGGGTTAAGCAGTAGATGGGCCGCGTGGGCTTATCCATGGCCATGATACTGCCAAAGGGAGGTCCTTGCGGGTGAGCACCAGCTGGGCGTCAGCAAAGCCTGAGTCAGCATCGCTGAAGGCCACGTAGTCTGTAGTCAGCAGCCGCCACCCACCCTGGGCCACATGGAAGATCCGGCTGATGGTCTGCACAGGGGCGTGGTCATTCACGGCTGATGGCCACTCGGAAGACACCCCGTACCTCCTCCCAGGCCACGTCACCACTGCTCTCGCCCTGGCGGGTAGCAACAAATGGGATATCATCTTCCGTGGTCTCGGAGTCATCATGCTGGTAGACCAGCCAGCCACGCAACAGGCCTCCATTGGTGAAGGATGTCACCATAGTGGTCTTGTCCTGTGTCCCATGCCAAGCCAACCTCCCATGGCGGGGCCGCTCCATGACCTCATAGAGGTAGCTGGCACTGTTGAGACTCTTGACAAAGAGGTAGGCAGCAGAGAGGACACTCTCACCACCCTCAGGCACCATGAGGGAGGACATTGGTGAGGATGTGAACGTCTGGGTCATCACCAATGTGGATGGAGAGGGTACAGAGCAGGGGGAATGGTGGAGCTGTGACATGGAAACAGAAGGTGTCCTTGACTGCCTCCGAGGCACGTGCCATGGCCCCATAGGTCACCCGGCCAGCCTGTACATCATCCTAGGTGAAGCCCTGACCATCTGACAGCCTCGTGCCCTGTAGTTGAAGGTTGCCTTTCCTGGGAGCCTGAACTACCTCATAATGGAAGGTTGGGAGGCTTGGGCCTGCCTCCTCCAGGGTGGCCTCCAGGTGGGCTGTGGTGAGGGCCTCCTGATGGGTGTTCTGAGTGTGCAGTGGCTCCAGCTGCAGCATCCACATGGTGGCTCTCTGGATGGTCACTGGGAAGGACAGATTGCTCAGGATTTCCTGGCCCACCTGCACCTCCAGGGCCAGGCTCTCCATGGTGTCGTCAGTGTGGTGCTGTGGGTCGGTGCTCAGGTACCTCACGCGGCCCTGCTCCACATCCCGCTGGTGAAATGCCTGTGTGGCCCACCACTCAGCACCCTCCACCCCACCTGCCCCCTGCTTCTTCAGCTCCCCGAACTTCAGGGCTCCAGTAACGCGGAACAGCACGCTCACATCCTGCCCCACGGCATTGGTCTCCACCAACAGGTTGGCGGGCAAGATGGGCATGGCAGAGCCTTGGGCCAGGTGCAGCCCTGTGCTGCGGTGGATCTGTATGGCCGGCTGGATGGCCATCACCTTCAGCGTCGCCGGGGGGCTGGCCTGCAGTCCATCGCTGACCCAGAACGTCAAGTCCTGTGCAGGGCCACCGCGGTGGACATAGACTAGGCTGCCGGCCTCCAACTCCCGGCAGGAGAACTCGGTTGCCGGCTCTCCAGGCTGGTCTCGGCACTCCACGGGGAGGCCAGACGGGGTGCCAAGGAGCTGGAAGGCGAGGCCCTCACAGGCAGAGTCCGGGTCATAGGCCTGGAAAACCTCGGGCCCCAGTGGCTTCTGCAAGTGTTCCAGGATCACCATGAGGCTGCCATGTGGAAAGATGATGTGGGGTGGGTCATTGACAGGGTTGACCTGGATGGGCAGGAGGTAAGTTTGGCCCCTCCACAGGCATGAGGCACCCGAGCCGTCACTGACACTGGTCGGAGGTGTCCTCAGAGCCATCGTGGATGAAGCGGGCCTTGCGGTTCACCACGTCCAGGAGGGTGAACATTTTTCGTGCCTGGGCTCCCGGGATGTCTAGCTCGAGCTCGCCGTGGTGTGCCCCTCGGGTCACGCTGAACAGCACCTGGGATTTGCGCAGCTCAGCCTCCATCAGGTCCAGCGTGGGCTGCACGTGCCACCACTCAAGCCAGGCTGTGCCCCCCTTGGCCACCACCAGTGGGCTGATAGTCAGCAGCTGGGTGAAATTGGCAAAGACAGGAGGCAGCCCTGGCTCAGGCACGCATGGCTCAGGCAGCTCCATGGCCAGCCAAGCCTCAGGAGCCAGGGTGGAGAAAGCTTCATAATGTCCATAGGCATCGTCCTCATACTCCTCCTCCTCCAGCCTGCAGCCGGCTGCCATGTTGCGCGTCAGCAAAGCTTCCCGCAGCCCCTGCCTCTGGCCATTGACTCTGAGGTCTTCCATGCAGCCCAGCAGGGAGACATTGGTGGCCCCTGGTATCAGGCCCAGGCGGTGTTCCTGGAGGTGACAAGAGGCCTCTGCATCCAGCCCCCCGAGAAGGAGACTGCCCCGTGGCTCCAGGTAGCTGAGGACTCCTCGGTTCGAAGTATGCGTAGGGTACTGGTCCACGGAGATTTCTAGCCGGTGAGCATTGATGTGGACACTGACCTCATGGGGCTGCCCATCGGCCACAGGCACACTGTTGTGGAGCAATACCGTACCCTGGCCCTTCTCCACCACGGCCCGCAGGTGGCCCTCAAATATGTCCACATAGATGAAGTCCCCACGCCGGCCCCCTGCCTGGAAGGCCAAGGGTGCCTGCCGGCTCTGTGTGGTGAGTGTAAACTCTAGGGTTCCTTCGTCCTGAGCGCCCCAGGCAGGGAAGGCAGCCAGAGAGTGGGGCCCAGAGAAGCCCGGGGCTACATCATCACTGGCAGAAAACTCTTCAGCACAGCACTCACGCACGTCGGGAGTCAGAGGCCAGAGAGGCTTCGGCCATTGAGGGTGGCTGCATGGAGGCAACCACTCAGGGGTCGGCTGGTTCCCCTCAGGTAGGGCAGGCCAAGGGTCCCAGTGCCCCCAACAAACAGCCCACAGGGGACCTCTAGGGGGGCTCCTGGGACTGCAGAGGAGGCGTTCAGAAACCCATCAACTGACAATGTGGCCCAGCCCTCTACGACAGTCAGCACCACAGTGTGGGGGACGGAGTCACTCAGCAGCATCTCTGCTGGGGTCTGCAGCCTCAGCTCCTCCTGGCTTAGGACAAGTCTGACCTGAAGAGAGATGGGGAGTGGGAGATGGGGGGCAGCACTTGGAATCCATCATTTCCCTTATAAAAGCATAGTGGGTTCCCCACTCTTGGTGCCCCAGAGCGGAAAACCTAGGACAAGGGCCTCTGGTGCCACTCCTCTTGCCATCCTGCCATCTCTTTACTCATCCTCCAAACACTCACCAAAGGGAACTCTGGGCCAGGGCTGGACGGGCTCTGGGGACCCTGATGTGAATCAGATGTCGTCCTTGCCCACAAGGAACTGACATACAGCAAGATGCTCTCCTAGAAATCCAACCTGTATTTTTAAATTCTTCTCCTCTCTCCTTGAGTGAGAAGTGCCAGAAATATTGTCTTGGAACCTAGATTTCAGCCCTGGAATAATAGGGAACTGGGAATGCAATGACAGCAGCAGACTGACCAAGCCCTAGTCCTCTCCCCAGTAGGGTGTGGAAGGAGATGGCTGACCCAAATTTGTTTTTATTTTTTTCTTTTTAAAATAGAGATGGGGTCTCATTGTGTGGCTCAGGCCAGTCTTGAACTCCTAGGCTCAAGTGATCTTCTCACCTTGGCCTCCCAAAGTGGTGGGATTATAGGCATGAGCCACTGCACTCAGCCTGGCACAAATTTGGAATAAGACCCTGGGTTCTTAAACTCTTCATGGCTTGGGGGAAGACTCAAGAAAGCCACAAGACTCCTTGCTAACAAAGCTTGTGGTGTTTTGAAGGATGAAATGGAAAAATGAGGAAGCTGAGGCAGTACTGGTGCTGTTACTGTCGTGGACAGACCGTGGTGCTGCAGACAAATTGGTGCAGTGCCACAGGAATGCACAGGGGTCATGGGGGCTCAGGAGGGGGCCTAGCCCAGGAGGAGGGGATGCCCACACTGAGACTTCAAGGAGAGGCTAGAGTTAGGCATGTGCAGGGAACGGGAGAGGCGCACACCTGGCAGAAGGAGTGTGCATCAAGAGCCTGGCAGCAAGCGACTGTAAGATGGCCAGGAACTGAAAGCAGTTCAGGGCGGTCAGAGCACAAAGGGCCAGCAAGGGGTTGTGGCGGGAAACATGGTTGGAGGGAGCCGGTGGGCAGAGCCAGTTCATGAAGGATTTACCATTTCTGGGCTGCTGCTGCCCATCCCACAGTGGAGAACTTAAGACCCCAAGATAAAAGTGACTTACACAAGGTCACACAGCCAGCTGGGGTTCACTCAAAGCTAGAGAAGGAATCCCACCCCGAATCCCGCCCAGATCTCAGGGGGACGTCACTCACCTGCAGGCGTCCAGAGTAGAGCTGCAGCAGGAGGTGGTCAGCTGGGCCTGCTGCCAGGAGAAGGAGGGCTTCGGGCTGGGACGTGGAGAACTGCAGCTGCAGGTCTATGTCGGTCAGAGCCGACCGACCAGGTGGTTCTCACCGAAGAAGGAAGCTGTGTGAGAGAGGGAGCTGTGGTCAAGGCTCAGACTCTTGCCTGGAGGAGGCGAGGTGCCGCAAAGAGGGACGGGTGGGTTGCAGAAAGGGGTCCATGCTGGCGCACCCTCATGGTTCTGCTGTATGGTGCTGCCTCTGAGCACTGCCCGGGTCCCAGTGAGAGGTGGCAGCCTGCTGGCAGCCCTCACAGCCCGGCGCCTCCTCGGCCTTGGCGCCCACTCTGGCCGCGCTTGAGGAGCCCTTCAGCCCGCCGCTGCACTGTGGGAGCCCGTTTCTGGGCTGGCCAAGGCCGGAGCCGGCTCCCTCAGCTTGCCAGGAGGTGTGGAGGGAGAGGCGCGGGCCGGAACCGGGGCTGCGCGCGGTGCTTGTGGGCCAGCGCGAGTTCCGGGTGGGCGTGGGATCGGCGGCCCCGCACTCGGAGCAGCTGGCCGGCCCCGCCCGCCCCGGGCAGTGAGGGGCTTAGCACCTGGGCCAGCAGCTGCTGTGCTCGACTTCTCGCCCGGCCTTAGCTGCAATACAGTGATGGGAATGGAAGAAGACAGCTAACATGGGAGAAAATTATTAAAACTGAGAAGGAGAAATCAAGATGCCCTCCTCCATAAAGACTGGATTCACATACAGACCAAGGCCTGAGGAAGGAGACGGAGGAGGAAAACTCGAGGGAGACAGAGAAGGCGGGACGTTGGCAGCAAGCCTGCTGCTGTGCACAGGAGTGAGGAGGGGACGCCCAGCCAGCCTGCTGGGGAGGGAGGGCCCTGCTCCAAGACGAAGCCAGACTTCTCCATCACCGCCCCTCGGGGTTTGGCACCACGGGGGGAGATCCTGGCTCCAGGTCTGGGCAGGCAGGGGTGAGGGAATCTGAGGGGGCTGTGGGATGGGGTGCTCTGGGAGGGCCAAGGCCGGGATGAAGGGCTCTCTGTCTCCCCTCATGGGTGTGTATGTGGCGGGGCAGGGGTGGGGTCGTGGCCCACCTGGGGGCTGAATGCCGGCTGTGTGAGAGCATGGACGGGCCAGGTGTGCTTCCCCAGCAGCAGACCCTCCCTGAGGTCACCTGGCCCTCTAGACCTCAGGTCAGTTTCCCTCCCCTTGCACCTTCAAGGGACTCCCCTATTTTACTTCCGACAGCAATCTACTTCCAACCCAGCAGGCAGGGCATGGGCGAGTGTGTGCGGGAGTGTGGGTCAGTGTCACATGTACACACGTGTGTGGCGGCAAGGCACGCGAGGAGGGCATGCACTGGGTCCATGGTCTGGCCCCACTGTGGGCCCTGGATACTGAACCATTACTGGGGGTCCCCTCCCCAGCACATTGGTCTCCCTGGGCTCCTCAGGCAAGGGAGAAGCTGTCTGGTGTGCCTACTCAGGGGTGGGCCCCTCTCAAACCTCCTCCCAGCAGACTCCCCAAGGCTCAGCCACCCACACTGAGCTATCACCTTCCCCCAACCCTGTTAGTTTGAGGGTAACAAGGGGGTAGGTTACAGGGGAGACTTAAGGTCAGACTAAGGGGAGCGACCTGCCCAGTGATGACACTGGGGTCACCAGGGCCCAGGCCTAGATGGCTCATCACTGGCCAGGGTGGGCTGCCTGGGAGACGCTCACACACCTGCAGACCCCTCAGGGCTCACTGCTCTTTAGCAACTCTTCCTGGCTGCTTCCAGACTGGGATTCCACCACCCAGGGCCATCCCCGCAGCCCACAGACTGCCTGCTCCTCTCCTGTCCCGTGAGCTACCGAAATGCAGACAACAGTACGTTAGTTAAGGGCCAGGCATGGTGGCTCATGCCTGTAATCCCAGCACTTTGGGAGGCTGAGGCAGGCGGATCACCTGAGGTCTGGAGTTCGAGACCAGCCTGGCCAACATCGCAAAACCCTGTCTGTACTAAAAATACAAAAATTAGCTGGGTGTGGTGGGACACACCTGTAATCTCAGCTACTTGGGAGGCTGAGACAGGAGAATCACTTGAACCCAGAAGGCAGAGGTTGCAGTGACCCGAGCTGCACTCCAGCCTGGGAGACAAAGCGAGACTCTGTTGCAAACAAAACAAAACAAAACAGTAGGTTAGTTCCAAATCCCATGGAGCTTACAACAGCAGCCATCCTCTCAGGAGACACTGCTTTATCCCAGTGGGGGTGCTGGAGTGCCAGGCACCTGCTTAGGTGACTGCCTCCACGTCTAAATGCTGCAGAGACCTCTGCCAGGGTCAGGGCAGCCCCATCCCTCCTTGCCCCAAGAACTCTTGAGCCAAGAGATGCACACTCAGGTCAGCTGACCTTCTGTTTAGTTGCCTTTCTGGTCCCTTGCAAGGCCAAGGAGGCCAGGGAGGAAAACAGTTTCCTCAGCTATTGGCTGGGCCCTGACCCTGGTCACTGGCCTCAGCTACCATCCTCTAACCAAGCGCTTTGAGTCACCCATGTAGAGGGGCATGTACTGGGGAACATTTCCAGTTGAGGGAACCCGTCTGGAAGATGAGTGGAAGCAGGGGCAGGTGGGGTGGGAGAAGCTGAGCTTGGTCCACAGAGGCTGATAGGGGCTGCGCCCTGGGCTCCCAGCCACATGTCCCAACCCTGGGGCCTTGTGGAGCACAGAGGAAGAAGGAGAGGAAATGAGAGGTTTTGAGGGAAGAAGCAGCCCAGAGTCCAACGAGGCGGGAGGGCTGGGCTGGGGGAGGAGGAAGCGGGGCCTCAATGGTGTCTTTGTGGAAGCCTTGCTGCTCCCCAGGCCTCAGGCGAGGAGGGTGGGGTGGCTGCGGTGGGGAGCGGTTCCAAGAGGCTTTTACCTGCCTTATAATTTTCCCTCTTGTACAGGGAGATGGGTGGGTTTCCAGGCCCCTTCCGTACCCTCCTTTCCCCCACTTTCCTGGCCCTAGCGGACCTGGGACCCTCACTCAGTGGACCCAGGCTGGGGTAGGGTTTCTGGCAGGGAAGAGAAGAGTGAAGGACCCTCACTTGGTGCTGCCCAGCCCCCCAGGCCCAGCAGGCTCCTGGGAGGCATCTCCCATGTTACAGGTGAGGAAACTGAGGCTCAGAGAGGGCAGTCCTCCGTGCTAGCCTGTGGAGCAGTGGCAGGGCTGGGACTTAAGCTCCCGCGGGTGTGGCTCCAGAGCTAGGGGCTGTGGGTGTCAGCAGGGCACATGCACCGTGTGTGCACCCAGAGAGGCGTGGTGGGTTTGCTTGCTGCCTGTGAATCGGAAGTGGAGCATCTGCCAATGGCCCCAGTGGGAGGAGGGTGTGAGAGCTGGACCCCAGCCTGGGGAACACACACTCTTTCCCTTCTTGTCCCCTGGGACTCTTCTGTCAGGGCCGGGTGGAGGGGGCAGCGAAGAGGGGATGGAAGCATCTGCTCTCCTTGGGCGGTTTGGCAGCCCCGCCTCTGTGGCTCTGGGGCTGGCCGAATAGGGAGGGCCCTTCTGCAGGGGCTGGCGAGGGATGACTAGGTCCAGAAGCCAGTGATAAGTGCCAGCCCTGCCCACTGGGGACTTGGAGGTCTGGGAGGAGGGTGGAGAGACAGGGGTCTGGGTGGGAGCTGCCCCCAGGAGGCTGAGGGCCAGGCTCTCTCCTGGGCAGTGTCCAGGACCAGGCAGCCCATGGCTCATCTCTGAGTTCCCCTCGGCTCTGGCAGCAGAAACTGCCGAAGACAGGGCTGTCGGGGCGGCGTCTCGGGGCTTCCCCAGCCTGGTGGGCTGGGTCTGGAGATAGTGAGTGTGTGAGTTGGGATGGGGGAAGAACAGAGGAAACGGTGACTGTGGGTCTGGACGGCTGCCTGGACCTGAAATCTGGTGGCACAACTTGTGTACAGTGGCTTGTGTGCCTCCTCCTCAGTTCCCCCATCTGAATACAGGGCAGAGGGTGGGCTCACCCCACAGGCAGAAGTCCACGTCCAGGGCAGATGCCTGGGTCAGGGCTCACACCCCCAGCACACACACAGGGCTCAGAGCCATGTGCTTCCATGCTTTCCCTGGCCTCAGTGTCCCCATCTGTAAAAGGGGACCTGGATAGAGGGACTGACACACATCTGGCCTCTAACCAGCCCAGCAGACTGGCAAGAGGTGTGGCCACTACCGTGGGTACAGTAGAGCCATCTCTGGCCTAAATGGCCACAGGTCTGGCCAGACTGGAAGCTCTTGAGGACAGGACCAGGGCCCACATGCTAAGAGAATGAAAGGATCAAATGTGGCATTTGGCCCATGTGAGGGTTTTTCTATCAGGCAGAGCTGTCCCACCACAGCAAGCCCCCAGCACTGGTGGTGCTCCAGCGGGAGGGCGTTGCCGGGGGGTGCACCAGGAAACCTCAGTGTCCTTGCTAGTGAACCTCTGGGCTACCCAGGCCCATCAGGGATCCCAAGACTGAGACCTCTCTTCCTGGGCAGGCCTGGCTCCTCCTGGAATAGGTTCCTGCCTAGCACCCCCACCTGCCAACTGCCTGGAAGCCTGCAGCCTGTGGGCCCCCCTGGAGCTGTGCCCACCGCCACCACACTCCCTCTGGCCCTCCTTTTCTCTCCCGGCCTCAGGCCCAGCCTCTGCTAATGCACCACGTCTCTCTCACTGGCACCAACTCTCCAGGGCTCCAGGCCCACTGCCAGTGTCCCTCAGATGTCCACGGCAGGAACACCCATAGGAACCCCCAAGCCCAGCCCCACCCAAAGCAAGGAGGACTCAGTGTCGTCTCCCCTACAGCCGGCTCGCCAGCCCCGTGAAGGCCCGACTGTCCACCTGTTGCTGAGTAGACATCTGAGGGTCGCGCTGAACTCTCCTCCTCCTCCCTCCCCACAGCCACTGCTGATTAATACTCAGGTTCCATCCATCCAGTCCCCAAATTCTCCTTCAACTTCATCTTCCTCTCTTGCTCCCTGGTCCATCCATAAGGCGGCTGGCCACCGTCCTTGGTCTGGCTTAATCAATCTCCTGACTCCCTTTGCTAATAGCAGCCCCAGTTAACCCAAACTGAAAGCCGCTCTCTCAGCCTCCCTTGGCTTTGCTGGCTCCCACTGCCCCAGGGTCAGGCCCCCACCCCTGGGTGGCGACGAAAGCCAGGGTGCCCTCGGCCCTGCCTGCAGGGTCTCTTGCTCTCTTCCACGGACACTCCACGCCTCCGCCTCACTAGACTCTGCACTGACTCTGCGCACACCTAGCAGGCCCGACCTGCTGCCTTCGCTCAGGCTGGGCCTGCTGCCGGGCCAGCTCTTCTCTCCTGTCCGCCTGTGAAATGTCCTCATGCTCTTTTGGGAAAAAAGCCCAAAGCGCCTTCTTTGTCCTTGGGGTGCAAAGACACTCGCTGTGGCCCAGGGGGCTGTGCTGTTGTCACCTCTCTCCATTTACACTGTGAGCCTTGGGGACTAGACTGACCTTGCTTGGGGACAGGAGGTGAAAAGAAAGGAGGGAGGGGCTGCCTCTGGGAGCTCGCCCCAGCCCTCCCCACTTTGTCTTACCTCCAGGCTCCTTTCCAGGCCTCTTCTGCTCTCCAGGGCCCCAGGGCTCAGAGGCAGGGGGCTGGACATAATGGCCAGGGAGGGCTGGAGGGACTGCCCCAGCCAGAAACTGCTTTTCTGGGCCTGTGATGACAGAGTCTTGTGCTTGTTTTTAAAGAAAATAGAATCTGAGCCCCTATTTATAGCCGGAGGCCACAGCCACAGACAGAAGACGGATGGGGTTTGAGGCTTACAGGCCCCTGCTCTAGCATGGACTGGGAGGTGGGGCCATTCCCAGGCCCCCCTGCCCGCCTTTGTCAACCCCCAAGGAAGTGCCTGTGGGATCCTGACACTCCCTGGGACAGGATGTAGCCTGCACTTTGGGGCACGGGAGGACCTGGTGAGGGGAGCGGAACATTTCTCAGGATTGGTCCCTGGGGCCCAGAGTCCCTTGTGGGAATGGGAGGAGGTGAGGGTCTGTTATGTCTACTGAGAAGGCAGAGAGGGCCCTGGGGACGGGTGGGGTGCTGGCGGCAGGGAGCACTTCTGACTGCCGTGGAACCCGGTAAAGGAGAAGGGAAGGAGAACAGAGCAGGACTGGAGAGATGGGCAGACAGACAGAGAGACAGGGTAGGAAAGACAGACAGAAAGAGATGGAGGAACCACAGCCAGGGGTGGGAAAGGACAGAGAGATGGAGAGAGCGGGATGGGGGGATGGACTGAGAGATCGGGGGTGCTCTGCAGCCCGGGTGACCCTGCGCAGGGGCAGACAGAAGCCGTGAGGGGAGACTGAAGTGTGGCTTCCGTTCCATAGAGTCTTCATGGTGCTCCAGGCAGCGTGGTCAGAGTCCGGGTGGAGCCGGTGAGGAGGGAGGAAGCAGGCGTCTCTGTGGCCTCGCCCACCCCCAGCCTCCAGGGTCTAGGGGCTGGAGACCCTCCGTTCCCGGCAGTCTCCACGGGGAAGGCCCAAGGCCTATTGGAGGCAACTCAATGTTGTGGGGCAGAGCCCAGATTGACCTTGTCACCAAGATCCCCAAGGGCTGTCTTGGGCACGGCCGGGACCTTGAGGGACAGGTCTGGTCTCTGGCTTGCTATGGAGTGAGTTCCCTAGGCCTGGAGGGCTCACAAGCTAAGGCTATGGCCTGGACTCACACCTGCTGCCAGCCTCTACGCAGACCCCTCCCTTGGCTGCGCTTGTAGGGGCTGTGGGGTAACCGTAGCCTGGGGCATGTGTCATGGAGCCACAAGCAGTGACTCAGACAGTTAAAAAAGGAGCAGCTCTGAGTGGTGACTCAATTGGCTCTGGAGGGGCTGGGTGGGTCTGGCTGGTACAAGATGGGGTGGTCTGGGTTTATTTTTGGCAGGGCGGGGCTGGGGCCAGGGGGTGGAAGATGGGAACCGGGGGTGGAGAGGAGCCGCTGCTCTCATCCCGGGGGGAGCCCCAGGGCTCCATGCCAACTTAGGAAAGTGGCTTTCCAATGCCAGGGAGTCCTGGCAGGCTGGGCTGCTTCTCAGCCCCATTCCAGGCCTAGCCTGCCTTGCTGCTTGGCCCAGGACAAGCAGCTGGCTCTCTCTAGATAGAGGCAGAGGCCCCTGTCCTGTTCCCAAGAGGCTCAAGCTCAGAATTTAGAGCTGACCTAGGAGACTGAAGATTCCACCCAGAGGCCCAGATAGGGCCAGGGTCTCCCCAAGGCCACACAGCAGGGCCAGGTAGCCCAAGGGCTGTGGCACCATCAGCCAGCTGGCTCAGGTCTCTACAATATCTCACCGGCCCCAGGGCTGTCCACGGTTGGAAGGACAGCCCCTGTCTGAGTACCCACCCCTGGAGGGGCTCAGCCAGGCTCCAGGTGGGTGGCCAGAAACACATGGGCCCCACATGCCCAGAGATAGAATCTCGGCCAGGGGCAGCCACTTGGATTCTGTTAGCACATGTGGGTGGGGGGCCTGTCTGGGCCCTGTCCAGGGGTCTGTGGAGAAGAGTCACCTCTACGTGGGTGAAGGCAGTGGGGGCCTGCACAATGGGATCTTGCCCTGAGGGCTCAGGCACGGGCCGGCCCTTGTCCGGGGTCCCTCCAGTGTCCCAGCCCCAAGCTGCACACCCCACTCTGCAGTCACCTCAGTCACCTGCCCACACCTCCCCCTACTCTGAGCTCACATACACCCATCCCCCTGAGGGGTCCTAGCAGCCCAGAGCGGAGAGGGCTGTCCCCTCCCTCAGTCCGGATTTCTGCTCCTCGTGATGCAGCCACCACTGCTTATGTCATGAGTGGTGGTAACAGCCCCATGGTGGCCCTGGCAGGTGAGCTATCTTGCGTCCCTGGGCCCTGGCCTCCAGCCCCCACCTCCAGAGAGGGATTCGCGAGGGGTTGGTAGAGAGCAGGGAAAAGACAGGCTTCTAGGGTCCCTTGTCCCATAAAAGGTCCTGATACCTGCTCATTCTCTTCTCACTCACCTGCTCTGGGGACAGGGGGTTCCTGCTGTGCCCCGGCCCAGTGAGCCCCATCCTAGGGGCTGTTAGGCTTGGGAGAAACAGGCCCTGGGGAGGGCCAGGCAGGGGCTGTCCCTGCTTCTTCTAGCACTGGGAGAGGGGTGTGGGCCTCAGCCCAGTTAGCCACAGAGATGCAGACCCCCACCCCCTCCCACCTTCTGAAGGGTCCTGGGCTGGCAGGCAGCCGCTGGCTGATACCCTCTCCAGAGCCCACCTCTCCTTTTCCACGTCCCTTGGTCCCACACGGACTCACGGGGCCACCTCCTCTAGGCCTTTGCCTCGGAATCTTCCTGAAAGACTCCTAAGCAGAAGTCCCCATGTCACCAGGCCACTCCACCCTGGGAAGAAGATGCTAATAGCAGAGTGACTGCAGCCTCAGGAGCAGACGTCCACCGAGCATTGATTCCAGGCAAAGTGTCTTGCTTAATCCTCACACGTAATCCTCGACGTAAGAGGTCGAAATTATTTATCCCCATTTTAGAGAGGAGAAAACTGAGGCTCAGAAAAACAGTCACTTGCCCAAGGTCACGCATGGAGTGTTAGGGCTGGAATTCAACCTGAGCTCTCTAATGCCGTGTTTCACCACCATGTGCCTGGCCTCCTGCTTCCCTGTGTGGGTTCCCACAGCTCAGGACTCAGAGGAGGGAGAGATGGGGCCTGGGTCAGGGCTGAGGGGCAGGGGAGGGGCTCCCTCTTAGCTGCTCGCAGACTCCCAAAAAGGGTGATTTGCTCCTTCCTTGACCAGGATGGGAAGTAAGAGAGTGTGTGTGTGTGTGTGTGTGTGTGTGTGTGCACGCGCGCGCGCGCGTGTGTGTATCTGTGTCTGTGTCTGTGTGCGTATATGTGTGTCTGTGTGTGTATGTCTCTGTGTGTGTATCTGTGTGTGTCTGTGTGTGTATCTGTGTCTGTGTGCATATGTGTGTCTGTGTCTATGTGTGTCTGTGTGTGTATGTCTGTGTGTGTCTCTGTGTGTGTGCATGTGTGTCTGTGTGTATCTGTGTGTGTATGTGTGTGTCTGTGTCTCTGTGTGTGTCTGTGTGCGTGTGTGTGTGTGTCTGTGTGCACGTGTGTGTGTCTGTGTGTATGTCTGTGTGTGCGTATGTGTCTGTGTGTATGTCTGTGTGTCTGTGCGTATGTGTGTGTGTATGTCTGTCTGTGTGCGTATTTGTGTGTGTCTGTGTGCGTATGTGTGTGTCTCTGTGTGTGTGTTGTGTCTGTGTGTCTGTCTCTGTGTCTCTGTGTGTGTGTGTGTGTGTATGTGTGTGTGTGTCTGTGTCTCTGTGTGTGTCTGCATATGTGTGTGTCTGTGTATGTGTGTGTGTGTGTGTGTGTGTGTGTGTGTGTGTGTGTGTGTGTGGCTAGGCCTCAGGCCTGCCTGGCTGGCCTCCAGCTGCAGGAGAGCTGGTCTGGCCCCAGCCACTGTGCACAGGGAAGGGGCAGGGAGAAGTGGATGTCGTGGGAATCAGTGTCCTGGTCCCACTGGTATTTATAGCTGCCCCTCCCTGAAATGTGGGTGGGGGAAGGGGCTGCTCTTAGATGGGAACGGAAGTTCGTCTCCTCTCCCCAGCCCCCTCTGACTCCCCAGAGAGTGGACTGGCCCAGGCCAGAGGGCCTGCTCTGGGGGGGTTTTCCCTGGGGCTGCTGGCTCAGGGGAGGGACACTCCTTGCCTGCTGAGCAACACTGTGTGTGTGTGTGTGTGTGAGTGTGAGAGTATGTGAGTGTGAGTGTATGTGTGTGTATGTGTGTGTGAGTGTGTGTGAATGTGTATGTGTGAGTGTATGTGTGTGAATGTGTAAGTGTGTGTGTGCACACATACGCATGTGCACTTACTGGGTGTCAGGCTGAAGAAAGTCATGGACCAGGGACAGAGGCCAGCTGAGGGTAGGGGAAGAAAGGCCTGTAACCCCACAGAGATGGAGGGCAGGGCCCCAGGAGAGGGGCCATCCAGGTCATGGGTCTCAGAGCAATCTGTGGTTAGAACAGGCTCCTGGGGGTGGCGATACTGGAGCTGAGCCTTGGAGGATGGGGGAAAAGGGAAGGCCTGTTGCATGGAGCAGCTTGAGCAGAAGTGGAAGGGTGCCAGCGGTTATGGATTATTATCTGATGGCCTAGTTCTATCTGATCAGCCAGTCTGTGGGACACGGGATCACCTTGACCAGGGAGGATGATATATTTAGGGAGAGAAGGACATAGCACAACACAGTTGAGCATCCCTAATCTGAAAATTCAAAATCCAAATGTCCCTAAATCCAAAATTTTTGAGTGTCAATGGGATGCCACCAGTGGAAAATCTCACACATAAGAACTTTTTTTTTTTTTTAAGATGAACCCTCACTCACTCTGTCGCCCAGGCTGGAGTGCAGTGACATGATCTTAGCTCACTGCAACATCTGCCTCCCAGGTTCAAGCGATTCTCATGCGTCAGTCTCCTGAGTAGCTGGGATTACAGGCGTCACAAGCACACCCAGCTAATTTTTGTATTTTTAGTAGAGACAGGGTTTCACCGTGTTGGCCAGGCTGGTCTCGAACTCCTGAGCTCAGGTGACCTGCCTGCCTCAGCCTCCCAAAGTGCTGGGATTACAGGCAAGAACCACCGCGTCTGGCCTCCACACGTAAGAACGTAACATAAATTTCTCTCAGGCACAAAATTCTTTAAAAAAAATCTATAAAGTTACCTTCAGCCTATGTGTATAAGGTGTATATTAAACATAAATCAATCTCATGTTTAGATTTGGGTCCCATCTTCAAAATATCTCATTATATATAAGCGAATATTCCAAAAGCCAAAAAAAATTCAGAAATCTGAAACACTTCAGGTCCCCAACGTTTCAGATAAGGGACACTCAGCCAGTGTGGAGTGAGGGCCAGCAGGCAGCGGGCAGGAGTGGGAAGCTGGGGCAGGAGAGGCCACGCAGCCCCAGGCCTGCTGTGAGGAAGCTGGGACTGCCTTCTGCTCCCGGCCTCCAGGCTCCCAGACTTGGGGAAGGACATCTTCCAAGGACCCTTAGTACCAATCTTCATGGAACCCAATCTATAAACAGGTTTGTGGAGTGGCTCTGCATGAATTGGGGTGGGGCAGGCGTCCCATATTCCCAAGCTCAGCTGTCTCCAGGCCGGCTCAGCTGGAGAGCCCTGGGGTGCGCTGGAGCGCAGTCAGAAAATCCCTGGTTGGCTCAGTGATCTCTACACCCCTCTGGGGGCCAGGCTGTGAGCCCTACAATGGGGGAGACCCCTGAGCAAAGCAGGTGGGATGTGTGCTCCCGGGGAGCTGCTGGTCCTGAGGGTGAAGCTACCTCCCAAACCAGGGCCAAAGAGTAGGGAGCCCTCCCCCTAATCTCCTGAGGACTCACTGTGTGACTCTGAACAAGCAGGCTCCTCTGTCTGAGCCCGGGTTTCCCCAGGATCCATGGGGGGCTGGTCTGGGGTCAGGGGTTTCTGCAGTAAGTTCCGGGAAGGGAGGCAGCGTCACTGACACACCTCAACCTTAGGCCGCAGGAGAGCCACACACTGAAGTGTTGAAGCAGGAGCGATGGCTGGAGGCCTGGCTAACGCATGCATGCCAGGGCTGGCAGAGCCAGCGGCCTCCTCCACAGGCTGGGAGCCGGCCTGGGTGTGGGAAGGAGCTGAGCGAGAGGCAGGAATGCTCAACAGGACAGGCACTGTCCCTGATGGGGCCCACCCCTGCCACCAGGCCACCTTGACAGCAGCCCTACAGCTATCACCCTACATCAGAGACAAAAGTGGCTTCATTGGCAACCCTAGCTTTGGGGGGAGAGGGTTTTTTGAAGGGGATTTGCTTAGGCTGTGAGAAAGTGGGGAGGGTTTGGAAAGGGAGAGAACGCTGGCTGGTGGGGGATGGGGAGACAGAACAAACATCTGGAGTCCTCAGCGAGCTGTCTGTCCCTGCAGACCTCTCTCTTTCCCCTGCTGGGGCCCGAGCCCACTGGTGGGTGGTTGTCCACCTGGCTTGATGTAGGGAAGCTTGTTGCTGTTGGAGTGAGTGAGAATACCACGGCCTGTGTGCCCAAAGAGAGACCTGAGGCAGTCCCTGCTTTTCTCTGAGCCTCAGTTTCCTCATCTGTAAAATGGGAATGTTGGACAGGTATGGTGGCTCACACCTGTAATCCCAGCACTTTGGGAGGCCCAGGTGGGAGGCTTGCTTGAGCCGAGGAGTTCGAGACCAGCCTGGGCAACATCGTGAGACCTTGTCGCTACAAAAAATAATTACCCTGGTGTGGTGGCACATGCCTGAAGTCCCAGCTACTCAGAAGGCGGAGGTGGGGAGATCGCTTGAGCCTGGGAGGTTGAGGCTGCAGTGACTGTTTCCTGACCGGCAGGGCTGCTGTGGGGCTGCAGGACTAACAACATGGTTAGTGCACACCCTGGGACATGGGACACCCAGCTCGTACCTCTAGTGCAAGCACAGCAATAAGACAGCTTTGTCCTCTCCTGTTTGGAGTTACGGACCCTCCTGAGAAGTGGAGAGAGCTAGATACCCTTGCCCCATGGAGGAGCCAAGTACAAAATTGTTCATACAAATTCAGTTCATTTAAAAATTCCTCATACAAACTCAGTAGGAATGGTAAAACAGTAAATTTGAAACCTGTCTTAAGCTTGCAGCTGGAGGAAGAGTCTTAACTCTGGAATGCTCTATTGAACTGACATATGCTGGGGCGGAGGGCATGTTGGAGGCGAGAGGAGAGCTGGATGGGGCAGGAGTCCGGGAGAAAGGCGATGAAGGAGCAGAGGGACCAGGGAGGGGCCAATCTCTAGTCCCAGACCCACAAGCCCCTGTTCATTTTCTCCTGGCCTTGAATAGAAGACACAGCTCAGGGTGGCACCCCGTCCCCATCCTGTGCTCACTTCCTTCCTCGCAAGCGCCACTGGCCCAGATCTTTAAGGTAGGGGACTTGGAGACAGAGGCAGTAGCCATGCTCGTCCAGGTCTGTGAGAGTGGCCGTGTGCAAGTGTGTGTGCCCACATCTGTGTGCGCCAGTAAGTGTGGATGTCAGGGCTATTTCCAACTCCCCCTCCCCTGCCCACCCGTCCTGGGCAGCACTCCCAGTTCCCAGACACAGCCTATACACTTCCTCCGCGAGCTCCACACGCACCCCACTCCCCTCCTGCCATCATCGACAGCCGCCTGGCCCACCTGGCATGGCCCACCCCAGGCCCCCCAGGCGGGCAGCACTAAAAGGCCCTTCTTGTCCTGCCCGGGCGGGCAGGCGTAGGGAGGGAGGCTCCGTTACACTTGCTCTAGAACAGTTTTTCTCGAGTCCGGGTGGGCTGGGCCAAGGGCTCTGGCCCCTGGGCCCTGCCCTGCTCCGGAGGCCTGGGGTGGCACACAAGGTGCACACAAGGCTCAGTGCCTGTCCCGAGCACCATCGGTCCCCCCAAGCCATCCTCAGAGGCAGCAGGATCTACCCTGCTTCAATTTCTTGTACCTGGTGTCCCTGTGGCCCTGCTCACTAAGATACCCCCATCAGTTCTGAGTCCCCACTCAGGTAACACACAAGCCCTCCCTGCCAGGTACTCCCCCACCTGGGTCCCACTTCAACCCCTCACATTCTGCCTTTCAGTCAGCGATGCCAGGGAAGAAGTGTGGGAGCCACCACCCCTGCCTGCCCTGTGCTCACTGTGACCCCCCGACTAGAATGTCACCTCCTTCCTTCTCTGCCTGTCCTTCCAGTATCAGCTCAAATCCAATCTCCCCAATGCTTGGCTCTCTGCTGGGGCCTCCCATACAGCTCAGAAGGAGGTGGACACCGCATCTGTCACCCACACTGTCTCAGTGGCCCAAGCCTAGGCCCCGACGCAGGCTGGGAGCACCCTCGAAGCAGGGCTGGAGGCTCTTCCTGGGCTGCTGGGGTTCTTGGTGGAACTCAGAGTACTTTTCTTCCTCTCTGGGGCCTCAGTTTCCCTCTCTATACAAGTGGAAGATTGGCCCAGATGGCCTCTAGGTTGCTGACTGCCAGGCCCCCTGACCCGGATGCCTCAAATGTTGATGAGTAGAGGGAGAGCCTCCCAGCACGCCTCATTCGGATACGGGAGGACGAGGGCCTTTGCAGCCAGGGGCATCCGGGAGGGGTGGGAGGGACGCCTTCCTCAGGCAGGGGCTGCCCCTACTGCAGAAATCAGGGCAGGCAGCTGGACCAGGAGTGGTGACAGAGATGGGTTGCTGGACGGGAGCTCTCACAGCCCCTCCTCATTTCCGAGTCCTCCTAAAGGCAGGGGATGGTGTAACTTTATAAAACCCCACAGCACCATGCTGCTCTCTTGCCCTAAAACCCTTGTGGCATCTCCTTTGCCAACAGGGCATAAGGCCGTGGGCTTCATTTTGCCATTTAAGGCTTCTGTGCCCCAGCCCAGTGGTTCTCCCTGGCCTGTGCTCGAAATATGCCTCCCAGCCAGGCTGCTGGCCTTCCTGTCTCAACACCCCTCTGCTTACACCCACCTTGGTGCCTCTGAGTCAGCGCCCCTGCCTGGAGGACTGACTCCCTTCCCATCCACCAAGGCTTGGTTTGAGGCCCACCCTGTGTCCTGCCCCAGCTTGCCCCTGCTTTTCTCCCCTCTGTACTTTTCATCCAGATTTTTGCTGTTTGAGATTTAATTTGCCTTTCTGCCTCCTGAATGAGTCTCAGTTCAGCCTCTCAATTTCCCGTGCCCCTGCGAGCCTAGCACCATGCCTGCATGCTGTCAGGGCTAAGAAGGTATTTGAGAATGGCTCTCAGTTGAAGCCCAAGGAGGTGGGGGTACTGGAATCCCTCCTTGGCTGGAGGCTGGGGCCTGAATGAGCTGACCACCCTGGTCACCTTGGATGCTCCCTTCCCATCTCCCTGGCGGCCCAGCCCATCCCTCAGGCCCTGAGATCTTAGGGGATCTGGTCCCTGCAGGAACAGGGAGCCTGGGGATCCAGCCCTGATTCACCCCGCGGGGGTCCTCCCTTGACTCACTTCCCTTCTGGGAACCATGTGATGCCCTCTTTTAGAGCTGGCTTCTCCATCTGAAGGAGAGAAGGGTGTAGCCTGGGCCCTTGTGAAGGAGGCTCAGGCCCTGCCTTTGCTCCATGCTGCTCTTGGGAATGATCTCGAAGGTGTAGCTGAAGCACTGAATCACACATGGGTAGTGATGATGGATGGGCCCTAAGGCTGCAGTTCTTATGGCATAACTAGAGCTGCCTTCGCTGAAGGAAGAATGCTGTCATGTTGGGGTTTCTGGCATCGGGACAGAGAGGGGATATATCCCAGCACTTCTCTGAAAGCGAACTTCCATTCAGCCTCTGCTGGGTCAGGCATCAGTGCTGGGATGAGGAGGTGTGGCAGGGGGTGGTCCAGAGCTATCTGTAGGACAAGCCCCGCTGAGGGGCACCAGCTCTCCCTCTAGGAGGCTGAGAGTGGGTAGTGGGTGGGGGGTCCTGCCTGTCACCAACAGGAGGAGGGAGAGGAGAGAATGAAGAGGGGAGGTGGCAGATAGATGGATCTGCAAGGAAGCAAGGGGAGGAGAGAAGGGGCAGAGCTGGGGGGCAGCTGGAGGGGTGTGGGGGTGCTCCTCACAGGGGAGGGCAGGGTGGCTCCTTCCTCGTTTCCCACCTTGTAGCACTCCCCGTTCCTGGCCCAGGGCATCTGAAGCTGGAGGACCCACTTCTCACTGTCGCCGGGTCCCTTTGGACCCCAACATACTCACCCCAAACTTGCCTGGCAAACAAAGCTCGGACAGCATTGGGGTGGCCCCACTGGTGTCTCAGACAATCCAAACGGGCAAAGCCACGCCCTAGGCAATCCATGCCTAGGGCGCCTGCTCCCGCCCCTAACTGGACAGCCTTGGCTAGCTAGAAACCCCATAACCTGAGATAGCGGGGTCCCGTGTCCGCCCCAGGATTGAACCCCTGGCGACCCCAGCTAGTGGTGGGAGAAGCGCAGCCTGCTTGACTTCTGATCTGGGGGCCACTTCTGGGTCCTCCTGTCCCTTTTCCCTCCCTGAGGAACCCCTCTAGTTCTGCCAGGCTGGGTCAGGGTCTCAGGCCCCTCACTCATCCACGGATGCAAGTCTGGCCAACATAGCCAGGGTCAAAGCCAGGGCCAGGGCAGGGGCTGGAGGTGAGGGCTGTGGCGTGGACTGCATCCCGGCTGGCTGAGTGTCAGGACTTTCGAGGTGTGATGGTGACTGATCCATGCGGGGGTTATGAGTACTGGTCTTGAAACCAGAGAGACCTGGGTTCGAATCCCCGCTCTCCTACTTGGCTGTCAAACCTTGAACAAGTCACCTCACCTCTCTGTGGCAGTTTCCTCACTTGTAAAATTGGGTTGATGAGGATTAAATGCTTTAATGTACCTCAAGTGCCTAGCCCAGGACCTGGCATACAGTAGGTGCTCAATAAATGCTTATCTTTTCTCCTCTGTCTCTGTCATCCTGCACATCCCTGTGATTCATGGTTTACATATAGCTTTACACATATCACTTCCTTTGTTGCAAAGCTTCAATTTTCCCCTCCGGAGGCTGCTGCATACAGTAGGTGTGCAATAAATGCCTGCTGTAGTTGACTAAGAAACCAATTGCTGCTGTTCTGTGGGGATTTTGGCAAACCTAAGAGCTTCCATCCATGTGCCCTAGGAGGCCTGGGATGAAAGCTGTGCCAGGCTGGCCTCAGTGGTGGTAAAGCCATTGATTCCACAATTTGTCCCTTGTTTTTCCTTCTCCTCAAGTCAGCAGGACACCTGGTCCTCATTAGGGGCTAATTACTGGCCAACTGTGGGCCTGGGGTTGGGGGTGCTGCTTGGAAGACTGTGTTTGGAGGAAAAGAGCTTTCTTTTCAGGAATGAAAAAATAAGACAGAAGGCTTTTTGTTCTATGAATCAAAAATTTGGGTGAAGATCTCTGCTGGCCCCATCTCCCCCGCCGTTCCCCCTCCCCATCTTCCCTGCTCCCCACCTACACAGATGTCTGTGGAGCCTCCAGACAGGGCGCTCCCACCCACAGCTGAGATTCAAGTCTGGATTAGCTGGGAGCCTCCCCCTGCCTTGTTGCTAGCTGGGCAGAGAAACACAGGCCTGGAAAATAATGGCAACCAGCACGGCGGTAATAACCCGGCTGGCGCATCTCTGCTGGGGCTTCCCAGTTTACAAAAAACATTCACCTGGTCTCTTGACAACTTTGGGAAGCGTATGTGTTGGCCAACTGTGTCCCTGCTTCCAGATGAGGAAACTGAGGCTCTCAGTGAAAAAGGGATGCTGCGGCTCCAGCGCACACAGGCCTGGCCTTTGCTCAGCCGTAACCTAGGGCTGGAACTCTGGACCAATGCTGAGCAGCATCATGCCAGGCAGACTGGCAGAAAGTCGAGGCCCCTGTGTGCCTTTGGAACTGACCCCTGACCACCTCCCACTGTCTTGGAACAAAGGCTGCTGGACCAGCCGTGCCTGCTCCTCAACTGTCCCCTCTCCAGCTCCTCAGCAAGCTCCCCCGAGGCCCTGAAGCCTCAGTGCTGAACAGAGCTGACCTGGGCCTCTCTGGCATCCTCAGGTCTGGCTCGGGCCTTCTTCCTTCTGCCCTCCAACCTTTCCCATGACTTTGCTTGGCCAGGCATCCTTGGTGGCCATCCCTGACTGCCCCTACCTCCCTGACCACATCTCACCTTCCTCCAACAAGCCCTCCTAGCCCTCCTTCGTGCACGTCGACTTCTCTTTCAAAAGATTCCCTGGAATCCTGATCTCCGTAGCTCTCCTAGTTTCACCTGGGGCCTGCTTAGCTGGGTCAGGAGGTGTGCGTCCATGCCTCCCCAGCCAAGCATGGGACAGAGCACAGGGTGGGAGGGAGGAGGAAAGAAGGAGGCTTAGAACACACTTATAAGAAGGAAGAAGGATGTTCCCACCCAGGGGCAAAAGAAGATTCAAACTTCTCTGAAGCTACAGTGACCTGTGTTATGTGCTGCCTCCATTTCTCCAATTGTTCTTGGAGAACAAGACAACAGAGGGCCCAGTAATACTCACCTCCCTGCCAGCAGAGTTCACCCAACCATGCTGGCCAAGCACTGCTGGTCACTCCTACCTCTAGTGCTTCTTGGACTAAGAGTCCCCGCTCTGGGCAGTGGCTGTGGTTTGGCCCCACCCTTGGCCAGGGTGTTTTGCACCCTCGTTGCCTGGGCCCCACCCAAGAAGCCTGTGGCCAAAGCCAGCTTGCTGGGAAATGGTGTGTGCCTGTGCCCTAGATGGGGTGGTGCCTAAGCAGGGGTGTGCTCCTGCTGCCCAGGGCCCGCCCTCAGGGAATTGGCCCTCTGCCATGAAGGTCACAGAACCTAGGCCACTACTGTGCAAGAGGGCACGGGCTTTAGGCGCTGGCTCAGTGGCCCTGCAGTTTTCTGGCCAAGAGCTCCATGGCAGCGGGCCCTGGGCCTGGGCCTTTGACCTGGGGCCTCTGTTAGGAGTGGTCCTGATCCTGCTTCTGGCAGAGGCACACACAGGGCTCCTCCAAGTACAGGCAGCCAGGCTCAGGAGGGGAGGGAGCAGCCAGTCCCAACAATTACACAGTTCGGGAGCTGAAAAGTTATGTTTGCCACCCTCAGGAGCCAGCTGTGGAAGGGAGGCTGGTGGAGGGCTTTGCCCTGGCCTCTGAGCCACACACAAGCCGTGCTGGGAGGACAAGGGCCGGGGTGGTGAAGGACCCTCTTGGAGCCTTTGCTTTCCAGGAGCAGGCACTCGTCTTCCATATCACACTCACAAAGGCTGGTGGCTTCAGTGGCTGTGACCAGCTGGCCACAGCTGACTCCTCTGGGGTAGTGCTGTTTCTAAATATTAGTTCCTGCTGTTAACCCTTGCTGTGCTGCCCCAGTGGACAGCCGGCTGCCTGCAGACAGAGCCTCTTGGAAGTAGAGTGGACAGTCCCCACCTGGATGAAAAATTTGTGAATATATTTGCTTGAGGGCTGGGTTGGGGCTCCCAGAAGGAGGGTGAGAAATACCTGCTTAGGGCTGGGAATGAGGCTTGCAGTAGATGTCAGGGGATGTGGGTCTGAGCTGGCCACTGGGCAGGGCAGGGGAAAGAAGGTGGGGTCAGGAGCCAGGAGCCCGGTCCTGCCAAGCCTTTTTTTATGTGGCCACAGACAAGTCACTTCGCCTTTCTGTACCCCTTTCCTCATCCGTAAAATGTACAGCCACCGAGGTGCTTGGATGATGGCCTTCAACAGAAGCGCCGGAGCTTTATAAACTCTGAAGTGCCTGGTGGTTATGATGATTTTTATGCCAGGGTCCTGCTGTCTGTGACTCCCCCGAGTCCCTTGGAGGAGAGGCAAGACTGACAACCAAGAGACAGCTGGAGCAAGCTGGTGGGGCTGCTGTTAGCTCGGGCAGGATGGGCAGAGCAAGAGGCAGCTCTCAGTTGGGCAGACTGCAGGGAAGGGTCAGCTTGTCACATGCTGTTGTGGAGAGTCACTCGCTATGTCCCCAGCCTCAACAGCTTAGCCTGGCAGTGCCTGTCAGAGGAGCAGCCATGAATTAGCCAGGAGGGGGCAGTGTTACCTCAATCTTCAAGCCCAGGCCTGTGCCCACCCACCCCAGCCGGCACCCGCTCTTGCTTTGCTGCTGCTGGGTGGACAGGCGCCAGCTCCTGTTGGTCTTGAGGAGGCGAGGGTCTCTGGGGCTGGCATTTGTCCTTCCTCCGTTCTTGGCATCCAGAGCCCCAATTCACCTCTACTCCTGGACACAGGAAGGTGTGAGGGGAGTTCTACCTTGACCTGGCAGCCCGAGGCCAGCCTGAGGCATGGAGGGGATGCGGCTGAGGTCAGCGGAGGGGCTGGGAGGGAGGGTGGGAGCCATGGAGGGAGTGGGAGGGAGGAGGGGGGTGAGAAGAGCCCCCAGACCCAATGGCTTAGGCAGAGGCACGCTGTTCCGCAGAGTAGAGGGAGATGGGAAGAGAGCACTGCTTCAGAACCGGTGTCTAATGGCTCATCCTTGTAAACCTGAACAATTTCCAGGTTTTAATTTAAAGTGAAAATTGAGGCTGGGTGTGGTGGCTCAAGCCTGTAATCCATGCACTTTGGAAGGCCGAGGTGGGCAGATGACTTGAAGCCAGGAGTTCAAGACCAGTCTGGACAACATGGCGAGACCCTGTCTCTACTAAAAATACAAAAATAAGCCGAGCATGGTGGCAGGCACCTGTCATCTCAGCTACTTGGGAGGCTGAGGTGGGAGGATTGCTTGAGCCCAGGAGATGGAGGCTGCAGTGAGCTGTGATCGTACCACTACACTCCACACTCCAGCCTGGGAGACAGAGCAAGACCTTGTTTCAAAAAAAAAAAAAAGAAAAGAAAACTGAATTGAAGACCTAACTTTGGTCAGAAAGGAACAGAGGATATAATATTCTTTGGAATATTTTTAAAAGCACACATACTACTAAATATTTAGGAAACAGCCTGTGGTAAACCCCTCTAGGGATGTTCTTGATTCTGGGCCCTGAGGTCTCCTCTCCATCCCACCTGCCCCCAGGCCCTGGGCTTTGTGTCTGCCCATCATCTCAACAAGGCTGGCCTGGGCTGGCTCTCGGGAGGCTGTGGGAGCTCGGGGACCCGTCTGTCTTGTGGCAGATTAGACAGATGTCATTTTGCAGACAGTGCCATTTATCACGGCAGCTGCAAAAATTAGTGATGCTTGGTCTGTAAGTGTTGGGTGGGGGTGGGAGCTGGCAGGTGACAGCAGCCAATGCTCCCCAGTGTTACCAGGTCAGGGAACTGCAGGCCAACCTCTGAATAGGGGTTTTCTGATTTAACACTTAGCCCAGGCGAAGACCTTCTGTTGGAAAGATGAGGAAGCTGGCGCTCGGAGCCTGGAAAAAAATTTGGTCATATGACAATTATTATTATTATTTTGAGATAGGATCTTGCTCTGTTGCCCAGGCCAGAGTGCAGTGGCACAATCTTGGCTCACTGCAGTAGCTGGGACTACAGGCACACGCCACCATACCTGATTAATTTTTAAATTTTTTTGTAGAGACGTGGTCTTGCTATGTTGCCCAGGCTGGTCTCAAACTCATGGCCTCAAGTGATCCTCCCACCTGCGCCTCCCAAAGTGGGATTACAGGCCTCAGCCACCATGCCCAGCCCACGTGACAGATTAGTGGCCCATCTCTAAATAAAGGTCTAGGTCCTGTGTGTGACCAGGACCAGGGCTCAGTGGGTGACCAGGACCAGGGCTCGTCTGGGGTGAAGTGCTTTACTTCTATTAGGACTAAGTATTATTTTTGCCTTTATGGCTCAGTCTAGGACAGACCTTCAGCCTGGCCCCAGCTGTCACCAGACAGGGGCAGGATTGGGAGCTGGCCCTGGAGCTAGGACTCACTCTTGGGGTGGGTTTATGGTCCCAAGGGAAGGGGAGAAGGAGGATGGAGGGTTCAGAAGGAATATTGGGGGGGTGGTGAAGATGTTCAGATGAGAGATGGCCCCGCAATCAAAGGGATGCCGACTCCAGGGAAGATGAATGGGGCCTCCCTTGTGCCTCGGCTTGCAAAATGACAGGGTCGTTTAGCTTGGGATTGACCTTTGGTTGAAGCAGTCCCATCGCTTGACGTTGCCTTTCCTGTGGTAGTGCCCCCAGAGACGTGACCTGCAGAAGGTCAGGCACGGCCTTCCAGGTCTGGCCAACTGCTGCGTGGCCCCTTCTGAACAACTCAGGGGGTTCTCGCTTGACCTTGCAGGAAGCCCTGGTTTGATCCTTGTAGGACTTGAATCCGTATCTTTAGGTCACTAGACCCCAGAGCCTGGCACTTGATCACACACAAAGCCCCCATCCATCCATCCATTCATTCAACAAACATTTGCTAAGCTCCTGCCCTGTGCCAGGCTCTGGCTGGGTCCGGGGATACGAAGACTTGGTCTTCACCTGGAGCCCTGGCCTCCAGGAGGTCTGAGGCTGTGTCAGTGAGAGGGTGGGAATTCACCCTCTCCCGCCACGAGGAGACGTTGGAGGGTGGATGAGGCTCGCTGCCTGGCAGGAGGCCCACCTGAGGTTCCTCCCTTCTCTCTAGGGGGCAAGACAGGCCTGGCTCCATGTTGGGTTACCTCAGCCAGGGCTTGGTGCTGACATCACAGTCCCACGAGCCTCCTGGACACTGGCTGGGGTGGGGGCTGGTCTCTGTTGTTCCACTGTTGCTGGAGGGAACCCCAAGGCCAACTGCCACTCTGGTTCCCAGGACCTGGGGGGATGGTGGCCCTGGGCCAGGAGCAGAAGAGGGGCCCTGCCTGCAGGGACACATGGACACACCATCTGGAGGCACACAGGTAGGGGCTGTGCACACACACATGTCCCTTACCGCACACACGTGGAGCAAGACACACACACAAATGCACAGACCCACACCTTACTCCACACACACACACCTGGTACCACCACTGCCTTCAAACGCATGCTTCATGCTAGTCACGGGAAAAAGCAGACGCGACCCACACTTATACCACACATGCGCACAGGCCCCACGCCATGCACAGCCACACCTCTTACTCCCCCCACCCCACCCCGTCCCTCTCTCCCAGGAATCTCATCTCCTGCACAGATATGCACCCACCCAGGCTCACTGGCGCCCCCCACTGCCCTGGAGAAGTAAGTCCACAAACCATGAGATGCCGCCACATCCAGAGAGAGGTGGGATGGCTGATGGGAGGGAGGTCAGAAGAGTCCCTGCATTCCCCCAGGAGAGGGGACCGCTGGCTGCTCTCAGCCCTCCAGCCTGGGGCCTGGCCTCTGGGCGCTGTGCACGTGGTCATGAGAGGGCACTCCCATGAAGACAAGCCAGGTCCCCACTCCTGCTCCCAGCACTCAGAGATGCCCACCCTCGGGGCTGCTCAGGCACAGGAGGACTAAACAGGAGCTCCTGCCACCAGCTCCTTACAGGGTGGGGTCAGGAGCTGGTGGGAGGACACATCCCCCTGAGTCCTGGGGTCAGGGGCCGCGTGGCCTTGCTCACTGGCAGGGAGTTGCCCACCCCTGCCGTTTCTCCCGCTCCCTCTTCCTCTCAGTGCCCACGTCCTCCCATCTGGCCTTTCTCTCCCCCAGATCCTCCCCCATGACTGGCTTTCCTTTCTCTCTCTCTCTCTCTCTCTCTCTCTCTCTCTCTCTCTCTCTCTGGCTCCCTGTGTCCCTGTGACCTGCTTATCCTCTAGAATAAAGATCGACATTTTCAATTACCCCAAAAATAACAGAGCCGTTCTTGGGGCCTGGCGGAGGATGGCTGCACGGGCGTGGGCACGGGCGCTGGTTTGCATGTGGGGCCTGCAGGTGGCGGGGGTGGGGACACCCACGGTCCCACTGTCCTTTGTTTGCTTTTTCTCATCCGGAGCCTTCATTTTTTCCTGGAAGATTGGAAGCACGTTTCCCTTCAGGGGAGGAAGGGAGACAAAAGAGAGAAAGAAAAACTGTCATCGTTGTCTTGTAAACAGCGTAGAGCCAAGTGGGGGCTCGGCAGGAGAGAGGGACACAAGGGAGAGGCCAGAACAGAGAAAGGGGGACGAGAGGGATGGGGTGGGGAGGTGAGCAGGAGCCCCCCTCAAGGCCGGGTGGGTCGGTGTCCTGCAGGAAGGACTGATGGGAGGGGAACAAGGCGACGCTGATCCAGGGCTGTTGGGGGTTTTGAGGAGACACAGCATCTGCTGAGTGCCAGGCAGGCCCCGGGAGGCAGGCGCTATTCTCTGAATCCCACCCTGTGCCAGGCTCTGGGGGTGCTGAGGTGAGTGACAGACATGACTTTGCACTCTTGGGGCATAAACTCTATTGGAAACAAAGTGGTGGCTTCATGTGTTCAGCACTTATATCAATTGAGGCTCAGAGAGGGTGGGTGACCTGCCCGATGACACACAGCCGGAGGTGAGGGGACCAGGATCCCAGCCAGGTCCGTGTGACCGCAGTCTCCTTTCACACCGCCTCTGCTGTGGGCACACTTGGCTCTTGCGTGACCTTGAGCAAGTCCTCACCTCTTGGCCATCAGTTTCCCCATCTGAAATGCAGCCACCATGCTGGTTCTCTGCAGGGCTGTGGGGAGCATCAGATGTCTGGATGTGAAGGACCCTCAGCTCTGGCTCTCCGCCGAGCTGGCTGGCGGGTGGAGGAGCAAAGATCACCAGGTGCGCAGGGAAGGACTGGCCGGCAGGGAAAGGAGGCCGGACCGCAGATTTACTCCCTGCTTCCGCCCAGTGGCAATAATTGGGTACTGCAGAGGGTGAGTCTGGACAGCCTTCTTCAGCTTGCACAAGGGCCAGAGCAGAAAGGCGCCTTTGCGTGTTGTCTGGTCCTCCCTGGCCCCATTTCGCGGATGCCCAGAGAAAGGAGGGACTCCTCCTCAGGTCATCCAGGGCAGAAGCTTGGGCTGGGCTTTCAGTGCAGTGTAGGGTGCTTCCCTCTGTCCCTGTGGCACTCAAGAAGCCTCCAGTCAGCTTCAGAGCAAGAGAAACAGAGTTCTACATCCTCTGCTTGACGCCACCACCTCCAGGGAGACTTCCAGGGTCTCCTCCAGTAGGAAGTGGCCTCACTCCTGCCCTGCAGTCCCACACTCGAACTCTCCTTGCTCCTCCTCCTCCACCCAACCATGACTGTCCTCCTGCCCGCAGCAAATCAGGCAGCAGGGCCCCTTGAGACACGAGAGATGGTGGAGAACCATTGTCACCACTCAGGGAGCATGTGCCAGGGGCCCACTCTGTCCTGCGGCTCTACCTGCATCCTCTCACTTGAACCTCGTAAGAACCTTGGTAAGTTGGGGTTATTTTGAGCCCCATTTTTCAGGTGAGGAAATGGGCACAGAGAGGTTATGACCTTTACACACAGAGTGGTGGGGCAGGGACTCAAACCCAGGACTGTCTGTTCTCTGGAGAGATGCCCGTGTTTGGAGGTGAAAACTACCCCCGTGGCCATATGACAGTCCACTGTGACCGGACACTGAAATGACCAGTCCAGGGGGCTTGTGGGCTGGGGTCTCAGCTTCACCACTGTGCTGCTGGGTGACTTCGGGCAAGGCCCATTCCTCTCTGGACCCTGGTTCCTCATCTGTGTACTGTGTATGTGCATGCATGCACGTGTGTGTATATATGCGTGCGTGTGTGTGTGTGTGTGTGTGTGTGTGTGTGTTCTGGGTTACCTCAGAGATCCATTCTGGCTCTGAGTGTGGTATGTCCCATCTTGGGCAGATCCAAGGGAGGGCATGAGCAATCTGGCTTTGGGACAGGTATGGGGCTGGCCCTAGGGCCTGGATGTTTCTCCCTCCACTGCCTGCCACAGAGGGGAGTTTGTCTTGCAGGAAACAGCCTCATCCATCACGGCAATGGGGGGCTGACAGCAGCCACTCCCCGCCAGCCCCGGCTGGAGGCAGACTCGTAAATCCCATGCCAGGCCAGGCTGTAAATTCCTGTGATTCACATCCGGCCTCTTGGAGGACAGAGACATTTGGGGCTGTGGGGCTGGCTGTTCTCCCCTGGACAGGTGGGTACTGGGGAGAAGCCTCTTCACGGGCCCAGCAGTCTCAGATGGCCCCTCTGAGGAGATGTGATGCTGAGTCCCCAGGATGCCTCAGGCCCAGCCTGAGCCACCTCTGCCCAGACCACCTCTGCCTGGGCCATTCGTGTGCCCTGGCCCGCATCACCCTGGAGGTCACACGTGTGGACACGCTCTGTGGCCTCAGAGATCTCATGGGGCCTGTGGCCTGGAGGGTTGGCTCCACCAACCCCACAGCGAGGTCTCCTGCCAATCCGCATGGCATTCTGTCTTGGGGCTGTGAGGACATGGTGGGAGATCAGAGCCCAGTCTGTGTATCTCTTATTCCAGGGAGGCCGGGGCCCCGAATCCACTGTCCCTTAGGCAGGAAGGGGACAGGGCCACTCAGGCCAGGGCTGCAGCCATTTGTCATGTTTCATCAGGACTTTTGCTACACTCAGATGCCACTGGAACTCTTCTTTACTTAGCGTTTTTTAAAAATCAGCTTACTTTTAAAATTTAAGTGTGTGTTTTAGCCTCGTCTTTAGCCATATTTGTGAAATCAGGGTCTGATGTACTAGTCAAATACCCGCACACATGTACACATACACATGTGCACATACACGCTCAGACACATACATATACACATATATGTGAAAATATACACATGAAATATATCCATGAAAGTAAACACAAAGTTAAAATAGCAAATGCTCAGCTCCATGTACCATCTAATCCTGCTTTAGGTTTAGAGTGGCTCTATTCTCCCCGCATTATGGGTGATTCCTTATTGGTGAAACAAAGCAGGTTCAGATGGCTCACAGAGCTGAGCATTTACCAGCCATTCTAGCCTTCCCCCATTTTACAGACAAGGAAACCAAGGTCCAGAGAGGTGCAGGGCCTGCCCGAGGTCACACAGCGCTGGGATTAGTGGCCAGCCTGCCTGACTCCCAGCTGAGTGCTCCTTTTACAGAAGCACACTCCCTGTCTGTGGTGTGCAGGGCCCCTTCCTCCAGAAGCATATGTGGACTTGCAGAGGCCTTTTGGAGACTGTGCCCTAACACAGAGGGTTCATCACAAGGTGGGCTTCCTGGTGGCAGGCTGACGGGCAGGCGAACAGTCTCCTGGGTCCTGGTGGGACCAGGCACTGGCCCCTGGCTCTGTCTGTGCTTTATCCTGGTGCTCATGGCTCTTGCAGCGCCTCGGGATTCGGGGAAGTGGGGAAAGGAGAGTCCCAGGGGAGGGAGAGAGCAGGGCTCTGGCAGCAACCCTTCCCCAGGGAGCTGCTTACTGAAGAGATCATTAGTGGCAACGACTCTCAGGCTGGCAAGGAAGATGGCCTCATTAGCAAGCACCTTCCCCTGCGCCACCTCCACCTTCCCACCTGCAGGCTCCTGATACCCACACTGCCACTGCCACCACTGCCATCACTCCAGAGATGCGGCACGATGGGCCTCCTGTTGGGGACAAGGCTGCTAGCTCAAGGGAGCCAGGAAGGAGATGTGTGCAGGGTGGCAAGGGTGCGTGTATGTTGCACACACAGACACACAGACGCCGGCACACAGATATGCTCATATGCATGTACACACATACTGCATTAATAGAGGTGTGCACATAGGTCTAGCGCACACACACACAACACAGAGACTTGCACGGTAACGCGCAACTCCCCAGACACACGGTGCAAGCACACGGATCCAACAGAGACGTGTACACACAGGGGTGGGTTTCAGTGTGAAGCCCCACAGTGCACACGTATAGAGACCCATATGGAACATAGGTGCACGTGCACCCCAGGAGATGCACGCGTGTATTCACACAAACATACAGTCCTGTCTCCAGACTCCGGAGTGTGCATGGAATTGTACACACATGAGTACGTGTTGACAAACCTGCAGACCAGCCCGGGGCGTACCACTGTGTGTGCAGGGAGGCCCACGTGCACACGTACATGCATGCAGAGCACACACCAGTTATTTTTTTCTTGGAATCTAACAAGGCCCAAGGAGCAGGGAGTGGCTAATTCCCTGGAGGAAGTGAGGAGACTGGAGTTGAGGACACATTTAATTAATTCTTCTCATTCCCAGCAGAGGGAGAAAAAGAGGGAAGGAGGAAGAGAAGAATGAAATGAGAGAGAGAGGAGAGGAAAGGAGAGGGGAGAGGGGCAGCAGGAGGGTGAAGGTGAAGGAGCTGGTGTGGGCAGTGAGGAGGCTGAGGGACCCTGGGCCCAGGGGCATTAACCTTTTCAGCTTAGGGCAGGCCCAGGGACCTCATCACTCAGCCCCAATCCCAGAACCAGACGGGACGTTCAAGGTCAAGTGGTGGGGCTGGCACAGAAGTCCACCCGCAGTGCCCCCTCCACACAGCTCTGGGGACAGGGCATGCACAGCTTTCACCTGCTCCCACCGAGTGGAAACCTGCCCCCCAACCCCAAACCTCCCACGCTCAGTCCCACTTCTGCTCTGTGCCTGCATTGGCTTAGGGCCTTGGGGACTCTCCTATCACAGGTCCGGGGTGGGGGCGACACAGCTGCCCAGGGAGGCCCCTGCTGGGCACCAGGACAGCTCCTCCCACCCCTGCCCTGACCTCAGCAATGAGACAGAGTCAGGGAGATGGAGGTGGACAAGGACAGGGGCTCTGAGGGGGAGGGAGGATGTGAGTCAGGAGAGAGGGGAGGTGGGGCGGGGTGGGAGTGAAATAGGGAGATGGGGGGCAGTGAGAGAGATGGGGAGACACTAAGCAAGAGATGGAGAAAGATGTGAGAGGGGCCGGGATGGTGAGAGTCAGACCCAGAGACACACAGAGAAGACGCTAGAGAGAACCAGAGAAACAAAAAAGGTCTGAGGGTCCGGAAAGGCAGCCGGGCTCTGCAACTCTCCCTGGTCAGGAGGGAGTCACCTTAGGGCCTGGGGCATGACCCTGGCCTAGAGAGGATGCTGTGTGACCCCGCCCAGGCACCCCACCTCTCTGAGCCTCGGTTGCTGGTCTATAAAGCAGGGGGACCGGCCCTGTCTCCGAGAGGGCCCTGAGGCTCCACAAGGAGGCTGGCCCGGTCCCTTTCTTCCCTCTACTCCCCCCTGAGTCATGCAGGCCTGCAGAAGGGGGTGGGGGGCTCCCTTCCAGGGCCCTGAGTGGGCAAACCAGGTGAAAGGAAAGTTGTTGTGGGGCTGGTGTCATGTGCTGCAGCCATGAGCATGGAGCGATGGAGCGTTTGCCCTGAATATTGAAAATGCATAAATATCCATTTTTAGGCACCAAGGCAGATATAAATACAGAGGGGAGGGTGTGCAGCCCTCAGCCGTAATTTACTGGCTCTGCTACCTGCGGGGGCTTGGGCACTTGTGCTTGACCATCAAGAGGCTTTTCCAGATGGCTTTATGACCGCCAGTGGCCACCTGGATCCCTTCTCCTGGAGAAGTGGCTCCTTGGGATCTGCCGGCTGGGGTGAGGTGGGGCAAGGCAGGGGGTATCATTCCTAGGCCTGCTCCGTCCTAGGCCTTTGGGGCCTCTCCTGCCTTCTCCTCCTCCAGCATCTCCTTGCTTGGGAGGGATGGAACCACATCTGTGTCAGGCCTGGTGTGTGCCCAGCCCTGGTGCACTTGGATAAAATCAGAGGCGTTCCAATCCTGCCCATGGGTGCTTCTGAGCTGCGAAGCAGAGATGACACCCTAGGTCCTGCCCTTAGAAACTCACTCAAGGGAAACAGATGGTAGAAGGGTCTGGATAAGCCAGCATGGGGCAAGACCCGGGTCCACTCTGGAGCAGGCCAGAAGCCAGAGAGGAGAGGCACATGGCCAATGGTGGCCTCCAAGAGTCTGGCCGCAGCCCAGCACACCCAAAGCCCTCAGCCTGGAAGGGAAGCAGCAGGACCCGGGGTGGAGGTCACGGCCCACTGGCAGGCAGCTCTCTCTCTGACATCCTCCAGAGAGGACATGGGTCTTGCCCCATGCTGGCTTATCCAGACCCTTCCACCATCTAAGGAATGTGCTCATTCTCAACGGGTACACAAATGGAGGCCCCAAGGCAACTCCCTGCCTCTCCTCCTAGAGCTGGAGCTCAGACTTGAGCACCCTGGTTCCTGCCACCTTCACATGCTGAGGGGCATCTTTCTCTTTGGGTTGGGACCCTGTGTTCAGGGCACCCACCTTCCCACAGCAGAAAGCCACCAGCCTCTACTGGGGGGTGTGGAGCGTTCTCCCTTCCAGGGTCCCCGAGTCTCCTCTTCCCAGGAAATGGAGGCTGGGCTTCCCTGCCCTGAACAGGAGCCTGCACTGGGAGGCAGGGCCTGGACAGCCACCTGCTGCCTGGGCCGAGCGGTGGAATCTGTTTGTGTGGGATGCAGGCAGTGAATCATGAACACTCCAGGCTGAGTGGCCCCGGGGCCCTGCACAGAGCAGGGGTGGGGGTGGAGTCAGGTAGCATTGATGGGGGCAGGTGGGGCTCCATGGAGGGAGGGCTGAGGCTGAGGTGGGGGTAGCAGAACCGTGCCTCCTATTCCTTGCCTGCCTCTCTCATGTTTCCCTCCCCCACTGTCAACAGGGGTTCTCTGAGGCAGAGTCCTCACAGTGAGTGATGCCTGCCCGGGCCCTGCCCTCCAGGCCTGTCCTGCCAGAAACACCCACAGGTCAGGGCATCCAGGTGCCTGGATGGACAGCCACAGGCCAACTGCCTGGTCAGCCGCAGCCTTGGCTGGCCGCTCTCCTGTGGCTGCAGAAAGTGAGAGGTAGTGCAGCCCCTAGCCCCCGCTACCCCACCGCCAGGCTCTCCTGTCTGTCCTAGTCCTCGAGTTGGGTGCGAGGGCACAGGCCACAGTGGATTCTCTGGGTCTCCCCCAGGTGACTTTGCTGTTGGTTCTGGGCCCCACACTGGCCCTTCTGTGCTGTCTGGGCAGCAGGATAGACGTCTGCGGGGCACATTCTCCACACCCCCTTGCGTGCTGCTTCTCGTTCAGTTCTTCCACGAGGAGGTGCTGGCAGGCTCCAGTACCTGCATGACACGTGCCTCTCAGCGGTTCCAGCATCAGCTCAGTGGCATTTCCAGGAGCACAGCAGCGAGTGCAGGCTGTGGGCTCCAGCTCAGGGCACCTCTGGATTTGCCTCCTCCTCTCAGCCCTTCCCCCATCACCTCGGCAGCCTGGCCGTCCTGGAACTCCCGGGATGCTCCTCAAAATGGCTCTAAAGCCCTTGTTCCTCAGTTCTTCCTGGAGGGGGCCACATCTTGGCTCCGGGTGGCAGGAAAAGCTCTTTTCCACTCTGCGGGAATGATCCCACTTTGCCAGTTAAATGGAATGGTCTTCACCGAATCTGTTCTCTGGGTCATGTGTGTGCAGCCAGGCGTCTGGCTGCAGTGGTAACAGGGGCTTCTCCCCACTGGCTGCGCCCCAGGGTCTCCTCTGCTCTCTCCTCCCTTCTCATGGGCTTCTTCATCTTCCTTGGGGTTCTGCTCCCCCATAACTCGGGGTCCCCCCATGTGGCCCTGACCTGCATTCAGCTGCTCTAGAGGCGTGATCTGGGTTCTGCCTCTGCATGAATGAACTACATCGCTTGGGAGGTCCTGGTTCAAGTTACTAAGGTGACAGTCTGGCCTGAGTCGTTTATGATCAGGCCAGAGGTTCTGCATGTCCCAGGCTTGGCCTCTGGGGTCAGACACTCATTGCTTTCTGCAGGGCAGCCAGGAGCCATGGGGGCCTGGAGGTGAGGCAGTCTTCCTTAGATCAGGGTGGGAAGCGGGCAGGGACCTCAACCACAGGGCAAACTAGTGACTGAGATGGCATCAGCAGCCTCGCCCAGAGGCGACCCTCACCCCAGCTCCAACCACCCGCCCAGGCTGCAGCAATGCCTGCTGTATGCCCAGCACCAGGCTGGGCTTATGGGGCAACTAGATGAACAGGACTCAGACCCTGTTCTCGAGGAGATGAGGGTCTCATGTGGGAGTCAGAGAGTCCTCAGATGCCCGAATACCAGGCTGTAAGGAGCACGAGGTGCTCAGGGAAGGGAGAACTCAGCTCTGGCTGAGGAGTTGGGGATGCTTCACGGAGCGGGGATATTTGACGTGTAACACAAGGTGGGATTTTAATGTGTGGTTGGTTCCAAGGTTGCTGGAAACACCCTGGGGAGAATAGATAGAACCACGGGAACAAAGGCCCAGCTTGGCAGCAGGGCGGGAGGAGCTGACGACTAACCACCAGCCTAACTTGGTTAGTGAGAACACCTAGAGCAGTGGGGATTAACCAAAGAGTGAACAGGGTGTGGCTGTTGCTTGGCAGGCAGCGGGAGGCCCCAGAGGGGTCCCCGTGGGAGGAAGAAGGCCCACAGGGAGGCAGGGTGGCATGGGGTGTCGGGAGGGCCTGTTTGGCTGAGCCATTTGTCTGGGTAGGGCCACCCATCTGGGCCTCCTGTTGGGCCCCCAGGGCCTGTGTTCAGAACTGGACAGACACACAGCTCTCTCCAACCCAACGCCCCCGGCTGCAGCCTGATGGCAGGGCTAAAATTAGCCTGGTGGCTGTGGGGGCAACGGGAGAGACAATCATGGGAATCGCCCCCGCCTCTCCTCTCAGAGGGAGGGAGAAGGACGGCTGGAGGCAGAAAGGAGCCAGGCCTGGGCCCGGGCGGCACTGGGGCACTACAGCAGCAGGAACCTGGGTCCCCCTCCGGCCTGACTCGGGGCACAGGAGCTTGCAGCAGGAGCAGGAGGGCCCTGCCTCTCTCCTGGCCACCCCCTGGTCCACTGCTGGATCCTGAGGGAGGGATGGTCGGGTTTTGAGCACCCAGTGCCCTGACCCACTTCTCCTCCTCCTGCTTGCCCAGGTCTTCTGGGGCTCCTCTCCCGTGGTCGCCATGGGAACTCCAGGTGGCTGAAGTTTGCTTGAGCCTAGCTCCCTGAGATGGGCCGTGGGTCAGGGGACGTGGAGGGAACCGGTCCCCAGCCTGGGCTCTGAGCACCCCTCCCCTGGGTCCCAGAGTCTCCATCTGAGCTCTGCCCATTTAGCCCTCACCTGGTCTCGTCCTCGCCTCCTCCCTCCCCCACACTCCACACAGGCTTCCAGTCACCAAGTTCTGACTGTTCCTTCCACTTGTAAAATCTCCCTGGGAGGCATCCACTCTGCACCCACCTCCCTGCCTCAGGCCTGGTTCCACCCCTTCCCTGTCCCCTGGATGACAGCAGGGGCCTCCTAGGGGGTCTGGCTCCTTCAGTCTGCTCCTCCTGGGTGCTGCCACTGTCCTCAGGACAAGCCCTGCTCCTGACCAGCGCCTGACAGTCTGGCAGCTCCTCTGCCCCTCCCTACCCCAGCCTGGGCTCCCACCACCCTGGGATGGCTGGGTCTGTGAAATGGGTGGGTGGTGTGTTGAGCTCCGCTTCTAGAACTGCATTCTATGGGGCAGTAGCGTCTTTCTGGAATTAACAGGTATATCTTGAAAATGGGTTCCATGTGGAATTGGTTTGGGAAGCGCTGCACAGCCTCTGCCTCCTGGATACTCACAAGGCACTGTAACAGGTGAAACGCTCCCAGAGGTCCTGGAGTAAAGAAGTCTGTTTTGATTTATTTAACCCCGAGATTCCCAGAGTGTTTTGGCTCTAAATAAGGAAGGTCTATGAATAACACCAAGAACAAGTTTCTCTGGACCACCCTTTGGAAAATGCTGGAGGGGCCGTAAAGTGTGGTGCCTTGTCTTTGGGGATCTGGGGTCCTGAGGCTTGCTTCCCCCATCTGGCATGCAGGGGCTCCCATAAGCGCACCTGCTGATATGGGGCCGAGGAAGCCCTGGAAAATTGGGCCACACCATGGATGCCTTGCTTCCATCTCCTGGCCCGCAGTGTGGTTCCTGGATGTGTTTTGTTTAAACCATGCATTCTTTTGAAATTTGACCTGGTTGTCAACATTTAAAACCTGGGAGATCCCGGCCGGGCGTAGTGGCTCATGCCTGTAATCCCAGCACTTTGGGAGGCCAAGGCGGGCAGATTATGAGGTCAGGAGATCGAGACCATCCTTGTCAACATGGTGAAACCCCGTCTCTACTAAAAATACAAAAAATTAGCCGGGTGTGGTGGCGGGCGCCTGTAGTCCCAGCTACTCGGGAGGCTGAAGCAGGAGAGTGGTGTGAACCCAGGAGGCGGGAGCTTGCAGTAAGCCGAGATGGCACCACTGCACTCCAGCCTGGGCGACAGAGCAAGACTCCGCCTCAAAAAAAAAACAAAAAAAAGCAAAAAAACAAAAACCTGAGAGATTCCACCACAAATTCTGCATTTTAAAGTTCTCTTAAAATGCAAGGAGCCCTGTCAACACAGTGCGCATCTCTCCCTCTGTGGAGCCAAAGAATGGCACGAGCCATTTACAAGCAAAACACCCAACCTGCAAGCAGACAGTGTCCCTCCTGGCGCCCACTGAGCCCCCCAAAACATTGGAGTTTCTGATCTCTTTCAAGGGGAGTATGGGGCTCTCTTCAACAAATTCCTCCTTATGATGGTGACTTATGCCTGGCCCACCCTCCTCTGGGGGTCCTTCTTTGAGGGGCTGAGGCAGGTGGGGCTCGCCGGCTCCAGCATGTTCCTTACCTCCCATGAAGCACCATGTACATGATACAGTCTAGGCTATGAGGTCCACTGGGCTACCCCATCATTACCCTTGGTTCCCATGACGAGGGGGCCAGAGTGGCCCAGGGGCAGCAGGGCTGTGGGAGGCAGAGGGAGGGTCTGCTGCAGCCTCCTCTCCTGTGACCACCTGGGGGCTCAGCTGATGAGGAGATTCACAGCTGCTCAGGTCACCCTGCTCACTGGAGCATGCTGGGTGGGAGAACCACTCCCTGCAAGAGTGAAAAGCTGAGAACACTGCCGACCACGCTGGCACCCCTGAGCCAACCCGCTGCTGCAGAGAGCCCTCTACGAATAGCCCGCTCTGTGCTGGCGGAGGCTGGAACCTGGGGAAATCTGGTTCAGGGCTGCTTGCTGGGGCCCAGGGTGGGGTGGGGCTATGGAGGGCCACAGTCCTGCCCTGGGATGACCGTGGTGAAACAGAACCCTGACTTGCAGGCCCCAGTCTGAGGTGGGGGGAGGGGGCCCAGACCAACCTCCCCAGACTGTTAGGATAACAGGAATTTCCTGCCAGGCTGAGGCTGGCACCAGTTTCGGTTCTGTCCTGGGTGGAGGAGTAGGTCCAGTAGTGGACTCTCCACTCAATGGGGCCTTCACAGGCTCTGGTCCAAAGTCCCCCACACACCCCCATCAGGAGGTCTGACTCTGGCCACCTCCTGCCTCGCCTGAACCTGTCCTGCTCGTGGCCCTCCTCTTCTAAGCCTGTCTGAACACCCCTACCTTGGGGACCCCTCCTGTGTCTTCCTCCTCCAGGAAGCCCCTCTGATCCTCCTTCTCAGAGTTCTAGCCCTCCTCCAAGCTCCATCCCTGCCCTAGACAATCCCTCCTCCCCTGCCATCCAGGGACACGAGGCTTCCCTTCCCCTGGTGCAGCTGGACCTTCTGTGGTGTCTTGAGCAAGCCCCTGGTCCTGTCTGGGCCTCTGCAGACTCAGGGTCTGGCACCTGACTTATACCATGTTGTCATATCCTGTCATCTGGCCCCACATGGAGTCCTACAGGGGACTCTCAGACCCAGGTGTGAGCACTGGCTCAGGCCCCTCTCAGAGGTCTGGGGGCCCAGCATCTGCCCATGGGCCTCCTCTCCCCCTCCTCTTCTCCAGGCTCCTGCCTCTGCCACAGTTCCCTGGAGGTGGCCTTTAGCCTGGCTCAGGGGCTCACACACTCCTGAGGGAGGCAGGGCCAGACTCAGGCAAGGCCTTGGAGGACACATCCCAGTGGGCAGGGCCCAACACTTTCGGGGGTGGGACTACAGGGAGGAGAGGCAGGGTAATTGAGGTTCCAGGTGCCAGGCCCCGCCCAAGGTCACCAGCCCGCTCCTGTTCCTCAGTCTCAGATGGAGCGGAGGGTGGAGGTGGGGAAGAGAGACTAGGGACACAGTAGGGATGGTTATGGAGGACGGGGATCCCTGTCTGATATGGTTAGGCTTTGTGTCTCCACCCAAATCCCATCTTGAGTTATCATCCCCATTTTCCCCACCTGTCAAGGAGAGACCAGGTGGAGGTAATTCGTGGATCATGGGAATGGTTTCCTCCATGCTGTTCTCGTGATAGTGAGTGAGTTCTCACGAGATCTGATGATTTCATAAGGGGCTCTTCCCACTTTGCTCAGCACTTCTCTTTTCTGTCACCTTGTGAAGAGGGTTCTTTGCTTCCTCTTGACCTTCTGCTGTAATTGTAAGCTTTCTGATGCCTTCCTGGCCACGCTGAACTGTGAGTCAATTAAGCCTCTTTCCTTCACAAACTATCCAGTCTCGTGCAGTTCTTTATAGCAGTATGAAAACAGGCTAATACACTGTCCCTGCTGAGGGCTGCCTGGCTGGGCTCTCCCTGCATTGGGACCTAGGTTGTCAGTAGCAGCGGTAGTGCTGGCGGGTGGGAGCTCTCCCCTGCTCCACACCTGCTCCTGAGATGTCCCTGGCACCAAACCACCTTCCCAGCTGTGGGCATGGATGAGGGGAGGGACCAAGATTTCCTATTGCTCTTTTTTTGTGTGTGTTTTGTTGTGTTTTTATTTTTGTATTTTTTTGAGGTGAAGTCTTGCTCTGTTGCCCAGGCTCTTTGGACCTTGGGTGATATCTTGGCTTACTGCAACCTCTGCCTCCCAGGTTCAAGCAATTCTCTTGCCTCAGCCTCCCCAGTAGCTGGGATTACAGGTCCCCACCACCACGCCCAGCTAATTTTTGTATTCATAGTAGGGATGGGGTTTCACCATGTTGGCCAGGCCGGTCTCAAACTCCTGACCTCAAGTAATCCGCCCACCTTAGCCTCCCAAAGTGCTGGGATTACAGGCGTGAGCCACTGCACCTGGCCTTGAGATTTCCTATTACTCTTGAAGTGAGAGGCCCAAGAAGGGTTGGGAGCACAGATGTTTGTGAGTCCACAGGGGCCAGCACTCTCTGTTGGTGGAACCCAGGGTGAACGCTTCTGTGCCCCGGGGTCTCATTTGTCTACCTGACAAGTTCAGTATTAGACCAGATGGGGCCAGAGTTGTGGCTGAAACTCTAGACTCAAATCTCACTAACTGAGCAAGCTTCAGCAAGCCACTGAACCTCCTGGTACCTCAGTCCCTACATCTATAAAATGGACATGACAATACAATGTTCCTCCTTGAGCCATTGAGAGGATTAAATGAGTTGATCTGTATCTGTATCCATGTCTGTTTATGTGTCTGTATGTCTATGTCTGTATCTATATCATATGGTATATACCATGTTAGTGTATTTAAATGTTAAGTATTATCATTATTGCCAGGTCACAGGCCCTTTTGAGAATTCAATAGAACATACTTTTCAGAAAAAATCTGCATCCACATAACCAACTCGGTGCACTATCTTGAGGGGTCGTGAACTGCCTGCAGCTTGCCTGTGCGGTGTGGATAGTGAATGTCCAAGGCCGTGGCAGTCTGACTCTAATGTGCTTTCTTTTTTTTTTCGTTGAAATCTTGGGGTCAAATTAATATACTCAAATAGCTCTAAAGGTCCAATGACAAATAGTCACTTATTCCCTGCCTCCCTCCTGCCCCCCGACCCCATACTCCTCTCTCTGGCACTGGACCATCCAATCTGGCTTCAGCCTTAGCTGTGACCTGTGGTGCCCAGAGTCCGGGGGACAGGACTGCTTCTGTTTCCTCCCCGTGGCCATGAAGCTGGGCTTGGGACTCGCTGCTGAGCTCCGTGGTCCTACCTTCTGAGTGGCTCTCAGATCTGCTCCATGGCTCCGTCCCTCTGTCCCTCCCCAGTCCAGATGTCCTCCCTTTCCTGCCTTGGTGGTCTCCCTACTTCCACCCTTGTCCCTCCCTGTCAGCCAGAGTGAGCTTCCACCTTGCACATCCCACCACGTCCCCCCTGCCTACAACTCCTCAGCGGCTCCCCATGGACTGCAATGATCATGAAAGAGAGAAAGTTGTGTAAGATTCATGATTCCCAGCATGCAGGAAAAGCAGAATTCTTACCAATAAACTTGATATAATCAAAGGGGGTCTGGGATTGGTCCAGGGGCCTGTAAGGTCACTGCCTGGGAGCCAGGCCTGCAAGGGCCCCTGGGGTGGGGGCAGGGACGAGGAGGCAGCTGGGATAAAATCATTTCATGCAAATACATTGAAATGAGGCTTTGTGGCAGGTTTGACAAGCTGCCAGGAACAAAGTCTCTGTGATCATCCTGTCTCCCACCTCTAACCAGCTGGCTAGAGTGAGAGTTTCCTGGGGGCCTGGAGGAGGGGCTGTGGGGAATGGAATCTCAGGTCCTGGACCTTAGGGAATTAGGAGAAAAAACACACCTCTGAGCCCCACCCTTGCCCTCCCCTATACCCTCAGTGGGTGCCCATTGCCTACAAGATGAGATTGCATGCTCCCCTTGGGCACACCCAGTACTGAGTTTCCAGCTCATAGTTGAGCAATAGTCCTTTTCTTTTCCTTTTTAAATGAACCTCAGGTACACACAATTGAGTTAATCACACCCCCTAGTTAGGATGCACTGTTACTATTGGCTCATGCAGGGCCACTGTAATTAATAAATGTGTTTGCAATAACACAGCAAGCACCTTTAAACTCAGAGCTCAACCCAAGATCTGGAACCTTAACAATATTTGTACCTACCTTTGTGCCCCTCCCTCTGTCCCTCTCCCTTCTCCCTGCCGCCTCCTCAGAGGTCAGCACTATGCTGAATTTTGTATGTATTACTCCCTTATCTTTTTTTTCTTTTTTTTTTTTAAGAGATGGGGTCTCTCCCTGTTGCCCAGGCTGGAGTGCAGGGGTGTGATCATAGCTCACTGAAGCCTCAAACTCTTGGCCTCAAGTGATCTTCTTGCATTGGCCTCCCAAAGTGCTTAGATTACAGGTGTGAACCACTATGTCCAGGCCCTCTTGCCCTTTCAAACATAAATTTATCTCTGCTTTTCCTTTTTCCTTTTTTTTTTTTTTTTTTTTGTTGGAGACAGAGTCTTGCTCTGTTGCCCAGGCTGAAGTGCACTGGCACGATCTCAGCTCACTGCAACCTCCACCTCCCAGGCTCGAGTGATCCTCCCACCTTAGCCTTGTGAGTAGCTGGGACTATAGGCACTCACCACCATGATCAGCTAAATTTTTAAATTTTGTGTGTGTGTGTGTGTATTTTTTGTAGAGATGGGGATTCACCATGTTGGCCAGGCTGGTTGCAAACTCCTGAGCTCAACTGATCTGCCCGCCTGGGCCTCCCAAAGTGCTAGGATTATGGGCATGAGCCATCACGCCTGGCCTAAATTTGTTTCTGTATCAGTTAGGATAAACTAGGTTACACCACAGTAACAACCCCCAGTCTCAGTGGCTTGCCCTGAAAGAGGCTTCTTTTTCTGCCAATGCAGTTTGGCAGAGGCTCTGCTCATTGCAGGCACTCAGGGACCCAGGCATGTGGATGGCACAGCCACTATCTAATGATACTGCCATTTCAACTCTAAGTTCTGGGGTTTGCTTTGGTTGGGGGAGGAAAAGAATAAGAAATATGTGCCAGCTCTTAGACGTTTCTGCTCAAAAGTGATGCCGAGCACTTTTGCTGACATTTTACTGGCCAAAGCTCTTCCCAAGGCTATCCCTAATTTCAAGAGGGCATGAAGGAAAAATGCCTTCCAAAATGAAGGAAGAACCAGAAGACTCATTGAACATGGGTAATTCCGCCACAACCACATATCTGTGGATGCCTAAGCAATACATTGCTGATTTGAGCTGTTTGTGATCTTTATAAAAAGGCATCGTGTTATATATGATCTTCTGAGATTTACTTTTTCACTCAACATCATGTTAAGATTCACACATACTATTGTACATAGTGGTCTTTTTTTTTTTTCAATTTCATTGCAGTACAGTATTCCATGGAAAGATTCTGCCCCCATGTATCCATTTTCCTTTCAAAAGGCATTTAAGTTGTTCTAATTTGTTTGCTGTAATGGACACTGCTCCTGTGAATGGTCTCTTCTTGCAACTTCATTTTGATTTCATCAGTCCAAGCTGCAGATTTTGAGCTACTTGCAGCTCCTGAGAGTTCTGTGCAGCTCCTGCCTCAGTCTTCAGGCCCCAGGTCCCAGGCAGTCCAGCCTCTCAGGGTGGAGGCTCCTCAATTCTCTGTGGTCCCTCCCAGCCAGCTGAGCAAGGAGCCAGTGCACAACCCTCCCCTCTGTGCAGCAACTTCTGCTTCCTGCTGCTCTCATCTTAACAATGGGAGGCAGAGCTGGGGTGCAGGTGAGGGCAGCATGTCAGGTGGGAAGCTTCCTCTGAGAAACACCCATTGTGCTGGGTGCTGGAGATGCAAAGAATAACTCATTCATTTACAAAGCAGACATTTATTTCCTTCCTTTTATGTGTGGTACTCCGTTACAGTGGGACCACAGAGATAAAGGACCTGCCCTCAAGGAGCTCATAGTCAAGTTGAGGAAACAGAGACATAAATAAATCACTGTTTTTGCTGACACATAAGATGTGCAGGTGTCTAAGTCTCATTGCGATTTTATAAATCTAAGTATGTCTAGTCATATATGTCTCCATGTCTCTCTCTGCCTATCTAATAAACATGATTTTATTTACGTAAATTTGGCATCATCTATACTGGGATAGAATGAGAAACCAGATCTTGATTGATGGGTATTATTTTTATAGATCATAAAGTTCCTGAGCTAATACCTGTTTTTAATTCTTCTAGTTGGGTCACTTTAAAATTTCCCTAGAGAGATAGGCTGGCTGCAGCTTTCAGATGTGCTTTTGATCTTCTCCTGGTCTTTATCTTCTTTTTTTTATTCTCAGTTGCTGGTGGACCAAAATATCCCTGCATTCCCTTGGGAAGTTAATATTCAGCTTGACCCTAATGTTATAGCAATGCTTCCACTGCTTTTGAGCAATGGCTTACATTCACATCTGAAATGCTGGAGAAAGAACCCATATCCTACCTCTGATCAGTCATGTGGCTTGTTGCGGCTTTAATTAAGAGTACCTACGGGAAGTGATCCTGGAATCTTTTCATTTTTTTTTGCCACAGGGTCTGGTTATGTTGCTTAGGCTGATCTTGAACACCTGGGCTCAAGCATCCTTCCACCTCAGCTTTCCAAATAGCTGGGGCTATCGGCGTGTGCCTGGCATGCTGGAATCTTTATTGTGATGTCTTGGGCTGCCTCGTCCAGCCCCACTTCAAGAGGGTGGCATTGTTGTATGTACCCACAAATTAGGGACCTTGATGTGGGCAGCCCAGGAGATGTGGGTCCCCAGATGAGGGTGCCTCTGACTCTGCTTGTGTAGGGAACACGTCGGTAGGGGAATTCACTGAGATGGTGGTGTACCAGTGGAGTCTTGAAGAACCAGCTCGTGTTATCCAGGAAGAGGAGAAGAGCTGGAATTCCAGGACAAGAGAATAGCATGTGCAGCGCCATGACAGGACCTGGTGCCAATAGGAGGCAGTGAGTTATTTGCAGTGGCCAGGACAGAAGCCCACTGCAGGGGATCTTGCCATGTTGCCCAGGCTGGTCTCGAACTCCTGGGCTCATGCAACCCTCCTGCCTCAGCCTCCCAAAGTGCTCGGATTATAGGTGTGAGCCACCACTCCAGGCCTTTAACCGTTTTTAAATGTACAATTCAGTGGCGTTAAGTGCATTCAAAATGTTGTGCAAACAAAACATCACTACTATCCATTTCAAGAACTTCTGCATCATCTCAAACAGAAACTGTACCCACTAAACAGTTAGTCCCCGTCCCCCTTCCCCTAGCCTCTGGTGACCTCTTTACTACTTCATGTCTCTATGAATTGGCCTATTTTAGATACTTCATGTAAGTGGAATCGTAAAACATTTGTCCTCGTGTGCTTGTGTGTCTGGCTCATTTCATTTAGTATAACGATTTTAAGTTTCACCCATGTTGTAGCATGTATCAGAATTTCATTTCTGTTTATGGCTGAATTTTATTATTATGTGATGGAATTCTGACTTCTTCCTGGACGCACTGGGTTGCCAGGAGAGTTTTATAGTCAGAGAACACCTGCTGTTTAGGACAGTTTCTGACCCTGGATGCAAGGATAAGGAGGAGGTGGAGGCCTGCAGAAAACTGTGGCCAACGTTCAGCAACAGAATTATGACCCTTCGATCGCTGGTGTGGCCTCGCCTCCTCCAGGAAGCTTGTCCTCCACTCTGAAACCTCCAGGGCGCTTTCTGTCTTGTGCATTTCAGCAGCTGAACCGCTGAGTATCTGCTATTCTTTTTGATCTTTTGGCATGTGAGGACTGTGCCCCAGGCACTCTGGGACTCCCAGGCCAGGCCCCCAGCTTCTCCTCCCTCTGACCCCCACAGCACAGCCCAGTGCATAGCTGAGGCCTCAGTGGACACTGGAGTTGGGGGTCAGGGAGAAGGGTCGCCCCAGATATGTCTGGCAGACGTGCCTCTGGCTGAACCCACTCCCGCTCCTGCCTCTCCTGCTCCCAGCCGTTCCTTTGGGTTTGGGCTGCATCCCACCAGCCAGCACCCCACCCCTAGCGCCCGCGGAAGGTTTCATCTCCCGAGCTGGGTTGAAAGAAACAGAATAAGTCCCTGGGGTGTCGATAACAGGGTTATAATCCAGCGGGATGAGACTGAACTCCCTGGAGTCTCATAGCATTTTTCCAGCCCTGGTCGCTTTATTACTATATCGCTGACTGATGGGGCTCCGGGGAGCTGTGGTTCCAGCAGCCGCTCTGCTGCCACACCCCGTTTGTAATTGATCAAGCTGCAGTTGGACTGAGCAAATTCATGCCCCTTCCTGCCCCTTGCGCTCTGTTCTCCCCTCCTTTTCCTCTCTCTTCTGCTCCTGAGGCTTCCGCTTTGGGCAGTGGAGATTCGGTCCCCGTTGCCACAGGCCTCGAGCTTGTGAGGTGCCGGCAACTGCTGCAACTCTGGAGGCTGCAGACTCAGGTCCGCTTCCCTGTTGTGTGAGCTTGGGCAGGGGGCTCACCCTTTCTGGGCCTCCATCTCCTGCCCAGAGCAATAAGGGGATTGAGCTAATGTGCTCTGAGGCTTCATTTAGCCCTGACTGCTCCGTGACTTATTTTTGAGTCTTCGATGTGAATTTGTACAATGTTTTCTTCTAAGACTGTGACAGTGTGAAGGAATTGGGTGGGACCTGCTTTCCCTCTACTCCCCGGGAGTTCCAGGCAATGGGGGCATCACTCCTCTTTCCCCTTGGGATACGTGTTACTAGCCCCAGGCTGGTGGGCTGGTGACTCTCTTCAAGGCTGCCTTAGAGTCCAACCCATTAGGTCAGAGCTCGTGGGGGAATCCGATGCCATCCTGACTCAATCAATGGGAGCCCACAAAGGGAGAGAAGTGGCAGAGCTGGCCTGGCAGAGAGCCCAGAGCTGCATCCAGCCTCTGCTCTAATTGTGCCCACAGATCGCTGGATGCCTGTGCACTCTAGAAGCTCTCTGGGGAAGGACATTTCACAGATGAGGGACTTTACCAGTCCGGGGTTTTATAAGCGCACTGCTGGGCCAAGTCACTCTCATGAGCAGTTGTCAATGATTTACCTTTCTTCCCAAGTAGGCGGAGATATTAACTAAGGGATGGCTGGGCCTCACTTTAAGCAGCTGCAAAGAAGAATGATGATTTTCTAACAAGAGCTTTTTTTCTGTCCACCTTGAATGCTCTATCTCTGGACTTGTAAGACAATCCTTCCTGCTGATTGCGAGTAAAGGTGAGCCTCAGACACCAGGTGATGGAGACAGTGCTCTGTCCATCAATGCCACAGCTCCATCTGGTTCTAAGATCTGTCAGACTCCCCAAGAGAGAGTGAGGGGAGGCTGGACTGCTAAACAGCATCCCCTGGGGCATTGGCATTGCCTGTCTCTGGCCTGGGGAACGAGGTCTCGTACACAAGATTGGTCTGAATCAGCCCCAGGAATGAGACTTCACAATCTCCCTGCATCTTGGGGGTGGTCTGGGGAGAGGGGAAAAGCTGGGGTGGTGAGGGGAGGCAACCTGCGTTCCATTTCTAGCTGTGCCATTAATCATCACGTGACCACAGACAAGCGCCTGTGCCTCTCTGACCCTCAGCCACTCCCCACTTCCCTGGGTGTTGACAGGATAAACATGAGGCTAGGGTCCTAAAAGTATCTGGCAAAGATTTCTCCCCCGGCGCCTTGGTCAACACATTCATGCCTCTATCTAAAGTCCATCCTCAAACCTCCAAAAAAATCAGGTATAATGGGACTACCCAAACAAGTTATAACTTTTCAAAGATAGACACAGAATGAAAAGTTTTTACAGGATGTAAAATGAGACTCTGCAGTTCGGTTATGATAGATGAAATTGTTTCACCTCTCTACCTCTCTTTTTTTTTTTTTTGTTTCCAATTTTAAAAAGTTTTCATTGAGTGCCGTGGCTCATGCCTATAATCCCAGCACTTTGGGAGGCCAAGGCGGGCAGATGGCTTGAGCCCAGGAGGTCAAGACCAGCCTGGGCAACATGGTGACATCCTGTCTCTACTAAAAATACAAAAATAATTAGCCGGGCTTTGTGGTGTGCACCAGTAGTCCCAGCTACTGATGGGCTGAGGTGGGAGGATCGCTTAAGCCCAGAAGGTTGAGCCTACAGTGAGCCAAGATTGGGCTACTGCACTCCAGCCTGGGTGACAGAGCGAGACCTTGTCTCAATTAAAAAAAAAAAAAAAGTTTGCTCCTTTCTTTTCTCTTTTCCTCCTTCTACTTTCTTTGGGCTTATTCTTTTGTTCTTTTTCTTCCTTTTTGAGTTAAATCACTGATATTTGCTTTGAATCTTTTCTCTACTTTCGTAAATTCATTGAAGGCTATACATTTGCTTCCAAATATTGCCTTAGCTGCACCTCACAAGCTATAAATTGTATTTATAACCTTTAGTGGTTACTTTTTTCCAATTTTTTTCATTGTGGTAAAATACGCCTAACATAAAATGTATCACCTTAACCATTTTAAAGTGCAGGGTTGTTGTTGTTAAATACATTAATAATGTTGTGCAACTGTCACCACCATTCAGATTCATAACTGTTTTAATCTTGTAAAACTGAAACTCTGTACAATTAAATAATTCCCCATTTCCCCCTCCCTCAAGTCCCTGGCAACCACCATTCTAACATATCTATTTCTGTGATTTTGACTATTGTAGATGCCTCATGTAAGTGGAAACATACAATATCTGCTCTTTTGGCTGGTTTATTTCACTTAGCATAATGTTCTCAAGATTCCTCCAAATTGTAGCATGGGTTATAGTTTCTTTATTTCTATTTTTTTTTTTTTTTTTTTGAGATGGAGTTTCGCTCTTGTTGCCCAGGCTGGAGTGCAGTGGTGCGATCTCAGCTCACCGCAACCTCCGCCTCCTGGGTTCAAGTGATTCTCTTGCCTCAGCCTCCCGAGTAGCTGGGATTACAGGTGCCTGCCACCAGGCCGGGCTAATTTTTGTATTTTTAGTAGAGATGGGGTTTCACCATGTTGGCCAGGCTGGTCTCAAACTCCTGAGTTCAAGTAAGCCACCCACTCCAGCCTCCCAAACTGCTGGAATTACAGGTGTAAGCCAACTCATCCAGCCCATTCTAGCTATTAATTTTTTTTTTTTTTTTTTGAGACAGTCTCACTCTGTCACCCAGACTGGAGTGCAGTGCTACAATGGCTCACTGCAACCTCCCAGATTCAAGCAATTCTTGTGCCTCAGCCTCCCAAGTAGCTGGGACTATAGGCACGCACCACTATGCCTCACAAAGTTTTGGTATTTTGGTAGAGACGAGTTTTCACTATGTTGCCCAGGCTGTTCTTGAACTCCTGAGCTCAGGCAATCCACCCACCTCAGCTTCCCAAAGTGCTAGGATTCCAGGTGTGAGCCACCACATCCAGCCCTAGCTATTAATCTTTTATCAGATACATGGTTTGTAAATATCTGCTCCATGGGTTGCCTTTTTACTCTGTTGACAATGTTTTCTGATGTACGAAGTATTAAAATTTTGATGAAATCCAATTTACCTGTTTTTTTCTTTTGTTGCCTGTGCCTTTGTTGTCATAGCCAAGAAATCATTGCCAAAACCAATGTCATGAAGATTCGCCCTATGGTTTCTTCTGAGTTTTACAGTCTTAGGTCTTACATTAAGGTGTTTGGTCCATGTTGAGTTAATTTTTGTAGGTGATGTTAGATAACAGTCCAACTTTATTCTTTTGCATGTGGATATCCAGGTTTCCCAGCATCATTGTTGTGAAGACTGTCCTTTCCCCGTTGAATGGTCCTGGTATCCTTGTCAGAACTCATGTTCCCATTTTTGCAAGGGTTTATTTCTGGGCTATATGTCTGTCTATTTCTATTCCATTGGTCTATATGTCTGTCTTTTTGCCAGTACCACACTGTTTTGATTACTGAAGCTTTGCAGTAAGATTTGAAATCAGGAAGTATGAGTCCTACAGCTTTGTTTTTCTTTTTCAAGATTGTTTTGGTTATTTAGGGTTCCTTAGGATTCGATATGGCTGGCCAGGTGTGGCAGCTTACGCCTGTAATCCCAGTGCTTTGGGAGGCTGAGGTGGGAGGATCACTTGAGAACAGGAGTTTGAGACCAGCCTGGGCAACATAAGGAGACCCTAGCTCTACAAAAAATTTGAAAAATTAGCCAGGCATGTGCTTGTGGTCCCAGCTACTTGGGAGGGTGAGGCTATGGTGACCTGTGGTCGTACCGTTACACTCCAGCCTAGGTGACAGAGCAAGACCTTGTCTCAAAACAATTTTTTTTTAATTAAAAAAAGGTGTTTCCAGTTTTAAAAGTTTTGGAAGGATTTGATGTTCACTCTTATTTTAATATTTGGTAGAATTTACCAGTAAAGCCACGAGGTCCAGGGCTTTTCTTTGTTGGGAGATGTTTGGTTATGGATTTAATTTCCTCACTAGTTATGAATCTATTCAGATTTTCTCTTTCTTCATGATTTAATCTTTGTAGTTTTTGTGTTTCTAGGAATTTGTCCATATTCCATCTTGGCTATCCAGTATTGGTGCACAATTGCTCGTGATACTCTTTTAAAATCCTTCTTATTTCTGTAGAATTAGTAGTAATGTCCCCACTTTTGTTTCAGATTTTAGTAATTTGAGTCCTCTTTTTTTCTTACTTCATCTAGCTAAAGTTCTGTCAATTTTGTTATCTTATCTTTTCTTTCTTTCTTTCTTTTTTTTTGAGACGGAGTCTTGCTCTGTCTCCCAGGCTGGAATGCAGTGGCACAATCTCACCTCAGGTTCAAGCGATTCTCATGCCTCAGCTTCCTCAGTAGCTGGAATTACAGGCACCTGGCTCCACACCCGGCTAATTTTTGTATTTTTAGTAGAGATGGGGTTTCACCATGTTGCTCAGGCTGGTCTCGAACTCCTGACCTCAGATGATCCGCCTGCCTCAGCCTCCCAAAGTGCTGGGATTACAGGCATATGCCACTACACCCAGCCCTTGTTATCTTTTCAAAGAACCAACTTTTGAGTTCATTGATTTTTCTCTATTTTTTAATTCTCTATTTTGTTTATCTCTGCTCTAATCTTTAGAATTTTTTTTTTTCCTTCTGATAGCTTTGGGTTTAGTTGTAAGGTAATTTGAGTCTTCTCTCTTTTTTTCTTACTTCATCTAACTAACGGTCGGTCCATTTTGTTGTCTTTTCAAAGAACCAACTTTTGATTTCATTGATTTTCACTTCTGTAATTTATCTCTGCTCTAATCTTTAGTATTTTCTTCCTTCTCATAGCTTTGGGTTTAGTTGTAAAGTTAGACTGTTGATTTGAGATCTTTCTTATTATTTAATGTAAACGTTGTAGCTATAAATGTCCCCCTTAGCAGTGCCTTTGCTTTGTCCCATAAGTTTTTCTATGTGACATTTTCATTTTAATTCATCTCTAGGTATTTTCCAATTTCCTGTGTGATTTCTTCTTTGATCTATTGGTTGCTTAAGAGTATGCTGTTTAATTTTCACAAATTTGTGAATTTTTCAGTTTTACTTCTGTTATTGATTTCTAACTTCATTCCGTTGTGGTCAGAGAATATATTTTCCATCATGTGTGTCTTTTAAAATCTATTGAGAGTTTATTTGCAGCCTAGCATATGGTCTATCCCGGGAATTGTGCCATCTGCATTTGAGAATGTGTATGCTGCTGTGGTTGGGTAGAGTGTTCTGTATACATCCATTAGAACTAGTTGGTTTATTGTGTTAAGTCCTCTATTTCTTTACTTAACCTTCTCTCTGGTTGTTCCATTCATTGACAGTGTGATATTAAAGTCACTTGTATTTCAATATACATATAAGTTCTTTTAATGAAGTCCAAGAATATTCAATATCTCTATCATCCTTGTGGACAAGTAAAGAAGTTTTTAAAATGTTTTCTAGAATCTTGGTAGCATCTTTTTTCAAACACAGCTATAGCTATTATTATTATAATCATTGTTATTATTTTATTGTCAATAGCTCAGTTTATATATTTACCAATTTTGCACTCACTCCTTTTTTTCACACTCTAATTTTCCCCTTAGGTTCACTTTTTATTTTGCCAAAGTACATCTTTAGGACTTCTTTCAGTGAATATGTCTTGGGTATAAACTCTTCCAGTTTTATATGTATGAAAATGGTTTTATTTCCTTTTTAATCTTGAGTAATTATTTAGCTGCAAATGGAATTTTACCCTCCATTTTTTCACACTCAGTACTTTGAAGTGTTTGCTCCGTGGCTTTCTGGCCTCTTTTCTCCTTGGCACAAGGTCTGCATAACTTGTATTAGTCATTTCTCTCATTGCTATAAAGAACTACCAGAGACTGGGTAATTTATAAAGAAAAGAGGTTTAATTGGCTCACAGTTCTGCATGCTGTACTGAAAGAATGGCTGGGGAGGCTTCAGGAAACTTATAATCATGGTGGAAGGCAAAGAGGAAGGAGGCACATCTTACGTGGCTGGAGCAGGAGGAAGAGAGAGAAGGAGGAGGTGCTCACACTTTTAAACAACCAGATCTCGTGAGAACTCACTATCATGAAAACAGCAGGGAGGAGGTCTGCCCCTGTGATCCAATCACCTCCCACCAGGCCCCTTCTCCAACACTGGGGATTATAATTTGACATGAGATTTGGGTGGGGACACAAATTTAAACCATATTATTCCACCCCTGGGCTCTCCCAAATCTCATGTCCTTCTCACATTGCAAAATACAATTATACCTTCTCAACAGTCCCTCAGTCTTAACTCATTTCATCATTAACTCAAAAGTCCATGGTTTAAAGTCTCTTCTGAGACAATGTAAGTACCTTCTGCCTATGAGCCTATTAAATAAAAAACAAGTTGTTACTTCCAAGACACAATAGGGTTATAAGCATTGAGTAAATATTCCCTTCCCAAAAGAAGTCATTGTCCAAAACAAAGGGGCTACAGGCCCCATGCAAGTCCAAAACCCAGCAGAGCAGTCATTAAATCTTAAAATGCCAAAATAATCTCCTTGACTCCATGCCAGGCCACACTGCCATAAGGAATGGGCTCATAGGGCCTCGGGCAGCTCTGCCCCTGTGGTTCTGCAGGGTACAGCCCCCTCGGCTGCTTTTATGCGCTGGCATCAAGTGCCTGGGGCTTTTCCAGGTGCACAGTGCAAGCTGTCAGTGGATCTATGATTCTGAGGTATGGAGGATGGTGGCCCACTTCTCATAGCTCCAGTAGGCAGTGCCCCAGTGGGGATTCTGTGTGGGAGCTCCAACCCCATATTTTCCCTCTGCACTGCCCTAGTAGAGATTCTCCATGTGGGCTCTGCCCCTGCAGCAGACTTTTCCCTGGACATCCAGGCATTTCCATGCATCCTCTGAAATCTAGGCAGAGGCTCCCAAGCCTCAATTTTTGCCCTCTGTACACCTGCAGGCTTAACCACATGGAAGCTGCCAAGGCTTACAGCTTGTACCCTCTGGAGCAGCAGCCTAAGATGTATCTGGGGTCCTTTTAGCCACAGCTGGAGCTGGAGTGACTAGGACACAGGGAGCAGTGTCCTGAGGTTGCGCAGGGCAGCAGGTTCCTGGGCCTGGCCCCAAAACCATTCTTCCTTCCTAGGCCTCCAGGCCTGTGATAGGAGGGGCTCCTGTTAAGGTCCCCGAAGTGCCTTCAAGGCATTTTCCTCATTGTCTTGGCTATTAACATTTGGCTCCTCTTTACTTATGCAAATTTCTGCAACTGGCTTGAATTCCTCCCCAGAAAATGGGATTTTCTTTTCTATCACACGGTCAGGCTTCAAATGTTCTAAACTTTTATGCTCTGCTTCCCTTTTAAATATAGATTCTACTTTCAGATCCTCTTTGCTCATGCACATGATCACATGCTGTTAGAAGCAGCCAGGCTACATCTTGACACTTTGCTGCTTAGAAATTTTTTCTGCCAGATACCCTAAATCATCACTCTCAAGTTCAAAGTTCCACAGATCCCTAGAGCAGGGGCACAATGCCACCAGCCTCTTTGCTAAAGCATAGCAAGAGTGACCTTTACTCCAGTTCCCAAAAAGTTCCTCATCTCCATCTGAGACAATCTCAGCCTGGACTTCATTGTCCATATCACTATTAGTATTTTGGTCATGCAATTTAACAAGTCTCTAGGAAGTCCCAAACTTTCCCTAATCTTTCTTTCTTCTTCTAAACTCTCCAAACTGTTCCAGCCTCTGCCCATTACCCAGTTTCAAATTCGCTTCCACATTTTCAGGTGTCTTTACAGCAATGCTCCACTTCCCAGTACCAATTTTCTGCATTACTCATTTCTTGAATTGCTGTAAAGAACGACTAGAGACTGCATAATTTATAAATAAAAGAGGTTTAATTGGCTCATGGTTCTGCAGGCTGTACAGGAAGCATAGCCTGGCAGGCCTCAGGAAACCTACAATCAACAGAAGGCAAAGAGGAAGGAGGCATGTCTTACATGGCCAGAGCAGAGGAAGAGAGAGAAGGGGAGCTGCTATACACTTTTAAACAACCAGATATCATGAAAACTCACTATCACTAGAAGAGCAAGGAGGATGTCCGCCCCCATGATCCAATCACCTCCCACCAGGCCTCTTCTCCAACAGTGGGGATTATAATTTGACATGAGGCCAGGCGCGGTGGCTTACGCCTATAATCCGAGCACTTTGGGAGGCCAAGGTGTGTGGATCACCTGAGGTCAGGAGTTTGAGACCAGCCTGACCAACGTGGAGAAACCCCATCCCTAATAAAAATACAAAAATTAGCTGGGCATGGTGGCACATGCCTGTAATCCCAACTACTCGGGAGGCTGAGGCAGGAGACTCACTTGAACCCGGAAAGCGGAAGTTGTGGTGAGCTGAGATCGCGCCATTGCACTCCAGCCTGGGCAACAAGAGTGTGAAACTCTGTCTCAAAAACAAAAACAAAACAAACAAACAAAAAAAAAAAACAAAAAAAAACAAAAATTGATGTGAGATTTCGTTGGGGACACAGATCCAAACCATATTGTCATTCTTTGGTGAATGAATGGTCTTTTCTGTTTGGTCGCCTTTAAGTTTTTGTCTCTGTCTGTTATATTCTTCAGTGTACCACCATCTGTTCACGTAGTGGCTTGGCTGTGTTTATGATGCACAGTCACTCAATGTTTACTTTCCTTTCAAGCTGAGAACTTATCTTTCTCTTTAATCCTGGGAAATGATCTGTTTTTATGTCTTCGACTATTGCTTCTTTTTCATCCCTTGGTTCTCTTCTCCTCGAACTCCTATTAGATTTTGTTCTTTTTAATGAAGCTTCCATATTTTTCATCTCTTTATCTTTTTATACTATTTTCTGAGTAAATTTCTTTTTTTCTTTTTCTTTTTTTTTTTTTTTTTTGAGATGGAGTCTTACTCTGTCACCCAGGCTGGAGTGCAGTGCCGCAATCTCAGCTCACTACAAGCTCTGCCTCCAGGGTTCACGCTATTCTCCTGCCTCAGCCTCCCGAGTAGCTGGGACTACAGGCACCCGCTACCATGCCTGGCTAATTTTTTGTATTTTTAGTAGAGATGGGGTTTCACTGCATTAGCCAGGATGGTCTCAATCTCCTGACCTCATGATCCGCCCACCTTGGCCTCCCAAAGTGCTGGGATTACAGGTGTGAGGCTGGGATTACAGGCGTGAGTGTAAATTTCTTAATATAAGCTTATAATTCACTATACTTTCCTTTGGACAGGTCTAGTCTAAAATTTGTCCAATTATTGAGTCTTTTTTTTTTTTTTAAAGAACAAGGTTTAATTACATTGCCCAGGCTGGACTGAAACTCCTGGGCCCAAGTGATCCTCCCACCTGAGCCTCCTGACTGGCTGGGATTACCAGCATGCTCCACAGTGCCTGGCTTCCTTCAGTTTTTTTTTTTTTTTTTGAGATGGAGTTTCACTCTTGTTGCCCAGGCTGGAGTGCAATGGCACAGCCTTGGCTCACTGTAACCTCCACCTCCCGGGTTCAAGCAATTCTCCTGCCTCAGCCTCCCAAGTAGCTGGGATTACAGGTATGCACCACCATGCCCAGCTAATTTTTTGTATTTAGTAGAGATGGGGTTTCACCATTTTGGTCAGGCTGGTCTTGAACTCCTGATGTCAGGTGATCCACCTGCCTCAACCTCCCAAAATGCTGGGATTACAGGCGTGAGCCACAATGACCAGCCTTCCTTTAGTTTTTTAAGGGGTCCAAATAGGCTTCTATTGAGTCATTTAAATATTTCCCTATTGTTTACTTTTTCTGCAATCAATAAGCCTCCTAACTGTTGATTTTGCTTTGGCATCAATCTTCTTCATGTGTTTTAAAATTTTACTCTGCACAGTCATCTTGAGGGAGAGTTTCTCTTTCTCTTCTTGTCCCTGTAACTATTGGTTTTGCAGTTGTTCCCTTAGTCCTCTGAAGTCTCCAGTACAAAACCATGCCTTAAATCCATTTTTGGATTTTTTCTTTGTTATCTTGGTTTTACCTCTTTTAAAATATACTACTGTCTGATTGGGCTGCTATAACAAAATTCCAAAGACTGGGTGGCTTAAACAACAGACAATTATTTCTTACAGTTCTAGAGGCTGCAAAGTCCACGATCTAGGTGCTGGCAGATTTGGTGTCTGATGGGGGCTCTCTTTCTGGCTGTAAGCAGCCACCTTCTCACTGCATGCTCACGTGGTCATTCCTCGGAGCAACCATGTACAGGAAGAGGGAGATATCTCTTTGTCTTCTTATAAGGGCACTAATTCCATCATGAGGGTCCCACACTTATGACCTAATCTACACCTAATTACCTCACAAATGTCCTATCTCTTAATACCATCACATTGAGAGTTAGGGCTTCAGCATAAGGATGTGTTTGTACATACACTTTTTTTTTTTTAACATAGATGAGTGTATAGCTGTTCTGTATCCCATATTACATCATAAACATGTTCTCTTGTCATTACAAAGTCTTTAATATCATTTGAAACGTCCTTACTAACAATCACTTAGCCTTGCCCTCAGTGTTATTTATATTTACTCCCTATTTAAGGTAACCTGATGAATCTTCTTGGTGTGAAACTTGTCCATATTACGGATTGTGTCCTTAGGAAAGACCCCAGAAAGGAATGGCAAGGTAAGAATGGGAGCCTGTGGCTGTTGATATCTGTCTAGTGTGGACAGGTCCATCCTCATGGCATTGGAGTGTGAGCTCCCCTCACCCACAGCAGCCCTAACCCCACCAGCAGCCCCAGCACGCAGTGAGCAGGGGAGGCACCTGGACAATGGTCAGTGCTTCAGACAGTGGGCGGCTATTTTCTCCAGTCAAGATTTCCTGCATTGCAAACTCTTTGGTTCCTTTAGGAAACTTCTGGCTGGGCCCCAGATACAGGGAGCAAAGTATTCAAGAGAGCAGGAAAGCTTCTGGCTCATGGGGTCAAGCTCCTGAACCAGATATGAGGTTTGATTCCAGGCACTGGAATGGCCCAGGTTAACAACTCGTGAATATTTTTTTAAGATTCCTGCTTTACAGATTGTTAAACTGTTTTCTTGCACAACTTCGTAATCTTTGCAAACTAAGCCACTTTCCAGGTGGCTGAAGCTCGGATTGACCAAAGCAGTGCTTCTTGAAACGTTCTGTGGGTATGAGTCACGGGGAATCCTATTCAAACACAGATTCTGATTCAGCTGATTTGGGATGGGGTCCAAATTGCATTTCTAACAGGCCCCCAGGTGATGTCGACACCGCTGGCCTGAGGACCTCACTTGAGTAGAGAAGTGTGAGGGGACTTAGGCAAGCCACATGCATCCTCAGTGACAGAGCTGGAACCCATATCTGCCCAACGCCAAAGCCTGTGTCCTCTGTCTGCGGTTCCCATGTAGAATCCTGCAGTCCTACCACTTACTTTGCAGGTGAGGGAGGGGAGACAGAGAGGCTTCCGCTGGAGGGGGAGGTGACTTTGTTCAGGGAGGGGGCTGCTTTTCCCAGGCCCACCCCCCAACCTTGAGGTTTGATGAGGAAGAGATGGATAGAGGGGATGGTCTCCTGAGTGGGGAAGTGCCACAGCTGGGCAGCCGTCAGTGTTGGAAAAATTAATTTTTTAATTAAAAACATCTTTTTTTCCCACTCTTCTTTCCCCTTTGCTTTAATGTCTCAGTCTGGAGTAATTATGAGTCGCTCTGGGGAGACTGAACCTTAGAAAAATTGTTGGTGCGACTGCTGAGGAATTTATCTGATTAACTTGGGCTCAGCCTTTGAAAAGAAGAGAAAGGGAAAGAGAAAAAGGGAGGAGGGAAAGCTCCAGCTCCCCGTTGTCTGGCACAAAACTTAATCACAGCGTCAGGGAGACCAGGTAGGCTTTGGCTGGTTCCTTCAGGGTAGCCTGGGGGCAAGGTGGCTGGGGGCTCAGCATCCTGGCATTCGCCTCCCCAGGCCCCAGTGGCCCCACCTGTCCTCTGGGTTGCCTCCCAGGGCCTGGAGATGTCACTGTGACTGGCCCTACATGGGCGATGGAGTCTTAGGTTGGGTTCCTGGAAGGCAGAGCCTGGAAAGGGATCTGAGTGCTTTCAGTGACACACATGAGGGGTGAGGGGAGCAGGGTGGGACAGGAGCAGAACCAAGGTGAGGAACTGGTTCAGCCAAAGTCTGGTCTGGACCCAATCCCCTGGGGAGCTCTGGTGCTTGCACTGCACTGCAGAGTTGTCAGGGCACGAGGGGCGGCTTTTGTTCCTGGATCTGCCTGCTGACCGTGGGTTGCACCTGGGGAAGAGTAGGCACCCCCCCCCCAGGCATTTCCTGATGACCAAAGTTTGGTCTCCACTGGCTGAGGGCACTGCTCCCTAGAAGGGCACAGCTGTGAGTTGTTAACAGCCAACACCACCCGCAGCTAGTAGACAAATGTCCTGGCTTGAAAACGGAGTCTGGGTGAGGCATCAACAGCACCTACTACAGATGGACTGGAGCAGGGGCCTAGTGGGGTTGGAGAGAAATGGGTGGATTCAAGAGCGGTGCCAGAGGTAGAGTGGATAGCACTTAGGGAGTGGTTGGGTGGGGTGGGCATGGGGGTGGATACAGGGGACTCCCAGGCTACTGGCTTGGGTGACTGAGTGGCTGGGGGTGCCAGGTTGGAACAGAGATGTAGGGGCCATCTGTGTGGAGATGGGAGAAGGTGGGCGGGCTCGTGCGGGTGGGCAGGAAGGGAGAAGAGCCGGAGCACAGAGTCCTGGGCACCCCACAGGACTGGGGCTGGCAGAGGACAGGGAGCCCAAGGGCAGTTTGAGAAGGTGCGGCCAGGAGGACAGGAGGAAAACTAGAGAGGGTGAAGTCCCGACATCACCTCTTCCCTCCTCCATCCTCCCAGATGGGTTGGCCTCAGTCATCACCTGTCTCCTCCGTCAGTGCATGTTTGTGGATGAAGGAAGGAGACTGCTTTGAGGAGCCTCAAAAGACTGTGATCCCCTTGAAGGCGGGGATTGTTGCCTGTCAATTTGATTAGCATTGTAGACCAGCCCCTATCATGCTCCCTGGCACACAGTAGGTGTTCAATAAGCCTTTGCTGAAAAATACAGTGGCTAACACCCGTATAGCACTTACCAGGCACAGGTCCTGGATAGAAACTCATTTAACTCTGTGAGGAAGGATTCAATGCCTTGTTTGCCCACATCCTATGAGTTTCCACAGACATCTTGGCCATTCAAGAGACCTTTGCAGATTTTCCACTTAGAAGCTATTATTATCCCCAGTGTATAGATGAAGACTCAGAGGCACAGAGAGATTAAGTAACTCACCCAAGATCACAGATAAGTGGCAAAGTTGGGACATGATCCTAGGCAGTGTGACTCCCAGGCTCCCTGCTCTTAGTGCCTGTGTGAATGAGTGAAATTGATGCTGGTGTTTTTGGGACCAGGGCACATAACTGTTTCATGTGGCACATGTAGACAGAGCCACATGCACATGCAGCCACATGTACACACAGCTACATGTATGCACAACTGCATGTACACACTGCCACATGTACACGCAACCACACTGACATGCAGTACACAGAAGACGGCTCTTGTCCGCTGCAGGAGAGGGTAGTCCACAGCCTTGAGTAGGGGCCCCTTACTGTACAGTGCTCTCTGCTCACACTGGCCAAAGCTACTTCAGACCCAATCCATTGCTGCCTTTACAGTCCCTGAGGCCAGAGGGTGATTGCGGGTGGGGGTAGAAGGGGACAGGTGGAAAGTTCTGATGTCAGGCAGGACACCTTTCAGTCCTAGCTCTGCCATGACACAGTGTGGCCCGAGCCTCTTTGAACCTTAGTTTTCTCATATGCGACATGGGACTAATAACACATTTTCCCCAGAATTTATGTGCGAGTTAGGAATGATGTATGGTGACTGGCACACAATGGCTTGGTGGTGCCACTATTACATGGAGTAACCGTTTTTTGCTACATTAGCCATTTCTTGGCCTGATATTGGAAAATGTAAATACGGCCTTGCAGTAGCTAGACATCTTGTGGTTAACCACTGCGTGGCTGCCATCCAGGGGCCCGTTCAGCTAGAGGGCCACTGGCCACCTCCACTCTGGCAGGATGAAGCCTGAGGTGGGAGGCTGAGAGCAGGGGCTGGGAAGAGACACAGAGCTGGGAGCACCCAGACCGTCCTGGGCGGGGGCGTCTCAGCTGGAAGTCTGTCATCAGCCCTCATCCGCGGCCACCAACAGGGATGCTGCAGAGGTGAGGCTAGGGACTCCCACTGGGGCCCACCATCAGCTCATGTGCCCTGAGCCCCCAAGGGCCACCGCATCACATAGCTCTGAGGGGGTTGGGGGGGCGGGGGTGGGTGTCACTCACACTGTAGTCTATGAAGCAGAGTTCCAGGGCTGTGCTGCTCACATAGGAAATGCCCCCTGGAGCTGTGCAATGGGGCCTGAGAGCTCTTCAGAGCAGTGGTCTCACAGCTTTACAATGGGCCCGGAAGACCTAGGGAAGCAGACAGCCCCCTCCTAGGATCTGCCTGCTGCATGCGCACCCAGGCCAGGGCAAAACCAGTTTCAGCCGCGTCTAGTGCTCCCACTCCTGGCACCCAGGTCTCTAAGTAATAACCCCAAGCTCACGATGCCTGGACCCTTGACTGAACACATCTGCCCTGATCCGGACTGGGAGCTCTTGAGAGTGGGGCTTGGACCTCTGCTCTTCCCCCTCTTTCTCTGACCAAGCACAGGGCTGGGCACACAGAAAACGGGAATCACGTTGGAAGAAAACTGTGAGATTAAAATACCAAAGTCTGTCATTCCTCTACTGAAGAGACATTTACTTATCAGCCTTTAGCTGTGCCCTGGACCTGACCAGGCTGGCGGAGACATGAGGACGGAGCAGACGGACCCTGTTCTCGAGGGGTCACAGCCTTGTGGGGAGACAGACATGTAAACACACAGTGAGAGTCCAGTGTGACCAGAGCTGGGTGTGCAGGAGGCCTCGGGAGCACAAAGATGAACAAAGAGGGCACCTGAGAGGGCTTCCTAGACAAGGTGATCCTGGGGTTGAAAATTGAAGAGTGGGTGGGGGCTTACCTGGTGGAGGTGGAGGGAAAGGCATCCCAGGCGTATATGCAAAGGCAGGAAGGTAAACAAGAGCCGGGCCCAACACAGGATCTGCAGGCTTGAGTGGTGCAGGGGAAAGAGCCCTGGACAGACCAGTTGGGTCCCAGTCCCATCTGCTTGTAAGTACCTGAGTGACCAAGGACAAATTCTCCCCTGCCTCCCTTTCTCTGGGCCACCGTTTCCTGATATGTGTAGTAGCAACTGGGCTACATCATCCCCAAAGCCCCTCCAGCTTGGAAGCTCTTGGCTTCTCCCAGATGTGGCTGGACCCCTGCCTACCTTCCAGAAACACACCCTCGCCTATGGGTGCTGGGGCCCTCTGGGGAACGTGGATAGGTTGGTTCTGGTTAATCTAGGCTTAACCCTCCGAGTGCCAGAACCTTTCACTTCATTGCAAATAGTTCTCCCCCATGAGCAGACTGAGAGTTTGGGCCCACCTTCCTGGGAATACCAAGGTTGAAATCTGCTGGGAGTGTGGCTGAAACGGGACCCCTCCACTGGATAGTTCTCTGCTCTGGCCTGCCTGGGTGACGGAGGACTTCTGAGCTGGGACTGTCCTCTTTGAAGACAGCCAAGCCCGACCATCTCTCTTAGCATGGGTTTGCTTCTTTGAGCCCACTGGCTTCTCCCTTTTATAAGCATCACCAGCCAATCAGCTCATGCATTCCCTCCCATGAGAGAGAAGTGACCAATCATATTTGGTCTGGTTTCTCCGTTGCTAGGTGCAGGAGGCTGCCTCCTCACTGCTGAGGGGCTTGGATTTTATAAGTCCAATCCTGGGTCTGAGCTGATCCCAAAGGTTGGGGGCTCCAGGAAGATGGATTTAAAATTCCCTGAGCATAGTATCCAGCGGGTTCTGCCAATAGTCGGGGCTGAGGAATTCAGGGAAAGGAGAGAGCAGCTGGCAGTCCTGGAGGGCTTCCAGGAGAGGGCACTGAAGGAGGCGTTTTCAGGCCCTTCCTGGCCCAGCCTGGGCTGTTCTTTTCTCCTTACAGAGGGGCCTCATCAGACCCCTGCCAGCAGGCTCAGCACTCCCATCCTGGCAGCTTCAGGATGCCTCCCTGCCCCGCTGTCAGTCCTGGGACTGTCCTGGGCCCTGGGCTTGAACCTGCTTCAGGACCCTTTCCCCCAGCCCTCACCCCACTGACACCCAGAACTCCTGTAGAGGGTTAGGTATGGGTATTACCCCAAGTGTGAGCCTGGGTCTAGGCACACTTCTATGGCTCCAGAGGTTGGGGATGGAGAAGACCCAAGAAGTGACATGGGAAGATTCAGAAAGAAGGGGAGGGCGTCCCAGGTGGGGAGCCCTGTGTGAGCAAAGGCTTGGAGGCTTATGAGTGTGTTTGTGTGTATATCTGCCTGTTTACGCATGTGTGTGCATGTGCTGGTGTTTCCATACATGCCTTGGGCACGTGTGTGCGTATGTGTAAAACACAGAGAAAGGACATCGGTTCTTTCATGTCTTAGGCTTGTGGATTTCCTCACCTCTCCAGTCTCCCATGACGAGCCTTGTTTTGGGTCCTGAGCCCCAGCTCTCTGTGAGCCTAGGCCCCTGAGCCTAATTCCCATCCCTGCCTACCCCACCAATGGAGCAATTTCTTGATTAAAAAATCAATGAGACTGCACATAACAGAGCCAGCATCACCTCCAAATGGAGAAAAATCCAACTAGTCCATCATCCATTCCCACTACCAAAGCCACTAGCAGCCTACCTACAGCCTAGTTTGGCCCTTTCTGGGGACTGGGGCCCTGCTCCACCACAGAATGTCAATCAAAAGTGTTCACTTGCAGCCCTGGCAGCATAGTGACCCTGTCTCTATAAAAAACAAATGAATTAAGGCTGGGCGCAGTGACTCACGCCTGTAATACTTTGGGAGGCTGAGGTGGGCAAACCACTTCAGGTCAGGAGTTTGAGACCAGCCTGGCCAACATGGTGAAACCCCATCTCTACTAAAAGTATAAAAGCTGGGCATGGTGGCACGCAGCTGTAGTCCCAGCCACTCAGGAGGCTGAGGCAGGAGAATTGCTTGAACCTGGGAGGCAGAGGTTGCAGTGAGCCAAGATTGCACCACTGTACTCCAGCCTGGATAACAGAGCGAGATGCTGTCTCAAAAAAGAAATAAATGAATTATCTGGGAGTGATGGCATACACCTGTAGTCCCAGCTATTCAGGAGGCTGAGGTGGGAGGATCGCTTGGGTCTGTGACGTGGAAGCTGTAGTGAGCCATGGTCGCACCACTACACTCCAGCCTGGGTAAGAGAATGAGACCCTGTTGCAAAAAAAAAAAAATTTTTTAAAGGCCTACTGAGGATGGAGAGTTGAGTAAAATCAGTGCTTCCTCTGCCCCCAGAATCCTGGTGTCTTGCTCTTCACAACAGCCTGGTGTCCTCATCTGTGCTCAGGCCAATTCAGTCTGGTGGAGCACAGGAGGAAAGGGCTTGCCTGTGTTCCCTGGGCTGCAGGAGGGATCAGCTCACTGACTTGGGGCAGCAGAAGGAGGCCTGGGCTGAGGTCAGGGCCCACCCACTTAAGACTCTGTCCCTTCTGAGCCTCAGTTTCTACATCTTTAGAAGGGGACCATGATGCCTGAGGCTCAGATGCGAGTGTATGGAAAGGATGTCTTATTCCGTTTGTGCCACACTAACCAAATGCCTGAGACTGGGTGATTTATAAAGAACAGAAACTCATTTCTTACAGCTCTGGAGGCTGGGAAGTCCAAGATCAAGGTGCTGGCAGTTTTGCTGTCTGGTGAGGGCTGCTCTGTGCTTCCAAGGTGGCGCCTTGAAGGCTGCATCCTCTGATGGGAGGAATGTGATTTCTTTTCATGGTAGAGGAGTAAAAGAGGGTGATCCCACGCCCACAAATACCACAAGCCCCCACTTTTTTTGTTCTTTTGAGACTGAATCTCGCTCTGTTGCCTCGGCTGGAGTGTAGTGGCGCCATGTGGGCTCACTGCAACCTCTGCCTTCCAGGTTCAGGCAATTCTCCTGCCTCAGCCTCCCAAGTAGCTGGAATTACAGGTGTGTGCCACCATGTCCAGCTAATTTTTTGTATTTTTAGTAGAGACAGGGTTTAACTATGTTGACCAGGCTGGTCTCGAACTCCTGACCTCAGGTGATCCACCTGCCTTGGCCTCCCAAAGTGCTGGGATTACAGGCATGAGCCACTGGGCCCAGACAGCCACAAGTCCTTTTTAAAGGCCCTAATCCATTCATGAGGGCAGAGTACTCATGACTTAACCACCTCCCTAAAGGTTCCACCTTTCAATATTGTAGCACTGGGAATTAAGTTTCAGCATAAATTTTGGAGTTGACAGAAATACTCAAACCACAGCAAAGGGGCTCTGGGAACTGGGAAGTGCTGGGCCTGGGTCCAGGCACCCCTCTATGGCTCCGGAGGTTGGGGATGGAGAGGACCCAAGAAGTGACATGGGAAGATTCAGAAAGAAGGGGAGGGTGTCCATGGTGGGGAGCCCTGTGTGAGCAAAGGGCTTACACTGTGCTGATATCCACTGAGCCTGGGTCAATGGGAACATCTAAGGGCAGAAGCAAGATGTTTGGCCCACATGGTACTTTAAAAAAATCGAATTAGTGGCCAACCTTTAAAAAATGGGCATTTTCTGCACAAAGTCTGAATTTTGGCTTCTCTTGAAAAATCGGGAGGCCTGGCAGTCCTGAGACTGTGTGCCCATGTGGGGTGGCACTTCCCTAACCCCCTCAGTGGGCCCACTTCCTCTTAACTGCCTAACTCCTGGGGGATGGGTGACACTTGTGACCCCTGACCCTTTTAGAACATATTAACATTTTCTGATGAATCTTTTTCAGTGGCCCAGTCAAGTGAGTGGCCTGTGGTCAAGTGGGTGGGAAGGAGGGCACAGCTGCCTCCTGGACCCCTCAATGCCCACTCCCTCTCTGTTTCCCACTCTCAGCCCTGGCAGTGTGCTGGGTGCCCGACTCCCTGCCAAGCAGGGAGCAAGGAAGAAGTTGTGCCTTGGGGGGTGACTGCTTTTCCTCTCCAGGAAAATCTAGCACCTTGACCATTACCCACACGGCATTTTCTCTGAAGGCCCAGGGAGCCAGACGGACAGGTTCTCCCAGAGCAGGTGTAAGCAGTGCCAGGCCAGGCATTCCTTTTCCCCTTGACCCCTCAATGTAGGTTTCAGGCAGAGATGCTGTGGCCACCTTGTGGGCTCAACCATTTGGGGCAGGGCTGGCACAGCTGCTCTCATCAGGCTACAAAAGGGCAGACTGGAGTTTCCAGATTCACCCCTTCTCAGCTGTGTGACCTTGGGAAAATGCCTTGACCTCTCTGAGCCTGTTTCCTCATTTGTAAAATCTCTACTTCCACATGCTATCATAAAGATCAAATGGGATCAAAAGTGTGTAAGAGAATGGCCTGGTACAGGTCAGGAACACCGTTGGTACTCTGTTTCTGAAAGGAGGAGTTGAAGGTCCCCAGATCCAGTGGTGGAGCCAGCATAGTTACTGTGCAATGGAGACTGATTAACGAGGTCCTGTGTCCCAGCTGGCTGGGGCTAGATATGACGACAAGAGTGAGGGGCATTTTCCCTGGGCCTTGCCCCTTCTGAGCTGGGGTAGCTGGGAGAATGTGGGGGTGAGGAAGCAAAGAGAAGAGGCATAGTTTCTCCTCTCTCCCTACCCCCCACCTTTGTTGTGGGTGCATAGCCCCTTCCCCATGAGCTGGGCCCCTTTCTTAAATGGGGAGGGCCCCTGCCTTCTTCAACAGCTAGAATGTGGCTGCCTGGTTTCCAACTGGGATGGGGAGCCTGGGGGCCCAGAGAAGTGGAGTGTGGAGGAAACAGCTGGCCTCATAGTCAGTTTGTCATGGAGCTACCTCATGGGGCTGCCCCTCCAGGACCTCACAGTACAGCCTCTCTAGACCTTTACCTAGTTTTAGTTTGAAAGCACAAGAGGGACAAGGATATTCCAGGTCCCCCAAGGCAGGGGGCTTTAGCACAAAGGGGATCTCCGAAAGGAGTTGAAGGCCCTTGAATCCAGTGGTGGAGCCAGCATGTTTACTCTGCAATGGAGACTGATTAATGAGGTCCTGTGTCCCAGCTGGCAGCCTCTAAAGGGAGAGCTTCCTCCCCTTTTCCCAGAACACTGCCATCTGGCCGCCTTTCTAAGATAGCGATGAAGACCACTGCCTTCTTCCTGGGTGTGCTTTCTGGAGCTGCAAGTTGGGGGTGCACAACAGGGTGTGGTTGCTGTCCCAGAAGAGGGGGCTGCCCAGGGCAGATGACAATAGTGGTAGTGACGACAATAGCTGATGACATTTACTCAGCCCCGTGCTAAACACCTCCTGCTGCACTCACCCCAATTCTGCGGTTACAGAACAGCCCATCTCATTAAGGCACCTTCATCACATGGAAATTCAGATGCCAATGGAGCCATCCACAGGGAGGAGAGAGAGGTGCACTGATTTATGAACTTCGCAAAGTGACCCTTCTTGCCGGGGTGGGGGGATCTAAGAAACAGCTCCCCCTGTGTGTTTAGAGTAACAGTCCATGTCCAAAATGTCGATTTTCCTGCCTGGATTTAAAGAACGTGTTTAGAGAACCAGGTCAGCTTTGGGGTCTCCAGACCACTGGCCTACAGCCAGGAGAGGTATTTCAGAACCCTGAAGAGTGCCTCAGACTCCAGGAGGTGGGTGGAATGAGGAGGCTGGTTTTTTAGAACTGGCTGGTGCTGCCGGGCAAGGTGGCTCACACCTGTAATCCCAGCACTTTGGGAGATGGAGGCAGGTGGATCACCTGAGGTCAGGAGTTTGAGACCAGCCTGACCAACATGGAGAAACCCCATCTCTGCTAAAAATACAAAACTAGCTGGGCGTGGTGGCACATGCCTGTAATCCCAGCTACTTGGGAGGCTGAGGCAGGAGAATCACTTGAACCTGGGAGGCAGAAGTTGCCATAAGCTGAGATTGAGCCATTGTACTCCAGCCTGGGCAACAAGAATGAAACTCTGTATCAAAAAAAAGGGAGGGGGTGCTGGGCCCTGAAGGAACATGACTTGCCCAAGTCATTCAGTGGGTCAGCCTCGCTGCCTGGGGCTATATCTCCCCAAGCAAAGGCAAGAGCAGGAGCAGCCCAGCTTGCTGCTCTGTGCCAAGTCTGCAAAGACACAGGTGTCTTATTTTCTGCATTCTAAAAATTGTGAGCAAGTAGTAGCTGTAAGTCAAATCTTATCCCCAACACCATCCTGCATAGCTCTGGGCTTGAGAGCAGCCCTTGGTTGTTTTTATAGGCAGGATGTTGAATGATTATAGTCACAGCCTCTGCAACCTCACTGCCTGAAATTAAACCTGGACTCTGCCACTCAGGCTGTGAGACTTTGGGTGCATTAAGCACTGTATGCCTCAGTTTCCTCATTTATAAAATGGGGATGATACTCACTTCTACATGTTATTGTGAGAATTAAACATATATATATATATAAAACTTAGAGCAGTGGTTGGCATGGACTTATTGCTGTAAAAATGTTATTTTTAACCCCAAGCATTCTGCCTCAGCTCTGATGCATGGCCAGGTTTTTCCCATGGTACCCCTGGTCTTACCTCCAGGGTCAAAGGCTCGGAATAGGCAGATATTCCTTGGGCTCGTAAGCCACTGGAGTGTCTGCAAGGCTGTCTAAGGAAGTATTAGTTTGGGAGATTGGAGGCCCCACTGCCCTGGGCCGGGGAGTCTGGGACCTTGAGATGCTGGACCTTGGCACCAACTTCCCCGTTCTTTCTTCTTTTTCATAGTGGTTCCAAGAATGGTCTTTAGAGCCAGAAAGATCCAGGCTTAAATCTTGGCTCTGAGGTTTACAGGCCATGACCTTGGTGAGTCATAATTAGCCTCCTGGAGTCTCATCTGTGTATGGGTCTAACAGTATCCTTGATGTGGTTGTTTAGAGGATTACAATGAGAAAACGTAGTGCAGGCTGAGCACATGTGCATGCTGTAAGTGCTTCGTAGTGGTGGCTGTCACGTGGTTGTTATCCTGACGTCTCTGTCTCACTTTGGGTCTCTGCCACTCCCCTCTCCCTCCCAGTGGGTGAGGCTCTCCTTCCTTCTTCTTGACTTCCAGGCTTGGAAGCACCAGAGAACTTGGAGGCTTTGGATCTGGCCCACCCAGACTCAAACCTCAGGGAGAGAGGCTTTTAGAAGACAAGATCGGGGGCTGGTCTATTGTGGCTCATTTCCTGTGACCTCACTCCTCTCTGCCTTGTCTTAGTGTCAGTGCTCTGGATTTCTGGACAACTCCTTTGTGCCCTAGCCCTGGCCAGACACCCCTCTTTACGCCCAGCTCTGCCCCATTCCAGGAGAAAGTGGCAAAGCATTTACCTTACTAACAGCTCAGATTTGACAAGCATGAACTGAGCAAGTTGTGGGCCTTACCACATGAGCTAGTTCATTTATAATCAGCATTTAATTAGCATCTACTTTGTGTCCAGCATTGTAGGAAGCACTTTACACACATGTGCTTGTTTAATCATCCAGCAGCCTCTAGAAGTGGTTATTATTATTAATTTCATTTCTTAAATTTTCTTAAAAAAATTTTGTGGATACCAGGTGAGTCAGTCAGATATGATTATACTTTTATCTTACAGGGGCGGACAGTGAGACCCAGAAAGTTTGGGTGATGCTTGGGCCTCATGGTGGGAAACCTTGGAGCTACAGGGAAGAAGAATTGAGCTAAAGCTTACAAAGGACTTGGCATCGTGCCCAGCATACAGAAGGTGCTCAATAAAGGGGACTAGGCCGGGTGTGGTGGCTCATGCCTGTAATCCTAGCACTTTGGGAGGCCGAGGTGGGTGGATCACTTGAGGTCAGGAGTTCGAAACCAGCCTGGCCAACATGGTGAAAACTGTCTCTACTAAAAATACAAAAAAATAGCTGGGCATGGTGGTGGGCGCCTGTAATCCCAGCTACTTGGGAGGCTGAGGCAGGAGAATTGCTTGAACCCGGGAGGTGGAGGTTGCAGTGAGCTGAGATTGTGCCACTGCACTCCAGCCTGAGCAACAAAGTGAGACTCTGTCTCAAAAAAAAATAAAAATAAAAATAAAAAAATAAAGGGGACTAAGCCCTGTCATCCTGGATGCCCCATGGGACCCTCAGCCTGGCTGACTCCTCTTCGTGCCCTCTCTCCCACCCTTGTACCAGCTCTTCCATTGGTCAGAGAATGTATTAATTTGCACTTGGGCCAGACGCAGCAGTGGAATTTCAGGTACTGTGAGAGTTGGGTGGGGGGACACAGAGGATGGCCACTGGCTCCATGACTGAGGCTTCTCCTCGCTTGCTCCTGCGGCCAGATTCAAGCAGGACTCCCAGGAGCTGGGCTGCAGAATCACCCATGATGATGTGGTTCTGGATACTGTGATGTCTGGTTTCATGAACTCTCACTGGTAGATCATTCACTCTGCCCAGGAACTTGAGCACAACCCCACTCCCTCGCTCCTCCCCTGCAAACTCTCTGGGCCTGGGGTGTAGGGGGAAGTAGGCCAGGGCTTCAGGAAATCTGGTCTCTTTCTGCCACTGTCACAGGGCCTGGCCTTGACCAAGATGCCCACCTAGGTTGCACAGGAGACCTGGCTTCTCAGTCCAGCTCTGCTATGAACAATTCACCATCAGACCCAGGGCAGGTATTGACCCTCTTTGAGCCTCAGTGTCCTCATCTATAAAACGGGAGGGGAGAACTGGGTGTTCTCTGAGTGTTCTCCCAGCCCTGCCATGCAAGGCAGTAGGGAATCCCCATCCTCCCCTCTGCCTGCCCCATCAGGGGGTATGTAGCCAAGGACAGGGACAGAATAGGATGCAGGAAATGAGGCAGGAGAGAGGGAGAGTCTCAGATGGCTCCTAACTCTCTGGCTTGAGAAACTGGTAAACTCAGGTGCCGTTTACTGAGATGAAAAAGGGGCAAGGGTAGACTTGGGGAGGGGTGGTAAGTTCAGTTTTGAATCCATTGCATTTGAGGTGCTCAAGGGATGGGCCTAGGCAGCCAGCATAGAGCGGAGCTGGGATTTGAACCAGGGATGTCTGCTTTAAAGGCCATGCTGTCTCTGGCACACACCCCATGCAGAGGGTGAGGTGTGCAAAGTCAAACTACTGAGGGCCAAGGAGGGGCCAGAGAGAGTTCATGTTCAGTGCTGGGAATAGTAGAGGTGGAGAAAAAAGGCTTCATCATGGAGGGCTTCCTGGAGGAGGCCATCGACCCTCGCGTTTTGAAGATACCAAGAGAAGGTGAGTCCTGAAGGAGAAGAGTTGGAAGGGTCCCTGAAGGCTATACTCAACAAGAACATGTGACTTCCCCAAGGTCACACAGCTAACAAGTGGCAGGGCCACAGTTCTGGCCAGGCCTGCCTCATTCCAGGGCCTCTGCTGTCAACCTCATAGGACACTGCTCTCAGGGATTGGGCCCTGGCAGTGGGAGAGAAGCCACAGAGTTGAGGGGGAGACTTAGTCTCTCCCAGGTCAGGCCATCTTTCCCCAGCCCATGCATGGTCAAGTTCCAAATAAACAAAGAGACAGCAGAGCTTTGACTCTCAAAGTGGCAGGACACAGAGCTAGGACTGTTCCAGTTTTAAGACAGACCTGACTCTAAGTATAGGGCCATCCATGAATGTAGGTAGGCTGGGCAACTACTCAGTACCTGCGGGACGAGGTGTGCTTAGAGTCTCCCTTGCCCCTTAAACTGGTCTGCCACCAAGTCTGAGAGTCCATTCACACACCCTGACTTTAGAATAGACATTGTCCAACTGGGCTCTTCCCCAAGGGAACACATTTTTGGCCCTACTCATCTCACACAGAGGGAACTTAGTAGACCCTTTTCTCCTAGGCGGAAGGGGTGGACGACCCTGCAAGGGGACCCTCTCTCCCAGCTTTGCAGAAGGCCAGTCTGCCATGCAGGGGACAGGCTCGCCTGACAGAAGGGCAGGGAGCCACTGGGCACACCAGGCTGCAGTGGTAGCAGCAATGGTGAATGCCAGCAGCTCACAGCGAGTGTGCGGTGTCAAATGGGGTGCATTACTCTCCCTGAAAATTAAAAATTAAAATTAATCAAACACTCAAATTGATTTCCTTCCCGTCTGTTTGCTCTGCTGTGCCAGTCAGATGCCTGCCTGCCCACCCAGCCCAATACATCCCATCCTCATGCCAGAGCTGGACAGCTCAGGGAGCTGCAGGGGTCTCTGTGAAGGGCTTGGGGGAACCTCAGGCACCTCATTCCAGCCATGGGAAATTTGGTAAGGGTCAATCCAGCCAGACGCATGACCCTGAGACCCAGTGCAGAGTTTGGAAAGGGGGGCAGGCAGAAAGTGAACATCACTCTTGTCCAAAGGTAACAACTATGCTGGGCTGGGAGGCAGAGAGAATATTCTAGAGAATATTCCTGGGGCCATCATTAACTGATGTCATGAGCCTGGGCAAGTCTTGTTCTCTCTGACTTGTTTCTCTGTCTGTGGAATGGGGAGAGGGGGCAGATGGAAGAGGTCCCTGTGGGTTCCAGTGCTGGCCTGTGGGCCGGGCCAGCCTTACCTGGGGACTGACCTCTCCCACCCACCTCCAGCCAGCCTGGGGCCCTGGTCTCCTCCTTCCCCAGCTGGGACCTGACCTGCCACTTATCAGCTGGGCAACCTTGGGCACAACGGGCATGTCACTTAACACTTTGGTGCCTCAGTTCCCTCATGGGTAAACGGGGACGCCAGTGTGGACAGGCTGGTTCCCCAGGAAGCAGACTGTGAGGGAGATCCGCGTGGAGGCAGGCAGGATGGGGCCGGGGGAGTTGGGCCATGACGCCTTTACGAGGCAGTCTCTGTGAGGAGCTCTGGATCTGAGCTGTCTCTGCAGGGGTTTTCTGAGATGGGACAAGAGGGGCAGCCTTTATCCCATGCTTGGAGCAGTCATTGGATGCAGCTGTCCCTAGAAGAGTAAGGCCTTGGGCAAGTAGGCTCTCTCTTCAGCCTCCTCGCCAGGGGGAGGGTCCTCACCTGGGGCCTATCAGCTCTGGCAACCCAGCAGCAGGGGAGGAGGGCACTGCCCAGGAGCCCCTTCAGGCTGCAGCACTCCTGCCCTTCCAGGGGCAGCTGCATCCAACGACTGCTCACAGCAGGTGTCCGGGTGAGGGTTCCCTGGAACAAGGTTGTGAAGCCTGGCAGGGGTCAGCTCCCAGGAAACAGTTAATCTGCTGAAAAGGCCTGGGGGGTCCCCTCCAGCCCCACCCCACTCACCATCCTGTTCCTTCCCCAACAGTGGAGGTACTTTCATAGGCTTCTGTCTGTGCTCATGCTGGTCCCTCCTCCCTCCCTCTCTCCCTCTCCCTGCTCTTCTTTCTTGCATTCTTGCATTCAAACACATCCATGTGGCTAGCACATACTCCTTGAACCCCTGCATCGGGCCAGGCCTGGGCTGGTGGGAGTTGAGGACTCAGAAGGGACATGGACCTAGTCATGCTTCCTCCCCCAGGGTACTCCCCATGCCCCAGGCCCTTTTCCCCAGCCCAGCGAACCATCGCCTCTCGCCTCTCTGGGAGAGCCAGATTCCGCTGATGCCTGCATAGATGCGTCGCCAGGCCATCCCTTCCTCAGGTCCAGGCTCCATGGACTCCTAACTCTCAGTTCTGTGACACTGCTGGCCTCCAGCCCCCACCCCAACACAGTGCCCACTCCAGAACTTGGAACCTTGGCCTTCCTCTGTGTGCATGGCTATCCATGTGCCTGTCTGCCCACAGCCTGTGTGTTCCCTAAGGATAGACCCCATGGGCCCAGCACAGGGCCCACCGTGGTGAGTGGGAACTGCATGGCCAGTCAGTTCCCCAAACTATGCATACTCCCAGGTCCCCAAATTCCCACCACCCATCCCCATCCCACTCCTCGGCCTTCCAAAGTGCAAGCCCAGTCCTATCTCTATCTCTCAGTAACAGGCAAGGATCACTCTCTGCCCAGAACCCCGACACCCACAGCTCCTGCTGCCCTGCTGCCTCCAGCACCACCCTTTCCTGAGGCCCTGTTGTGTGACTGCGCTGGACTGCAGGGATCCAGCGTCCAGATGGCCATAACCCTGCACCTTGGTTTCTTTATCTGTACAATGCCGATAATCCCTGTTCCTGCTTCCCTGGGCTGTAGGGCGCCTTCCCTGAGAAGACACGTACAATTAGACTTGTGGACAGCAAAGCACTCCCCACGTTTCAGGTAGGTGTGATTAAGTATAGAAAAAGCTGATGTGGCAGACTGTGGATTGACCTCGGCCCTCTCAACAAGTGGGCCTGGCCCCTGCTCCATGAGCTCAAGGCCCTGTGCTGACCTGGGGACAGCTCCTACAGGGCCACCCCTGCCTCTTTAGGCAGGGCCCTTAACAAGGTAAGGCAGCCTCCCAAGCAGAAACTGCAACTCACACAAGAGAAGAGGCCCCTCACACAGATGGCAAGGTGCAGTGTCACCTGGGAGGGAGCAGCTGCTTTCTGAACCTGCGAGGGAACACTGGGGGATGGGAGATGGCACCCCACATAGTCCTGCTTCCCTGGACCCACCCAGGCAGTCTAGGATGGGGTGAGGTAGGAGGGCTTGCTGTGGTGGCCTGGGCCAGCCCCTTCTGTCTGGAGCCTCAGTTTTCCAGCTGTTAATGGGCACTATAATCTTGTCTCTGCTCACTGGTGCCCACGACGGCGACACAGTCCTACTCGGGGGATGCAGCTGGCTACAACTTTCCAGGGAAGGTTTTATGGGGTCAGCTGGTATGTCTGTGGCCCACGGTGGTGCTGACTTCAGGGTCTCAGGAGGATGCTTGACAGCAAGGAGCACTCTGGCAGAGTAGCTGATGGTTATGACAAGAATTCCAGTTTACACCGTCCTCTCCTGTCCAGGGAGACAGGAAGAGTACAGAATGACACCCTTCTACAGCTGGAAAACCAGAGGCTCAACAGTCCAGCTGAGCACTGACAGGCCAACAGGGACTCCCAGTCATCTGATGCAGTTGCCAGGCTGATAGTGGAGACATGGGTGAGGGTGCAGGTGAGGTCTGGGGTGGAGAGAGGAAGAAAGCTTCCTGGAGTGCACTCCTTGGGAAGAGCCAGGTGAGGCAGGCTCAAGGGTGGAGGAGGGATGGGAAGGCATAGGCCAGCAGCAGGCCTCAGGCAGCCCCTCTGCTCACTGCAGGGCCAAGGCCCTGGAATCTGGCCTGGTTGGAGTCATGCTGTATCTTCTCCATTCCCTTGTTACAGGATCAACCAGAGACGGCAGAAGACAATCAGTCCATTCTTCATAGTTCTGGGGGACACAGAGGGGCAAGTGCTGCCTGGAGGCATCCAGCTAGCATCTGACAAGAGGCGGGGCCAAGGCCTCCTGCTCCCTCACGAGGCCGCCCACTCAGCTGCCCAGTCTGACTCCCCAGGATGTCTCACCTTGTGCCAGGGCCTGGGCATCAGAGAAGAGGGTGGAAGTGGTCCCTGGGTGCAGAGTGGTGGGCTGGGAGGTGACAGTTGGAGGAACAGTGGCAGCACTGTCCTCTGCTTTGAACCTCCAGGGCCAGCCCAGAGCCTCTAGGCTAAAACCCCAACTCCTTGCTGGTCCCACTAGAACCTATTGTCCTGACCCATGCCACCTGCACCCCCATCTCTAATCCTCTCTCCTCATGCTCTGGCCACATGGCCTTTTTCTCTTTCCTCTCACCATGGGGACTTTGAAAGCGTTGTTCCCTCTCTCTGGAGTCCCCACTTCTCTGGGTCATTGTCTACTCCACCTTCTGGTGCTACGTTGAATGTCACATCCTGCAAGAAGCCTCTCCTGACTCCCTAGTCCAGACTAGACCAGGTCCCCACAGACCTTGTCACAGCATTTGTCCCAGTTGTCATTTTACATTTGTTTGCATGGTGGTTTGGTTTCTCCCTGTCTCATCTGGACTCTGAGGTCTCCACCACGTATTCCCCATGCCTGGCGCAATGTGTGGCATGAAGTAGGCCCACAATGCATATTCATGGAAAGAATAAAGAATGTTGGCTCTCAGTTCAAATCCTGGAACTTCTCCCTGAGCCTTGCTTTTTTCTTCTCTGAAATGGGAATGATAACACCAAGATTAGTGTGAGGGTGAGCCAATGAATGAAAATCTCCTGGCCACACTCTGCCAAGAGTAAAGAGGGAGATCGGGGTGGGGAGGGGGTGGTTGACGCCAGCTGCTTAGGGATGGAAGGACTTGAGACGTGTGGAAACCAAAAGTGATGGGGACAGGTGGGGAAAGACGTGGAGGTGGGGAGATTGGATGTGTTTAGAGATAGCAAGGAGACAGCCCAGCTGGGTGGGGCATTTCTCTGAACACTTGGTGACCTGCTTTTCAGCCTGGCTTAGGAAACCAGGGGTTTCAGAGGAAGTGGGTGGGAAATGCCCACTGCCTCCTCGAATTCCATGTGGGCCACTCTCAGTCTCTCGGCTGGACCTGGTGTGATGATTAGATCTGGAACACTGCCAAAGTTCTCCATGACTGGCCCATGAAGATGGCTGGAAACAGCAGAGCGGCCCTGGGCAGGCATTTATTGGGGCACTGACCCAGCCTCTGTGGTGGAAAGCAGCCAGCCACCAGCCCCTGGTAGAGGAGCTACCTCCTGGAGCTAGCTGTCCAACTGGTCTTGTTCCTGGTCCCTGCCCCAGGCCCCCAGCTACTACTGCTCTGGCCGTAGAGTGGGCCTGGTCATTATTCATGCCATGCCTCTCTGTAAAGCCTGCTGGAAGGAAGACGTGGCAACAGCCTCTGGCCACCAGCACAAGGGCAGGACACAAGGGGACCCCAGAGAGGCCTCTGCACATGACTGCCTTTGTGCAGAACTCCTGGATAGAGGGCCTAGGCTTGGACTTGCTGGGGAAAATAAATGACATAGACTCAGGTTCGTCATCCCTGTGGTGCATATCAGCTTGCTCCCATACTTAGGGAGGGAGTTAAGGCTCAGAGAAAGTGTGCCACCTATTTGAGTTTGCACCGCATAGCTGGGCATAAATTCCCAAGCACGGACACAAAGGCTGTGTGGCTTCCAAGACAGCAGAAGTAAGCGGGAGAACTGGATGGTGGGAAATGGATGGGGATGCAGGCTGAAATTGCTGCTCTGCAAGGATGTCAGAGACTCTGGGGAAAGGCTGTTTGTCTCTGTGTGGCTTCCCTAGGGCTCACCTGGAAGCCCTGGGAAGACTCCTCAGGAGGCGTGCTGAGCCAGAGCAGGCAACAGCCATGAGCTCATCTCCCTTGAGACCCCCAGGAAGTCTGGTAGGGAGGTAGAAGGAAAATGGTCAGGGAAAGAGGGAGAGGGGAGACAACAGGGACTTTGGGATGGGCCACAAAGCCAAGCTCGGACACGGGGAAGAAAAGGCCATTTGCCGCATGCCCGCTGTGTGCTGAGCCATTCCTGAGCATCGTCCCTCGTGGATTCTTTGCCAGTCATGTTACTGGCAATGTATTTTTATTCCCATTGTACCAAGGAGGACACTGAGGCTGGAACTGATACTGGATCTGCCTGATACCAAAGTCTAGGGTCTTCACAGGGCACCTTCATGATGGGTGGGTACAGGAGCCTGGCCCTTCCTGGACTCACATCACAGCCACAGCGCAGCCTGGGCTTCTCCTACTTCCAGCTCCGGACAGCAGGGGGAGGCTGTGCTGCGTCTGGCTGTAGATATGGGTGCAGAAGTGGGTCTGGGCTTAGAGGGGAGAAACAGAAGAGGGGGTGGCCTCTGGCAAAAGCTGCTGGGTTTGGGAAGCCCTTAGCCATACCTCTGTGACGGCTGAAAGGTGGGGGTGGGGGCTGCTGCCTAGATTTGCCAAGTGGCAGCTCTGCTGCTGCCCCAGAACAAAGTCGAAACTCCTCAAATCAAGGATTTATAGCTTCTCTTCCCTCCAAAACACCCATCACTCCATTTCCCACTTCCAGGTCTTTGCACATGCTCTTCTTTTGGCATGGGATACCCTTCGTGTTCCTTTCTGCCTGGCCAATTCTTACTCATCCTTCACTATCTGGCTTCAATGTCACCTCCTCCAGGACCTCCTCCACCCACCACAGCTCTATCATACCTCCCTTATTCTTATTTTCTGAAGGTAGGAATGTGTCTAAATCATCTGTGTCTCCAGGACCTAGCACAGGATGGGGCATATGACAGAAACTTCCTGAACAATGGGCAAAATGCATCCCTCTGGAGAGCAAGGGACAGCCTGGGTGGGAGTAAGGGTGGGGAGGGGGCCCTGAAGACGAAATGCTCACGTGCTAGACTTGTCCAGGATCAGGCTGACCGGGAGCGTAGGGGTGCACTTTACTTCCCAGGGGTGTCATGAGGGTCCAGGGAGATCTTGGATGTGAGGGAGCTCTGCAAACGGTAGGTCCCTGTACTGACTCAACTTTACCTCGTTCCCTGGTTTCCCTGATGAGGCAGTTGGAAGGAGGAGGCAGACCAGTCCTGGTGAGTGTCCGGGGTGGCAAGGATTGCAGTCTCAGCGGTGGCCTCAGCTCTCACAGGCAAGGAGGTGGGACTCTGGGGGCTGAGGGACTACCTTGGGACTCCCCCTTCTATGGGGACCTAACACCATATCAGAGCTGGGCATGGGCTCAGAAATGATGGAAGCCATGCCCTTCCCAAAGGGGGTAAACTGAGGTGCAGAGAGGGGTCGGCATTTGCCCAAGGTCACACAGCAGGAGCGGGACGCCAGCCCGTGAGCCCTGTCCTCCCAGCATGACAGGTGTCTTCACCTGGAGTTCAGACTCAGACGGCAGCTTCACTGACCCCCATCCCCCGCCACGCAGTCCAGGGCGCTCAGCCTACACCGCCGCACACCCATTGTCGGCCCAGAGGCTTGGCCGCTGAGCGCCCCCTGGATGGCGTGGTCTGACCGTCCTTCTCCTTGACTCACCTCCAGCCCCGAGGGCCGGGCTCCACGGCGGCGGAGAGGGCGTCGCCCGCACGGCCCCGGCTGTGCCACCGCCCCGGACTGTTCCCGCGCAGCGAGGTCCCTTCCCCGGGGCCCCCGGGTGGGGCCGGTCGAGCCGGGTGCGCTATCCCTTTAAGCCCGGGCGAGATGAGAGCTGTCAGCGGCAGCCGAGGCTAGCGCGGGACGTCGCCACCCTAGCGCCAGGCCGGAGCTAGCAGCCGCGGAGCCGCGGAGAGCGGAGGGGGCGGCGGGGCCGGGCGTGGCGGGTCCCCTCGCCGCCCACTGCGCGCTCGAACCCTGGGCCCCGCGAGCGGCGGGCGGCACCCGCTGTAATGCGGAGAATGTGAGAGGCAGCGCAGGGCGGTGGGGAGGAAGGGGCGCGGGAGAGGGCGGCGGCGAGACAGACGGAGAGCAGCGGGGAGAACGAGGACCGGGCTGGGCAGGTGGGACAAGGCAGGGAGGCGCCGGAGAGGCCGGACTGGAAGGGGGGGAGAAGGGCGGCGGCGCCGCGGAGGGGGCCGGCGCTTCCCGCGGGAGTGCGAGAAGCCCGAGTCGGCACCTGGGCCCAGGTTCGGGCTGGGAGCGCGGCCGCGGCCCGGCCAGGCAGGGTGCGGGAGCCGGGCCGCCCGCGGGGTCCCTACGGGGAGCAGCGGGGCACCTAAGGCCGGCGGGTCCCGGAGGGGCCCAGGGCCGCGCTCCGCAGGCTCCGGCCGTCCCGGCAGGGGGTCTTTGTGAGCGCTCCAGGAGGGCGAGTCGGGAGTGCGGAGCCGGGTGTGCGCGCCTGGGTGTGCGCGTGTGTGCGCGAGTGTGGGCGCCGGGCAGTGGGGGCGCGCGGTAGAGATTCTGCCGGCATCGCATCGTGGCGAGCAGGAGGCAGGAGCGGGACGCGCAGGGGAGCCGGGACCCTCCCGCGCACACGCACATGCACACGCTGCGCGCTCTCACGCGCATACACACGCCCTCCCTGCCGCGCTCGCCGCCGCGGCCACCATCGCGGAGCCGAGCCCTGCGGAGCGGGAACCGAGGCCGGAGCGGGGACCGGAGGCAGCCGAGCCGGGGGATGCCGGCCCGGAGCGGAGCCGCGCGCGGACGGCGCGCCCGGGACGGTGAGTGTGGCCGGGCCGGGACGCTGCAGCGGGGCCAGGGCCGCAGGGGCGCAGGCCGGGGAGCCGGTGTGTCTGCCCGCCGGCGGCGCGGCGCGCGCGGCCTCTGATTGGGCGGGAGCCTCGGGGGCAGCGGCGGGGGTGGGGTGCTGGGTGCGCGTCCGTGGGGGGCGTGCACGCTTGGGGCTGGGAGGGGGCGTGCTCGGCAGCCCAGGCCGCGGCCCCGCCTCACCCTTACCTGCAGCTGCAGCCCCGACGACTTGCAGCAAGTTTGTGGAGCCCCTGGGGCGCGGCGGGCCGGGAGGGGTGGGGACGGAGGCGCTTTGAGGGTGCAACTCCGGCCTTCCTTTCCAGAGAAGAGAACGCGAGGGGAGTGGGGCGGGGGCGCGGGCCGGGCCGTCTGGCGGGCGGAGGGGTGCGCCTCCAGCTCCTCAGTCGCGCAGCCGCCCGCTCTCTGGGACACCCACCTAGGCCCGCGGCGCCGCGCTGGAGCCGCTCCGGGCGCCAGACTACTATGACCCCGCTAGGGTCAGGCAGGACCGCGCGGGGACAGCTCCCAGGCCCAGGGCCTGGGATGTCTTTGCAGGCAGGAGGAAGACACCAAGGTTCAGTTGGGGGAGTGCGGCGACGTGCCCGGGCGTGTATGTGTGTGTCCCCGCGCCTTCTGCTCCTCAGGACGGTGGCTGGAAGAAGGGAACTTGCCGCAAGGCGCGCCCCACCCGACCTGGACCCTCAGGAGCTCCCAAGAGGCCGGGGGCGTCTCCAGGTCTGCCGGCCTGGTGCCCCATACCTGCTTGGAGCCATGCCCCCGCGTGCCTCACTCTACATTGAGGTTGTGGCTGTGCTTTGTACCCTCTCCCATTGTGAGTCTCCTCCCACACTCTGGACCTGTACTGGCTGCCTGAGGGAACCTCCCCACACCCCTAAGTGCCAACCCAGCCAGTCCTGTGGAAGATGGGATGGAAAGCTGTGGTCCAAGATGGTGCCTCTGAGAGGGAGAGAACCCCGTGTCTCCTGGAGTGAGAGGCCCAAGGAAGGATCTGGGGTCAGGACTCCTGCAGGTTCCTCATCCTCCTTGTTTCCAGGGCAGGTTTTTCCTCCTCTAGGAAGCCTTCTCTGGTTGCTCCTGAGTCCTTCCAGCTTGGACTTCCCTGGGGTTGTAACTGCTGGGATCCCAAGCAGCCCCCATCCATATGCCTTCTTTCCTGCCACTCGCCTGTGAACCTGTGTGGTTAGAAGTCTTGATCTCAGCCTGGATGCTGTGTGGAGGGGTGTGGTGGCTGGACCAGTCAGTATCTACCTGGGTCTCTGGAGTATGGTAATGTCTATGGTAATATCAGCTTTCAGGCTTAAACCTTACTTCCACCTCCATTATCCTTCTGGAATCTCTCAGCCACTTTGTGAGAATGCAGGACCGGTGGGCAAGTTGCTTATCCATTTCACAGAGGAGGATTTTGTGGCAGAGATGGAGGTAGTTTTCTAAGTCTTAGGACAGCCCTTTTCCACTGCGAGGGTATCCGCTGACCCTGGTCTTTGGTGAGGCATGGAGGACACCCAGGCCTTCTTTATTGACCTGGCAGGCGGGCTCCTGCTGCGTGTGGCACGTTTACTGGGCTGGCGGCTGTTCTCAGCTGGAGGCAGTTGAACAAAAGCTCCTGACCTGTGGGACCTTTTGACCCTAGCTTGGTTAAATATGTGCTTCCTGGATTTGGGGCCAGAGGCTGTCAGTGCTTTGCTTGATGGTTTGGAAGCCCGGCTCCTGTCATCCTCTGCACAGCTCTGGGAGTTCACTACCATCCCAGGGATCCGAATCACTCCCGCCCAACCTGGCACTCTATGCTGGGTCCTGGCATTGTCCTTGTGTTTGGGCCCCAAAAGCCTTCCTACCCTCTCCATCCTAGAGCCCCTCTGTGGGCCAAAGATGCCCCGTGGAGATCTAAATGTGCACTGGGGGAATTGGAGGGGACTCTGGTGGCTATTGTGGCCACTTCCTCCCCAGGTGGCCCACCTGAAGAACAGGAGGTCAGAGCTGTCAGCCCCAGGCAGGCTTCTGTGACTTCCCTCAGTCCTGCTGGCAGCCTGGAGTCATCCCCAGGGCCTTCGGGGTAAGAGCTGTTGCCCGGGAGTTACCACTGGGGGTGGGGCTGGGCCTGCTGGATCCTGGCGGTGGCCTCCTCAGCCTTTGCTGGCTTCCCCGTCCCGGGCGGCCTCTCTCTGCCTCTCCCTGCTCCTCCCTTGTTGGCTCTGGCTGATCATGGCCTTTCTTTGCCATTGTTTTTTTCTTCTCTCTCTCTCTCTCAGCTCCTCTTCCTCTTCACCTGTGGCTCCCTAAGCTCCAGACTTTTGCCTCCTGAGTGTTGACCAAAGCTCTGGTTGACATCCAGGTGGCTGGAGCATGGCAAGACGCCTAGCTTGGTTCCACCCCTATCATCCATGCCTGCTTGAACCCCTGCCCCGGTTCTTCTGGTACCTCCACTCCCACCCCAACCAACTCCACAAAATGAACCCTTCATTTGGGGTCCCAAGCCATGGTGAGGGGGAGACCAGGGGCACTTATTTGGCCCCTGGTCTATTCTGCCGGGGATGAAAATTCCAGCCAGGGGCTCCCCACCCCTACTGGCTGCTCCCTTTAGGAAAACAGCCACTTCCTCACCCCAGCCTCCTGACTGGGAGGGAGCAGTGCCCAGTGTGACCCCCTTAATTTCCCTCCCCAGGCAAGACCTGACCCTGCTATATTTGTGTTTTAAATTGTAAAGATATTCTAACAAACCCAGTGATAAGAATTTATTGAGTGGGCTGGGCCTTGGGGTGGCTCAAGGTGGAAAAGCTGCCCCTGACCTCTCAGGCATAGCTTTGTGGGGGCTGAGGGCTACCCTGACCAGTCTCAGAGTTTCTTCCGTGGGCTTCTGGGGCCCAGACCCCTGTTCCCAGGAACCACACCTTGGCTGTTACTCTCCATGGCCTGGAGCCTCGCTTCACATTTGGAGGTATCTTCTGGCTTGAGACCTGGACTGAGTGCTGGGGATACCAGTGATGAGCCTGGGCCCCTCCCCGGATGGGCTCTCAAAGGGGAAACAGATTTGGACCCATACCTCTGAGTATTAGTGAAGCCGGCTGGGTAACCAAGAGGCTCAGTGGGGGAGTGGCAAGGGGCTGTTTCAGAAGGAGGGGACTGGCGGGGCCTTGACCTGCTGAGATTTTCCGGCACTTGATCTATGCTCAGTAAATAATTGTTGACTAAATGAGTGAATGGAGAATGCGAACGTGAGTGGGGGCTTTCTAGGAAGATGGCACGGCACTGGCAAAGGCATGGAGGTGGGAAGCGCTGGGCAAGGGTAGAACGTGTTTGCAGTGGAGTAGTTCACATGGGGGCATGGAGAAGGTTGGCACCAGACAGAAGAGGATCCTCAGTGCCCATCTGAGGAGTGTGGGCTGATTCTGAATTCAGGGCTTGCAGCGTTGAAGTTCTGGAGGAACACAATTAGATGTGCGATATAAACCACGTCTCTGGTGGTCTTGGGTGGGGTTGTCCAGGTGCTGGGAAGACCTGGGTGGGGTGATCTAGGTCGTCAGAGTTCGGCGAGGGCTCAGGATTCACCAGTCCTACCACCTGGGCATACAGAGGTGGCAAGTGTCCTGAAGTCATAGATGCAGCCTCCAATACTGGCCTTGCCACTGTGTGCACTTCAGTAAGCCGCTGAGGCCCATGGGTCTGCCTCAGTTTCTGTGTCTGTAAAGTGAACACATTTGTTTGTCTCCGTGGATAACTGGAGTGAGTTTGAGTGGGATTTTGTAACCTCGGAGGAGGGCTATGAAGGAAAAGGGGTAGAGGGCTGTTTGGCATTGCTGTTTGATAGAGGAAGAGCTTGAGGCCTAGAGCGGGGCAGTGGCTAGCACAAGGTCACTAAGCAAGTTGGGAGTGGGCACTGCAGTCTTGGGTTTTTCTGGCTGTGCCTGTGCTTGCTGGGCAGGGGTGGGTGGGGTGGCCGGGGCCTCAGGGCCTCTGCAGAGGACGTCCTTAGGCAGTTGTTTCAGCACTCCAGCTGTCGGAGAGCATATGGGGCCATATGGCCACATCAGGGGAGGTGCCAGCCGCTGGAGGAGGGATAGCAGCTGCCACCATGGTCTTCTGGATCTATGTGGGCACTGCTAGCCACCAGGGTCAGGGCGAGAGGAGGCTAAAGTGGAACTTCGGTGTCCAGGTTGGTTTGGACATGGAGACTGGGCCTTGGCAGGTGGCCCAGTTCCAGCACCCATCTGCCAGGGCAGCCGGATAGGCAGCTCCATGCCCAGGACTGATCCAGTTAGCTCAAGGCCAGCTGTGCCAGCCACCCTCCTCACATGCCCCACCCAGCTCTGATGGCCTTACCATGGGGTGGCACAGTGCCTCTGATGTCAGGGTCACTGGCCTCAGTGGAGTGTGTGTGTATGTGACATATCCCCAAACCCTAGGCGCTGATTCTGAAACTCTGAGACTTTGGGGTATGGAGTGGCTCCTCGAATCAGTCTGGTGAATCCAAAGGGCCTGGGCTTGGATGCCAGATGGAAATGGGTTTGAATCTTGGCTCAGCTGCTTCAAGCTGGGTGAGCTTGGACAAGTCACTTTACTGAGCCTCACTTTCCTCATGGGTGTCATGCGGGGATGATGTCTACCGTAGCCCACTTGGAAATAATGCATGTAAAGCAGCCACTAGCCAGAGGCATTGTAGGATCTCAGTAAATGTTAGCTGATGTTTTGCCCTCTGCAGGAAAGGGAAGTGGGTCAGGTTGGAGTTTCAATGTCCAGGTAGAAGTAAAGAGGAGCCTTATTATTATTATTTTCCAAGGCAAAATCTGCTTTATAATTTTGTGTTTTTATACTCCTTCTTTTGTTTAGTCCTCATGGTAGTTCCAATAAAGTAGGCAGACAACATTGTTCCGTTTCACAGATGAGAAAACTGAGGGCACGGTGGGAAGTGGGTCTCCAGAAGCCACACAGTGAGTTAGGCTTGACCCTGTCTCTGGACTCCTGGTCCAGTGTTCTTGCTCCACAGTGAGGCTTTCCAAACTTCTGGGGTGGAGACTGGGGGAGGAGTGGCTTTGTCTTCTGTCTAGACCAACTTGGGGGTTCTAGAGACTCCCTTCTTGGCCCTGTTTCCATTATAGGTACAAGGACAGGCTGTCATGGACTGGTAGCCAGTCTCAGCTGGGGCTGGAATGAGGGATGCTCAATGAGGCAGCATCTGCTGTATTTCTCATCTGCCCCAGCACAGGGAGGGGCTGAGATTGGGGGGGCTTCCTAGGGGGCAGGAGAGCCCAGGGACGAGTGAGGGATGGACCTTCACCTCCCAGGCAACCCTGGCCATGCTAAGGCGAGCAGGCCTGAGCCTTCTGGGGCAGGGTGGGGAGGGCGCTGGGCCCTGGCCCTTTCTTTGTGTAAGGTGTATAACCTTAGACAGCTCACTGTCTTCTTTGAGCCTCGGCTTTCCCCTTTGGACACGGGACAAAATGATCTCCCTGCCTGCCTTACAAGGCTATTTTTGAGGCTCTAATACGTATTTTTCTACATGGCAGGGCATTATAAAAACATGCTATTTCACGGCTGTAATTCCAGGACTCCCCTGTCCTGCAATTTGATGATCTATGATCATTCAACGTATCACTGTTTGGGCGCCTCCTCTGGGCCTGGCTGTTCTGGGTGCTATAGGGACAGAGATGAGTAGGACCAGCCTCTGCCCTCTTGGGGCATGCAGCCTGGTGGAAACCATGGACAGACCTTCCCAAGCCCAGGCTGGCTGTCATGCTCTCACCCAACACCCTCCCAGCACTCCCTGTTACCTCCAGGCTGGCGTTCTGACCCCTCGGCACCTTGCCCAAGCCTATGTCCCACCCCAGCCCTCTCTCCTAAGCACCTCTCTGTGTCCCCAGGCTCCAGCCAATCAGATGGGCTGTCGCTGTCCTCCTCCATGGTCCTTCCACCTGAGAGTTCTCCCCCATCCCTGTCCGTGGAGATCCCACCCACTTTTTAAGGCTTAGCCCAAATGCCTCATTAAAAAAAAAACCTTCTATTGGCCACCCCTCCTGGAAGCAGCCCATCCTTCCTCAGAACTCTGAGAGCAGTGTATCAGCTTTACATTTAGGGAACATTTATTATTTACTGTGTACCCACTATATGCAAGGCCTGGGGGCGGTTTGTCTTTGTTTTGACTTGGGAGCACCTTGGTGGCAGGGACTGGGCTTATCCATCTTGTGTTCCTTGGGCGTGCCTGGGGGCCAACTAGGCTGATCCGGGTCATGCAGTGCCTCCCTTGGGGCCTCTGTGGCCACTGACACCTCCTCCTTGGGTAGTCCCTTAGGCCTGGGGATTTGGGCTAGGCCCAAAACATCTGTTTGAGAAGCTCCCGAGTTATGGGTTGCTTTGCTCCTGAGACGCTCATCATAGATACGGCCCTCCCTGTCCCTGATGGCTGTGCCAGGATGGGGCGGGGCCACCCAGTCACTAGCCATACATAACTCTCCCCGATGAATTGCACGGCACTCAGCAATTAGTGATTGATCATTTGGGGTACTGATAAATCTCCATTATTGATCCACGGAGGTGAGCCTGGCCATTGTTGGCGAGGGTCAGCTGGGCCTGGCTGGGAGATTGCAATCATGGCCATTTATTTCTGACCAGGAAGCTCAATAAACAGGAGGCAGAGAAAGAGACGCAAGCCCCCCTGTCTGTGACCCACACCGCCAGGGTGGGGCTAGAGGGCTGGGGAGGAGGGGGAGTTGGAGCAGCTGGGGAGCTTTTGCCCACCTCCTCCACCCTCTATTCTCCACCTTCCTTATTTTGCTTCCAGTCTCTTCTGGCCCTGGGCCTCAGCTTTCCCATCTGTTAAGTGGAGATTTCAGTCTCTTTGTCCGGTGACACTTTGCCTTTGAATGAGATGCCCGGGCAGTTACTGACTTGTCATCATTTCTGCTCCACCGGTAGGGGTATTCTGAGGCTCCAAGAGGATGGTGGCCGCATGAGGATGGAATCAGTATCAGGACCCCCAGCCCTGGGCTGCTCTGCAGAGGGCATGGGGAGCCTGGTGGGTGGGGGAGGTGTGGTCACAAGACAGCAGTCACCTCAATAAAGGGCAGCATCTGGCTTCTGAATGTGTTAAGGCTTTTAAATGTGCAGCTAGGGCTCAGTGGAATTTGTGAAAAGCGATTTCTAGGGAAACAACATAAAGGAGATGGCAGGGGGATGTTTAACCTACTTCAGAGACCCAGTTGCCTTTCAGGCATACCAGGAGCACCAGGCATTGTGTGTGGGGCTCCTGCCTGGCTCACGTGACTGTGCTATTTTTTTTTTTTTTAATTTTGTTGGGAACATTTTCAGACATACGAAAAAGTAGAGAGAATAGTACAGGGAACTCCGTATACCCTTCATCTAGATTTAACAATTGTTGACATTTTCCCACATTTTGCTTTATCTGTTTTTTCCAGAGTATTTTAAATTATAGACATCAAGCCTTTTCACACCTAAACATTTCAGCATCCATCTCTAAAAAATAAGATAAAATATTTCTGCCTAATCTTAAGTGGTCTCAAATTTTTTTCATTTTATCCTTGGGAGATAAAGAATCTGATAGATGAGCGGACTGAGGCCTCTGAAGTGACTTGGCCTGTCCAAGGTCACATAGCAGTGAAGGGGAGGGTCCTCTGCAAAGGCCCTGAGGCCCCGGCCACCCCACCCACCCCTGCCCAGCAAGCCGCAGGCACAGCCAGGAAAACCCCAGGCTGGAGTGCCTGCTCCCAACTTGCTTAGGTGGGATCTAGGAGGCAGGCTGCGGATGTAGCCCAGGATTGGGCAGACACAGGAGAGGCAGGGGAGGGGAGAGGTGGTCTGGAGCTGGACCCCTCTGAACAGGTTCCTCTGGCTTAGGCTGGAGGGTCCACCTGGAAACAGGAAGTGACCCTCTTTTAGGTTAATTATCTCTCTTGTTTGCTGTGGGGATTAATCAGGAACTGCAGCGTCAGGAAAATCTAAAACAACTTCTTGTTTATTGTTTAATTTAGGAGAATGTTATCAGGCTTGGGCCATGCAGGGCCAGGGGAGCCTCTGTTGGCAGAAGCAGCTGGGCTGCCCCCACCGGCCACCCTGTGGGAGCAACCGGGAAGGTGGTGGGAAGGCTGGCCTGGCAGGAGGGGTTGGGATCGGGTCTGGACAGCTGTGGGAATTGGGGTGGGGGGGTGTTGGGGGCTTGGGGCTGCACCTGAGATCTGGGCTGGACCAAAGACTCTGTAACCTCGGAACAGATCGGAAGTGAAACTCAAGGGGGTGAGCTTCTGGGGGATATGTGGACATCCGGGAGGGCCTCGGGCTGCCTGAGGCCCTACTGAGGAGCTCTCCTTTGTCTTCCGGCCTCCTGCCCGAGCCTGGACTCCTCCCTGGGAGGCTGTGGCAGAATGAGTGCCCTCTGCCAGCCCAAGGTAGCTACAGGTCTCCCTGGGCTTCCCCGCCTCCTTGGGGTTAGGGTGATTCCTCCCCCAGTACTCTCCGATGCTTGGACTCCCTGAGGGGTCCCAGAGGTCACAGGTATGGAGTCACAGAATGCTGGAACTAGAAGGCGTACTTAGAGATGATCTCATTCCTCCTCTAGGTTCCAGATAGGAAACTGAGGCACAGGGAGTGGCCAGTTCTGTCTTGTGTCTCATGGTGAAGCACTGCAGAGCCTTGGCAATAAGTCAGGCATCTGGCTTCTCAGTCCCAGGATCCTCTGCTTCCAGGCCACATGGGCTTGTCATTCAGGACCCACTAGTGCTCCCCTGGGTACAGAGCCGGGAGGCTGGATCAGCTGCGGAAGGGCTGCCAGTCATCCTGGGGGATGGGCCTAGGATTCCCCTATTAGAGTCTGCCCTCCTCGCTGTCCCTCTCCCTCTCCTCCCTAGATTCCTCTGTGTGTGTGTGTGTGCATGTGTGTGTGTGTGCATGTGTATGTGTGTGTGTGAGCCTAGTTACCCGTGTGTGTGTGCTTGTGTATGTGTGTGTGAGTGTGTGCATGTGTATGCGTGTGTGTGTGTGTGTGTGTGTATGTTTGTGTGTGTGCCTAGTTACTTACCCGAGAGGAGAAGAGCTGTGCAGGTTAGGGAGGAGGCCTCAGTGGAGTGTCCTGAGGCTCAGCCATCTGGGACTGAGACTGGTCTCCTGTCCATAGTGAGCCCCCACAGCAAGGAGGAGTGCCCTGATTAGTGCCAGGCTTACTGTTGGGCTTATTCTTGAGGTCATTGGGGGAGGAGGGTGGGAGAGGCCACTGGGAGAAAGGCAGCCAGAGTGGGAGTGAAAGGCAGAGACATCAGGACACCTCCTGATCCCTGCTCTCCAGCCCTGCAGCGCCACCAGACCCACAGCAAGCCTGTCTGTTCTCTGCGGTTGGGGAAGGAGAGGAAGCCACCTCACCTCGGACGAGTGGCTCAATGGGAGCTGTGAGACAGGGGCATGTTGCCACCTCTCCTGGGCAAATGTTTCTTCCCTGGCAAAACGAGGCAGGGGCTGGGCGTCCTCTGCTCTGAGAGCCAGGTGGGGAGGACAGGTCATGGCTGGCTGTAGGTTGGTCCTTCACCCCCCTGCCAGGCAGGAAGTAGACTGGAAGGGTCACAGGAAACAGCACGGGTCCTTGGTGTCCCCTCAGCCCACCAGGCCTTCCCTCTGCTCTCCCAGTGCTGTGGGGGTTGGGGGAGGGCACCATGCTTATAGTCCAGGAATCGGGTCGGGGCGGGGCATAGCCTCTGTGTGTTCCCACAGTGACTATATGCTAGATCCCAGAGGGACCTGGAAGAACGTTACCCTCATTTGTGTGCACAGCTGTTCTGCAAGGTGGGCATTATCGACTCCATTTTACAAATGAGGAAACTGAGGTTCAGGGTGGTCACCCGCCTGGTTAGGGGTGGGGGTGAGATTTGAGTTCAGGACTGCCTGGCTTCCCCGGATCCCGCTGCCTTTGAGGCCTGGTTTCTGCTCTCATCCTCATCACTACCTGCTGGGTTTTGGTGCTTGCCTTTGTCCAGTAGGGCTGGGAGGATGGCTGAGAGCTGACCTGCAGGCCTCGGGCTGGAGGGGAGGCATGCTCCTCATCCCCCTGGGAGGCTGAACCTCCATTCACCTCCTCCACCTGGCCTGGCAGATTCTAAGGGCTCTGGCTGAGGCTTACCAGCGTTCTTGGAGGAATCCTTCCTAAGCCAAGCAAAATGGGAGGATCCTGGCCCTGTGCTCAGGGATTGGGCCTCCATGTGTGTGCAAGGCTCATTAGAGCCTCCAGTGCCCTTTGCTCCTAGCCGGCACGTGCCTTCCAAGTGAGCATTTGTTGGGTGACTGCATGTGGAGTGGGAGCCTGAGTGCGCATATATGGGCCATCCGAGGCCTGGGGAGTCACACCTGAGGGTTGAGCGTGAAATAGGGCAGAGGAGAGTTCACTGAACCCCTGTTAAGTGTTGGGCACAGTGCCAGATGCTTTACCTGTATTACCTCATTTAATCCTAACAACAACCCCATGAGCTGTGCACTATTACTATCCCCATTTAACAGATGAGGAAACTGAGGCTCAGAGAGATTGAGGGACTTGGTGGAGATCACGCAGCTAATGAATGGAGGAGCTGGCATTTGAACATAGGAGCATTGCTTCTACAGGAGGCTGTGTCTGTGTGCCAGACAGAGGGGAGTCTGTGCTGCAGCTGGGACGAAGGCAGTGTGGTTTCAGGAAGAGGTGTCTGCTCTGTATTTGGAGGGAGGAGGTCAAGGGTCCAGCAAAAGTCCAGGTGAAGGAGGGATTCAGCAGCAGAGGCCTGGCTGGCAGGCCAGCATTCGGGTCTAGGGCTGTGGGATCTTGGCTCAGCTTCCCTGCACTGGATCCAGATCCTCAAACCTGCCTCACCTCCCTCTCAAGGCCTTTGCCCCGATACAGGAATGCATCCTTATGCTCCTGTATCTGGGCAAAGGCCTTGCGGCGAAACTGACCGTGGCTTCTCAGAGGACAGTCAGGGCAGTGTGCCACATTGGGGAGCATCTGCAGATGAGGCTGGAGAGGGGCCCGGGCTGTGCAGGCCTCCAGTGCCAGCCTGCAGTGGTGGATGTTCTCTGGATTTTGAACAGGGGAGAATTGTGTCCAGGTCTGAGGTTTACAGAATGGATCTCTGGTGGCTGGGGGCCATGGGTGGTGGGGAAGGGGTGAGCGAGCAGGGGGCAGCTGGGGGCTTCTCTCCCCCTTGACCCAAGCCTGCATGGGTAAGGCTCATCTCCTTATCTTTGATTTTTTCCACCCCATTCCCTGCCTCCTAGAATGTGGAGCTGGGTGGGGACCAGAGGAGGTCCTTGGCCCCTTCCAGGCCCCTCCCTCAGAGACTGTAAATATTTTGTCTTCACCATCTCTGCTGCTGGAAGTTGCTGCTCTTAACGCCTTTTTTCTTTTGCTTGATACAAACGAACGCTGGAAAAATTCCGTGCCGGGCGCTCGCTCTGTTGCTTCTGCTCGTGCCCAGAGTCCCCTCCAAAAACTCTAATTGCTTTTAAGCTGTGATAGTTGGCAAAAGCAATTTTCTTTACATTATGGAGGAAAGGGGAAAATCCACCAGATTTTCTTCTTCCTTTCTTTCCCCCTGTTTTGACTCTAACCTTTCGTTTTGAGTTCTCTGCACTGCTGCTGTGGTCCTGGGAGAGAAATGGAGTAGAAGAGACGTGTGCAGGGAGGCAGGAACACCCATGAAAAGGGCATTTTTGCCTCTTTGCGCCTCAGTTTCCCCATTACAGAGTGATTATATGTCCATCCATTCATTCCCTAGAGGTTCCCTGAGCACATCCGTTTGAAGCAACTTGAGGGCCAGGACTGGCTGCTGCACCCGGGACAGAGCCTGACACATAATGGGTGTTCCATTAAGGTTGGCCAGTTGGATAAACAGCTCCACTGGCAGCCAGGCACTTTGCCAAGCACTGGGAATGCACAGGATGAATCCGAAGCAGCCCCTGCCCAGGAGAGCTCACTGATTAGAGGGGGCACCACCACACAAACATAATCACTACATTACTGAGTTGCACTACAGGTGGGTCCTGGGTATGAGGAGCCCAGAGCAGGGCATGCCGGGGTACTCGGGGAAGGCTGCAGGAAAGAGAAGCATTTGGACTGCGCCTTGAAGAAGGGGTAGGAGATGGGATGAACTGGGTCAAGGAGGAAGGAATTCCAGACAGGAAACAGCATGCGAAGGCAGAGAAGGGTGACCTCTGAGAAGCTGGGTGTGGCTGGAGCCGAGGCTGCCCAGATGGGCCTGAGCTACTAGGGAGAGCTTTGCATGGCAGGTGGGGAGTTTGGACTTGATCTCAAGGTAACGGGGAGCCCTGGAAGGGTTCCAAGCAGGACACTCATGCAGGGAAGATCCCTCTGGCTCCATAGTGTGGATGATGGGGCAGGAGAGATGCTGGCTGGGAGGCTGGTCACCACGGCCTGGGGGGAGATGGGAGGATAGTGGTGTGAATTTGAGACAAGCCTGGAGACCCAGATCCTGGCGCTCACCTCCTCTGCCTGTGCTGTGGGGAGAGGCACTCCAGTTCTTCCCTGGACTGGGGGGTCGGGGTCCCCTAGAGTATCTGAGGAAGCAGGCGTCCAGTTCATAGGCCTCTGCTGCTATGGTCGGGTTTGCTTCATTCTCTTTTCCTCAAGTGTATAGCCCTTTACAGTTTGTAAAGCCCACTCACCTCTGACCCCTAGGTAGATCTGAAAACAGTCCCCTGGGGTGGGCAGAACAGGATGCCCATCCCCTGTGGACAGATGTAGGTCAAGCTCGCCCCAGGGACCTGAAGGCAGGTGGAGCTGGGGAGGGGATTTGAACCCAGGCTGCTGCCTGCTCCACTTCTGCCGAGTACCCCTCCGCCCTCGACCCTCTTCCTCGCCTCTCCTCCTGAGCCCTGTGCTTCTTCCTGTTTGCAGAGAATGTGGGGCTTTTCAAAACCATTAATGATAGAAAATAAATTGGAATCGGAGAGGAATCATCACTGGGCATTCTCGGAGGGCCGCCTCTGCCCTCGCGTCTCTCAGCCATATTGAAGCCGGCAGCCAGACTGGAATATGAATGAGTCTGGGGCCAGCATTGCTCTTTATCTGCCGGGAAGCCCTCCGTGGTCAGGTGGCACTCACCAGTGGCATCGCTGTTTGCAATGAGGCTTCGGCGGCTGCTGGACATCACCAACCAGGACTGATTTCTCCGGGATGGACTCACAGTCCATAGCTGCCGAGGAGAGGTGGAGGGAACCTCGAGCTTAGCTCCCCACTCCCGCCAAAGCCCTCTGCCGGGGTCACAGCTCTGAGGTCAGCCCCGGGTGGGGTCAGGTATCCCTGCCTGAGGAGAGGGGGTACATGGAAGACCATCAGTGGTTCTGGGTGTCTGTGTGATCCTCATCTGGATATTCAAGGCCTCCTGTGAGTCCTTGGCCCTCTTGTCCTGTCTCCTTCAAGAAACCTTCCTTGATCAATGCCCAGCTCACACTTGTTCCCATTTTTAAGCTTCTTGTGGCCCTTGGAGCCTACAGGGGCCCGGCAGGAAACGCATGGAGGAAATGCATGGAGCTGGCTGGGTGTGATGCAATATGGGGTGGTAGAGACTGTGGCAACACAGAGGCACCGAGACCACCAGTTTGGAAGCCCTGCCATGGGCACTTCCACACAGTTTTGCTAAGTAGACAGTGCCCTTGCTCCACAGCCACAGCTCTCGTCTGCCAACTAGCAGAGAGCCCCCTGAGGGCAGGCCACAGTCTCTGCCCTGCAGTTTGTCCTTCCACGGCAGGCCCAGCTAGGCATAGGCTGGGCACCTGGGCAGGCCTCCCACAAAGCATCAGACTCTGGGGACCTGGGGTATCATTCAGAGTAACCCTCTTGCTTAGAGATGGGGAAATTGAGGCCCAGAGATGGAGGGTGGGTGGAAGGTCTCTGTTCTGTTCTGTCATATGGTGCACCCCTGCCCTTATTAATCTTCCCAGCAGGAGTAGGAGGGCAATTTTTGTACTCTGTTTTAGAGAGGAGGAAACTGAGGCTCAGGTGGCTGCATCCAGGGAACACCGCAGGCCTGCATTTGAATTAGTCTTTTGGAACCCCAATGCTGGCCATCTCTTTCTGGCAGGATTAGGGGATGCTGAGGCATGCACAGAGTTGTCCAAGGGGGACAAGGTGCATTGGTGCCCAGAGTAAGCCCAGCCCAGGGTGCAAGGCCTGGGATCCTGGCTCAAATATACCACCAACTTCCTGTGTGACCCAGGCCAGGCCGAGGGAGGCCCCTGGAGGGGTCAGGAGCAGTTGGGGGGGTGGGCACTGAGACCATGTGGCCTGGGCTTGGCTGCCAGCCCTTCTCAGCACTCCCATCCAGCCCTTGGGCTCCCTTGGCCCCAGGCTCATAATGAACCCTCTCACTCCTGTCATTTCTATGGTCACTATAACGTGGGAGGTGGTAACCGCAGTACCCAGGAGGGACCTGGGGCTCTGCAGGCTCACTTAGCAGTGTGGGACAGCCCAGGCAGCCAGTAGCCTGCTGCAGCTGGGAAGCAGGAGGACGAGAGAAGTGGGCCTCAGGCCACTGCTGGGTGGGCAGACTGCACAGACCTCTCAGCCCTCCAGCCTGGAGCCGGGGTCAGGCCAGCCACACCCCTGCACATCCTTGCACACACTCAGATAGACTCACGTGAACCACCTTGTCTAGCCCCGGGTGTAAGATGGAGAAGCTGAGGCCAAGAGTCTGAGAATGAGACTCAGGGTTGTCGCTCACTCACTCTGACCTCTGCCTATCCAGCCTGTGCTCTCGCCCTCCCCGATGGGGAGCTCACCCCTTATCCAGACAGCTTGCCTGCCTTGGACAGCTCCCTCCCCTCTCTGGCCATCTACTTCTAGGGACTCACACAGGGATCTTGGCTTGGGACCCGGGGCCACATGACTTGCACTAGTCCCTCCCCTCAGCACTCTCTCTTGCCTTCGGTGCATATCGTGCGAGTCTGCATTCCTTTGGGGGTGAGCCTTGCCCTGTTCCTGCCTGGTGCTTCTGGATCTTTGGGCTGGGGGCACCTGGAGGAATCTGATGAAAGCCATGGCCCTGTGTTAGAGATGGGGGCCCAGCCCCTCCTGCATGTGAATCATCATAGCCAGTTTTGTGCAGTTTTGGGGCTCACAGACCTCTGTAGTCCTCCCTCCCTGTGAACCCTGCTGGGAACTCCTGCTTTACTCATTCCCCAGGTGACATGATTAATGTCACCTGTTGTGCTACCTAGGATGAGATGCTAGGTGTTCCAGCCCCCAGGCCACACCCTTTCTGCTCTACCCTGCTGCCTTAAGAAGGGCCCACTGTGCGTGGCTTAGGGGCTGAGAACTGTGTGTATTAGGCTGTTCTTGTGTTGCTATAAAGAAATTCCTGAGACTGGGTAATTTATGAAGAAAAGAGGTTTAATTGGCTCATGGATCTGCAGGCTGTATTGGAAGCATGGTGGCAACATCTGCTCAGCTTCTGGGGAGGCCTCAGGAGCTTTTACTCATGGCAGAAGGTGAAGCGGGAACAGGCACTTCACAGGGTGAAAGTAGGAGTGAGAGAGATGGGGGAGTGCCACACACTTTCAAACGGCCAGATCTCAGATCTGTTGAGAACTCAACTATCACGAGGACAGCACCAAGTCATGAGGGATCCACCCCCATGACCCAGCCACCTCCCACTAGGCCCCACCTCCAACACTGGGAATTACCTTTCACCATGAGATTTGGAGGGAACATCCAAACTATATCACTGTGAGAACCCATTCATTCATTCTATAAACATCTTTTTTTTTTTTCTTCAGATTTTTTGTTTGTCTGTTTGTTTGGAGATGGGGTCTCGCTCTGTCACCCAGGGAGTGCAGCGGTGTGGTCTTAGCTCACTGCAGCTTCAGACTCCTGGGCTCAAGCGATCCTGCCACCTCAGCCTCCTGAGTAGCTGGGACTAGAGGTGTGTGCCACCACTCCTGGCTCAGTCTATAACATTTGTGCCTAATGCCTCCTCTGTGCTAGGCCTAGGCTGGGTTCTAGGGTACAGAGAAGAGCAAGACCCAGCCCCTACCCCTGGGGAAGCCAGACCTGTCAGCAGTTACAGCTTAGGGGATGAGGGTGGGACAGAGGTGAGCACAGGGTGGGTGTACCAGAGGGGCTTCACTCCAGCCCTGTAGGGAGAGGCTTCTTAGAGGGTGGTGGGGACTGGTCAGGGAGGACAGGCATCCCCCAGGGGGAACAGCAGGTGCAAAGGTTTGGAGGCTCAGTTCTGTTGAGGAACACAGGAGGCCCAGTCTGATTGGAGGGTAGTATTGGGAGGCACTGGGGTCAGACATGAAGCTGAAGGCCACTTGGGGATGGGCCCCAGGGGGTCTGGTGGTCCCAGTAAGGAGTGCGGGCAGGGAGCAATAGGGAGCCATAGAAGGGTGTGGAGCAGGCAGCCATGTGGTTGGATCTGCCTTTTGGAGTGCTCCCGTGGCAGCTGCAGATGGAACATGGGTGAGTGTGGAGGTGGGGACAGGAGACCTCCAGGAAGTTGTGTTAGTTGCGGCTCAGACCCAGGTAGAGAGTGTCATTCACCACTCATTAGGAGGAGTTTGCTGGTTCCCGCAGTCCCTGCTTCCTGGAGGCAGGTGGAACACGAGCTGTGCAAACAATTGTTCAAGGGAAGGGGGCCTTCTGGAACTGGAGGGGGCCTTATGCTCCTTCTGGGCAGTTTTCTCTGAATTTGTTGATTGACTCATAAGTGGGAGGGGCATTTCCAGAATGGCCTGATCTCTGCAGTTTGCCACCTGCTCCTGGCCCCTCTGCAGGCCTCCTGGCTGCCTATACCTCCTAACATACACACAAACACACACACACACCTTGGGGGAACACCCGGGGGCACAGGACATACTACACACACTATGCACACATATACGTGGATCTGCTGTGTTCCTCTCCCTCCAGACACACACATGCTGTCTCTTTGCTGTCATCCCCGAGAGTGACAACACACATACACACACACTGATTCTAGATTACAGACACGCCTCTGCACCGCTTGGAACCCACACACCCTCCAGAGTTCACCTCCGCAGACCCACATGTGCCCTCTATCTGTAAGCACCACATACCTGCATGCCCCAGTCACCTCCACGCACCCCATGGGCTCATCCCCCCACTCTCTGTACATATAGGGAGAAACACACCCCAGCTTCTCCCTCTTTTCCTCGCTCTCTCTCTCCCTTCCTGCAGCACTGGAGCCTTGAAGCCCCCTTTCCTGGAGTTTTCTGCAAAGGCCCTTTCTATGTTCCCTTTATCCCTCAGCCCCAATTCTGGGTTCCCCAGGGCTGTGACCATCTCAGGGTTTTCTGGATACCTAGAGAAACCCCTGACCCTCGCCTGGGAGGCCCGGAGACGTGCTGAGGAGTCACAGGCCCTGGCTGCCGGTGTACCTTGAGCAACCTTCTGACCCTGTCGACCTTGGCCTGGGGGAGCGTAGGCATGGGTTCCACAGTCTCCAGCTGAGCTTCTCAAACTGGTCCTAGAGCCCTAGTGTTTCCAGAAGGGGCCTCAGGATACGAGGGTGGGGCTGGGACTGGATGGGGCTGAATGGATGGATGTTGGTCCCCTCCCCCTTTAGCCAGAGCAGCCCTGCTTAGATCTGCATTTCCTATTAGGGTCTGAGAAGGATTAAAAAAAAAAAACCCATTAACTCTTTATTGATTTTGTTTTTCTGATTACAACAGAAGACCCAACAATACATTTGTGGAAAACAGGCCATGAAAGCCCACTTGTCCCACTGCTCGGAGGTGATTGCTGTAAAGCTTGGCGTGCTGTCCTCCAGCCTTTTGGGGCATATAGCAACAAATCGTTAATTACAGAAATGGGCTCATGCTGAAATAGCATTTTACAGCTTGATTTTTTCTCTATTGTTATACATAGACGTGCCTCACTCTGTCAGATGGCTGCAGAGTGTTCCATAGTGTGGACATGCTATATTTTATTTGAACTTTCTCTTATCGATAAACGTTTAGGCCATTTCCAATTTCTTTTTCGGTCTTACCAGCAATGTTTCCGTGAGCATCCTTGAGCATGTATACATGAATGCTTGTGCTATTATTTCATGGGAGAGGCTCCCAGAAGTGGAATTACTAGGTTGTAGAGTGTTTGGGTTAAAATGTTAATCAGTGTTGCCAAATTACCCTTCCAAAGGTTGAGCCAATTCCCCCTCCATCCAATGGTCTGGGAGTGCTCATTTCCCCACATCCTTGCCAGCACTGCTTGTTATCAATCATTTAAATTTTTCCCAATCTGATAGGCAAAAAATGGTAGCATGTCACTTTCATTTGCATTTCCCTGATTGCTAGTGAGATAGAACATCTTTTCATGCATTTATTGGCCAATTTAATTCCTCCTCTGCAGATTTCTAATTCACTGCCAATTTTTCTCTTCTTTTGTCTTTTTTCTTATTGATTTGTAGGGGCTCTTTGCATATTAGCGACATTTTCTTCCATTGTCTCATTTGCCTTTTAACTTTGTTTATGTGTCTTTTGCTGTACGGATGTTTTACACGTTTATGTACAGTAGTTGGATTTGTTGAATTTTCACTTTATGGCTTCTGGATTTAATGTCTGGCATATAAACGCTTCCTCCACTGCATCAGATTTCATTTCAAATAAGAATTTTATTGCTGAAAAATCTTTGCAAAGCCCTGGTTTGTAGGCTCCTTCCCAGCTGTGTGTCTGTTCCTCTCGGCAGCTGCAGGCCTGGCTCTGGGGGAGGGGAGGGGTGGCCCCATCCGTCCATGCTCCATCTCCATCTTCGGCTCCATATCCATCTTCAGCTCTCTACTCTCCCTCTGTCCAGCTGGCTTTGGGGTCACTGCTGCTCTGTCTCTCTCAGAGCCTCTGTCTCTCGTATGCTCTGCCCCCACTCCTCTGTCTCTGCTGTTTTCCCATCCCCAGCTGGTTTCCCATCAGACAGCAGTAACTAGGGACGTGAGGTGGCAGTGGTGGCAGCCCTTAGTTGGGGACAGGATGGCAGCTGTCACGGAATGTGCCCCCCTTGCCCTCCACCTGCCAGCCTAGCCCCAAGTCATGTGGGCTGGAAGGGGAGGCCCTGGCCTGGTTCTCTCTCTGGAAGAGACTCTTTTCCTGCCAGAGCCCAAGGGAGGGCTCTGAGCCAATCCTAGTCCCTCCTCCATCAGGAAGCCTTCCAAGACAGCTTCTTCCTCCCTTCCCACAGCTCTGGACCTGGCCCTCCCTTCTTTCCTTGCGGCTCTTTCCCCGTCCTGCCTTCTCAGTGCTGAGCTTCCTGGAGTCCACCTGGCCACCTCTCAGGGCCTTGGTTTCCACCTGTGTAGCATAGGTCCTGGGAGGCTGTCACAGCCGCTGGGAGGCATGGCACACACACAGCTGGCGGGTCTTCCAAGCCAAACTCTGGAAGGTGTTCCCTCTTACTCTCTCAATACAGCCCCATCCCTCAAAAAAAAAGAAAACAAAACAAAACCCACCAAAAATCACAGGGGAGAGCTTGCATGCTGCTGACAGAGATAGGGACTTGTGTTCCTTCCGTCAGAATGGTGGCCAGCAGGGCTCACTGGTTCTCTGCTCACCCCAGGCTCAGTGTCATGCCTGGCTCATGGGAGGTGCCCAGGAAAGAGAGAGAGAAAGGGCAAGGACCTAATGAACAAAGCGGGAGCTGCTGAGGCTGGGGGAGGAGGAGGCAAGTCTGGGGCCCACATTCTTTGAGTTACTTCTGGGTAGCAAGGCACTTTCCTCACAGTCCGTCATTCCTGGGGCCTGGGGTGCTAATGAGAAATACCACCCTTTACCTCCTGGAGGTGTGGGCCCCAGGTGGACTGTAAGGGGGCCTTGGGCTGTGGGAGCAGCTGGGAGAAAAGTTGGGGAAACTCAGAGGTCTCTTAGAAGCATGGCTCAGAAGTGCATAACCTAAAACTCTGAGGGACCCTTCCCTGGGCTCCTGCAGTCCCTGGCCTTCTGGCCTGGCGCCCGCCCTCTGATCATGATGGTCTGTCTCCTCTGAGCAAGAGCAGTGTCCTTTATATCTCTCTGTTCCAGTGACCAAACACATGGTAGGTACTTAACAAAAGTAGAATGAATAATGAGGAAATAGCTAGGGGTATTGATCAGAGGGGCTCAGGTCTGGGGAAGAGGAGACCTGGGCTCTGGGCTTGGCTTTTTGGTTGACTTTCTGTGTGACCCTGACCCTGGTTGGACCTCAGTCTCCCAATCTGTACAGTGGGCGTGGGCCTCTCAAGCTCTGTGATTATGCACCATGTTGTCCAGAGCAGTCACAGGCCTACGTGACATACCCACACAGCACACATACCAGGGCCCTGCTTTCTGATCAGTGTTTGCTGAGTGTGTACCGGGTGCCAGCCCCACTCAGTGCTGAACCCACTTTGTCAGAGTCCTTGAAGAGCTGTTTCTGTGGAGGTCTCACATTCTCCGGGGCATTTGTTCATTCTGCTGAACACACAGACTACACAGGCTGAGAGCTCCCTGGGCTCCACTGGGGTGGCAAGGAGCCAAGAGGGCAGGTAGGAGGCCCCCAACCTTGGCTGCAGCCCCCTCCACCCTCCTTGGCTGTGAGGCCTGCAGCTGGGGTTTCATGTCTTTCTTGGGACCTGGCACACTGGCAGACCTCGTGTCCAGGAGAGTGCCCGGCTCCCACTGCGTCTCCTCCCCTGCCCCAAATCATTGTCACGCTCTGCCTGTGGCCCCATTTCCATAGCAACTCCTTGTGATGCCACAGAGGAGAGTGGGAGCTTTAGGAAGCTTTGGAAGGTTTGGGGGGAAGGGAGCGGGAGGCCCATTCATTGTCTTGGAGCATGGCAGCCGGGGGCCCGGAATGGCACTGTGGGGATGGCTTACCCTGCCAGCTCAGGTGGAGCTGGGCTCAGGGCCGCCAGCCAGGTGGTCTGGAGGCCTTCCAAGGACAGGGCTGCCCGGGTTGGCCTGGGCCTGACTGGCTTGTGCCAGTCTATCGGGATCCAGCTTGGGAGGCCGCTGACAGTGCCCCTGTCTGACTAGACCTGGCTTGGGGTACCCGGGCCTGAGGAGCTGCCCAGGCTCTGCTACCCCTGTGTCCTAGGCTGGCACCACTATGTTCTGTCCTGTCCTCCAGGATCAACAACCAGTGGGAGATGCACCCAGGGCCAGCTGGCAACAGGGGCCTAGTTTGGGGCTGGTGAACCGTGGGGCTGAGCAGGTCTCTCTTCACTGGTCTGGGCTGCTTTGTGGCTCTGTTGTCAGGATTGGAAAGCCAAAGTGGGCCCTGGAGCCTGCTCAGCACCCACTTCTCTGCCTCCTTGGAGAAGTCTGCAGCCCATAATATATGAAGACCCTGGCCCCAAAGCATCTCCTACATCTTCACCTACCACGCGGCTAGAAATTCCAACATTTGCATCTTAGATTTGATAGAATGTTGATTCTGGGAGGGACCCTGAGGGCTTTTCCATCTTCTGCCCACATTATAGCTGTCACCTTGGAGCCCCATCCACCCATCCTTCCATCTATCCCATCTGGAAGGCCTTGTGAATGCCCCTGGGGTCCTAGGCCTGTGCTGGACGGCACCCAACAGGGAATCGAGCAGAAAGGAGGGGCTGGTCTGGCCCTCCAGGGAAGGCGGAAGCTGCTTGCCCTCTCAAGGGCTGCTGGGAGCCAGGTGCTGGTTCGATGCCAGCTTCCTGAGCTTCCCTTTCACCATCACGGTTGAAGCCACCCCTGGGCACCACCTGCACTTGTGTTTTCTTAATCCTTGTCTTCGTGTGGACTTTCGTTTGAAGGTGGATTACCACAATGCTCCCCAAGCACACATCCGGAAATCACACCTGTGATGTGCCTGTCATGTTTTTTTTTCCAATACACAGAAAGAGAAACACGTAGCTATGAAAATGAAAACATTTGTCTGCACACCACGAAATCCCCTTGTGCACCCCCAGAAGCATGTGTCTCCTACTTTGGGAAACACAGATCTGATTGAAACCTTTCTGCAGCAGCTCAGAAAGATATTTGGGACTTGGTCTGAGAGGTTGAAGAAACTGAGGTACAGAGGAAGAAGCTTTCCCCAGGGCCACCTGGCCAGAAGGAGGGAGAGCTAGGAGTTAACCCACTTCCTTGGACTTTGAACTGAGGTTATGTCCTGCACCATGGACGCCTCAGAGCCTTGCCAAGGAACCAGAACTTCCTAGCGCCCTCCCCTACTCACAGAGGATGGAGGGTCTGGTCTAGAGGAACCCTTGGAGAATATATGATGAAGAAATAAAGTAGGATGGCTGGGCATGATGGCTCCGCCGATAATCCCAGCACTGCGGGAGGTCAAGGCAGGAGGACTGCTTAAGGCCAGGAGTTTGAGACCAGCCTGGGCAACATAGTTTACAAAAAAATTAAAAAATTAGCCAGGTGTGGTGATACACACAACTGTAGTCCCAGCTCCTTGGGAGGCTGAGGTGGGAGGATCGCTTGAGCCCAGGAGTTTGGGCTACAGTGAACCATGATGGCACCACTGCCCTCCAGGCTGGGTGGCAGAGCAAGACTCTGCCTCTTTAAAAAAAAAAAAAAAGGCAGGAGAGGCTGGGGAATGGGAGGGTGAGTAGATGGGGGTTGGGAAGTTGAGGCTCAGGCCCAAGGGAGGCACCCCGGTGCTGCCCATCATCCCCTCTCGGGGTCAGCCTGGGGCCTGCCTCCTGGGAACTGGCTGGGGAGGAAGGCAGGCAGTGACATTGGCTGCACACCTACTGTGAGCCAGGCCATGTGTCCCTTCTCTCTCTCTTATCTTCCCAGCAGTCCTGGCAGGAGAGATGGTATTTTTCTTTTATGGATAAGAGAAGTGGCTTTTGCAGGGCCACAGAGCCGGATGGTGGGAGAGGCATAGTCAGACTCCAGCCTGCCTGGGGCCACAAACTCTGCGCTTCCCAGAGCCCTGCCTGCCCCCAGCTAGTGCCATGAGTGTGTGTGTGTGTGCACGCCCGCACGCACATGTGGGCATGCACAATTGACAACACATCTATGTGTGTAAGCATGAGTTTGCCAGTGAATGAGAGTACATGTGTGAGTGTGTGCAAGTGTGTGCATGTCAGAGTGTGTGTGGGGGGGATGTATGAGTTTTTAATGGCTCAGCCAGGCGGGATCAGACCCCATTTGCAGGCGTGGCCCCCACTGCACCCCGACCACCTGCTGCCCTGCTCTAGCTGACAGCCACCTCTTCTTTCTCCCCACAGCCTCCGGCACCCACAGGCCCTGAGGCTCCAGTGCCCACAGGCAGAGAGGGCGACTGAGTCCAGCCCAGGCTGAGCCCTGCCCAGCTGTACTCCCCAGACACCCACCCAACCCGAGGTAAGATGCCACTCTGGGTGGCAGGGCATGGAGGGTGTGGGGTCTGTAGGGGAGGCTGTCATGGGGCCATCTTTCTGGGGGTTTCCTCATCTCTCCCTCCCCACATGCAGCCACGTCCAGGAGGTTTGCTGTGGCGGTGCCACTTGCTGCCAGACCTGGCTGAAGCAGGGCTCCGGCAGGCAGCTTGGAAGCGTGGGGCGTTCTTCCCAGCAAGTGGGTTTCACGGACAGTGCCGGCTAATGGGTTCCCGCGTGGCATGGGAGGTCTCTAAGGGCAGGCTGCAGGGCTCTGTCCTTGGTCCTGTCACATTGTTGACCAAATGTGTGCCTGACTTCAGGTCAGGAGGGAGCCAGAACATGTGGACTGAGACAATCAGGGTCCAAGAAACTGTCAAGAGGCTGACATTGGCTCTAATGTGTGGAGTTTAACAGGGCTCCACACCAGAGACAGCGTGAGGGTCTAGACACCTTCAGGGCAGGATAAGGCTCAGACCCCAGGTGTGTTTGTGCGACAGTCATTGGCAGCCAGGTGACCTTGGCTCTCTGTGAACAGAGGAGATGTGTTCTTGGACTTTATCACGAGGAGCAGGACCCCCAGAATGTGGGAGGCGACAGGTCCTCTCACTTCATGGTCCGTGTGAGGGGATGTGGAGAAATGACAGCATGTTCCAGAGAAGTGGGAGATGGGGAAGGAGGGGGACCTGGGTTGCTGCCTGGCTTGACCCCGGCTTGCTCATGACCTTGGACAAGTCACCTCTACCCCATATCTGGGCCAATCCTCTGTTCTCAACAGGCCTCTGTCACCCATGAGAGGGCTGCAGAGGGACTTTGCTAAACAGAGGGAACGGTGGGGTGGGCTCAGGGCAGCAGGCTGGCCTGGCGTATTGTCCTCATTTTTCAGATGAAGAAGCCTGGTGGCAGGCCTGGACTCCCTTCTCCTGAGGGATAGGGTGACGGTTGTATGTGGCTGAGGCTTAGCCAACCCTGTCCTCACACTGGGAAGCTGGTGGGAGCGGAGGCCTGGATTTCCTTCCCAGGCACTAGGCCTTGCTCCGAAGCCCAGTTAGCACCATCAAAATATTTCTGCTTTGGGAAGCCGAGGTGGGCAGATCACAAGGTCAGGAGATCGAGACCATCCTGGCTAACATGGTAAAACCCCGTCTCTACTAAAAAAAATACAAAAAATTAGCAGGGCGTGGTGGCGGGCGCCTGTAGTCCCAGCTACTCGGGAGGCTGAGGCAGGAGAATGGCGTGAACCCGGGAGGTGGAGCTTGCAGTGAGCCGAGATCACGCCACTGCACTCCAGCCTGGGCGACAGAGCGAGACTCCGTCTCAAAAAAAAAAAAAAATATATATATATATATATATGTGTGTGTGTATATATACACATATATACGTATATATGTATGTATATACATATATGTATGTATATACACATATATACGTATATATGTATGTATATACATATACGTATGTATATACACATATATACGTATATATGTATGTATATACATATACGTATGTATATACACATATATACGTATATATGTATGTATATACATATACGTATGTATATACACATATATACGTATATATGTATGTATATACATATATGTATGTATATACACATATATGTATATATATACATACATATATATATATGTATATGTTTCTGCTAATTAGTTGGCTCTGGGTAGAATGAGCAACTAATTAGTCCCTCCAGTTTAACCTGTAATTGCTGCTGAGAGATGGGTGAGAAGATGGCGTCAGGATTGTCTGTGCAGCAACTGGGGTGACAAGGGCAGGGGGCAGGAGCGTGAGCAGCCTCCCCACTGCCCAGGCAGACGGCAGCACCCACAGGCACCACAGCCCGGGGGCATTGGGAGCTCAGTGGGCGGGGAGATGCAGGCGGGAGCTGACGCAGGGCAGGAGGGCCACAGTCAGCTGGGGGTCTGGCAGGGCTTGTTGGAACAGGTGACACCTGGGCTAAGCCTTGAAGTCTGTAAGGTGCTTTTCAAACATTTTATTTTTCTGGTTATAAAAAAAGTAATGTGTGTTCTCTATAGAAAAGTGTGAGCGCTTGGGTGTTTAGCCCGTCAGTCTTCTACAAAACATGTATTTATGACATAATTGGGATCAAGCTGTACTTACTGTTTTCTAACTTGCCTTTTACACTTAATCCCATACCAAGATTATTTTCCCATCATTAAATACTCTTCTATAATGTGATTTTTAATGGCAGTGTAATGTTTCAGCCTGCGTGTACCATAGTGCGTTTAGCCAATTCTCTGTTGTGTATTTTGATGGTTTCTGATGTTCTGTCATTATAAATAATGCTTGGATGAAGAAAGTCATGGATGTAGGGTTGTGACAGGCAGGGAAAGTTTAGGGTGGCAGGGTAGGCCCAGCCTGAGCAAAGGTGCAGTGGTAGGGGAGTTTGGAGTGTGTCTGGGGAGTGGCAGGGCCAGGGCTGGCATGGAGCACCGGAGGCTTGCACCGGAGGCTGAGGAATTGGAGCTTCACTCAGCAAAGCTCTAAACTCCTGGAGGAAGCTCAGGTTTGTCCTTGCTGCCCCTGCTTCTGTTGCTCCCTCCCTCGGTGCTCCAGTGATTAGAGGGGAAGAGGCAGGATGCTGTGTGTTCGGGAGGAAAGGGTAGGCAAAGCTGTGGATCCCAGATGACCTCTCCCTCCCTCAGTGGTGGGATCCGTGGTGTTTAAACCAAGACCCTCTGCTCTCTGGGGAGCCTTGCCCAGGTCTCCTCCTGCCAGGCAGGAGGGATGCAGGCACCAACTCTGAATACTTACAGACTCCTGGGTCAGCACAGCTGGTCAGACCAGCCTCTCCTTCATCCCCTCACTGGGGGGTGGCTTATGACAGGGACCCTGGAGGGCCAGGGAGGAGGCTGGAGGTGGTTTGTCGTTTCTTCCAGGAAGCTCCCCTGACCTCTGGGTAGAGCTAATGGCCTCTCCCTAGTGCCACCCTCCCTGTGCACATCTGTTGGCCCCAGCACTGCTGTCGTGCTGGGTTGGGATCACCTATGGGTGTGGGCCTGTTTCTCCCAAGGATGAATGTGCAGTGGTTTGTTCATTCTTCCTTCAGCGCATACTCACTGAGCGCCTGCTACACATGAGGCATTGTTCTCTGTGCCCAGCATGGCATCCATGGGTGAATAGGTTAGACCATGGCATTGCCCTCATAGAGCCTAAATTGTAACAGAGTAGACAGAAGAAACCAGATAAGTAAATCCGTAATATAAGATTAGGGAGTAATAAATGCCACAGAGAAAAATAAGGTTGGAAAAGGGGGCAGGCATGAAATCGGAGCTCTTCTCTGGAGCCCTTCTCTGGAGCCCTTCTCAGGAAAGTCCTCTCGGATGAGGGGCCATTTCAGCAGAGGCCTGAGGAGAGGGAGTAGGCCTTATGGAGCTCTGGATGGGCTTGGAGCTGGGACCAGCACAGAGGCCCTCACAGCTGGGCAGCCCTTGAGGAAGAGGGGCTGAGAAACGAGGCATGCAGGGCCAGGAGTTACAGAGTGATGCCTACTGGAGAAAGGACTGTAGGGTGGGTGGGCAAGAGTAGAAGCTGGCAGGCCAGTGGGAGACCCCAGCATCAGTCCAGACCAGAGGTGGTGGGGCCGGGCCTGGGTGGGAGGAGGGCTTGCGTTTGGAGACTTTGAAGGCGTTGCTGAAGGATGGGCTGTGGACTGGGAGAGGGCCAGCCTGGGAATGGGGCGGGCACTGGAGCCTTGGCCCGAGCCGAGGAACAGGGGTGGAGCGTGGGTTTGGAGGGAGAAGCAAGATCCTGCTTGGAAGTGTTTGAGGTGCCGGCATCATGAGGGGAGGCTGCACAGACAGTAAGCCTGCAGCTGCGGGAAGAGCTGGGCTGGAGAGGCAGTTGTGTGGGGAGTCAGCATCTGGGTGGTATCTGAAGCCTCTGAGCCTGGACAAGATGATGTAGAGAAGAAATCTGGGCCTCATTGCTTGGGGTGAATCCAGCCCTGGGGAGCTTCCTGCTTCTGGGTGGGCTGTTACTCTAACTTTGCAGACAAGGTCCCCTGATTTACCAGCCTGGAGAAACTGCTACCAGCTCGCCCTCCCAGCTGCTCCTCCCAAGTGGCCTAATGGATGGCACCATCATTCTGTAACACTTGTCACGGCTGCTGTCAGCAGGAAGTGTGAGGCTGGTACTAGGCCTAATCCTCTCACCCTTTCCTCTTGTAAGGGACTCTTAACTGGTGAGTCTGGAGCAGGCCAGGCCCTTCTGAGCCCTACTAGTGGGGACTACTGCAGGCCTTCCTCCAGGTCATGTTCCCCCTCAAGAACCTTCAGTGGCTCCCTGTTGTTTAAGGTTGACATCCAGAATCCTTCTCCTGCTTGTACAAGGCCTTTCATGGTCTGCCTCAAGCCCACACTTTCTTCCCCGCCCTTCTTTCCAACAGGTGACTCTCCTCCTCCATCCCCCACACACCAGGCTCAGCCTCACCTTCCATGTAGAATGCTTTCTTAACCACCAGCAAATCTCACATTTTCCAGAATGTCTTCCCTTGACCCCCCGCCTCCCTCGGCCTCTTTGCGTGTCCACGTGTGCCTTTCGCCTGTTCCCCCAGGCCTCATGGCTTGTGGTGAGCTATCCTGTCTGGTCACCCCAACTCAGCAATGTCATGATCCTCAGCTTGTCTTCCTCTTTGCCCTCCTCATCCTCTTGTCCCTCATGTCTCCTGTCTGCCTGCTGCCCCACCCTCAAGTACTGTTGTCAAAGCTCTTCCCAAACAGAATCCCATTCAAACCATGGTGCTCTGTGGGCCAGGGTGTCCAAGCCTGGCTCTGCATCAGGACCACCCAGGGATGTTATTAGAGACAGGAATCATCTGGGGTCCACCCAGACCTCCTGATCCAGGGTTGCTGGGAGAACCCAGGAATCTGCATGGTTCACAAGCCCCATAGTCACCTTTTGATGGTCAGCCAGGTTGGAACCCATTGGCCCAACCCAAGCTCATGATGAGGGAGTATAGGTATCCCTGAGATCGTGGTCCTCTGACCTTTACTTGCACACCTTCAGGGACAGGGACCTCACTCTCTCCAAGGCAGCTCAGGCCCTGGAGGGAGCTCTTACATGGCTCTTCCTTATACTGACTGAGCTGAATCCGCCTCCCTGAAGTCTCCATGGATGGCTCTAGGGTCCACATGGGGCAGGAGCTATGTTTAGCATCTGGAAGCTCTCCTTTTCCACCCCCCCAAACCCAGCGGGGGGCCCAGCACGTGGTGGGGATTTCAGCAATGTCTGTGGCTTGGTGGAGGACCTGCCTCCCTCCACCCCTGCCTTCCTGGGGCCTCCCCAGGGCATTGTTCTCATCTGTGCCTCCCCAGTCTTCTCTTAAAGAAGAGAACTCATGGAGCAGTGCAGGGCTTGGAAGACCACCCCCCACCCTGGCCCTTACCCTCAGGCCCTGGCTGGGGCCACACCACCCAGCCCCTCTGTGTGTCTGTTGTTCCAGCCATCGCTACAGGTGTCGAGAGCTTTAGTATTTCCAGAACACAGCCCATCCTACATCCCATCTCCTCCTTATCACAGCCACATGGAAGGTGGGTGCTGCCATTCCTGTTCATTCTTCCAGCCAGCATTTACTAAGCACCTACTATGTGCCAAGCAGTGTTCTGGGGATAAGTTGAACAAACTAGGGTTTAGAGAGGGGCAGGGGTGTGTCCAGTGTCCCAATGTGAGGGGCCAAGTCAGCACTAAAACCAGGTCTGTGGGTGTATTAGTTTGCTAGGCTGCTATAGCTAAGTACCACAAACTGGGTAGCTTAAACAGAAATGGATCGTCTCACAGTTCTAGAAGCTGGAAGTCTGAAATCAAGGTGTCGGCAGGGGCTGGGCACTGTGGCTCATGCCTGTAATCCTAGCACTTTAGGAGGTTGAGACAGGAGGATCGCTTGAGCCCAGGAGTTTGAGACCAGCCTGGGCAACATGGCGAGACATGGTCTTTACAAAAGATAAAAAAAATAGCTGGTCGTGGTGGCACACACCTGTGGTCCCAGCTACTTGGGAGGCTGCTTGAGCCTGAGAGGCTGAGGCTGCAATGAGCTATGATTGAGCCACTGTACTCCAGCCTGGGTGAAGAGCAATTCCCTGTCTCAAAAAAACCCCAAAGCCCCAAATCCCCAAACCCCAAGGTGTCAGCAGGGCTGGTTGCCTCCAAAGGCTGTGAAGGATGATCTGTTTCAGGCCTCTCTCCTTGGCTTGTAGATGGCTACCCCGTGTCTCTTTACATGGCCACATTGCCAAATTGTTCTCCATACAATATTTAACTATTTAATCATTTATTTATTTTTTTGAGATGGAGTCTCACTCTGTCACCCAGGCTGGAGTCCAGTGGCTCTATCTCAGCTCACTGCAGCCTCTGCCTCCTGGGTTCAAGCAATTCTCGTGCCTCAGCCTCCTGCATAGCTGGGACTACCGGCATGCGCCACCACACCCGGCTAATTTTTGTATTTTTAGTAGAGATGGGGTTTCACCATGTTGACCAGGCTGGTCTTGAACTCCTGACTGCAGATGATCCACTTGCCTGTGGGCCACTGCACCCAGCCAGTATTTAACAATTTAGACCGTATCTCCAAATGCCTCCTTCTTATGGGCACAATAGTCGTATTGGATTAAGGGGCCGCCATACTCCAGTATGACCTCTTCCTAATTAGCTAATTATATCTCAAATGGCCCAATTTCCAAATAAGATCACATACTGAGGTATTGGGGGTTAGAATTTAAGCATGTCATCTTTGGAGGCACACAATTCAATCCCTAACAGCAGGCGACTAGAGCTATGATTTTCACAGCAGTGAACTGTCCACTGGCAGCCTTGGCGGTGGTGAGCATCTCATGCCGTGGGGTGCACAGGAGGAGTATCGAGGCCGCCCCAAGCTGTCAGGGACATGGAGAGGAGGTTCCTACCTCATGGCCAGGACCAGGGCTTCCCTGAGACCAGTTTCAGCCTGGGATGTTAATCGGGGCCCAGGAACATGGTACATGGTGTGTACTTGTCGTGATCCAATCCCCGTATCCTTTGGGTGAAAGGCAGGTTCCCATCACTGGGTTAGGAGGAAGAACCCCTGAGCTCTGCCGCCTCTTAGCAGGGTGCCCTCAGGTAGTGGCTTCGACTTCTGGGCCTTGGTCTACCGGACTGAACTGGGGACTAGTCTGCCTGCCTGTTTTTGTCACAGGCCTATGGTTAGGCTCACAGGAGAGAATGAATAAGAAGGTGCTTTGTTTTTGTTCTTTTTTCATGTATTCACTTTGCAAATAGTTATTAAGCTCAGCTGCATGCTAGACTCTGTGCTGTCTCCAGGGACACAGAGGTGGTCCTGGTCCTGGCCCTCAAGGAGTGCCGAGGCCATGGGTGGGGCAGCAGGTGTAGGTGGTAGTTGAAGTTATGACCACTCTGGAGCCAGACTCCCGGGACTCAGTCGCAGCTCTGCCACGCATCAGTGGTGTGAATTTAGACAATTTCCCTAAGGCCTTTGGGTCTCAGTCTCTTCGTCAGCCAACTGGGAATAATGAGAACGTCTACCTTGCGTGGATAAAGTAGGTTGAGGCATGTAAAGGGCTTAGAGCCGTGTCTGGCACATAGTAAATGCCTGATAAATATGAGTGGCCCATCCAGGGGAGTATGATAGAGGGCCGCAGAGGGGGTTATAGGGGGCAATCACTGAATCATTGAATTTAGGCTCTGAGAACCCGACAAACATGGTGGCCCAGGCAGGGCAGGGCGGGGCTATCATCGCCTTCATCTTTGAGCTACCTGCCGTCCTCCACTCCAGGTGTCTCGCTGTGGGTTGGGGTGGTAAGGAGGGGTATGGAGCAGGCATGCCCACGGGGAGAGGCAGGAGCCTTCTCACAGTTGGTGGGGCTCCAGGGGTCTGTGTGGCTCCGGGGTTCTATGCGGTGGCACGAGGCTGCCTCTCCTGTCTCTGCCCCTGGACAGCTCCACGTCTCGGGAGGTTGGCAGCTGTTGCCTGGTGCTTGGCTTTGTTAGCCTTTGCATTTAGTCTGCAGGTTCTGGGGAGAGGAGATGGTGAGGAAGCAAAATTAAAATTCCTCTTTGAGAAGTTAACAACTTCCCAATTAAAGGATTCTTATTTGTGAGATGCCTTAGAGGCCTTTTCAATCAAGAGGCTCTTCTGAATAATAAAAAGGCTGAGCTGGGGTTGGAGTGGAGCCTAAACTGCCAGCAAGGAGGTGGGGACGCTGAAGATGGGCACACCGGCCTCGTGTGGGATGGGGTGGCAAAGGAGTGGAACGCTTTTCCGCTCAGCGGTTGGCAGGGAGGTTGGCATGGGGAGGGCAAAGAGGAGGGGACTGTTCCCACCCCCACCCCCCACAGCCCTGAAGCCCCCTCCAGTCCCCAGCCTGAGCCGCATGCGTGGGAACCCTCCACCGGGACCCCTGTGTCCTTCTGGCCCACACCCTGTGCTTAGCCTCTGCACACTTCCCGGAGGCTCCCTGCAGCTGTGTTTCTTGTCCTGCTTGGCTCTCGGTTTTATCAGTGCCTGACCACTTCCTAACACTCAGCTATCCTGGGAGCACCCTGCCAGGCTCCTCTGGCTCTTCGCCTCAAGCCAGGGTAGAGGAGGGGGCAGGTGGGAGAGGCGAATTGGGATTTGCTAAGGATGGTATGCGGCAGTGGACGCAGGCCCGACCGTGCGCTCTGGATGGGGGCGGCGTCCTTTTGGCTTCTGAGATCCCAGCTCCCTGGTGCCCATGCCACACCTGCTATGCTGTGCTCTCACAGGGGTGGTTTTGTTGCTGTTTGTTGGGTGTGTCTACCTGCCTTTCAGCCAGGCACCCCCACCCAGTGTGATCCAGCTGGTTTCCTGGGAGACTCTTGGGTCTGTCCCAGTTGGAGCTGAGTGTCTGCGGGTGTCCCACGAGAGGCTCAGCCTCAGGTCCTGCGGGGCTGACCAGTGTGCAGAGTGCCCTGAAAGTGCCAGGCCTGGCTGGGTGCTTCCCATCTTCACAGCAGCTGAGAGGCAGCTACCACCACCCTTCTTATAGAAGAGGAAGCAGAGGCTTTGTGAAGTGAGGTGACCCTTTATGCAGAGAGGGGTTCTTGCTGAAAGGACTTGTCATCCTCTGTCCTCCAGGGCCCTCCAGGTCACTAAGCAAAGAAGAACTGGAGACATTGGCCAAGCCCCTCCCCTCAGTGGCCAGCCCAGGCTTTGACTCTGCCCCAGTACAGGCTGCCCCAGTAGTTGCCAAGGTCATTCGAGGAGATGGTGCCACGGGTGGCTCCTCTGTCCAGGCGGCATGGAGGGCGGCGGGAGTGTTTGTAGCCCATACCTGCCATCCCCTCCCTCCTCTGCATGGCCTACTTTCCAGGCGCCATTGCAGCCGAGGCCGTCTGTGTAAATATCCAGAACTGTAGGAGCCCGGCCCCTCTGAAAGGTCAAATAGCCACGCAGGCACTCCCCAGAGGCCTGGGGTTGGGGACCATCCAGCAGTCTGGGCCACCAGGGAGGGGAGAATGGGTCCTGCAGATCCCAGGGGTGGTGGGCGGGATGAGGTGAGGTGTCCTGATTGGCTGCCCTGACCAAGTGGGAGCTGAAATAATTTGGATTCAAGTCCCAGCCCTGCCACTTACTGGGTGGCCTTGAGCAAGTGACTCAGGCTCTCTGGACCTCTTTTTCCTCCCAAGTGGCATACTAACCTCCCTGAGGGGTGGTGAGGATCAGTTGGGATGGCACAGGTGAACCTGCTGGGCCCAGGGCTGGTGGGTCTTGCATGTGGAACCTGGATTTGTGGGCTGTGTCTTAACGGCACTGTTTGGTGGTGCTGGTTCCTGTCTCAGCCCTGCTTGCTTCTTGCAAGTGATTCATTTCTCCTAGTCTCAGTTTCTCCCATATGCACAATGGACATAATGATACCTACCTCACGGAGGCGTTGTACTCCCTCAGTGGGAGTTCTCTGTGCCCTTCCCCCGCCTCACTGAATGAGCCTGTCCTCCCTAGGTACACAGTGGGATTTGCCTGGGGTTGGCCGCCACATCATGAGTAGGTGACATGGTCCTTGCCTCTGGATAGCAACATGAAGTTAGAGGGATCAAGGAGAAATGCTGTGAGCCTCAGGAAAGGGAAGGAGATAAAAGCTGGGGAAGTCAGGGAGGGCTTCCTGGAGGTGTCTGGTCCTTAGAGCTCGGGAGGATTTGGGGAAGCTGGGGGTGGGAGAGAGTGACAGAGAGCACGTGTGGTTGGGAATAGTGTGAACAAAGATCAGGCAGGAGGAGCAAGCCCAGGACAGGGCATGAGCTGTCTGAGAGCTGCTGGGGGCTGGGGGTCAGAGCCCTGAGAGGTCCCAGCCCTGGAGCCCTGGTCGGGGTAGAGGACCAGGAGTTGGGGGTGGGACCACTGTCTCCTGACTAAGGGCAGGGGGACAGCAAACATGCAGCCACGGTCCTGGGACACAGCCTTACCTGGGGGTTGCAGGGAGGGGCAGGATTTAGCATAGGGTCTGTGGACAGGACTGCCCACGCTCCAGGGCCTCAGTTGGGAAGTGCAAGGGCCTGTGTAAGGCCTGGGAAGAGGCTGGTGGCTGCTGCCCAAACTGGCAGGACCCCACCTGTGGAGATCAGCCTGCGGGCCGCCTTCAGCCAAAATGTGTGAACTAGGGGCTCTGGCTGCTTGAGGGCCAAGAGAGGGAGATGTGGGAGGGGTCTGCAGTGGGCTGAGAGGGCTGGGAGGCTCACCCTTGGTGGAGCACCCACTGTGTGCCAGGCCCTGAGTCAGACTCACTCCCAACTTGGGTTTGTGTAATTTGCATGACAGCCTGGAGAGGGCGCCGGCTCTTAGACTCATTCTAAGGAGCTGGAAACTGGGAGAGGCAAATGACTGGCCTGCCCTGGCCGTGTTTCAAATCGAACTCCACACATCATGCTTTTTCAGTGGCCCCATGCTACTCCCCAGGGCTGTGGATTTTAGAGGTGATGACCCCGGACTTCCCTGGGCAGGCTTGGAAGAGCTATACCCAAGTATGCAGTCTTCCTTGGCTTTGCCTCTCTTAGGGAGGCTCAGAGAGGTCAAGGGAGTGATCCAATGCCACACAGCGCTGGGGTCTGCAGTACCTGGCTCCCTGGAGGGCATGTGCCATGATCCCTTCTCCCTGGGGTCTGGTGGCCCCAGCCAAGCCCTACCAGGTCTAAGAACCCAGGGGACCTTCCCAGGTGTAAGACTACTCATGCCTCTGAGCCACCGAGAGAGGCTTTAAAATCTCAGCTCCAAATTAAAACCTATGAGCTCCTCAAAACAATGAAAAATTTCCCTAATAAAAGGAGAGGCACACTCAGGCATGTCCTAAATGAATGGAGTGACTTCAGGGATTAATTCAGGATGTATGGGAGGGCACCCAGCCGGGAAAAGTGCGCAGTGGATATTGTAACAAATTGTTTGCTCACAGGAGGAATAATTCTTAATGTGCACTGGCTGCAAAGGGAAGCTACCTTTGCTGCCTGCAGCACGATCCCTCATCAGCCGCTTGCTGGGCAGGGTCTCTGCTAGGGCAGCCTTACCTGTAAGCCTCTTGGCCTTCAGTGACAACCTTCCAACCTCACAAGCTGGCCTGAGTGGGACTGAGTGGGCCCTGCGTGTGTCCTTAGAGCCCCATGGCCTTCTGAGTTCTGCTCTCTCCTGCTGGCTCTGTGCCTTTGGCTAGGGTGGGGAAGGTGCTGGCTGGAGGCCAATTCTTCCTCTTCTGCTATGCGAACCAACTCTTCCTTTTGGGACCTCCCGGAGACCCCGGCCTGCCAGTCCCCCCACCTCAGACCACCCAAAGGAGGGTCCTGACAGATTGTCTCTCAGCATGCCTCAGTTTACCTGTCCCAGGCTTGGGCAGCTGCCTCCTCCCCAGCTCCCTTGCCTCGGGGATGAGTGGGGTGGGCGCAGCACCGTCCTCCCTGGCCAGCCCTCCCAGCTTCCTAATGTCTCTGTGCCAAACCTGGAGGAAAGGCGAGGCAAAGTCAGTCTGCACCCAGGAACATAAATGAACACCACTGAGGTGCAAACGGAGAAAGGCTTCCTGTATCCCACCTCCCACTCCCGGCTGGAGTGGGTCCAGCACCGAGGAAAAAAAGCACTGGCTCCTGAGTCAGGCGAGCCTGGATTTGGGTCTAGCTTCCCTGCTTTCTGACTCTGGGACTCCAGGCAACTCCCACAATCTCTCCAGCTTCTTCCTCTATAAGACATGGGATTCGTTTTAGCAGCAGCAGCAGCATCTCACGGTTTTGAGATACAGTCTCATCTATCCACACAGCCGTCCTAGAGGTTGGGACCTGGGATTATCCCCATTAAATGGACGAAGAAACCGGGCTCAGAGGGGTGAAGCCTGGTTCTCTCTGCTTCCTTGTAGCTGCTTCATGAAGTTGTTTAGAGAAAAGGGCCCTGATTATAGATTCTGTTCCATGAATGTCAGCCCCACCTGCTCCCTTTCCTGAGCAGAAGAGGTGCTGAGGCCCTACCAAGGTAGGGGCAGGAGACTTTGGGAGCAGGGACCCTGATCCTTCTCACCTCTCCCGTCTGGCTTGGAGCCAGCCTGCCCTTTCATTCACACCTTCATTCACCCGCTCATCACTTGATGAAACACCTATGAAGCACTGTATCCCCAGCAGCTAGAACGTTATGCACACTGCTCCTCCCCTCAGGTAGCTTCCCATCTTGAGGGAGTGACAGCATGGCAAACAGGTAATTTGGGTAACCTCAGACTGTGCTGAGCTCGGGAGGGAAACGACAGGGCCGTGGAATAGGGAGTGGCTGGGGCTGAATGAGCAGCTCCGATGGGCATCCAGGCGATGGGCATCCAGGCAGGCCTCTCTGAAGAGGTGACTTTGAGGCTGAAGGGGCTGAATGTCAAGGCAAAGGCTGGGAGGTGGGAAGTAGCTGGCTGTGTCTGGAGACCAGGAGGAAGACAGTGTGGCTGGTGGGTGGGGAGTGAGGGAGAGAGCGGGGACAGGGGTGGGAAACAGCCTTAGCCGCCCTGCTGAGGAGCAGGGGGGTGCTCTGGAGGGGATTAAGCCAGTGAGTGACAGGGCCTGATTTGTGCTTTCCAAATTCCTTTCTGGCCTCTGGGTGGAGAGAATGGATTAGAGGCTGTGGCAGGGAGAGCAGGGACCCTTGAGGGGAGGTGGGTGCAGGGACCCAGGAGAGAGGTGGAGTCGTGGCCACAGGGTGGGGGTGCAGATGGCGAAGAGTGGGTGGCTGGGGAAGGGGTTGGAGAGTGGCTATGGGGTGGGAAGGCTGAGAGTCCTGGTCGGGGCGGGTTCAATTTGGCCCAAGTGGCACCGTTTTCTGAGATGGGGAATATGGCGCAGGTGGAGGTGCAGGCATCCTGGTTTGGACTTGCCGGGTTTGAGGAGCCAGTAAGCCAAGCAAGTGGAGCATCGGGCCTTCGGTCAGCATCGGGGACCTTCTCACTTCTGGTCCAAGGTCAAAGGCTTTGCCCTAATATGTGGGTCATCTCATTGCCAGCCCATTTTTCAGATGAGGACACTGAGGGGCTCACCGCAGTCTTTAGACTGCACGTGGCCTTCTTTCAGATCCCTGCGTGGAGCGGAGAAAGCAAGACCCTGAGTGGTGCCTGATAGGAAGGTGGCAGGAAAACTCGGGGAGTGGGAGCCTAGAGCCACCTCCTGCTGACGCACATGTGTATGCGGGCACGTGTGTGTGTGTGTGTGTGTGTGTGTGTGTGTGTACGCGTGCGCACACTTGAGCATCGTGTGGAGCCCATTAACAAACAGAGAAATAAATTAACAAGTATTCAACCCACCAAATGTTCCTTCTGTTCTGTATAATAGAGCACGGGAACATAATTTTCCCCAGGAGCAAATTGCTACAGCTGAACCTGCTCCTCGTTTTCCTCCAAAAACTGCTTAAAATTCTGGAACGCTTGTTGATTTCGGGTCCTTTCCCTTTCTGGCTCCTGTCCCCAACCCCCAGGCTGCTTCCCTCTGCCTTCCCATGCGGGGCCTCTGAGGAGCCAGATTGTCACAGCTCCAGGGCTACCATTTTGCAGATGGGAGGAACCTGGGAGGCAGCAGCTCTGGCCGGGGGCCCTGAGGGCGAGAGAGGCTTTCGGTGTGCGAAGCATGAATGAAATGTCCAGGACTGGCAGAAAACACCGGCAGCTCCCCACTGGGCCTGCCACAGACCACTGTGTGACCTTGGGCAAGTCACTACCCCCTCTGAGCTTCAGTTTCTGCCTGGCAAACATGGGGCTGATCACACCTGCCATCTCCATGTGAACACGCCTGGTGGTGTACGGAGTGCGGAGTGTGATGTAGATGTGAGCTGCTTCCTTCTGAGGCACCACGTGCAGCGACTGGGGGGCCTCCCACCCCCAAGCCTTCTAAGGAGCCTTTAGATTCAGGGACTCTTGGCCTGCTTCTGAAATCCTCTAGGGCACTTCTAATTTTCTTAAAGCAAATTAATTTTAATCCACTTTAATTAAACATGTCTTATGAAAATGTATATTTATTTATAGAGCTTCTCACTGCATTCCTGATCACTGCTGCCATTCAGAGCCCAGCTCAGATCCCCACTTCCAAGCAGCCTCCTTCGGCGTGGGAGCTGGGTGAGAGGGAGGCTTTTGCACATTGATTCCTGGCTGGCTCCGGCCTGGCTGAGTTACCTTTGCTGGAGGCAGAAGAGGAAAACTGGAATCCAGTGCTCAGGAGCCAGAAATTCCAGCCCCCTACCCATGCCTTCAGGGAACCGGCTGGACTTTACGCAAGATGAAAAGTTCCATCAATCTGGGGACTGTCCCTGTGCTCCTCAGCAGAGAAATTAAATCTCAAAGAAATCACTGAGGATTTGCGGGCTGGCTGAAGGATGGGCCTTGGCCAGGTCTGCGGTGTCCAAGGTACAGTCAGCCCAGGCTTGTCTTCTCTGCTATGACAGCCCAAAACCTCATCTCCTTCAGGAAGCTCTCCTTGACTTCTTCATCTATCTTAGTCCATGCGGGCTGTGACAATAGCATACCAAGACTCAGGGTCTTGAACCACACAAGCCCAGTTCTGGAGGCTGGAAGTCTGAGATCAGGGTGCCGGCATGGTCGGGGTCAGAGGGAGGGCTCTCTTCCTGGCTTGCCTATGGCCACCTTCTTGCTGTGTCCTCACATGGTGGGGGTGGGGGGAGGAGAGCAAGTGTTATGTGGTACCTCTTCTTATAAGGACACTAATCTTCTCAGATTGGGGCTCCATCCTTGTGACCTCATTTAACCTTAATTACCTCCTTACTCCAAATACAGTCTCACTGGGGGTTAGGACCTGGATGTATAAATTTGCCAGGACAGAGTTTAGTCCATAATGCCACCCCTGCACTCCTGTCCTCTGACGATATTGCATCCACACAGGCTGGCATTGTGTTGCAAACTATTTGGTTTAATGTTCCGCAAGGTCTCCTCCCAGCACAGGCCTGGGCATACTAGACACTCCATAATGACACTGTAGCTTGAGCTGCTTCCCAGATAAGGCTGCACTTGGGGGCATTTCCAACCCCTTACCTTGGTGTATGATAGGTGGGCCCTGTACCCCAGCCTCTCCCCATGCCTAGGCTGCGTGTTGGCCATCTGAGTGGGGAGCCTTCAGACCCACACGCCTGCCATGTTCTCCCTTTCAGTGGCCCACCATTGTCCATGGAGAGAAGCTCAACTCCCCTGGCCTGCTCTCCAAGGCCCTCAAGTACTTCCTGCCCAGCCCACTGGCCTCACTTCTTATACCCTCCCCTGTGTCAAGAACACATTCTACTATTTTGTTCTTGGTGTTCATACCTGCCATTCCACCTGCCAGCTGCGAAGCTGTCTCTTCAAGCCAGTGAACTCCTACTTATCCTGTAAAGCCCTCCTTAGCATGGCTGTCCCCAGCCCCCTGGGCTGAGTTGATCTCTCCCTCCTCTGAGCTTCTGTGGCACTCTGGGCTTCCCCGTCACTGTGTGTAAGACCCTGGATGGTCCTTATCAGGGGCGGTGTCTGGCTCACCACTGGGTTCCAGTATCCTCCTGGTGCCTGGCTCCATGCTAGCCTACAGGGTGAATGGATGGGTGAATATTATCGAGCACCTCCTAGTCCAGGCACTGTTTTAGGATCTGGGAGGCTGTCATCATGGAGCTTGCTTTCCAGTAGGGCTGGGGTCCACAACCCCCGGGGGACTGGCCCTGTTAGGAACTGGGCCACACAGCAGGAGATGAGCAGTAGTGAGCGAGTGAAGCTTCATCTGTCCTTACAGCTACTCCCCATAGCTTGCATTACAGCCTGAGCTCCGCCCCCATAAGATCAGTGGAGCCTTTAGATTTTCATAGGAGCGAGAACCCTATTGTGAACTGCGCATGTGAGGGATCTAGGTAGCACTCTCCTTAGGAGAATCTAATGCCTGATGATCTGTGACTGTCTCCCATCATCCCCAGATGGGACAATCTAGTTGCAGGAAAAAAAGCTCAAAGCTCCCATTGATTCTACATTATGGTGAGTTGTATAATTATTTCATTATATATGACAATGTAATAATAATAGAAATCAAGTGCACAATAAATGTAATGCACTTGAATCATCCCAAAACCATCTCCCCAACCCTGGGCTGTGGAAAAATTGTCTTCCACGAAACTGGTCCCTGGTGCCAGAAAGGTTGGGGACTGCTGTAGTGGGGGAGAGAGATATTAAACAAGATAAATAAGCAAAATATGTACTGTGTTAGGTAGTGATCATGTCAAGGAGAAACAAATACAAGGAGAAGTGGGGAAAGGAAATGTCAGCAGTGGGGGTGCCTCTCTGAGAAGGAGACTTTTAGGTAAAGTGGGGTGTTGAGGTCAGGGAGCCATATGGAAGCCTGGGGAGACCATTCAAAGCAGAGGAAACAGGGGCATCCAGGTGGGCGTGTGCCTGGCCTGTGTGAGGAGCAGCCAGGGGAGAAGGAGGAGGCCAGAATGGGTGGAGAAGGCGGTGGGCGTGAGTGGTAAGAGAGGGGAGGAATTGTTGTCAAGGAGCAGATGGGTCCAGAACTTGGAGATCGCTCTCAGGGCTTTGGCTTTTGCTCTGAGTGAGACTGGAGTCACCGCAGGGTTTTAGCAAAGGAGTGACATGCCATGACTTGGGTTTTAAGGATTCCTCTGGCTGCTATGTGGAGGACACTGTGGGAGGCAGGACAGAAGTAGGAAGCCCTAGGGGGAGGCTGTTGAAATAATCCCGGAGGGAGATGGTGGCTTGGTCTGTGCTGGTGGCCGTGGAGTGGTGAGAAGTGGTTGATTCTGGATAGATTTTGAAAGTTCAACAAACAGGCTTTGCTGATGGTGGATCTGCTGCAGGATGAGAGAAAGAATTGGCCCCACAGTTTTTGGCTTGGGCAGCTGGAAAGATGGGAGTAACCTATCTGATCTGAGAGGGGAAGTCAGCAAAATCAGCTGGGGTGAAATGAGGCACTCAGCTGTGGTCATGTGAAGTTTGATGTGCCCGTTAGTTGTCTGGGATGCGGTGTTGAGCAGGTATCTGTGGCAGGCAAAACAGTGGCTTTCAATGATATCCAGGCCCGCAACCCTGGAACCTGTGAAATCTACCTTACGTGGAAAATGTCTTTGCAGAGTGGTGGTTAAGTATCTTGAGCTGGGGAGATGATTCTGGATCACCTGGGTGGGCCCTGAATGCAATCACTAGTGTCCATATAAGAGGGAGGCAGAGGGAGATTTGACTGCAAGGGAGGAGAAGGCCATGTGACCACAGAGGCAGATTGGAGTGATGTGGCCACAAGCCAAGGGATGACCGTGGTCACCAAAAGCTGGAAGAGGCCAGGAATGGATATGCCCCTGGAGTCTATGGCAGGAGCCAGTCCCCCCAACACTTTGGTTTTGGCCCAGTGAAACAGATTTTGGACTTCTAGCCTCTAGAATTGTGAAAGAATACATTTCTTTCCTTCTTTCCTCCCCTCCCCTCCCTCACTCCCTTACTCCCTCCCTCCCTCCCTTCCTTCATTCCTTCCTTCCTTCCTCTTTTCTTTTGAGACAAGGTCTTGCTCTGCTGCCCAGACAGGAAATACAGTGGCACAATCATGGCTCATGGCAACCTCAACCTTGCTGGCTCAAGTGATCCTCTCACCTCAGCCTCCTGAGTAGCTGGGACCACAGGTCTGTGCCACCATACCTGGCTAGTTTGTTTTACTTTTTGGAGAGATGGGGTCTAAGTTTCCTAGGCTGGCCTCAAACTCCTGACCTTAAGAATCCTCCTGCCGCGGGCTCCCAAAGTGCTAGGATTACAGGCATGAGCCACTGAGCCTGGCTGAGAATAAATTTCTGTTTATAAAATTTTTTGTTTTTAAGCCACCAAGTGTGTGGCGATTTGTTACAGCAACAGTAGGACACTAATACAGTGACAGGCCTGGAGGGAGAGTGAATGGCGTGCACTCGCACTGTGTTCTGAGCTGTGTGTGTGTGTGTGTGTGTGTGTGTGTGTGTGTGTGCGTGTGTGTATATGTCCAAAATCTGTTTCACTGGGCCAAAACCCAGTTGTGTGTGTGTGTCCATATGTGTGTGTGGTGTGTGTATTTGTGTGTGTATATGTGTATGCGTGTGTGTGTGTGTGTATGGGAGGGGCAAGTGTGTGCGCCTGTGCTGTGGCGTGTGAAGTCAGAAGGCCTACAGTGATGGGGTTGGACCCCCCCACCATGATAACAACGACAGTAATCAATAATACCACCACACACCACTGGCTGGTTGACCGCACCATAAATATTTGATCCTCACTATCCCCTGTAATTGAGGCTGGGGCTGGGGAAAGGCTGGGGTGAGCACCTTCCATGTGGCAGGCCCAGCTCCTGAGCTTCCTCCCGTAGTGCTATGTCAGCAATGAGGGTCGTCTCTGCAGGGTGGGCCCTGGCACGGGACTGAGATTTGCCTAGATGGTGGGAATACCCCACCTGGCCAGGCTGGTAGTGGCTCTAAGCAAAGTCTTTAGAGCCAGGCTCTGGGTCTAGCCTGCCTGACTTTGAATCCTGCTTTTCCACCTAGAAGCTGGGTGGCCTTGGCTATGCCTCAGTGTCGTGTCTATAAAATGAGTGTATTAGCAGTGCTGACCTCATGGGGTCTAATGAGGCTTATATTAGTTAAAATATGTACAATGCTTAGAATGTGTCAGCTCTTAACCCTCTGGCCTTGAGGGCCAAGGCTGCGGTAGAAGGAGCTTTGCAGTCCAAAGATCTGGTTTCAAATCCCAGATTGCCTCAAGCTTGGTGTGGGACCCTGAACAAGAGGCTTGTTTTCTTCTTCATAACACCAGCCTCCTGCACAGCCATGGAGGACATGGTGGCTGATATGCAAAGGGCCTGTTATATTGCGGCCCCAAAGTTGAGGGCTCTGCCAGAGTCAGCTCCCTCCCTCCCTCCCTCCCTCCCTCCCTCCCTTCCTCCCTTCCTGCCTTCCTGCCTTCCTGCCTTCCTGCTTTCCTGCCTTCCTGCCTTCCTGCCTTCCTGCCTTCCTGCTAAAGCCCCGGGACAGGTGACCTGCCCCCAAGACCACCTCCACCATAAGCAGATTCTGTCTTAAGGCTTGCAGGGCAGGAGGGAATCCATGGTGGAGGGGGTGCTGGAAGGGCCCTGGGCATGGCAGGGAGGGTGGCCAGGGCAGTCAGAGTGATGCCTTAATGTGCCCAAACAGCTATGGCAGTGCATTTGTGGTTGTGATGACCTCGGGAACAGCAATGTATTCAGGCCCTGTTAGAATCTGCAGGGAAGACGTAATATTTACAGCCCAAATCTCTGTCCCCATAAAGGGAGGCAGGGGGAGGAGCTGGGAGGGGGAGGGAGGGGCTGGGCTTTTGGGTAATGTCATAAACGGAGACTGTCTCCCTGGAAACAGCCGTGGTGGTGGCGGCCACAGGCTGACAGATGTGCATGCTGTAATATGGGTCCATGGAGGCGGTGACGAGGACATTGAGAGGGATGGATGGGCTGTAACTCACCAGGCCTGGGGCTCAGAGACATCAGGTTGTGCTAATGAGGGCATGGGGGGGATGCTGACGGAGGAACGAAGGCCTGGAACTGCGTGTGTGTGGGGCAGTGGGGTGCCCGCTGCTGTGTGGGGTTTGGGGAGACCCTCCAGCCTCTGGCTTATGGCCCAGGGCCAACCTCAGAGACAGGCCAAGCTGGCTGGGAGAAATTTTCAGACTTAGGAAACTAACTCTTTAGCCATGTTGGGCCGGGTCTAGAGAGGCACAGACAGAGGGACGTGGGCTGGAGAGCCTCGGCTCAGGCATGGGAGGCTGTATGACAAGGAGCAATGAGTGTGATAGGAAGCAGAGGATGGCCCAGTCACGCCTGCTGTGCACGACCCTGTCAAGAGCTGGGTGTGGTGGGCCCACACTACCAGAGCTGCTGGGGCCGAGGCTTTCCTTAAGTCTTCTCATTTCAGAGAGAGGGAGGAGCTGGCCTTCAGCCACCCAGCCAGTTGATGCTCCACTCTGAGCCCCACCTAAGCCCACAGGGACAGTAACAGGAGGTGGCAGGCAGGAGAGACCGGGACCTGCAAACTGGGTAGTGGTAGGCTCAGGGGCTGCACTTGCTGTCTAGGAATGTCTAAGGGCCTGGAAGCCTTGCCCCAAACTTGGGCCTGCAGTGGGCACCCACTGCTGTAGGGCAGAGCCAGGTCCAGGGAGGGGAATCTCAATTAGAGCTTCAGATGGATGGGCTGCCTTGGGTGGAGGTGACCTTGCTATCATCAAGTGGGGGCTTGAAGGCCATGGCCAAGGAGACTGGAGAGGGAGTTCTTGGTGGAGAAAGGGGCGGGTTGGAGGCCTATCCCTCTAGCCCCGAGGTGCTGCCATCCCCAGTTCCCTGCAATAGGATGACCCACGTCTGAGCATCAGGCCTGTGGCTCTGCCACCCTCAACATGCATCGCCTCTGAGGCCCAGCCCCAGGCGACGTGAGACGTGGGTTCTAGTCCCAGCCAGGTTCTGACTTGCTGTGTGAATTTAGCTGGAGCTGTTGGCCTCTCCGGGGCAGGATGCAGGAGTACTGAGGCTGTGAAGGTGCAGGGCTGTGGAGGGAGAACACTGGGCACTGAGGCTGGTTGCCGAGTCCAGCTCCTTTTGGGCACTCTTCTCTGTACGTGGATAGAAATCCAGGTGCACCCACTGATGACCTCATGACCAGGGTCAGGACCCAATACAGGGTCAGGAGGCTTCTTTTCATCTCCTTCTGCTGCATGGCCATCAACCCTGTTAGACTGCTGCTCTCATTACTGACATCACCACCCTGGGCCCCAAACTGGATGGGCTGATGGGCTCTGTGTGGTGGGTGGGCTGATGGGTTCTGTGTGGTGGGTGGGCTGAGCCACTGGGCTCATGCCCTGCTGGGGATCAGGCACCCGGGATTGTGTGTGTGCACTAAGTGTGGGCAGCCATGCGTGATCCCACAGAGCAGCCCATGGAGTTCCCGTGGGGTTCCCGGCGGGGTTGGAGAGGGCTCCTGTAGGGTGCCCCGCTGCTTGTGGTGTCTGGGGGCTGGGAGTGGAATTGGTGGGGGCTGCTTCTCGATTCTGAGGTGGAATCTGATCGGAAGGTGCTTGAGGGGAGATAGGCCCTGGGAGAGGTGGGCAGAGGGCTGAGGGCTGTTGGCAGAGTCTGGCTGGGGACCAAGTGGGTATCTGGCAGTTGGGCGAGGCCAGTGCCAGCTGTTTGATGTGAATGAAGACCCCCATTCCCCCGCTCACCTGTGGATCTGAGTTAACTTCCTCCGTGCACACTCACCACCCTCTAGGCTGTGCCCCCACACCTGGGAGAGGTATAGGGCTCTCCAGCCTCGCTCACCTATTCTCCCTGTAGAGGGCATCGATGCCCATGGCATCCCTGGAGCCCCTGTCCTCAGGAGCTGTGCAGCCAAGGAGGGCAGTGGGTGGGTAGGGGCTCCCCATGTGGGGACTTGCAACTGCTGCTCCCTTCCAGGAACTCCTGACCCAGTGTCCCCTTTGGAGCCCTGGTGGTGTGGGACTGAGGAGAGATGTTGTTTGTGGGGACCAGCAGGAGCCTGAGGGGATGTTCTCAGGACTTAAGGGAGAGAGTGGGGGGCCAGAGACCCCTGAGTAGGTAGGACAGCCAGAGAAGGCCACTGCTCCTTGGGAAGGTCCCCAGGCTGAGGGCTTTGGAAGAGAAGCTTTGCCCTGGGCAAAGTCAGAGAGAGGTCATATGCTTAAAATCTTCACGGCCCAGGCTGTGTGACCCCAGGCAAGTGTGACCCCAGGCAAGTGCCTTCGAGCCTGTGTATCAGTGCTGGGCGGCCTTGGTCAGCTTCTGTCTCCAGGGTCGCTTGTGCCGAGAGGTGCCCAGGCTGGAGTCATACCTGCCTTCCTGTGTGGAGAGGGAGCTGGGGCTGGACTCCGGGGCTGGGAGGGATGGGCTTCCAGGGTGGTGGAGGGGCACAGGAGGCCAGGCACAGTTTGGCCTGCATTGGTTCAAATCTCACCTACTAGCTGTCACCTAACTTCACTGCGACCAGCCTCATCTGTAAAGTCGGGACTCTGCCAACATCAGGGGCTGCTGTGTCAAGGTCAAGTGAGTCATTTCACTCAAGCCTGGCACACAGTGGGTGTTCATTCATGCTGGCCACATTGTTATAACGCTGGAATTGAAATTGCTCAGAGCTCCTGGCAACTCTCTTCCCCCACAGCCTGCTGCAACATGCCAAAGCCTCCCAGGAGTCCCATGGATCTTCAGCAGTCACATGGTCCGGCCTCCCATTGCTCAGATGTGGAGACTGAGGCCTTATAGGATAGGGCTATGGCAGGGACCTGGGCTCTGGGGCCTCCATTTTGGCAGCCTCTTCTCTGGCCTTTCCACAGCCACCTTCTCCTCCCTCCATGAGCCTATTCTCCGTTGCCATGGGGGACACCCGCCTTGGCTCTCGACCAGGTGTCACCCAAGAGCAGATGCCCATAGACCAGGTGAGGCTGAGTGGGTAGTAGCTTGACGGATGGTAGGAGGGGAGGGAGAGACTGAAGCCCACTCCCCTGGCCTCCCAGTCCCCAGAGCCGAAGCTGGTTCCTGCTAATTAGCGCCTTAACGAACCATGCTAAGGCGCGCCCCCTGAGCCTGCTCCCAGACAGATAATTATGATGATGTTTTTGGCTGCTGGGGGCAGGCAGCTGGAGGTGGGGGGAAAGAGGGCTTTTCTGGCTTTATTACTGTCCACAGGGATTTTCAAACTTACCCACTCTCACCTCATTTGGAGAAGGAAAAAAATGTGTTAATGGACCTTTTTCTGCAGCTGAGAAGGACAATTTATGATAGAGGTGACAAATTTCATTTTAATGAGAGGTAGATTCTGCTTTATTTTAAACCATAGACCCCCCACCCCAGCCCCCAGCCGAGTCTATGGATTTGGGGCGTTGACAGCGGAAGCCAAGGTGTCAGGTTGGCAGGACCTGGGGAGGCCGACTGCTCAGGGAGCAGTCAGAATTCCCACCTTCTGAGCCGCAGCGTCTGCCTACTCACACGCTGAGCTCCTGTACACTCGGGGATGCTGGAGGCCAGTGCTTGCACCCTCCTCTTACGGATGAGGAAACCGAGGTTACGGGAAGTTAAAAGACTTGCCCCAAATTGCCCTGGAATTTTAAGGGTTGGTGGGTGAGGTTGGAACCCAGGCTGCCTGACACCAAACTCCATACTCTTAGCACTTCATCTCACTGCCTGACCCTGGTGGGAGACCATCCACCCAGGTCATTCTCAGGGACAGGGAGAGGAAGCTCAGGTTAGATAAGCCAGGTGGAGTCTACCAGCCCTGGCCAGCCTTGGCCCTGGAGCACCTGTGGCTGCACTGGCCTGGGAGGAGGCCCAAGGTTCCTCTTTCTGTATGGAGGGTACTATTTGAATGGCATTTGCTGCAGGCCTAGAGGTGGGGTACACAGTGGAGGTGGGTGTCCCATCTTCCCTGCAGTCTCTAAATCAGAGAGTGATCCCTCCAATGAGTCTACCAGACCTTGGAGCCAGGCTGGAGGGGGATGGCCCAACCTCTGAACGAGGAGAAACTCAGGGCCATTGAGGGCAGGCGACCTCGGGGCCTGCCAGGACCAGAGTCAGGAAGGGGAGCAGGTATCCTGTCCACAGGCATGCAGAGCTGAGCCCAGGCCTGCCCCTTCCCTAGTTGCTGCCCCTGTGGAGTTGCCCACAACACCCTGTCGACATGTAGGCGGGGGGTGGCCAAGGCTTCTGGAGTTCCCAGAGTCCCATTCCTTCCTGGGCCCCACCCCAGCCTCCTAGCCTAGCTTCCAGCAGTCTCCTCCTCCTCGGGTGTGCCCATGAGCACTGACTTATCTACGGAACTTGGTGGGGGTCTTGGAGGCCGGGACCAGGTTGGAGGCTTCTTTCCCATGATCCGAGAACTTGCTGTGGAGAATCCTAGGGCTGGGGATTCAGTGGCTCTCAGACCCTTGGTTTTGTAGGTCAGAGGAGTCTATTGCAGACTCTTGCCCTGACCTGGGATAGTGTGAAGCATGGGGACACTAGACTGTGGGGTCAGTGTCCAGTGGCTCCACATCAATGTGCCGGAGTCAGAGCCCAGCCCTGGCCCTTATCACTGGGGACCTTGGGCAAGTCTCGTTCCCTCATCTGGAAAATGGGTTAATAATGCCATGTCCTGCTGGAGTTGGGAAAGGTGTGAATGTGATGCTGTAATGATATTGCATGTGTAGTCAGTGCTCAAAAGTGGTTGCAAATATAAAATTCCCAGGATCATGATATCTTAGAATCCCAGACAAACTTGGAGGTCCAGGGGAAGGTCGGGAGGAACCTTAAGAGCTGCGGGTTCAACTCTCCCTCGAGAAGGACTTCTCCTCCCCCAGGTCTGTGATGCTGTTATCCCATCTCTGTTTGACCTCTCCTCTCTCTGACCCTGCCTCACTTTGAGGTGCTGGTGTGTGGAGAGGTGTTGTGTCAGAGGTGGGGTTCAGCTTTCTGAGTGATTTGAGCCCCGAGAAGGGTCACAGTCACTACTCAGGGTCCTGAAGATGTGGACCAGCCCACTGCTTCCGCGCCCACTTCCCTGACTGGCCTAGGCAGGAGGCCAGGTAGGCGGTGGGCATCTGGGTGCTCTCTCCGGCCCTGGATGGCAGCCTGCCAGGCCAGGCTGGGAGTTCCCTTCTCCTGTGTCCCTGGCCTTGGCCAGTTTAGGGCTTAGGAAGGGCCTGTCGATTCCTGCTGAAGTGAGGAGGATGCATTGTGTCCTGAAGGGTCCCCGGATCTGGAGTTAGGCTTGGATTTAAACCCCCTCTTCGTGGAGTGAGGCCTAGGTGACTTTCTTAAGATCTCAGAGCCTCAGTTTCCATATCTTTTTTTTTTTTTTTTTTTTTTTTGAGACAGAGTCTCGCTTTGTTACCCAGGCTGGAGTGCAATGGCACGATCTTCTGCTCACTGCAACCTCCACCTCCTGGGTTCAAGCAATTCTCCTGCCTCAGTCTCCTGAGTAGCTGGAATTACAGGCATGCACCACCTCGCCTGACTAATTTTGTATTTTTAGTAGAGACGGGATTTCTCCATGTTGGTCAGGCTGGTCTCGAACTCCTGATCTCAGGTGATCTGCCTGCTTCGGCCTCCCAAAGTGCTGGGATTACAGGCTTGAGCCACCGCGCCCAGCCAGTTGCCACATCTTTAAGTGGTAGCAACAATCCACTCCTCTGGGCAGTGGTGAGGATTCAACCAGATCCAGTCAGTAGAGCCCCACCCAGTGCCTAGTACTTAGTATGGTCTCTCCTTGGAAAGAAGGCATTGGTTTCGGAGCCTGCTGCTCTGGAGTGAGCCTGGGAACACCACAGGGTCCCCCTCTCCAGCTGAGGGCACTAAGGCTTGTTTGCTTCCTGGGACTCAGGCCCCAAGTTATGTCTTTCTATCCCAGGGACCCCCATCTCAGGTGGACCCCAGGAAGAAGAGCTCCCCAGGACAGCATATTTGGCCCCAGGTCCTGGCCCACCATTTACTGCAGTGTTTCTGTGGACAAGTCACAAAACCACACTGAGTCTCGGTTTCTTCACCTGAAAATGGGGCAGATCAGGTCTCAGAATTGCACAGGCTCACGTCTGCTGCACGTGTAGGACATGGCAGGTCTTTGTGAGGTACCCGCACCGGGAGAGACTTGCTGATGGCTGCTCTTTCAGGTCCTCCCTCCCCGTCTCCTTTTCCAGGGAATGCCTCTGTCCATGGGGTGGGGTTGGGGCATGAGGTGAGTAGATAAACAGCCGTCCAGCACTGTCGAGTGGGGATCCTGTCCCCCAGGGGTGGGTGGGGGCTGAGGTGCTTGGCAGTCTTCCCCCAGCCTCTCTCCATGGCAATCCTCCTGCCTCCATCCTTGCCTCCAGTTGGCTTCGACATTGCCCAGCTCAACCTGGGGTATGGCTGGATATGGGGAGAGTCAGACCCTGATAGCTCCTCCCATGGGAACGTGCCTTCTCACTCCCTGGCTGACCCTGGCCACTCCATCAGCCATCAGGTCTGCCAGAGCACGTCCCAGGGTGTGCGAGTGGGAGGCAAGAAAGGGCCCAGTCACAGGGGAGGCTGGGGGGGGACCTTGGCAGGACTTGAAGCTAATTACTGTGGGTAGGTAGGAGAAGGCAAGTGGCCCTGCCAGAGGTGGGGATGGGACGAGTGGGGTTTTCCTCCTCTCTTTGAGCTCCTGGCAAATTTCTGCTCATCTAAGCCTCAGCCTTGGCACAGCTCCGCTGGAGGCCTTTGCTGCCTTTAGGCAGCCAATGGGGGCTTCCCACCCTGGGCCCCACCCTGTCATGGATAGCCTCTTCTGTGGCTCTGTGGCCCTGAGCCTGGCGTGGTGCTGGCTGCGGCCAGGGTCTGGAGCAGGGAGGCCAGAGACTCAGGTAAGGGTTGCACACCAGGACCCATAAATTGTCCCTGACAGCAGTGGGAGCCATTGAAGGGTCCTGGGCAGTGGAGGCTGGGATGACAGCAGGGTTCTATGGAGGGGACAGGGCAGAAGGCCCTGCAGTGATGGGGCTGCAGTGGGCTGAGAGAAACCCCAGGCAGGGGGACCTGTGGCCACACCCCTGCTGCCCCGCAAGGCTGCAGTGCCTCATCTGCCCTGAGTGGGGGATGAATCCAGGGTGTAGATTACCCTGGTGAGTGGGCATCGATTTCCATTAAAGGGCTGGGTCGTGAATTTTTCTCTCCTGCCGTCCTCTGACAGGCCCAGGGCTTGGCTGCTGAGAGGGGCGGGGAGCAAAGGAGGGGAAGAGAGACAGAGTCGGGAGGTAGGGACAGAGTGGGGGTAGGGACACTCATAAGCCTCTCTCCCCCATATATTCCTTTCCTCCCTCCTCCAAGTCCAGGCACGCAGGTCTCTGTCACTGTCCCAACCTGCCCACCAGTGTCCCTGTGAGTAAACCAGGGCTCCCCTGTCACAGACCTGGTTCTCTTCCTTCATGGCTCTCCTCACAATGTGTATTTGTTGCTTTATTTGCTTAATGTGAGGACAGAGGCTGTGGCTGGCTGCCTTTTTTGTAGTCTTGTCCCCAGTGCCTGGGACGCAGGAGGCACTCGAAAAATATTTGTTACATGAAAAATAGAAAGAAAAGTTCAGGAGGCCTCTGGCGGGGGCAGACTCCCACCTTCAGGAGGCGCTAATCAGGGAGGAGGAAGCTGAGGGCCTCCTGTCTGCCCGGGGACCCTGCATCTGGCCCTTTATGAGAAGGGAGGGGAGGGGCCCAGGTGTTCCCTGGAAACCCCACAGGGGTGGAGGCAGGGGTTGCTGGGAGGCTGGGGTCCTGGTGGGTGGGTGTACACAGGACAGTGAACATTTGCAGGTTAGGGCAGGAAAGCAGGTGTTTAGGAGCCCGGGGTGGCCCCACAGAGGGGAGGGGAGGCCACTGTGTTGCTTTGTCACAAACCCACAGTCTTCTGTCCTTCCCTGGGCCATTTGCTACTCCTCTGGAGCAACCTCTTCCAACAATTTTTGTGGATTGTTTGAGTGTTTACTTCCCTACGTCTAAATAACTGGCTTATTTGCTGCTTTTTGGTTTTCCTTTTTCAGGCATTAACTATTGACTTTTACTGTGTAAGCTGAGGATTTAGCTTCCACCCCACTCACCCACATTTTTGATTGGCTGAGCTATGTAATGTACTCTGATTACTTTTCCTTTCTTCACAACTCGGTTTTCCCTGGAGTTAATGACTGTCTTTTTAGTGGGGGTGGAGAGAGGCTTTTTGAAAATCACTAATTCGGTTCCCAACTTTCCCCAGTTGAGTACAACTCCTCTCAACATAATACATGAAAGCCTCTACCAATGTTACCTTCTTGAAGAAATTCTCTCCCTGAGCCTCTGTGCTGCTCTGATTTGGTTTATTTTGACATCCTCTGTGCAGCAGACATGCAGGATCTCCATCTCCATGACCCTGGGGATTCCTGTCACCACTCTTGCATTGACCCTCTTGCTCCCTGGACCCCACGTCTTCCTCTTGGTTTACACTCCCATTTTGTGAAGCACACCCTCTAATAGCTTCCAGAAAAGTTGCCTGGGAGGTACATTTTTGAGACCTTGCATATCTGGAAACTTCTTCATTCTTTCCTGAATCCTGACAGTCTGACTGGGTGTAGAATTCCGAATGGAGATCTTTTTTCCCCCAGAATTTTAAAGGAGCCCCTCTCTCTAAAGTCATTGCTTACAGTGCTGGTGTTAAGAAATCACAGTTGCTCTGAGATTTGATTCTTTGCAAGCTACTGGGAATTTTTATTTTCTGGAAGCTTCTAGAACCTTCTCTTTCTCCCTGTGTTCTGATAATTCACTATGTGCTCTCTGTCTTGATGAGGGTCAAATTGGAAATCCATGTTTTTTGCTCTGGAAAAGTTTTTGAATTGCTCCTTTCATGTTTCCTAACCTCTGTGTTTTTCTCTTCTCATTTTCTGGAACCCCAGTTAACCAGATGTTGTGCTTCCTGGAGGGAACTCTGGCTCCCTTATCTTTTCCCTCCTTTACACTTTTTTAAAAAATCTTCTCCTCTTTCTGGGAAATCTCAATTTTATCAATCTGTCCTTCCAATGGATTTTTTTTTAAAAATTCTGCTTTATCAATATTACATTTCAAAGCTTCTTTCTTATTTGGTGAATATTCTTGTATTGGTCCATTCTCACACTGCTATGAAGAAATATCTGAGACTGGGTAATTTGTAAAGGAAAGAGGTTTAATTGACTCATAGTTCTGCATTGCTGGGACGGCCTCAGGAAACTACAATCATGGCGGAAGTCAACCTTCTTCCCAAGGCAGCAGGACAGAGTGAGTGCAAGCAGGGGAAATGCCAGATGCTTATAAAACCATCAGATCTCATGAGAACGCACTCACTTCACGAGAATGAAGGGGGAGCCATCCTCATGATCCAATTACCTCTACCTGGCCCTGCCTTTGACACGTGGGGATTATGGGGATTACAATTCGAGGTGAGATTTTGGTGGGAACACAGAGCCAAATCATATCAATTCTCTTTAAAATGTATTGCAATCAGTTCTTATTCATGGATACCATATTTTGAGTTTTTTTTGCGGAAAATGATAGGTTTTTTTTTTTTTGAGTTCCTTCTGTCTGCATTGCCCATTTCTTTTCTTTTCTCTCTCTCTCTGTTTGTGTGTTTTTTTTTTTTTTTTTTTTGAGACAGGGTCTCCTTCTGTTACCCAGGCTAGAGTGCAGTGGTGCAGTCATGGCTCATTCTAGCCTCTATCTCCCAAGCTGAGGCGATCCTCCTGCCTCAGCCTCTGGAGTAGCTGGGACTACAGGTGCATGCCACCATGCCTGGCTGACCCAGCCACTTGTTTTTTTCACATTGCACTTTTGTTTCTGTTTGCTTCCCTGTTTGGAACTCTGTCTTTCATATTAGAGATTCCCTCAGTTAATTCCCTTAGCAAACATTTATTGAGTACCACCTATGTGCCAGCTCCATTCTCTAGCCCTGAACAAATGGTCAGAAGTCCCTGAGCTGGTGGAGCTGACATCCAAATGCTTGACGATGTTCAGTGGGTTGTTTCTATTTAGGAGTGGGGTGCTAAAGGCTGGTGTCCCTTGTGCAGGGGTGGGCCTGTCAACCATGGCTGCCCCATGGCTGATCTTCCTGGGCCAGTTCACAGGGAAGCCCCAATGGCAGCATCTCCTAGAAGGACTCTGATTCTTCTGGAGCGAGTGGGAGAGGAAGGCTGGGATCTGGACCTGAAATTCAGCGTACAAACTCAACTACTCCTTCAGTTTTCAGTATGGGTCCCCACTCTCCACCCAGGCTGGGTGGGCTGGGTGCCTTCCAGGCCAGAGACCCTCAGTTTGATCCTCCCCACTGGAAAAAACTCACTACCAGTCTTCCCTGGGCAGAGGTAGAGAAGGAGCTCCTTGGGGTCTGTCTGCTTCTCATACAGACTTCCAAGCAGTCTTTCATTCCTGTGTCTAGGGGTGCCTGGTGCTACCAGTTCCTGAGCTTGGATTCTACCAGTTAATAGGAGAGGGGCTTAGGACTCTGCTTTCACAGTTCTGGTTTTTTTTTTTTTTTGAGACACAGTCTCGCTCTGTTGCCCAGGCTGGAGTGCAGTGGCACGGTCTCGGCTCATTGCAGTCTCGACCTCCTGGGTTCAAGCGATTCTCATGTCTCAGCCTCCAGAGTAACTGGGATTACAAGTGTGCACCGCCGCAGCTGGCTAATTTTTGTATTTTTAGTAGAGACGGGGTTTCACCATGTTGGCCAGGCTGGTCTCCAACTCCTGACCTCAAGTGATCTGCACCCCTCGGCCTCCCAAAGTGCTGGGATTACAGGCATGAGCCACCATGCCAGGCCTGCTTTCCCAGTTCTGCCAGACAAATCACCGTTCATCCATCTGCTCTCCAACTTTCAAAACCATGTTGCTGTTTCCTCTTCTTTCATTCTTGGTCCTTGTGGATTTATGCACAGAAAAGATTCTTCACTGTTGTGATGGGGTTTTGGAAGGAAGTGGAGGTAAATGCAATGCATGCCTTCAATCTGCCGTGGTTCATCTGCACATCCACATGGACCTCCTTTCCTGCTGGTGGATATCTGCAGCATTCCTCCTTTTCATTCTTACAAACATGGCTGCTGTGAGCATTGTGGACATTCCCCTTGTGCATGTGGGAGACTCTTGGAGTGGAACTGCTCTGTGGTAGGATACATGTATCTTCAGCTTCACAAGATAAGGTCAAATCGTTCCCCCCAGTGCTTGCATCACCTTCCATGGCCAACAGCAACGTATGAGTAGTTGGTGTTGCTCCAGCGATGCTTGGCACTCTCTGGCTTTTTAGCTGTCCACCAACTTAATGAGTGAAGGATTGTGGCATTTCTCGGAACTCTGCTGAGCTTCAGCAAGCCTTCTCATGTGTTTACTGGCCCTTCAGCGCTCCTCTTCTGCCAGTTGCCTGTTCCTATTCTTTGCCTTTTAAAAAAAGTGGGTGATTTGTCTTTTTCTTATTGATTTGCAGAATTCTTTATATAGCCTGGAAACAGTTTTTTTGTCAGCTATCTATGCTGCAGGTATATTCTTCTGGTCCATCTGTGGCTTGTCTTTTCCCGTTGTAATGTCTTTTGTTGAACGGATGATTTAAATGGTAACAAAGTCAACTTTCTCACCTTTATGGCTTATGCTTTTTATTACTTGTTGGGGATGAGCATTTTTAAGGCTCTTGATGTATATGGCTAAATTATCACTGAGAAAAGTTGTCCTAATTTGCCCTTGGAAGGGGCAGAGAGATGACAGGCATCCCAGGTGCACATATGGTGGGCATGAACGCAGACGGAGTGGGGATCAGGAGTGGGATAATTAATGAATAACTAAAATGCATACAGTGCACAAGGCTTCAAAGTGCTGTGGGGGAAAATGCGTTACTTGATCCTTGACACCCTCCTAAAAGGCCCCTTTCTTTGTTCTCCTTTGGAGAACTGAGGCCTCCCGCCATGGTCACAGGTGACTTTGATTCAAGCTCAGCTCCAGCCGAGGTGTCTGGGCTGAGAGTTGAGGAGACTTGGGGGAGGGTGGTTAATTAGTGTCCAGGGGAAGGGGGGATGAGCGGCCACCTTTTCCCATGGCAGAAGCCCTGTGTTTTTGCTGGCAATGGGGTGTTTGTGCTGCCTGGGGAAGTGGGAGGGGCTTTGGGATCACAGAGCCCTGGGTGCTGCCTCTTAACAGCTCCGGACCCTCAGGCAGGCTCTGGACCTCTCTGAGCCTGTCTCCTCCTGGATAGAAAGGGCATGATGCAGATGCAGCCCTGGGGGAGCTGGAGGGCTGAGTTAGATAATGCAGGTAAGAGTTCCTAAAGCCAGAAAGGTGCTCTCAGGTGGAAGATTTGTTCCCTGAGGAGAGCTATGGGGGAAGGGTGGGCACCTGGGAGAATGGCAGAGCAGTGGGGCTGCATGGGGACATATTCGAGGGTCAGTCAGTGGGGGGTGGGCAAAGCCTGCAGTGGTGGTAGAGGGGATCCAGTGCCTTTCATTTCCTTGTAAAAGGTCCTTTTTGAGAAACTGACTTGGTCCAGTGACTGGGGAGAGGGGATGGGTGAGGGCTGGGGGAGGTACTGGGTCCCCAGAGTCAGGGGGCCATCCCCATCCCCAACCCCTTCTCACTTATATCCCTGTCCCTCCTCCTCTCCAGGCCCCAGGCTGGCCTTCTACCTCCTGGCACACCCAGGCCTGAGGGGTTAATTTTGAGGCGCCTGAGCAAGCCTGGCGTGGCAGTATGTAAATCCATACACTTTCATAAACTGCTTAATTAGGCGAATGTTAATGAGACGTTAATTACTGTTGTGCCCGCCGATCCCACAGAAACGGGGATTATGTTTCTCTTCAAACATCCCGTCTTAATTATAACTTGTGCTTAATTCTGCATCTTCCACCAGCCGGGCGAGGGCGGGGTGGGCACCTCCCTTTCTCGGCAGTTCTCTGATGGCTCCTCATTTTTGGTCTTCCATTTGTTCCTCAGACATCTGGTAAGCACCTACTACGTGCCAGGCACAGTCCTGGAGCTGGTGCTGGGGTGACAGAGGGCAATCAGCCTCAGTCCCTTAGGGAGCTCCCTGCCCTGTAGGGAGGTAGGTTTGTAAGTATGTATTGCAGCAAAAGCCCTGGGGCAGGGAAGAGGTGTGGGGGGCTGCTTGGCAGGCACGGGTGGTCCCAAAGAGGAAGTGGTTTGTCTCTCGGGTGGTGGGTCAGGGAAGGCTTCATGGAGGAGGTGATCTGTGGACTGAGTGTTGAAAGTGGAAAAGTATTCACCAGATAGATAGGAGGCTGAGAGTTTGGGTGGAGGGTGGTCCCGCTTGGCCAAAGACCTGGTGTTCAAAGCCTCGACCCCTGTGTGCTTTCCCTCTCTAATCCAGATCTCTTAGCCTTGAAGCCCAGGAATTTAGGGGGCTCCTCAGAGAGCCTTGGCTCTGCCCAGGGCCACCAAGTGGCCTTGGGCAGGTATCTGCTCCTCTTAGGGCCTCACTCCATCTTACTCTGAGGGCCTGGCTAGGAATTGAATTGGGTCTTTGGTCTCAATCCAGGGAAGAAGGTGGTCAGGATAGGCTTCCTGGAGGAGGCCTCTCCACGGCCTGCTCCTCTGGAGCTATGAGACTCTGTATTTTGCTCTTGCATTTGAGTCTCTGAGCGTAGCAAACACATGTGCTTGGTGTGTACCATGGCCCCACCCTCCAGACCTGACCACCATAGCCAGGAGCCTGAAAGACTGGCCTGCACACACTGTCCTCATGCCACAGTTTCTACCCACGCCTCGGTCCACTGTGCCTTCCCCCAGCAAGGACTGCTTAATGCTGCCTCTGCCTCTCCTTGTTCTCTTTCACCCTCAAGTACCAGGAAGCCTCAGGCTGTTCTGGCTGCAGCCAAACCTGCCAGGGTGAATTAAGGGCCGAATCATCAAACTCTAGGCCTCAAAAGACCCAAGAGGTCATAAAGCCCCATTTTAGAGATGGGAGACATGGGGTCAGAAAGGGTCAGGGCCTGGCGTGGAGTTGCACATCACATCCCGGCCTCACTCCATCACTCATGTCCACTCCACAGATGGGAATACTGAGGCTCAAAGAGGCTATATGCCAGGGATGGAGACTCCAGGGGCTGGGCATGTGACAGGGCCTCAATGAGCTCCTTTGGGTCATCTCTTCTGATGCCATTCCCCTGGAGAGGAGAGCCTTGCAGAGAGGCTACAGACACCTAGTGAGGGGACTCCACTCCATGTCCCTGAAGCTGAGAAGCTGCCTTGGCTCCCCAGCCCTTGGGGCCTTTTCTTCTGCAACTCCTGTCAGAATCTCTCCTTTGAGCACTTAGTTATGGTGGGAGATGAGTTACCTGGAATGTCCTGTGCCTGACTTGGACCAGATTAATGGCATTTGTAGTCTAGACATCTTAACTCAAAGGAGCACAGTCACGGAGAAAAAAGCCCTTTAGCCCATTACGTGTATTTGAACAATTACAACTCAGCCCTTTAAACTGGTTGTTATGTCCCCAAATATGAAAATAAAGAATGCCTGTCCCAACTTCTGCGCCATCAGCAAGACTGTGAGGACAGCCTTTGCTTGCTTGCAAGTGGTCCTGTGCCTGTGGACTGGGCTGCTGTGGCCTTGTTCCTCACAATTTGCATTGTGTTCACAATTTGGTGGTGGGTCCCTGTATTGCCCCACCCAATGCACTGGAGCAAATTTTTGGTTTAATAGAAAGATGTGAATTAAAAATGGATACTTGGGCCAGGTGCAGTGGCTCACACCTGTAATCCCAGCACTTTGGGAGGCAGGTGGATCACTTGAGCTCAGCAGTTCGAGACCAGCTTGGGCAGCATGGCAAAACCCCATCTCTACTAAAAATACAAAAAAAAAAAAAATTAGCCAGGCATGGTGGCACGCACCTGTAGTCTCAGCTTCTTGGGAGGCTGAGGCGAAAGAATCACCTGATTCTGGGAGGCAAAGGTTGCAGTGAGCTGAGGTCATGCCACTGCACTCCAGCCTGGGTGACAGAGTGAGACCTTGTCTCCAAAAAAAAAAAAAAAAAAAAAAAAAAAGATACTTATTAACAATCACAACAAAATAAAGCTTTTTAGCAAATTTCTGTGGTTTCTGTTTCTGGCCATATTCCCAGTTTGGGCCCAGTGGTGAGTCCTATTACCCTCACCTCCTTTCCCAGCACCCAGGATGTACTCACTTATTCCTCCTCCTGTGTCCCAGTTCCTCCAGCCCCAGGCAGGACATAGGGGGAGATTTAGATATTTGGAACCTCAGAACTGGAGGCTGGCTCCCAGTGAGCAGCTAGCCTATGGGTCTCAAACTCAGATGCCCCAGGGGCCAGGCAAAGGGGCTGGAAATGAGCAAAGCAGGTTGATAAGGACCGTGGATAACTGGAGGGCCACCCATCAGCCCCAGCGGATTGCTCCCATGTGGAAATAAATGCAGGCCCTGTGTGGCCAGATTCAACTTTTCCAAGAGAAACCAGAAATCCAGATTCCTATGTAATTTGCAAAAGTTGGCAACTGATTCTAATCTTTTAAAAAACCACTGAGCAGGCCAAACAAAACATTCTGCTGCTCAGTTCGTAACCCCTGTTGCTGGTTCAGCCCCTGCATTTGCAGACAGGGACTGAAGCCTGGTGGGGCTGGGGGACGGGAGCCTGGACACCCTTAGTGGCTGGGCTCACTCCAGAGGCCCCCTGGTCTCCCACCTCCTTGAGCCTCTCCATATTCAGCCTGGGCTGTTAGATGTTCCCCTCCCCTCCCTACCCCAACCCCGGCAGGCACCCTGCTACCTTCACCACGGAGGAGAGAGTCATCAGGTGTGTGGAATGACAACCAGAAACACGGCTGCTGCAGGGAAACAGGCATGAGTCATTGCCGCGCTGTCTTTTAAGGAGGAAAAAAAAGCCGCCTCCTTAGAATCGTCACCCAGGCCCACTGTGAGAGGCGGTGAGTGGGGCTCTGAGACCTGGCAGTTTATTTCCGGGCCACATCCCCTCCCTCCGGGGTGGGCCCTGGCTGGCACCAGGTGAGCAGTAGTGCCCTGGTTATAGGTGTGGTTCAGGTGCCAGGCTCCCCACGGCCGTGGCCAGGGCAGAGCGCTCAGCATGTTTGTTCACTTATGACTTTAAAAAATAACACAGGGACTCTTTTATTAAAACAGCTGTATTACCAATCAACATGTTTTAATAGGACACTCAATTAGAGCAAGATTTACAGAGAGGTAGACGCCCCCATGTAAACTGGCACCTTTCTCCCCAGTCGCCGGCTCCAGTGCGTCACTGTCTAATGTGGTCTCCTTTCTCAGCTGGGCATGAGACAAATACTTCTTTCAGCTCCCCTGCACTTCTGAAGTTAGGGGAAGGGGCATCGAGGTGAAGGTGACGCTTGCTGAGCACCTATGGTGTGCTGGGCACTGGTCCTGGTGCTTCGATATACAACCTCACTTACTGTTGACAGCCACCCTGTGATGTCAGTGTAATTGGCTCCATTTTTTCAGGTGGGGAAACTGAGAGAAACTTGCCCACAGCTTGCTGCCTCAGGCCCACTTGGACCGAGTTGCCTCTGGCAGTTGGGGAGTTAGCAGGCGTTGCGGGCCCCTGGCCTCCCTCCCAGCTGCCCTCCAGCCTTCAATCTGGGCAGAGCTTTCCAGTCCACACCGCTCCTCCATGCCAGTTCACTCTCAGGCCCAAGGGTGCTGAGGGGCCACAGGGGGCTTGTAACCTCAAGCCAGAGGCCAGTGAAGGAAGGGGAAGCAATGTGCAAGGTAGTGTGTGGGTATGCATGTGCGTGTGCATGGGTGGCTGCACACACATGGGCATTTAATCTGCGTAGGTCACATGCCCATCCCCTGTGTGCCTGCTACTTACTTGCCAGCCCTGCTGTTAAGTGCTTTCCAGGTCTTCAGAGAAAGCCCTGATTTTACTCCTTACTCAGGGAGGGTGGGGTGGTTTGGTCTCAGGTGCTCTCTCTGTTAGGGGCCTTGTGGGCTCCCTATGGGCTGAGTGGAGTGGACCCCACTCTGGAACACCTCAGACAGGCCCAGGCTGAAGTGGGGATAGCACTGGGGAGATTCAGGACCTCACCCAACTATTTTCCTCCCCCCGCTTCTGACCGCCCCCTCCTCGACAATGGTGATCCTCTCATTGCCACAGTTCTTCCTCTGTGCCAAGCATGGTGTGAGGGGCTTTTCATAGATGGTGGCCCCATCTGATCCCCCCAAAACCCCCATATAGGAGGCAGTCTCATTGTTTTTCAGATGAGGAAACTGAGGCACAGAGAGGGTAAGCAGCTTGCCAATGTCACAGAGTAAATGGGAAAGCAGGGATTTGAGTCCAGGCATCTCATTCCAGAGAATGTGCTCATCAAGAATACGAGGCTTGGCTGTCCTCCTGGCCCAAACTCAAGCCTGGCCTCCTCCATGAAGCACACCCTGACTGCCCCTGCTGGCTCTGAACTGCCCCAGGTACAGCTGTCTCTCTCTTCCAGGGTGGCTGTCTTGGCCATTCTCCTCTCAGAGCTTGCAGATGGGCCACAGGGTAGAGGAAATACCCAAGAAAGGTCAAGTGAGTTGGCTTTGGAAGCTGGAAAGGAAACGGAGGCCTGCAGATGGGGAGCGCCCGCCTTGGGGTGCACAGTCAGTGAGGGGTGAAGCCGGACTCTCAACCTCCAGTCCAGTGCTCTTTCTTCTGTACCTACTTGTTGCATTGATTTTATTTCAGAGACAGGCCCAGATGCATGGTGGGAGAGAGACCAGAGGGGAGCCTGGCTAAGACCCCTTTTCCTTTCCTTTGCCTCTAACCCTCGAACCATGCAGGCTTGCACATTTTCAACCTCCCTCCCATCCTTCACCTTCCCACCATTAAAACAAAAATTGGGAGGCGAGGGAGGGGCGAGCTGTTGACTTAAATGTTTAAATTAGCCTCACTTTGCTGAAAGCTGGGTGTCAGGATAAATCCATTCCTACAGTGTCATATATTTTTCCTGAGTGGGAAGTTGGTGAATAAATGAGTGTTCTTCATATATTATTATGGCCTGACACAGCCGAGGCAGGGAAAGGCGGCCCACGGTGATTAACGAGCAGGTCTGGGCTAATGAGCCGGAGGTTGGGCTCCTTATGGGGGGCCTATGCCTGGCGCCTGGGCCAGGGCTGGGGACTGAGCCCCTGTTCTGGGGCATTCCAGCCAGCCCTTGCTTAAGCTAGGAGGCCTATGGTGCCTTGCTTTCTCCTCCTCCTCTTCCATCTGTCCCTTAGGACAACTCCCTGCCCCTGCTGGCTCTCTTTGCCCTGTCCCCGCACCCAGTCTCCTCTTATCTGGGGACTTGAAATGACATCTTTCTGGCTCACGGTCCATGGAGGGAATAGAACCCTGCAAGGAAAATACCATGAGACCATGACATCTACGTGGTATTAATATTTTTAGATTAAAAGACACCTTGACTTGGTCTTCACAGTATCCCCATCGACCAATGAAGGAACTGAGGCAGGAAAATGGAAAGGAATCCCTGTGAGCCTGTGGGGGCCCAGCCTCCACCTCTGTGGTGTTCCCACAGCCACCTCAGTATTTCTGTGGCTGAGTGGACCACCCCCCATATGATGCTGGAGTCAAACCCTGTGCATGGTCAGTGCCTGACAAGCCCAGCCTTGGCCACTCTTGTTCTGGGGGCTCAGATTCTCTGTCCTGTCAGACCAGAGCCTGGGCCCCTGCGGCAGACTGCCCAAGAAAACCCATCTCAAAGATATCAAAGTCTCAAATGTCAAACCAAGATGATCCCTGAGGAGCCAGAGAGGCCTCCTAGAGGAGGTGGCCCTTGAATCAGGGACACTGACACTGGTGGGGAGGGGAAGGCAGGGTGGCTTGGCCAAGGAGTGGGGCAGTAGGGCCTCCAGCATCTAACCTTGCCCAAAGACTGTGGGATCCTTCCCAGGCTTGGGCTTCATTTCCTATTGCCCCTCTGCCTCTCCCAGACTGTAGGGGCTGAAGGTATGGGTGGGGAAACCTGCACAGCAGAGGTGGGGGCCCCTCCCCAAGGCTGAGCTCCAAGGTGTCCCTGAGGGATGAGTGTGTGAACATGGATGAGTCTGTGTGCGAGGTGGTGCACGTTGGCATTGGGGGGCGGTGGAGTATCAGGGTGTATATACGTGGGGACATTCAGTGCCCTCTAGGGAGGCAGAGTGGGTGGCATGGTGGTTCAGGGTCATTCCCCTGAGCACGTTCTCCTAAAGTGACACCTTTGCAATTGTCTTTCAAGTTAGCATGTTGATGTTCTTAACACTGCGATGAAAATGTGCAGAAGTAATTGAAAGCCAGACAGTTAGACGCCAGATGCGGGAAAATGGTCACGTTCACTTCCTCACCAACCAGGGCTGCTGAGCCTGGGCTCCCAGCCCCGGCTTGGCCCTCCCTTGATGGTATGTATGTGTATGTTTATGGTACCTTGTGTGCAGGAATGTGTGTGTGTGTGTGTGTGTGTGTGTGTGTGTGTCTGTCTGTCTGTCATTGTATGTCAGTGTATTGTGAAACCATGTATAAACACATTTGTGAGTGTGTGTCATTGTGTGTGTTGTGTGTATGTCTGAGAATGCATGCTTGATTGTGTCATTCCTCTGTGTGTGGACATGTTTTTGACTGTGGGTGTCAAAATGTCCGAGCTTTTTTGGGCCCAGTCTTCCTTGTGGACCTTAATGAGAGTTATGGGCTCCATAACTGTAAAGCATTGTCCACATGTGATGGGTCAGTTGCTGCGATCACAGGAGGAGGGATGCAGAGATCAGGACCCTGCAGTGAAGAAAGTGGGCTGGATGGGGCAGGGTCTAGCCTGGGCCTGCCTGGCCCTTCTGCGTGTACCTGGGCCCATGCCCTCCCTGTTGCTGAGGCTCTCTAGCCTCTCCAGCCCTGCCTTAGCCTGGCCTCAACACCCTGCCACCCCCCTACTTCCCACCAGCAAGCCTTTGCTGAGCCACACTGTCCAGACAGGATGGGGAGGAGACCCTGCTCCCACCGAGGAGTCAGGATGAGGAAGAACTTTGGAGCAGTTAAATGTTAAACCACATTGGGCTGGATCAGCCTTTGGAAGATTGAAGGGGAATTTAGCTTTGCTGGCGGGAGGAAGGAGGAAACATCAAGGGCAGATGTGTGGCATCGGGAAGGAGGTGGGAGTGTGGGGGAGACAGGGAGGCAGCCAGGTGGGGTGGGGCCACTGACAAAGGCACAGAGCTGGAGAGGTGGCTGCAGAATGCCCAGCACATAGTAGGTGCCCAGGAAATATCTGAAATGCAGGTGGGGGTCCGGTTATGGAGTTTTCCTTGTGACCTTGGGAAGGTGTTAACCAGAAGGTATAACTGTAACATAAACAATGATAGCAACTCTATTTCCTAAGCCCCTACAGTGCAGGCAGCACTGTGCCTGCCACCCTACACACATTATCCCAGTGTATTATTTCATTTTACAGATAAAGAAATGCGGGGTCAGGGAGGTAGTGGCCTGCTCAGCGTGACAGCACAAATCAATGTTGGTCCTAGGATTCAATTCCAGGTCTGACGCCAAAGCCTGTGCTGCTTCCCCTCCATGCTTCAGTTTCCTCATTTCTACCATGAGGGCCTGGAAGAGAGGACTTCATATTTAGCTTGCTTTGGGGCTGGAGCCTGTTGACCCCAGAGTTCCCTCTTTTGAGTAAGACTCTGTGCCTGGCCTGGGGAGCTTCCTCCTTCCCCATCAGATCCCTGGGGTCACCTCCCTTCCCCTAGGCCAGCATGGGGCCAGGCCTGGGATGGGCAGGAGCAGAGTACCAAGAGCCTTTTGGAGGGAGGGGTGTTGCTGTGCTCCTGAAGCGAACTGAGTGGGGACCTGGCTGTGCTCCAGTCTGGTCCTAGTAGGAGGGCCTTGGCCTCAAGGGAGTTGTGCATCCATCTGTGGCTTGGTCTCCTTCCCTACAGACGTGGCTGGCAGAGGGAGAGGCCATACCTTTTGTGTGCACAGCCCCCAGATAAGTCAAAAAGTGTCTTACCTGCATGGCCTGCCTCAAGCTTCACAACAGCGTTGGGAGCTGGAGACCACCAGGCCCCATCTTATAGGCAAAGACATTGAGTTTCGTGGAAGCCTGTGAATTTCCCAGGGTCCTCAGTGACTGAGGGCAGAGCTGGGCTAGGCCATCTTCTGCCTACCGGACCTACCCTCACCGTGGCCCTCTGATAGGCCAGGCCAAGGACGCTGCACTGTGGGGCACAAAGGGCAGCCCTGACTTCTGAGGAGGTTGCCAGAGGCAGGGCCTAGGGCTGGAGGGGCCACTCTGCAGGCTCTTCCTTCTCAGAGCCCCACCCCCAGAACCCCCAGCACAGCCTAGGCTGGGACTGCCACCCACTGCGCACTCCAGAGGCAGCTGTGCTGAGTTGGGTGGAGCGTCCTGTCGCCCTGTCCCTGGGAGGCGGGTGTGCCTAATGAATTAATTAATGTTGGCAAAGCACTTGGAGAACTTGGGCTGAAAGGTGCTCAATACATGCAAATCAGAGTGATTGTTATTATCCATAATTATGGAGTTTCTGCCGGAGAAATTATTCAGAAGCGGACGGTGGCTGGGCCAGCACAGGGCCCTGCCAAGATCTGCTTCTCAAGAATGGGGGAATCTGTCTTCCTTCCCTCCCTTCCACTCTTCCCTTCCTCCCTTCCTTCCTTCTCCCCTCCCTCCCTTCCCTCCACACTTCTTGCCATCCCCTTCCCCCCTCACTCCCTCCCTTCCTCCTTTCCTCTTTTCCTTCCCTTCTTCCCTCTTTTCCATCCTCTTGCTCCTGCTCCCTCCCTCTCCCTTCTGCCCCACTCTTTCCCTTCCTCCTTTTCCCTTTTCCCCCTTTCCTTCCCCCTTGCCTTTCTGCTCTTCCTTTCCCCCATCCCTGCTCCCACTCTCTCTCCCAGCTCTGGGCCTGTTTCCTGCTTTTCCACAGCAAATGCCTTCTTTGTCTTCTCTGTCATGAAGACAGGCACCTGGCAAGGTTTGGAGAAGGAAGAGACTGGGCAGTAGCTTCTCACTCACTGGAAGTGGGAAGGATCCAGAAGCTGAGCCTCACTTTTTTCCTCTGTTAAATGGGTGCATAAGGGGTTCCCTGCCTCTTTGGGTGAGTGGCAATGCCCAGGAGGGCACTTTCTGTGTTGCAAACTTCACGCCTGTAAGGCTCTGCCATACGTTGTTTAGATAAACATCGTGTGTGTGTTTGTGTGTGCACACTTGGTGTGTGTGTGCCTCCAGCCCTCTCCTCCCTCAGACCGTGTTCTCAATATGGCTTTGTGTCTTTGGCTGTTGGTTCCCTGATGGCTGAGGCTGACCCTCCTCCACCAGACTGAGTGAGCAAGCGGCCCCATGCTGACAGTCCTTGGCAGTGCCCAGAAACAGCAATCCAAATAAACTCTCTCTCTCAGCTGCACCCTACTTCCCTCCCCCTACCCCCAGTCCTCTGTCTCCATGACGATGTTCATCTTTTGTGCCCACCAGCCCCAGGGAGGGCTGCTCCCAGATTCAGCACCATGAACAGCGCCTGGCTCAGCCAGGCCCGCAGAGTCTCCTCCCAGCTGAACATAGCCTCCACAGGTCATTCTGACCCAAGTCCTACTTCCACAGCCAGACACCAAAGCCAGGAGAATGCCAGTGACTTATCCAAGGGCCCACGGAAGCTTAGCTTTAGAGCTGACCTACAGCCCTGGTCTCTGAACTCCCCATTGCATTACAAGGAAGCTTTAGAAGGACTTCCTAGTGTTTGGTCAGCAAACACTGGGCAAGCACCTACTGTGTGTCTGCCTCTATACCAGGTTCGGTGATGGAGGTTAGTTGGAGGCAGTCAGGTCTCTGTTCTCTCCAGCACGCGGGACCCATGAAACAACAGCCACAGCCATGACAACGGCGAGAAAGCCAGGGATGGCAAATATGACACTATGTATGTGCTTGATTTTGTGGTGTCTGTGAGAAGTACTTGAGAGATGTGAGGCAGAGCAGGTCCCTGTAGGATGGAGCAGTCAGGAAGGCTGCTTGGAGGAAGTGGCACCCAGCCTAGAGAGGCAGAAGGGAGGGGGAAGCTGGTTGCTGAAGAAGGGGCTGGAATGAAGCTGGTCTGTGTATGAGTGATGGTGAGAAGTCCATCCAATGGGCTCAGGGCAGCTGGTGGCAGTGAGCCTGGGAAGGTCTGCAGTGCCCTATGAGGGGCTGGCCTCTGTCCTGTGGGCACACGGGAAGGCTGACCAGCACAGGGACACAGTGGGATTCCCCTCCCCTCTACAGTGCTACAGCCTGCTCTGGTGTCAGAATCCGAGCCCCTACCTCTCCTTCCCTCCCTTACCTAGGGTTGGCTGATTCCATCTGGAAGTGACAATAAGCTGTGGTTGTCTATGGGGCCTTTGTGCCTTATTGCCCAACCTGTAATCTTTCCCATCCAACACAGGCTCCTTTCTTTTCCCTGGCATTTGTCAAAAAGATGGGACAGAGCCCCAGAGCCCTGTGGGGAGGCTGGGCCGGAGAAGGCCTCTTGCTGCCCATCGATTTGTGTTGCTTTTGCCAGCTGCCTGAGTGGGTTTGCCGGACACCATGGGGCTGTGTTTGGCTTTGGATGATGAAATAATGTCTTCACCAAGGAAAGGAGAAAGCCTTTGCTAATTAGCTCAGCTGCCTACTTTTAGGACAAAAGTCTTTACTGTTAGGCTCCTGTCGCTGGCTGAGTGGTGGGGCTCTGCGGGGAGCCAGTGTGGTGGGCAGTCCACCTTGGGGGAGACAATGGAAGGATGAGAGGGGCTGGGGCAGGCAGGGCCAACATTTTCCAGGGATGCTATCTCCTTGGCCTTCTGTCCCCCAGCAGCGTTTTCCTGGCACAGGTGCAGCATGGGGTAACGAAAGGCCTTGGGATGACATAGATCCTGGTTCTGTCCCCAGCCCTGCCACTTGCAGGCCTCATGGCCTTGGGCAAGACACAGCTGACTCTCTGGGTTTCGAGTCACCTTCTCTGAAGAAGGAGGCATGGTCACATGTGAGAGGGCGGCTCCTGGGCTTGGTGAGATGATGGAACAAAGCACCTGGCACACAGGGGGGACTTGGGAAATGTGGGTGGCTTCATGTTCATTACTTAGGATCACAGCCTTACCTTGCTGTTGGCTCGGGCCTTGTTCATCTAGAGCTCAAGTATCCTGCTCTCCACCCGTCTGAGCCCGTAGAAGGGTGAGATCTTCTTCCCTAACTTCTCCCAGGGACTGGGAGGCAGTGGGGCCAGTTGAATGGCTGGATTCAAAGGCAAAAGCATTTGAAGTGCTCCTTACCCTACAGTTTAGGCTTTGGGGCTAGTGGGAAGGGGCTGAAGATCAGACCAAGTGATCAGAGGAGGGAGGGCCAGGATGGAAAGGCCTGAAGCACTGACCCTTCTCCAGGAAGCCCTCCAGGGATGGGCTGGAGGTGCTCTTTCTCTGTGTCCCCCCTACCCCATAGGCTTTCACTGTGTTCTTCCCAGGGCATTGCCCCCAACTATCACAGGTCTTATGCTCACTCCCATCTCTGTGAGGCTTTCTGGTATTCTAAATTTCTCATACCTGTGACTCGTGAACCCCACGGGCAAGGTAGATAATAGTAGGAGCAGTAGTCATGGTGTTCAAGGTAATGATCCTAAAAGCAGCCAGCCTTGCTGAGGACTTACCATGTGCCAGGCACAGGTCAAGGCACCCTGCAAGGATCATTCCCTTACTTTTGGTAGACAGGGTTGGATTGACTCCCATTTTACGGAGAAGGAAGCTGAGGCCTGAATGGGAGAGGGGCCTCTTGAGGGCATAGCATGAGTAAAGGCAGAGATTCACACCTGTGCTCACACCTGGCTCAGGTCAGTTTAGGCTGACAATCACGGTGGTGTGCCCACTCTGTGCCCCGCCCTGGACACAGAGAGGGAGATGGTACATACTCAGGCCCTCAAGCAGGTTATGGTCCGCGGAATACCCTCCACGCTGCCCTTGTTCTTCCTGACCTCCTCCTCGCCCCAACTCAGAGGTGCCAGCTGCATCTTTCCCACTGGACTGGCCCTGCCTCTGACTCTGGAGTCCCTTCAGTGTAGGCTTCACAGGCAGAGGCTCCAGTCTCATTGGCCAAAGTATTTCTGGCACTTACCAAGCCCTGACACGTAGTAGGGGCTCACCTAATACTTGTTTAGTGGTGGGATAAATGTCATTGTGTGGATTAAATGAGACCATGTATATGAAATACTTGGCACTCAACCAAATATTTATTGAGTGAAAAAATATCTTTGGGTGGAAAGGAGGTGGTGCAGGGTGTCAAGTGTCTGGCTCATAGTAGGCTCAGCACAGGGGAATGGTAAAAGCCGTATTGTTGGCATCCATTCTTCTGGAAGGGGTTGGGTGGGTGGACCAGACCAGAAGCAGGCCCAGGAGGTGGGAGAGATAGACAGGGAGAGAAGCAGGCACGCACCGGAACTCCCAGGAAGAGGCAACAGCAGGGAGAAGGCTGCTTTGCAGCTGGGGACCCTGACACCTACTCCATGTGGAGCTGGGGACTGGAGCGCGTGCGTGTGTGCACGCGTGTGGGCGGCTGTGTGTGTGTAAAACAAATAACTGGAAAATGAATTTAATTATAAGGCACTTTTAATAGTTATTTATATTTAATCCTGCTAATTCTACTTCTCATGTAGCCAAACTGTAATGCTATTCTTCTTACTCATTTGCTAGTGAGAGTAGGGGAGAGAAGGGAGCAGGAGGCGGCCTCACGGGAAGGCAGCAGGTGTCCCCCGACCCTGGGGTGGGCCCAGCTCAGGGGTGGATACTGAGGGCAGTGAGGAAGGGGCCATTGGCAAGGCTGTCTCGGGGGGCATCGGGGACGTGGCCCCTGCTCTGACTCCAGGGCACGTGTTCACTCAGCCCCAGGGGTGGGTGAGGGGGAGTCATGGAGAGAGCCCAGCCTGAGTCAGGCAGACCCAGGTTCAAATCCATGTGTCTTAACTTCACAGGCTCACTTTCTCCACCTGTAAAGTGCTATCACCCACTCCCCACCCCCACCCTGAGAGCTGCTGGGAGGATTAAATTGGAGAGAGCCGGCCTGCCCCATGGCAGCTTGTCCAGAAAGTCCGGTTCCGCACCCTACTTCCTCTTACCAGCCCTCAAGCTGGCCCTTGGGCTCCAGACATGCCCAGCCAGCCCTCAGCTTATTGGCAGAGAGAAGATGTTTGACTAACTCTATGGCCAATAACTGACTTCTTCCCCTTATTTGAGGATAACCCCTTAGGAGAGCTGGAGGGCTGAGTTGGGTTGGAGGGTGGTCTGGTGGCGGGAGCAGCTTCACTGGGCAGCAGGGAGCAGTCCACGCAGCAGCCGTGGGAGTGGGCAAAGGGGATGACACATTCCTAAGAAGGGTCCATGGCATGGGCCACATGGTGGCTCTGGAGGAAGGAGGTCAGGAGTTAGAGACCCAGACCCACTCTGCTGGGGAGAGTCTGGGAAAGCTGGTAGCCCCTGCTGAGTCTCTTTTGTTTTCTTACCAGGGCTGTGAGGCCAGGATGTAAAAGACTGAGAAATAAAACCAGGGAAGAGCTTCAGGCAGGTTTAAGGCCTGGAGATGGGGCTGGTGGGAGGTGCTGAGTACTCACTGGGCCCACCTGGGGAATGGCATTGGGCTTGTTTTCTGACAGTGCTTCCTGTGGCCAGGCTGAAGGCAGGGGCCTCAGAGTAGCCTGGAATGGAGCAGGCAGGTGATGCTGGGCTCAGACCTCTCTCTAGGGACCCCATAGAAATTGGGCTGGGGGGCCGGGCGCAGTGGCTCACCCCTGTAATCCCAGCACTTTGGGAGGCCGAGGCAGGCGGATCACCTAAGGTCAGAAGTTCGAGACCAGCCTGACCAACATGACGAAACCCCGTCTCTACTAAAAATACAAAAATTAGCCGGGCGTGGTAGTGTGCGCCTGTAATCCCAGCTACTCAGGAGGCTGAGGTAGGAGAATAGCTTGAACCCAGGAGGCAGAGGTTGCAGTGAGCCAATATCACGCCAGTGCACTCCAGCCTGGGAGACAGAGCGAGACTCCAAAAAAAAAAAAAAAAAAAAAGAGAAGGAAGGAAGGAAAATAAATAAATAAATAAATAAATAAATAAATAAATAAGGCTAGGGGCCAGTCACTGTGGCTCTTGCCTATAATCCCAGCACTTCAAGAGGCTGAGGTGGGAGGATTGCTTGAAGCCAGGAGTTCAAGACCAGCCTGGGCAACAAAGCAAACCTCTGTCTCTCCCCTGCACCGCACCCCCAATAAAAGAAAAGAAAAAAGAAAAAGAAAAAAAAAGAAATTGAGCTGGGACTGGGGTCCATGACCTCTTCCTGGAGCAGAGTTGTGGGGAGGAAAAGGCAGGGGCCCGCCTTCCTCCATGTGTTGCTTCTTCCCATGCTGTCCTGGTCCTGCCCACTATGCTGGGGCCACCTCAGGGTTCCTGGGCTCTGCAGGGCATCAAAGGGGTTGGCCACGCCCAGAGGCTACCTTGAGGGCGGGCCCTGAGCCAGGCTCTGTGCTGGGCTTCTTCCTGATCTTCTCTCATGGAATCCCTGCAGTGACACTGTAAAGTGGGTGCTACTATCCCCGTTTTATAGATGGGGAAACTGAGGCTCAGGGAGATTGAGGGACATGATTAGAATTTGGGTCATCTGACTCCAAAGACAGTTCCTTTGCCCACTGGCAAACTCTGGTGGCCCAAGGTGGGGAGGAGGAGGACGGCATAGTCAGAGTGCAGGGTGAAGGCACTGCCCTCTTAGGAACAGCTCAGAGAGTGTGGTGCTGAGAAGGGTTTCTAGTCCTGGTGTTCACACCCGCTGGGGCCCAGCAGGGCTGTTGGTGTGGCCAGAGTCTTAACCCACTGGAGAGGGTGCCTCAAAAGGGCAACCACAGTCCCTGTTTAGAGTTGTGTGGAAGGGGAAAGGTTGGCTTTGGGCTCTGTCGCACCGGGGTTCAAATCTTGGCTCTGCTACACACCAGCTGTGCGCCCTTTGGCCAACCACCTGACCCCTGACCCACAGCATGGCCACTGCTGTCTGGCACGCAGCACACACGTGGTACCACCCACCCACCCTCCTCCTCCCTGCCTCCTTCCTCCACTGACGTGTGGAGGTGGGTAATGACTGAGGGTATGATTCTCTCTGGGATAGTTTCACTTTAATAAGAGACTTTAATGCCTCCGAACCCCAGCGGAACGATGTTTCCCTTTAATGGTGACATTTCAGGCATGGTGACAGCCGTGGGGAGATTCTGGAGGCGGGGGCCCGCCTGGCTCTGCATTGGTGCAGCCTCCTTCTCTGGCCCTTCTTCCACTCCCCTCCCCCAGGGCTCACGCTGCTGTCTTGCAGGCAGGTCAGTGTTTTGTTAATTTGATTGAGGGATCTGTTCTGAGTGTGCTCACTCTACAGCTCCTAGAAGCCCAGACTGGGAATTGGTGGGCATTCTGACACAGAGAGGGCCAGCCTGAGCTCTGCTCTTCTAGGCAGTGAGAGGTTACAGAAAAAGTAATGAAGAGGCTTGCAGGGGGAGTGATTGACCTGCTTGGGGGAACCCTGGAGGTCTTGTCCCAGGGAAGAGTCCCTGGGCATGCTGAGCTGAGCATGATGGATCTTATCTGTTCATTAAGACAGCACCCACCCCACCCCCAGGACCTGTCTGCACTCCAGATGACTTGCAATGTCCCCTCATCCACTCAGTGCTATCAGAAGTGCTCCCAAACCCTGGCTGTGTTGCCAGGGGAGAGGAGGAGGAGGAGATGTGGCCCCCTGCTAGGCCTGGGCGGGGGACCAAGGGACAGGGGACTGGAGCTCTGGAGGAGCAGTCCTGGGCCTGCGGATAGGGTGGTTGGGTATTCTTCTTAGCTAACTCAGTGGAGCTAAAGGCAGGGAGGGTTTGAAGAGGTCCTGAGGGAGAGGTCCATGGGCCGGGCCTAGGTGCCTGTGTTCTAGTCCAGATTTTGCAGCTGATTCCTGTGTGACTGTGGGTAAGTCCCTGCCCTCTCCTGGCCTAGATTTTCCCATCTGTCCAATGGGGGTTTTGGTCTGGGCCAGCTAATCTATGGCCCCTTTCAGCACCCTCCTTCCCTGGGAGTGGGGGGTGGTCTCTGGAGCTCAAGGAGCTGGAGAGGGGTGGGAGGCAGATGTATGTGCTGCTGTGTGCTCTGGCCAGCACATTCATTAAGCATCTGTAAGATGGATACACCCCCCAGTTCACCTGGCACATGAGCCTCTGGATTTATTTCTTCCTGAATGGTGCCATCCATCATGTTAGCTTTGCTGCCAATGGCGCGGCTGGCTCCTGCCTGAGCCTCCTGTAGGATAGGGTGCCTTGTTATCCTCCAGGCAGGGCTCCTCGCCCCCAGCCCCCAGCCCCCAGCCTTGCTCCTGCACCTGACCACCCATCAACTTCTGTGGCATGGGGGCAATTCTACCCCTTAGGTCTGCTCTGGTCCCCAGCCAGACCACAGGTTCAGGGTGCTCTAAGGAGTTCTGGGGCAATCAGGGCTGGCTTCTTGAAGGAGGTGGCAGTACTGGCTTTAGACCTAAAAATGTATCTAGGCAGGAAGTGGACAGGTGGAAAGAAGACTAAGTGCTTTCAGTATTGGCGTTGAGGGAGGAATGGAATTCATGGAACAAAGTGAGGGAGGTCCCATGCTTATACTCATGTTGTTTATACCCATTTTGCTTATGAAAGCTACCCAGGCAACAGTGTTTATTGACTGACTGATTGATCCTGTCCCCAGTTCATTTTTTTTTTTTTTTTTTTTTGAGACAGGGTCTCGCTCTCTCTCCCAGGCTAGAGTGCAGTGGCATGAACACAACTCACTGCAATCTGGACTTCCTAGGCTCAAGTGATCCTCCTGCCTCAGTCTCCTGTGTAGCTGGGACCACAGGTGCATGCCACCATGCCCATATAATTTTTTTTTTTTGTAGAGACAGGGTTTCACTTTGTTGCCCAGGCTGGTCTTGAACTCCTGGGGAGCCTCCTAAAGTGCTGAGATTGCAGATGTGAGCCACCGTGCCCAGCTCCTGGTTCTTATAATTTCTTGTTCTTTCAGACTCAGGTGCTCTTTTACCCTTCCTAAGTGGCTCAGGAACTATCTGGTGACCCCACCCCAGCCTCCATCACACAGTCCCCCACAACATCCATCCCTGCTAGAGGCATGCGGAATATGGCAAAGTTTGCCCGACCCTGGATAAGCCACTTCATCTTTTGAGCCTTGGTTTCCCCTTCTATGAAATAAAGATGGCTGGTCTTGCCTGCCAGGGTTGTGAGGAAGAGATGAGCAATTGTGTATGAGGTGATTGGCACAGGGTCTCGTCCGCAGCAGGGTCCCAATGCATGTGGGTCTCCTCCTTTATCCTGAAAAAGACCTGCAGGTTTCACTGAAGAAAGGACATTTGAGATGGTCTCCAGCAAATGAATAGAAGCTCACGCTCAGTGGGCAGAGCCGCCAGGTTGGGGTGGCAGTGATTCTGGATTTCAGCAGGACACATGGAATGGTGCTAAGGGTCTCTGCTGGGGACAGCTTTTTTTTTTTTTTTTCTTTTGAGACGGAGTCTTGCTTTGTCGCCCAGCTGGAGTGCAGTGGCCAGATCTCGGCTCACTGCAAGCTCCACCTCCCGGGTTCACGCCATTCTCCTGCCTCAGCCTTCCAAGTAGCTGGGACTACAAGCGCCCACCACCACGCCTGGCTAATTTTTTGTATTTTTAGTAGAGACGGAGTTTCACTATGTTAGCCAGGATGGTCTCGATCTCCTGACCTCGTGATCCGCCTGCCTCGCCTTCCAAAGTGCTGGGATTACAGGCGTGAGCCACCGTGCCCAGCCTTTTTTTTTTTTTTTTTTTTAAGACAGAGTCTTGCTCTCTCGCCCAGACTGGAGTGCTGGAGTGCAGTGGTGCAATCTCGACTCACTGCAACCTCCACCTCCCAGGTTCAAGCAATTCTCGTGCCTTAGCCACCTGAGTAGCTGGGATTACAAGTGTGTACCACCATGCCCGGCTATTTTTTTTTTTTTTAAAGTAGAGATGGGGTTTCACCATGTTGGCCAGGCCGGTCTCAAATTCCTGGCCTCAAGTCATCCCCCTGCTTTGGCCTCCCAAAGTGCTGGGATTACAGGCGTGAGCCACTGTGCCCGGCTAGGAAACAGCTTCTTAAGCAAGGTGCAGTGGTTAAGGGTGAGGCCTCTGGAGCCAGCCTGTCCAGCTGTGATCCTGGCTGTACTCAGTAGCTCTATGTGCATGACCTTGGGCAAAGCACTAGACCTCTCTGTGTTTTGATTGCCTCCTCTGAAAAGGGGAATACTGATAGAACCTAGCTCACAGTCTTGTCGTGTTGATTAGATGAGTTTATACATGTAAAGTTTAGAATAATGCTGACTACATATTAACTGTTTAATACAAGTTAGCGGCTTTTGTTATTTTATTTTATTTTAATTTTGATGTAGGGTCTCACTTTGGTTGTCCAGGCTGGAGTACAGTAGTGCCATCTCGGCGCAGTGCAGCCTCAACCTCCCGGGCTCAGGTGATTCTCCCACCTCAGCCTCCCGAGTAGCTGGGATTACAGATGAGCACTGCCACACCAGCTAGTTTTTTGTATTTTTAGTAGAGACAGGGTTTCACTATGTTGCCCAGACTGGTTTTGAACTCTTGGACTCAAGCAGTCTGCCCACCTTGGCCTCCCAGAGTGCTAGTATTACAGGCATGAGCCACTGTGCCAGGCTGGCTTTTGTTATTCTTACTGAGGGTCAGAGAGGTTAGGGACTTGCTCATAGACACGCAGCTTGTTAATTCCAAACCTATGCTCTTTCCTCTGCTCCAGGCAGCCCTGGTGTCTGCCAGAGGTGCCTGATGTGCAGACAGAATCCAGGCCTCGTTTGGGGAGAGGTTGAGGCAGGCTCTGCCCACGGTGAGTTCTCTCCCAAGGCTCTTTAAGAGCAGGACCTTGTCTGTCTCACTCACTTCTGTATCCACTGGGGACCCTCAGGACCTGGCGTATAGTAGATGCTCAAGAAATACTTGTGGCTTGGCTACAGATGGATCAATAAATGAAGGCAGGGAGGGTTACCTGGTTGCTCCTAGGGCTTCTGGCGCTCACCATGGGAGCCTCTCACACCTCCATCTTCTGTTCCAGATTGGGAGGACTCCCCCACCCCCGCAGTCTGGCTTTCAGCAGCACCCCCTTCAGCCCTTTTGATGCCCACCCAGCTGCCTGCCTCTCCCTAGGAGGCAAATCTTCAGCATCCCTCCTGCGCCCCTGGGTTCTCCCCGCTTGCTTGTTAACTCGAGAATAACTCCCCAGCCAGCCCTGAACACGATGCTTTTGCCTCTGCTTTTATATTGCGTTGTAATTTGACTGTCTAAAGGTTCTTAAAGAAGAGAGAAATGCAAAATCATTCCCTACTCTGTGCCCACAGTAGATTCTGTCTCCAGGAGGGATGGAGCAAAACCTCCCAACCCTCTTTAGACTGGGGGTCTTTGCAGCCTACCTGTCTTTAAGGTAGGGTACAGGGCACAGGCCTGAGGCCAGGAAGCCTGGGCTCTGATGCTGTCCCCTCAAGAATCTGTGCCCCTCTTAGTCCCTTGACTCCCTGTAATGGGGGAAAGGAGTCATGCCCCTCCTTTTACAGAGTACATAGGGGCCCTGGGGCTCTCTGTCCCCTCTGCCCTGCCCCTGGAGAACGCTGGGTGCTTGTGCCAAGCAGAGTGGGTTCCCGGTGAAGGTGTGCTGGAGGTGGGCATAGGTGGATGGAGGGAGGAGGGAAAGGTGCTGCCTACGACTCCTCAGTGAGGCCCTCCTGGCAGGGGGAGCATGGGGTAGGGGGTAGTCCGGAGAGCCAAGGCAGCATGGAGCCCAGGAGGGCTCTCCTTCCACCCCCCACCCTTTCAGTCACTCCATCTCTCCCACCTTCCTCACCAGATTCTTCTCAATTTCTGAGAAGGTGAGGTTGGGCGTCGGGCTGGGGGCCCTGTGCACCCGTGCACCACCGTGGGTTCTGTCCATCCTCTCACCGCACCCCAAGCTTTCTTGGAGCATCGTGGAAATGCACTGGCTGTGAGGGTGGACTCCTTGTGTCTGGAACTGCCAGGGCTGGTCCACACCTAGCTGCTGAGAATTCCTCCCCTTCCAGCTGTTTCCTTCTTACCCTTCCAGCTGTTTTGGCAGGCTCTCTTCTACAGTCTCTGCCAAAGGTGAAGCTGGCCGTGCTCCCACTCTCCCTGGACAGCACACCAGTCTTTGGAATTCGGTCCCCCTGACTGCCTTGTAACACCAGCTCTCCAGCAGGCTAAATGAAAGTTATGGTTTTGCAGAATATCCAGCTTTTTCTCATTGTTAGCTGGGAGGGATGCTCTCTTGTGGCTTCTACATCCTGGATGAGGCAGAATCCCTCTGTCTCTGGCTCTCATGGTTAACAGCTTTGGATTTACCCAGATCTGGGTTCAAATTATGCCTCCACCAGGTGCTGGCTGTGTGCCTTAGGTGAGTCATCCCCACCCTGCACCTTAGTTTCCCCTCTGGAAAGGGGGATACTGGTGCCCAGCTCAGTGAACTGCTGAGAGGGAGGTGAGCTGATGTGCCCGGCACCTGGAAGTGCTCAGGAAGTGGCCATCGAGTGGCTCTGTGAGGCTCTGTTCACTGTGCCTCTGCCTCCCAGAGGCTGTGGGGAGGAAGGCCAGGGAGCAGCTCTGGCTGGGCTGGCCTGCAAGCCAGGGTGGGGGCCAGCCTGGGCCTTCTCACCTTCAGAGGCTTTGGAGAGAACACTCTCCTCCACACGTGTCCCCGACAGCTTCTCTGGCCCAGTCTGAGCTAGGCTTGTGGGGCTCAGTCAGGTCCGTTAGCTCCCTGGGAGCGGCCCCTCTGCCTGGCCTCTCATCTTACCAGTGCCTGGCAGTAGGCCCCGCCCTGCTTGGATGGGTCCATGGAGCTCCTGGGCACAGAGGGTGATGCTCAGCACCTTTGCCTGGCATTGGAGGCCCTGCCCATTGTGGATGGCCCAACCCCCCCTCTGCCTTTCTCCCTTGCCCATCTCTTTCTCTCCATCTGAACCAAGGATTCCTCTTGGCCCCTCTCCTCTCTGGTTTCAGCTGAGGTCTTGGGAAGTCTTGTGTTTCGACATTCTAGGTGAGAACATTCTAGGCCAGGCTTTCTGAGTATGTATGGGGACAAGGGCTTCTTTGGCCCCCAGAAGCAAGGCAGGGCTGGTTGCACAGAGCTTCCTTTACCTCCAACTGTACCTGATGCCCACAGAGCCTGCAGCCTCAGGGGACTGCACTGGGGAAGCTGAGGCGGGAAGCTACTTGTCTGCGGAACCACAAGGTCAAGCGGTTTTGTTTTTTGCTGGCAGTGGTGGGCCCTGGGGAGAGCGGCTGGCCACAGCATAGTCTGTGGGGCCTGCGGCCTGCCCCTCCTGGGTGGCCAGGCCCTGTTTCCAGGGCTGCTCTTGGGGATGCTGGGGCCTAGGCTCCTGAGGACACCAGGGAAGGGTGGCCAGGGGCCTTCCTGGGGCAAGAGCCCTGGCCTCTGCTGTATCCTCTAAAGGTGGCTGGGGTAAGGGGTCCTCAGGGCCCAAAGGCAGAGGGTAGAAAACCTGAGACTGGCCAGGGAATGTTCCAGGAGTTTCCCAGCCTCTCAGGACAGTGTAATGTGGGTGGGGCGGGGGTTGGTTCCCTAAAGGCTCAGGCTTGGGGTGCTGCTGACTCGTGTTCCCAGGAGCTCAGCCAGGCCAGAAGCCTAGAAGGCAAAGAAGCAAATCTAGAGGGGGCACCTCTGGGGCTTTTTGCAGGGTGTCCCCTGCTGAGAGTGCCTTCCCCAGCCCAGCCAATGTCTCCTTCCTGGAGAAGCACTTCAGGTGCCTCTTGCCCCCGCTGGCCTAGGTTTGGGCTTCTCCAGGCTCCTGGTTCCCTTCCTTGGCCACATGGTAGGGTAGCTGCCTGACTCCTGGTGTGTGAGCTCTTTTGGGGGCGAGGGCAGGGCTGGGGGCTGGGAATGCCTGAGCCCCAGGAGATGGACATGTGTGGACAATGACTGCTTAGGGACAGGAGGGAGGCTGCTGCCACCTTTGGCCACTGTTGCCGGGCCGCATAGCTCGGCAGAAGCACTGCCTTCTTGGAACCTCAGCTTCTCCTTCTCCTCCTGGCCTTTTGGGGGTTGAAGGTTAGAGATCTGCTTGGGCAGCCTCGGTCTTTAGGTGCCCACCTCTGCAGGTCTTTTCTGAGCCTCTGTCCCTGTTGCCCTGGACTCCCCACCCTACTATCCAAATCTTTGTGTATTCAAAGCCCCACCCTGCCCCTCCAGGAAGCTCTCCCTGATGCCTCCAGCCCTCGCTGATTGGAGTCAAAACCTCCTGAGGGTGCTTCCAGTTGCTGTCTTCCCCTTGACACACACCCTTGGCTGTGAGTGGGGCACCAGGTATGCAGAGGCCCCACAGCGTGACCTGTGTGGGCAGGTGAGCCTGTAACATCCCATAACAGGCCAGCGTGGTCTGTGCTGGGTGGGGAGGAGCACAGGCGTGGAGCCACTGAGGCAACATTTGTGCTGCATCTTGGAGGGAGAAGCTGGAGACAAGAGGGTCTTGGGGGCAGACATCAGGCTAGGAAAGGCCTTGAATGCCAGGTAAGTAATTTGGGGACCTGGCCTTTTTCTGCAGGCAGAGCACCAGGGGAGAGGCTCTAATTGGATGGCACACTCCTGGGAGCAGACCCTTCCCATAATGCGTGGAGCCCTCCACCCACATCCTCTGTCTGGCGGTCTCATACTTGTTTTTCAGACCTCTGCTCCAAGGACACTTCCTCAGGGAAGCCCTCCCTGACCACACTGTCCATGCTGTCAGGGCTCCTTGGCTTTTCCTTTAAAGCCCTCATCCCAGTGTGTCTCCCACCCAAGTGTGGCCATTGATTAATGACTGCCTCTGCCACCAGGCTTTACAGCCACTGAGGGCAGGAATCAGAAGGGTTTGGTGATCCCCTAGGTCCCCAGCTCTCAGCTCAGTGCCTGGCACAGGATAGGTGCTCCATAAACACTGGCTGAATATGTGAATGCATGCAGGGCACAGAGCCCAGGAGCAACTGGCTGGAGGGGCTGCTGGCTGATGCATTGGGGGGAGGCACAGACCTCCAGGAAGCAGGGGCAGCTCCTCTGTTCCAGCCATCCCAGCCACCGCTGTGCTCCCTTTGTGTATCATAGGTGGCTCTTTAAAGAACCACTTGTAGGAACAAAAGCTGTCTTTGGCAGCACCTCAGTGGGTGGGCTGGGCCTCCTGAAATGCTTTGAGAACAGGTGGACTGAGCCAACTTGTCACCCCCAGGCTGGCTGGTAACTCTTGGGAGAGGGAGCCGTCACAGTGGCAGGGGCCTGGGAGGTAGGGTGATTGGTGGACCCAGCCCTGACCTCACCAAAAGTATTTTTAAAGCTTGCAAGAGAAAGGGGTATTTTAACCTTTGTTCCATCAAGGCATCCCAAGGGAAAAAGGAGGGGAAAGGAAGGAGATGGGGAGCTGCAGAGGGGCACAGAAGTAGGACCAGGGGCTTCTGAGGGAGGGGAAGCAGCCCCTGAGGCCCCCAAGGGGTTGGTTTTTTGTCCCTGGCCCTTTTAAATTTTTTAAAAGCTCCAAACAGCAAGAGGGACCGTGGAGTTCATTATATCGAGTTATCTCCTCCGTTTCAGGCAAAGATCAATCTTCTGGGTCTTGCAGCTCCAAGGGGGGAAGGGAAGAGAAAGAAAATGGAAGGCGAAAGGAAAAAACTCCCTGGACCAATTTCCGCTGCGAACACAATTACTGGGCTGCCTGGCAGCGGCACCAGCTGTTGGCAGGCATCCTGGCCCCCCGCCGGTTGCGTTCAGCTGCCGGCCGCCCCCAAGGCTCCCTCCTGAATGGGACAGGTTGGCAGGTGTGAGAGCCGCAGACTCCCTGGGGTGGGGGCTGCTGGGCCTGTTATCCCAGGGAGGCTGGGGCCCCACTGCTGTGCAGTGTGCGCTGCTGCGCCAGCTGGCCGGACCTCAGTCTCGCTTCCACCTCCCTGCCTTTGCAGTGTGTCCTGCCTGCTGGGCATGCCCTCTGGCTCCTGCCTGCTTCTTCATATGGGAGGCAGTTCATGTAGGGAGTAAGAACACAGGCTTCGGAGTCTGGTAGAGTTGGCTGTGCCCCTTCCTTCCTTCCTTCTTTCCTTCCTTCCTTCCTTCCTTCCTTCCTTCCTTCCTTCCTTCCTTCCTTCCTTCCTTCCTTCCTTCAGCAAATATGTATTGACTGTCTCCTGGGTGCCAAGCACTGCACATAGTACAGAGGTGAATCCAGAGGTGAACAAGGTGGCTTCGGGCCCTGCCTGCCTTATGGAGTTTATGTTGTGATGAGGAGGCAGACAGGAAACAAGGCCACACATAAATAGACAATATAATGTCAGGCGGAGGAAATGCTTAGAAAATTGGGAGAGACTGGGGTGCATGGTGGGCATTTTACCTAGGGTGCCTAGGGATGGTAAGAGGGCTCATTTGAATGGGATGGTAAGAAAGTCTGGGGGAAGAACCTTTGGTAGAAGGAGCGAGAGGGCAAAAACCCTGAGACTGGCCCGTGTGGGAAGGAGGCCAATTATGGTGGAAGATGATTTCTGAGAGGTGGGCAGGGCCTCGAAGGCTTTGGAGAGAGTTTGGACTTCAGTCTGTACCATGGGCTTATGGCAGGGAGCCACAGGGCCTGATTCTCTCCGTCATCGTGCTGCTCTGATAGTTTGGGGCCAGAGGTGGAGGCAAGAAGCTGAGTGAGGGAGGAGGCTGTTTCAATAATCCAGGCAAGAGCTGGCCAGGGCGGGGCAGAGGAGCTGGGGGAAGCAGTCAGGTTCTGGATGTGTTCTGGGATAGACCTGATAGGGTTTGCTGATGGCTTGGGTATGGGCCGAGGGAGAAAGAGAGAAGTCAAGGCTGAGGGAAACATAATTTGGGGATAAAAATGAAGAGTTCTGTTTTGGACAGGTCTGTTAGATGAGCAAGCGGAGATGACAAATAGGCCTCTGAACACGAACTGGCATTCAGGAGGGAGCTGAGGCTGGTGAGAGGGACCTGGGGGCACAGCAGGGGTTTAAGCTGAGGAGTGTGCAGACAGGATGGGATGGAGAGGATGTCCTGGTGAGCCCTGGGGCCTCGGATGCTTGGAGGGAAGTTAGGTAAGAGGGGAGAAGGTGTAGGAGGACAGCCAGGAGAGGCCGAGTCCTGGAAACCCAGAGATAAAATGTCACCTGATGGAGAAAGCAATCAGCCATGTCAGATGCTGCTGAGAGCTCAGGGACCAGTGAGGGGACAGAGAGTGACTATTGGGCTTGGCAAAACTGAGGTTTCTGGGGGACCTTGATAAGAGCAGTTTTGTGGAGTGGTGGGGACAGAACTGGAGAGGGAACTGGAAGTGAAGGGGTGGAGACAGTAGAGATAGCTCTTGAGTTTTGCTATTAAAGGGAAGCAGAGAAATGGGAGGGCATGTGAGGTCAAGGAATTTCCCTCCTTCCCTCTCTCTCTCTTCCTCTCCCTCCTTCCTCCCCTTCCTCCCTCTCCTTCCTCCCCTTCCTCCCTTTCTCCTTTCTTCCCTCCCTTCTCTTTCTTTTACAATATTGAGGCAAATTGCTCTGCTCTGTGGCTTTGGGCAAGCAGCATAACCTCTCTGAGCCAGTCTCCTTTTCTGCAGAATGGAGGTGACAACCCAGATGTTACTGGATCTGATGCACAACAGGTGCTGAGTAAATGGGAACTGTTCTAACTTAGGGCTCACATGGGGAAATGGACAGTTGCAGATCAGTACAGATGTTTTATGGAGGTCAACTTGGCAGCAAGTATCTACATGTAAAACGTGGATACCCTTTGATCTACCCTTTTGGAAGGCACCCAGAGAAATACTTACACATGTGTTCAATGAGACAGGATATTTTTTTCCAGCAATGTTTGAAATAAAAAATTGGAAACACCTAAGCACTCATCCTTGGGGGCCTGATTACACAGGTGAGGGTACACCCCACGTGGCATGCCTCAGTGCAGCACCATGAAAGCTCAGCTGTGACAGTCCGTTAGGAAAACATGCTGGAACTTCACAGCCCAGATCCAAACTTTGGCTCCACTATGCCCTGGCTGTAAACTCAGGCGGCTTACTGGTCACCACTCTACTCTGCACCTCAGTTTTCGTTTCTTTTCTTTTTTCTTTTCTTTCTTTTTGGTTTTTCTTTTTTAGAGATGAAGTCTCATTCTGTCACCTAGGCGGGAGTGCAGTGGCACGATCATAGCTCGCTGTAGCCTCCACCTCCTGGGCTCAAGTGATCCTCCTGCCTCAGCCTCCTGAGTAACTAGGACCACAGGTGCACACCACCATGCCCAGCTAATTTTTTAAATTAATTTATTTTTTTTGTAGAGACAGGGTCTTGCTATGTCACCCAGGCTGGTCTTGAACTCCTGGGCTCAAGCGATCCTACCCCTTCAGCCTCCCAAAGTGCTGGGATTACACGTGTGTGCCACCACATCTGGCCCACTTCAGTTTCTCATCTACAAAATGAGGATCAACACAGCACCCACTTAGGGATCTATTAATAGGATCAGACGAGTTAAGAGGTACAGCACTCAGCCCAGGGTCTGGCACACAGTAGGTGCTCAGTGAGCACAAGCATGGTTATTGCTATGTATGGACAGGGAAAGGTCTCAAAAATCTGTTGTGAAGTGAGGAATGCAGGTGCACACAAGCACAGGTGCTGTGCTCCCTGGTATATACCCCTATGTCTGTGTGCACCTCAAGTGATCCTACCCCTTCAGGTAGGATTGCACACACATTTGCACATGTGTACAAATGCACAGTTAAAGTTTCATGCCAAAGGGATGGCAGTCAGTACCTCTGGAGAGGTGACTGGGAATGAGAGTGTTTACTCTACAGACTACTGTATTTGAACCTCTTAAAAAGAGAATGCTTTCATGTGTTATTTGCATAATAAGGCCATAATATGTGAAGGTAGTCATTTAGGTCTTCACCTCTTTTAGGAAGCCTTCCGTGACTGCACCAGCCCACAGCCCTCCCCTGTCAGATCGCCTTAGTGTTCAGAAACCACATTTCCACTATGGCTGCTGGGAGTAAGATATGTGTGCACACATGCATGTGTGTGTATGAGTGGTCTCCCATTTAGCCTGTGAACTCCTTGAGGGTGTGGGCTTTGTACTTTCCAGGCTGGACACATCTTCAAGGCCAGCAGTTCTCAAAGTGTGATCCCCAACCAGCAGCATCAGCATTACCTGGGAGCTTGTTGGAAATGCAGATCCTCAGGCCCCACCACCCCCAGGACCTACTGGTCAGAAACTCTCGGGGTGGAGCCCAGCAAGCTGTGTTTGCACAAGTCCCAGCAACTCTGCTGCACCTGCCTGTACTGATGGGAGGCACAGTTAGGGTCCCAGGGTGAGCCAGTGACAAAGCTGAGACTGGGCCCAGGTAAAGACCTCAGGCAGACATGGGAAGGTGGCCCTGGGTACTCCCTTCCCACCAGCTCCTCTGTGCTCCTTGGGACCATAAGCCACACGTGGCCTCAGGAGGGAGGATTTGAGGTTCAGCCCTGTGTGTCCAGGAACCAGAGAACTGTGGCTTCCGCTGCACACAGGTTTGGATAGGTGGGGGCTGCGCTGCAAGTCTAGTTTGTATGTCCTCCGGGGCTGTGCGGGTGCCTGAATCCCAGCCTGCTGTAGCCCAGGCCCTTGCTTTACCGAAAGTGCAATCTTGACTCTGGAATGAATGTGGCATCTTTAGGCTTGCCCGCAAGCTTCCAGAGGGCAGGGTCCAGGTCTCCTCCTGCTCTATCTGGCCCAGTACACAGGGAAGCCCAGGCTGGGCAGAGACTTGGGTGGGGTTGACTACAGGACGGGTCTGCAGGCCCCGATCTGACTGTCCTCTCACCTCTTCCCTGCTGTCTCTTTGCAGGTGTCCCACCGAGGAGGCCCTGATCTTGAGCCCGGAGCCCTGAGCCCTGAGACGATGCTTGAGTGAGTTGAGCAGCTGCTGTCTGTGTTGGTGGATGCAGCAGGGCCAAGGGGTCTGTGCAGAGCAGCAGCCCTCTCTCTACCACCTCATTCTCCCCTCCCATCTCCTGGACCCCCCTTTCCCTTCCCCAGCCATGTTCCTGGGGAGGGGCGCTTTTGAGTCACTGGGCGAGGTAGGGGGTGGGAAGGTTTGGGGATCAGCTTTTAGGAAAAAGGAGGAAGGCAGCTCCCTGGTCTGATGGGTCAGGGTTATAGGCGCTGGGGGCCCTTGGAGAGCAACCGCTGGGGCCCTGGGGAGTGTGGGTGCCTGACCCAGGCACCAGCCAGCCTTGAACTTGGGGATCCTGGAGGCTCCTCCTGGAGGAGGAGCAGAGCTGTGGGCCACCCAGGTAAGGTGGGCGGCCTGTGGGGGACAGGCCAGGGAATCTGTTGGGGCAGGGTGTGCTCTGGGTGGTCAGGCTCTGACCTTAGGGCCTGGTTGTACTCTGTGATAAGCATTTTTCAGACACTATTGCTGTGTCTGGGGATCACTGTTAGATGAGGGGCGGCAAGGCTGACCCCAGTAGCCCCCAACTTTGACTTCAGTTCCAAGGACACTCTGTCCTGGGAATGATTACAGGGAGGGTTTCTGGTTTTGTTTTGTTTTGTATTTTAATTAAAAAAAAAATTCCATGCTCTCCCTCCCTCTCCGGAATTCTGGTTTTAATTTGGTGTCAAGGGCCCAGGCGTCTCTTCCGAGTCAGCCTTACCTATGTGCTCAGGAGGGAGCAGAAGGGGTGTGAAGTTGGGGAGACGGCACCCCTCCTCACAAGCCTGCAGCAGCAGTACTAGCGGATTTGAAGTAGTGGGGGCTGGAGGGGTGTGGCTGTCCATCCTCCACCCTGCCCTGGCCTAACTTGCCGCACGGCCCAGGGCAGGGGTTAACTGAGATCGGGAGTTAGGGCTCTGGCTTCAAATTTCCGTATCTGTAAAAGGGAGCTCCTCGTAGCTCATCCTCCTGAGCACTGTGTCGTGTGTAGAAGGCCAAGTACGAAGAGCCTGGCACACAGTTGGTGCTCAATAGATGTGAAAACACACAGTCATTTTGCAGCAGAGTCTTGGAAGGAGTTTGAAGGACTCTGGGGATCGGAGAAGTGCAGCCCTCGGCAGCTCAGACACCCCTGCAAGGGCCAGTGCAGCCTCCTGTCATTTGGGAGAGGAGAAACTACGCTCAGTGGACCTAATCCAGGCAGACTGCGTGGAGGAGGGTTGCTAATTGTGATTAATTTGTGTTGGTTGATCACCTCTTTTTAAGTGTACAAGAAACCATCTTCATACTTTAATTAGCTCATTAATCTTAGCAACAGCAAGCCATGAGAGGGAGCACTTTGTTCCCTTCCTGAGGCCTCGGTCGCGAGGTAGGATTTGGTCTTGGTCTCTACTCCAGGTTCCATGGGTCTATCCGTCTCTCTCCCTACACTTTGTCTCCCAGTGGTGGGTTACCTGAGAGGAGGGCTATGGTTGGAGGCCACGCCCTTGGCCACCATATCCTCTGGTCAGGCCCTCAAGGGTCATGGCATGGGGGTGGGAGCTGGAGGCTGCATCCATGAAGATGTGTGTGTGGACCAGGCAGCCACAGCCAGCAAGATTGTGAGAGGGAGCCCCTGGGCTAGTCTCTTGGGTTCTCTGTCTCTGGGGCACGTCCGTCCTTCCTGGACATGCCCTCTTCCCTCTCCTCCGTACTTGGACACTAACAGCCCCCTCTGCTCGGAGTGTGCCTCCTCTGAGAAGCTACCCCACAGTAACTGCCCTCAGCTGCCATCCTGTGGGTGGCTGAGTGGGCCCCAGCCCCACTCGGTTCAGTGAGAATGAGTTCCAGGCGCTTGTCCTGACCTAGATGGGGGAGCTGTGGGGGTGGCTGCTGCACGCTGAGAGGGACTGGAAACAGGAAGGAGGGTGGGCAGGCAATTCAGGGATCTACAGACACAGGCTTCAGTGGAAGGGATGCCATTCAGGGGAGAGCTGGGAAGGGACAGGCTCCAATCCAGGAGGCCGGCCGTGGCCGGTGGGGAGGGCTATCAGTCAACACACCTGGACGCAGCATCAGAGCACCTTCGATTATTTATGACTCGTGGGATGGCCTCTTGAAATCTTTGAAATAAAAGCAGCCTGTGTGCTAGATCAGAGCCTGAACATGCGTGCTGGGGGGCATGGGAGCCGGGAAGGAGGCATTATGCAAACCCGGGAGCCACAGTTACAACAACGGCATCTGTCCGAGTGCAGAGCAGGGAGCCACCATGGGCTCTGTGTGCAGGCAGGGCTGGCGTGGGCTGTGGCCAGCCTTGGCCGGAAGCTCTGCCTGAGGGGAAGCCACACTCGAGCACCCATCTGACGGGACTGCACATGTGAAGCCTACTCCAGAAGGGACCTCAGTCCACCTGGCACTGCCCAGCAGGCATGGGGAAAGGGTCTTGCTTGGATGGGTGCATTTGCTGGGCACCTCTTGCCACCCCATCATCACCACCAGAGTTTACCAGCCTGACGTTTTGTGTGAGCTTGAGATGCGGACGCAAGCTAGCGCTACCTTCATTTCTAAAACGGGAGCAGAACCACGGGGGTGGGTGTTAGGCCAGTTCCCTAAACAACATCCTATACTTGGGAACTTAATTTTTAACTTTAAGGTCAGAATGTGTCTGCTGCAAACGCTGCTGTTGGTTTTCACCTCAGTCCAGCACAGAAGGGAGGCCTCGTTGCTCTTTCTGCCAGCCCTCTGGTCCTGGGCATTTCTGAGGAGCTGTGGGTGGACCTAGCAGTAAAGTGTAGAGTGCAGACCTCAAGTCCTGAGCTAGACTTGGGTTCATGGTTTCTCTGTGCTTCAGTCTCCTCATCTGTGAAATGGGCACAGCAGTTGTTTTCTCATAGGCATATTGGGAAGATGAGATGAGATGATGCATGACCTGGCACGTGGTGAGGGCCTGTCAGTGGAGTTGTGATTGTCATTGCCGTGGTTGGTGGCTGCTGGGGTGGGCAGCAGAGCCAGTTCAGTCTGAACTGAGTGACATTCGGGTTCCTGTATCCAGGCTGCTGTGGTTGTGGTGGGGGAGGCGGCTCCAGCTTCTTCCCTGCTGTCTCCCTCTGGGTGTCAGTTACTGAGGGCTGCCAGGGATAGTGCTGGACAGGAGGGAGCTGGGTGTGCAGCTGGAGAGAGCTTGTCCCTGCTTCAGTGACAGGAGCTTTCAGCCACCTGGGTAGGGGAGGCACAGAGGGATGAAATCTCTGAGCCTAGAGGAAATAAGGAGGCTGCTTTCATGGGGCACAGAGAGGCAGCAGTGGCAATGCTGGGGTTGAGCGGAGAGGCCTAGCACATTGGGATGGTGGCAGGGAGGAGAGTGAGGAGAAGGAACTGGCACAGGCTCTTCACACATGGAACATCGTTGGTTCTCACGCAGGAGAGGGAAGCCATGATCCCTGTTTCCCTATGAAAAATGGAGGCCCACATATGGAAGCTGAGTTGACCCAAGTCACAGAAAAGGCAGAGCTGGGATTGAATCCCCTTCCCCATGTCCTGTGCCCTGAAGGGGCTGAGGGCACCAGGAGTGGGGCAGGCTCTAGTGCCAGGCTCTGGCTGTCCCGGGCAGGGGACACGCGTGGGTCTGGATGTGCATGTGTGTGCATGTGCATTTGTGTGCCGAGTCTCTCCCCACTTCAGCAAGGAAGCTCTCTGGGAAACTAGGGCAGTGGGGCGGCTCTCTGCCACCTCCTACAGTATTGGCACCTGGGGGCGGCTTCTACATTGGAGCCTGGTGTCTGGGCCCAGCCTGTTCTCCCGCACATGTGCCTCCCATGACTCTGCCCCCACCCCAGCCTGCCTGCCAGGATGGAGGGGTGTCTGGGGGGCTGGAAGGTACCCGGAATAATAAAAATAATTCTCAGCTAAGACATTGAATGCCAAGCATGAGTAAACATCATTCTCCCGTTATCCAAGGCCACAGGGGCAGAGTGACTTGCCCAAGGCCACACAGCTAGGCAGTTGTGGGGCAGGATTCTGACCCTAATGGTGGCCAGAGGTCCTGGGGGACCCAGCTCTGGTTTTTCTCAGTGGGCAGTCCCAGGACAGCACCTCAAGGTGCTGAAGAGCCAGGACCCTGCCCCAGCTGTCATTTACCAGCCTTTCTGTGGCCAGGCCTGAGGGAGGCATGGGCCACACCTCCCCTCAGTCTAACCTGCCTGCAAGTCCTTCCTGTTCCCATGTTACAGATGTGGAGACTGAGGCTCAAGAGGGCCCCATGCCACTCTGATGCCAAAGTCTGGCTTTTTTCCCCCTGCCTTGCTGCTCCAGAGCGTCTACTGATGCCCTCTGCCTGTGTCTCCCCCAGGTTGATGCTGTGGCCCAGGCCTGATGCCTGCCTGTGCAGCTAGAGGGAAAGAGAGTCTGGACCAGTCTGGATATAGAGGGACAGAGAGGCAGGGGCAGCCCGGCACAGACGGGTACGGGGCAGGCGCTGGACCATCTCAGTCTCAGAAAGTCATGTGCACTGCCCGAGCCCCTGAGGCAAGATGGGTAGCTACTGAGAACCTGGTTTGTGGCATCAGACAGCATAGCGTGAGTCCCAGCTCCAGTACTTACCAGCTGTGTGGTCTTAGACATGTTACTTAAGCTCTCTGGGCCTCAGTTTTCCCATTGGGTAACAGGAAAATGATAGCAGAACCCACCTCACAGGGCTGTTAGGGGATAAATGGCATAGTCAGGTACTGCACTAGGAATGACACTTGGCATGTAGTAGGCACTCAGTAAATTCTAGTCAAAGTTGTCATTGTTATTAGCAGGGCTATAGAACATTCTAGGTTGAAAGCAGAGCCTTCCTCCTATGTGCAACTAGATGCCAGAGCCAAGAGGGACAGGGCTGGGGCCTGCTTCAGCCTTCCCCCTACTCCCCCCACAACGCTCCCAACCCCGGACCTCCAGTCCTGAGTTTTTCATTCCCTGGGGAGCAGGTAAATGTGGGGGACGGAGGGGATTTGCCATTTTGCACATTAACTATTTTTATATTTATACCTACCTTATTCCAATAAGTATTTGTGAGAGCTAAGCATAATTGTGATACCAAGGTAGACAATTCAAGGCAGGGGAAAATAGGATGCAATAGCAAGGAAAAGCTTGGGGAGCATTAGAACACGGATACAGAGGGTCCAATCTTGGGCTGAATAGTTGGTTCTATGATTCCTGGTAGTCAGAATGAAAAGGGAACTATCAGTTATGAGAACTGTGCTGTCCACAGGAGCAAAACAGCATATAGTCCTTGAGAAGGAGTAGGTTTCCTGGAGGAGCGGGAGCCATATCTATTCCAACATCTCTGCAGCCCACGGCAGCTCAGAGTGTGGAGAGTGGAGGTCAGATCTCAGACCTGGGTCAGAGGGCTGGCCAACTCCAGGCAGGGAGATCCTCTTCCTGCACAGAGTGATCTGGGGCCCAGGACAAGGACCACTGGGCCACAGCCCCTGATGCTTGCCCTGCTCTCCCTCCACCAGCTCCCAGCCCTCCCAGCTCTGGATTCTTCTGTCTAGCTGGGTCTGCACAGGGAGGAGCAAGGGTTAAGCTGGGTCTGCACATCTGCAGTCCTGGGCCTGAGACCAGCTCTGCTTGCTCTGCCCTCCTCCTCAAGGACCCTCAGTGTCTCCTCATTGGCTGATAATCAGCTGCGCCTCCCTGCACCTGGCCTCTGATCTCTAATCCTGAGCCTAGCTCAGCCCTTGGGGCTTCTTTGCATCCCCTTCCTTAGCCCAACTCTGCAAGTGCTCTCTGACCTGGATGTGCCTCCATCATCTCCCCACTGGCACTGAGCTGCCCAGAGGCAGAGTGGAGTCTTCCCAGCTTCCCTCCCAGTGCCGGCTGGGCCCTCCTAGTGCCAACTGGGCGCTTGGGTGGGTGTGGGTGCCATAAGCCTTGCAGGGAAGGAGGGTTAAAGAGAATGGACATTCAGTCATCGCAGAGAGTGGGTTTTCCACTTTGCAGAATACCTTGCAAATACTTGGCCAAGTCCAGACCTCAAAACAGCTTTGTGAAATAGGACAGCAACAGCAGACCCAGAGTAATAACAGCTCCTGTTTCCTCAGTGCCCGCTATGTGCCAGGCACTGTGCTAAGCAATTTACAAATAGTTATTTATTTAATCCTCGCTACAGTCCATGAGCTGTTTCTACAGAGAACTGAAGTGCAGACAGAGGATGAGAAACTTGCCCAAAAGTACACAGTCCTTAAGTGGCAGAGTGGGGATTTGAACCTCGGCAGTCTGGACTACATTCCAAGCATTTGTCTTCATGGCTCCTCCCAAGGGCTAGTGAGGGAGAAGTGTGATGCCCACATTGCAGACATGGAAACGGGCCCAGAGACAAGGAGGCCTGCCTGAGGTCACACAGCTAGGAGGGAGTGGATGAGGCGGGGTTCCCATTAGCTTCATCCCATCCCCAAGCTGGAGCTGGAGCTGCCCTCAGACCCCTCCCTGGAGGCTGGGAGGAGAGGGTAGGAGTGAGGCTGTGAGGGCCACAGGAAACCCCCTTCCAGGTGTGGCCCCTGTGTGTGGCACCCACTCCCAGCCCCCAGCCCTCAGCAGCCGAGACGAACGAGGCTTTGGTCTCTGGCCTGGCCGGAACAGGGTGAGCTCTGGGGGTTGGGACTCAGCAGACGCTGGTGCAGCCCACCTGCCTCTAGCTGGTGGGCATGTGGCATGTCCATGATGAGTGGGCTCTTCGCAGGGTGAGCATTAATCACACTGCCAGGCAGTGGGAGAGGCAGCTGCCTAAAATGCCTGCACCTGGGCAGGATCGATCACCGCCAGACCTGGCCGGGCCAGGAGGCTGAGGGCAGCCAGGGGCCATTTCTGCCAGGCAGGCAGTCAGGGAAGAGGCCTGGACTGGGGGAGGAGACACAGCCCTGACCTGGGGCTCTCTGAAGAGGCCTGGTAAGAGGGGACTCCTCCTCTTCTCCCAGGGACGGCCCTTTAGTGTGCTGCAAAGCCATTTATCCTGTTTTAAGATGCATGGTTAAGACTTGCCTCCTCCAAAAGCTGTTGTAGAGTGCCCATGTGACAGCCCTGGACATTTTCTCAAAGGAATGTGCAGTGTCCCCGGGAGCCAGGCAAAAGGGCTTTGAATCCGCATTGCCACCTGCCAGCTGTGTGACCTTGGGGAAATTACTTCACCTCTCTGAGTGCTAGTTTCCTCATCTATAGGATGGGGATGAAGCTCATTTTTTCCTTTTCTTTTTTTTTTTAAATTATGGTAAAAAAAAAACATATAAAATGTATCATCTTAGCCATGTATAAGTGCACAGTAAGGCAGTGTGAACTGTATGCCCCTTACTGTACACCAGATTCCTTTTCATCTTGCATGACCAAAATTCTGTATCCACTGGACAACAACCGCTCCTTTGGCTGTCCCCACAGCCCCTGGCAGCCTTCCTGCTACTTTCTAAGAGTTTGAGCACCTTAGGTACCTCATACTAGGAAACCATATATATGTGTCTTTTTGTAACTGACTTATTTCACATAGCATAATGTCCTCCGTGTTCATCCATACTGTGGCATGTGACAGTGTTTCCTTCCTTTTTTAAGGCTGAAAAATAGTCCATCATCTGTATACACCACATTTTGTTTATCTGTTCATCTGTTGATAGACAGTTGGGTTGTTTCCATCTCTTGGCTATTGTGAATAATGCTACAATGAACATGAGTGTGCACATACCTCTTTTGAGATCCTGTTTTCAATTATGATATGTATATATATGCACACACATACACACACCCAAAAGTGGGATTGCTGGATCGAATGGTAATTCTATTTTTAATTTTTACAATTAATTTAGTGGTTGCCCCATTTTACATTCCTACTAGCAATACACAAAAGTTCTGATTTCTCCATGTCCTTGCAAATACTTATTTTTCTTTCCGTAGTGACCATCCCTATCTGAGGTGAGGTGAGACCTCATTGTGGTTTTGCTTTGCATTTCCCTGATGATTAGCGATGCTGAGCATCTTTCCATCTGCTTTTTGGCCATTTGTATATTTTCTTTTGAGAAATGTCTATTCAAGTCCTTTGCCAATTTTTGATTGGATTATTTTTGTTGTTGAGTTGTAGAAGTTCTTTATGTATTCTAGATATTAACCCCTTTCAGATACATGGGTTGCCAACATTTCCTCCCATTCTGTAGGTTGCTTTTCCACTCTGTTGATTGCTTCCTTTGTTAAGCAGAAGGTTTTAAGTTTGATGTAGTCCCATTTGTCTATTTTTGCTTTTGTTGCCTGTGTTTTTGGTGTCATGTCCAAGAAATCATTGCCAAATCCAATGTCATGAAGCTTCTCCCCTATGTTTTATTTTAGGAGTGGTATAGTTTCAGGTTTTGTGTTTAGGTCTTTCACCCATTTGAAGTTAATTTTTGTATATGGTGTAAGGTAAGAGTCCAGCTTCATTTGTTTTGCTTGTGGAAATCCAGAAACTGAGCAGAGGCCGTAGCAACTGCAAGCTCATTCTTTCTTGTGCAGGGTCTTGATATCTGGGTGCCCTAATGAGGACAGGACTTGTGCTCCTTCTTCCTGATGATGCCTATTGCTCTGGCCCTGAGTCTTTCCTCCTCTGGGTCTTTGGGTCTTGCTGCACCCAGGCCAGGTAGGGCAGGATGGGGTGCCTGTGGGGGAGGCAGCCCACTGCAGGGATGCAGGCTTCTTCCTCACCCATCTCCAGTGCTTTGGGGACCTCTGGGTAGGGTCAGGAACTCCATCAGACACAGGGGCGGAGACACAGGTGCTCAGTTCACTCAGGAGGACTTGTGTAGAGTCAACAGCCCAAAGGGTCAACACTGGACACTGGTCTGGGGGAGAAAAAGGTCTCAGTGGGGCAGCTTAGGGCTGTGGCCTCCTCCTGCCCTAATCTTCCGATGACTCAGATGAAGGTGCTGAGTCCCACATTTGCCAGTGAGAGGCAGTTCTCACCATGGGTGCTCAGCTGGCAGAAGCTCTGAGCTGAAACCTACCAACCAAATGGAACTCTGCAGCCAGGAAAATGAAGTTTTGCACTTGGGCTCAAACACTCAATGGCCAGGGGATGGATACAGGAGTAGTGGTGGGGCGGCCGCTCTATGTACGCTCCCTGGGCGTGCTATGCTGGAGCCATCTCAGACCAGCTCTCTTTCAAGCCCATGGACACATATTCAGGAATTTTCCAAGCCAGTTGTTCAACACAGGAGTCCACCTTCCAGGCTCACATCCTGGCTTTCCCAGGTCTGGCAGATGCAGGCTCTACCTCTCACAGGAGCTGCCTGTCGCTTTCTGTGTGATCCAGGCAGGCCTTTTCCCCACCCTGTGCCTCTGTTTCTCCATCTGCAAAATAACCATTGTACCTTTCTCAGGGAAGTTGTGAGGGTTAAACAAGATCATTGATTATTTATTTATTTATTTATTTGGAGACAGGGTCTTGCTCTGTTGTCCAGGCTAGAGTGCAGTGGTGTGATCATAGCTCACTGCAGCCTCGACCACCAGGGTTCGAGTGATCCCCCTACCTCAGCCTCCCCAGTGGTTGCTACAGTAGTTGGGTGCAACGCCACTGTGCCTAGAGAATTTTATTTTCTTTTTGGTAGAGACAGGGTCTCGATATGTTTCCCAGGCTGTTCTCAAACTCCTGGGCTTGAGTGATCCTCCTGCCTTGGCCTCCTGAAGTGTTGGGATTATAGGCATGAGCCACCTCGCCCAGCCAAGGTGATGGATTTAAATTCCTCTGTGGAGAATAAGTACCGATGGGAAAACTGAAACCCCCAACCCCCATGGCTGAATTCCCCGTTCAGGGCTTTCTGTCCTTCTCAGGTCCTGGGGCAGAAAGTCAGCAGAGCCTGTGTAGACCTGCCTCTGGACTGGGCACACCCAAACCAGCTTGGACACCCAGAAGGGAGCCCCACCATCAGGAAAGGGTGGGTATGGGCGTGAGGTCCTTCTGCTCTGATCCTTCAGCATGGCTAGTGTGACCAGCACTGGGAGGCCTGGGAGGAGGCCAGGCCTTCATCTCAGGCTCTCCTGGGGTGGGGCGGTGGCCGGGTCCACACACCGTCTGGGAAGCAGTTGCTGATACTTGCCCTGGGCTGGGTGTGGGTGATTTGGCTGTGGGCTTTTTCTTGAAGGTCTGCCAAGGTAGACTGTGGGGGAGGGCATGGTTCAGCCCCTGAACATGAGGCTAGAGCCTGGCCCAGTGGTGGGCTGTGGCCAAGGGAGGTAGTAGGGAGACTCGGGGGTGCTTACTGCCCTGGGTGCTCGTGGCCCTCTCCCTAGTTATGGAAGCCCACATTAGGCACTTTATGTGCCTCCCCCTCATCCATTCCTCACCATAGCCCATGAAGTGGGTGCTGACCTTATTATCTCCACTTCACAGATGAGGAAACTGAGCCCGGAGAGGCGAGGTTGAAACTAGAAAGTGCCTCTGCCACTGCAGGCTTGCTGGTGACCTTGGCCAGTGCCAGCACAGTTTCCTCATCTCAACAACGGGGACACAGACGGGCGCAGCTGGGGGAATGTGTTCGACATTAGTTGCGTCTTCTGAAGCGGTAAAGGGCCCACAGACCTGATAAGTCCCCGCGTTTGCAGATCAGCAAACCGAGGCTGAGAGAGTCATAGCCAAAATCATCTCCTGGCCTGGCTCACGCCACCCTCCCTGCCCAATTCACACCCCTAAGGTTGCTCTGGACCCCTCAAAAGCCCCTGATGCTGAGTCGGTGCAGACAGGCTTCAGTCATGTGTGCATCTGTATGTGTGCATGTGTGGGCACAGGTATGTGCTGGGATGGGGGTACCTGGAGGAAGCGGGCAGAGCTGAGCAGACCCTGGGGCCATTGGATAAGAGGAAGGGGCCCCCCTCCCCACTCCCCGCTCCTGCTCCGGGTGCAAGGAGTGGGAGAAGCCCCGGGTGACTGGGTTTGTGCCCACTATATATAGCCCAGCTCAGACACGCACGCCCGGCTATTTCTGTGTTCCTCCTCCTACTGAGGCAGGGGGAGGGGAGAGAAAGTAGTCCATCTAAAAATATAACCTGGGGAAAAATATCACAACGCCTGAGCTGAGCCTGAGAGATCTGTCTCTTTCTCTCGCCTCCCGCCCCCGCGCCCCGACTTACCTCACAGCCGCCTCGGCTCCGTTTGGAACTGTTGCCCCCTCCCCCACCTGTGCCACTTTCCCCTGATGCCCCCCAGCTGGGGCTGGGGTCGTTCCATCCCCATGTCACAGGTGAAGAAACTGAGGCCTGGGGAGGGCCTGCTTGGGTGTGGCACTTTGTGCTGCTCATCCCTCCAGGATGCCCAGGCCTGGGGGCAGTCCCTCCCTGCCCTGCTGAGCCTGGACTAGGGTGGGGCCCGGGTCCAGGACTTGGCTGTGCACTCACTTGTTTTCAATCTCCCTGAGCCTCAGTTTCCCCAACTAAAAGGGGACAGTGATACCAGTTGCCTCGTAGGTGGTGCTAAGGGTTGATGGAGAGGCGCAGGTAAAGCCTGGGACACGTGCCGGGCACGTCAGAAGCACGCAGAGACGTCAGCCTCGGTTGTCGTCATTGTTATTATTTTAATTATCCACCGCCTTCATCCTGGCCACAGAAATGACTCTTCCTCTAGGAGCTTCTTGAGGGCAGGATGACTCTTAGCAGGTCTGCATCATGGTGCTCAGCAGGAGGCCTGCCTGCTTACAGCAGCATTCAATAGATGACACGGTTGCATTTAGATTCGCAGAGGAAGGCAAGGGGCTCTAAGGCTGATGAAACCCCTGCCTCAGGCCGCGCTCACTGCTCTGTGGCTGTCTTGATCCTCACACTTACTCCCCTCAGTGCCTGTCTGGGGGTGGGGGCGGGGTGGGATGGAAGGTGAGGATGGGATGTTGTTACCATCCCCATTTTAACGACAGACAGAAAACTAGAGCTCAGAGAGGGAAAGCGATGGGCCCTGGGTCACACAGCTGGGACGGAGCCTGCAAGTGTGCTGGTCCTGAGGGCCCCCGACCTGTCTGTCTCCACTCTGTGAACTGCAGGAGCCTCCAGGGGCGCTGTGAAGGCCCAGCCCCGGAGCGCCCTGCTGGTGCTTTCCACAGCCCTGCTGCTGCCCTCCCCGGGTTACTGCGTGAGGGGCTGGAGAGTGCACCCCTGGGTTACTGAGCATCCATCGGGTGCCCTTGTGATGGTTCTCAAATTCCATGCTCTGTCAACCAGCACCAACTTATGACCAGCCCTCTTTCCTCTACACCCACGCACTCTCCACCACCACCAGGTTATTTTGATGTTGTATAATTTTTTCCATAAATATTTCAGCGCATATCTCTAAAAGATGAGGACCCTTTAAAAGACAGAACCGTGATACCATTACCACACCTTAAAAATTAAATGTTACCTGGCACAGTATCCACTTCCTGCATCACTCTTAAAAATTGCCTTGAGGTAGGAGTTAGCATCGCCATTTTATAGATGAGGAAACTTGAGGCCCAGAGAGGATTAGTCACTGGCCTGAGTTCACATAGCTTGTGAGTGGCCAAGTGGGGATTTGAACCTGGGCCACTTGACTCTAAAGCCAGTGCTCATTCCTCTTTCCTCTGCCAGGCAGGGCCCCAGCTTGCCTCCTGCCATCTCCAGAGGGTTGCCACGCCCTGTGGCCCTAGGGCAAGGAGCTCCTGGCATATTTTTGTTGGGGGACAGTCTAGTTCCTGGGCCTCCTGATAAACCCAGAGTCCAGCCCAGAGGCTCAGCCAGGTTATGTACTCAGAGACGGGCTGCGAGTGAGCTGTCTTCCCTGGCCGGTGTGCTGAGCTTTACCGGGCCATTTAAAAGCTGACAACACATTTTGCAGGCTCCTATTTAAGATATACTAAAAAATAAGCACCTTTTCAGGGAGGAAACTGCAGCATGTCGGGGTGAAATATGTCCGTGGTGTCACCTACACACATGTCACCCTGCAGGTGCAGAGAGGGGTGGGAGCATCAAGCACCCAGCCTCACCCCCCACCAGGCAGCCTCGGAAGGTGAGCAGGTACTTGATGAGCAAGTGGATTTGTCAGCATTTCTGGCTCTGCAGCGGGAAGAGGGAGGTCACGCTTTGGGGGGTCATGTTAGAGGTTGGGGTGGATAGGGGCATAATTAGGGGGCAGGGGAAGTTACCTGCTCCAGGCTGCCCATTTCAGATGGAGAAGCTGAGGCCCGGGGTGGGAGGATGAAGTTGCGAGGTCATACATCCTGAGAGCTGCCCCAAGCCTGGTCCCCAAGCCCAAGGCCAACGCTATGCAGGAGGTGCTCCTGTCTTCCTCTGCCCCTTCTCATCCCACCTCAAAACAGACTTTCTCAGACTTAGGGCAGGCCTGGACCAGGAGCCAAGCACTGTGGTAGGCACTGGGGATACAATAGTAAACAAATAAAAAACACAGTCAATCAAACCGGGTTCTTCATGGAGCTTCTGTAGTTGAATGGAGGTGACAAATAAAGAATGCCAACAATGTCGTGAAGCTGCGGTGTATCTACCACCAAGGGGCAGATGTGGGGTGCTGTCAGGGTATTTAAGAGGAGACCCACCAGGTCGGGGAGGCAGGGAAGGGCTTTGGGAGGAGGTGACACCAGGGCTGAGCACTGCAGGATGAATGTGTGAGCCGAGAGGGTGGGAGGCAGTGGCTGGGGGAAGAGGGGCAGCAGGCAAAGGGAAGAGCACATACCAAGGCCCTGTGGCAGAGGCTCCAGGGGATTCTGAAAGGCCAGTGTGGCTAGAGTGGAGTGAGCTTGGGGAGGTATGGCTGGAGGGGGTTAGGGCCGGGTCTCACGAGGGCCATGAAGCGGGGTGACTGGGGCGGGAGGGTTAGACACTTGGATTTGTGGTATGGACAGATTTCTGGCTGTCACAGGAGGAAACGACCTTGGCTTTGAGTCAGGAGTGGACTGGGGAGTGGGTAGGGGTGAATGTGAGCATTGAGGCAGGAGGGGCGGTGGCTCAGACCATGGTATTGGTCAGGCTGCCCTCTGGCTCTCTGTTGTTCCCCTGTATCCTCTCCAGGCCTGCTGACCCAGGAGAGTCCCGGAAGGTGTCTGGGAGGGACAGTCCTTCAGCCGTGGGTGGAGGGATGAGGGAGGCGGGGAGGCTTTGCTGAGCCAGCTGTGGAGGGAGTCATGGTGCTGGGCCCCAGGCCTGGGGCCTTCCCTGTCTGGAAGGCAGCTGAAGAGGCAGCTGGGGTGTGAGCACAGGAGCACGCGGACGTTGTCACGTCTGCCTGGTCTCCACTCTGAGATCTAACCCAAGGAGGAGCGGGTGCCCGAGAGGGGAAGGGAGCTCAAGAAAAAAAAAAATAGCTTGCTTGACTTAATTATGACTGATTGTGACAGCTTACATCTTTAGTCTGAAAAGTATCTATGGGGTAAGGACTGCTTTTCTCAATCGGGATAATTATGTTAATTAAAATGCTTTCTTTACAGCAGTTCTGATTAATAAAAACAGTTCCACTGCTCTCTTTAAACACTCTAACCTTCTGTTGCATGGGGAAGGAGGCCCTTTCTCAACAATTTATGGTTCTTCATGCAGATTCCAAAAGGCGACCTGCTGCCGGGTGGCCTGGTGGCAGGCACTGCGCTCACACACGTGGGGGCGGATGCAGGCAGAGGGGCAGGTGCGTGGACCTGGCGGGCGGCGGGACTGGCCATTGGGGCGGGACAGGCCGGGGCACTGCTTGGCAGAGTCGGCTGCAGAATAAAAACGCCGTTTACTCCTCTAATTGCTGTTTATTTCCTCTGGACAGCATGGAGATAATTAACGAGCTCCCAATTAAGAAAAATTACATGTGGGGGACTGAGGTGTCAGGGCCAGGATCGGTATTGGAGTGGAGGGGTGGGGTGGGGCTGGTGGTAGGAGCAGGGGTCCTTGGTGAAGCCAAGGGGGTGGTGGTGTGTGTGCTAGAAGAGGTGGATGCAAGTCAGCAGGAGGGGTGGTGAGGCAGGGGCTTCACTGCCAGGGAGACTGAGTGGAAGGGAACAAGAGCTTTGAGCATAGCTTCACTGTCCCCAGCCTCAGTTCCTCTCTTTGCCTAAGTTAGAGGTCACAAGTGGTGGCTCAGAGGCAGAATCTGTCTCATAGTTGTGTGTGTGTGTGTATGTGTGTGTATGCATGCACATGTGTATAAGTGCCAGTCTGTGTGTGTGTGAGTACATATGTGTGTATGAAAGCGTGTGAGTGTGCGTGTGTGTGTGAATGTGAGTTTGTGTATGTGTGAGTGTGTGAATGTGAGTGTGTGAATGAGATTGTATATATGTGCGTGAATGTGAGTACACATATGTATGAGAGCATGTGTGTGTGTATGTGTTCTAGCCACAGAGTGTGGCAAAAACCTCAGCCCACAGATTGTTGGAAGATTGAGAGGTTTCTTATCAAAATCTGGCTTCTGGAGTCTCTTGAAAAGTCAGAGGCCCAGCAAGCATATGCCGGCAGGAGCCGAGTGCTGCGTGGTGGCTGCCCCCGTGTGTCTCCCGTGACCTCCCCGTCCTCATGTCCATGCCAGCCTGACCTGGGAGGCGTTTGGGTTTCGTGGCACTGTGTGGCTCTGATCTGCCTGTGAGGGTGGAGGCGGGGGATGATCTTACATGGAGGAGGGGCACTCAGTTGACCACCATCCCTTCTCCTAAAGGGACCGAATGGAGATGGGGTCCCAGAAGCCCCGAGTAGAAGTGTCTTGGTGCTGGTGCTGGCAGGAGACTTTGTGGGGTTCCTCACTCCACCACCCAGCCACCCCAGGCCTGGGGAGCCGCTCAGTCCTGTCACTGCCCAGAGGGGCTCAGGCAAACCTGGCCTCACTCTCAAAGAGGCAGTGAGGAGGACGTCCCAGGAGGTGCCCCTGGGAGGGAGAGTTGACTGCCTGCCCAGTCAACTGGCCCCCTCCCGGAGGCCCCAGTTCTCTCTGGACCCTCCGCCCTGCCTGGACAAGCTCCTCATTTATGGAGGACTTTGGCTGCTGTGCCACTCAGGCAGGTCCACACTCTGCCCCAGACACAGACTGAGGCCTTGTCGGTTTCCCCAGTTCCCTCCACCCCAGCCCAGCCCCAGCCTCTCTTGCTGCTAGAAATGAGGAAATAAGGTTAGGAGCTTCTTCTCGCCCTACCACCTGGTTGAGGAAGATGCTGTGGCAGTCAGGGAGGCCCCGGTAGCCCACAGAGTACATGGACCAAGAGGGTCGGGGGCTCGGGCCCGTGTCACACAGCTGGGAACCAGGGGCTGGGGCAGGCACAGAGCCCAGGCATCCTGACCCCAGGGGGTTATGATGGTGACCAAGGCCACGCAGTTGTGACTAAGGGGTCTATACTGCCAGAGAAAGTGATGCTAATGGGTCCCTAGACCCCTGCCTCTTTCCCATGAGAAGACTGCAGGCTGGCTCCCAGCGTGCATCTCTGGGGTCCGATATTGGGGTCTAGAGGCTTGCCTGTGGACGTGTGTGTGGACATGTGCCATGCAAATATGCGTGGATGTGTGAGTCTGTACATGTGTAGGCACGCAATACATACATGTGTGTGGTCCTGTATACACATACACACATGGGCGTGTGTGAGCTCGTCCAGGTGTGCATGTTGACACGTGTGTGTATACATGTGGGCGCTGTGTGCATATCACATGCACAGCCATGCGTGGGCATGCTCCTCTGTATACATGGGATGGGCGTGGGTATGCATGAGCGTGTGCATTCATACATGTGGCTGTTAAACCCGCGTGTCTGGGGTGCTGCACTTCTCCAGCTCTGTCCCTGCATGTTCACACATACGTGTCTTCCTGTGTAGGTCTGCGTGTGAAGCTGAGGGCCACGGCAAGACCCCTCCGTGGGCCCTGGAAGAAGGTGGCTCCCTAGGTGGGTGGTAGCGAGTCAGTGATGTGAGCTCAGGCCTGGGCTGGGAGCCCTGCTCCCATGGGGGATGGCGCTGTCTCTGTAGCTGCTCATGAGCATCCTCTTGGGCACCAGCTTCTGGGCAGGCCTCGGCCCTGCTCCCAGCTCCCTGGGCCTCCAGCCCTGGGAAAGTTCTGCCTGTGCGGAGGGAGCAGAGGCTGTATCACCTGCTTCATGACTCCACTGCCCAGATGAGCTGATGATGGAGCAGGGGCCTTCCTTCTCCACTCGGGCCCCCTTGGGCCCCTCTGAGGTCCAGCCTGGCTGGGCTGGGCCTTTCCCCACCATAGTGGAGCCAGACTGTAGGTATCCAATGGGGTCTGAGCCGTGCTGAGCAGGGCCTCCGCTGCACCCTGTCTGCTGAGGCTCCCTCCTGTGCAGAACAGCCCGGGCCTGGGCTTGGTGGGGGCCGCCCTGGCCCAGGCTCCCGAGGCTGTCTTCCTTCTTAGTGCCAGCTAAGGTAGAAGCGGGCTGAGCCCTCCCTGCCTGTCTGCCTCTCCTTGCCATTCCTCCCCAACTATCGGGGCTGAGCTTCTGACCCTCTGCCAAGAGGGAAACGTGCTTTCACAGGCAGGACAGTTCTGATCCTCTCACACGTGGTGTGCCAGTGGAGGGCTTTTGGGCACTGTGAGCAGGGCTGGGGTGCCAGTTCTGGGCAGGAACACCCCCCTCGCCTTGGTAGACACACTGGCTCCTACATGCATGTGGCGGCCCCACAGGCTGGCTGGCACCTGGGCCTGCCACCCCCACCTCTGCCCGCCTGGGGGCTGCCCCCCCTCACCTCCACTGTATTTACGTGTCTATTTTATGATTTCAATTTTTAATGCCTCTGCTCTTTGAAGACGCTTAATGCTTTCGAGTGGAACATTTCCTTCCAGGACCTGAGCGCAGATTGAGGACAGAGCAATAAATCAACTAATAACTGGAACCTCATTTTCTGCTCCACGGCAGAGAGTTAACCCCCGCCTTGCTGCACTCCTCTGGGTGGCAGCTGTGGGCAAGGGGCGCTGGGGAGCAGAGTGCTGAGCTTGAGCACCCCGCGGCTCAGGCTTCCCCTCCTCCTCATCTCCTCTCCTCCTGGGTCTCTCTCCTCTCTCCTGTTTCCCTTCTTTCTCTTATTGTTTTCTCTTCTCTTTTTATCTACGTCCTGCTAAATGCAAGTGAGAATAAGGGAAATGGCTGGAATCCGAGATTCTGGAGGTGACCCTGGGAAGGCATGGGGAAGCATTTGTTGGGAACTCCCTGGGCCCTGACTTGCTGTGTGAGCTGAGGGGAGTGTCCAACCCTCTCTGAGCCTCGAAGTTGCCACCATTACAAAGGGATCTTATCACATGGGGGGACTGAGGTTTGAAATGCTGACATCTAGGACAGACTTGGTAGTGGAGGTGGACAGTACCTGAGTCTCCACCATTCGCTCCCTGCCCATCTTGGCTTGGGAGGAGGAGAGTTGGGAGACAGAGACACTCAGGCGATGAACTGGTAGTAGATGGCTCTTCACTCATGTTGTGTATGCCTGAGTCTGTGTTACTAATGCTGCATAGACGTGTGTGTGTATGAGTGCGTGTGTGTGTGTATTCCTGCACGTGTCTTGGACTCCGGATCACAGTGTACATAGCCATACACCTAGGATGACTCTTGACTCCCTGCAGGACTAGTGAGAGGGCCCGGCTGGGTGTGCTGGTGCACACCTGTAGTCCTAGCTACTTGCGAGGCTTGGATGGGAGGATTGATTGAGCCCAGGAGGTGGAGGTTGCAGTGAGCTGTGATCACACCACTGCACTCCAGCCTGGGTGACAGAGTGAGACCCTGTCTCAAAAAAAAAAAAAAAAAAGAAGAAGAAGAAGAAAGAAAATAGCCCAAAGTGGGGAGCAGTGTCTGTATTGAGAAGCTGAGAGGAATGGAGACACTGGGGCCACACTGCCTGGCTACAAATCTGGCTTTGCCATTTATTGCTGTGAGACTTTGGAGAAGTCACTGAAGTTTATAGAACTTCCCCCTTCTATAAAATAGAGATAAGAAGAGTGCCTCCCTCATAACTTGTTGTGCAGGTTGAATGAGCTGGTCGCCTGTTAAGTGGCTGGCACATAGTAAATGCATGTTAAGTATTTGTCGTCATTATTGCAGGACACATCCACTCACACACAGTATGTTTCCCTCCCTCAGCTGACCGTGAGACACCAGAGCCGTACCAGCCTCAAACACCTGATGTGCACAGCGTGCCAGTGGAGAGGAGCCCAGCCCCCTTCAGAGCAGCCAGGGACACCTTCCTGGAGGAAGTGGTCCCAGCACTTGTCCTGAGATGAATGGAGAGGAGGGTGGCCCTGGGCACCTGTTGGGGACAGGCAGAAAGGATATTTGGAGAATACTAAGGCCAAGGTGGAGGTATTTATGAGGAGGAAGTAGGAAATGATACAGGCCCCAGCGCAGGAGGGGCTGGGCTAGTGTTTAGTAGGCACCTACTGCATGCAGACATCTTGTTCCCATTATTTCTTTGTGGAAACTGCATCTGAGTACTGTTATGTGACTTGCCCGGGGTTACCCAAGCTGTCAGTGGTACAGGTGGGATTTGAATTTGTGTCTGTTTGGCTCTGGAACTCCACTCTTCTTGTGGCCCAAGTCCCAGCATCACAGGGCTGGAGACTCTGTTCCTAAAATGCCCTGCTCTGCTTGGACACTGCTGGTGATAGGGAGCTCACTACCTCTCAGGACAGTTAATGACATTTCATGTAATTCCACTCATTCCAACAGTGATATTCAGGCTGGGCCCAAATCTGTTTGTCACAACTGACTGACTCCTCAGACCCCTCCTAGGCCCCCAAGCCACGCCCTGCTCAGCCCTGAGGCTGCCTGCTGGGCCCACGCTGATAGGGCTGCCCCATTTCCTCCTAGCGCCCCATGGATGTGTGAAAGGGGTGGAGAGTACCCCATATGGGGTACGTGCAGCATGCCAGCCATGAAGTGTCGCATTGCCACATCCCACGTGTGACCACAGTCACCTTGCAGAGTAGGCTGGCCAAGCTCAGGTGGGCTCAGACCCAAGAGCTCAGTGTTCCAGACAACCAGGCCCACCATTGGCATCCAGGACCACTGGGAATAGCACTCAGCCCTGGAGTATTTGGTTTCCAGAGTATTTAAACAGATGACTCGACTAGGTGATAATTTTAGCACGTTATGGCTAATGTCTTCTTGGGACCATAAAGCAGCAAACTTTTACCACTGGAAGCAGCTCCCAGCCAAGACGTGGGGAAATGATCATGTCATCGAGTCATCTGGGTATCAGTTATTGTTTGGGGGAAAGTGGAGTGTGTGGGCGCGTAGAGACGTGCGCACCCTCCCCCGTGCCCAGGCAAGCCAGGCTTATCGCGGGAGGAAGAGAGGATGCTGCTGAGAGGGAGGAGAGCAGGGAGAGCTCACCCATTCACTCCACAGACATTACTGAGTGCCTGCCACGCTCCAGGCACTGGCTGTGCACGCTTCTCATGCCATTGGGGCAAACAGAGAATGCTAATGGTGCAGTGATGGGATGAATAGGGACAGCTGGTAAGACTGGGCAACGGGGCCCTCAGGTGAGGGAGCACCTGTGGGAGGACCGTGAGGGGGATGAGGAGGCTATGTGGCAAAGGGCAGTGGCAGGGGGAGAGAGGGCCAAATGAGGGCATTTGCATGGCACTCTGGGGCTGTGGGATATTTTCCAAGGGGCAGGGGGCCGTGAATGAGCTTGGGTTAAGCAAGGGTGGTGACAATCTGATTTAAGTTTTAAAAAAGATCTCTCCAGCTGCTGCAGGAAGGGCCAAGTAGGGAAAGAGAGTGAGGCAGACATGATGGAGGCCTAGGTCAAAATGGTAACCATGGTGATGGGGGTGGCAGACCCCATCATGGCAGCAGAACTGGGGACAGGGAGAAGGTCATGGAGAAGGCAAGAAGGATCCTCAATTCCTGGCTTGAGCCGCTGCGGTCATCCTCTGAGATGTGGAGGTGCAGTGGAGGATCAGGAGTTCGTTTTTGACCACCTCCTTCTGCAGAGGTGTCCTATTGACAGTTGTGGTCACAAGCCTGGAGCTCAGGGGAGAGGTCTTTATAGGGGATGGGGACGTGGGAACCAGCAGCTGTAGATGGTGTTTAAAGACCTGGGCAAAGCCAAGGACCACCAGGAAGCGACGTGGGTGGTGGAGAGAGGACCAAGTCCTGGACGCTGGGATCACCACCATGTAGAGTTGAGGGAGGAGAAGGAACCTTCACAGGAGGCTGAGAAGGCACACCTAGGGGGTGCGAGGAAAGCCAAAAGGATGTGGAATCCCAGAAGCCAGGAGAGGGTTCCTAAAGGAAGGGCAAACTCAGTCAGCTGCGGGCATGATGACGCGTATACCTTTACCCAGCCTCGCATAACTCCAGGACAATATCAGAGACAGGTCACTGACGTTGGCACAGTCCACAAACCTGATTCTATTTCACCAGTTATACATACACTCGTGTGTGTGTGCGCGTGTGTGTATGTAAGTGTTTATATATAGTCCTGTGTGTGTATCCAGCGCCACAATGGAGACGTAGATCTGCACCACACTACAAGACTCCCTGTGCCAGCACACCCCTCCCCGCCCAACCCTGCTCCCACGCCTCCCGCTTGGCTGCTACTAATTTGTCCTCCTCTGTAATTTTGTTATTTCATGAGTGTTACATAGATGGAATCATACAGTATATCACCTTCTGAGATTGATTTTTTTAAAACTCAGCATAGGCTGGGCACAGTGGCTCACGCTTGTAATCCCAGCACTTTGGGAGGCCGAGGCAGGCAGAGTACTTGAGCTCAGGAGTTCAAGACCACCCTAGGCAACATGGTGAAACCCTGTCTCTACAACACACACACACACACACACACACACACACACACACACACACACACAATTAGCTGGGCATGGTGGTGTGTGCCTGTAATCCCAGCTATTTGGGAGGCTGAGGTGGGAGAATTGCCTGAGCCTGGGAGGTGGAGGTTGTAATGAGCCAAGATTGTACCACTGCACTCCAGTCTGGGTGACAGAGTAAGATCCTGTCTCAAAAAACAAACAAACAAACAAACAAAAAACCAAAACCCCAGCATAATGAAGGAAGGGGATTTTTAAAGGATGGCAGATACCAGAACACAATTGTTTGCTGCTGGGAAGAACAAAAGACCCAGAAAAGAGGGAGAGACAGGTGATGTTGAAAGATAATGTAATGATGGGAGGGAGCTGAATTCCTGAGGATGAGGGGTGGGTTCAGAGTCCAAGTGGAGCCATTAACCTTTAACAGCAGCGAGACCCCTCATCAGGCAGGAAGGGGGGTGCAGGCCGAAGCTGGTGGGCTTCTAGAATGTGCAGGGGCAGAGGACTGGGGTTCATATTTGCTGGCTTCTGCTTCCCCAGTGAAAACAAAGTGAGGTCTCAGTGGAGAGTGATGGGTCACATGGAGGAAGGGAGGCAGGAGGAGAGTGGAGGTGGGGCCACTGCCAGGTTGGAGAGTGGGGAGGTGAGGTGGCCGGTGGCTGGAGCTGGGACTGCTGGGCAGTGCTGGAATTGCTGCAGGTTTGGGATTCAAGCTCACAGAGGGCACAGCCTCCACGGTGGGGTCATTTCTCTAGCTGTATTTGGCCTCCCAGCTATAAGTGCCAAGATGTTGGTTGGATTCATCCAGGTTGGGGTTTTATGAAAGTACTGCTTAGGGGGAGGGGGGCAAGATATTTGAGCATCCATTATGCTGATGGACCATGGAACTCAAGCTCACCAAGGGCAGTGAGGGCGGAAGGGCAGTGATGGAAGGTGAGGTGCGAAGGTCTCGGTGCAGTGAGGATTGTAAGGAGAGGAGCTGGAGGGCCAGCTGGGAGGTTTGACCAGGAGCCATGGTGGTGACAGGGCCAGGGTGTGGCCTGGGATAGAGGCTGCAGGGAATGGCAGCTGAAGGTGACTGGAAGCAGGCAGTAGGGGCACCCCCAGCATGGGGAAGTCACCTAGAAGGATGCAAGGGTTGAGGTGCAGGGCAGGACAGACAGGAGCCCTCTGTGGGTGAGGGGAAGTGGCCAGGAAGTTCGAAGGCAGAGGGAGGCACAGCCACCTCTTAGGTCCCACAGGGACAGAACCACTGTAGATGGGAGGAATCTGGACCTGAGGTCTAGAAGAGCCCCGAGGAGCAGGGAGCACATCAGCCTGCCCTGGCCGAGCAGAAATCATCTGCAGAATGTCGCTGTGTGCCCCCCCCTCAGAGGAGAGAACAGAGGCCTAGAGAGGGTAAGCACGTTTCAGAAGGAACAAGCTCCGCTGAAGCGTTCAGAGGGTCTGCTTGAAAGTCAGTGGTGTGGTGGAGGCTGGATTCCAGAGCCGCCTGTTGCCTAGGTTTCAGTACTGCCTCCTCCAACTTTTCTGGGCCTTTCTTCATTTGTGAAATAGAGCAGAATGACAGTACATACTCCCAAGGTGGATGTGAGGATTGAGTTTTAATGCACGCATCCTGTGAATCCTCGGGCTAACCCTGTTTACAGATAGGGAACCTGAGGCTTAGAGAGAGGAATTGACTTGTCCAAGCCTCAGTGTTCCTCAGCCTCCCTGTCTTTGCCCCAGGGCTGCCATCTTTACCAACACTCATTCAGCAGCCTCATGAAGGAAGCAGGATGCAGGCCTCAGGCCTACTTGGAAGTTGGGGAAACAGGGCAGGAAGGTGTCTTCTCTCCCTGTGGCCCCCAGAGTGTCAAAGGAGGATGGAATCTTCGTTATCGGCCAGTCTTCAATGTCGGGGACACAGAGGTGACACAGGCACCATGCCTCTCTTTAAGCCACAGTCTCATAGGGGAGACAGGACAAAATAATAAGCAAATATAGTAATGTTAAACAGTGGAACATAGGGCAAGAAGCAATTGTTCAAGGAAACAGGGATTTGGGGCTGAAATTCTTGGGGAAGAAGAGAAAGATCCAGGGACTGTGGTGGCAAAGGAGGAGCAAGGGTTGAGCTGGGTTTTGAAGGGAGGTGCGAGTTTAATGAAATGGATCAGAGAGGGGACATTCTGGAGGGGAAGAAGGGAGGGCTCTGGGTGAGCAAAGGCTCAGAGAGGGGGCTGGGGAAGAAGGTGCCCCACTGGAACAGAAGAGGCAGAAAGCAAGGCCGTGCGGGCTGCCTCCTGCAGACGTCTCAATCTTCTCCCAAGAATGGTGAACCAGAGGCCCCTGAGGCCTGTGAACAGATGCCAACAGCGGGAAATTGGCCAGTGGATCCTCCATGGCCTGGCACCATCAAAGCTGCCAAGAGCAGAGAGGCCCTGCAATCTGGGGGCCTGGCGGCCCGGCACGGTTGGCCAGCTTGCTGTGTGACCTTGAGCAAGCATGCTCTGCTAAATGGGGCTACCCCAGCCGCCCCGTCCTCCCTCGCAGGTGGGCTGTGTGAGGTGTTCCAGCTCTGTGAAGTCTTCTTCAGCGAAACAAAAGCCAGCACCGCGGCAAAGTGAAGGAATGGAGGTGAAGGCTTTTAGCTCCCTGGCAGAGACGCCCAGCAGAAATCCAAGGCATGTCAGAAAACGGAGTTTCTGGAGAACCTTTGATTTAGAGAACAAGGTTTTGGCATCAAACTGCGATCAGAGAACAGAGGCAGCCTGCCACACCGTGAAACTGAGCTCTGTAAACCTCATTAATCTGATGTCTCTATGTTCAAAGCGGTTCTTAATTAGGAGCCGAGACTCTCTACCAGCTGGGTGGCCCATTGTTCCTGCTGGACAAGTCCCACCAGGTGACTTCAAAGCCCATTCCTCACGTCCCTCTGCCGCTCAGCGCCAATTAACCAGCATTTAGAGCTGGGCCGCCTGGGCTGGCAAGCTTGGCCATGCTCCTGCTTCATTTGGTGTCGGAGCTGAGGGGCCTCCATGAAGTTCTCCAGCAATGCAGGCAGACACGTGAAGGGTGGAGCTGAGTGCCGGGTGTTGGTGGGGGTGAGGGACAGCCCACGGCAGCCCCTGCCCCCCTGGGGTTCCAGAGGCCTGGAAGGAGCAGGAGAAGCCATAGGAGCTGCAGCTTCCCTCGGCCACCCTCTCTTCTCCCTTCCTCCTCCACGGGGACTCCTCTTCTCTGCTCCAACTCCCCTGTGCCCTTCTCAGACCCACCCTTTTGCCATCTCTTTCCATCCTCCTGAGGAGGGTCTGGGATGCCCAGTCAGAAGCCAAACTAGGTCTGGGGACACCGTGTGGGGTCTCACTGGGTGGTCTGATATGCACGGACTCAGTCCCTGATATGTTGGCTCCCACCTTCCCTGTGTTTACCCCTGCCCTTCACTGTACCAGGGCCTTGTACACCGTAGGTGCTCATCAAGGGACTGCCAGCTAGTGTAGCTTCTCCATAAGCCAAGTCATGTCTGAGAAGCTTGTGGCTCCATCAGGACAGGCACATCAAAGCAGTGGGCCTGCAGCGCCACTGGAAAGCTTCAGGAGAGAGTTGGGAAAGACCTTTCAGCAGTGATGCCACTTTCAGTCTGGAACAGCCGGGTGCAGGAAGGCTGGGTTTTTCTCTGCCTTCCAGGACGTTGAACCACAGTTGAATCTAGAGACAGAGAAGGCACAAAAGGAAGACCCAGGGCAGTGAGCCTGAACCAGCCCCAAACTGGCGGTCAGGATGCTGGGATTCCAGGCCTGCCGCTGTCCCTGACTGGCCACTTTGTGCTCTTGAGCAGGTTCTTGGCCTCAGTTTCCAAATCGGTGGGACGGGAATGATGACCCTGTCTGTATGGCTCCCTGCATACAGTGAGGTCAAATGGAAGACTAACTGAACCTGCCTTGGGAGCTGTCCAGAGTACTGGGGGCACTGGGGATGCTCCAGCTTTGCTCGCACACCTCTGGAGATGGGAGGCTCACCCCATTTTAAGGCCATTTTCCATGGCCAGATAGTTGCAGTTGTTAGAACAATTATTGTATTAGTTTTTTAGAGCTCCCGTAACAAATTACTATAAACCTGGTGGTTTAAAACAATAGAAATTACTCTCTCACAGCTCTGGAGACTGGAAGTCTGAGATCAAGGTGCAGGGCCGTGCTCTCTCTCAGGGCTCTAGGAGAGGATATTCCTGGCCTCTTCTGGCTCCTGGTGTTGCTGGCATTCCTTGGCTTGAAGATGCATCACTCCAGCCTCTGCCTCCATCTTCATGTGGCCTCCTCCCCTGAGTGTGTCTACGTCCAAGTTGACCTCTTTGTTGTTTTTGTTGAGACAGTCTCGCTCTGTCACCCAGGGTGGAGTGCAGTGGTACGATCTCTGCTCACTGCAACCTCCGCCTCCTGGGTTCAAGCAATTCTTCTGCCTTGAACCCAGTAATCTCCCGAGTAGCTGGGATTACAGGTGCCCACCACCACATCTGGCTAATTTTTGTATTGGAGACGGTTTCACCATGTTGGCCAGGCTGGTCTCGAACTCTTGACCTCAGGTGATCTGCCTGCCTTGGCCTCCCAAAGTCCCAAAGTGCTGGGATTACAGGCATGAGCCACCGCGCCCGGCCAAGTTGACTTCTTGTATAAGAACATCAGTCGTTGGATCAGGACCCACCCTATTCCAGTATGACCTCCTTGTAACTAATTACCTCTGCAAAGACCCTATTTCCAAATAAGGTCACATTCTGAGGTTCCAGATGGACATGAATTTGGGGGGACACTATTCAACCTAGTACCTTCGTTTTCCTTCTGGGCCCAGACTTCCACCCTGTGGCTTCACCCCTGTGGGTTTTCCCTTGCTCCTGACCAGCCCCAGCTCCATCAGTTTCCTCTGCCCCAACAGGGTTCCAGCCTCCCGATTCCCCACTCTGCTCTTCAGGGCACACTGGGCTGCTGGTGTCACAGAAACTTTTCTGGTAAAGTGTCTGTCCTCCTTCCCAGGGCTTGCCATCCACCCTCCTGCTCTTCTTGCCTTTTATATGTGGAAACTCGTCGCTTCACTCCAGGACTCAGCCTGGGTCCCAACAATTACCAGCTTCCTTGATGTCTAACACTATAAACCCATTCACCTCATTATAGGAAATTTCTTTTGAATGTCCTTTAAAAACCATCTCATTACACAGGAAGAACTGTAATTACCTTGTGCAAGACAGAAATTCTGGGCAAGCTGGTGCCTGGTGCCTGTCAAAACTGTGGGACAGGGTTCCCCGCTGGCTGGTTTGGCCATAGGAGAGAGCTCTTTCTTTCTCTCATCTCATCCTTTCCAGCCCCTTTTCTTCTGGGACCCGTGGTCACCCATGTCTCTGTTGGTGGCCCTAGAAGGTCAAGACCTCCCACAGAGAATAGAACCACCTTGGATTGGTGCCTGTGCTCCTGCCTGGCATCCTGGCAAACCCTGATGGTCAGAGCCTTCCCCAGGGGTTCTCAAGGGCTGCCCAGCCTCTTCCTGAGTCTGCCCTCCTGGAGGCTGCTGGAGCTTGCCCAGTGGTTGCAGAACGTCACAGCTGGGTGGGACTCTGGAGGCCAATAGGTTCAGCCTCCTGCCCTCAGCCACTTGTCCAGTCCTTTTGCCCAGCAGCCTCTGGGGAACCGTAGCCCTTCCTGGGACCAGGGTTTTTCCCTGACCTGTTTAGGGGATTTTCTTGATGTCTGGCTAAAATCCCTGGTGCCCCAGTTCTGACCTGATTTTAAGCTCCATCTCTTGCTGGCGGTGCCACCTTGGGCAAGCCATGTGGCCATTCTGAGCTGTTTTCTCATCTGCAGAATGGTTGGGATCATTTGTGCTTCAAGAGTCATGGTGAGTAGGGTCTGTGGCCACAGGCCTCAGGTGCCCATCATTGGGCATGTAGCAGGAAGTGAACCTACATTGCTTCTACTTTCCAGGGGAGCTTGACCGTGGAGACCCTTTTCTTTCTCCTCTCTGCCTAATGTGGGGTGGAGCAGACTTCCATTTGGACTTCTCCTCCTCCTCCCCACCATTTCTCCCTCTTTCTTCTCCCTCTCTCTCTCCTGGAGCATCAGAAGACATGGCACATCCTGTTCCCCTCCAGCATCCCTGCCTGCAGCCTGCAGCCTGCCACCTGCTGAGGCAATTTGTTTCGAGAACACCCAGCTGCTGGCATGGTCTCAGTAGTTGCAGGTCCTTCTCTGCTCAGTCCCTAGCTGTACTGTCTTCTACAGGGAATCCGTGTGGCATCCTGGCACAGCCACAGCCATGGGCATTGCCCACGGAGGCAGAACCATGCCTACCCATGTGTCTCTCCTGCCAGCATCTCCTCTGGGACTCTGGCTATAGCTTCTGGATCTGGCTGGGGAAGCAGAGAGGGTAGAGTCTCTGGTCTGCTCCTCAGCAGGGATTCCTGCTTCTTGAGGACCTGCTATGTTCTGGGCTCTGTGCTAGGGGCTAGGCATACAGTGAGCAAGGCAGCCATGGCCCCTTTCCGAGTGAGGCTCACAGTTCTTCTTGGGGTCAGGATGGGCTTCTGGCATACTGAGACTGGGCAGTCTGGGAGGGCTTCTCTGAGGAGGCGTCTTATCCCATTATCAGATGGATAAGAAGGAGCTGTGTGCAAGGAGCAGGAAGAGCATTCCATGTCCTGGAGAACCTTGGTGTGTTCAGGAGCTGGAAGGAAACTTGTGGGGTAACAGGAAGAGAACCAGAGGAGGTGGGGCTGGGTAGGTGGTCAGGGCTGGGTCAGACAGAGCCTGAGGCCAATAGTGAGGAGGGTGGGTGGGTTTTGGTCTAAGAGAAAGAGGAAGTTGCTGGAGGGTTTTAAGCAGGGAAGGGACCTAATCTAACTTAGGGTTCAACAGTGCTGCCCTGGCTGCTGGATGAAGAGCAGAGGGACACAGGGACACAGAAGAGTAAGGTGGGCCACTCCAGGGGGTCTGGCAGGCCGTGGTGGGCCTGGCCCAGGACAGGTGCCGGGTTGGGTGGGGATATCACAGGGAGGCGAGGTTTCTGGTTTGGGCAGCTGGGTTGATGGTGGAGATGTTTGCTGAGGCAGGAGCCCTGGAGAAGGAGTGGTTTGGGGACGAGGAACGATGAGGTGTTTATGGGACATCAAGGGGAGATGGTGAGGATATCAGGATCTTAGTTGTGACAACAATGGGATTTATATGTTATTATCCCCATCTTACAGACAAGGGATCCAAAGCTTAGAAAGGTAAAGTGCGGCCCACCCCGGGCCACACAGCTGGCAGCACTCCAAGCCAGGGTGGGACCCAGAGCTGTTGGCCCCCATCTCAGCTTGCATTTGAGAAGAGCAGTGCTTTGCCCCACAGGGTGAATGACTGGTGGGATTTCAGGCATCAGTGGGCCCCTCACCTCCATTGTGACCGTGGTGGTCTTCACCTGGGGCTGTGTCTGGAGTCAGTGGCTGACTCTCCCCTAGGACACACAGCCCAGAAGGCCTCAGCCACCCTGCAAGCCTGGGAACAGCTCAGCCCCTTGGCACCATTGTGCCTGAGAGGATCCAGAATATCCCGTTGTTCAGCCTGAGAAGAAGTAAAAAATTAGCTCCAAGTCAGGGCTTTCCGAGCGTGGCAGTGCCCAGGACAGGGTGGCTCCCCGAGGCTTTGCCAGCCCCTGCCACCTCACCTTCTTGGTCTTGGGAGGGTGCTTGGCACTTGCCTGTCCCCACCACAGGGGCCCTCCTCTGCCAGCTGGGCGGTGGGGGCACTGAGAGGAGGGAAACCCCTAGGCAGCCAGAGGACTGGGTAGAAAGAGCCCTGGACCAGGACGGGAGCCCTGGGGCCACCACGCACCTCCCAGTGACCTCAGTGTCTCCCCTTGGACAGTGAGCCCCGGGAACGAGTGAGGCATAGCACCCTTTCCTTCCGGCATTCCAGGAATCCCACCTTCCTATCTTCTGAGGTGGGAGCCAAGGAGCATCTCCAGGGCTTGGGTTGTGGAGTTGTGGTCAGGGAATAAAACTGGTCGGGGAACCTGGAAAGCAAGGTCCAGGGTGCTGGAAGTGGACTGGTGTGTGTGTGTGTGTGTGTGTGTGTGTGTGTCATGGCAGGGGGAGGGGGGTATCTTCAGGCAGAGGCCAGTGGCATGAGGGAAGGTGTGGGGAGGGTGTGGACTGGGAACAAGAAGGATGGGCCCACAGGTTCCCCGTGCCCCTGCCAGGGATGAGCCGGCTTATATGACAGAAGATTAACCCAGCAACTTCTCCACAAGGAGATGGGAGCCTGGCCACCCTCCCTAGGGCCTAGACCATGACACTGGTCTCTGGTGCAAACTGGGCATGGTGGCTGGTGACTGTCAGGGCTATGTGCAACCAGGGTCAGGATTTACACTGTGGGGCCAGAGACAGGGTTCAGGGTGGGACCAGGGCTCAGTGTGTGCACAGTCAGGGCTCAGTATGTATGCAGGGTCAGAACACAGTCTATGACTGGTGTTAGGGCTTGCACTGTGTGACCATTGCTTAATGTGTCAAGGGTTAGAGTGTGTGACCAGGGTCGGGGCTCAGGGTATGACCAGGGTCCGAGCCCAGTCTGTGACTAGGCTCGGGGCTCAGTGTCTGACCAGGGTCAGGGCCCAGTGTGTGGCCAGGGTCAGAGCTCAGCTTGTGACCAGGGTCGGGGTTCAGTGTCTGACCAGGGTCAGAGCTCAGTGTGTGACCAGGGTTGGGGCTCAGTGTGTGGCCAGGGTTGGGGCTCAGCGTGTGATCAGTGTCAGGACTCAGTCTGTGACCAGGGTCAGAGCTCAGTGTCTGACCAGAGTCGGGACTCAGTGTCTGACCAGGGTCGGGATTCAGTGTGTGGCCAGGGTTGGGGTTCAATCTGTGATCAGGGTCGGGGTTCAGTATGTGACCAGCGTCGGGGCTTAATGTGTGGCCATGGTTGGAGCTCAGCATAGTGCTCTATGTGTAGCCTCAGGGGCAGATTGGAGGCCCTGCCTCATCCACACTCCCTCTGAGCTCTCTGCTTGTCTCTCCCATGGGGCCTGTTAGTCAAGTGCTCAAGACTGATGCCACCTCTCTGAGCCCTGATGAGCAGAAGCTTGAATGGTCGTAGCTTCTGCAGATCCTTCAGAACTTGCCATGTGTGAGGCACCCTGTGGACTGATGGTGGGTATTATTGCCCTCATCTTACAGGATGATGAGGAAACTGGAACTCAAAAGATAAAGTGTCTTTCTGAGGTCACAGCTAGTTAAGTGGGAGAGCCCGGACTCAAACTCCTTGTCCCTTTATTCCTTTTCAGGGTCCCTCAGCATTTCTCCCTGGGGTAGAGGGACCTTTGGCAGAGCTCTCTTCCTATGGGTCCCCCATAGAATCTTCTTCCTCTTTCTGCCTAGACTGGGGACTGTGAGTTCAGCCTTACTTAAGCCAAAACTTCCTAGGAAGGCCAACTAGGCCTGAGGATGGACAAGGAGACCTTCCTGCAAGGTCTGAGGCATGCAGGCAGGTCCTGTCACCAGCAGCTGGGGACTGGGCATAGCCTGTCTGTAGGGTCCCATAAACCCCAAGGATCGGGCTTCTCTGTTAGAGATTAAAGGAATGTGTCAGCCCCATTGGAGGCATTTTGAGCATTGTGGTCCTGGATTTTGGAGCTCTGGAGGGTCCTTCCCAGCATCCCTGACATCACCCCACAAGCATTTCTTCCTTTGCTTCCAGGAAGTGGTGGGAAGATTGCCACCCCTCCTGCTGTAGGCCTGGACACCTTATGTTGCAGATGAGGTTCAGAGAAGGGAAAGACACTTGTTCCAAGACACAAAGTGTGTTAGTAGTGGAGGGGCCCAGAACCCTACCTCCCACTGCCAATATTCCTAGGTGTTCCCTCCTCCTGGCTCAAAACCCTCGTAGGAACTGAAAACCCACGAGGACACGAAACAATCACGTTCTAAGAGTGGGACTCTAGGCACTATACCAGCTGTTCTCTTGGGCCTTCCTGACATTTCTCAGTTACAAGAATCCCCCCATTTGTGAGTCATTTGGAAAATTTCATGGGGGAACTGGTCCAGAATTTAAGTGAAGTTCCAGGAGGAAGGGACTCAGGGAGAGTTGGAAGGAGGCCCCTGCTGACATGAAGAAGGAGTAGCCCCTTGCCGTGGCTTATCTGCGAGCCTGCGAGATGGACAGAGCAGTTTGCTTCACAGCTGGGGGATCTGAAGCTCAGTAAGGCAAAGCAATGTGCTCAGCAGTTCCCAGCTCAGTTCTCATTCACATCTGCCTGGTCCAAAGCCAGTGGGTTCTCTCCAGTCCCCTCTGTGTGGCCGGACTGTGTCACAGAAAGAAGGAAAGAGACTGTTGCCTGCCCTCCAGGAGCTGCTGGGAGAATGAGATTTAAGTCAGAAGAAGTATTAGGGAGCAAGAGCTGCATTGTTGAAGTCTCAGTGCTGTATGGCACAGAACACAGCCATGCCGCTGAAGCTGCTGGGAAAAGCTGGGTGGAGTTTAGATAGGATCAGGGATTGGGAAGAGCAAGCTTAGCCATTGGTGTGTGTGTGTGTAGCCCAGGCAGACTGGAGGTAGTCAGGTAGTCAGGAAGGCAGCTGTCCGGGGTGCTGAACCAAACCACCACCATGGGGCCGGTCTGCAACTCTTTCTGGCCACTTTGGTCTGAGCCTCAGTTTCCTTACCTAGAGAATTAGAATACTGATACCTGCATCACGGTCTCATTGAGAGGGTGCAGGAAGGCCATGGCATGTTGTGCTGAGCATGCAGCCTGTGTTTTGTTGAGGCTTTCCAAATGGGAACACCAACTGAAGGAGGCAAAGCCTCCTCCCCAGGCCCCTGGGGTGGAGGGTGGGGTCATCTGTGATACCTGACCCCAGGCACATGATCCCTCAGGAATGGCAGGTGCTGTAACAGGGTCAGCACTTCCCCTTGGCATGGGGAGAGGCAGCTTGTCTGGAGCCTTTCCACCCGCCTGATGCAGGTGTCCCCCAGCCTGTAGGCCTGGACACTTCATGTTGCAGACAGGATGACTAGGAACCAGAGAGGGCAAGACACTTGAGCCAAGAAACAGTGTGTTAGTGGAGGATGGGGTAGAGCCCCACAGCCCTACCATCCACTGCCAATATTCCTAGTTGTTGCCTCTCCCAGGTGCAAAAGCCTTGGGGGAACTAAACACCTTGGAGCACCCAAAGGAATGAAGCTCTAGTGTGGGCCTTCAGGCACCATCTGTGACACCTGTTCTCTTGGGCCTCCCTGACACCCTCTACTAGCCTCAGCCCCCAGGTGGCTTGGGTCCTAGCTCTCAGCTGGGCCTTCATCTCTCTTAAACCACACCCCCAAACTCCTGGCCCCATGCAAGCTCTCTTAGTCCGTTTGTGTGTTACTCTAAAGGAATACCTGAGGCTGAGTAATTTATAAAGAAAAGGAGTATGTTTGGGTCATGGTTCTGCAGGCCGTACAAGCATGGTGCTGGCATCTGCATCAGGGGAGGGGGCCTCAGGGAGCTTCCACTCGTGCCAGAGAGCAAAGGGGAGCTGGCATCGCATGACAAGAGAAAGGAAGTGAGGGAGCCATGGGTGGAGGGAGGTGCCAGGCTCTTTTTAACAATCAGTTCTCATGGGAACTAATAGAGTGAGAACTTGTTACTCGTTAGAGGGCGAGAAGGGCACCAAGCCATTCATAAATGATCTGCCCCTATGACCCAAACATCTTCCACCAGGCCCCACCTCCAACACAGGAGGTCACATTTCAGCATGCTATTTGGAGGCGACAGACACCCAAACTATATCACAAGCCTTCTCAGGCCTCTTGATCAACTTGGGGCCTCCGGGGTTCCCACCCCGCCAGGGAGGTGGGATGCTTTGGGGCAGGAATTTGGTGGGTATAGAGCTGCTGGAAGCCAAAGAAGAGACCTCTCTCACTCTCCTTTGCCTCTTTTCTCCTCATCTCCTCAGGCTGCCAGACCACCTTGGCCCTGGGCTTGGGATGACCTGCAGCCACTGAGAGGAGAGCCAGGAAGGGTTCCCCCAAAAAGACCCCCCAGGCCTGTTGGTTATGTTTGAGATGCACCCAATTCCTGTGTCATTCACCTTTCAGCCTTTGGCATCTCCTTGTCCTTTAGAACCAGACAGTGCTAAGTGTGCATCCCAGCTCTGTCATTTCCCCTGACCTTGGGCAAGGGACATATGCCTCAGAGCCTCAGTTTCTTCATTTGTCAAGTGGGAATAAGAACACCTATCCCACAGTGTGTGGTTTCAGTGTAGGAGTGCACATAGCAGGGGACACTGCCGCTTTCCTCCTGCCCCTGGTCCCTCTTCCATGGTGATGCTGGCCTCCCACCCACTCCTGCCTGTTTAGACCAAGAGCTGAAGCCTGGTCCGTGGGTGAGGTTGTCCTGTGGAAGACAGGAAGGGAGAGGCTGCGGGTAGCAGGCCGCACATAGCACCAGTGTTTTTAACACTGTGAGGGGACCAAGCTGAGCTGCTGCAGCCATCTGCAACCCCTGACCTTGCTGGCTCTGGCTTGGTTCTGGAAGATTCCCTCCCCTACCCGCCCCTGCTCACCCAGGTTTAGCAGGAGCAGCTACTTGCAGTGATGTGAAAAACACTTGGAGTAATACAACTCGGAGACTTTGACCACTGGTAACACCGACCCCACCTACCACCCCGCCTGCAGCTGGCCCAAGGCTCGGGCCCCAGTCACCTCCTCCACCAGCCAGTCCAGCCAAACTAAGAGTTAGGAGGGTCAGGTTTGGCTTCAGCTCTGCCTCCATTTGTCTGAGTACTCACACAGAGCCTGGCACAGGGTATGTGCCCGAAACGCTTTAACTATTAGTAGTGGTAGTAGTAAGAGTTGTTGTCATCATAGTAGAGAAATCCCATTTCACAGAGGGGCTAGGTGAGGCCCACACAGTTGAAAAGCTGCCACCTCTGTGAAATCTTCCCAGCTCTGCCCCTTCTCCCAGAGTAGGCAACTTCTTTTGACTTTTTTCAGTTTCTCTGCAATGCTCTTATTAGGGGAGAGCTTGGTAGACAGTGGGATAGATTCCAAGGTAGGGAGAGGTGTGTTGGGGGGAGGAGCTCTCAGGGCTGAAGGTGCCCTGAGGAGGCCGGGAGCAGGTTTGATGGGCAGGAGGCCAATCTGCCAAGGGACCCTCTACCTGGGAGTGCCCTGCCCTCAGCCCTCCCCTCTGCTGGTTCCCCAGCCACCTCCTGAAACCCTGAGAATGCTAACGTGTGTGGTGACAGCAGGGCCTCTACCATCCCTGTTACTTTGGCCTCTGCTGACTCCTTCCTTGCACCCTGAGGCATCTGTCAAGTCCTCCTTCCTCTCAGCCCCTTCCCTACTGGGTCCAATGGGCAGAATTCTGACCTGATCACATTGCTAACAGCTGGTTAGCAGGTAAACTTAGCCCATAAAGTTAATTGAGCACTTAGTGTGTTTGAGACACTGGGGATGCTGAGGACTGGGCTGTAAGGGGCCCTGCCACCAGGGAGGTAGAGGGGGGGAATGATGGTTAGTATGTGCTTACTGTGTGCAGGTGATGGTTAGTATGTGCTTATTGTGTGTGGGAATGATGGTTAGTATGTGCTTACTGTGTGCAGATGATGGTTAGTATGTGCTTACTGTATGCAGATGATGGTTAGTATGTGTTTAGTTTGTGCAGATGATGGTTAGTATGTGTTTACTGTGTGCGGGGATGGTTAGTATGTGCTTTACTGTGTGCAGGGATGGTTAGTATGCACTTACTGTGTGTGGGGATAATAGTATGTGCTTATTGTGTGTGGAGATGATGGTTAGTATGTGCTTACTGTGTGCAGGTGGTGGTTAGTATGTGTTTACTATGTGGGGATGGTTTGTATGCACTTACTGTGTGTGGGGATGATGGTTAGTATGTGCTTATTGTGTGCTGATGATGGTTAGTATGCACTTACTGTGTGCGGGGGATGATGGTTAGTATGTATTTACTGTGTGTAGGGATGACGGTTAGTATGCACTTACTGTGTGCAGGGTCTGGGCTCGTGCTTTCCTGACCATCGGTGAGGTTGGAGCCACCCCAGTTTGCTAATGAAGAGAGTGGGGCCCAGGGAAACGAGGGGACTACCAAGGTCCTCAGCAGCGAATGCTAATGTTGGGGGTAGATAGGGCTGGACTTGGGGGAAATGGAGAGGAGGAGTTGACCAGCAGCTCCTGTCGTGGCAGCGTGAGTGAGCTCAGGAGGCAGTCAGGCTGCCCTTGGCCTTTCCTGACACATCCCTGGACCCTTAGGAGCCACCTCTGAGGAAGGTCTTCCTTCTCTCGGCTCCGTAGCCTCCTATTGAGCACAGAGCAGCCTAAGGCCACTGCACGGGGCACCCACTAGGGCAGTCCAGGGGCCTGCTCTTGTCCGCAGGGACTCAGGGACTCTGCCTGCACGTCTCCCCTCTCACTGCAGGCACTTTCAAAAAGGCAGCCCTGCTCCCGATCCTCCTGCTGTGCCCACCCGACCCTTCTCACCCTCTGGCCCTGCCCACAGTCCGCTGGGCCTAATGGCCCTGCCATTCCTGATCTCTGTCCCCTCACCCTTTCCAGCCTCCAGCCCATGAAGGTCAGCCTCTCCCAGCGACTGTGCCTCCTTCCACCCCACTATGTCTCTCTGGTTTCCCATTCCCGCCTTGGAGGAAGAGGTGCTTCTCCTCCAGACTGAGGCTCATCCCTGCCCCGGAGGACCATGAGCCAGCCCCACTGTCAGGCATTCCCTTTCCACAGCTCCTGCCTGGTGTGTGACCCCGCCCCTTCCCCAACTACACGGGGCATCGGGGTTCCCAAACCAGTAGTAGGTCCTGGTCACTCCTGTAGAACTTGGGCAGCGTCTGTGAGTCTTAGTTTTTCCTTCTGTTGGGTGGGCCAGAATGGTGCCTGGAACGTAGTAGGCACTCAACACATGCTTGTTGAATTAATGAACTAAGTAAGCAGTGAATTCCTGGCCTGGCTGCCTCACCTGAGTGTTGTGCAGATCAAAGTAACTAATGGATTTTTTACAGAGTTAAAGATGCTGTTTGGACAGAAGGCGTGGGGGATGCTCAGTGGGACGCTGGCACTGTGGATTGTAACTGCCGTCCTCACTTTGCAGTTTCTGCCTCCCAGAACCCTCCCTCATCCGCCCTCCTCTATATTGCTGTACCCCACCTCTCCCCTGGCCACTGCCTCATTCCTAACTCACTTCCTCCTGTCCTTCCGCCTGCCTGAAATCCATCCTCCCCCAGGTGGCGGCTGCAATGATCTTTCTGAAGCACGAATCCAGACTCTGGGTACTCCCCACTTAGAACTTCAAGCTCCTGCTGGCTCCTAGGATGAGAGCTCCATCCCTCTTGGTGCCTACTAGGCCCTGCCTGAAGGAGGGGGCTTTCTCCCTCTCCAGACACTGGGCCTTGTCACTGGTGCAGTCTGCGGTGCCCTTCCCCACTGCTTCCAAGCCCAACTCGTTTTCCTTTAATACCCCTTCAAAGATCCTTTCATCCCGGAAGCCTTTCCCAAACCGCAGCCCTGGATCAGATGCCCACTACCCTGTTTCCACAGCCCCTCAGGCTCCCGCTTTCACACAGCACCCGAGTTGTCATCTCTCACCTTCCTGTGCTCCACCCCACACCCTGCTCAGGGTGTTTGTACCCTTAATTCACAGAAAGCATTAGAGGGCATTTGCTGAATGAATGAGTGAATGAATGAGTGAATGAATGAGTGAACTGGCAGCTCCCCCAGGCTGTGGGAACTCTGGGCTGGACCTTTGGGCCTACTGAGGGGAGTGGGTAACACAGCATGCCTCTGACCTGTCCTGGAGTTGGCCTCCTTTCTGTGTGTCCTACTGGGCTCTAGGCGTCTTACCCTGGAATTGTCCCCACCCGCAGGCCCTGCAACAGCAGTGGCTGCATCTGCAGCAAGGGGTTTTGAACCATTCCAGGGATTTACTACAGGTTGAGGGTGGCATAGGAGCCCTGAGAACAGAGCCTGGGGTCTGCAGAACCTTGTCACCTTGTGCCCTGATCCCCACCCTGCCACCATCATCTGACACACGTACAGGTCAGTTCTGCCCCCGCCTGACCCCGAAGACCTTTCCTGGCCTGAGCTGCTCCAGCCCCTACACAGCCCTGCACCAGGAACCTGGCACTGAGCCCCGGCTCTATTGCCCAGGCTGGAGTGCAGTGGCATGATCACAGCTCACGGCAGCCTTAAGCTCCTGCCCTCCTCTCTGCTCCTCTGACCTGGCCCCAAGCCCTGCCTTGTGCCTTAGCCAGTCCTGCTGATGGTCCAGCTATTACCCTGCTCTCGCAGACCCCTGTCCTGGGATTTCTGGCTTCCTGGCCCGGCTGCCCTGGTGCTGACCACCTTCCCATGAGTGTCACCCATCTGTGGGCCCCGCCCATGCCTGTGGTGCCACCCTAACCCCTGACTCTAAGCCTGCAAATTGGGGCAGGCCCCGGTACCCAGTCCTGAGTGTGTGGGTGGGGGTTGGGAAGATGAAGAGGGGTCGGTTCTGCTCAGGGGAGTCTCCTAAAACTGAAGCTCCTACTCAGCCACTGGAAACGGAGGGCCCGGAGGTGGGGTTCTGGCTGTAGGTGCCCAGGGTGTGAGACACCCAGAGATAGGGGGCAGGGAGGGTTTCCTGGAGGAGGTGGTGGTGCCCTGGGTGAGCCAGTGAGGATGAGGAGGATAGGGGGGCCCTCCGCGGTGGGCAGAGCAGGCTGTCCACTCTGTGCTGGGCTCCATGCCAGCTTCGCGCTCACCCCCGGCACAGCCAGCCTTCGGGCGGGTATTATTAGCTCCATCTAAGAGACAGGAAGACGGAGATTCCAAGAGGCTCAGGGACTTGCCCGGGGTCACCTGGCTGACCAGTGGCCTTGTCAGGCCTCCACCCAGGTCTGGCATCATTCCAGGCTCTTATGGAGGGAGTAAGAGGAGAGTCCGGGGTGGAGGGAAGGGAGGCGGGCACCCGCCACAAACATCAAAGCAGCTGCTGGCTGTGACTCTCCAGGGTGGGGGTGTGGGACGGGGTTGGCTTTCTGAGTCGGTCCTGCTCCCCCCTCCCCACCGTGGGAGAGCCCTCACGATGCGAGGTTCCCACCGCCCCCTCCCTGGAGAGGCCGGCAGTTTGCCTCTTCAGAGGATAATTCCCCATTATACAGAGATATTTAGCCTAATAGAAGCCGACAGATCATTCAGGGCAGTAATGTACTCCGGCTTCAAGCGTGTAGTTTCCTCAGCCTGAACTCCCAGATTAAAGGCTCCTTGCCCAGCCCGCCCTGTGCCGGTGCCTGTGACCTTGACTGCAATGATGGGGTAGGTTTCTCCCTTCCTCCTTCCCTCCTCCTCCCTTGCCAGTTTCCTCCTCCCTCCGTTTCTCTCTCTTGAAAAAAAAAAAAAAAAAGATATTTTTCTTCTAAAATGTTCAGTGGAAAGGCTGTTGCTTAAACCTTGCATGCTCTGGGGACAGGCTGATGGTGCTGGGCTGCCAGCCGGCCTCGGGAACACCTGGCTGGCCCAGAGCTCAGCCACAGATCGGCCGGCATGGTGGGCAGCCTGGGTGGCTGGACACTCCAGCCAGGCTGGGGCAGGGGGAGGCTGGGCAGATGGCCTTGCCCAGGGCCAGAGCTGGCCCCTCTACTCCCTCAACCCATTTCCCTGCCCCAGAGCTGGCCCACAGGGCCTGACCTGGGGCCTTCAACGAGTGGGGGATGCCTTTAATGATTGGGGAGCACTCTCAATGATTGGGGGCTCCTTGGGCCTGGGCATCTGGGGATGAGCCCAGGGAACACTAGTGGCTAGATCTGAGGGGCAGATGGCACCAGGGTGGCCTTGCGGGCCTTGCGTTGATCAGGAGGGTGGCTTCCAGAGCTGCCTTCTTCTGGCCCCTGCAGGGTTCCCATGTCCATTCAGCTGTCTCTGCTGCTCTCTTTATCCTTTCTTTGTGTCGCCTTCTCCCTCCCACCCCATAACTGCTGCCTCTCTCTGCCACCCCCTGCCCACCCCATCTGCTCACCGGGCTGCCTCTTCGAACTGCCTGGCACTTCCACGAGGCAGCAGGGAGCAGGGGACAGCACCGGACCTTTGGAATCAGTCGGCCCTGGGTTCAAATTCTGGCTCCAGCACTTACAAGCTGTTTCTTTCCATTTAATATTTTCAATTTGGACAAGTTCTTTAATCTCTCCCAGCTTTCACTGCCTCACCTGAAAAGTGAGATGCTCCCACTTGGCCCTCAAGACTATCCTGGGGTCTGTCAGGGCAAACTGCTGGTCAAAAATTAAAAAAAAAAGATTATCCCGAGTGTTCAGTGTATGATGTAGTGCCAGTGGGTGGCAGCTTCCCCACCTGGCAATCCCAGGCCCCCCGGGGAGACCCCACCTCCTGACACTCCTACCTGCCCAGGTGCCCTCTCTGCCTGTCTGGTAGGAAAGGGGAAGGTGGTCAGAAGGTGGTCAGGTGGGCTCTGGTTGCCCCTGGCCCACAGCAGCTGTAGGTGTGGGGTAAGAACGACGCCTCGTGGGAGGGACCCTACTTTATTTCATTTCTGGGCAAAGCCTAGTATTTGGTACTGGTCTAATTTGAAGGGACCAACTTAAGGGGCTGTGGCAAAACCACCAGGGGTAAAGGGGGACAGAGTGGAGGATCAGGGCCTGTGTAACCAGGGAGGAAATCTTCTAGGCTGAGACCCCCTCTCAAGTTTTGGGGCAGAGGGCAAAGAGTGCCTCTAACCTCCAGGGATGGGAGTCTTGGCAGCTGGATGGAAGCCTGGGTGGAGTGGGGAGATTCCTGCGTCTTCCAGGGCAGGGGTGGTGGGGTGACTACTGGGGATGAGGGAGGAGAAGGTCCCTAGGTGTGAGGCCACAGAGGGTGTGAGGCCACGGAGAATCTGAGGCTGATGTGCTGTGGAACCCTGGGCTGATCCCACTCCCTCTCTGGGCCTGTTTCCTCATCTGTTAGACTGGGCTGATCATGCTGCCCTATCTGCCTCACAGTGTGGGCTGCAGATCCAGGTAGAGAATCGGTGGGAGCGTTCTGTGATCTGTGAAGTCCTAATAATAATAATAACTATTATGCTGGACGTTACCTTGCCTTCCCTTGACTCTCTGTAACACCCGCTTCAGTCCGTGCAATCTAGCCCTGATTCATGTATTGACAGAATTGAAGAAGCTCATGGCAGAAATCAACCTCCCCTTTTAGTGCAAATCCCCACCCAACACACATGGTCCCCAGACCTCTGCTTGCATACCTCCAGGGACAGGAGACTCACTGCTTCTCATGCTGAACAGAGATCTGTTTCCCTGGAATCTTTTCTCCTTAGGCCTAGCTCTGCTCTCTGGACACACACATGCCAAGTCTGTTCATTAGGGACCGGAAGTCCTGATCAGGCCCCCGAGGTTTCTTGAGGGGTGGGGTCTGGTTGTGAAAGCAGTCCTTGTCTATGGTAGAAGCTCCACGAGTCTTCCTTCATTACTCTCCTTTTCTTACCTCCACCCCCTCACATCCAGCTGATCAGCCAGCTGGTTCTGCCACAACACACTGCCCGAATCTGTTTCCTCCCTCTCTGTGCCATCACCCTGGCTAAGCCTGTCTTCTTGTCCTTGGGCGATTGTGACACTGGTCCTCTGCCCCAGGCCTGATCCCCTTGAGTTCAATCTCCACTTGGCAGCTCCAGAGAACTCTTAACAATGAAGAAAACATCATAGCACTTACCTGGTTAAAACCCTCCAGTTACTTTTCATTGCATTTGGGATGAAATCCAAAGCCCTTACCCTGGCCCTCAGGGCCCCAGCCTCCCTCTGCAGCTTCATTTCCCATAGAATAAATTCCAATATGGCCGCTTCAGAAAGACCTTCCTTGCTCCTCTAGCTTGAGTAACCCACCAGCCCTAGCCCAAGTCTTCTCTTTCACATTACCAGGTTTTATGATCATTATTGCATGTCACTCTGGAATTATCTTGTTTATGTATTTGCTTATTTATTTGCTTATCATCGGTATCCCCTGTCCTCATGAGAGTACCAACCTTGTCTGTGTTGTACCCCAGTGAATCCTAGCCCCTATAATATACCTAGTATATAGTAAGTGCCGAATAAGTATTTGATGCATGAATGAAAAATAACACAGAAAACAAGAAGAAATAGCAGATGATGCCATTGTGGCTGTAGTAGCAGTTAATGATATGACAGTTTTGTGTGTGTGCGTGTGTGTGTGTGCACGCGTGCACATGGGTGTGTAAGCTGGGAATCACCTGCCCTTTTAATCACCTGGGCCTGAAGCCCTGCGTGCGTAGGAGACACACGTGTCCCTGTGGGCCATGTTCATGCACACTCATAAGCACACACACAGGCGTTTCGTGTTCAGTAGCAGTGTGACCTCTGGTGAAGTCTTTCACCTTTTGGGCCTCCGTTGCTCCACCTGTGGAATGGGGCTGGCTGGGGCTAGAGGCAGAGGCCTGGATACCATGGCGTCCTGAGGTTCAGCACTTGCTGGCGGCTGGAGCACTGCAGGCAGCAGGGGCCCTGGAGGCGGGAGGGAGCCAGGAGGTGTTTATTGAAGTTTACCTCTGCCCAGGGCTGCTCCCTGCTGCCCTCGGAGGTGAGGATCTCACCCAGGCAGGAGGGAGTGGTCCCAGGTCGGGAAATTGGCAGAAAAGCCTAGGGACATGAGTTTTGCTGCTGGGAGGTGTATTACATTCACAGTCGAGGTCTCTCGGATGCATCCGCAACTTCAATCTGATAAGTTTTAATTTTTGTTTGTGTGCTTATTTTTTAAAAAACCTTTTCCTTGCTACCTTTATTTTACTTCTTGAACTTTTTCCGTTCAATTGCCATACAAAAGATTTGCCATGAAATTAAAAAGGAGAAAAACTCTCCGTCCGTGTTTCCACTCCTCCATGGCAACAGCCACTCCCTCCCTGCCCCCTTGTCCTCTTCCTGTGATGACAGTACTAGACCTTGCAGAATATTTGGGAAGTAGACGTGGCCCCAGGTTACTTAACCTCTCTGTGCCTCAGTTTCCTCATCCAAACCATAGAGGTAATCATTGTTCCCTCACCCAGTTGTTGTGCAGATTCCATGAGTTAACTTTTAATTTGTCAAGTGCTGAGGAAGGTTCCTGGCACTTAATAAGTACGATGCACATATGTGTTTACGTAAGATGAGTAAGTAAGAAGGAAAGGGCAGCCGTAATGCTGCCATCATGGCACAAAGGGCAGCTGTAGAAGTCTGTCTTTGGCATCAGAAATCAAGTGTTCAAGCCCCACTCTGCCCACACTCTCCATGGAGCCAGGAGCACGCATGTGGTTGCTTTCTCTGAACACCCGCTCCTCCTGTAAAATGGATCTGTAATCTGGACCCTGTGATGCCGCAGCGTGGGTGGGGGTGACAGATGGGAGTGGGCCTCGTACATCCTGCAACCCAACCCCCACCTGCACTCATTTTCTCAGTTTTCTACCTCGTTATTGTCACGAAAACATTACTCAGCGTCACTACCGGTCTCTGCTTGATCATTTTTAATGGCTGTGTAATACTCTCTTGGCAGGGGTGCCGTGAATTGCTCCGTCATCTCTGTCGTGGAGTGTTTAGGCAGCCTGCAGTGTCTTGCTGTTATAAATAACGGCTCTGTGCCCAAGAGTCTTCCCCTCTGAGTGACAGTTTTCCGGGACAATCTCAGGACATGCATTGGGGCTGCTTTGCTAGAGGGGCTGAGGGAGGGTCCAGTGGCAGTGGCTGGAGGAGGTAGGTCCCTTCAAGGGTAGCCTGACACCCTTCCCCAGGGACATCCCTTCCCCAGGGACATCCCTTCCCTAGGGATGGCAGCATGGGTATCAAGACAGCAAGACACTGCTGGCGATGAACATGATGGGAAAACACGAGGCCATGGTGGGAAGGGCAATGGGTACTATGGAGGATCAGGGCTGGGAGTTGGAGGAACTGTGTTTGCCTTTGCCACCCTCTCACTGTGTGACCTCGGGCAAATCCCTTCTCCTCTCTGGACCTCAGTTTTTCCCATGTACTGTGGCCAGGAGGCAGGCAAGGGTTGATCCACAGCTGTGTTGTCCAGTGTGGTAGCCACTGGTTACATGTGGCTATTTAGACTTAAATGTAAATTAATTAAAATAAAACAAGATTAAAAATCAGTTTTTTTATCACACTATCCACATTGCAATATCCGCATATGACTGGTGGCTGCCATATTGGACAGTGCAGAGACAGAACATTGTCATTGTGGTAGAAAGTTCTGTCAAACAGTGCTGGTCTAGAGGTGCTTCCAGGGATCTTCCTTTGGTCTCACCTTCACCAAGGTGTGGCCACCATCTGCCCTACTTCCTGTACTCCTCAGGCCGCTTGTGAACCCTACCACTCACTCTTGCTTCTCTTCCTTTCTAGGGATCTTATGACCATGACCTGGCTACCTTGAGTCTGTGGGGCTACACAGCCTTCAGCCTGCATCTCCAGGGCTCTGACTCTATCCAGCTCCTGGACCAGCTCCCAAGTCTACTCCTGACCCCAGCCTGGGCCAAGGGGACTTCTCAAGCTTTGGGACCCAGCAGGACACAGCAGCAGTCAGGGTAGGTGGCATCCCCCCTCTACCCATTCCCTGGCTCCTGGAGATACCCAAGCCTTCTTGATCCCCAGAACAAAAGGGATATCTTTCTGTACACTGTATCGGTCAGGATCCCTTTGATTGTAAGTAGCAAAGTACAAAAACTAAAACAAACCCTATTTCATTAAAATGAAGTTATCAGCTCTTGTAACTAAAGTATTTAGTGGTAAGATGGGCTTCAGGCAGGGCTTGATCCAGTGAGTCAAACGGTGCAACCAGAACCTGGTTTTTGTCTGTATTCCTTCACTCCTCTCCTTGGTGATGGCTCCATGCTTAGTGGCATTTGGCATGACATGGTCAAAAGATGCCTGGCAGCAGTTTCTGTGGTAACATGCTTCTAGGTTTGGAACTAGGGTTGGGGGTGGAGACAAAATCTTCTCTGACAGAACAAACGAAAGTCCTCGAGTTGATCTCGATTCAGCTCATCCTGAACCTTTAACTGGGTCCACAGGACTTAGAAACACTGATGGGCTGGGGGTCAGGGTCTGTCCTTCCCCAACCATGTTACCAGGAATGAGGGGTGAGCGTTTCCCAAAGGAATCTTAGGATCCTGCTGACAGGAGAAAGGAGACCCCTCCCCAACTAGGGAAGGCAAATAACAAATAATCATTCTAGATGATGTCATAGATGGATGTGGACGTGCTGTGTATCCTCAGACAAATCTCTATGCCTCTCTGAGCTTCAGTTTTCTCACCTGATAATGAATCTCACCTGGCAGCGATGCTGAGAGAACTCCCTGAGATGATGTACAGAAAGGTCTGACATCTAGCAGTTTCTCAGTAAATCCTTGTTCCCTTCCCCTTCTTGCTTCCCCCTCCAGGAAGTTTGGGACATCGCTGGTTTGGTTTTTTTGTTTGTTTCTTTTTTTTGAACTTAGAAGGGTGTATTGTTGATCAGAATCCTTAGAGGCAGAGCCTGAGACGAAGATTTGTGTACACGAGCTGTATTGAGGGCAGGGCCTCAGGGAAAGGGAGGAAGAGAAGAAATCGGGGTAGGAATGATAGCGCAGGCAAAGATGGGCCTTGGGCTGGTCCAGGGAACCCTGGAACATAATTCACACACAGAATTACCCTTCCCACCCCCCACATGGAGGTCGGGCTTTTGGGCCCCTGTATCAATCAGTCATTGGCCGTGAGCCACCCATGGGAGGGCCTGGATGGCCCAGGTGAGGTGGCCCCCATTTGTGGAGGGCAGTTCTCTAGAAAAGGGGGAGCATTGAGCTGCAGCAGCCCACCCTCTGGGCAGCTGGGGGACAGGGTAGCGCACCGGCCATAGAGGGCATCTGGGCAGCCTACCCTTTAGCGCAGGGAGGCGGAACTTGTGTCCCAGCCTCGACAGTTCCGGACCTCCTGAGTGTGTTGTCTTCTCTGGTTTTTGCTCTTCCTGCCCCCGGTGCCTCCTACCATAGGGGGCTGGCAGCCAGCCTGGGGGCTGGTGATGGGATGGGACCTTGGCCCCTTCTTTGGAGAAACCTCTTCCACACCCAGGCTCTGCACTTGCCCTCCACCTCTGCTGCTTCTCCTCTAGTGATTCCTCTTCTCTCAACCTTCACCTGCGGTTCCTGTTGCCTATTATGCCCTTCCTCACTCTCTGCCCTTTCCTGCTTTTCAAGGCCCAATTCAGGTCCCTTCTTCTCCAGGAAGCCTCTGCTGACTGCTCCGGCCTGTGGTTTTCTGCATTAGTCCATCTTCCAGCTCCACCCTTTTCACAGATGAAAGACCAAGGCCCAGTGTGCATTGCCTCATTCATACTCTGCTAGTCACTGCGTCCCAGCACCAAAGTGCATTGCTGTCTTTGTCTTGACTGCCAGGAAGCTCATAGTTGGTTTGTGGCCTATTTCTGATAAGTGCCCAGGATGCTGTGGCTTGCAGTTGCTTAATAACCTTGTCTGTGGCTTCTTCTTTCTCATTTTTCCTTTGTCCTGATTTCTTCCTTTGTTTTTCAGCATGTGCTGCTTCTGTTGTTCTCAGCAGCCTCCAATTCTTTTGGAGGGAGGTGGGGTATAAATAACCAACCGTGGCGGGAAATGAAGCATTCAGTGCCGACTGCAGCCAAATGCTAGGCCCTTGCTTTCCTAGGGGCATCTCGGGTGGGAGGGTCTCCCCCAGGCCCAGGGTTGAGCCTGTCCCCAAGCAACACTGAAGCCTGCCGCGGTGGCCCCAGTACAGTGCCCACTCTGCCCTCCGAGGGTCAGGACTAGCATTGTTCTGCTGCCCGCCCTCTTCCCTCCCTCTCCCCATCTTATCAGAAGCTAATGAAAGAGGCTGGGAAACCCAATCCTCTGGTAATTAAATTTACTTAACGGGTATTCAAGTGGAGTAATGAGAAGTTTAATGCAGTGATTAGATTTTTCTTTAATTAATTAAAATGAGAGCCATGTGTCTTGCCAGCAGACCAACTTGACCCTCTGCTTGAGAGTAGCAGAGACAGTGGGGGGCTTGGCTGGGCTGTTGGGAGGCTCGGGGGCAGGTGCCGCCTCCTGCCCTGGCCCTGCTGTCTTCAGAGGCAAGCCCAGCTCTGATGTCCATCCAGGCCAGTCTCTGAATTGGTCCTTGTTTCTGAGGTTTGTAAGTGAGTAGGCTTGGGTCAAACCTGGGTCACCCGGGGCCAGGGATCCAACAGCCCATGCTCTTGGAGAGCTGAAAACTGAACCAGGATGGAGGTTTCAGACAGGAGCGTCAGCAAGGTGGCTTAAAAGCAAGGAGCCGCTGGGTTGAGCCTGTCCGCAAGGATAAACTGAAGCCCGATGGTGGTAGCCCCAAGACAGTGCCCACTCTGCCTTCCAAAGGTCAGGACTAGTACTGTTCTGCTTCCCTCTTTTGGAAAAAAGAGATTTCAGGCCCTGTGACGGGAGGAGGTATTTTGGGTTGTGCATCTCAATGCTGCCATGTGCCAGCCAACACCTTCACTTTCATGTTCAGCCAGACCTGGGTTTACCTCCACTGGCACTGGATCACCTGGGCAAATAGAATGGGGCAGTGGGTGGCAGTGGGTGGATAACCCACAAAGCACTTTTTCACTTTGGCTTGGGAGTGCATCCACGCTAGAAGGCTGACTGTCCTCACTGTGTTTTTGAAGGCTAGGTGGGGAGGCAAGGAAGAGCTTCCCTGCTCGAGCCACTTCTGCTAGGGCAGAGGGAATCTGGGAATCCCAGCACAGCTGCCTGGAGTGGAGCATAGGACCAGCCTAACCAGGATAGAAGGCAGGCATAGTAGGGGCTCAGGAGACAGGCCCTGGCCCCTGGGGGACAGGTTATGTTAATTGTCAAAGCCCTGGGTAAGGTGGTAGAGAGTCCTGGGCTTTTCACAGGGGGGGACAGAAAATGTCCCTCATTAAGACCTGACCCCAGCCCCACACTAAACCCTGGTCCTGGACAGATTGAACTTTGATCCTGGTTTTACAATGAGCCCTGACCTCAGTTGCGCACTGAGCGTTGATCCCAGCCTCACACTGAGCCCTGATCCTGAATCAACTGAACCTTCATTCTGGTCCTACAGTAAGCCCTGACCCCAGCCACGCACAGAGCCTTGATTCGAGCCTCACACTGAGCCCTGATCCTGAACAGACTTAACCTTGATCCTGGTCCTACACCGAGCCCTGATCCTGGCCCCACACTGAGCTCAGCATTGTCGTGGATATGCCAATAGAAAAGCAGGTGCCAGGGTAGAAGGGGTAAATGGCCCTGTTTGTCCATTCCCACTGCCAAGTCTGCTGTCTCTGGGCAAGGCTCCTGTGCCAGGCCCTGCACTAGTTTCTGGGATTGCCTAGAGGAATCAGCCATGATCCCTGCCCACAGGGCTAGTGGGGGCACAAGCAAACAGGTGATGAGAGCACCAAGTGATCAGAGCTGAGGTGGGGGAGGCCCAGGGGACTGGCAGGGACATGGCTCTGTATTCAGAGTGTTCCTCTGGCAGCAGGTGGGAGATGGAGGTGCTGGAGGCAGGGGCCATTGAGGAGGCTGTGATGGGGTCCCCGAAGAGGCAAGGATGGTGCCCATGGGCAGTTTAGAGAGTCTAGGGTAAGTGTTCTCCCAGCATAACTGACTGTGACCCCCCAGAACACCTCAGCTCATGGTGAACCAAGGGACTTACCTGTGAGAGGGTTGACGGTGGGGGCACTGGGCTGATGATGACACCCTGCAAGGGAGGCACATGTATCCCTTCCATGGAAGAAGAAACAGAAACACAGGCACTGCCTGATGCCCCTTGGCTTGAAGTAGCCAGGCTGGGCATGTTCCCGGGTCTTGCCTTCCCCCAGGCCTGCATGCTGGTATTGCTGAGGGTGAACTTGCAGTAGGAGCTGGGGGCTTCTTTATGACTCTTCCACTCTCGCCTGAGTGAACATAGCCTGAGCATCGGCGGGAGCAGGGGAGCCAGTCAGGGGAGTCTGGGCCAGTCAGCCTGGCATCCAGGGCTGGTGCAGGGCTTCCAGCACGGTTGAGGTTCTCGGAGCAGGGGGAGTGAGGAGGGCCTCAGTTGGGTGGGGGACAGGGGACATCAGGCTGAGGCCTCCGACCACAGACTTAGGGCTTGGGACTAGCCCAGAAAGGAGGATCTTCTGCCTCCTTCACCTTCCCCTCCCCATTCCGGGTCCCACCCCTTTGGATTTCCAGGCACTCACACCCATTGCCCTCCTGCCATGCTCCAGCTGCTTCCAAATAGCCGGGCTGGAGAAGCCACCTAGACAGCCGCCCACCACCCACCTGGGGAAGCCCAGGCCCCAGGACAGTAGGGACCTGCTCAGGATCGTGGGGCTCTGCCTCCTGCATTGCTTTAAGGGGAAGAGTCTGAAATCCCATTATCTTGAATTTACACTTTTACTTATTTATTTTTTAGAGATGGGGTCTCACTGTGTCACCCAGAATGGAGAGCAGTGTTGTGATCATGGCTCATGGAAGCCTCAACCTCCTGGGCTCAAGTTATTCTCCCACTTCAGCCTCCCAAGTAACTGGGACTACAGATGCACCACCATTCCTGGCGTTTTTTTTTTTTTTAAGACGGGGTCTCACTATGTTGCCCAGGCTGGTCTCAAACTCCTGGCCTCAAGTGATCTTCCCGCCTCAGCCTCCCAAACTGTTGGGATTACAGGTGTGAGCCACTGCACCCTGCCTAAAGTTATACTTTAAACAAGGATTCTACGTGTTTGAATACCTACTCTGGGATGGGAGGCCTTCAGGGGCATGTGTGCACACAAGTTCACTGGTACACAGGCAGACATCCCCAGGGAGCACCATACCCCAGACATGTCCACTGCCTCCCTGGGTTCCTGGTGCCATAAACCACTGTCTCAGTTAGTCCCCTCAGCAGTCTGTGAGGTTGGGTTATTGGTCCACAGGTGAGGGAGCCAAGGTCCTGAAAGTAGGCCACAGCCACACTGCTAACTGCAAAGGCGGAGCTGGCCTGACAAGCTCAGATCCTCAGATCCTCGGTCAAGCTGCCTCCTCCACAGATCACCCCTTCCCTGCTGGGCTGGAGGCACAGCTCCTCCTCCGTGTTTCTCCAGAGCCCTCTAGCATACCCACCCACCCCATCCCCTGCAGCTTCCCACCTTGCTCCAGCCACAACCAATGACTCTTACCCCCACTCCCCACACCCACCCCCTCCAGGCCCTTGCTCAAGCTGCCTCTGGCCCCTGGAGCTTCCCTCCCCCAACTCTATCTGTCCACACCCCCCATCCTTCTAGGCTGGGCCCAGGTGCCACTGCCTTCATGGAGACCCTGTGCGCACTCACCCAGTCAGAACCCAGAGCCCTCCCCGGGCACCACCCCGAGCTTGTTGCCCAGCCCCTTGTAGGCTTCTGGCCTCCCTGCGTCTGACTTGGCAGCTGCATGGAGGGCAGGGGAGTCTCTTTGCCCTAGCTTCCTGGGCCAGTTGCCCCCTGGGCCTGGCACACAGTAGGTGCATGGGAGGTCACTGGGGTCCTTGCCTGGGGAGGGACTGCATCTCTACAAACCCATCCATTTCCTTGGCCATCCTGGGTCAGCTGGCTGTTTTGGGACTGGTCCCCACCCCCAGCCCAGCCCCCTACCCAGGAGACCAGCCCCGGGGAGCCTAATTTAGTCCTGGCTGGCTTGGGACGGGGGCTGGCTTCTGACCCCAGCAGACCCTGGTGCACCCTCCACCGTGCCCAGCTTCTGCAGTGGTGGGGGAGCAGTTGCAGGGGAAGGCAAATCCCAGCTTTGAGCTCACAGGCCAGTCTTGGAGCCTGGCAGGTACAGGGACCAGGAGTTTCCAGCCCTGTGTGCCAAGCACTAGTAGAAGGCTGCATAAGACCCTCTGCCTAGGTCCACTTACCCCCTCTAATTACTGGCTGTGTGAGCTTGAGCAAGTCATGTAACCTCTCTGTACCTCAGTTTCCCCATCTGTTAAATGAGGTGATAATAAACCTATCTCAGAGGGTTGCTAGGAGGATTCAATGAGTCAATACAATGCAAGGCACGTTGCACAGCCCCCAGTGAACGAGGTGCACTTCCTAAATGTCGACTGTCACCACTGTTACATGTTACAGAAGCAATGGGCCCACCAAGGCAGAGTGTGGGGGAGTGTTTGGGGAGAGTTTCCAGAAGGTGGTGACACCTGAGCAGTTACTTAAAAGGCAAGGCACAGAAGGCAGGAAAGGACATTCCAGGAAGAGGGACCCATACAGGACAAAGGCCTAGAGGCAGCTTGGGGGACATGTAAGGGAGTTGGGAGCATCTGGATTTAAGGTAAGGCTGGAAAAGGGAAGACCAGAGCTGGGGTTGCCCAGAGGCTGTGTCCTCAGGGTCCTAGGGTGCCACGCCAGGGAATTTGAACTTTGTCCTGCAGCCTGTGAGGGGTTATGGGAGGAGGAATTTTTTTTTTTTTTTTACCATAAAAGCAGTATTTGCTCAAGCAAAATTAAAAAACGGAAACAATATAGAAGTGTGTCCTGTAAAGTAGGAAAGTCCCTCTTTGCCTTTAAAGCCCACTCTGCCCATGTCCCACTGCTGTTGGCCTGGTATGTTTCCTTTCAGAACATTTTCTGTGCTATTGCAAACATATTTATTGTGTATTGCTAAAAAAGGAAACGGAATCATATTATGCACATTACCCCACCAGTTCCATTTTTCACTTCCCAGTATATTGTGGGCATCAGTCAATGTCATGGCACCCAGATCTGCCGTGTTCTTTTTAATCGTTGCCTAATATTCCATTGTTTGTACAAAGCATAATTTATGTAACTAGTCCTGGATTGATGGATATTTAGATTGTCTTCCATTTTTCACTCTTGCAAATAATGCTTCGGGGAGCATCCTTATATATATCTTGCTGACACCCGTAAGCCTTTCTGCAGGATAGATTTCTAGATGCGAGTGGCCGGGGTGAAGGGTCTGCTTGCTCAGTTTTTATAGCAACCTTGCTCTTCCCAAGGTTGGGCCAGCTGATGCTGCCCCCTTGGTATCTGAGAGTGACCATTTCCCCATACCATCCTCCACATTGAACATTCTCAATCTTCCGGATATTTGCCGATCTAGAAAAATATCTCACTATGGTCTCCACACTCACTCTGCTTCTCCCCAGCGAGGCTGAGCATCTTTTCGTGCAGTTTTTGCCCATGGGTGTTTCTTCCTCTGTGAATGGACTGTTCACGTCCTTTGCCCATTTTTCTTTTCTTTTTGCCTTTTTCTTATTGATATAAAAGAGCTTTTAGTGCATTAGGAATTTAAAAACTTTGTCTGTTTTGTGTGTTGGAGATACTTTCCCTAGTCTGCTGTTTGTCTTTTTTAACTTTGTCTGTGGTATCTTTGGTCATAGAGAAGCTTTAGATCTTTATTTAGTCAAATCTGTCAGGCTGCTCCTCAGGGCTTCGGAGTTTCGCGTCTGGCCTGGCGAGGCTTCCTGGGCGGGTTTTAAGTGGAGCGGGGATGAGGTCATATTTGTGACTGGGAAAGGCCGTTCTGATTGCCACTGTGTGGATGGGGGTGGCTGGGGGACTGCAGGCAGGAGGATAGGAAGCAGCTGAGACCTTTGTGCCCAGAAGGGGGTGGGGAGAACTGGGGAGAATATGAGTTTGAGAAATATTCAGGAATCGGCTGACTGTGGTGATAGGATGCGAGGTGAAAGAGGGAAAGAGAGGACTCTGGAGTGATGCTTGGGTGTTTGGCTTGGGGGGCTACATGACTGATGCCACCACCACCCTTAGTTGGGGACAGGACTAGGGAGCGAAATGCATGCAGGTGCACATGAGTGGTCACCTTGGCAGGGACACATGGACATAGGAACACATACGTGCACACATATGTACATGCTTGGAAATTCTGGAGATTGGTGCCACTGTACCGTGGCCCCGTGGGTGTCTGGTTTTTGTGAAGTGCCTATTCTCTACCAAGTACTGTATGAGACGAGACACTACACACACACACACACACACACACACACACACACACTTTAATCTCTACTGCCATATGAGTATGGCATTAGAGATAGGGAACCAGTCCCAGAAAGGTTAGGTAATTTGCTGAAGGTCACAGAGTTAGTAAGTGGCAGAGGAATTTTTCTCCATCTTAGATCTGACCACCCACAGACAGAATTTCTGCCAATGGCATCGAGGAGGAGCTTCCATTCATTTCCAACCTCACCACTGTGGTTTTATCAGGGACTCTTAGGGACGAGTGCTGGAGCTGGACTGCCTGGGTTTGAAACAACCCCATTCCTCTCAAGACATTTCACCTTTCCATGCTTCAGCTTCCCCATCCTGGAAACCAGGATGGTCAGGGTACCCTCCTCGAGGGCGTGTGTGAGAAGCAGATGAGTTAGCAGAAGGAAAGTGCTTAGCCCAGGGGGCTCATTGGGTGCGATTTATGGGGACCATGATGATTATGACAACCACAGTGGCAATGGTGCTCACCCCTCACCTGGGTGTCTGCCACTTTCCCTCCTCCACTCCCCTCCCTTCCACCCTCCCTCCACCTGTCCCCTCATTCCTGTGCCAGCTCTTCCTCCATTCCCATAGGTGCTGCCTTCACCATTTGCCTCTGAACCTTTGTCCTCTGTTTTCAGCCCCCCCACACCCTTGGCAGACAGTGAACTAAAGCCCAATCAATCAGCAAAAACCATTCAAGGGAAAACGATTCATGTTGCATTCAGGGACTCCTCCCTCAAAGCAATTCTAGTCAGGCATTTTCCAAGAGCCTGTGCATTCATCACAACATTGCCTGGGCCTCTGTGAATTAGACCATAGAGTCGAAACCTACAACCCCTTCCTCCCTGAGTGAGATGCTCAGTTGGACTTTGGAGCTGAGAGTCTGAGCTGACCCCAGCCCAGCCAACTCCACTGTAGCCAGGAGCCATCCTTGCATCCCTGTCCAGTTCCTTATCTTAAGCTTATCTGAGCAAATGCTATGGCCATGATGGTGGATGCAAAAGGTGTTCAAGCAGGATGAAAACCTCAGCCTGCACCCAATTAAACAGGTCTCATTTACAAAGAAAAAAAAAACCCACAGAAATAACCAAATGTACCATTTTGAATTTCTCATCATCAAAATTAACTCCCAAGTAGATAGATGCTCGAGGCAAAGAATGGAGCAGAGACTGCTGGTTTCCGGTATGACTTTGTTTTTGGTTGCACTGGATCAGTCACACCTGTTGATTCTTGGTGGGTGGATTCCACTGCAGCCAAGTCTTACTTATTGGGGAAAGTGAGAAGTCGCAGGGGCGTTTATCAACAGGAAGGGCTTTCCCTTGGGTCGCCTGCTAGTGCCCCTGTTACCTTAAGGGGTAGCATCTTCTCCTTGTTCCTCGTGTTGTCCCACAGGAGCACACAACATTTCAGGTGATAATTGCCAAAGTAAAACACCAGTAAGTTCAAAATATAAACCAGCAATTAAGTTTGCACTCCAAGGCCCTGCGGGAGTTTTCCTTATCTCCCTGAGTTGTGGACAGATGAGTTGGGGGTCCCAGAGCCTTTCTGGGAGCTGGTCTTGGACCCAAGTCAAGGAAAAAGCTCTGGAGATGCCCCAGCCTTTGCTCTAAAGTCAAGTTCAGGCCCTCGAATTTAGGCGTAGGCCCCAACTCTCATGGAGATGCCACTACCTGCCTCAGCTCACACCTCCCTTCTGCATGTGGGGAAGGTCCTGCAGGTGGAGCCCATTGCAGGACCTGGAAGCTCCCCCTTTTCCTCGTGGATAGGGAACTCTTGAATTTGGGAAGTGAGATTATTCTACCCCCACTGAAATTTTAGTTACTTAGAGGCTCCCAAATGGGACTTAGTTCTCTCACTCAGAAAGTCACCCAAACGTGTTCTAACAACATATGCAGCAAGGTGACCTGCCCCCAAAGGGGCAGTGGGGATTTTGTAGGATAGGCAAGGTTGTGCTGCACTAACCGGTACTCTCTGAACTCTCAGTGATTTCATGTGACAAAGGCTGTCTTCCTTCCTCCGTTTACCACATGAACTCACATTCCATGCCCGGTGTGGGATGTGGGCAGGGTAGTGGAGCTCTGGTCCACACAACAACTCAGGGACCTAGGCTGCCAGGAGCTCCATCATCTTGTAGCCCCTTCCAGAACATGTGGCCTCCAGTCACCATGGCAGAGAAGAGACAATGATGAGGTCACGCACGGGCTCTGAAATGCTTTGGCTCATCAATGACACGCATCGCTTTTGTTCACAGCCCGTTGGGCAGAACTTCTCATATGGCCCAACTAACTCTAAAGAGGCTGAGGAAATGCCAAGGAAATGTGCTGACATTCAGTGAGCAATAAAATTCTCTGGTACAAAGGCTGTTGTGGGACCATTTTCAGAGCCAGGTTTCAGAAGAGCCACGGCTGTGACTCCTGTTTATTCTCTCCACCTGGGGCATATCGAGTGGTTGCTATGGGCTATGTAATATCCTGATCACATCTACACTGTCCAGAAGGTGAAGAAGAGGATGGATTCTAGTGGGAAGCTCATCAGGGAGCTTCCAGATACAGAGTTTACAAGGACAATGGATCCTCCATGGGTGTTGCATTTAGGGCTTGGCCAAGGACCTAGTCAGGTGTTCTGACTCCAGGACACCTGGGATCAAGGACTGGCTCAGCCCCTTATTAACTGTGTGACCTTGGGCTAGTTGCCTCTCTCTATGTCAGTTTTCTCTTCTGTAAAATGGGAGTATTGATAGCATCTCTGTCTTTTGGGGCGGTTGTGAGGACTAAGTGAGTTACTATGAGTAAAGCACTCAGAATGGTGCTAGGCAAATGCTAAGGGCTCTGTAAATGTTAGCTATCACCACCTCCACAACCGTCATCACCACCATCATCGTCATCATCATTATCCAGTACCAGATGCTATTCTAGGTATTGGGGGAATAAATACCAAGGTCTCTGCTTTCACACGTGATGGAAGAGATGGAAAGTAAATAGGTAAATCATTTAAATAATTAAATTAAGATGTTTATCTCCAATAGTGATGGCACTAGAAAAAATCAGATAGATGTTCATCATTATTAGTAATTAAGGAAATGCAAATTAAAACCACAATGCAGGCCGAGCGCGGTGGCTCACACCCATAATCCCAGCATTTTGGGAGGCCGACGTGGGTGGATCACCTAAGGTGAGGAGTTCGAGACCAGCCCTGCCAACATGGTGAAACCCCATCTCTACTAAAAATACAAAAATTAGCTGGGTGTGGTGGTGCGCATCTGTAATCCCAGCTACTCAGGAATCAGGCAGGATAATCACTTCCCCACCAGGGAAGTGGAAGTTGCATTGAGCTGAGATGGCGCCACTGCACTCCAGCCAGGGTGACAGAGCAAGACTCCATCTTAAAGAAAAACAAAAACAAAAACAAAAAACAAAAAAACCCACAATGCAATACCACTACATATCATTACACTGACTTTGAAAATGTCTAATACCAAGTGTTGGCAAGGGTACAGAGCCACTGGAACTCTCCTAGGTTGCTAGTGGGAATGCAAAATGGTATAGCCAACTTGGAAAAGAGTTTGGCAGTTTCTTATAAAGTTAAAAATAGGCTTACCACACAACTCAGCAATCCTACTGTTAGGTGCTTAACCAAGAGAAATAAAAACTTACATTCACACAAAAACCTGTATGTGAATATTTATAGTGGCTTTATTCATAATCTCCAAAAACTGGAAACAACACAAATGCCCTTCAACTGCTGAATGGATAAACAACGGAGTACTATGCAGCAACAAAAAAGAAAGACATTCTGATTCAAGAGGCAACACAGATATTAATAAATGTGAAGTGCATTATGCTGGGTGAACGAAACCAGACTCAGAGGGCTACGTTTAGATGACTCCATTTGTATGACACTCTGGAAAACGCAAAACAACAGGAACAGAAAACAGATCAGTGGTTGCCAGGGGTAGGGGCTGGGAGGAGTTGACTACAAAGAGACAGCATGCCGGGATTTGGGGGTGACAGGATTGTTCTGTACCTTGATGGCCATAGTGGTTACACAGCCACACGCAGTTGTCAAAACTCATAGACTGTGCACTAGAGAGGGTCAGTTTTACTGTGGGGTAATTATACCTCAATAAACCTGATGGAAAAAGTTTGCTGTGGGACTATTGAAACAAGGAAAACCAAATAACAAGTCAGTCTGTCAGGGCAGTGAGACACGGTGAGGATGGCTTCCTCCAGGGTGGCCTATGGAGGACATTGGAGACTGTGAGAAGGAGGTGGTCACAGAGCTTTCTGAGGAGGTGGCAGGTGGCTGTGTGGTCTGGAGGGGAGGTGAGGGTGGCCCACAGGTCAGGGCTGGGTTGGGCAGTGCCCTGTGGGCCAGGTTAAGGGGCTTCACCCTCCTCTGGGCATGGTGGGTGCCACTGAGGGCATAGGCAGAGGGTGATTGAAGCACAGTTGTGGGCAGGATGGTCTGGGAGGAGGGTGGAGGGAGGAGGGAGGAAGGGAGACAGCACCTGTGGCCATGTCTAGGATGAGTGATGGGGGTGTAGTGAAGAATGAGGAAGGGTGGATCGGGGTGTCACTGAGAGGGTGTTCCCAAGGCGGGGTCAGCTGCCAGAGACCACAGGCTGAGGCGGGAGAGCTGGGGGTGCTGATGGGGTCCTTGGGGACCTTGCTGGGGATCTTGAGCGGTGCTGGGGCTGAGGACCTGTAAGTGAAGCTTCCAGGAGGCAGGGGACACATTTGTTGGTAGCAGTGGGAGTCTCAGAGAGAATGGGGTGGGGTTGTCCATCTGTGTATCTGTGCACGTGAACAAAACTTGCAGAGGTGGGCTGACCTTTGGAGGACATGGAGAGACAGTGAGAAGTTTAGGGGCTTAGACGGGGCCTTGAATGCCAGGCCAGGGAGTTGATGCTCCTGAGGGTGTGATCCATTAAGGGCTGGCCACTCCAGGGTGCTGGGAAGTGGGTAGGGATGGCACTGAGGAGCATGTGCTGTGCTGGGAGGCAGCACCTGAGGCCCACTGGGCTGGGCAATGGGGATCCACTGTGGGGAGCTGTGCTGAGGTGGGCCTCACCTGGGGTAGCAGGAAGCCCTGTCTTTGCCCCACTAACTTTCTTGCTCTTCCCGCACAGTGCATGCTGGGACCGCGACGGACAGGCTGCCGCACCCCAGGCCCCCAGAGGCCAGTCTGTTTGCCTCCCAACGCCATCTGACCCAGGTAGGGGAGAGTGAGGCAGTCTCACCCTGCCTCATGCTTCTGTGCTTGGTGGGAGGCTCTGGGTGTGAGGACCAGGTCCCCTGACTCAGGCTGGCGTTTAGCGAATGAGCCCCTGCCAGGGGCCATGGTGGGGGACACAGTGTGGGGTTTGAAGGCCCTAGCAGCAGAGGGGCCTCCTGTGGAGGAGTTCCTGACCTCTGAGAAGGAAGGCCACGCCTCAGCCATTCTTCCTCACCAGGCTTTGTCCCCGGGATGCTGAGAGGCACTGGGACACACCATCCCTGCAACCCCAGCGTTGCTGTCCTATGCTCACTGTCTGTCTTTGCTCAGGCTTTGTTTTGCGCCACACACCTGCCGAGTGCCTTGGCTGTAGGAGGTTTTGCTCCCAGGTTGGTCTCCCTTTGCCTTCACCTGCCTTTTCACCGCCGCTGCCCAGTGCAGTGCCTGATGGTGCTAATTCTGGAAGTTCCCAGCTCTCTGTGGGACATCGTCAGCACCCGGAGCGAGCCTGTCTCAACTTTCAGTCCCCCTCTGTGGTGGGCCTGAGATAGGCCATTTCTGCGCCACTCCTGGACATCCCAGGTGAAGGCTTTCGGCCTGGTGCCAAATCCCCCAAGGAATAGGATGGGGTAGCAGCTAGGGTTGCCAGAAAAAAAATACTGCTGTCCAGTTAAATTTGAACTTCAGATAGACAACAAATAATTTTTCAGTGTAAATATATCTTAAATATTACATGGCACATACAATTTTATTTGCCAAATCTGGCAACCCAAGTTGGGGGGCTAAACCCCCAGTCTCCCTTCTCCTCTGGCCAGACCTCCTTGCTGGGCTCACCCTGGCCTCAGATCAGCTGCCTCCAGTGGCTGTTGTGGGTGTCCTGGAGCCAGGGGCAGCCAGCCTGCCCAGGCCACAATCAAGGGCATTTCCTGATCCCCCAGCTGCCGCAGGCTGTCCCTAGGACAGAGACCTGGGGTCTGGGGCAGTAGTCCTGGTCTTTGGGAGTGCTGTAAGGTTCCTCGTCTTCCCCCCTCTGGCTCTCTGACAGCGGAGCCCAGGCTGAGGAGGTCATGGGACAGGGCGGGTTGGGCCTTTGTGCCTGTGAACAGAGCTGAGAGACAGGCATGGAGCTGTGAAAGGAACCAGGAATAGAAAATTGCTTCATGAGCTTGGAACCCAGAGCACTTTGGGGAGCCAGAGTGGGGATGGGGGTAACAGGGATGAGGCAGTGACGGGTTATGGAGGGCTTGGAATGGCTTACTTCTGCACCCTTTAATACTGGGGAGTCACAGAAGGTATTTTCTCCCTAAGCAGAATCATTTTTCTGATTATTAAGGTAATATGTTCTCTATATGTTACCTATTATCTATGTATGTATCTATCTATCTATTCATCCGTCTATCCATCTATCTCTCGGTATTTAAAGCATGCGGTTCAAGCCCCTTCTGTAGTCTTTTCCTCCCAAGAGCTAACACGGATAACTCGTTTGATATGTCCCCTTCCACACTTTTTTCTATGTACTTATCAACGTATTTTAAAAGGAAAAACATGGGCTCATATTAGTTATATTGCTCCAGCACTTGATTTTTTTACCTAACAATGTCATATGGATCATCCCGGGTCCTTCCATAGAGTTCTTCCCCACCCTTTTACATCCCTTGTATGATGGTCTACAAATCATTCATCAATTATTAATCCTGTTGGCAGCCATTTAGGTTGTTTCTGGCATTTGGCTATTTATAAACTTCACTCAGGGAACCTCTGGGTTTGCACATCTGTGTGTGCTTGTGCTGTAGTTCTTTTGGGAATGTTTCTGGAAATGGACTTCCTGAGTCAGAGGGCACCCACATTTCCACATTTGATTTGTTCTGGACAGCCAGATCAACCTGCAGAAGGCTGAGCTGATTTATGCTCCTACAAACTGTATGCAAAATGCCCCTTTCCCTCACCCTTGCCAATCATAGGAATTATTAATCACTTAATCCCTGCCAATTTGACAGATAAAAATGATTTTACTCTATGTTTCTTAGACTGCTAATGAGGTTGAGCATATTTGCATATGCTTGTTGGCCATTTCTGTTTCTTCACTTGTAAATTGCTTGTTGATGTCAAGTCCTCTGCTGCTGTATCCACTCATTCAGGAAGTATTTACTGAGCACCTACTATGTGTCAGACATTGTTTTGGTTAGGGACCGAACAGTGAACAAAACTCACGAAATATACCTGCTCCAAGGAATGTAAGCTGTGATGGAGGAGAGACAGACAAGGAAAAATACAGCATGCGTATGGGAGTGTTAAGTGCTAAGGCGAAAAAAAATCAAGCAGAGGAGGGGGATGGGAAGTGTTGGGCAACTTGGACATGGTCGTCATGGAAGGTCTCTTCGAGAGGTGGCATTTAAGTAAAGACCAGCAAGAAGTGAGAGACTGAGTTGGGTGGATGTTGTGGGGGAAGCGCCTTCCAAACAGAGGGAACAGCAGGTCTGAGGACCCTGAGTCAGGAGCAGACCTGGCTTATGGGGACATGGCAAGAAGGCTGGTTGGTGTGGCCAGAACAGGGTGAGTGAGGGAGAGAGTGGGCCATGCAGCCGAACAGGGACCACGCACTCATCACTCAGGGCCTGCAGGCCGCCTGGAGGACTTGACTGTTACCCAAAATGAAGTGGGGAAAGCCATGGAAGGTTCTGCGTAGTGACATGGCATGATTGGAATTACATTTTAACCAGATCCCTCTGGCAGCTGTGAAGCAGGGAGATCCGACAGGAGGCTGTTTGTTGCAGTGATCCAGGGAGGAGGCAATGGAGGACTGAACCAGGGAGTCTTGGTGGAGGTGGGCAGAAGTGGATGGATTCCACATGTATGCTCAAGGTAGAGCCAATAGGATTTGCTGACAGATTGGATGAGGTGGTGTGTGAGAGAGAGAGAAGGGAGCCAACCATGACTCCAGGGGTTTTGGCCCAAGCATCTAGGAGGGTGGGGTTGCCATAGATGGAGATGGGGAGATCGGAGAGGAGCGGGTTGGTGTAGGGGAGAGGAGTGGTTCAGTGGTGGACAGGAGTGCTGAACAACCGTGAGTCATTTGGAAAAAATGGTTACATAATGTGTGGGACCCAGAGCACAGTGAAAACGGGTGACTTTTTGCTAAAAAAAAATTAAGAATTTCAAAGTGGGAGGTGACAATAGAGCGTTAAAGGAAGCCTGGGGCCCTTCTGAGTGCACAGCCCAGGTCACACATCTGTGAGCCAGCCCTAGCAGTGGACACGTAAATGGTGAGATGCCTGTAGACAGCCTGGCAGAACCATGGAGTTGACAGGTGGATGTATGTGACTGGAGTCCAGGGGACAGGTCTGGGCTAGAGATACAAATTTGGGGCTATCAGCATAAAGATAGTATTTAAAGCCATGAGGTTGGATGAGAGCATGGAAGGAGAGTAGACAGAAAAGACCAATGTCCCAACCCCCAGACCTCCATCAGTTAGAGGGTGGGGAGCTGAGGGGGAACAGAAAAGGTGACTGAGAAGGGACACCCAGTGAGATGAAAAGGAACCAGGCATGTATGTCCTGGACGCCAAGGGCAAGATGCATTTCAAGCATGTGTCAAATGGGGCTAAGGATGCAGACTGAGAACTGGTCACTGCCTCGGTAACGAGGTCACAGGTGACCATAGTTTCAGCGATTGGGGCGGTGAAATGCATCTTATTGATTTGCAAGAGCAGGTGGATTTAGAAGAGGTTAAAGAAATTAACTCTTTATTTGGCATATGTGCAAATCATTATTCACAAGTTTTTTTTTTTCATTTAAGTTTATGGGATGTATTTAACCCCTTAAAAGTTTTAGATTGTCCTGTGTTCAAGTCTATCACTCCTTTCCTTTAGAGTTCCTGGCCTTACCCACTGCAGAATTTTAAAAATATTGGCCTATACTGTTTTCTGGTTGTTTATGATATTCACAAATATTTAAATCTCTAGTTCATCTGAAATGTATTTCTGTGTGTGGTTTGAGGTAGGGATCTAAGTGGTTTTTTCCCAAATGACTTGCAGTTGTTTCGGCACTGTTTGTTGGGTAAGCGTCCTTTCCCTGCTGCTCTGAAGCTCCATTCCTGTCATCTGCTGAAATGTCCCCAAAGTCTCATGTCTGTCCAGACCTCGCTGTTTGATTCCATTGATCTTTGCCTGGGGAGAGATTTAGGAAGTTGAGAAAATAGACTTGGTGATTGATCAGAGTTGGTGTGAGGAGGGGGAAGGAGTGGAAGCTGACACAGTTACCTTCAGTGTGGGAAGAGGCAAAGGGAAGTCGGGGACAACAGGAGCTCTAAGGGCTCCTGTGTGCTAGGCACACGGGGCCTTACCTGTCAGCCTGCACTGCAATTCTTCAGGGTCGGCGTTCTGTCTCACCATTTGCAGATGAGAAAACTGAGGTTCCAAGAGGTTTCATCTCATGTCCAGGGTCATCGCCTCACAGGTGTGGGGCTGACACTGAAAGGCAGAGCTCTGGGTTCCCATGCCTGCCTTCTGTCCTCAGTGAAGTGAGAGGTGAGGAGGGGATTCTGGAGGCTGGAAGGTCTCCAGGCACAGAGCGCCCCCTGACACCCCACTCTGCATCCCTGCCTGCCATTTGGCTGGGTCTTGAAGGTTTTCCCGTTCCAAAAGCAACCTGTTAAGACCAAAATACTCCTGGCAGGGAATCACACGTTAAGTTTACAGCTAACATCTTAATTATCAGTTAACACCTCTGCAGGCATTAGCTGACAGCCAGCTGAGGACACTGAGTGGGGGCTGGTGTGATGTGTATCTGGGTTGGGAAAGGCCAGGAGGGAGGGGAGGGGTGAAAGGGGAGGGTTGGGTACCCAGCAATCTACAGCTTCCCCCCGGGCTTGAGAGGGAGGCGGCACTGAGTCCATGTGGAGGGGAGGTGGGGAGAGCTGGGGAGCGAGCACTGTGGGGGTCGGGGTGGGGAGAGGAGTGGCAGCTTCTCTAAGGAAACTTGGGGCTGGAGTTCAGAGAGGGAACTGGCATCTATTAGACACCTGCTGTGTTCCTGTACCCATGTGCTTGGCCTCAGGAGGAGGAGGAGGAGGAGGAGGAGGAGGAGGAGGCAGAGGCTCATCATGTGTTTGGTCTTAGGAAGGTCAGGAAATCAGCCGCCCATGAGCCACCTCAGGCCCAGCTGCCAGCAGTCACTCAGAGCCAGGACCTGTCTCTGACACCCACAGACCAGATCCGTCACCCAGCCCTGTGGCGTAGGAGGAGATAGTGAGGCATCTGGGGCCTCCTCCAGTTTCCTGGGGGCCAGTCCACCCTGCCAGGGTCAAGACTCAGTCTGTAACCACAGTCAGAAGGGTCTGACCCTGGAAGTCTCACCCAGGAGGGTGGCTGAGCTCCTTAGGCTGAACTGGGACACAGCAGGAGGCCCAGGTGGGTACCAGGCGGGGACCGCCTTCCTGCCCACCGCTGCTCCCCACCTCACTGCTGCATGGGGGCAGGGAGAATAGGAAGGAGACCGGACCGCTGGTCTAAAGCTGGGGCCTCTCTCCCAAAGGGGCTTCCTCCCTGCCTAGCTTCACTCTGCCCCGGGGCACTGATCTGTGACATCTGTGTCATCATGTGTCTGAAGGTAACCGGCTGCCCAACTGCGTCATCACTGTGTTGGGCTCTGGCTTAGCCTTCCTGGGACCCTGGGGCTAAGAGCAGCCCGTGCTTCCTCTCCATCTCGCCCCACCTCTTTTCTTCTCCTCCTTCCTCCCTTCTCACCCCCTCTCCTCCCTATCCCTCTCCTTCTCTCTCCCTCTACCTTCTCCCTCTTCTCCCCTCTTCCCTCCCTTTCCCTGCCAGCCAATCCTGGCCTTGCACCTAGTTGCTGGCAGTCAGACCCTGAGATATCAGACTTGCTTCTAGCTCAAGGCTGGCCCAGGTCCTGGGTAGGGCTCCACAGTCAGGCACAAGTCCCGCTGTTCCCTTGTACTCACCTGCACACCCTCCCAGAGGTGCTGCAAGGGCTCAGCTGGGGAGGGGCCCTGCGGGAGGGTCAGGTGGTGATGAAGTAAGGCTTTTGGGAGGGGAGGAACTGTGCCTGGTGCCTGGGAAGCCTGAGAAAGCCTTCCAGGAAGCGGGCCCTATGTGAGCAAAGGCTGTGTGAGCAAAGGGATGATAGACAGGGCCTGGGCTGGAGGAGCTAGGGGTGGTGCTTGTCCATCAAAGGGGATTGAGGCCAGATCCAGCAGGTGGACTTGATTCTGAGGCCCCAGGGATCTGGGGGCTTTGAGGCAGGAAACAGCCACAGAGCTGCCTGCCTTCTTGTGCCCATCTTCCCTGCCCAGCAGCAGCTGGCCCCTGGCCGCCCTGGGTCCTGCTGCACCGAGTCTGGAGGCCTGGCTTCTCTGCCCAGTTCTGCCTCCAGCTTGTCAAGTGACCTTAGGGCAAATGACCTTGAGCCTGGGCCTCAGTGGCCTCACCTGAGACTGGGGCCATGGCTCTGGACCAGAGGTTTTACAGAGTATGAAGTGTGCCCTGTGTTAACATGGTGCTGTGGTCACTGTTGTGGCTCAAGTGCCTGCCCTGAGATGCCAGCTCTGGGGACCACGGCTGTGCCTCGGGTAGGGCCCCACCCTCCCAGAGCTTCCACTCTTGTGAGGGAAACAAATGTGTAAAATAGAGGTTGAAAATTAGAGGCTGCAGACAGACATGTGGCTTGTGGATGTGTTGTTCCATTTTAAACAATTTGGTTTTAAAAAATTGAAATATAATCCACATGCCATAAAAGTCACTATTTTAAAGCATACAGTTCAGTGATTTTTAGCATATTCCCAATTGTGCAACTCTTACCACTATCTAATTCCAGAGTATTTTCATCACCCCGAAAGGAAACCCTGTACCCTTTAGCAGTTACCCGCCATTCTCCCCTCCTCCCTGGCCCTGGCAACCACGAATCTACTTTTGTCTCTTTGGATTTGCATATTCTAGACATTTCATAGAAATGGAATCATACAATATGTGGGCTTTTCTGCCTGGCTTCCATTGCTCAGCACACAGTTTTTAAGGCTCATCCATGTTCTAGTGTGTGTGTATCAGTACTTCATTCTTTTTTTTGGCTGAATGATATTCCATCGTATGGCTATCACACATTTTGTTTATATAGTCATTCATGAACATTTGGGTGGTTTTGACTTTTTGGCTCTTATGAATAATGCTGCTATGAATATTTGTGCACAAGTGTTTTCAATTTTCCTGGGTCGATTTCTAGGTGCTAAGTTGCTGGGCCGTAAGGCGATGTGGTTTGAAAGGCATTAGACAGGGGCATGCTCTCCAGTTTGTGAGTTCTGCCCACTCGCTGTTGCATTATCTTTGCCCCTTCACTCACTTTCATTCCTTCCCTGGCCCCTGTAGGCATCTAGGTTTTCAGCCCTTGATTACTGAACAGTGATGGAGAGGAACACAGTGGGCTATGGGAGCCAGAGAAGGCTCCTGACCCTGGGAGCAGTCCCAGAGGGCTTCCTGGAGGAGATCCAATCTGAGCTTAGCTTAGCCTGTGTGGACATTTTCTAGGACAAAAGGAGTGAGGGAGAGTGTTCCAGGGTCTCCAGGGCCCAGCCAGGATGTCCTCTCTCCCTTCCTCTGGTGTGTACCTCTCTCGGTTTTCCCTGCCATTCACTCAGGGGACTACAAACACCTCGATGGGCTAGCGAGGTGAAGGGGGAAGATGAAGGAGTGAGATGAGATGTGGCTCTGTGCTCTTGCTGAAGAGCTGGGGGAGATGCTGTGGGAGGCAAAGGGATGGGGGACTTTGGCTCTTCCTCAGCTAGGGGCTGGCAGAGTCTGAGGACCTGGAGCAGAGGCGACCCTAAGCCAGGACACTCTATGTCCCAAAGTGGCATCCAGTTGTCCTCTCTCTGGCCCCTGGTGGGAGCAGGTGAGAGACAGGATGGCCCTTGCCAGGCCTGCAGCAGAGGCAGAGGCCCAGTGGCGGCCCAGGCCAGAAGCTGTGCACACATCCTCCCAGGTTTCTGCTCTGCTACCTAACAGGTAATTATACCCTGACATGCACAGCGGCGAAGAAGGGATTTTCTGTGAAGCAAAATCTCCTGTGAAATATTCAGGCCACGCTGGGCTTTGCTTCCCAGCGTCTAGTTGCTGCTGCTTGGCTTGTCCGTGGCTTGAGAGGCCACATGTGTCTGAAGACCACATGGGATTTTTTATTTCCTTCTCAACAGGGAGAGGTTCCCCAAGGGCTAGGAAGAACCCAGTTTGGGACCTAAGATGCTCTGTGTGTGTGTGTGTGTGTGTGTGTGTGTGTGTGTGTGTGTGTGTATTCCCCTGTGAGCTCCCCAGGGCAGCTCCCCTGTGTGTGTGTATATGTGTGTTGAATACCGTACAATGTATGTGTTTCCACGTGTGTCTCTGGGGCTGTGCTTCTGTGTGTGTGTGCTTGCCTATTTCTAGTCTCTGCACACTGTCATGAACTTGCCATGTGGATGTATTCCTGCGCATGCGTCGTGACCCTGGCACGTAAAGTGCATTTCTCTGACAGTCCAGGTTGTCTCTAAAGGGGCTTCTCAACTGGGCCCCTGTTTCTCTGAATAGGGGTATGCACGCCTGGGAGATTCTCTCAGCGGATGAAGGGCTGCCCTGCGTGACAGTTCAGCCTGTGACTGGCATTACATGCAGGTTTTAGGGTGTGGATTGGAAGCCTTGCAAGTCCCCACAGGCTCAGGGGCTCAGAGACACCAGACCAACTACACATTTGAGTCAAGCTTTCCCCTCTTCTCTCTGGCTTTAGTGTTTGTGTTTAGTGTTTGTTTGATTTCCACCAAAGTGCTTGATAGGGGATGGTTGGGAGGATATTTGCTTCAGAGAGTTCACTGAGCTGGGACATGTGCATCCCTTTGCTGGTGCCTTCCAGTTGCTCAGCTACCCCACGTGTCTCCTCCAGCCCACGAAGCCCCTGCATTTGCACCATGGGTCGTCCTTCTAAAACCCTGATTTTGCACCTCATTCACTTCCTCACAATGCACAAGGTAGGCAGGACTGGAATTGTCATACCCATTTATCAGATGAGTTAACTGAGGCACAAAGAGGCATACATGCAGTCACTTGGTGAACCAGGGCTGGGAGCAGGATCACTAGTTCCTCCTCCCTGTGCAGGTTCCTTTGCCCTCAGCCCCAGCCCTGGGCCCTCAGTGGAGAGAACTCTGCCCAGAGGAAATGGGTCCTGGTTTCATGAATGAATCCAGCTGGAGGATGCCCTTTTCTCCATGTGTAGCTCTCCTCCCTTCTGTCATCACTCATCTTCGTCCTGGAGAGATGACCCTAGGGCGCTTTTCATCTCCAAATAAACAGGCAGGGATGCAGGAGGCAATAATATTGACGTCCATCATTGATATTTCCTTATGGTGGCTGTAATTAGCAATTCTTCCACAGCTGAGGCTCGACCTGGCAGACAAGTGGAGGAGCTCTGGCTTGTTAATGTCAGCCCATTAATGTCACACTGACAAGGCTGATGGTGGGATAGGAGGGGGTGGCCTTAGGTAGACAGCAAGAGACTCAGCGGGGCTGAGCAAGAGAAGAAAGTCCACCCACTTCCCTCCTGCACCAGGGACTTGCTGTCCTCGAGCCCAGTCCCCTGAGAGCACCCCTCATCTCACATATTCAGCAGCTGCCTCCTTCACTCCATGGCCCCTCGCCCCTCCCTATTCTGCTAGGATGGCTTGGCCTGAAGAGCAGGCTCCACATCCCTGGGAAGATCCACAAACCTCAGCCCGAGCACCCACAGCCTAGAAGGGCTCCATTGAGGGCCATCCAGATAGCCGGAGGTGGGAGAGCAGCTCCTCAGCCCTATGCTCTGCTCCTCCAGTGGGAGAATGCGCTCCCCTCCCTTGCCCCCGGCCACACTCCGATCTGCACAGCTCTGCTGGTGCTGACCTCCACAGCAAGGCAATCACATGCCCCCCTCATCCATGCACTGTTAGGATCAGAAAGGCTAGGATTAGCACTCCCAGACCCCAGACCCTCCTTACCCATCCACTTCAGGCTTCCCCTCCTCCTTCTTCTTATCCAGAGAATTCTTGGGTCAGTATCCTCTCCTCCAACCACATTGCTCATCTCAGTGTCCCTCTGGCCAGACTTCTTTAGATCTTTTCATTCCTTGAACACAAGAAGCCAAGCCACTTATCATTCAGAGAGGCTGAGTTCCTCAGCCCTTGCCACCTGCCTGTCTCCTGTGCTGCCAGCCTGCCCATTTGCTACATGCCTAGTCTGGGGCTGCTCTGAACTAATGATCCAACAACTCATAGTGGCAGGGCTTGTTTTTTGAGTGCTTATGATGTGCCAGGCACTGTTAAAAGCATCTTACAAGCATTTGATCTTCATAACAATGCTATGGAGCAAATATACTTAGCATTCCATTTTATAGAGAAGGAAAACTGAGATGCAAGGAGATTAAGTTAGCTGCTCCAGATCACAAGGTTGTTAAGTGGTGGGCAGCATGAATCAGGCTGTGTGGCTCCCAAGCTCTTCTACTGAGCCATCACCCTCCTCTGCCTCCAGCTTCAGCCCCTAAGTCATTTCCTTCACCTGCATCTCTTCCCCTGTGTGCTCCCCAGGGCAGGCAGAGGCTAATCCCCAGCCCCTCACCCAGTGCCGGCTCACGGTAATCAGCAGATGAGGGTAGTAGTGACGACAGCACACTCATCTTAGCCCCATATTACGCAGGCCCCATGGCTCCCTCCCATGTTCTCTGATGTGTGCCTGCTGCCCCCAGGAGCGCTGCACACTTTCTAACAACAGGTCCTCCACCAGGGCTGTTTGCTGAATGAGAGGCGAGCCTCTGACTGCAAGACTCCTTGAGGCAGAGAGAGGCAGCCCTGCCCACCAAGGAACACCCACTCAAAGGGGACCTCGGAAACTTGTGTCTCAGCTCATAGACAGGACTTGGCGGAGATGTCCACATGTTCATGTCATTCATTCATTCACTCATTCATTCATTCATTCATTCAGCCAACACTTGCTGGATGCTGTGTGCTCTGAGCCAGGCCCTCTGGAGGGTCCAAGCACACTGAGATAAACAGGTCCTCGCTGTGCCCTGGGGGAGCCCATGGCCTTGGTGGTGGGGAAGCATAGCCAGGGCTCACCAGTGCTGGGGAAAACTTGCTCAGTGAGCCAGAACCAGAGCACCGTGTGGGGGTGGCTGGGATGGGGGAGAGAGGCTGCACAGAAGAGCAAACACTTGAATGGATTCACTGAGGAAAAGGAGGTGTTTTTAGGCTGAGGGAGAGGAATGAGTACCACAGGCAGAGGGAACTGCCTGTGCAAAGGCCCTGGGTCTGAAAGGGCCCAGGACACATGCAGGGCAGCCTGGAGGCGGGTCAGCTCAGCATCTCACCTCACCTGCCTGGCGGAGGGTGCGGTGTGGGCAGGTCAGCGTCTGCAGGCGGGTGGAATTCCCAGCATGGCGACTAAGCCAGCTAGCTGTGGAGGGGATGTGTGAGGACAAAGGATATTCCTTGGGTTCAGGAAAGGGCCACCTGGGCTTGGGCTGGCCTGAAGGGCACTCGCAACTATGGTTGCACTCATCTGTGCTGGGTCTCCCAGGTCTCAGAGCTCCCAGGCCTCAAAGCAGCCCCTCCAATAGGCAGAAGAGAGACTGAGGCCCAGGCAGTGGCAGAACCCTACCCAGGGTCACACACAAGCAGTGGGTGAGCAGGAGGTTCCCACTGCCCTCTAGCAGGATGTTGGGGTCCTTGACAAGGAGCAGGGCTCTAGCTGTCAGGGTACAGGGCAAAGCGTGGTATCTGCCAAGCATGGAGCAAGGCAGGAAAGGCCTGGCTGGAGAGGACATGACACAGAGCCCACCAGAAGGCTGAGGGTTGGGCAAGGGGCCTTGAGTGCTGGCAGAGGAGAGGGCTTGCCTCTGGAGTCACCTCTGGAAGCTTTTCGAGGATTTGGCTTGAACATCCTGTGGACAGTCTCTGGGGAAAATGTCTCTCATACACCTCATGGGGCTCAGAACAGCCCACAAGGGAACCAGGCGTCCCTGCCCACATGTGCACAGGCAGGGACCTGTATACCAAGATGTGCGCCCACCTCTGTATGAGCTCAGGCACACGTGTGTACAAGCATGCCTCTGTTTGCACATGCAGATCTCTGTATGTGTGTCATATGTGTACAGCTGTGTGTTTACAAGTCTGAAGGAGCTGTCCCTTCAAGTACAATTCTGTATCTGTATGTGTGTACAAGAGCCCCTGCCACGGCCAGCAGCCCCACAGGGACACACCCTTCCCCTCCCACTGGAGTCAGATGCTCCGGAACTTGCTGCTCTCAGGCCTGGGTCCAGCCCTCCCTGGCCCATCTCAAGGCCCTCCCCCTGAGTCCTGAGGTTTGGCCTCCTGGGGACAAGGCCAGCCAACTTGGACCAGGTAGGGGCTCCTGGTGGATAGAAGTAGGCATCAAAGAAACAGCTCAGGCTGGGAGGAGCCCTCCAGCTCTCTTTTGTGCAAGCCACCTCCCCACACATACCTGAGTGCCTGCCACAGGATGCTGACCTACCCTCCCCAGCCACTTACACTGCTCTCCTGACCGGGAGCTCACTGCTTCCCAGGGAAGCGCCTGGGGAACCTATGGGACGTTGCCTCGAAAGGAGATGTCAGGAGTGCCAGAGGATGGGGTCAGGGCTTGGCCATGACCCCCCAACCATCCACAAGGCCTGGGGCCTTCCCATAACAGACAGGCCTGGGGCACCAGCTCCTGGTGGCAAGGCCAGGCCCCAGCATCCAGGGACTTTCACCTTGTTGTCAAGAGCGTATTTCAGCTATTAGTGACAGTGGCCAGGGATTTGGGGAGGATTTCTGTCTCATTTCCCAGAGCTTTCAGCAAGCCTCCTCCCTTTCCACCCCTCCGCCTGCCAGGGCTGAGAATGCAAACGCATGCGCGCGCGCACACACACACACACACACACACACACACACACACACACACTGCTCCTGTGTGGCAGAAGAGAGGAAGGGAGAGAGAAATCTGGGTCAGTCTCCCAGGGAAGGCTCTGTGGCAGCTCCCCACCTTCCCCAGCAGATGCTTGGTGTTGCACGCTCAGCCGAGGTCCGAAGGCAAGGCTTGCCCGGGTCCTGCCCCAGCCTCTGCCAGAGGGGCTCTGCCTTGGGAGCCCAGGCTTGCCCTGCTTAGCCCCTCCCTGGGCCTCCCTGTCCAGGTGACCTCACTCTTGGGCCTGAGCATTTCCTCTGCCAGGCCCCAGGACTCATGGGTCATTTATGCCACACTCAGCTGATTGCATGGAGGGTGACAGAGGCTCTCCCCATCCCCCACTCGACCCTTCAGCTTCAGCCCCTGGGACTTGGGATATGAGCGGCAGAGTGGTAGGGGAGGCCCGTATCTCTGGAACTGGGGCGTGTAAGCGCACCCCCACGCAGAGAACACCCAAACACTGAGGAAGGACCCCTACTGGTGGGATTTCAGGCAGTGGGGCAGGGGCTGGGGGTCTGGGTAGGATGCCTCAGAGGTGGGAAGGGGTTTCTGAGAGAAGGGCAGATAAATACCTGAAGATGTCACTGCCATTTCAGGATACATCTTGGGTGGGGATTTAGCTAAAGCCCTGAGTGGTTAAACGGGTCCCCTAGACAGGACCAAAGTCCAGGGTGGAGTTCTACCCCACCAGTGAGCTCAGGCAGACGTTCACTGGACTGGGTGGCAGGGGGAGGTGGCAGGGTTTCCTGCCTGAACCAGGCCCTATTTAGCCAAGAAAACTGAATCATGGGGAATGACCACCGTTTAAGCCACCCAGGGATCCTGGAAGCCTCCCCACCCCCGACCACTGATAGACACCAAAGCCGCTTTCTTCTTCCGCCCTCGCACCGCACACAGTTCTAGGTGACCCAGCACATCTCTGCTTCCTTCTACCAGGGCATGGCCATGCGTGGGGAATGTTTACTGAATGCAGGAAGAGATGGTTGATTTGATTTAAGTTAGATATTAGGAAGGACTTCCAGATGCCACTGGGGCAGACTTAGCCCTGGACTGGATGTCTATGGAGGTGAGGCTGATCCTCAAAAAGCCTGTCAGGTTGGGGGTGACCCCCGGCATCCCCACCTTCCCCCAGAGGCGGAGTCCTGCCTTTCGAGTGTGGTGAAGCACCGGCTTCCTTCCTGCAGGGGCCTTGCTTGTCCCAGAGCCTCCTGCAGTGCCTGTCTTTTTCCCAGCCCAGGGAGTGTGGGTTCTGTGCGGTGGTCAGCTACTGAAATATTGCTGTCATCGTGTGCATCTGTTGGTATACACATGTGCAGTGTGTGTGCCTGCGTGTGACCAAGCTGAGGGCACATGTGCACAGGATGGCTCAGGAGTCAGTCCATCGACTTCAAAGTATTTTAAAATATAGAACCAGAGACCTTCTGGCTTCAGAAGGGGCTAAAAGGATTGATTTTTAGGTCACAGAGAGGCAGGCAGGCCTGCCTTCACCCACCAGCCCTTCATGGAGTAGAGACCCCCAGGCTGGGCATTCAGGGAAACCCAGGGCCAAGGAAGCTAGTCCTTGGCCTTGAGCTGGGGGCTGCTAAAGAGGAGTTAGAGGGGGCTGGAAAGGCTTCAAGAGAGGGTGGAGGGTATTGGCTTTGAGAGAAGGTGAGGGTGGGGTCATGTTCTCAGTTGGGGCTGGGCAGCCTGTTCCCTCTTTGAGAACCTCATAGAAAAGGGTTTCCTGCCCCCTCATCCCCAAGGGCTCCAGCCAACCCCATCCTTCCTCCCTCTGACCGCCCTTCTCTCATTCCCCACAGCCAGGCCAAGCTGTAACTTAGTGCTCAGAGGCCCCTTGGGCAGGAGCTGGGGCAGCTGAGCAGGGTGGGGTGGGGGTAGGAGCTACCAGTACCACGCCTTCCCTCTGCTAACCCTACCTGACTGGGGCTGTGCACTGGGGCCCCAGAACTGTGTAGGCCAGGGTCACACACACTCACATATGTGGGTCCTCCTGGATCAATGGGGTATGGAGCTGGAAAAGGTCTAATTCAATCTGTCAGCCAGTTATAAGTTATTGTACTGGAAGTGGCTCTTGCCTCAACCTACCTACCATCTCCTCTTGCCCCATCCAGAGGTCATGGAAGCTCCCGTTGAGGGGAGTCGGGCAGGGTGGGTGCAGGCAGCATCCTGGGCAGGAGTGGCCCATGAGGATTGGGAAAGAATCAGAGACAGCATCCTCTCCTCCAGACCATGGGCCCTGGAAGGGTCTCCAAGACTCTCTGGGTCAGCACAGCCCTTGTCCACACAGGGAAACTGAGGCCCAGCAAAGGTAGAGGGCTGGCCTGTCCCTGTGTGAGATGTGGGCCATGCTGTCTCTGTTTGCTCAGGCCCCGCTGGGAAGGGCAGGAGGGAAAAAGAAGCAGAGGGTGGGGCGATCAGTAGGGGAAAGAGGACAAGGGTCTAGGGTGCTGTGAGGCACACTTCAGGCTGTTTACCCAGCAGTGTTTGAGCCCTCGGGCCAGAGAAGGTCTTGCCTTCTGCCCTCTCAGGGATGGTGGCCCAACCCAGGAAACAGATAGTGTCTGGCGCTGAGTCTCATTGGGGGCTTCAAATGAACTGGCAAGGCACTGTCATTCCCATTTCATAGATATCCAAACTGAGACCCAAAGAGAGGCCTGCCTCTGGGAGGTCTTCCACAGCTGAATACCCTCAGCGAGGAGGCTCTGCTTGCTGCCTGAGGCAGAGCTGGGAGTAGCTCCTCTGGGAGGGTGGGCATTGGGGGCAGCTTGTCCCCAGGACTTCCCAGCCTTCCCTGTTTGTTCCCATGCTGTCCAAGAACTTCTTCTGCAAGTCTGACCACAGTCCCTCCTGCTTTAATTTCATCCCACCACTCATGCGAGATCTTGTCAATCCAAAGGTCTCTCTGTCCCTCTGCCTTCTTGGTGTGGGGTGGGTCTGGGGGCTCAGGCACTGTCCCTGCAACCTGGCTGGCTCCTGAGGGCAAGGGATGAAGCTAACCCATCCCAGCCTGCCCACCCAGGCCAGTTTGAAAATCGGCTCGCCTTTGCCCAGCATTGCAATTCTCATCACAGCCTCTGCCCATCTCATTTCTGTTAAACTCATTTGCCAGCTGAAGGCCTTCATTTTCCACTCTGTTTGCCCATAATCACCCCCTGACCCTGTCCTGTCTCCCCAAACTCTCCCTGCAGTGCCCAGCACTGTGATGAGCAGGCAGCCAGGCTCAGGCACAGCCGCAGCCCTCCATCCATCCCTCCCGCCTGTCTTGGGAAGAGGCCTGTGCTCCAGGCAGGGATCTCATCCCTGCCTCTGTGCATTCCTCTACTCCCAAACCAGACACTGGGAAAACTACAGACAGACTCTCAGCCCTTGAAGGCTACTCACCCTCCACTCTCTGCCTGTCCACCCAGGCCAGGAAGGCACTGTTCTAAACACTGTGCATGTATGAAGTCCCTTAATTCATCCACTAGCCCGAATGAATTTCTAATTGGTGGGAGTTTAAGGAGAAATGTTGACAAAGGGAAACTGAGGGAGCAAGAGGCAAACTTCTCCCTCCTCCAGGGCTCCATCCCTGCTCCCACTTGGTACAGAGAATAGAGCCCAGCTGTTGCTGCAAACCATGTCAGGCATCTGCTGAGGTCGCCTCGGGAGAGCAAGGGAGACTCTGCTCTCCCCCCAGGGCTCACCATTCTCCCATGAGATGCCTGCAAGGGTGGGGCTTCAGGCCAGGCACCCTCCCCTCCGGATCTCAGAGCACCCCTGAGAAAGTCCCTTGGCGCCGAGTATCATCACACAGACTGTGGGAGGAATCAGAAGTAATGTCCTCTGAGGCCTCGGCACCCCTCCACGTCTTACCATGGCTGAACCTCCGCCTGGCCCCCTGGACACCCTTGACTCTACTCCAGGCTGGACATGCCCGAGGGCCCATTTCTAAGCCTATTTACCATGAGCCTCAAACGAACCCTATAGAGTGAGTGGAGCTGGGACAAGGATCCCCATTTTGCCGGCAGGGAGATCGAGGCTCAGAGAGGAGAAGTAACTGTGCCAACTCCTCCTCTTCAGAATGGTCTGATGATCTCTTCCTGGAGCATAGTGTAGGGAAGGGTTTATTGCATTCTAACAAGGACTTTCACTATTTTAAACAGAAGAATGTGCAATAATGGTACGATTCCAGGCCCCGCCCCTTTCCTCTCCACCAGGAGGTCTTCTGGTTCCCAGGGTGCCCTCTGCTGGAGGAGGCTAGGCAGCTGCTCTAGGCTGGCCCCACCCCACCCCACCCCAGCCTCTCCCGCCCCACCAGCTTTCAAGGTCAGGCTGCCTGGTAATACAGTAATTGATCTGGGAGACTTCCATTATAAATCTGCCAGCTGGCCAGGTGGCACGCCCCATGGTCCATCCCATCCAGCCCCCCATGGTAATGACCACTCCTCTGTTCCTGTGTGGGAAGGTGACTGGCCACTCTTTGCTTCTCCCCATCCACTACCCCTGTAGGCAGGAGCCCAGGGACTCTGAACTCAGACAGAGGTGACATGGTTCTGAACTGACCTCACACTTCAACTGCTGTGTGGTCTCAGGCAAACTACATGCCCTCTCTGAGCCTCCATGTCCACAACTGGAACATGGTTCTGGTCAGATGGCCTTAAGGATCCACTGTGACAAAGTGGGAACCGAAAGAGTGTCCATTGTGATGAGGGCTCCCTTGAGACCTCTGCTTGAGGGTCCTTGGATGGGGGAGTCCTAGGTAGGGCATGATTGCACCTGTCTCTCTCAGCAAGTCAGGGAAGACTTCTTAGAAGAGGTGGCATTTGGGCTGGGTCTTGGAAGATGACAGGACTCCCTAAGGTTTGGGAGTGGGGACAGTGGTGCATGGTGTTCTGGGGACGGCAGGAAAGGGTCCTGTACAGAGCCATGACCAGCCCAGAGCATTAGGGTTTTTTCCTTGCAAATCTAACCCCATCAAGCCCTGCTTATACGCTTCAGTGGCTCCCATTGCCCTACGGCTGAAGTCCCAGCTCCCTGAGGAAGCTTCAGATCTAGTCCCAGCCAGCTTCTCCAGGCACCCAAGCCACTGCCCTTGCCCCCAGGGCTCCAACCTTAATGAATTTTTAAAATTCTCTACAATCTGTGACCTTTGCACCAAGCTGCTCCCTAGTTTGACTCAATGACCACAATAAAATTGAATCCTGTGACTAGATAAAATCTCCACTCCACTCTATTCCAGGGCCCACGGGCCCTTTGTGATCTGCCTGCCTCCCTTTCCCCTGCTCCTCTCCCACTCCGTCCTCGCTCAGTCTTAGCTCCTCTGTTGCCCCCCAGATCTTCACATTGCTGGTTTCATCATGTTCAGGACTCAGCTCAAGTGTACTCAACCTAAAGTAGCCTTCAGGTGACAGTCATCCTGGTTTGCCCAGAACCGAGGTGTCTCCTAGGATGCAAAACTCTTAGTGCTGAAAGCAGACATTCCCAGACAAATGGGGATGATTGGTCACCCTCATTTCTTTCCAGTCCCTACTGCCAGGCCTGCCTGCTTTCTTTTCTTCCTCTTTCTTTTGTTGGAAGTCCCAGTTTGTCAGTCTGTTATTACTTGCGGATCGGCTGCCTTCCCCTGGCCTTGAGCTGCTGGAGAACAAGCCTGCATCTGCCAGTTCAGCACTGAGTCCCCCTTGCCCAGAACCACGTGCGGTGAGAACGGTGCTCAGCACCAGCACCAGAGCATGCCTGGTCAGTGTTTGTTGAGCGAATGGGTGAAGTGTGTACACAGACTGTTTCACTGTGGACCTGGCCTCTCCTCTCCTCTCTGGGCCTCAGTTTCCCATCTGTACTACAAGGGTGGGCTTTGGGAGTCCCAGAGAGGGCTCTCCAAGCCCCAGTGCCCCCACATGCAGGAAGTGAAGAGAAGAGCTACTGCCCAGCTCGGTGTGAAGGGCTGGGCATGCGCCGGACTCCAGGGTGGGCAGGGCAGGGCGGCCCTGCTGACGGGGAAGTGTCACAGTCCTCACCTTCCTAGACATCCCGCCGTCACCTGAGGGCCATTTCTGGGCCAGGCCGTTGGTCCAGACCCCAGGTTGGGGGCATCCAGAGTGATGGTGCCGACTGCCAAGCCCCACTCCCCTCCCACCCCCGGGAAACAGATGGCCCAAGCTTGGGCGGGCGGCAGAGACGGGGACTGGCATTTGTGTGTGTGTGCGGTTTTTTAAAAATCTGACACATTTTTGTCACGTCTTGGTGCATCAGAACAGTAAAGGAGGCGGGAGTGTGAAGAATGTTTTAACTCGCAACTTTGTAACAGTTCCAGTTTCTCCGGGCCTCCTCCCCCTCCCTCAAGCCCCCGCGGCGGAGCCTCCAAGTCCATCTGTTCCCGAATCTCTACTCCCTGCCCCCCTAAATCCATCCCTCCTTCCTTCAGTTGAGGGGGAGAGATCCTCAGAGGAAGCAGCTTGGGCCCTTCAGAGGACCCTGGGCAGGGAGGCAGGGGACCTACTTCTGGGCCCGGCTTTACCCCAGGCTCGCTGTGTGACCTTGTAGAGCTCTAACCCTCTCTGGGCCCCATCTGTGTGCTCCTAGGGGTCAAGCCTATCCCCTTTGGGGTTCCTTGATTCTGATAGTCATGGGAATGTCTGGGGAGAAGAGTTGGAAATGGAGTGTGCAGGAGGGATCAAGATGGGGAGTTTGGGGATTCAGGACACCCAGAGAGAATGGCCTGAGCTGGTGAAGGGGCCACATTCATGAACACTGAGTGGGTCCCAACCTTCACTGCCCTCAGGCTTGGGGCTTGCGTTCCCCCACCCCCGGCCCCTCATCCACCTAGCCTGCCCAGGGTGGTTCTTTCAAGATGCCCCATGACTAGCTGAGGTCTGGGGCAGCTACCTGAGGTCAGGGGAGGGAGGAGGAGCCAGGCAGTACCAGGGACCCAGGCATCCCTGTCTGAGCCCTAGAAAAAGAGGCAGGATGAGTATCAAGCCTTAGAAGATTTGCTCCTCAGCTGCCATCCCTCCAGTCCCCAAGCTTGCCTGGCATTAGCTTCCATTTTATATGTCATGGAAATGCCAACTGTCCTCGAAAACCAAGAGTCCACACAGCTGGTAGGAGCTGCCCTGGGTGGGCACGGGGAGAGTTTAGGGGCATGAAGGGGCAGTGTCCTGTGGCAGCTCAGCCAAAGCGAGGGCTCAAGCCTTGCTCCCTCACTGCACAGCTCAGAGACCAGGACTGCTGGGCACCTGTGCAGTAGCTTGGGATGGGGTGGGGCTGGCAGCCAGGGTGCCACTGCCAGGGACAAAGAAACCAGCTCCTGGCTGCACTCCTGTTTTCCCCATCCCTCCACACCTAACATGGAACTCCCAAAGTCCAGGGCATGTATCATGGACAAAGCCAGAGGGACGGGGGAGGCAGAGGGTGCCTAACACACTGGGGGCAGCTTCTGAATATCACCCCACATATCTGCATCCTGGGGAGGGCCGAGGACAGGACTGGGAGTCCCTGCAGGAGGTGGTCTCGTGTGCCCAAGAGGGTGAGCTCTGGACAGGGCAGCCGAGGGAACCAACATGGCCCCCGTTGCAGCCCAAGCCCCAGACCCCAAGGCCCCTCTGAGCCGGTGCCACACGAGTCTCACCATATGGGCGCAGGGCGGCTGCGGGGGGAGGAGCTGGAGTTGCCATGAGAACCCGCACACTGGCATTTCCTCTTTTGGGGAGGCTGAACCATACTTCGCAGGCGGTGTAGGCTTCTGAATCCCATTTCTCTGTGTTTTTTAGGAAGGGAAAAAGGGCAGAGGAAGGGGGTGGAAAAAGACAAGGAGGGAGAGAGAGAGAGTCAGAGGCAGCCAGGAGGGAGCAGTGGAGCTGTCTGGGGCTGCAAGGGTTGATCAGGGACCTCCTTTCCCCAAAGCTCAGTCCAGGGCCAAAGTGGGGTCTGGAGTTCTCTCTGATTCGTTGTCCAGGCCTTGGGTAAACCTCTTCCTTAAAACACACAGCCCTGCATCCTGCCTGAGATTCAAGTCAACTCTTTGGGCCCTTTCTGGGTTCCTTACTGTCACCCCTGTCCCCTGAGTGCCCAGCCCTGTGGGCAGCCACACTGGAAGCAGCAGAGGGTAGAGGACGCAGACCCTGCTCCCAGAGTCCCAGCAGGGGCAGGAGTCCACCCTAACCTGAGTCCACAGCAGACTTCCTGGGCTTTAGTAGCTTGGCAGTGGAACTCCACGTGACCGGGGCAGAAGTGGAAGGCTGCTTGGAGAACAGGAAACTACACAGAGGCAAGCAATGGGGAGGAGAAGGCTGGGAGGAGGGCGAGAAGGTGGGGAGCTGGCAGGAGAGGCCGGTGTCCACCCATCAGCCCCACCGTCTCGTCAGGAGCTGGGGCTGGGTGTCCTGAGAACACAGGCTTGGGGTAGACAGACCTGGGTGTGAATCTGGTTCCATCTCTTCATACCCCTGGCAAATGAACCTCATTAGGCCTCAGTGTCTCCAGTCTGTAAGATGGGTATGGTGGTACCTACCTTGAAGGTTTCCAGTGGTGTGCAGCCAGTGGAGCGGCCAGAGTGGCTGTCATTAAATGGCAGCTGCTATTGGTATGGTCACCCAGGTCACGGTTGCCGGCATCCACTGGGGACACAGGGAGGAGCAAACGGATGTGGTACTGATCTCGGAGGAGTGCCCACCTTGAGCAGAGGTGTGGCGGTAGGACCCAGCGTGTCTATGTTTGGGGAGGTGGCATTGTAGGGAGGGGCTATCCTGGCAGAGGAGAAGGTGGGATGGGAGGAAGAAGTCTGTGAATGTTAAGTAGGCAGTTGGGAGCTGGGGCAGAACCAACCTGGGCCCAACCCAGGCCACATGGGCAGCTCCAAAGCAGAACTGGCCCCGTGGAATCTCTAGCTCTTCTCCAGCTCCTCTTCCTGGAACTTCACCTGCTGTGTCTGGGGCAACCAGCCCTCCTTCCAGGAAGTTCCCTCCCGACCCTGTAGGTGGAGCTGCCATGAAGAGAGGCCAGCACTGCGACATTGCTCTCTCAGAGCTTCCTTGGTGTGACACCCTCTGGACTGCCATTTCCCAGTTATAAATGGGGTTATGGATGGCTGTTTTTCCCTCCCCTAGGGGCTGAGTGGGAACCCATGAGATGAACGGGCAAGCCTCCTTTAGGGTGTGTCTAGGGAAAACAGGAGAGAAGTCTGGCTTTGTTCCCTTGAGCAGAGAGGAAAGGGCGGGGGCGTGGAGCATCAGGGCCACCTCAGCTCTGGCTGGTGCCTCCAATAGCAACAGAGCCCAAGTATTGAGTCCTACTCTGTGCCAAGATCTTTACGTCTCATTTCGTTCTTACAATAACCAGGGAAGTAGCATTATTTCCATGTAACACGGGATGAAAAGACTGAGGCTCAGAAAAGGACAGTAACTTACCCAAGATTACCCAGCTAGTGGCAGCAGAGCCAGGGTTAGAACTCAGCGCTGTCCAGCTCTCGAGCCCTTTCCATTGACCTCTCCAGGTCTCTCTCCCATGACTCCCTCCACCTCTCACAGACTGGAGGCCCCTATCTAGCATCTCCGGTGGGCCACAGAGAGGATTTCAGGGGCATTGTGCTCAGTGATGGGTTGGAAATTAGGAGAAATAGGTGCTGAGACCCCAGCCCCAATCCCCACCAGCTGGGCTCTAACCATACCTAGCCAGCCTGAGGTAGCCCCAGGACCCCTCTACTTAGGGAAGAGCATGGTCTTGGCATCCGATGGATTAAGACTGACTCTTAACTTTGCCACTCACTTACCCTGGTTCCCCCCAGCAAATTTCTGGACCTTTCTGAGCCTCCCTTTTGTCATCCAGAAAATAGTGGCACTGGAGCAGTCAGGCTAGGCTAGGTTTTGCTGCAGTAACAAACAACCTCAAAATCTCAGAGATTTCAAACAACTCACGGTAATTTCTCACCCCCATTCCAAGCACGGGATATCCACTCCTCATTGAGGACCCCAGGCTGAGGAAGTGCCTACCATCTCTACCTGTGCATCAGTTACCATGGTAGCAGGAAGAGGCGAGGCCAAGGCCACCCTGGGTCTTAAAGCCTTCTCTTGTAAATGACACTTGTAACTTCCACTAACATGTCATTGGCCAAAAGCAAGTCACATGGCCATACCTAATGTTAAAGGGGACAGAGAACTGCAGTTCCACACCAAGTGCCTAAGAGGAAGAAAATTGGTATATTAGTTAACATTCCTTAATGACTCTCACAGGGAACTAGCACACAGGGATGCTGTCAACATTCAGTGAACTGAAGGGAATGGGAGCTTGGCACACAGAAGGTACCTAATAAATGTTACTCTTTTCCCCTCCACCCCAGCTCCAAAGAGATCCAACCCCTCTTCCTTTCCGAGCCATCTCTTTCAGATGGACTGTTAGGGTTGATAGGCACTCCCTAAGTTGAGCAGGAAGACTTTTGCTTCTGGGGTAGAGACAAGTAGCAACTTCCCGAGGGGCACATGGCATGGTGGCAGCTAAGGCAGGAAGAGCGGACGGACACCCTCACTCCCAGCTGGGTAACCTGCCCCTGGTCCCGTGCCTCGTTTAACAGATGAAAAAGCAGCAGATACCAGTAATACCTTGACTTTATTAAGGGCTTCATAAGATCCAGATCAAATTACATCTCCTGCAATCGAACAGTTAATTCAATTCCACTCAACAAATGTTCCATTCAATACCAAGAGGGCCTGGGGTAGTCTGGATGGCCCACCAGGCTGGGGAGGCCCCTGTCACTCAGCAACTTCCCTCATTCCTCAGGAAGATACCAACCTCCCTGGCTGGAGGCCACAGGTCTGCCCTAGAGTCTAGGGTCAGTTCAAGATGAGTAGCCAAGGCCTGGTGGGGAAAGAACAGCAGGCAAGGACAGTGACTAAAGACTTTGGGGTCACTTGAGCTCACAGAAACCTGGAGCAGCAGATGGAGCCTCAAGACCCCTGGAATCCAGAGCCACCTTGACCATCAACCTTGAGTCCAAAACCACAAGGCTGTGTGACCTTGGGCAAGTCACTTTTCCTCTTTGGGACTCAGTCTCCCCCAATTAAGGGGTTGGCCTATGTCCGTGTCCCCACCTTTGACATCAGGATTCTGAGAGCTTCTTTGCCAATCTGCATTTCCCCCTTCCCAATCTGAGGTGGCTCAAATAGGAGAGAGACCTGATCCATCCACCCTGTGTGGCCCTACACCCACTGGGCTGGGCCCTGAGGGTCAAACCATGCACTCCCCGGCAATAGCTCACAGTCAGGGAAGGAAACACAAAAGCCAGGTGGGGCGACAGAGGCACACTCCCTCCAGGAAGGGTCACTGATTGCCAGCCATGGCACAGACCAGACAGGCTGTAGGTTAAGCCCAGTTTCCTTCCCTCCTCCCGCACTGTGCTGGCCATTGACCACCACTGGGCTGGAAAAATCCAGGACTCCCTGGTGAAGGAGGAATGGAAGCTGGACCCTGAACCACTTAGCTGGGCAGAGATGGGAGCAGGTTCCAGGTGGAGAACAGCAGGAGCAACAGCTGAGAGGTAGGGTATGTCTGGAGTGGGCGTGAGTGACAGACGTCACCTGGAGGATATATTGACACAGGGAAATGTGATTTCCGTATTCTGGCAACACACACACACACACACACACACACACACACACACACACACACACACTCTCCCTCCCCAGCTGCAGCTGTAGGTAAGAGATGTTGGAGTTGCTCAGGAAGACGGAAGAGCTGTCAGTCATAATTTCATAGTGCAGAGAAGGGATGTCCCTGGAAGCCCCAGAGACGCTTTCAAGTCCCCGGGGACTCTGGGAACAGACCCCCCTTCTACCCAATGAATCAATAATAGCAACAAGAATAGTAGTAACTCTTTTTGGCACTTTATTGTTAATGAAGCACTTTGGTATCCATCATCTTATTCGATCCCTAGGGTGGCCCTGTGAGGCATAGTCTATCCCATTGATTTTCTGATTCACAGAGAAGTCAAAAGATTTACCCAAAGTGGGTGGGTCCACAGCATGCCCTTGCACTGTTTAACTCTGCGGTCTATTCGTGCCTGCTTTTCAGGAGTCCCTTGGGCCTTCGTAGGGAGACATCTGCTCAGAGAGTGGATGGAACAGGGCTCTGGCACGAATGGGATGTAGATTCTGGATTTTCCACTCTGTGGCCTTTCTTGACTTCACCAGAGTTTGAGACATGTCCCAAGGCTACCCTTGCTCAGCCTAAGCCCACAGTCCCTAAGGGCCTGACCAAACCCAGAGACCCAAAGACCTCAGACCTTAAGAGGACCAAACCCCCAATTCCTCTAGAGCCCTTTTCCCTTGAAACAAGGGCCAAAGCAGCTAGTTCAACAGGTAAAGGGGTCAGCCATGCACTGCCCCAGACTGTGATGTCTTCACTTGCTGGAGTTGCTCATCGATCAAGCACTCTTGAGTTTGTATGAGCTTGTTCTTCATTTGAAGCTGTTTGGAAAGTGTGATTTCAAGGACTTCAATCTGTGAGGCTAGCTTCACATACTTTGGAATCATTGCTTATTCATTCAGAGCATGACTTAAAGAACCCTGAACACCTAGATCCAACGTAGTGCCTTCTAGGTAGAAATTGACTGTTATCAGCCACTACTTGATACAAATTTAGGCTTTTGTCATTTGACCAGATGGAACTGTTACCACTTTTTCCAGATTTCGGTTGCCAGAAGCTCTGGGTATGCCCTGGGCCACCTGGTGTTAAGATTCTCCAGCCTCCTAGGCCACTGACTTCGCCATTTGTTATTTTTAGGTCAGTGTGGTATCAATAGCTTGCTTAGTTCTAATGCAGCCTGCAAATTTTCAGAAAGAGGATGTTAACGCCTCCTTAGAGCTTCCATGTAGCTTTCTGAACACTGTTCATTCAGTCTTCTGTCATTCATTCATTTATTCAAAAAATATTTCTTGAATGGCAGGCTCTGGGACACAGCAGTGAAACAGACAGCAAGCTCACAGCTACCTTTCCACAAGCAGAGAACTCTCTCTTCCCTCCAATGCAGTTTCCACCAAAAGTGGCCTCTGCCTGTGCACCCAAATGCGTGAATCTGCCATAGCTACTTTTTTTCCCGTCAGGATTTTCCTTCTCTACACTCCTTTTCTGCTTGACCCCTACCTTTGAAGCCTACCAGTGAGGCCAGATCCACTCTGGACCTAGCCTCTGAAATGTCTACTTGCCCTGCAGTAGCAAAGGCTCAGGGATGGGCTTGGGAGAGCCACCAAACCCAAGCCTCCACACAGTGCCCTGTCCTCCAGCACCCAGACTCTCCCACCCTCTCTTTCCCATATCCCACCTCTCAGTCCTTATCCCATCACCTGTGTTAGCCATATATAGCCTCTGCCCTCTGTGACCACCCTGCAGGACTTCCTCACTGCCTCCAGCATACCTTCAGCCCCTGCCTTCACCCCATCCCCATCTTGAGATTCTCCAACTTTGGATGCAGCCCGCAGTCCTACCCTGGCCTAGCCCCTCTACTGGGCAACTCCAGTCTGCCCTCTTCCCCATTGCAGGTGTGGCTTGCAGAACAGGAGGAAGTGGGAGTCCATGACAGACAAGGGTCCTGCCTAGATTGAACCCAGCCCTGGCCTCTGGGTTCTGATGGGCTGACTCATACTGCTCAGCCCAGACAAACCTGTGGGGTCCAGGCTGCCCCCTGCTGGATGCCCAGGGTTGCTATGGCGACCCTCTGCTAGTCTTCCCTGCATGGAGACAATCACAAAATAATAGCAGGGACTATTTTATTCTGTGTCCCACCTGGGAGCCATTTAAGCCTCCCCACTCCTTTCGACACATAATATGTATATTTTTTTGCTTTTAAGATTATTCCTTCTCTTCCCCCTCACTCCAAACCTCCATGGCATAGTCTCTGAAAGCCTCGAGTCTTAAACACAAACACACATACATGCATGTACATGCCGTGCACAGGCTTACACACCACGCCGTAAACATCAAATCGGCCACCCCAGTGCCTGTTAATTGGCAACAAAGCCCCAGGGCCAGCAAAGCACCTTCATCTCACATTGTTCACCACTTAACAGTTTGCAAAGCAATTTTACCTCTGAGCTTATGTGAGAATGTGTGGGTGGTATTTATCACCTCTCCCATTTTCCACGGAGAACACTGAGGCTTGGGATTTGGGGGGCATTGGCCATTGTTACCCAGTGGCTGGGTGGACCTGGAACTAAGTCTTGCTGGCTCTCTAGTTCTGTTTTGCCATAACCAACCCCCTGGGGTGACAGAGTTGGTGGTAGGAGTCGCGGGGAAAAGATCTCCACCCTTTCATCATCTCCACTCTCCCCTTGGTGGCTATCACCTGCCCAGCCATGAGCAGTGTTGGGGGCTGCTGCACTCGGGGGGGCAGGCTGTGGGAGTCCAGCCTCAGCAAGAGTCCTGCCTGCCACACTGGATTCCAGAGCCCCTAACTGCCCTCTGGGTTCCCTTGGTTTCTATCCTCCAGCTAGAAACCTTCCCCAGTACCCCTAGCCCCAGCTGACCCAGCTCTCCACCCTGACCCAGAAGCCAGAGTGCCCTACCCCTCAGCTCCTTCCTGAACCCCCTTCCTCCTCCAAATCACTCTCTTCTTTCCGTGTGGTACCCCTGAATCTTTGCTCTTCTGGTCCCTGGTGGAAATGACCTTGCTGTTTCTCCGTGGTGACTTCCATCTCTGATGGTTGATCCCATATTACAGACTCATGTGGGTATTTGTCTCAACCTTATATTTGTACTAAACAGGCATTCCCACTGACTGCACATGTGTGCGTCTCCATCAGCCAGACGTATCTTTCATAAAGTCCTCTGTCTTACCAAAGAATGGACATTTACATTGTATACAGGCGTCACCACCCAACATGTTTACTTTGAATTTATGAACATTTACACAGACCACACATTTACCTAGAACATTCCCATTTATATGACCGTGTGTGTGGCTATTAAAACACATTTACATTGGCCAGCCAAGGACAGTTCTGGGTTTGCAGACAATACAGACTGCTAGCCTATGTCACTACCACGTCTAGTCCAGATGATCTCTCTTAGCTTGGAGGATTAAGGGTCATTTCTTGGATGTGTCTGAAAGGCACTTCCCTATGTTTGGACTTTGGGTTCCACGGACCAGAACCCACAATAGTACATGCAGAGCTGAGGGGTTCTGGGATGTGTGTGCAGGATTCCTGGAGGCCACTGGGGTGTGTGGCTGCAGGTTTGAGACCAAGGCCTGGGTTCCTGTTGTCTCTCTCTTTGGGAACTCTGTTTAGCAGGGCAGCAGGGAGCAGACTGGGGTCCCAGAGAATCAGGGGCCTGCCTGAGGTCTCCAGCCCTGGAGAGCAGGGTGCACAAGGGGTGACCCTTGGGAAATGGGTATGCCCTGGGCCACCATGTGTGAGTCAGTACGGTCCCGGGGGGCCTCAGTGCCACTTCATTTATTCTACCTACAGCTCCCCCTTTCATAGCAAGGCCTCTGAGGCCCAGAGAGGTCAGGCCAGAGGCTGAGACAAGCTGGGCCTGGATCTCTGTCCCATTTGGCCACAGGTTGGGGCCAGGATCAGGCTGGGTCCTGCTGTGGCTAGAACTGCTGTTTAAAGTTCTCTTGGCAGCAGCAGTCAACATGGGAGTAGAGCCCAGCCTTGGAGTAAGAACATGGATAAATGTGGGTTCAGATCTCAGCTCCACCAGTTTTCAGCCAGCTGGGGAGTGGGGAAGGCATGCAGCTGACACAGTGGCCATGTGCATGGTTGTGTGAGTGGACATTGCCGCTCTGCTGGCCTGGCTGTGTGACAGTAGCTGGGCTAGTGACTTGCCTTCTTTGAGCCTCAGTTTTCCCCTCTGTACAATGTTGCCAGTCATGGATCTGCCTCACAGGTTCACCGCATGTGAAGTGTCTAGCACAGTGCCTGGAACGCAGCCGGTGCTCCTTCAATGGTAACTTGTATGTTAATACTACAATTATTATTGTATCTGGGTGATCTTGGGACTCAGTCTCCTCATCTGTAAAATGGGGTTAATGATGATCCTGAGGGCCCCAGCTATCCACACCTGATACCAAAGTCCTCCCCACTTACCACCCTCTCCCTGTGGCTGCTGTCTGACTGCCCTTTCCTTTCCGGATGTCTCAGGACAAAGCCCAGAGAGAGGGAGGAAAGAAGGAGGCAAGGAAATAGATATCTCACTGTCCATCCATCAGTTAGCAATGGTGGCACCAATTTTCATAGAGAAGGGGAATGTGCAACGTAGCCAGAAAAATATTTCCTCTGTGACTCCAGCAGCCCAGCTGTTCCCTTCCAGGAAAAGTGCTGAGGGCCAAAAAGAAAATAAAGGGAACAATGAGAGAGAGACAAGGAAAGAAGAGAGAGAGGGGTGAGAGGGAAGGGCAAAGCAGTTAGGGACAAGAAGGGCATGGGGCGGGGGAGCACAGAGGTGTGCAACGTTTTGCCAGGGCCTTTCCCGGGCTGCCTGGAACAGCACTCAGCAAGGCTGCCATTGACCCAGCCCCTGCTCTGACCTGCCAGCTGCCAGCAGGCCCACCCTGCAGGAACCTGGGTTCAAAGGCAACTGTGATCCTTAGCACTGTAATTGTGCAGACTCCACTTTGTCCACCCTCTACACTCACACCTGCCATTCCTTCCTGCTAGAATGTTTGACCCCCTCTCTGCCTGTCAGGATCCTACGACTCCTGCAAGACTGTCTCCTCCAGGGAGACCCCTGGGATTCTGTCCCCCCACCACCCCCCAGCTGCCTTTCCCTTCTCTTCCAGCTCTGATCACCACCCACCTTGGATCAGATCTTCCTGTGAGCTGGGTCTACCTCTCCCCTGGACTGTGCTCTGGCAGACTGACCCTTTCATCCCTAGCTTCCTAATATCTCCTGTCAGGGGCAGGACAGCCCAGGGGGCATAACCAGGACCTGATCCGAGAGCTACCCTGCCCATCCCTAGACTTCCACCAGTGAAGCTCCTGACACTGCCCTTCCAGCCTCAGTGGGAGTGCGTGTAAACTAGGCAAGTGGACCAAAGAGCTCCAAGCCCCCCACCCCACACTCCCCAGCCCCGAGCCCTCCCGCACCTCCATACTCGTTAGCTAGAGTGAATACCGGGGGCCCGTCCCAGTTCCACTGCTCACTTCACCATGACCTTAGGCAAGCTCCTTAGCCTCCCCATGCCCGTTCCCTCCCCTGTAAAGTGGGGATACTCACAGAACCTTCCTCATAGGGCCATTGAGAGTATGAAATGAGTAAATGCCTAGATTCTAGGCCGGCCCTGGTGTCTGCTGTCCCAGGGGAAAGGGTTGATAGATATTAGACATTATTAATGTTTCCCAGGCCTCCTTTCTGGGCACAGTTGAGAAGAGCCCACCCTCCCTGGCTGTCAGCTAATCCCGTCCAGTCACTTCTGACTATCAAAGCTCCATCCCTTCCTGGGGTGCTCCTGGGGACAGAGAAGCCCCAGGTTGTGGGGATGGAGATGAGCGAATAATTGGGGCAGACCCTGGCAGGGGAAAAGGTGGTTTTATGCTCTGCCACATCTGCCCCAAGGAGAGAGGCTGGCCCCTGGTCTGTCCCTCTTGGAAGTGGGGGAAACCCCAGGTTCCTGCCTGTGTGTGCCACACCTGCTTACAGACTTACCGTATTTGGGGTGCAGAGAGGAGGGAAGAAGCTCTTACTTTGCTATGAGTCACACCAGTGTCTCCTCCCTCTTCTCGCCTTCCCTGCCCCCTAGCCGTCTTGATCACCATGACAGAGGGGTGTCCTGTGGGGACAAGACCAGAGGGTGCCAATGTGGGTGCCATGTCCATCCTGGGGAGGCGCCTCCATGTAGGTCCGGGTTCCCCGCCCACTGCTCTGTGGCAGGGCGGGGTGGAGTCCCTTACAGGTCACAATGCCTGGACCAGACACATTTCCTTGATGTGCAGCTAGACACAGGTGGGGACAATTGGTGCCTTTACTGACTATTTTACTACTTTACTAGGCCTAGAAGGTGGGGCAGGGGTATGGATGTATTTGCCCCTTGGCAGCTGGGTGTCTGTTCCATCACACGCCACCAGGCTCATGCTGAAGCCCCTTCAACCACCCTTTTATCTCGCCCACTCCCCAGCCTCTAAATGAGGCAGACACCATCCCTGCTTTGCAGATGGAGAAAGCCAGGCCTGCTTGCCCATGCACTTGCTCATCACAGGACTCACCCTGGGCTGCCAGCCACACCGAGGCCACCTGGCACCCCCAGGCAGTGGAGGTGTCTAAGGGCACTTGGCATCTTACACCCCTGGGCTGTCCCCTTCGTGAGTGAGGCTAGCTAATGCCCACCACAAAGGGAGAATTACCAGCGAGGCCTTGAGCTTTGCTCCTGTTTACACTTCAGTTCCCAGTGCACACGGCTGGCTTCAGGAAAGGCCACCAGCTCTTCTAAAGCGGGTCTGGAGCCAGCTCTCTGGTGGGACTGGGAAGACGTGTATGGGATGCAGAGTGCGGGCAGGCTCAGAACTGAGGCCCACGGAGGCAGCAGCCCTGTGTTCACCAGTCAGAGACCCACTGGCCTAGGGATGGGAGGATGAACACAGTAGCCCTGAATTTGTTCACGATGTTTTCCACACTTCAGGCATTAGCTGGCATTTATCTTTAGCCATGAGGCGTGCACGTCCACCTCGCTCTACCTTCAGCACGTTAAGTAAATGGGACTCTGCTGCCAAGTTTAAGCCTAGAAAGAGAGCTGGGCACTGGTCTACTGAGTGGTCTGGGTAGCTCTTGGGAGAGAGGCAGTGATAAAGAGTGGGCCTCAGGGCCATGCCTCCACCCTATCCCACCCACCCCACTGTGGGCCCTGGGGCCTGCTGTCCCAGCGTCTTGGGCTGTGATGTGTGGAGTCCCTACAAGCTGGCTGGCCAGGGCTCCTTCCTCCCAGTGCCCTCAGCCCCTGGTGTTGGGAATGGATGGGCACTGCTCCCTGCACCGCCCGTTCTGAGTGTGTATGTTTGGGAGGAGGGGTGTCTGGAAGTGCAGAGAGGGGTCCACAGCCTGTGAGTCACTGGGAACTTCCTGAAAGCGCACCAGGCCTCTCTCCCCACTCCTGATGAGCCACCACCACCATGCAGGTATTTATGGCTGGTTTTCACGCCCCAGCAGGTGGTGTGAACACACTGTGTCTGAGTGTAAACGCCCATGTTTTGATTTAAGAGTGTGGGGAGCCCTCCTATCGTCTGGGGCCTTCTAGATCTCTCCGCCTCTCGGGCTGCTGGCCTGAGCCACATTGTTTATCCCATAGAGGAGAGCCCACCCAGTGGCCCTTTATCCAACCCTAAACCGCTCGTCACCAGGGCCAGGCCTGGCCGCTGGTCCTGGCTCCACCAGTGCAACTTACCTCACCCCTCTTAGCCCCAGTTTTCTCGTCTGTCAAATGGGCACAGCAGCCACTTCTGTGTTTGCTGGAGGGATTGAGGGAGCCAGCCAGTGCTGTGTCCCTCAGCTTCCGAAGTGGCCAGTGAGAGGCTGACCCGGGCTCAGCCTGCCCCTGGGCTTAGCTCTGCTCTGGGGCCCATTTCCTGTCATATTCTGGGTCCACATCCTGGGCTCTGTCTTGCTCTCCTGGTATTGCTAGCACCTCCACCAATGCCATCCTTATTTCCCAGGTGACGGAAATACCACAGGGTGGGCTCAGAAGAAGCAGGTAGATGCTCAAGCCTGTTTGGGGACCCCTGGAACCAGGGTACCCCTCCTCGACCACCTCCCGTGCAGGCTCAGGGCAGCCATGTTGAGGGGGTTGTGCTTCCAGGATGGCCTGGGCAGAGAAGGGATAGAGAGAGAGGGCACAGCCCGGGTACAGCTGTGGCTCCTCCGGCACAGCTGGGCAACCCTGAATGGGGGCTTTTGCCTGTGGACTGGTGAAGGAGCTGCAGAAAAGTTCTGCTCGGGACACCTACCCTGACACACACGACAGAGACACCACACACATGTTCAACATGACACATACCACAGAGTTCGACAACACAACACAGCTACGTATCCTTCCTAAACTCCCCAGCGTAGATACATTCGCAAAGCAGATGCCGCTGCCCCAGCTAGATTCACGGTCACAAGGACTCTCCCCTGGAGGGCTCCTGAGTGCCGGGCCCTGCCCCGTGGCTCTGATGGATTCTCCCAGCGTGTCCTCACCACTCTTTGGAGCAGGTGCCACATTCAGGAATGAGGGCGGAGCGGGGAGGGACTTGGCCAAGTGCTCTGCCCAGAGGAGTCCACATTTCAGGAGGTCCTTGAGCCATTGCACCCCCACCCCCATTTCCCTGTTTACAGCTGTCACCCCCTGCCCTTTCCCATGCTGGAGCAGGAAGAGGTGGGAATGAAAAGTGTCCTCCCTGGAGGTGGCACCAGACTCGGGAAGGAAGCTTTCCCTTGGGTTTGCTGCCCCTGGGCCAGGGCTGTGGGTGCTGCCCTCTGGGGGTTAAGCCCTGAACCATGGTGCTGGGGTGGCCACCTGCAGTACCCCCACCTCCATGCCACCCCTGTGATGAGGGAGTTTCTCAGACACTTTGCCCATAACCAAAGGCATGGCATGCCCGAGAATGGCAGGGAAGGGGGTGGCAGGCCAAGGAGCCAGGAGAGCCCCTGCGGAAGCTCTGTAGGCCTGAGGCTCCCAGCTTTCCCTCCCGCCATCCAACCCCGATGCCCCATGGGCCTCTCAGCCCCTCCCTGTAACCGGACCATTGCTGGTGTCCCAGCAGCCCTTCTCAAGGTCTGACCTAGACGGGGAGGGGAGAGGGCCCTTCCCACTGCGGACCTCCCTACCCTGAGGTTTGCCTCTGTCCCCAGTCCTGCCCCAGGGCCCTGGGTCTCCCCTGATCCTGTGGACAGCCCTGCTCTCCTGCCTAGTCCAGCCCACACAGCCGTCCTGCTCCCAGCACCATCCAGGGGACCTGAAAGACATCTCCATCCCCTATCTGACCAGGCTGCCCTGACTGATACTGTAAGTGCCAGCCCCAGCTGCCCTCACCCTGATAAGCGGGTGACAGACAGGCAGGTGTCCAGGGCACGGGGAGTTCTTGGGCAGAAAGAGAGCTCCTGGGAATGCCACACCACCACACCACAGTGGCTGTCAGAGAGTGCGCTGTGTGTGAGTCTCTGTCTCCTCCCAGAGCTAAGTCCAGTGGTGTGGGGAGAGGCACCAAGCCCAGGCTCCACAAGCTTCCTTGCTGACTCGCTGCATGGCCTCAGGCAGCTAAGGCACCTCTCTGTGCATCTGCAAAGAGGCCTCAGCGGGATAGACCAAGGCTGCACAAGTGAGATAAGGGGTGCAGAGAGGACCCCTGGGAGAAGAGGCTCAAAGCGTATTTGATAAGAATTTTCGGGATTCCCTCTTTTCCTCTGGGAGAAGGGAAGCACTTGCAGAAGTAATGCCCTGCTGGGGGATTTCCGGACCCGGAGATGAACCTGTCTGCTGCCCAAGCCCAAGTGCCGGTCCCAGCCTTGCTCCCTGTGTGGTATGGAGCAGACTATGGGGGCTCTGAAGGGCTTCCTAGGGCCAGGTTGGGGAGAGGGGCACCTTCCCTAGGCCCAGACTGCCCTCCTGGCCTTCGTGTGGCCCTTGGCAGAGCTGAGCACTCCATGGGCACCTAAGTGTCCAAATTAGGCTGCCTGGAAGGGAACATCTCAGAGACTGCAGACCCCCAGCCTGAGGGGAAGTGGCCTTCCAAGCTCTTCACATAGAGGAGCCAAAATGCCAACCTTCCCAGCTGTTCTTTCTATCCTCCTTTCTCCCTCTCCCCACACCATGGGGCCTCTCCCTGTTGGCAGCTCTGACTCGAGAGGCCTGCCTCTGTTTCCCTCCTCCACTCCCTGGGGGTGGGGGTCCCCCATGCATGGTGAAGCCTAGGATGAACCAAGCCCTGGCAACTGGACACCTTCCCCCTCCGCAGCTGTCTCCCCTCCCACTGCTGTCCTGGACTCAGGTCTTAATGGAGCGTAAACAGCCAGGCAGACGGAAGCCTCATTAGGCCTGATCTAATTAGGAGCCCCTGAGATATGGGGGTGGAAGGCAGAGGTGGAGGAGCGCCCCATTTATGAGGGCCTACTGTCCACAAGAAATGTCACACGCATATGCTCTTAGAACCCTTCCCACAACCCTCCAAGATAGGCATGAGTATCCCCAGGTGGCATGAATGGAAAGCGGCTCAGAGAGGGCAGGTGACTTACCCAAGACCACTCCGCCAACAGGTGGCTTCCCTGGGATGTGCACCCTGAGTGTCTGACCCCAGTGTCTAGTTCTTCCCAGCATCCCAGCTGGCCTCAGCCTATCAGGCTGGGCAGGACCTCTGACATCCTCTGTCGCAGGTTTGTCCAGCTGCTATCTGAACCCACAGTGCTGGGACAGCCACAGCCCCGTTTCTGGCTCTCTGTGTCTCTGGGCCTCTTCTCTCTCCCAGCACCACCTGACTCCACAGTGGGTCAAGATGGTGGGAGACGGGGTGTGGGGCCAGTCAGGCTCTCAGCCTCCTACCACGCCCACTCCTCATCTGTCTCCTTCTGTAATTGGGGAGGGTGTAGGGGGAGCCCATGCAGTGCCAAGAGGCCGGCCGCCCCTTCGTTAGTCTTAGCTAACAAGCTGTTTATGGGTGCGACATGACACCTGCTTTCTTCTTTATAACTTCAATAATTTATAGGCATATTAGTGGACAAGCAGCCGCCCTGGGTCCCAGCCAGACGGGCCGGGGTGATGCAGCTGGGTGCCTCTGCTGATATTTACTCTCTCCCACCATCAATTATTAAGGAGCCCTCCTTCGTTTTTGCACATAATTACATGCACCGTTATGGTTCAAACTCCCCTGCTCTTAATCTCTCTGGAGAGGGACCCAGCCTACCCAACAGGGCTGAGATGGCATGGGGACCCATCAGCTGGAGAAGAAGGCAGGCAGCCACCCTACCTGGGCGAGAGGTGGTGGCAGCCTCAGCCTCGCACCCCACTCTCAGCTGAGCTGGCACCTCCTTGGCCAGCAGCGGCCTTCCTCAGGGCTGGCTGTCTCTCCCCTCCATCCCAGGGCCCAGCCTTTGCACCTGCTGTTCTGCCTGGAGCACCAGCCTCTACCTTCCGTGTACCTGACTGATCCCAACTCATCCTTTGATTTCAGCTCAGCCATTGCTTCCTTCTGGATGTCTGACCTGCCTGCTGTGTGTGTGCAGCCCCACCCCCACTTCTCCCACCTCAGCCTGGATCACACTAGGTTGAGTCTTGCCTGCCAGACCATGGGCTTTGGAGCCTAGAGAAAACTGTGGCAAATGTTTGGCATTTGATGAATGAATGAATGAATGAATGAATGAATGAATGAGGAGATGAATGGATGGATGCCTCCACCTGTCTCACCACCAATGAGCCCACTGAAGCATTCGCCTTCACCCTCCTCCCCCAGGAAGCCTCTCCTGTTTGCTCCACCTCCTCTGGACTCCTCCAGACTCTCCTGGTCTGTGCTGAGATTCCCCAGTGGGCACCAAGGCCTGGTCTCCGTCTATGTCCCCAACACCAAACAGAGGACAGGTCAGAATGGAGGGAGGGTACATCCTGACAATCTCAGCTGTCAGTGTGACCTGGGGAAGTTGCTCACCCTCCCTGATCCTGTTTCCTAACTGCTAAATGAGGATAATAACAGTCCCTACTTTACAGGGTGTGATTGAGGCTTATATAATTTGTAAAAGCACCTAGTATGTGGCCTAGCATGCCAGAGGTGCTCAAGTAATATCCTTAACCTCACCCGTTGTCTGTCCGTGATTTGAGCCCATGTGAAATTGAACCATACTGAATTACGTTGGATTGAATTGTCTTATTTACGCCTTCTCTCGTCCACACTTCCTTGTTTTTAGTCTCCCCTGCCATGTAGCTGGGACCAGGCTTGGCTCACAGGGTCTCTGCAAATATTCCAGGTTGATTAATCAAGACTTTGCGAGTCTCTCAAGCCACACCTATCTAGGGAAAGGAGTGAGTGTCTCCCAAGTCACAGAAAAATAAACTGAGGCCAGGGAGATAATGTGGACTCCTCCAAGTTAATGACAGAGTGAGGAACCAAGTCCTGGCTTCCTGCTAGGCTGGAAAGCCCAGGAATATCTCCCTGGATTCTGTGTGCCTCAGTTTCCCCACTGTAAGATGAGATAGTAATAGAAGGGAGCCCATAGCGTTGCTGAGAGGATTGAGCGGGTTGCTGAGTGAGTGGATAACACACTTAGAACCACCGTGCTGCTCATGGTGTGGGGTTCAAAGTGTGGGGATCAGGATAGGCCTGACTCTGCCACCTCCCCTTCTCTCTCCCTAGAGGTGACAGTCCTCTGGAATTGGTGTTAATCACTGTCCTGCGTGTTTTAATACTTTTCCTATATTTGTAGGTATCCATATTCAGTTTATAGGGCTTGGGGCTTGTTTTTAAACTTGAGATAAATGGTATACCTTGTACATATGTTTTTTCCTCCACATCGTGTTTATGAGATCACCTATGCTGATGCAAGTAACTCCAACATAGCTGTTTTCACTGCTGCATAGTATTCCATTGTGCGAATGTACCGTGTTCTGTACATTCCTTTTCCCAATGATGGGCACTTAGGCCATTTCCTGTTTTTCGCTATAACAATCCTGCCATGCGCGCTCCTCTGCTTGCCCTCGTGTGCTCATGCCTCGGGGAACTGCTGGGTCGTAGGGTGTGCGTCTTTCCACCTTTACTGGATAACCACCAAGTTGCCGGGCCATTCCTTGCCCCCCTTGAGAGCAGACACTTTGCCTGCCTTATCTCAATACCCTCGCCACACTGGGAGAAAGGAGTTACTATACCCATTTTACAGATGGAGCATGAGTTTAATTATCTATTGCTGCATAACAAATCACTCCAAAACTTAGCTTAAAACAGCAAATATGTATTACCTCCCAGTTTCAGTAAGTTGGGAATCCAGGTGAGGCTTAGCTGGGTACCTCTAGCTCAGGGCCTCTCACAAGGCTCCCATCTAGACATCAGCCGGAGCTTCAGTCATCTCAAGGCTCAACTCAAAGAGGAGCTGTTTCCAAGCTCACTCAAGTGGCGATTGGAAGGTCCCAGGGCCTCATGGGGGGTTGACTAGAGACATCAGTTCCTTTCTATGTGGGCTTCTCGTAACATGGCAACTGGCCCTCCTCATAGCAAAAAGCAAGTGATCGAGAAAAGGTACCCAAGATGGAAACCACAGTTGTTTTGTAATCTAATCTCACAAGTGACATTGTGTCACTTCTGCCGTATTCTGTTCACTAAAAGTGGGTCCACTGATCCAGCCCACACTGAAGGGGAGGGGATTACACAAGCAGGGCAATACCAGAAGGCAGGGACCACTGGGAGTCCTCTTAGGGGCTGCCTATCACTGGGCAACTGAGACTCAGAGAGGTAAAGTGACTTGCCTAGGGTGACACAGGAGTCAGAGACAGAGTCAGAACTGGAACCCAAGACTGCCTGGCCCTGATGCTGGGCACCTTTCGAGCCACTATGCTGCCTTTGACTTAATAACAGGCTCCGACTTAAGTTAATAAACAAGTCTCCTGCACAACAGAACTTAAGGCAAGCGCTTAATGAATGGATTTGCTAATAGTGCTGCCTGTTTGCACACATTAGCTCAAATTCCCCCTGACATGATCCATGGGGACAGCCGAGCCAGGCTCTCAGGAGGAGCCTCTCTGCCAAGCACAGAGCCCAAGTTCCCATGGAGCCAGGGAGTGATCTTACATTTTCTATTTGTTTTTTTGTTTTTGCTCCTAATCTAATTTTTTTTAAAGGAGTGCACACTTCCTTGACTTCTTAAGAACAGCTAACTGCATCCCACAGTAACTCAAGGTCAGGAACACTGGGTGTTTTCCTGGGGGGAACTTCGGCGGGGGTAGTGCTGAGGGGCCCTTTACGGACTGGCCCCAGACCAATTTCTTGCTTCTCAGCCACTGTAGACACAGCAGCCAGGCCACCCAGTGCAGAAGGGCCGTGGCAGCACTGAGTGGGGGCCAGGCCCAGACCTCATTTCTCTGCCAGGGCTTCTGTCTTGAGTTCTCCAAGAGCCTTTGGGCTTCCCCGGATTCCCAGTGAGATTCCCAGTAGGGGAGGCTGCTGACTACGTTGCTTCTAGACAAGTGACCTGTCACTGGTGCTGAAACATTTCCTTGGAGGCATGGGTGCCCCATGGTGAGAGGGAGTAAGAAGTATGGATTCAAGAGTGTCCCTGCCCCCATGCCCTGGCCCTCCTCTCTAGGGGAATCTACTGGGCCTTCCTGATTAAGAGACTTCAGTCAGGTGTAATTTGTAGACATCAGACCCTCTGGAATCAGGGCTGTGGGCTGGCTGTGGAAACTGGAGGAGACAAGATGAATCCAAGCCCTCAGGGTGTTCCTGATTCTCAGGCGACAGAGAATGTGGTCCAGGTGTCTCCGAGTGGGAATGCTGAAAGGGACCTTAGGCTAGAGCCCTGACTTTAAAGAGAAGGGGTCAGGAGGCAGCCAGTGACCATGACAGTCAGTATGATCACCTAAAAATACCTGCATTTATCAAGCTCCTACTACATCAGCATCAGGTAGATACCAGCCACACGTTAAGCCATGAGACCCTCACACCACCCCGTGAAACCGACATTATCTTACAGAGGAGGAAACTGAGACTCAGGAAGGTGTCCAGGGACATACAGCCCCGCCCGAGGGGAAGGTGAGGTTCTCAGCAGGTTTTTGGAAGGAGGGGGACACACAGGGACCTGAACTGGAAGGGGAGAGGATTTGAGGGGCTGAGAAAGCTATCGATGACAAGACAAGCATGAAGTAAATGCCAGGGAAGAGGATGCCCCAGTTAACGGGGGTGGGCCTCCCACACACCCTTGCCCTTGAGTCTTGGCCTCAGCCTGCACCCACCATGGATGTTCCCTGGGAACCTGCATATCTCCACACCAACTTGGGCCAGCCACTGTGGGGAGAGAACCCCTCCAGGTGAGCCCCTGTGCCTTCCCCATGTTGGCTGCCCCATGCAGGATGTGGAGGATCCAGACTTGGGCAGCACTGGATGAGGGACTTTCCTTTAAGATACTCAGGCCTGACCCTTTGTGACATGCTTACATGGGAAGCTGGTGTCCCCAAGTCTGCTCTGACTCTTGAGGAGGGGGTCAGGAGGGGGCAGGAAGGCTCTATACCGAGCCACATCTCCAGGACCACCTCCAAGAAGGGACTGTCCCGCTAGCCCCCTCAGGTGCCTCCATCCCTGTCTGGCCTCCACAGTGCACCAGCGCAGGGCCTGACCTATGGATTTTCTGCCACTTCTCAATCCACTTCACTCTAGCCTAGTACTTCATTACACAGCGGCCTCAGCAACCCCATCATGGAGGGCTGTGGGTCTCTGTGGTGGCTTCTGGAGGCTACATGGCCCCCACCTTCTGGACTTCAGCCTTTTAGGGGATCAGGGTCGTCCAAGGAGCCCTGAGCTTAGAGACCCCCCCAGGGCAACCTCTCATTGCATAGCTGGGGAAACTTTGGCCCAGGGAGTGGCTGTGACCCCCTCAAGGTCACACAGCAAGTTAACAAGTTAACTTGTGGCATAAAGTAGAACACGGGGTCCACCTGAGCACCCAGCTCCACAGGGCCCCCCAGCTGGATGCTGGCTCCACCTCACTCCCCCAGCCCTGCTCCATGCCCAATGCCAGCTGCCCAACCCCCACTCACCTCCAAGGCTCCTGGTCTCCGTTTTTCTTGCTAATTAGAGGTCTCAGCAATGACTCTGCTGTCCCAGCCATTTTAGAGCCGTCATTAATTTCAAGTGCCTTCAGAAATAATCATCATCGTAAAACCCTGCGAGCTGCTGGGATGCCAGTGGATAGGACCAGCATAGAGCAGGCATGTAGGCAGGCCTGTGTGTGCCACCCTCTCCTTTCTGTGCCTGGGGGACCCTTGGTCCTTGCCCCAGCTCCACCTCCTGCCTCCTCAGCCTCTCAGAGTGAAAGGAGAGCAGGACTAACATTAGATACACACAGAGCTTCAAAGCCCAGCTCTAACTCGTGCACAGAGTGAACTTGAGCAAGTCACCAGCCCTCCCAGAGCCTCGGTCTTCTCATCTGTACAGTAGGAACAGCAATGCCAATCTTGCAGAGAGACAAAGATGTGAAGTGTGGCTGAGTCTGGCTTATAGTAAGGGCTGAATACATGGTGGAGGGCCTTCTCCCCTCCTCCTGTGTTCCCGGGCAAACCCATTCCAGCTTCTCCACTTTGCAGTGAGCAGTCAGGCTGGCTCCTTCCAGCCACTGGCTCCTGCTTTATTGGGACTTGCTGAGTTCTCAGCCTGCAGCCAGGGTCTGCTGTGTGCCCACCTATGAGACACGCAGTCTCAGATCTGCTCTTGGGAGCACCTAGTCTGAGGATAGAGGGAAAAGATTTGGGCCTTGCCTCTAATGTCATTTCAGTCTGGGGAGAGGAGACAGGAATAGAAGAGATGGGTCTTGGTTGGGTTTTGAAGCACAGGTAGAAATCAGGGAAAAGGCACGCCACCAGGGTGGTCCAGCAGGCACAAAGGCCTGGGGTGCGGGGAACATTCTTCAGCTGTAGCTCCTGGACATGATCCCCTGGTTGTGCCAGAGCACACTTGGACTAGGCCATCCCGGTGTGTCACATTCTCCATGGCCCTGGGACCCCTGAGAGGACTCTGCTGGGAACCACCCCACCCGACAGGAGAGGAGAGATGCCTGTTCCACAGCTCATGCAGAGGTAACTGGGTGGGGACCCAGTGACAGACCCCCTTTTCCTGGAGTCTCTAGGTGACAATGCCAGGGACCCGTACTCTCACCAGGCCCAAACTAGACCCTCAAAAAGGCCTATCCTCCAAGTTGTTCCCCCAAAGCTCCCCGTCGTTTCCATTGGAATAAAACAGGGAGAGCTGGGAGGGGTCATGTCTTTTGGAGACAAAGGGAAAGGGGAATGGCTTGGATGCCATTGACAGTGGAGAACCGAGGCCAAGGGGCTCTTCCTCCCAGACACAGCTCCGTGGTCATCCCTGCTGCCTCCGAGGCGCGGAGGGATCATTGTGGGCACCAAAATACCCCACCCTAGGACCCCAGCTTCCTCCGGTAGCACCTGGGGGTTAGCGGGGTGGAATGAGTGGGCTCTCCCCCATTTCTCCGCCGAGATCACTGAGGCAGGGAGCAGGTGAGTCGGGGGCGGAGAGATGTGGTGGCCGCGCCTTGCCTGCGTCAGTCACCGCACCAGGAATAGCCCTCGCCCCCGCCCCCGCCCCCCAGCGGGTCTGCGCGCCCGCCGGGTGCCTGGCGGAGCCTTTACGCAGGAGCCAGCGAGCGTCTATTCCTGTCGGGCTGGTGGGAGGAGGCGGCGCGGGAGGGCGGGAGCGCACGGGTAGCTCACAAACAGCCGGGGTGGGGGGGCTGGGGAGTCTGGGGAGGGGTCCAGGCAGCGCGGAGTTGAGGGACCGGGGAGTCGCCTGCGCTGGGCTCTGGCAGGGAGGGGGACTCCTGTGCTGGCCTCCCTGCTTCACCTCCCACCTGTAAGTCCTTCTGCCGAGCCTGCCCCCTGCTGGTCCATTCAGCCATAGAAGACGAGTCCAGTTCCCTTTCCGTGGCTTGCTGGCTGTGTGACCATGGGCAGAGCCTGGAACCTCTCTGGGCCTGGGCTTCCCTCCCTCTGTCACAGGGGAACAATAGTGCCTCCCCCAGAGTTGCTGGAGGGTGAACGTACAGTTCACAGTAGAGCATAGCATGGACGCCTGCTAGGAGGGACTCTAGCTAGGCCTAGGTTGAGGATGGGCATAGACATAGGAGACAGGAGAAAGTGCTCCAGACAGGACTGTCCAGAGCAACGGTGTGCCAGAGAGACTGAGAAGTACCCAGAAATGGTGCAGCTGGAACAGAAGGTCTGTGCAAGCCTTTGGGCTGTGTGTGAGGCTGAACAGCGAGAAACAAGGTGCTGTTGGGGGTGGGGAGAGGTCCCTCCGTGGCAACCAGGCATCTCTGCAATGATGTTGCGCAGGCTTCCTGGGAGAGGGGGTGTCACTGGAACTGGGATTCCAGCGTCTGCCCCAGAATCCGAGAGGCTTTGGGCTAGATCCCCTCCCCCAGCCTCAGCTGCCCCTGTGGACTCAAGCTATTAGGAGTATTCATGTGCTAATGGGTTGTTCCCAGCAGGGGAGGAGGGATGGCCGTGCCGGGCGGTGTCAGCATTGATGGTTATTCTAATAAAACTGGCTTGGTGGTAAAGGGCGTCTGGCTTCAAGGAGATGGAGGGGGTAGTATAGGGAAAAAGGTGAGGTCCTGAGGGTGGTAACCTACTCTGCAGGCTTTGCCAAGACATCCCTGCTGGCCTAGTTTCTGTATCTGAGGATCAAGGAGGATCTGGATCTCCGAGGAGAGGTCCCATTCCTTGGGCCCGTCTGAAGTTGTGGCCCCAGCCGAGGATCCCCGGGACCATTCCGGGAGGAGGGAACAGTCAAGCCCAGGCGGAGGCTCTGCGCTGCCCTCTGCTGGCCACTGGGTGCAGGGCCTCCGGACGGAGCGGGCCAGAGAGGCCTGCCGCCCTCTGCTGGACAGGAAGCCAGGCTGGGCGGGGACCCCGGCTCCTGGGTAGAGCTGCCGGGCCAGCGCGGCTTCCTCGCCGTCCCCTGGAGCTTCCCATTCTGCCTGCCTCGCCCTCCCGCGCTAGAATGTGGGCCCTCTAGCCTCGCGGACTTTCGAGAGGAGGGGACAGGGCCAGGACGGGGGCTCCCGGTCGGCCTCCCCATGCCGCCCTCCAAACAACCCTGTTCGTGTAGGGAGCCCTGTCCGTCCTCGTGCGTGTGTTCGTCCACAGCCCAGTTAACACGTGTAAACACACTCGCGCGCTCACATGCACACGCATGTGGCAACACAAAAATCACACACAACGGTGTGCGCGCATACACCCAGGGAGGACCGCACGCCGGACTCCCCGACACCCGGCTGGCCCGGGACTCGCCCAGAGCCCCGGACCCGGAGGGGCGCGGCCGTGTGCAGAGCTGGAGCGCCTGGCTGGTGCGCCCCTCGCCTGCGCACCCCTGCCTGTTTCGCTGCCCTAAGCGTGCAGGGCAGCGGCTGGGGCGCCCCTCGCTCTCCGCCCCCTCCGCTGAAAGGAGACGAACCACCCCCCACCCCACCACCACCATCACCAGGTTTTGCGGCCGCGCCTTCTCCTCCCCCGCCCGGCTCCCGCGGCTCACTCGCTCCCTCCTCCCTCGATCCCTCCTCCCTCCCTGGCTCGCTCCTAGTGCTCCCTCCCCGCGCCGCTGCAGAGCGCGGAGCCCGAGCGGGAGCCGGCGCGGGAGCCGGAGCGGGCGGCGGGCGACAGCGCAGGCGGCGGCGGCGGCGGTGGGTCCTGGTCCCGGCCCCGGAGGGCGCGGAGTCCCCACCCGCGCCGCTCCGGCCCCTCTCCCGACGCGGGGCGCCGAGCAGCATGCGCGGCCGCTGCCCGCCGGCCCCGGCCCCGCGGCGGAGCGCGCCCGGCCTCGACCCCGGCCCCAGCGGCAGAGGCGGCGGCGGCGGCTCCGGGCCGGCCCAGGGGGCAGAAGCAGGCTCGCGCAGCCCCTGTCCCGCGGCCTGAGCGCGCCCGCCCATCCGCCCGCCGGGGCCGCGGCCTCCCGCCTCCCCACTCCCGAGCCCCGGCCCCGGCTCCGGCTCGGCTCCCGCCCGCGCGGGGCGGACAGACGGACAGCCAGCCCCGCGAGGGCGCGCGGACTGCCGGGCGGAGGTGTCGGAGGAGGAGGAAACGGAGGAGGGGGCTGGGCAGGGGCTGGGGCCTGGTCGGGCCGGCTGGAGAGACATGCGATTGGTGACCGAGCCGAGCGGACCGAAGGCGCGCCCGAGATGCAGGTGAGCCAGGCGGCCGCGGCCGAGCCCCGAGCGGGCAGCCCCGCGGCGAGTGCCCCTGGGGGCCGCCATCGGCCCTGGCTGCGCCCTCCTGGGGTTGCAGGGCACCTCGGTGCCACCCAGACCTCCTTTGGGGTCATAGGCCTGATTTCCCCTCAAGCCTCAGAAATGAAAATTCTTCCTTTTCCACCTCCCCTCTCTCCAACCCCAACAAATTCCGGGTTTGTAAGCTGGGAGCCTGGAGCTGGGGAGGGGCCCCCACGGGTGTCCCAGACCTGCTCTGGTCTCCCCTTCCTGTCCCCCCTCCCATTCTGAGTATTGGTCACTCTAGAGGGTAAGCCCCCTGCTCAGCCCTGGGTGGGTACCTCCCTTCGTGGACCCCAGGTACCCCCAGGCAGCCCCCACCAGCACCAGACACTCCCTAGCTGGTGGACACAGGTCAGGGGCTGGGTTTCTCCACAAGCTCCAGCCTGGATGGCAGCTCCCCACCACACACAAGCATCGCCCCTTTCCAGCTCCTGCCCAGTGAAAAGGAGATGGGGAGTAGGGAGAGTGGAAGGAAGGGAGTTGGGGACCGGGAGCGCCCAGGAACGCTTTAGGGGCCTCCCCTTTGTCTGCGTTCAGCCCGGGCTTCTCACCTCCTCTTGCCCCACTTTTCATTCTAAGGCAGAGCGGGTGGGAGGTGGGAACCAGCTGAGAAGAGGGAGGTAAGGAGGGAGCCTCCTGCTCCCCCTCACACCCTTTTCGGGGTGGGCTGTGGGCTCTCTGCTCTCAAGGCATGCCAGGAGATGTGACCCTCCGGGCGGATCCCACTTTGAGAAGGAGGGGTGGGGCCAGGCCAGTGGGCAGCCCCTCCCGGTTCCTGCTGGGGTCGCAGCCCAGCCTGGTCCAGCCTGACTGTGCCTGCACCTCCTCTTTGTTCTCAGAGGCCTTGGGGTTGGGGTGGGGCAGAAGGGGGCCTGAGAGGATGGGAAGAGCTCTGCCCTGAGCGGGTGGGAGTGCAGGAGGCCCTGAGGTAGGGGCTGTGGCATCTGGACAGCCCCTTCCTGCTCGCCCAGCCCTCCCTCAGTCCTCTGCTTGGTTTGGGCAGCCAGAGGGCGCATAGCCCAGCCTGGCCCGCGGCTCTGGGCTCAACCCTGTTGGTCATTATGCCAGTGGCTTCAGCACTGGTGCCTCCCATGCCCAGGGAGCAATGAGCCGGGACACCCAGGCGGCAGAGAGCCTGGGGCTTCCCCAGATCCAGCGCAGAGTGTCAGTGAGGAGAAGAGGGCCAGCTGCTCCCAGACCCTTTGTCCTTGTATAAGCCAGGGAGGAGCTCAAAATCCTCACGCCTCTGGGAAGGCACTAGCAGCAGGTCTACTGGGATGGCATGCCTGTCCTTCCTGCTTTCTACCCGTGGCCCGAGGTGGGAGGGAGGGTATAGGGTGGCACCGGGGAGAGACCAATAACTCCTTGGAACCGTGCTGAAAGAGGGCACAGACTCACATCGGGGATCCCAGCAGCACCCAGCTGCCCCTCCTGGAAGGGGCTTAGCGAAGGCAGGGACAGGCACCCTGTGGTGTTCTTGTCTCTGCCCCCCTCCTCACCCCCTGACAATTTAAGTGTGAGCCCCTGGGTAGGGCTTAGTTAAAGCTGCAGTGTTCCCCAGGTTCTGGAGTTAAAGAGTGGGAACCAGCTTTTAGGGGGATGGGCATGTGCTCAAAGCCAAGGGCCCTGTGTGACTGGGAGGGAGGTGGAGAGACTTACCCCTTGCGATAGTCCTCTTTCATCTGGGCTCATCTTCATCCTCTGTCCTCTGGGCATCCATTTCTCCTATATTGGGTATTGTTTTCTAAAACCCAGACTCCCAGAGGGACACCTCCCCCACCCCAACCCCCCAAAAAACAACCTCTTGTGGAGGTGGGTGGTTGTTCTGCATGAGGCTAGACGGGATCCCTGGTGCCGGTGAGGGCTCATGTGTGGTGCTGCTCTTCAGGCGCCTTCAGCCGCAGATATCTGGAGAAGCACAATTGGGGTTGGGGCGTGTTCCTGTTGGGAGATAAGGCAGTGCAGTCATTCGTGCAGGGTCCCACGGAGGCATGAGGCAGCGTGTCCAGTGGAGGGTAGGGGAAGTGGAGCCAGGGAAGGGTGGGGGGCGGTGGGTAGTAGGTGTGGTGGTTTCAGAGTCAGGGCCTTAGCTTGCTGGCTGGAGTCTCTTGGGCTAGCTGTCCTGTGTGTGGCACTCTGTGGAAGTGGCCTTCCAGCCCCACCCACCTCCATGGTTAGTCTCTGGAGGCTTTCTGTTCTGTTTCCACCAGTTCCTCCACGTATCCCCCCATCCTCACCTGGCTTGGCCCCGCATCCCCTCACAAAAGGTCCTTTCCTCTCCTTCTCCTGACCCCCTCCTCCAAGAAGCCTCTCTGCCTGCTTCAAGTCATTGCCCCTCCTTCTCCAGTCACCCACAGCATAGAACCACACTTGTTTGCACTGAATATTGTACCAGCCCAGTCACGCATGCATTTGTTCTGCACATCCTAGCCAAGCTGCCTGCTCGGCTCTGGGCTAAGCATGATCTGCCTTGAACACCCTGAGCAATCCTAGTACCCTTCCTTTTGCCCTCCTGCCTGGCCCCTGGGATGGGACAGACCCTTGGAGGTACAAGGGAGTAGCTATTGGCTAGCGGCAAGGACTATCTGTGCATGAATGCACAGAGCTAGATGATGTCAAAGATGCCCCAGGCAGGGGTTGAGAAGAGACAGACAGGGTACTCAGTAGCCCACACAGGCACTCAGAGAAGGGTGAGATTTCTCCCTGGGGGTTGAGGTTGTCAGAGGTGCTTTAGGAAGAGAGGGAGACTGGCTGAGTCCTAGGGAAGCAGCAGACTGCAGAGACACAGAGAGCAGGGGACTCCAGAATCAGGGAAGGTTCTTTGTAGAAAGAGTGTGAGAAGGCAGGTTCATTTCCCAATACATTTAAGGCATTCTTGATGCTGACCTCTGTTTGGTTGTGGAAGAATGAATGAATGAATGAATGAACGAACAAGCGAACGAATGAATATCCCTGGGTGCTGTGGGCTCAGTAGAGCTGTGCTGACAACAATCTACTTGTGTGTGTTCAGTTTCTTCAATGTTATTTCATAGTGAAGTTGTTAAGAATGTGGACCCTGGAGCCAAAAGTCTGGGCTCAAGTCTCAGCTCCACCACTGCCTAGTTCTGTGACTTTGGGCAAGTTACTTAATCTCTCTGGGCCTGTTTCCTTATCTATAAAGTGAGAGTAACAATAGTATCCACCTCAAGGGAGGTCGTGACAATTAGGTGTGCTAACATATGCAAAACATTTAGAACACTGCCTGGTACACAGTAAGCCTGTAATAAGTGCTAGCTACTCATAGTTTACATCAGTGATATGCTCATGATCTTATCCTTGTAGGTGGTAGGTGCAGAGGTTTGATTTTATACCCAAGAAAACAGAGCCAGAGAGGTGGCGAGTGACTTGCTGTGAGTCCCCAGCTTGCAAGCCTGCGGTTCAGTCTAGAATGCCTTCTTCCTGACCTCTGGGCTGGGGCTCTTACTCACTAATCCAGGCCCAGCCTGTTAATTAATTAATCGAGGCATTTAGTATTAATCGTAGTAGCAGTAATAATACTATAATGAACACTGTTACCCTACTCTCCAACTTAAACACCAGCAATCCAGTAATGATGTACATCTCCCCATGTGCTCCTGCACACCCCGTCCCGTTGCCTCTTTTTCAATGACTACTCTAAATTATGTATTTCACAATCCCTTGCCTCTTTAAAATTATATATTTTAACATATATAAGTAGTTCAGTTTTAGTTATTTTTGAACTTTATAAAAAGAGCATGAACTGTGTGCAGTCCTCTGGAATTTGCCTTTTTTCTTTATCACATTTAAGCTTCATCTATATTGTTGTGAATAATAGTAGTTGTAGCTCATTTTCACTGATGTATAATGTTCTGTCATGTGATCCTAAAAGTGTAATTAACATTCTCCTACCAATGGACATTTAGGTTATTTCCATTTTTTGCTCTTACAAACAATGCTGCCAGGAACCTTCTCATCCCATCTCTGAGGCAACATGCAGTGTCTCTGGGGCACACAGCTAGGAGCAGAATTGCTGGCCTGTAGGGCATGTTCGCATTCACTCTTACTAGGATATTTGCCAAAGTGTTTTCCAAATTGGTTAGACCAGTTTGCATCACCCCAGCAGGAGATGAGTGTCCCCATTGCACCCCATCCTGATCAACACTCGGTATTGTCAGGGGCCTTGATTTTTACTGATTGAATGAATGTAAGATGGTATTTCATGATGGCCTTGATTTGCATTTCTGGAATTCAAGGTTTCTGGTATATGAAATGTGGGTTGAGATGGGCAGCAGCCAGTGTGTACTAGGTGCTCACTAAGCAGTCATCCCATCGGCACCCGTTCCCCCAGTTGTGGGGATGCTGTCTTTACCATCCCTGAAGTCTGGGATGGATATGAGCAATCAGGGAGGACTCCCCAAGCAAGTAGGATGAAGGAGGAGCAAGAAGGGCTTAAGTCCCTGCATGTTTAGTGCAAACAAAGGACAGCAAATTCCAGGAACCCCAGAGGCTTTGTGTTTACCCCAGGATGGGAAGGAGTGGTCCTAGCTTAAGAGGTGGAGGGAGCCTGTGTTTCATTATTTTAGCATCCCCTCCTCCTGCACAGCCCCCCTGTGCACCTGGCATGAAGCCTGGCATTGCTGAGCACTTAATAAGAGTTTGGTGACCCAGGGAATGAACCCCGGATGGAACAAATGTGTGCTTGCTCCTCCTCCATTCTCACTTGCTTGGGGAGTCCTCTCTGACTGCTCTTGCTCATGGATCGAATGAGGGGTGGCTGAGCAAGGTGACTCCGGGGCATTGCAGGGCCCCGACCCGCGAGGCCCTCCAGATCCTTGCCAGCCCAGAGGGTCTGAGAAGCTGGGTGCTGGCAGGCTAATTTGGAGCAGCTCCCTTTGCCAGCCTGGTACACCAACGATTGATTCCACGCTGCCTTTTCTGCCTGGGCCTGGGCCCCTGGAGCTGGTTAAAGACGAGCACCGGGGCTGGCGGAATAATTATGCCTATTTCATGTGACACCCAAATTGATTGCCGCCAGGGTGACATTACCAGGGCATTGTTCCTCGTCTCCAACCTCTTATTACATGTTATTAGGGTGTGTGGTGTGTGTGTTTTTCTATTTTTTCCCCTTTCAGGGAATTAATCTCTCTCTGCCACCTCCTCTACTTCCCTCTGCAGAGAACCTGCTCTCGCCTCTGGGAGGGGGTGGGGGCCTGGCCAGCACGCTTCTTCTGCCTAGCCCAGTGCAGGGCTGCGGATGGGGGGTTGGGGGGGCGGGGACTGGCCATCTCAAGTCCCTTTACTTGGATGCAACACGGGGGCATCTCAGAGCTGAGAGGGGCTACTGAGGTGTAGATCCCAGCAGAGGAGGCCTCCTGCAGTAGCCTTGATCCATGGTCTCAGCTTGCATGCCTCCCATGATGGGCTTCTTACTTACTACCGAGGCAGACCTTCTGTCCTGAGCCGTCTAATGTCTCATCGGATTCCTCACACTGAGCTGAATGGGCCTCCCTGTGAGCCCACCCATGGGTCTTGGCTCCCCTCTCTGGGCCTGCAGTAGACCTTTGCAGCCTCTGCCTTGATAAGCTCCTTAGAGATTTGCAGAGGTGCCAGTTCCTCCCCCAAGTCTGGGCTTCTTATGAACGGGCAGCCGGGTAGTGGCATCCATTGTGCCTGAACAGGACATTCCTCCTGTATGTGTCTGACTGGAGGCTCCATCACCTCCTGGATACTGGGCTCAGTTTACCAGGTTGGAAAAATGGACTCTGGCAGTGGCGTGGCCAAGATTGATTTGAGTAGAGAGGGCTTTGAACTGCCAGGGCTAGGAGAGAGGCAAGTGTTTTATTTATAATCTGCCTGTCCATGTTAAACAGAACTCACTGGACCTTGGTTTGTGATGTTTTAGAGGGTTATTTTTCAATCTTTTCCCCTTTTGAGGCAGAAATAACCCAAACTCTCTCACCTGTCCCTGACCCAGCCCCGCCATGGGGTGGCCATGTGACCCTTGTATGATGTTGGGGAGAGAAAGTGGCCGCGGTTGGGATGCTGGGGTCCTTCCTAGGCCCTAGCCCAGAGATTCTGTGGGACCTTGAACAAGTCCCTGATGCTCCTGGGCCTCAGTTTCCTCATCTGTGTGAGGGTCTCTAAGGGTGTTATGCCTTTGGAGCCAGACAAGCTCAGGACCTCAGGCAGGTGAACTAATGGCTCAGAGCCTCAGTTTCCTCATCAGTGAAGTGGGTGTGTAACGTGGTGAGGGTTGGTGGGGTTGTTCAGCAAAGCACTTAGTGTGTGTGCTCGATATAAATGTCCCTTCCCTTCCCTCTCCCTGAACTCTCCGCCCCCAGCAGTGAGGGCAGTGTGAAGTCTGCCGTCCCCACTTCCCAGGGAGGAATTTGTGGTCCCCAGAGGTAAAGCCACTTGCCCAAGATGACACAGCTCAGCAGGCCCCTGAACCTGAATCAGAGGGAGGCAGTATGCAGGAGTGGGCAGGACAGCTGGGAGTCTGACTGCCTCAGGCCCAGTCCCAGGTCTGCCACTCATCACTGCGGGACTTTAGGCAAGGTGCATCACCTCTTGGCGCCTCAGTTCTCTAATCAGTAAAATGGGGATAATACTAGCCTCTTAGGGTGGTTATGGAGATCAAACAGGTTCATGCCTGGCACATAGCCAATGCTATGTTAGTGTTAGCTTTTAAAAAAAAGAGGCACTATAGGGAAGTGATGAAGAGCATGGACTCTGGAGCCAAACCATTGGGGTTCAAATCATGCTAACACTGACCCCGAGCAAGTTATGGAACCTCTTTGTGCTTCTGCTTCTTCCATCTGCAAAATGGGGATAGTGGCAGCACTTACCTCAATGGGTTGGTGTGAGATTAAATGAATTTTTATATGCAAAGGGCTTGAAATAACGCCTGGCAACACCAAAGGCCACCTACGAGGGGTTTACCAATCATCATTCTCATCGTCATTCTATTTAGCTCTCTGGCTAATCCCAAATCCCAGGCTAGTTCCACCACACCCCTCAGCCTCTCACTACCAGCCTCAGTCTGTGAGGCTGTGGCACCCCCCACCCCAAGCACAAGGCCTATAGCTCTCCCAGGCGGGGGTTGGCTGGTTTCCAGGCCTGAGCTGTTCCCAAATAGAGAGGCCCTGACGGCTGGGGCTGCAGAGAGGGTTCCCCCTGGGGGCCCCAGGAAGGTGTGAGAGGACGAGTGGGGATGAGGCAAGCGTGTCCCAAGGGGCCACTGGCCTGGGCAGGGGATGGCGCTGGGGGCCTTGAGGGGCATCTTCCTGTCCCCGAGAGCCTGGGTTGGCATCTCAAGACATGAGAAGGGAGATACTGGGGTGCAGGACTGGGGTTGTCCTTGGGCCTCTCTCAGGTTACCCCCCCGAATAGGCACTTGCCTGCCCCACCTCAGCTCTGGGACAGCTCCCATCCAACTGGGGGTACTGGGCAACCTTGTGCAAGGGGCAGGAAGGGCCCAGAGTGGTCCAGGATTCCCCCGAGATCACACAGCAGGGTGGGGTGCACTGGCTGGAGCCCATTTTGCTCATCCAGAATGGGCCTCCTGTCAGCCCTGCCCGACTCTCACTCCTCTCCACCAAGCCTGCTGCTCCTGGAGGGCAGAGCCTATATATAGAAGCCTTTAAACACTAAGATGCTCTGACAATTAAAATTCATAATTTATCCTGCAAATGGCCAGGGGCTGCGAGCTGGCCGGAAGGCTGGCAGCTCTCGAGATGGCTGTGCCTTGGTGAGGTGGGCAGGGGCATTCCTCCCTTCAGTGCAGGGTGGCCGAGTGCGTGCCTAGGGTGACCCAGGACAAGCAGGCAGACAATCACACCATGCCCAGTCAGCATCCTCCAGCAGGCACTGAGGCCAGTGAGCACATGTGGGAGAGGATGGAGCTTCCCAAAGCGCACCTGAGTGATGGAGCTGGGGGCCGGGGAGTGGGGGAGGAGAGGCAACCAGCACACACACACAGAGGCCACTCACACACCATACACATACACACACACACACAGAGGCCACACATCACACACACACACACACACACACACACACAGAGGCCACTCACACACATCACACACACAGGCCACACACACAGACTACTCGCACTCCACACACACACATCACTCACAGACACACACAGAGGCCACACTCACACACCGCACTCACACACACACCACACTCACACAGTGACCACTCACACCACACACACAAAGGCCACTCACACACATCACACACACACACAGGCCACACACACAGAGACTGCTTACACACCACACATACACAGTCCACACACACACATCAGTCACACACAGAGACCACACACACATCACTCACACACAGACACACACACACACACACACACAGGCCACTCACACACACACACACAGACACCCCGGGGGCCCAACAACTTTTTGCCAGAACCGAGAGCAAGAGGAAGATAAAGAATTATACACAACAAAGGACATGACCTCAGTTTTCTTCCACGTTGGTTTTTCTGTCCCCATGGGGGTCTGAGGAGGAGGAGGGGAAAGGGGAGGCAGGTGGGGGCGGGGCGGACCAACCCCCGGGGAGACGGCGGACACTGGCTGCCTGGCCCCCAGCCGCGCAGTCCGCCAGGCTTTCTCCTGCAGGAGCTCAGCCTGGGCGCAGGACTGCAACTCTCAGGGTTGCCTCACCACCTCCCCATGGGCCAGGAGGCAGCCCCCCAAATTAGACTGGCCAGCAACGGAATTATTTCTCCCATTAGCAGCTCCTACCTTATGCCATTATCAGCCATTCACACCTCAGCGGGGATTAGCCCTGGAAAGCCAGAATGGAGCATCTTTAAAAGGAGTCCAGGGACTGGGGTCAGGATTTGGGCTAAGAGAGAAGCCATTAGGAGTCCCAGGATGCTCTCAAGTTGACCAGGCTACAAGTCCCTTCCCCCCTGCACACCTTTGCTCTCACTGTTCCCTTTGTGGAAATGCCCTCCCCCTGCCTCTTCCTTGGCCTGTGGAAAATGTTTGTATTTCAGCCTGAGCTCACACAGCACCTCCCCCTCACCACAAAGCCTCCTTCATTAAGAGCTAGGTTGGGAGTTGGAGAGCAGAGTGCGAGTCCTGCCCCTCGCAGCATTTGTCTGGTGGGCTCTCTCTGTTCCTTTGATGTGGGTGCGTCTGCAGGCAGGGCCTGGGAGTGTGGAGCTGTATCAGGCCCGGTCCCACTTCGGAGGCTGTCAGTCTGGGGGCCACAGGAGAGGAGGCCGCAGAAGTGCCAGCAGAGCTGGGAGAAGCCCAGAAGCAGTGTGGGCAGAGGGTGGCCGGAGATCCAGAGGGGACCCGCCAGAGGCCGTTGCTTCTTCTCAGGCTAGAGGAGAGCCACTGAGGGAGAAACCCTGAGCTGCTTCTGAAGGCCGAGTAGGAGGCCTCTAGGCATGGGAAACGGATGGTTGGCCGCTGCGACAGAAGGAAAAACCCGGGCTGGGGTGACCGTCACAGTCCTCTCTAGATGGGCCCCACTGCGCCCCCACTCCTGGCCACTTGACCCCAGTTATCTCTGAGCAGGCACAGTTCCCGCTAACACGCTTTATCGTTTCCTGAAACGGATCCCGCATACTGAAGCTGAAGCAAAGAAGGGACCTCAGGCAGGCAGGGACTTGGGGAGAGGACAAGTCACAAGGAGCCCAGGCTGGGCCTTGCTTCTTTTCCTTGGTGATCCGGCGTGAGTCCCCTCACCTTTCTGAGTCTCCCTCCCCAGCTAGATATGCAAGTGCTCAGACTCACCTGGTGGAGTGGCCGGGACGGGGCTGTGTTAACAGGCCCCAGGCTGATAGGCACAGGTGGTGGGGGCTGGGAACGTAGTTGTGCCTGCAGGACAAGTTCTGGCCTCTGTCTCTCCCTTCCCTGCCCCCAGCCTGTGTCCCCATCTTTCTCCCCTCCCCCCACTCTGCTTTCTCTGCCTCTCTCTTCCTCTCCTCTGCAGCCTCACCCACCACGTGTCTCCCGGGTGTCTCTGGGTTTCTCTCTCTTTCCCTCTCCTGCTCTCCCCATCATTTCTTGGCAGTGGATCTGGGCAGAGCCCTGGGCAGACTTTCCGAAGTGCTCTAGCCCCCTTCCCAGGCCTGCCATCCTCCCCGCTCCCTCTCTCCTGCTGCCCAATCAGTCACGGGCACGGCGGGCATCAAGGCAAGACGAGGACCGCGCACACCCACCTCGTTTCCCCGTGAGGAACTGCCCTGGCCACACAGCCAGGCTGAGCACCCAGAGGACCCTGGGCCCCAGCCTTCGTGGGGCAGACGCCTCCATGCCAGATCGCATGCCTGTGTGTGCAGGGGGTCCCCCTGGTCCCCGAGGAACGCTGAGTGGGAGCACCGTGAAATACTGATACCATAAACCTGGAATAACTAAACTTGCCATCCTGTGCTTCAGCCAGCCCCACATTAGGTGAGATTCAGGCCCAGGCAGCAGCCGCAGGCACAGGAAAGGAGTGTGGTGGAAAAACACTGAGTACACGTGGCTCGTGTAACACCCCGTTTTCTGGAAGTTGGGGAAAGGCTTTTGTCGGGTTTGGGGGCAGATGCCTGGGTGTAGCTCTCTGAGGACTAGGGCCTTCCCTCAGCCCTGGGGCCTCACCCTAGCACCACCCTGACAGGACAGCCCCTCCCCTGGCCTGGCCTGCAGAGTCTAAGCCCTGTGTCGCACCAGGCAGCTCTTGGAGCAGGCAGCCCAACTAGGAGACACAGAGCTCTGCCCCCCTCTGGCTTTGTGACCCAGGCCCAGGGCAAATTCTCTTTCAGAGCCTCTGTTTTTCTCATCTGTAAAATGGGTAAGAAAGATCTCTTTTGAAAGCATCTCTGAGACAATGGGTATAAAGCCCCAAACCTCAGCTGGGCACAGTGGCTCATGCCTGTGATCCCAGCACTTTGGGAGGCTGAGGTGGGTGGATCACGTGAGTTCAGGAGTTCAAGACCAGCCTGGCCAACATGGTGAAACCCTGTCTCTAGTAAAAATACAAACATTAGCCTGGTGTGGTGGTGGACACCTATAATCGCAGCTATCTGGGAGGCTGAGGCCAGAAAATCACTTGAACCTGGGAGGTGGAGGTCACAGTGAGCCAAGATCTCGCCACTGCACTCCAGCCTGGGCAACACAGTGAGACTCCATCTAAAAGAAAAAAAAAAGGCCCCAAACCTGGCCCATAGCAGGGACTGTCCAAGTGTTAGTCCCTTCCCTTTTCTAAAGAAGGTGTCTGGTGGATGAGCCTGTAGAGGATGCTGTGGGGGAGTCACGTCCCTGCCCCCCTGGACCTCCAGATGCTGCCTATGGCACAGAGTGACTCCTGAGCCCTCTCAGTGTTCTCTGAACCTGTCCATGGGTGATCCCAGGCCCCTTCCATCTCCCCTAACTACCGTCCTTCACCCTGAGACCCTGGGGGCACGCCCTGAATGTGATGCCCCAAGGAAGGGAGCCCACCATCCTGAGCCCCCCTCCCACAGAGAGATTCTTCCAGCCCCAGTGAAACTGCAGTTTTGGGTCTGAGCCTCCCATTCCCCTTTACCCTTTAGCAAGGTTTGAGGATGTCGACCTTCCAGCTGGAAAAAGGCTAGTTTCTGGTGGCAGCACCCTCAGGGACACTGAAGTGGAGCCCTTACTGTGCAGGCCAGAGAGGGCAGGCATTGCCGAGGTCACACAGCAGGCTGGCCACAGAGAACTGCGTGTGTCAGGGAGCATTGCCTGAACCAGGCCGTATCTGCCCCGGGACATGAAGGAGGGTGTGGCCGGTGGCCAGCAGCCTGTCCCTCCCACTGTGGGGGCAGCGCAGAGCCTAGGACCTGCCCTCTGCAGTGCTGGTCTGATGGCTCAGTGTCCCCCACTGCCTGAGCCTGGGAAGGACTCTGGATGCTTTAGGTTCTGTGTGTGGTGCCCCAGGCACAGCTCTCTGCTGCCTGCCCACCTGCCTGTCTTTGATGTTTTATTTCCTTAGTATTTATTGGTTCAATTTTTAAACTCTTACCCTTGTAGGAAGCCCTTCAGGGGGCAAGGATCCAAAATAAAACACTGATTAAAATGCATAAAATACCTTTTCTTGACAGTTGCAGGAGTAGCCAGCAGAATGAACAGTGCCAGGATGGCAGGAGCGGCACATTGCCCACTCAGCAGTTTGGGTGACCCCGCAGACGTGACTCTGCCAGCATCCCTAGATGACAGGGACCCCATGGGGGTGGGAGACCAGGAGACTAGGCCCAGCGGAGACTGTGCCCTTGCTGTGCCAGCTTGGGCAGGCATCCTAGCCTCTCTCAACCTTCAGCTTCCCCACCGTTAGGGCAGCCGCATGTAAGAGGCATGAGATGAGGCATCTCAGAGCCCGTACACTCCCAGAGCTGTCCTGCTCCCACGGAGCATGGCCCATGGCTCTGTGGGACCAACTGCCAGGCCTGGGGGTGGCAGCTGTACAGGGCAAGGCTGACCCAGCTTTTCTACCAATGTATTTCTTTTTTATTTTATTTTATTTTATTTTATTTTATTTTATTTTATTTATTTATTGTTTTTACAGATGGAGAGTCTTGCTCTGTTGCCCAGGCTGGAATGCAGTGGCACAATCACAGTTCACTGTAGCCTCAAACTCCTGGCCTCAAGGGATTCTCCCACTTCAATCTCCCTGAGTAGTTGGGACTATAGGTGCACCCCACCATGCCTGGCTAATTTTTAAATTTCTGTGGGAGATGGGCATCTCACTATGTTGCCCAGCCTTGTCTTGAGCTCCTGGCTTCAGGTGATCCTCCTGCCTCAACCTCCTGAGTAGCTGGGATTACAATGGGATAACAGTGGGATTGCAGCGCCACCATGCCCGGCTTCCAACATACTTCAATTCCTCAGGTCTCTCATTGCTCAGTGGGCCTGATATAGGGTTAGCCCCATCTGCAGGGCTTCCACCCCTGCAAAAACTCACTCATGCGCATGTTTCCTTTCAAAGAACATTCACGGGGGTCTGTTCTGTGTCACACTTCACTCTGAGCTACAGACATACTCTCTGCCCCTGGGTACCTCACTCTCTAGCAGGTGAGACACACACACCCATGACTGAACCAGGATTACATTACAGGAGAGATGCCAAATGCTGAGGCTTTGGAGCATATTTCCCTCTTTGCTCAAGGTCACTAGGAAGCTCTCACCTTTCGTCATTAGGCAGGACTTGGTGGCATTCTTTCCTGACTGGCTTCCCTTTTTTAGCTTTTATCTTCTTATCATCTTGTAGCATAATTTTTCTGTCAGTTGGTTCAAATCACTATGGGAATGAGGTGTGCTATATACCAGTTTCATAAAATCACTACTATAAGAATAACAGGCCGGGCGCGGTGGCTCACGCCTGTAATCCCAGCACTTTGGGAGGCCGAGGCGGGCGGATCACGAGGTCAGGAGATCGAGGCCATCCCGGCTAAAACGGTGAAACCCCGTCTCTACTAAAAAAAAAATACAAAAAAATTAGCCGGGCGTAGTGGCGGGCGCCTGTAGTCCCAGCTACTTGGGAGGCTGAGGCAGGAGAATGGCGTGAACCCGGGAGGCGGAGCTTGCAGTGAGCCGAGATCCCGCCACTGCACTCCAGCCTGGGCGACAGAGCGAGACTCCGTCTCAAAAAAAAAAAAAAAAAAAAAAAAAAAAAAAAAAAAAAAAAAAAAAAAAAAAAAAAAAAAAAAAAAAAAAAAAAAAAAAGAATAACAGTGTTGGGGACAAGAGGTGATATCTGACTGAGTAGGTCAAGGATGGCCTCCTGGAGGAGGTGGCCTTTGGGGTGGAAGGTTGCAAAGGCTGCTGGGGCAGGAGTCTGGGACAGTTCTCCAGAACAAGATGGCTTAGAGGTAGGAGTGTGCAGGACAAAGTGGGGAGGCCCAGGTGGCTTTGCTCAGGGACTGGTGGGAAAAGAGGTGGGTGGGCAGGTTGAGGCCCGGTGGTGCAAGCTTCCTGTGTGCCAGATTCGTGTCTGTATAAGAGGGGCTTACCAGCACCTCGGGGTGGCCCGTGTCCTCACTAGCCCCCCTCATTCCCCAGCCTTCTCTCCAGCAGCTCCCCCCACCCGCCAGCCTGGCCCTGAGCTGGATGCTAAAAGTCCTATTTACCTATTGAGGTCCCCAGCCTCACACCCGCGCCAGCCCCAGCTGCCGGCCCAATTACTTATTGATCGCCTGTCAGGATGTTTGCTTTTCTGGTGGGTCACTGGAGCGTGTGTGACTGTGGAAAATAGCCTGGTGGGGGTCGGGTGGGGAGAAGCTGAACTGCAGAAGAGCCTGGAGAGAGGATGAGAGGGGCTGAAGGGAGGGTCAGGGTGGACAAAGCCCTTGGGGATAACAGAACCCTTGCAGATTCCATAACATGTCAGTGCCCCCCTGAATCCTCTCTGCTTAATCAGTGACTTGGTCAATCAACAACCACGAAGCTCCCGTCAGTCCTGGGAGACTGGTGGAGCATTTGCAAGTGTGTGGTTTTGTGGGCAGACCAGAGCTCCTATCCCAGAATTGCTCCCTCTACTGGCTGGGTGACCTTGGACAGCCACAGCCTCTGTGAGCCTCAGTTGCCTTAATGGCTGATGCATGGATGACAAGGATGGATGGCCTGTGGCCATGAAAGCAGGGGCTGTGTGAGGTGTGGGAAGGGGTGGGAGAAGGGCCTGAGCTAGGGTGGAGAGGTGGGACATCCGGTCTGGGCTTCCCCCTCCTGCACTGAGCCCCTTCCGGGCCATGAGTACAGGGTGTGGACACAGCAGCAAAGCCCCAGGGGCACTGGAGGCTGCAGTAGAGGAGCAGGGATGGGTCTTTACCCCACCAGCAGCTAGATGACTGCAGCTTGGCTCCCAGAGGCCATCTGATCCACCCCTGGAGCAGCTCCTAGGGTCTGACCTACCCTCCCCCAACCCCCCTACTCACCCTATTTGCCAGGCCAGTTTCTCATGGGGGTGGATGGAGAGAGAAGAGGGAAGGAGGAGATGGGAGGCAGTTTGGGGCAGAAGTAGGGACCAGTGGTCTCTGAACAGGGGGTGGGAGAGGGTCACGGAGGCTCCCGCATACCCCTTGCTCACTCCACCTGCAGCCTATATGCAAGCTGGACCCCGCTCCTGGCACGGTTTCTCATGTCACCACCTCCCAAGCCCTGCATGGCTTCAGAGCTCAGCTTGAACAAGCCTCGGTGCTGTAGTTGGGGCACACTCCTCCAGGGTTGCCTGGCTATCCTGGCCTGTGGGAATCTGATGGTGCCTTCCTCAGACTAGCAGCTGTGCAGAACTCTGGTACTAGGAAGAAGGTGGTGGGAGCCCTGAGAGACAGACAGGTGACGGCTGGAGGGTCTTTTTAAGGGGAGCACACTTCACTTCTTATTGGGTAACAGAAAACACTTCTTAGAGCAGCGGACTTCAATTAGGCCTTGTGGATGGAATTTCAACAGCCAGGGAAGGGGCATTGCCAGAGGAAAGAACTGCAGGAGTCAAGACCAGGAGGCAGGAAAAGACATTCTCCGGGCCCTGGGCTCAGGAGCCTGAGCTGGGTCACCGATGGGACCCAGAGGAAGTGGAGAGTCACAGATCCCACCAGGAGTCCAGGCTGGATTTGGATTTGCAGGTGCAGGGGGAGGAGGGAGGGCAGCTTCAGGGCTGGGCCTTCTGGATGAGGGTGTCCCCCAGCAATCCAGGAACCCCATGGGTGACAGACCCGTGAACAGTGTCAGGTGCCATTGGTTTACTGCAGACCCAGCCACAGAGCTGATGGGGAGGGGGCATGGCGTCTGCACCGGGGGAGACTCAGGGCTCAGGGCTGAGCGAGTGGGGCCCCCAGCAGCCTCAGAAGCCCTGGCCGTGCAGGCTAGGGGTAGCCACACTCCTGGTTGCTCTGCTCCGGCTTCTTGGGGGCTGTTCCTAGAGGCCTCAGCCCTTGAGCCCCTTTGATCCCCACTGTGAGCCCAAGAGCGGCTCAGCAGGTCTGGTTTTATCCCTGATGAGCACCAGGGGAGCTGTGATTCAGGGCAGGGTGTGTGCTTGGAGTCAACCGCCTGTGAAATGTAAAGGAGGTGGCGCCAATGCCAGGCTGTCTGAGGTGACCCGCCCCTTCCCTGAGCCCCTCCATTCCAAGGATGCTGGGAGGGTCCTTTGGGAAGACTCCAGGCAGGGTAAGAGGCAAGGAGGGGGCAGCATGAGGAGGCCAGAGGCCCTCTGGCCTGGGCATCTGGACCCTGCCTCTCTATCTGCATCAGGGTCATCGTGACAGGGCAGGAGGGGCCCAGGTGGCTTGGGGTGGCATCCAGACACACACTGCCCCCTAACCGCCACCTCTGTCCTGTGCTTGCTCCCGGCTGCAGGTGAGCAAGAGGATGCTGGCGGGGGGCGTGAGGAGCATGCCCAGCCCCCTCCTGGCCTGCTGGCAGCCCATCCTCCTGCTGGTGCTGGGCTCAGTGCTGTCAGGCTCGGCCACGGGCTGCCCGCCCCGCTGCGAGTGCTCCGCCCAGGACCGCGCTGTGCTGTGCCACCGCAAGCGCTTTGTGGCAGTCCCCGAGGGCATCCCCACCGAGACGCGCCTGCTGGACCTAGGCAAGAACCGCATCAAAACGCTCAACCAGGACGAGTTCGCCAGCTTCCCGCACCTGGAGGAGCTGGAGCTCAACGAGAACATCGTGAGCGCCGTGGAGCCCGGCGCCTTCAACAACCTCTTCAACCTCCGGACGCTGGGTCTCCGCAGCAACCGCCTGAAGCTCATCCCGCTAGGCGTCTTCACTGGCCTCAGCAACCTGACCAAGCTGGACATCAGCGAGAACAAGATCGTTATCCTACTGGACTACATGTTTCAGGACCTGTACAACCTCAAGTCACTGGAGGTTGGCGACAATGACCTCGTCTACATCTCTCACCGCGCCTTCAGCGGCCTCAACAGCCTGGAGCAGCTGACGCTGGAGAAATGCAACCTGACCTCCATCCCCACCGAGGCGCTGTCCCACCTGCACGGCCTCATCGTCCTGAGGCTCCGGCACCTCAACATCAATGCCATCCGGGACTACTCCTTCAAGAGGCTGTACCGACTCAAGGTCTTGGAGATCTCCCACTGGCCCTACTTGGACACCATGACACCCAACTGCCTCTACGGCCTCAACCTGACGTCCCTGTCCATCACACACTGCAATCTGACCGCTGTGCCCTACCTGGCCGTCCGCCACCTAGTCTATCTCCGCTTCCTCAACCTCTCCTACAACCCCATCAGCACCATTGAGGGCTCCATGTTGCATGAGCTGCTCCGGCTGCAGGAGATCCAGCTGGTGGGCGGGCAGCTGGCCGTGGTGGAGCCCTATGCCTTCCGCGGCCTCAACTACCTGCGCGTGCTCAATGTCTCTGGCAACCAGCTGACCACACTGGAGGAATCAGTCTTCCACTCGGTGGGCAACCTGGAGACACTCATCCTGGACTCCAACCCGCTGGCCTGCGACTGTCGGCTCCTGTGGGTGTTCCGGCGCCGCTGGCGGCTCAACTTCAACCGGCAGCAGCCCACGTGCGCCACGCCCGAGTTTGTCCAGGGCAAGGAGTTCAAGGACTTCCCTGATGTGCTACTGCCCAACTACTTCACCTGCCGCCGCGCCCGCATCCGGGACCGCAAGGCCCAGCAGGTGTTTGTGGACGAGGGCCACACGGTGCAGTTTGTGTGCCGGGCCGATGGCGACCCGCCGCCCGCCATCCTCTGGCTCTCACCCCGAAAGCACCTGGTCTCAGCCAAGAGCAATGGGCGGCTCACAGTCTTCCCTGATGGCACGCTGGAGGTGCGCTACGCCCAGGTACAGGACAACGGCACGTACCTGTGCATCGCGGCCAACGCGGGCGGCAACGACTCCATGCCCGCCCACCTGCATGTGCGCAGCTACTCGCCCGACTGGCCCCATCAGCCCAACAAGACCTTCGCTTTCATCTCCAACCAGCCGGGCGAGGGAGAGGCCAACAGCACCCGCGCCACTGTGCCTTTCCCCTTCGACATCAAGACCCTCATCATCGCCACCACCATGGGCTTCATCTCTTTCCTGGGCGTCGTCCTCTTCTGCCTGGTGCTGCTGTTTCTCTGGAGCCGGGGCAAGGGCAACACAAAGCACAACATCGAGATCGAGTATGTGCCCCGAAAGTCGGACGCAGGCATCAGCTCCGCCGACGCGCCCCGCAAGTTCAACATGAAGATGATATGAGGCCGGGGCGGGGGGCAGGGACCCCCGGGCGGCCGGGCAGGGGAAGGGGCCTGGCCGCCACCTGCTCACTCTCCAGTCCTTCCCACCTCCTCCCTACCCTTCTACACACGTTCTCTTTCTCCCTCCCGCCTCCGTCCCCTGCTGCCCCCCGCCAGCCCTCACCACCTGCCCTCCTTCTACCAGGACCTCAGAAGCCCAGACCTGGGGACCCCACCTACACAGGGGCATTGACAGACTGGAGTTGAAAGCCGACGAACCGACACGCGGCAGAGTCAATAATTCAATAAAAAAGTTACGAACTTTCTCTGTAACTTGGGTTTCAATAATTATGGATTTTTATGAAAACTTGAAATAATAAAAAGAGAAAAAAACTATTTCCTATAGCTAGTCGGAATGCAAACTTTTGACGTCCTGATTGCTCCAGGGCCCTCTTCCAACTCAGTTTCTTGTTTTTCTCTTCCTCCTCCTCCTCTTCTTCCTCCTTTCTCTTCTCTTCCCCAGTGGGGAGGGATCACTCAGGAAAACAGGAAAGGAGGTTCCAGCCCCACCCACCTGCCCACCCCGCCCCAGGCACCATCAGGAGCAGGCTAGGGGGCAGGCCTGGGCCCAGCTCCGGGCTGGCTTTTTGCAGGGCGCAGGTGGAGGGGACAGGTCTGCCGATGGGGGTGGGAGCCTGTCTGCTGGGCTGCCAGGCGGCACCACTGCAAGGGGTGGGAGCCTGGCTTGGGTGTGGCTGAGACTCTGGACAGAGGCTGGGGTCCTCCTGGGGGACAGCACAGTCAGTGGAGAGAGCCAGGGGCTGGAGGTGGGGCCCACCCCAGCCTCTGGTCCCAGCTCTGCTGCTCACTTGCTGTGTGGCCTCAAGCAGGTCACTGGCCTCTCTGGGCCTCAGTCTCCACATCTGTACAAATGGGAACATTACCCCCTGCCCTGCCTACCTCACAGGGCTGTTGTGAGGAATTGATGAGATGATGTATGTGAAACACTTTGTAACCTGTAAAGCGCTGTGCACACGTGTGGGTGACTGTTCTCATTATGGTCATTATTATCTCACTGTGGGGGATGGGGCTGCCGAGGGGCCCTCCATGGGGGTAGGCCTGGGGGGGTGTCAGGGGGAGTGCTGCTCCAGGGACTTCCAGAGGCTCCTCCTAGGACAGCGGCTGGGGCTGTGGCTGGCAGCACTGGCTGGAGAAGGGGGCTGTAGACCTGAAGGGGATCCTGAGGCTACGGGCATAGAGAGTCCCTCACCTCTGGTCTGATGGTGGGTCTGACTGCCAGGCCTGATGGTAACAGCTCTACAGGGCTCAAGGCTTAGCTCCCCAGAAGCTGGAGGCCCCCTACAGCATTGGCCTAGACTGATGCAAGGATTGGGAGCATCAGCTCTCCCCAAGCCTTCTTTGCACAGCATTTATCAAGCACCTACTGTATGCCATTTCCCATGCAGAGTGCCCAGGCTGTGGGGACTGGGAGAAGCAGTTCTGGGGCTGCCCTTGAGGCTTCCCAGGCCCAGTCTGGTCCCATCTTCCACCAGGCCATGCTCTGAGCCTGTCCTGGGCTGTTAGGGCTTCTGTGTTTGGGGCTGGGATCCACCTGCACATGAGCAGACCCGGAGGCTCAGAAAACAGACCCCCCACCCGTTGCTTCCAGCCGTGCCCATTCAAACCAAATCCAGCAGCTCCAAACTTGACCCTGGAGAGGGATGCCCCTGACAACACAGTGTGAAGAGCCAGGCAGTCACCTTGTAAGTTTCCCATCGGCCATGGACCTTGACCCAAAAAGCTGGGCCAGTAGGTCAGCCAGCAGACCACCCCCAATCTCTGTCAGGAAGGAGGGGCTTCAGGGTCAGGGAGGCCTGGTTTCTCCCTTCCAGGTTCCCTCTTTCCTTGGGAACTCCTTGGGTCCAGCCCCATAGTGGACCCAGGGCGATCCTGTTGCTCATTCTTCCGGCTAGGGGAGAACCCCAGCGATGCTAGAATCAATGGGCACAGACCCAGCTGAACGTGGAGGGGGAGCAATAGGGAAGTCAGCCCTCACAGCAGGAGACTTCCGGGATGCAGCTCCTCCCACCAGGGTTCTTCCCAGGGCCCACGCCCCCACCCAAACTGGCACAGCTACATGCCTAGCACCTTCTAAACCAAGCCTCTGGTGGGATGGCGTGGTGGGCGGAGTCTTGTATGGAGTTGGCACTCGATCACTTATTCATTCATTCAATCTAAAGGCATCTCTGAGAGGCTGCTTGCCTCCTGGTTCCAGCTGAAGCAGTTGGTAGCCGTAGCTGGGCCAGCCTGCCCTCTCCCCCATCTCCCAACCACCACCTAAGGCTGTCCCTGGTTCTGGGGGAGGCTCAAGCCTTCTGAACTATCCCCTTTCTCAGGCTTTATCCCCTGAGAAGAAACAGGATCCTCTCCCCATAGGATCCTGAGTCCAGGACTATTGGTGTGCAACGGTTGAGGGTCCCTGTGGGCAGCCTAGACTTGTGATTATAAGGCTGTAAGGTTTGAGGTCAGGTCTGAGTTTGAGTTCCATTTCCAGCACTTACCAGCTGCTCGGCATTGTTACTTAACTCCTCTGAGCCCCAGACTTCTCGCCTGTAAAACAGACGATATTACTTGTTCTGGTCATCAGGAGGATGAAATGAAGGCACGTGGGTTGGCTTGTGGATTGGTGCAGTGCCTGCCATTCAGTCAGTCCTCTACAACTGGCAGTGGTGATGACCCCACTCTTACACAGATGCAGAGGGGGAGGGCCAGAGAGGGTGGCAGCTTATCCTAAATCGCACAGCTTCTAAGTGACCCATCTGGGGCCTGGTTCCAGACTCTCAGAGCCACAGACTTCTAAAACTGACTCAAGGCTTCTCAGAGCCACTTCTGGGCAGGAGAGCATTCAGAGGAGCACGAGGGACAGGGGGAGGGGTCCTTGGGTCTGTATACAACAGGAGACCAAGTGAGTCTTCAAAAACCCCACAAGCCTGCCCCTCCTCCCAGGAGAGACCAACACACGGGCCCCCTCCATCGTCCCAGCCCTGCCCCTCCTCCCAGGAGAGACCGGCGCACGGGCCCCCTCCATCGTCCCAGCCCTGCCCCTCCTCCCAGGAGAGACTGGTGCATGGGCCCCCTCCATCGTCCCAGCCCTGGAAGCCCAGTTGGCACCGTCCTCTGCAGGAGGCAGCTTATATGGGTTCTTACTAACCCCTCTGGGATGCCTCAAGGCTGGTAAGAGCAGGGAGGTCAAGGGGCCAATTTATTCCTGGCTACTGGGAGAGAACGGCCCCCTGAGGAAACTCAAGAACATGAGAAAATTACTAGGTTGTTTTCAGATGGGGGCAGGATCAGTTTGGGGGAATGTGAGTGCCCAGGACCCATGGACTGGGTTTGCCCAAGCAGAGAGGACTGGGGACTGGGCAGAGCCCAGGTGGGTTTTAGTCCAGGTGCAGCCCCTTCAGAGCTGTGTAACCTTCTTCTGTGGAAGAGGGTCGTGAACTCAACTGCTGCTAAAAGCACTGCTGGATTTAAAGGGCATCGTCTGGGAAGCCAGGCTGGAGAGGCTGCTTTCTTCATGCCTGGACAGCCTCTGAGACGGGGAAAGGAGGAGCAGATACTGCCTTGCCCTGGCACACACACAGCTGGAACCTGAGCCCAGAGGTGGTTTGAAGGGTCAGAGCCTTCCTGGGCCACCCACATTCCCCCAGAGCCCTGATGGCCCTGCTCTGCCTCAGACCCCATGGGGTGTTGGAGTCAGGATGCCCTGCTGCCTCAAACCCTATTGGGAGCCCGCTGCTCTGCTCACCTTTTAATCTGGGGCCAAGGGGATGAGGTTGGAAGAAGCTGTTGGGGAAAAGGCAAGATATTGAATCCTGAGAGTCCAGCCTGCTTTCCAGGAGACTGAAAGCAGCACAGCCTCCAGGCCTGCTCCTCTATGAGGCAGACATGCCGGAACCAGAAAGGATGCTGAGACTGGGAACCCACCATCGACATTCAAGTGGACCCACCCGAGGGTGGCACCAGGAAGATGAGTATTAGAGGGAGCAGTGAGCACCAGAACCCTTCCCTGGTTTACCCCTCACAAGTCAGAATACAAGGCTCAGAGAGGGAAGGTAACCTGCCTAGAGTCATACAGCAGAGTGGTAGATGGAACGTGAGCTTTGGAGTCAGGCTGACCTTGGTTCAAATCCCACCTCCACCATTGAGTCCCACATGCAGAATAGGGTTAACTCCTATGTTTACAGGGTGTCTGGGAAGATCGAAGACAGTGTTGTAAAGTACCCACCTACACAGGGTGTGGCACCTGTTGGGTACACTAATGACCACTGTTACTAGCATGACATCTTTATGGGCAAGCAAGGGAGTGGTAGCTGAACTCAAGAACTGGTAGGGTAAGGGACTGTGCGGGACACAACAGGGATGGCAAATGGGTTGGGGTAGAAACCAAACCTGGCCATACCCTCTGCTTTGCCACTGGAGGCCTCAGGGCTGTGTGGAGAGGATAGAAGCAGACTCCAGCTCATGAGCCCTGTTTGCCCAGGAGAGAGAGTGGCTGTGCCCTGGGGCCCTGGAGGACAAGGAGACAGGGGAATATGTCACAGAGAGCAAGGGAGAAGGGGTAAGAGGAGGAGTGTAGACCCCTGGCTGGTATCAGGAGCCCCTGGGGAAGTTCTGCCACCAGCTGGCCAAGGGCCCTTGAGTATTTTAGGGCCTGAAGTCAGGGTTCATGAGGTACAAGGAACAGGGAGCACAGCCCACTTGGAGCTAAGTGATTTATGGAACCCTCAGAGAACCTGCTTCCATATCACCTTTCCTGCTTCTTTCCCCAACTTGGTGCCCTCTGATGACATGACAGCCTGTACAGGACTGAAAGTCACCCACTCATCCCCGCCCCAGCTCCCATTCAAAAACCCCAAGCTCCAGCCTCCTTTGTAGTCTGGCTAAGGCCTTTGATTTCTTCATTCCTAGTCTCCAGAGAAAAAAAAAGGCTGAATGGTCACTCACCAGCCAATCGGTTGGCTGCCTTGAAGTCAGGTGCCCATCCCCTTGTCCAGTCAGCTGGGGCCAAGGAGCTCAACCTTGCACAAGCCAAGTTGGGGTGAAGATGGTGCAGAAGGCATGAAGGATTGGATCAGTTATCTATTTCTGCATAACGACCACGCCCACAACTTCGTGGTTTAAAACAACTGTTTATTTGTTCCTAGCTCTGGAACTTGGGCAGAGCTTGGTGAGAACAGCTCATCTCAGTTCTGTGTGGCATCGACTGGGGAGACTTCACTGCCGCTGAAGGTCCTAGATGGCTTCTGACCATGTCTGTTGCCTCAGCTGGGAGGCTGGAAGGACTGCAGGGCCGCTGGCTCCTCTCTTTCCACATGGTCTCTCTGAGTTTTAGACTTCTTTAAGGTAACTCAGCACTCCAAGATGACATAAATGGAAGCTCCCAGGTCTCTCAAGGCCGAGGCCAGGCAGACGCATAGCACCACATTGGCTGCATTCTATTGGCCAAGGCAGTCTCAGATCCCCCTAGATTCAACGAGAGGGAGGACAGAGCCCAGCTCTCACTAGGACAAGCTGCAGTCACACGCAAAAGGGCACTCAGGGTGTGAGAGTTGTCACGGCCACCTTTGGAAATCACCTTGGAAGTCCCTGGAAGTCACAGGGACCTCTGTGGTGCCTTATTCCTTTGAGGAACCACTCACAGGTGCACAGCCCTGTATGGTTTGCTCAGGAGTAGGGGGCTTAGAGAGAGATGGTGACTGTCCCAGTGATCTACAGCTGGTAAGGAAAAAGCCAGGACCTGAACCCAAGTTTGCTGTGCAGTCTGAGTCCCTTTCCATAGTGAGGGTACGGGGGAAGTATGGCAATAATCACAATAGCTACTGTTCATTGAGGGTTTGTGCCAGGCCCCAGGCCAGATGCTCTATGTGCCTTCTCTTATTTCATCATCCCAGGAGGAGGGGCTTACAGGCTCCCTTTCAGATGAGAATACTGAGAAGTGACTATCTGCGGCCCACCACCAGCTAGGTGCTGACGTCAGGATTCACACTTAGGGCATCAATACTTCCCTGAAACAAAGCCCCACATTGGGCCCGAACCACTCCAGACTCAGGCTTCTCATCTGTGAAGCAGGCACGGCCTCCTTTCTTTGTGGAAGTTGGGGGAGGAGGGTGTGCTGTGGCCTGGATGGGTGAGCACATGGTGGCGGGGGCGTGCTCTAAGCTTCTGCCAGTCAATTCCCCCATCCTGGCCCCCAACCCACCTGGCATCCCTGTGGGGCCCTGAGACCCAGGCCCCGCAGCCTGCTCTGAGGGACTGGCACGCTAGGCCTGGCCTGGTCCCTGCTGGGCCACTAGGGACCATGGGGCAGGAGTCTAAGAACAGCAACCACATGACACATCCCTAGGAGTACAGGGCCCTCCCCCGGGAGCTCCAGCCTCTGCCTGCCTGAAGGAGCTGATTGCTCAGCCTGGAAAGGGATTTACAGTCTCCCCTTAAGCCTATTATGGCTCGTCCTGTGGCCCCAGCCCAGGCCCTGTCATCCTGCCAAGTGACAGTGCTGGTGTCTGAGAAGGGGCCACGGAGACTGAGGGATGCCCCAGTGCTCGGCCCCAGCTCCTTCCTACCCCAGCCTTCAGGCCAACCCAGGAGGCCTCTCCATGCCCTATATGTGACCCCAGCAGGGACCCAAGGTCTGGCTCTCCCTGTACACCCACTGCCTACGCCCCCTCACTCCCGGTCTGGACTGTGACACAGCCACGTAGACAGCCAATCCTGTGGCTGGGGTGGCAGGATGTTCCGGAGGAACAGAGGAGGAGGAAGCTGGAGGCAGAAGAAAGAGAAAGCCAGGCAAGAGAGAGGATAGGCGGGCCCTGCCCGTGATGCATCCCTCCTGGTTCCTGCGGTCCAAGCTCAGCCCAAAGGCAGCGGTCAGCATGGCCGGCTCCCTGTTCTGCTGATGAGAACCACAAACCTCAGAGAGGCCCAGCCACTGCCCAAGTTGCATGGCTAAGCCATGGAGCCTCAGAAACCACAAAATGCCCTTTGTGTGCGCACATTCTGTAAATGAGGAAACTGAGGTACAGTGAGGGGAAACTGAGGTACAGCATTTTGTGACAGGCCTAAGGTCACAAAACAAGTCAGTCGGCAATAGCACCAGTTCTGACTCAGCTGAATTGGGAGGTGGCCATTTCCATGGCATCCAGAAAACCTTCCTATGGGAAACACAAGGTCAGACTGGCCCCAGGGGGACACCCATTCCCAGGGGCGGGGGCGGCAGCTGGAGGCTCTGACTTCCTGCCTTTGCTGTCTGACTTGCAGACATTTACATAGCTCATTAAAAAATATGGTGTCGTAAAGAGGAGAGAGCCGGCTCGGGAAAGCCTCGTTCCCCCGTTGACTGCCAGACCTCTTGCAGGACACTCCAAGGGCGCAGGGAGCAGACCTGGATGGGAGGAGGTATGCAGCTGCCCCTCCGCAGCACCCAGAGCTGGGGCTGGGGGAAGCTTTTAAGGCATCTGTTTTCCTGGGCTCTGTCCACAGCCCTGTGCCAGGAGGTGGTGTGACCTTGTATAAGACCCTGAGCATCTCTGGACTGACCCCTCCCAAGGGCCTAGGAGAAGCCTACACTAGGTATCTCACATTCTTCCAGCTTCAGGGTTCACCCCAGGCCTCAGTGGTGTCCCCTATCTGACTTCCCTGCCCCCACGCCACTGCCAAAGTGAGGCGGAGTCACAGCCTCTCTAGCAGAATGACCTTTATGGCCCAGCCCTATACCTGGGCCCATAAATCCCTCCCTCCACGCCATGCAGTCTCCTGGAACAGAGCAAGGGGTCTGCTGACCCATCCGCCTGCCCCACCCTGGCCACCCCAGGACCACCTCTTGCCCATTTCCCAAGCGCAGCTCAGTCCAGAGCCAGGATGTCCAAAGCCCCCAGGATCCTTGCCATCAGAACAGTCACTCCCCTCCACCCAGAGGTCACCTTTCTGGAGTCTTCCTGTGTCCTTCTCAGGCAGCCTGCCAACGTCGACCACCTGGGGGGAGTCCTCGCCCCTCTGCCTCACTTTCCCTCTCTGTACAGCCAGAGTTGGGTACAACGGGCTCTGAGATCCCAACCAGACAAGACGGTCTCTGGGGAATAACAAGGTCCTCTGCCCATGGTGAGTCCAGGCAGAGCCCCTAGCTGGGAAGTAGGGACTGTGGCGAAGCCCTGCGGCCAGAAGCGTGAAGCAGGACTGCCTGACCACTGGCTGGCACCTGGCTGGCCAGGAGCCAGGAGGACAGTTGTTCCCTTTCTCCTGCAGGGCAGCTGGAAGGGACAGGGACGCTGGAAGGTTGACGGGCTCCCAGGGTCATCCAGAGGCAGGAGGGACTGCTGGAAGTGTGGGGTAGATGGGGAATTGTTCTGTGTGGAGGCAAAAAGCTGCAGGGGCCAGGACAGCCTGTGATGGGTTCCCAGGTCCCAGCTGTGCCCTCCAGCTGACCTCCAGCCCAACCCCCACAATAGAAAGCTCTCCAAACACTTTTACGGGAAGACAAGGACCACACCCCAGGAGCACCCTGAAGCCATGGAGCCTAGTGTCCCACAGGCAGTGGGGGCGAAGGGATAGTAACCATTCATGTAGAGAGAGGAGATGAAAGGCAGGCACCAGCTTTGCAGGTGTCCCCAGGCCCTCAGCTCCAGTTCCCTGGCTTAGGACGAGGAAAATCTGCTTTGAATATTCCCTCCTTGCCCTTGAAGACTCCCCTATGCCAGAGACAGAATTGCCCCCTCCTTCTGGCTCTTGCTGCTCATGTGGAGTGTAGGATGAGTGTGGGTGGTTAGGGAAGCTGAGGCAGGGTGTTCTGTAGCACACCACCCAGGCAATGGGGAGCTATGGTGGGTGCTTGAGCATGAGAGGGACACATCTCAGAATCTAAGGAGGAAAGATTTGAGGTGTGGGAACAGAGGAGACAGAGGCCAAGGCTTGTTCTTTAGGATGAGTATGCACACCTCTATGCTCACACACACAATGCCCCTTGTGTGCAGGCAAGCACAAGTGGGCACACGGAGGAGCTCACATATGTACAGCCTCACATATTCTCCCACAAAGCCAGGCAGCAATTCGGGTCCACACAAAACCTTTTCACAGGCACCCATACAAGCACAAACCATCAATACACACCAGATAAATAGCTGTTACATTGGAACACTTACACGCGACACTCTCGCCCTTGCATTCACACGAATGCATAGACCCACAGAGCAGCCCCTCCTGCACACACACAGAGGCGCAGACACGCTCGCATGCCCGTCTCCATGCCGCGGCCTCTCTCCTTCCTGGAATCACAGCGCGGCCAGGCTGGCCCCTGGGCTCAGTGCTCACCTCCCCCTCAAACAGACACAGACACACACACACACACACACACACACACACACACACACACACACACACACACACGGACTTGCAGGGGGGCAGCCCCCGGAAGCCTCGCTCCTGCCCTCGGAGCCTCGGCTGGCCAATGAGAGCGCGCCGGGCACTGTCTCCTAGGCGACCAGCTGGAGCTGCCAGGCTACGAGATGGGAGGGGCCAGGGAGGGGCGTGGCCACAGGACCCCTGTCCCACCTCCCGCACCACTCGCGACCCTTGTGCCCTCGACCCTCATTCTCAAAGGGTTAGAATGGGGCTAGGCTGAGGGCAGGAGTGGCAGGGGTACCTCAGAGGCGCCTGATAATGAGCCCAAAATGAATCCCAGAGATGCCCTTCCCTGTGGATGGGCCGGGGACAGGTGCGCATCCTGGCCAGAGGTGAACTGTGTGGCTGCCAGGGGACCTGGCTCAGCCTCCAGGAAGCCTCTGTGACTCAATCCTGTCACCTTCGCAGGATTCTGAAGAGATTACATTGACCTCCTTTCTCTTCCCCAGATGCCCAAGCTCCTTTCCCTCCAGGCCTCACCATGTGTTCCTCCCTCTGCTCGGAAAGTTCCCTACCCTTTCTCCCCCATCTCACACACGCGCACACATACACACACGCTCACTTTTTTTCTGGCAAACTGCAGCTCATGGCATAGGACACACACACACACATATTCAAAATCAGTCCCCTGGTTTAGGGCCTGTGTAAATGGGGACTAGGCACTACCAGTCCTTGAGTTTTTGATCATGTTGAAACACAAGGCATATGTTGAGGTGGAGGCTGGTCAAAGCAGCTAAGTGCACGGCTTTAACAGCATGGGGTCTGGAGCCAGATGACCTGGGTCCAAATCCTGGCTCTGCAACCTACCAGCTGTGTAACTTTGGGCAAGTTGCCCACGTAACATGTAAGGAGTAAGTGAGATCGTTCCCGCAAAGCACTCATCGCAGTGTCTGGTGCAGAGCAAGTGACCAATAAATGTTGGCTTCTACTGTTATTATTCCGGGGAATTCCTCACTCAGCTTCCAGTCCCCAGACTTCATTCAGAACATTCAGAACGGTCGTGGGCCCCTAGACCAGGTGACTCACGGTGAAGGGCAAGCAGGGCATGTCCTTGCCACACAGCCAGACCCATTCCAACACCAGGTGCCCTGTCCAAAAGGGAGACTTGTCTCATTGGGGTAGAAAGTTAGAGTCTGTGGTGACCACCAGTCATAACTGTCTTTGACCACACTGGATGGACAAGCTTATCTGTCTCTCTCTGTAGGAATATTATGGGCAAGCATGATTTCTAACAGGCCCTGTGCTGAGACCCTGCAGGCCTTTTGCAATCTCCAGCTCGTGGCCCATGTACTGCCGCTACGGGCCTCAGAGAGAGCCATCACTGTTCATTCCTCCTGCTCCCACTGGAATGGGAGGCTGTTCCTCACCAGAGTGTGGTCTCAGCTGCAGGAAGGGGCTTTGCTGAGGGTGTCCTCACCGCTCCTTCATTCCACACCCAGTCTGTATCTATACATTTATCCCAGATTGCTCATACCTCACCCATCTTAGAATCTCACTCCTACTTTTCTCTCTGGTTCCTTTCTCCTGACTCTGGGCCAGGTTCTAGCACAGATCAGCTGTCATTCTCTGTGACCCCCATCAGTTTCCCCTCCCTGAGTTTTCCTTTCCCCATCTATAAGATGATGTAATGATTCTTGCTCTGGAACACTGTCTCCCTTCCTCCTTCCCACTTATTCATTGAACACCTACTTTCATTAGTCACTGGCTAGGCATGGGAATATTATGAGGAACAAGGTAGGCAAAGCTCCTGCCCTCAGGGAGCTCACAGTCTGAGAGGGAGACAGATTCCAAAGAGGGGATCACTCAAACAATACACATTTGAAAATTGTGATCAGGGATACCAGTCCCTGGCATTATGAGAAACCATGCCGGATGGCAGAGGAGCAGGCCCTGTGGTTCACCAAATGCTCTTTAGCCTGGATGACAGCGACAGTAACAATGTGAGTAATCATAGCTCCCTGTCTCAGCTTCCAAGCACGCCGTGTGTGTGGACTGTGGGCCCTGCCTCTTCAGCAGCATCTCTCAGGGCCTGGGCCCAAGTGGAGCTGTCCTCAATGGGCAGCCCTGCCTTCCTCTCACACCTGGTCCCCACTCTGGGGACAGGCAAGCAGCAGCCCCCTACTCCCTTACTGCAGCAGGACCTCCACTCTACTCTGTTTTGCATAATTGGTTTCCAGTGAGATCCATTGGAAGTGATTTGGCATACCCAGGTTTATGTCTCTGCTCTGCACTAACCAGCCAGATACCCCGGGGCACGTTACCACACTTCTCTACAAAAGGGGACAATCATTCCCACCTTACAGCGTTGTTGGGAAACTTGTACACAATGCCCATGGAAAGCACCTGACTTGTGGATGTTCCCAATAGGTGCCAGCTGCTGCCCTGTGCTGGGCCCTCCAGGGAATGCAGTGTGGGGCTCTGGGCTGGGACAAGTTTTAGCTTTCAGTGTTCTGTATCCAAAACTATTTGGCTGCAAGGAACAGTGTTTGAAGACATCCTCTAACAGGGAGGTTTCTGTAAGGATAGAGTCTCAGGGAAGCCCAGACCAGCCTGGGGGTTGGGGATGCACTCCCTCTCTCTCCCCTTGGCTCAGCTTCTGGCTGCACATCGGCTCAGGTCACCTGTCCCTCTCTGCAGAAGGAGTGGCTTCCTCTTCTGCCCAAGGTGTCTAACTGAGCACAGTTACCCTAAGATGACAGCCTCAGCTCCCTGGAGCAACTTAGCCTCTGTGTTCAATTCCAAATTCCCAAGAGAAACTACAATGGGCCAGGATTAGGTCGGGTGTCCACCCTTGGTCCAATTAGCTGAAGCAGGACCAGAAGGTCAGGAAAGCCATCTTTTCCATGTTGTGGGAGAGGCCGGATCTTGCAGTAGGAGTGTGGGTAGAGTGAAAATGATGGCTTTCCCTAAACCAGTGGTCCTCAATCCTGGCTGAATGTTGTAATCACCAGGGGAGCTTTAAAACATACGGATATCTAACTCCCGAAGATTCTGATTTCATTGGTGCAGGGTGCTGCCTGGGTAATAAGCGTTTCAAGATCTCCCCGGGTGATTCTATGGTGCAGCTGCCAGGGTACAGACCACTGCTTTAAAGACCTCCTGGTAACTGAGTCCATGCCCCAAATGGCATTCATTCCTCTAGTTTGGTCTTATTTCAGGCCAGGTGAGAGGTTTACCCTCCATGGCCTAAATCAGGGTTTCCTGGCCAGTCACAAGCGAAGATAAAGTCAGAATTCTGATTCCTAGACGTAGTCCAGCTCTTGTGAATCAAAATGTCTGAGAAGGACCCCTGGTGAGTCTTGTCACCAAGTAAGCTGGGGAACACTGGGCTAAGTGGTAGCTTTACCTATCAACACACCTGCCATAAGATCATGGGAGGAAGTCAGCCCAAGTGCAATGAAAACTTCTGGGTAGCCGAACAGGGAGGATGCTAAGTTTTTAGCCAACACTACACAATTGTCATCAACAGAGGCCAACCAGGCCCCTCCGCTTTTTCTGAGAGCAATAGGTGGTAGGAGCAGGCCTGACCTCCCCAGATGTCTGTGCCAAAGAAGAGTGGACGTTTTTGTGTGTGTCTGCACAGAAGGGCCCCTGTTTATGTGAGGTGTTCCTTGCCCTGCCACCCCAAATCATACAACATGAATAGAAACTGCTGTCTTCTTATGAAACCCACTACCCTGGACATGGCCTGGTCTAGGGGAGGGAACCTGACCCAAGCTGGGTCAATCACACCCACATCTCCTTGTTGCTATGCGTGGACAAGGAATTGGCACCTGCCTCAAGTGCTGCTAAACAGAGCCCTTCCCTAGGATAGTTGAACTTGGAACCGGAGCATGTCACTATGAGTTTTTCTCTGCAGCGGGGCTGGGAAAGGTGAGCCTGGGGGCTACCGAGAGCCAAGTCTGCAGGTCACAGAGGATGTGAGGAGGGGCAGAGCTAGGCTAGGGGGAGTCGCTGATTCTGCTTTTCTCTGTGGTCCCCTGAGTCTGGCTTCCAGCAGGTCCCGAGGTCTAGGACCCAACACCTATGGGGCACGGCATAATTAGCGGCTTTGCTATCACATACCACGGATCACAGACTCCCCCCTTCATTCTTTCCCAGCTAACTCTACATCTTATCTGAGGGTCTATTTCTGGTCACCTCAGTCCTGGTGTCAGTCTCTGTCTTAAGGCCAGTTTCAGTGGATTTCTGTCCTTCTCAAACAAAGTGCCCTTTGAATATAAGGTTACAGAGAAATTTTAGGAAGCACAGTTGCAGAATGAACTGCCCAGGCCTCCCTCTCCCAAACTGAAAACCACCTATCTGTGTCTATCTCCACCTGGAGCTGCAGAGTCTCTCCTCTCTCTTCCCTCTGAATGTCTGTTCCCTTCTCCTTCTTGTCCCCTCTTCTCCTTCATTTATCAACTTGAGCTTAGCTGAGCTTGACTACCCCAAAATGGCAGCCCCTGCCGGGAGCCAACACACCTTGTGTTTCAGCTCCCTGCAGCTAACCTAATCTCTGTGCCCTGATTTCAAATTCCCATGAGACGCACTCTGATTGGCTGAGTTGAGTCAAGTGGCCTCAGCCCGGCCCAATCAGCTGGGACTGGGGGAGGGCTGCCGTGGAGAACTAGCTGCCTTCCTGGCTGGGGAGAAGGAAGCAATGACTAGCATAGCAAACTCTGGGGGTAGTGACTTCTACCCTGGAGGCGCCAGAGACTATGGGCCTCAGAAAGGCTCCACCTTATTCACTAGCTCCTGGACACCATCGCTGGAACTCTGGGACATGAGGGACGTTACTTTGGACAGATTTCAATGAAGCCCCACTTCCTCCATGAGAGCTTGTTCTTCAGCAAGTCAAGAAGAGGGTGGGGGTCTCAGCCAGGGGGTCAGCTGGTTCTGCCAGCAGTGCCTAGTGGCTGGCGAGGAGGGATGGGCAGGGGTGACCCTCACCCTCAGCCCCTAGGCAGCAGCTGCAGGCCTGCTTTGCATCCTGTCCAGATACTTCCAGTAAATAAACATTGACGCTTTCGATATCATGTTAATTTCACAGGCGGCTGTTCTGCTGACAGTTTCCACACTCCGCCAGCACCTCTTGTCACTTTTATACTCACAGGCCGACGCCAGCCTTGCTCGCGGGCCGCCCGATGTACAGACATAAAAACAAATGGCTCAGAAAAGCCCTGGCGAAGGGATGGGAATGACATAGGTACCAGGCTGGGGAGAAGCGGTCCTGTCCAGGGTACTAACGTCAACTAGGGCAAGGACCAGGCCACAGGCTTACAATCCACTAGTGTGACCTTGATCAAGCATCTCCACCTTTCTGGGCCGTAGTTTTTGCATCTGTGAAAAGGGTTCATGTTGTAGGAATGCTTCTTTGGGAACCTGGGCAACCCCTGCCTCTTAAAGCCCCTTAAACTTTCCAGGGGAATCCAATCCAAGTAATGATTGTTGCCTGGCTTTGACCTTCAGCACAACCCCTGGAGGCAGTTTAGGCAGCGATTTATCACCATTGTACAGATGAGAAAGTAGAGGCCTAATGCAGGCCAGTGATTTGCTCAGAGTTACAGCAGAGACAGGAGCAGAACCAAGGCAGGAACTGGGGTTCCTGCTCCTTCAACAGCTGTCAGCTGTATAAGCCAGGGTTCTAGGGCCACAGGGGTGGTAGGGCTGGGGACCCTGTCTTGTCCCAAGCATAGTTGAGCCAGCCCCGTGGAGCCTCTGGGCTTCTTCCTAGCATGCACAGTCATGAGGTCTCGTGCATATGCGTGGTTATTCCTATTCTAAGCTGAGCTAGGTGGAACTTTCCAGCTAGCACCTCCTCATCACAGGGGCCCTCCTGTGCTCTAGGACTCCCACTGTCCGCCCTGTTCCTGGGCCTCCGGCTTCCCTCTTACCAGCAGCTCACCAGCAACCCACCCCCAGTCCCATCCCAGCCTCCAGTGGAAGCTAAAAGGGGGGTAGCCAGATGCCAGGTTAACTCCTTTCCTTCTCTGGCCACACCTGCACCCTTCCTCCAGGTGGGAAGCGATGCTTGTGTCCACTGGGCCAGTCCTGCTGCACATCCCGGCACCACATCCCCAAAGGCCGAGGTTGGACCCCAAGAGGGTCCAGGCTGCAGCTAGATCACAAGCGATTGCAGTGACCGCCCACCTCCTTGTCTGCTATTTACTCCCTGAATGAAGGCTTCACTAGCCTAGGATGACATCTGGGAGCACTTCAGCCCAAGGGTGGAGATGGGGGCAGGGGGCCGTATCTCAGCCTCCCAGTGGCTGTCCAGGGAGGCTCAGATGGCCATCTTTTCTGGGAGCAGGGCTCTGGGACGCCCACATGGCACCTCACACCCACGCACTCCTGGCGCCTGCTTCTGCTCAATAAAGACTTGTTAATGGACCAAAGTGAATTAGAGTCATTAACACTGGTATCAGAGACAGGCAGAGGTCGGCGCCTGTCCTCCAGGCCCAACCCACAGTCTGGGAAACTTGGGCAAGGCCTTCACCTTTCTGAGCCTCAGGGCCCTCCCCTGTAAATCAGGGCATAAATGTCCCCCTCAGATGGCTTCTCATCATCTGCAGGCTGCTGAGGTCAGCATTCAAGGCCTCCTGACCCAGCTCCTTTCCATCTCCCTAGGCCCCTCCGCCCCACATACAGATTCATGTGCTCACACAGCCAGCAGGATGCACCAGGCGCCAGTGTGTCTCCAGCCCTCACACACATTGTTCCCTCTAACAGGAAATTCATTTCTTTCTCCCTCACCCTGCCCCCAGACCGCTAAACTCCTGAGCAGACTTCAAACCCCTGTGACACAGTTACCTCCTCCAGGATGGCTTCCCTGACGCGTCCCCACCCCAGCCTGGCTTAGGTGGTCTGCTCAGGGAGGGAGGCTGGAGGGGTCTGTGCGCTTTCTTCTTGCCAAAAACCCTTTGGAGAAAGGACGCCAGAAGGAGCACCTGGAACTACCCTCCATTGCCCGGTCTGAAAGTCCAGCTGGGGAAAGCGCCTACTGTGCGCTGGGGTCTGCCTCCACCCTGGGGTCTGTTTCCCACCCAAGAGAACCACTCATAAGGGAAGTTATGTTTTGGACAAATTTGAAAGAATCTCCAGTTTCGCCATGAGCAGTTGCCCAGGAAAGCTTGTTCTTCAGCAAGCCAAGAAGAGAACAGGGGTCCGGAGCAGGGATCCTGCTTCCCTCTGTCATCTGCAATAGAGCTCTTGCCTATTTTGGTGTCTGCCTCGCCCACCAGGCTGCCCACCCACTGCGTGAAGCCAGAGCCCTGGTCTGTCTCACTCCAGGGCTTGGCGCACAGTAGGCGCTTTCTTTAGCTGGGCTTCCAGAACAGGCAATGAGGGGTAGTTCCAGGTGCTCCTTCTGGCACCCTTTCTCCAAAAGGTTTTCAGCAAGAGGGAAGGGCACAGCCCTCTCCAGCTCCCTCCCCACCCCCCACCCTGTCCCTGCTCAGCACCTTTAGAATCACTTAATTTTTACAGATTTTTCCTCCTTAACTACAGCCCATATAACAATAAATAAACTGGAGGGAGGAAGGGAGGGAGGGAGGGGAAGAAGTACAAGAAAGCTGCCAATCTCTTGTTGCCACATTTCAGGAGCTCTGAGCCAGGACAAAAGGAGGTGGGAGGGAGGAACAGAGGCTTTCAGGCTGGAGAACAGCTCACTCTCTCAATCTCTTGCTGTCTTTCTTGCAGGTACTATGACCCTCCTCCCCTAAACCATCACCGCCCAACCCCTAAGTGCTAAGACATGATGCACTGGGTCCTCTCCAGGTCACAGAGAACTTCTTGACCGTACTAAGCAAATAGAAACTGCCTAGGCCTCTCCCTTCTCTGGTTCCTGGGGAGGGAATTATCTCCTAAATAATCAATGACAATGGCCATTTTTGAGGGTCTTTTATCTGCCAGGCAGTTCGCTCACCCACTACTTCTGACCCTCACCCTAAGCCATTCTGCAGAGGAGGAAACTGAGGCCCAAAAGATTAAGTGATCTCCCCTTATGAGGGGGTCTGATTGCAAAGTCTGCACTGCTCACAAAATCATACAGCGTCCCACATGAGCAAGCCTCCCTTGTGGGAGGGATCAATACCCCACCCGTGGTTGGAGCACCTCTTGGGGGTTTCGCACCATTATTTCTGATGCCCAGCAAGAGAAACACATTTTCTCTTTCTTTTTTTTTTTTTTCTTTTTTTTTGAGACAGAGTCTCACTCTATCCCTTAGGCTAGAGTGCCATGGGATGATCTCGGCTCACTGCAGCCTATGCCTCCTGGGTTCAAGCCATTCTCCCGCCTCAGCCTCTGGAGTAGCTGGGATTACAGATGCCCACCACCACGCCCAGGTAATTTTTGTATTTTTAGTAGAGACGGGATTTTGCCATGTTGGCCAGGCTGGTCTCAACTACTGACCTCAGGTGATCCTCCCACCTCGGCCTCCCAAAGTACTGGGACCACAGGCGTGAGCCACCGCGCCCAGCCCTCTTCCTTTTTTCTCTCTGGCCCATGTATAGACAAGGCAAAGCCACTGAAGTCCTTTCCCTCTTTTTCACTGCACAAGCTGGATGGGTGGAACTTTATTGCAAAGGATGTAAAACCTAAACACAAAGTAGCCCCCCACCGCCTTAAAAAACCCAAAACAAAAAAAGAAAACTCATATTTTTTAAAGCATGTAGTCATGATGGCCAAGTCCTGACTTCTAATCCGTCAAAGCCACAGCACCCTCCATGGGACAGGCAGAACCTAGTGTCCACTAGGCCTGGCTCTGGGGTTCTGAGTCACTTTTCCTGTCACTGACAGACTCTCTGGAGAAGAAGTGGACGCTGAAGAATAAACCACCCAAATCCCAGCCTCCCCAGGCCGAGGCTGATTCCCTCTGAACATCAAGAGCCCTGTCCCTCAGAGGACTCTGGACTTCTCTGGTTTAAGGAGTGGTGAATTCCTGTCTACTTCCCCTACCCCCAAGGCTCTTGGCAACAGGAATGGACTGTGGTGGCTTTGGCCTCTAGAAGGATGGGAGGAGGCAGCACGCTGCCCTGAGTGTGTTCCTGCCTCTGCCCCTGGCCCATGGGCTCTACCCAATGTTCAACTGTGTGGCAGGGCTCACAGGAAAAGGCACATCTCTGCTCTCGGGAGCAGCCAGGCCGGCTGGGGAGGCAGCAGCTAGGGCAGGAACAAAAGGCAGCCATGCAAGGTTTGGCAATGCATTCATTCATTCATTCATTCATTCATTCATTGAATGTTTATTGAATACCTACTGTGTGCCCAGCAGTGCACTTACTGCTGTAGGCATTGGGGACATCTTGAAGAACAAAAATGACAAAAGTTCCTGCCTTTGTCGATCTTGTAATCTCACATAGAAGTGGTATATATTTTTTGTAAAGTGCCGGATAGTAAATATTTTAGGCTTTGTAGGCTACATACTGCCTTGGTTGCATATTTATCTTTGTTTATTTTCTTACGACCATTTAAGAATGTAGTAATTAGCTGGGCATGGTGGCTCATGCCTGTAATCCCAGCACTTTGAAAGGCCAAGGCGGGGGAATTGCTTGAGCCCAGGGGTTCAAGACCAGCCTAGGCAACATACTGAGGCCCCATCTCTACTAAAAATAAAAAAAATTAGCCAGGCATGACGGTGGGCATCTGTAGTCCTAGCTACTCAGGAAGCTGAGGTGAGAGGATTGTTTGAGCCCAGGAGGCTGAGGTTGCAGTGAGCCATGATCCTACCACTGCACTCCAGCCTGGGCAGAAGAGCAAGACTCTGTTCCAAAAAAAAAAGAAGAATGTAATAACTATTCTTAGTTTGTGGGCTGCACAAAAACAGGCTGCTGTGTGAAGCTGGCCCACAGTTTGCCAACCCCTGGTCTAGAGCAATGCTGTCCATTAGAAAAATAATGCTAGCGACGTATTTAATTTTAAATTTCTAGTAGCCACATTAAAAAAGCAAAATTAAATAGAATTAATTTTTGTAAAATCATTTATTTAAACCAATATATCTATAATATTATCACCTCAACATGTATGTAATATTTTTAAATTAAGATATTTTACTTTTTTGTACTAAATCACAACCAGATTTTGAAGATTTATCAAAAGTATTTTATACTTACGGCATATCGTCACTGGGACTAGCAACATTTCAAGTGATCAAACATGTGGCCAGTGGCTACAATAGCGGACAACACAGGTTTCATAGGAGGAATAGATAATAAACAAGATAAGTAAGTAAAATACATCAAATATGTGAAATTGGTAACTGCTGTGAGGGAAAATAAAGAAGGGGGATAGGGAGTGTTGTTTAAGAGTCACTTTGACTCCTGGGTGGCCCCCTTGGTCTGGGAACTTCATTCAGGGCCAAGGATCTTGTAATTCCCAGGGAAGCAGGAAGAAAGTCTGCACACTGTGGAACCTTATAGTGGACGAGAACTGACAGATGGCATCCTGCGCAGGCCCTGCCCAGGGCATGGGATGTCTTTCCAGCCCCTTGACAGATGCCCGTCCAGCCTCTACTTATTCACCCCTCAGTGGGAGCTCACTGCCCCGCTAGGCAGCCCCTTCCTCTCAGCTGGTGTCTCTGATTTCACCCCTTCCTCCTTCTTGACTTTGCACCAGGAGTGATATATTTTTTCTCAATTTTTTTATGGTAGTAAAATACACACAACGTGCAATGTACTAGCTCAACCATTTTTAAGTGTACAGTTTGGTGGTATTGAGTACACTCATCATTGGAGCAATATTTTTGTTTTTTTTGCTTTGTTTTGTTTTGTTTTTTGAGACGGAGCCTCGCTCTGTCACCCAGGCTGGAGTACAATGGTGCAATCTCAGCTCACTGCAAGCTCCACCTCCTGGGTTCACGCCATTCTCCTGCCTCAGCCTCCCAAGTAGCTGGGACTACAGGCACACGCTGCCATGCCCAGCTAATTTTTTGTATTTTTAGTAGATACAGGGTTTCACCGTGTTAGCCAGGATGGTCTCGATCTCCTGACCTCGTGATCCACGCACCTCGGCCTCCCAAAGTGCCGGGATTACAGGCGTGAGACACCGCGCCCAGCCTGGAGCAATATTTTTGTTTTGTTTGGTTTGGTTTTGAGACAGGGGTTCAATCCCGTCACCCAGGCTGGAGTGCAGTGGTGTGATCTCGGCTCACTGCAACCTCTGCCTCCTGGGCTCAAGTGATTCTCCTGCCTCAGCCTCCTGAGTAGCTGGGATTACAGGCGCCTGCCACCGTGCCTGGCTAATTTTTGTGTTTTTTGTAGAGATGGGGTTTCACCACGTTGGCCAGGCTGGTCTTAAACTCCTGAGCTCAAGTAATCCACCTGCCTCAGCCTCCCAAAGTGCTGGGATTACAGGCATGAGCCACCACATCCGGACTAGAGTGATATTTTTTTAAAAGAAATATTTTCATGTTAAAATTCTTCAATGGTTCCCCATTGCTCTTAAGGTGAAGTCCAAAGTCCTCACCACAGTCTACACAGATGCATCAGTCAGGAAGCTTTGGGCTGCAAGTAACACAATGTCCAGGTGCTACTGGCTTACACCATAAAGAAACATATTGGCTCACAAAACACGAATGCTTAAGTAGGTGGGCCTCAGGGCTGGTTGATTCAGCAGCTCAAAGATGTAATTCCTCCTTACCTATCGTTGGCCAGAATTGGGTCACATGCCTATTCCTGAACCAATCACTGGTTAGGGAATAGAATCACCAATTTGGCAACATGGCCTCCCATGATCATAGGTCAGTTTTCCAAACTGCATTGTTGGGGGAAGGCCGGGGAGGATGTTGTGATGCCCATTGTGTCCACTGTATGCCCCTGGTGATGGGTTTGCCTCATGCCTCCAGCTCCACCCCACCACTCCCTGCCTAAGTCTCCCTGATCCAGCCTCCTCTGGCCCACCAAAGTGCCCCCCTTTGCCTCTGAGTCTTCACACATGCTGTTCCATCTCCTTGGAATGCTTTTCCCATCCTCTGCCTCCCTCCCTGCCTTTACTTGGCTACCTTCTCTTGTCCCCTGAGCCTCATGTCATTTCCTCAGGAAGACCATCCTGGTCCCCCAATCAGCTCGAGGGTTCCATGAAAAAGGACAGGGACCACAGCTGACTCACTTCCCAGTGCCTAGAGCAGAACCTGTGCAGAGTAGGCACTCGATAAATACTTGTTGAATTGGACTGTCTTTGGGCACAAGTCCCAGATCTGCCTCTGACCTTGGACATGACCTTGGCCAGGTCATGGGCTTTTCTCCAGGCCTGATCTGGGTTTGGGATGGTAGGTGGATGGGTGTGCTAGGCACTGAGGCAGGCAAGCAAACCCAGCTGTGTGTGGCCAAGGGCCACTGGCTGCGCCTCTGTCCAAGACAGGGCCTGTGATGCCCGCAGAGCTCATGCAGAGTCCGGGCCTCCCCAGCAGGGACAGCTCCGAGGCTCTAAGCGAGTGGGAGGCAGGGAAAAAGCAGGATTGAAATTCCATCAGGCGCTCACCGAGCCTGCTCCCTGGAGCCCCCACGCCTTTGTTCCATTTAATCAATATGTAATTAAACTGAAATCCCAGCTTAAGAATTTCCAGCGGTGCTAAGACCAGGCTTTCAGAGGGTCTGGCAGAGCCGAGGCTCCTGGGTCCTCCAGCTATTAGCCCCTCACCAGCCTGGCCTGCCTCCACCTGCCGGGCCTCAAGGTCACCTTCTCCAGCTGGCCAGGCCAGCACAGGACTCCAGTCTTCCACTCAGCTTCCCAGGAGAAGACACATGCTCCGTGGATCCCCCCGCCGACCCTGGGCTACCGGGGCTCTGGTCATACTCATGTGAATGGGAAACACTGAGACTCAAGCCTGCCTGCCCCAGCCACCACCTTCTATCTCCTCCCTCCTTAGAGTGACCCAGACAAGCTCACCAACGCCGCCAGCTATGTGTGCTGAATGCTTGCTGTGTGCCAGAGGCGTTCTGACTTCTCTACCCGCATTAACCCATCTGATCCTCACAACAACCCCGTGAGGGAGGCACTACTATTAACTGCAGTTTAACAGAAGGAAACTGAGGCACAGAGCACCAAGGGCCACCTGCTAGTTGACAGTGGAGCTAGGACTTGAACTCTGGACCTGCTTGCTCCAGAGCCATTATGCACAAGGGCCCTAGTATGTTGGGACCTCGCTAAGGGCTGCCTTGGAGGGCACAGGCTCCTCGACACCCCCTCACCAGGAGCGGGCAGAGCCCTCAAGCCCCTCCTCCGGCAACTCTGCCACACCTGCCACGTGGCCTCCACACACCCCAGAACTTGCTCTCAGGAAACAGGCAGAAACTCTGCTGGGGTTCACAGGATCAACACCAAAAGGTCCCAGTGATCCTGCAGGCAGCGCTGCGTTCAGGGAAGTCTGAAACTCTGCCCTTAGACCAACACAGGCCCAGAGAAATATAACATGAGCCACACACAAAAGGCACATATGGAAGCTAAACTTTCTAGTAACCACATTTAAAAAAGAAGTGCAATGAATTTTAAAATATATTTCACTTAACCCAGTATATCCAAACTATCATCGTTTCAACAATAGGTATTAAATATTATTAATGAGATCTTTTATGTGTTTGATTGCTCTGCACTTCTGAGATCCAGGACGTATTTGTGGTTTTTTGTTTGTTTGTTTGTTTGTTTTTGAGATGGAGTCTTGCTCTGTCACCCAGGCTGGAGTGCAGTGACGCAATCTCGGCTCACTGCAATCTCCACCTCCTGGGTTCAAGCGATTCTCCTGCCTCAGCCTCAGGAGAAGCTGGGATTACAGGCGCCCGCCACCATGCCCAGCTAATTTTTGTATTTTTAGTAGAGATGAGGTTCTACCACGTTGGCCAGGCTGGTTTCAAACTCCTGACCTCAGGTGATCCGCCTGCCTTGGCCTCCCAAAGTGCTGGGTTTACAGGCGTATTTGTGCATTTTATGTTCATCGCCCATCTGGATTCAGATGAGGCATATTTTAAGTGCTCCATAGCCACATGCGTCTAATATGGGTGGCTCCCCTATTAGACAATGCAGCTGTAGAGAGTAGCACCCTGTGTTCTGTTAAAATGCTCTGGGAAAGGAGAAGTTGGGATTCCTGCTTTCAGGGCACTCTGAACTCACTCAAGCAGGGGATCTGTGGGAGAAAATCCTCAGGGTAGAATGTAAGGTAACAGGTGCATTCCCTGCTGCCTTTGGGGGTTTCTGGGAAGGGGAGCGCACAGGAGTTAGAGCCTGGAAAATCTGGCTTTGGGGGTCTAGGCACGTAAGGGGGATGGGGGAGCAGGCAGGAGGAGGCCGAGTCCCTCGCAAACCCATCCCCTGCTCACTCTTCTCTCCCTGTCCCTAGCAGATGCCGCACCGAGACTTGGGGGTCTCTGTAGGGGAGAAGAGGTAGCCAAGCTGGAGGCAGCCCTGGCCCTCTCCCCAGAGTGTTGGAGAACCCAGGCACAGGTGAGCAGAGAGTAGGTGTCCCCGATGCAGGCCCCCTCACCCCTCCTGCCCCTGTGCCCTTGGCAGGCAGGGAAAGCTGCCCTGGGCTGAGTCGCTCCTCACTCCTCGTAACAAGCGTGCTATTGTCTTAATCCCCCTCAGAGTCTGGCACAAGCCCAAGGCCAGTTCCCAACAGGCCTGGCCTGGCCCAGTCCAGGGAAAGGAGGAAAATGGCTCTGTCCCTTCAGCAAGCAGAGGCCACACTTTCCAAACAAATCAGTGCTTCACCTTCAGAAACATCAGAAGCTCAAAGGCAACACAATCAACATCTTACAGTGACTGCCCCCATGCCCTGAATCAAGCCCAGGGAAGTACGCCGTGCACCCCCCCACCGCCCCCCGCCGACCCCTGGGCACAAGCCAGCAAGACAGAGCTGCTGGAGCCTCAAGAGTTGGGAAGCCTCACTCTTGTACTCTTCCAATCTGTTCTTGGAATCTTCCACTCCTTAGAATTATCAGCACATCTGGCCAGGCATGGTGGTTCACACCTGTGATCCCAGCATTTTGGGAGGCCGAGGCAGGCGGATCACCTGGGATCAGGAGTTCAAGACCGGCCTGGCCAACATGGTGAATCCCCATCTCTACTAAAAATACAAAAATTAGCTGGGCGTGGTGGTGCATGCCTGTAATCCCAGCTGCTCGGAAGGCTGAGGCAGGAGAATCGCTTGAGCCTGGGAGGCAGAGGTTGCAGTGAGCTGAGATCGCGCCACTGCACTCCATCCAGCCTGGGCGACAAGAGTGAGACTCAGTCTCAAAAAAAAACCAAACAAACAGAATTACTGTCACGTCTTAGATCTTTCCAATTTAGGTGTTGCAAAGATGCCTGGAACTAAAGTGTATAAGTACATCAGTCCCTTAGAAACGTGTCGTTTGAAGAGCTCCCACCTGAGCTGGACTAACGTGCTGCCCTCGCCTCCCTCTCCCCTGCTGCCTCTGCAGGGGGCTCAACTATAGCTGAAGTGATCTGCCTGGATCTGGGGCCATCCCAGGACTTCCCATCCAAATGGGCTGTAGTTGGGACCTATTTCCTTTGCACGCCTTTGACATGTGCCTTTGTGAATGTCTGACTTCTCAGCCCTGGGACCTGGGGTGCTGTAGTGAGGACTCCACAGCTGCTCATGCCCCGGCTCCCACACTCCCTTTGTCCTGGGCTTAGTTTCCTGTCACAACCCCATTACCCAGCCTCTTGGCCTTGGTGCACTCCCATTCCTTAGAGGAGGGGGGCTCCTGGAAATTCTCCTTGTCATTCCTGATGTCCAGGAGGGGCTGCTCCAAAACACCCTAGAAATGTGACAGATTGTCTCCCAGCTAACCCAGAAGAAGACAGCAAAGGAGCAGTGAGTTCCTTCAGCCAGCGCCCAGAAGAAGCTGGCAGCCAGGCACCCACTCTCCAAGAGTGAAGGGCACATAGCTGGCAGGACAGCCTCCCTGACCAGCCCTGCTCTTTGCCGACATAGCCTCGTAGGTCAAGTTTTGGGGCCAGGAAGGAAGAGTACCCCTCCTTCCCCACGTAGTTTACAAAATCTGCTTAAGACGCATTCCAGGGAGCCATCCAGGACCTCAGTAACCGGCCTGAGCTGGCCCCAGACAAAGACTAGAATTAGGTTGGGGAGGCCAGGCCAGCCATCCTGGGGTTTCTGAGCAGACACATCTGTCCAGCATCCATCCCCACTCCTCCCCGTCCCCAGGTAATGTAGTAAGTGGATGGCAGAGCCAGGGCTAGAAATGGGTCCCAGCTGGAGGGGCAGGCGCGGGGGGAACTCAGACAGCTGGAGAGGAGTCAACGGGGGTGCCCCTGGGCGGGCAACTGGGCGCCTAAGTGCCAAGTAAGGGCACCTGAGAAGCCGCGTGTCCTCTGTCCTCCTGGTCCTTCTGGGACGTGGGCATCCCAGGTGGACTCCATCAGGGGATCCAGGACCAGAACCTACACACCACCCTGGGACTTTGACCCTGAGGGAGGCCAGGGGCTGGGCCCGGGGACATTAGCCCGGAAGCAGGCAGCAGCAGTCTGACCAGGCCACTTCGATCTTCTCTGGCCTGGTCAGATTCCGGTGGAGATGCTGACACAGTCCTGGAGTCTTTTTAAAAGGATGCTATCTGTGGAAGCACCCGGAACCTTGCTTGGAGTATAGGAGCTCAGCTCAGTGCACTCTTCCTGAATCCAGACCTGTAGGCCTTTGGGATCCAGTGCAAGCACCCAGCGGGAGAGTGGCCAGAATGGGACCCCAGTGAGCAAACGGCACAGAACAAATGGGTAGGGCAGTGGGGCCAGAGCTGTGACAATGACCCTGCTCAAAATGACCAGCCCCAGGCTAGGCCGATCTGGCTGGATCATACTTGTACTGAGCAGGGCAAGAGGGCCCCAGCCAGTTCTGAGCTGGGTAGGGGACGGGCCAGATCGATCTTTCTTGATTGGAGCCACCAGAAAACTACCGGGGCCAAAAGAAACCTCTTTCCTGGGGACGTCCCTGCAGGCTGCTCCCCTCCTGGCCTCCCTCCCTCCTAGCTCACGCCAACCTTTAAGGATGATCTATGGGCTGCACGTGGAGAAAGGGCAAGTTGAGACTGAAGAGAGAGCTAAGAAAATGTGACGACAGTTCAGCTCCCAAGGGGCAGGTAAGAGCGGGAGGCTGGCTCAGGGGCGTGACAGCCATGGTGATTAGAGTCCTCCCCAGCCTCCTCCCCTCCCACCCCCGCCAGGACCCTCCTTTGGAGCAGGTGGCAAAGGCTCTTGGGCCCCTGTTACAAAGGCATAGCCAGGGGATCTAGCCCCTGCTTTTGGAGCCAGCCTTCTCTGGCCTGAAGCCCCATCTCCCAGCTCTTAATTAATCTTTCAGCTGCCTCTTAAATAGCACCTGTAGTTACCAGAGCAGGCAGGATGAGAGGAGGGGTCAATGGAGCAGGGTTGGTGTGTGGAGGTGATTTTCAGATTCAAGGGCCAGTAGGTGCCTGGAGACCCTGGGAAGCACACAGCATCGCTGAGAGCCCCAGGGCCTTAGCACGTCAGCATCTGGGAGGCATGGGTGTCATGCGCAGCTGAAAACGAGCCCTCCACTTTAGCCCAGAGATTCCCAAACTGCAGTCATTCAAGGCCCATCTCATGATTTTTGCCAAACCATCACACAATCTATATTATTGTTTTTTTGGAGACGGTGTCTTGCTCTGTCGCCAGGCTGGAGGGCAGTGGTGCAATCTCAGCTCACAGCATCCTCCACCTCCCAGGTTCAAGTGATTCTTCTGCCTCAGCCTCCTGAGTAGCTGGGACTGCAGGCATATACCACTATGCCTGGCTAATTTTTGTATGTTTAGTAGAGACGGGGTTTCACCATATCGGCCAGGCTAGTCTCGATCTCCTGACCTCGTGATCCGCCCGCCCCGGCCTCCCAAAGTGCTGGGATTACAGGTGTGAGCCACCTTGCCCGGCTGATCTATATTATTCTTTAAATCAACTTATTTATCTAGAAAGTTTATTTTAAAAGGCACTTTTCTCTTAGTACCCAAAACCCGGTCTCAATTTTCACAAATAGAAGGCAATGTAAAACCAAAGACAATAAAAGTAATAGAAACAAAACCACATTTTAAAATATTAACTGGACAGAGAAGCCAGGAGTCTTTGAGTGTCTGGTCATTTTTGGTTAAGGTGAGAAGGTTTGCAAAAGTTGGAGGTGCTGAAGGCCTACCAGCACCAACTAGAGACGTTCTCAATGTTTCCAGAAGGCTTGAAACCAACTGAAAACAGCGTAACGTTCTAACCAGGTGATGCTTTGATGACGTGATGGCGTGTCCGCGTGTGACCCAGAATCACCTCGCTACCACCAGTCATCACCTGGTCCTCCACTTTCATTCTTCCCACCTGGACTGCCATCATCTCTCGCCAAGGTTATTACAGCGGCCTCCTCATAGTCTCCCTGCCTCCACTCCTGTCTCTTCCCCACAGTGCAGAGCAATTTGTTAAAACAAATCAGGTTCCATCACTCCTCTCCCCAAAACTGCAAGTGGCTCCCACCTGGCTCAGAAAAAGCCAAAGTCCTCCCATGACCATGAGACCCCATTTCTTCTTCAATGGCTCCTCCTGACACTTCCCAGCTCCCTCCACTCCAGTCCCCAGACTGCTGCCACGAGCCCACCGGGGCCTGGGCATCTGCTATCTCCTTTGCGTGGTTGGTTTTCCCCGGGGTCTCTTCCCTCCCCTCCTTCAGGTTTCTGCTCAAACGTCACCTTGGTGCGGCCCTTCCTATCACCCTAAAATGCCGCTCCCCCTCCCAGCCACTATGACTGAGAGTCTCCTTCCCGACCTCTTTTTCTCCTTAACATTGATCAACATCTAACAGATCATTGATTTTACTTATTGATCTGATTTATTGACTATTCCCCACTAGCTCACAAACTTCATGAGGGTGGGGATTTATGTCTGTTTTGTACCTAGAAAGTGCTCCGCAAATTTGTGTTGAATGGAAGAGCGAACCGTATGCCCTCATCAGCCATGGGAAGCAGATTTTGCTATTACTGTTCCTATATTGCAGATGAGAAAATTAAGGCCAAGGTCACAAACCAGTAAGTAGCAGAGTGAGGATGTGGAGACAGACTTCAAACCTTGTGCTCTTTCCAAAATGTCACTGAGTTCAGGCCCTTTGTGTTGTAGAGAGAGAGATGGAGACGTCAGGATAGAACAGACTGGGAGGGAGGACTCCTGTCCTTCATTTGAAAGATATTACAAACTCACTGCAAAGCTGCCCCCATAGGTGACAGGCCCAGGGTCTCCTCACTACTCCGCCCTCCTCTGGGGGTACACATACCCCAAGGACCTGGAGTGGAGGAGCCCCTCTCATGCCCTGCCCCTCCCCGCAGCTGCTTTTTTCTCACAGCCCCCACCTCCACCCCACCACCCTGCTCTCTCCCCCAGCCTGCCCCTTCAGTCCTGTACACCCAAAGCCACCTCTAAGGCTCCTGCCACTTGCAGGGGGATGGCCCTGGCAGAGCCCAAGGCCACCTTGCCACAGAACTGGGAGACTCCCTTCTGGCAGAAAGGGCTTTTCGCTGAAATTGCAAAGGAGAGTGGCACCAACGCTCCAATAATCACAGCAAGCGCCAAATTGTTGTTTCCACGATTCACGTCTTTTCCTCTCAGCAGCGCCCTTGGGCTGGTAATGGGAAAGGCATTCCTTCACCCCCAGCCAAGTGACCATGCCCTTGTCCTGGGCTTCCAGAGCATGGCCAGCGCCCTCATTCACTCCAGGAGCCGGTCCTTGTCCCAAGCATCTGCCGGGGGCCACACTGGGGCCGGGTCCCTGTTCTCACCTCCCCGGAGCTCACAGCCTCCTGGGGCCTCGCAGTCTGGTGAGTTCTCAGATGTTGCACGAGGGTGTGGGAGCCAGAGGGGACCCCCCTCCCAGGAGTCCAGACTTTGTCCTGAGGGAAATGGGGACCCCTGAGGAAGGCATGAGATCAGAGCCCAGGGTTTGCTTTTGTGAGACTGAAAATGTCCTCTCCCCAAGAGACACAGTCCCAGCAGGCAACTACCACATGCATGACGGTCTTAGGCTGGGTTCCCCAGAAGTAGACCCCAAGTCAAGGGTTAGAGTGCAGGTAATTTATTTGGGAAGTGACCCCAGGAAGCAATGGGAGGGGAGGGGGAAGTGAGACAGAGAAGGGACAGAAGCCAGTACAGGGTGCATTCATGAGAAGGCGACTGCTATGGCCACGGGAGTTTAGTCTCACTGGGGGCCTCAGAGGGGCAGCAAAGAGCACACCTCCGAGCTGCCCTATGCACTGGGAGAGCAGGCTGGAGTATTTGTCCACCACCTCCCTGTGCCTCGGTTGAGGTTGCTTCCTGGAGTGACAGCTCCCGGCATTGCTGGGGCACCCCATCCACGGGCTGAGCTAGCTCCAGGGGTCAGAGGTAGCCCTTCAGCAAGAACTGCAGGTGCTTGCAGGGAGAAGCCGTGGGGTGAACAATCATAGGACTAATGAGGGCACCGGCAGGGCCCTCCAGCACCTGCCACACAGAGATTGTCGAAACATCATGTAATCTCTGAGCCTTAATCTCCTCACCTACAAAATAGAGACAATAGCAACTCCCCTAAAGGGTTATTTTGAACTTTAAATGAGATAATAGTAGCACAGTGCACAGCACATAGTGAGAGCTCAATAAAGATTTGCTTCCTTCTTTGGCAAGATTGTTGACTATTCAAGGCTGTTTTGGAGCTTTGGGAAAAGAAAATACACTGGTAGGGTCATTGATGACTGCCTAAGCCACAGTCCACATTAGAGCCCCAGGCCTATAAACAAAGACATCAGTGATTATTCTCCTGTGCTTATTCCAAAGCCACTAAGATGGTTACCTGGTCCTCTGAGGGAGTACAGTTCCTCCTGGGCCTCTCCTTGCACCAGTAGTGCCATTACTCTGGTACCACTGTTCATGCATGGTGTCTTAGCCCATCGGGGCTGCTATAGCCAAATACCTTAGACTAGGCAACTTACAAACAAGAGACATTTATTGCTCACAGCTCTGGAGGCTGGGAGGTCCAAGATCAAGGTGCTGGCAGATTCAGTGTCTGGTGAGGGCCTGTTCCTCGTAAATAGCCCCTTCTCATGGTGTCCTCACATGGTGGAAGGAGCAAACAAGCTTCCTTGGGCTTTTCTTTAAAGGGCACTAATCTCACTTGTGAGGGCTCTGCCCTCATGATCTAATCACCTTCTAAAGTTCCCACCTCTTAATACTCTTGCACTGGGGATTAAGTCTCAACATATGAGTTTGGGGGAGACAAACATGGGGGAGACCATGGCACATAGGCAGAGAGGCCTGCAAGGTGTTACCCGGGAGCCTGGGGGCCCATAGAGAGCAAGCCCTGTCCCCTCCCCATCCCAAATCCTGATTGTCAGAGAGGCCACAGCACCAAAGCCAGGAAGGCCAAGGAAGAGGAGAGGTAGACTGTGCAGAACATGGAGCAATCCTGGGCCCTGACTGCAGAAGAAACCTCCTGGTGAGAAGCCAAGGAGATCACGGCAGGTCTGCTGAGGGGTCAGTGCCCCCTTACCAGGGAGGCTGGGGAGGAGCCCAGGAGAGACTCCATGGAGTGGAAGCCTCCCCCACAAGCCCTCTGGCTCTATTCTACTTCCCCTCCACATCAGCCTGGGGGGTCCCCTGAGAGGGAGTCAGGCCAAGCAGCTTCCTGGCCCTGCCCTCAAGACTACGCTGCTGGCCCAGATGGAGGCTCAGATGTCATCTGGAAGGACAGGAGGGAGAGGCTTCTGTAAATATCAGAAGGGTGAGAGCCAGACAGGGGAGTTTATGCAGCTTCCTGCATTCCAGCCAGGAGGAATGGGCGCCGGGCTGGAGAGTGGGGAGCCAGGCTGGTGGGCGCTTATCTTCTCTGTCCCCACCCTAGTCACACCAGAGATGCCAGCCCCCTGCAACTGGCCTAGGATCCCCAGCACAGCCATTGTCACTGCCCCTTTTATGGGCGGAAAATGAATCAGAGCGAGGCTGTCTCCCCTCAATTGCATTCAGGGCTCCCCTTGCAAGAGAGTAATAGTGGCACTAATGGGTTAGTGGATTTGTCTTCCAGGATCTGCAAGACACTAATTGGGGTTTCTAGTAGCCTCAGGCATCCTTGGGGCAGGGCTCTGAGAGCACCCACAGAGCCCCCAGGAGAGTGGCGAGGGGTCCTCCCGCTGCACTGACCTGGTCCTCTCCCCAACATGAGTGCCCCGGCTGGTGTCCCTCTCCACCTGCATCCCCACCCACATCCCTGAAGGAGGAAGCTCACAGCACTGAGCAGGTGCAGAGAAACTTCCTGCCCACTCCGGGGCATGTCTGTGCTCCCGTCACGTCTCCCTGGCACACACCCCTTAAATGCGGCTGCACGCTCGCCACAGAAGAAGACCGTGGAGAGAGGTCCAGGTGAAGAGGGGACTAAAGGCTGGCTGCTGGGTGGGAGGCCCAGGCCTTGTCAGGACCCGGGGGTGACCTCTGCTGCTTCTCCTCCACTCACCCCCATGGCGGGGGCGGGGGTGGTCAGCCACCCTCAATCCAGGTGAGACAGGCCCCTGCCTGAGCCCTGCACTTCAGAGGACCCTGGAACTCTGCCAAAACGGGCTTCTTCCCTCGGCCTGCCAATGTGCACACTCAAGTCCTGAGGGGTGTCCCGGGGGTGGGTGCAGCGGGGAGGGAGTGGGCAGAGCTTGGCCTTGTCAGCCGGGGTGTCTGTCCCCACATATGTGAACAAGGTCCTTTTAAGGGTGGCACAGAGCTCAGGGTAGGGTAATAGGGGAGGGGCTGGGCCAGGGCCTGGGGCTGGGGTCTGAGGGTCAGTTCTTCCCGACAATTCCATAGCTGAGCCTGGCCTTCCAGGCTGCTGCTTGGCAAGGGAGGAGCCCAGAACGTGTTTTATTTAACAATTTGTTGGCTTGATTGATAACCTTTAAATATCTAGATACATGGTGTGTGGGCCTCCATTGGTACCATTACCCCATACCTCACAAGTGTTAGGTGTGGGCCGGGGCAGGGGCTGGGGCGTTACACAGGAATTCCCTATGCTCTGAGGTAACATCTCTCAGCAGTGGGCGGCAAAGAGTGACTAAGGGCACAGCTGCCAGCAGGCACCAGGCTACGGAGTCTCGCCAGCTGGCAGGAGAGACTTGTTCAGCAATCAAGCCTCCAGTGTACAGATGACAAAACTAGAACCTAGAGGGAGGCAGGGACTTGTTCAATGATGTGCAAAACCCCGTGGGCATGCACGGGTGTGTGCAAGTGCAGGGCACCCATGCGCGACAGTGGGGGCAGTGCGTGCGTGGATGCGAGTGCTCACAAGGGCATGGATTGCCGGGTTGGTGGGCTTTTGTTCTTCTCCACATTTGTTCTGCATCAGAGAAGATCCATCATTTCCTTCTCCTGTAATGATGTTGACCTGATTAAAATCTTTATTGGGTTTCACAAAATAATTTCATACACAACGTTCCCTGGGGACCCTGCTGGAGGAGGTAATGGCAGGGGATTGAGTGGCTGGGGGGCTAATAGGAGAAGAGCTAGTGACAAGTAGATTTAGAAAGAGGTTGAGGTGGAAAATAATTCGTGTGCTGCTGAAATGGTCAGTAGGGGACGGGCCAGGCAGCAGGGAGGTTAAAAGCCATGCCTTTTAAGTCATACTCTTAGGAAGCTGCAAGTAGAAACATTGACATGGGCCAGCCATGAGAAGATGTCGGATGGCCCTGGCAGAGGGCCTGGCAGAGGACAGAGAACAGTGCGGGTCCACGGCTTTAGGAGCAAAGGGTGGATACTCATATATCTCTCCCAGTCCAAGCCTCTGGTCCATCGCTGACCCACTCCTGGGTCAGGAATGTCAGGGTCTGGGGGTGCACTGGGGTCTCAGGGCCAAAGCCAACAGTCTCCAGATGGCGAGAGCTGAGGGCAGGCCTTGGAGGCAGCCCCTTTCTGCTGTTAGCAGCCATGTCGTGGGTACGTTCCAGGATGTGTGGTACAACTAGCCTGGCTCAGTCCCCCACTGGCCGGGTGACCTTGGGAAAGTCATTTCACCTCTTGAGCCTGAGTGTTCTCACCATAGGAAGCATGAGAGGATTCAAAGAAATAGTAGACGCAAAGTTCCTGGCACAGGTGGGTGCCCAAACATGACAGCTGCTATTGTTATTATTACTACTGTAATTTAGTCATTCCGTTATTTATTCTATAAGCTCTCATTCATTCTACCTACTATCCTATGCACTGGGGATAGAGCAATGAAAAGTCTCTGACCTCATGGGGCTTACATTCTAGAGGGGAAACAAACACCAAATGAAATAAGTGGCAGGGTCTCACTCTGTTGCCCAGGCTGGAGTGCAGTGGTGCAATCATAGGTCACTGCAGCCTGGACCTCCTGGCCTCAAGAGATCTTCCCACCTCGGCTTCCCAAAGTGCTGGGATTACAGGCATGAGCCATCATCCCCACCCATGAATTGTATTTCAGATGGTGATAGGCACTATGGAAAACAATTAAGCAGGGACTTGGGGGTGCTAGGGAGGAGCTGTAATTTAAAGAAGTGGTCAAGGAAGGCCCCACTGAGAAGATGGTCCTTGAGTATGGATGCAAAGAGGGTGAAGCCGTGAGTCCCGGGGGGCCTGAGCTAAGAGGATCTGAGGCCACAGGAACAGCAAGTGCAAAGGCCCTGAGGCGGGCGTGTGCCTGGCATGCAGAAGGAGCATTGACGAGGCCAGCATGGGGGAAGCAGTGTGAGCTGGGGGTGGGGGGAGCATGAACCCTGAGGTTAGAGAGGAGAGGGGGCCGAACCAATATGACCATGTAGGCTGCTGTGAGGACTTGCGCTTTTCTCCAAGTGTGACAGAGCCTCGCAGGGTTAGCCTTCTCCCCGCCAGACGCTGGACTGCGTGGGGGCTTGTTGTGCCTTTCCCAGCCCCAGTGAGCCTGGTACCTGCTCCCCACCTGAGACAGGATGGACGTGCCAGTTTTTGCCTCTTCTCAGGAAAATCCCCAGAGGCAGCCACAGCCTGATGCAGGGAAGGATTGGGGTGGGGGTGAGGCTGAGCAGGCCCCAGGCCCCAGGACTGCATGGCAGCCCTGCCTCGGCATCTGCCCCTCCCTGTCCCAGGTTCCAGCCACCTCTCCTGGCTCTTGTTTCCAGGCCCTCCCTATCTGGGACACCCCAGCTTGTCAGTTCCAACCGTAGTTTTTAAATTCAATATAATTTTCTTTTTAGAGACCCGGTCTCACTGTGCTGCCCAGGCTGGTCTTGAATGCCTGAACTCAAGAGATCCTCCCGTCTCGGCCTCCCAAAGTGCTGGGATTACAGGCGTGAGCCACCGTGCCCAGCCTCCCACAGTGGTTTTTGTTTGTACAGTGTCACCAAGAGCAGGAGTGAAATCAGTACACTCCCTGGGGAAATGAGCATGCTCGAGGCCAGACAGAGCGCCAGCTGGACCTAGCCAGGTGCCAGGCTGGAAGCCCCATCCATGTGAGTGCCCTGTTGCCACAGACACAGCTGAAAGCACCCAAGATCAAGAAGAAAACTGAAACCCGCTATGGGAGCTGTGACCAGCTGGGGCAGAAGGCTCAAGACGAGAGGCCCCTGTGAGGGACAGGGCTCACTCCTCCTTAACTCAGCCCACTCCCTCGAGTGCCCGCTCTATGCCAGCCAGCCCCAGAGACAGTCAAGATAAGTGCATTCCAGGATCACCGTGCCCAGCCGAGGGGGAAGGGGCTGAAGTCTAGCCCATGCTCCACTTGCCAAGCCTTGCACCACAATGTGAGGCTGTGGCCACCCGGAGAAGGGTGTCTCTAATTCTCACAAAGGCAGTGTGCGGGCTGGCAGACCTGGTCCCTGCCAGGAGGAGCTCCTTAGTGGTGGTGGATGGACCAGGACTAGGGCTGGGGCCTGGACGGTGAGAGACAGATCAGTGAAGGTAAAATCACTGCTCAGTGTTGGAGGGACTGACGGGGGTCAGGCCAGGAATGCCGGAAGAGCTGGCCCAATCTGAGCATCCCCAAGAAGGTGCTGGGAGTAGCCAGGTTCATGTTGGGAGGTGTGTGGGGAGTGGGGGGTGGTACCAGGGAACAGCCCTGGCAAGGGCCCAGAGGTCTGGGCAGCATGGCTGGATGGGGATTTTGGAGGGGAGGGGGAGCAGGCACTGGGGAAATGGGCAGGGCACAAGTACCCAGCTGGGGGGCTTGCAGGCGACACAGGAAAGCCTAGAGGATTCTAAACGGGATCTCAGAGGGCAGCAGGTTTGCATTTTAGAGCAGGCTCTGGGTCCAGTGTGCAGGTTGAATTGGAGGAGCCAAGAGGACCACTAAGGCCCCCAGGAGAGAGATGGAGTGCTGGAGTGGGGCAAGAGTTAAGGGGTGTGGTGTGAAGACCACTGGGACACAGATGTTTCCTGAGTTGGGAGGGAGGAGCCAGGTTCTAGCGGGATGGATAAAGTGGGGGTGCTGCAGGCCCAGGACTGAGATGTGGGGCAGAGCCCTGGGAGCAGAACAGATCTGAGGGCCAGGGAAACAAGGGTGAGTTGGGGCACACCTGCCTGAGCGGTGTGTGCAGTCTGCCATTCCCACCCGTCAGAGGTTTGGGAGCCAGGTCTAAACCTGGGCCTTCTCACCCCTCAGCTCTTGCTTCCTCGTTCCACTGGCCCCTGCAGCCTTCTCACCCTCCTCCCTCTATCTCTGCCTGTCCCCCACTTACCCATCCAGGTCCTCAGATAGAAAGCCCTGGAGTAAGGGGTCAGTGGAAAGGTTTTTGCTGAGTGGAGTTATTTTTACTAAGTGCCCAGATATTTTCAAAGTAGGCAAAGCTGGCAAGGTTGCATGCTTCTAGGGTCTCACTAAATCGAGGATGGGGGCATGGACCAGCCTGGCTGGCCCAAATATTTGCCGTGTTGCTGGGTAACCACCAGTCGGCCTGCAAGCTGGCATCTGTGGAAACGAGGACTTGGAAGGAAATTCACACAGCCACCAGGGGCCTGGAATCAGTTGGCAAAGCCAGGAAGCACCCCAAATGTCTCCTGAGAGTGGGCAGGCTGATCTTCCGGAAGCTGGCCCCCAGGAGAGAACAGGCATGAGATGGGATTAGCAGCTTCCTACGGACACCCAGTGGCTGCAGGAGCCGGCTTCCACAAATGAGCATCACGTGGCTCCAGCTGCATGGCCTAGAGGGGGAGGCCGGCTCACTGCTCCATGCCCAGGCCCTGGTTTCTCTCTCCCTCTCTTGTTCTGGGCAGCTGCTGTGGTCACCCACAAGGGAATATTGGCTGTCTCTATGAGGATCTGCCCATACCATGTCCAGGGAGAACTTGGGGCAGGGAGAGGCACATAGAGAGAGGAGGCAGCCCACCACACAGTGAGGTTGGAGGGGCTCTGAGAGGATACCTACACACACACACATGCACCCATTCTGATCAACTGGCCTGCTGGAAATTCCATGATTAGGCATGGAATTCCTTAAGAGTTGGGAAGGACATCGGAGCGGGCCAGGACACCTTACATGCAGGGCAGCGATCCCAACCACACTAGCCCAGGCCCAGACAGCACCAGCCTCTGCGTGCACATCCTGAGAGCTGGGGAGAGCACCACCCTCAGAAGCATTTTGTCATCTTGGAGACAGCAATAACTGCTAGCATGTTTCTGAGCCTGAGCTTGACTCTTCCCCTGTGGGAAGGCAGGGGCTATGGGAACACCAGTCACATATGAGGCTGTGATGACCCAAGTGGGCTTTCCTGCTGCCCTAAGAGCCCACAAAGGAGGGCTCAATGGCCAAGCTCTGGGAGAATAGTGTGACAATGTACAAAAAGTAAGACCTCTACCTGTACTTCTCTAATCACAGAGAGCAGGTGGGCAGGCAGAGAGCAGAACCTGTGAACTCCAGACCAAGCACCCCCAGGCTGGGAGAACCAGTGGAGCTTTGCTTCTCTGAGCCTCTATTTTCTCCTCTGTAAAATGGGTACAACATGAATACTGCAGGGGCCATGGCGAGCAGGCAATGGTTAATGGTCATAGAGCCACCAGCAAGGGCTGTGTGACTGGGAGATGAGGAGGTGTCCCCTTTCCCTCTCTGGGTGGCTCCTGCTCTGACCCAAGCATGCCTTATTTCCTCTGGCATCAGAAAGCCCTCTCCTCACTCTATTCCATCCTCCCTCCTTCCTTTCTCCCCTTCCAGCTGAAATCCTCCACACGTGGTTGCCATGAGCCTGCTCCGTGCAGCCTGGACAGCTGCCTTCCGCTCACCTCCACCAAAGGCCTCCAGCAAAGGTCTCAGTCTCAACCCCTACAGGCCTGTCCTCCTCCCCCTCCTCCTCCTTCTCCTCCCCTTTGTCCCCCCTCTTCCCCCTCCTCCTCCTCCTCCAGCATGAGGCACAGCTGACCATGTTCCTTCACACATTCTGTCTGCCCAAGTCTTTGCGGGCTGTGCGCTCCAGCCTCCCCCTGCTCCTCCCTGGCAGTGAGGACAAGGGCTCTGGCTTAAAGGACCTTTGCTGAAGCCCTGTCTTCTAAAATCTTATTCAGTTCTCCCATACCTCTGGCAGCATGGCACACAGGTGATATTCTGCCCATTGAACAGACGGTGGGACTGAGGCACAGGGAGAGGAGGGGACAGGCTGCAACGTAAAGAACCCAGGGTCTGCAGTCTTGGGTTCACACCCCCCTGCCATTTGCTAGTTGTGCCACCTTAAGCAGGTTGCTCAAGCTCTCTGGGTCTCAGCCTGCTCATTTGTAAAGCAGGGAGGAAGATAATCATATCTTTCTCATCGAGTTGTTAATTAATGAGTGAAAGCACTTAGCCCAGCACCTGCCTTATCGTGAGTGCCTGGTAAGTGTTGGCCCTTCCCTGGGGCAGAATCTCAATGAGGAGGAGTCCAGCTCTGCGGGCCCCACATGAACCCGGGCAGCACAGGGTGTGGGCAGGGCGGGGAACTCGGGGCCTGAGCTGCAGCCTCAATCCTGGACTGGGCAGCCAGGGACCTGAGTGAGCAGGGAAAGTGCTGAGCTTGTTGGAGGTGGGAGGCAGGAACGCAGACTCACCAGTTCTGGCCTCCAATAGGATGGGATGGGATGGAGGGCCGGGCAGTTGATGAGGGATTCTGCTAAAGTGGGGTTTCTTGTGTCTGCAATGACTCCCTTCCTCTCAGTCTCCCTGTTTAAAAAAAGGGCCTGGCTCGCTCAGCGTTTGTTGGAAGGAAACTCAGGGTGCCCTGCCTACCTTCCTTCAGAGCTCAACTCCAGCACCTCCCCTTCCTTATACCAGTGGCCACCGCCCTCCCTTCTGCTCATTGTCTTCATTTTTTAGAGGTGGGTGGCTCGGGGCTCTGCATCACTGGGAGTCGTAGCACTGTGCCCCACCAAGTGCCCAGGAACTGTGGGGCTGGGTTCAAATCCCACCCAAGCCCTGCCTTTGTTCACAGAAGGAAGAAAGTTCCCATCGCCAGGCACCCACCATGTGTCCCCATCCATAAACTCATCAGTCCTCACAAACCTCTCCCTTCCGAATCTCCAGATCCCCGTGCTTGGAGTTGGTACCCACAGATTCATCTGAGAAAGGCCCTGCATGGCCAGCTGGGGTTGCCAGCTCAGTTCTCCACTTCCTTGTCTTCTGGGAGGAGTCCCTAGTATTCCCCAAGGAACCTCCCCCTTCCCTCAATCCTTGTAGTGGGACTGACTCCTCCCATGCCCCTGAGGGTCGGCATGTGACGTGGGGCTTGACCACTGAAAGGGCCACATGCTTCTGATCACAACACTTGGTTCAGCTTTGGGCACACGGCCCAAGCTAAATCAATACCACTAAATTCTGGATTTTAGCTGGAGCTGGTGGGAAGATGTTCTGATTCTCCTGGACTTGGAGCCAGTAGGACATAACACTAGCATTTCCAGGGGCCATGGCAGGGAGGGAGCCAGTTTAAGCCACCACTGAGGAAAGCAGGGTAGAAAAGACAGAGAGAGACAATGTCCTCATGCTAGTGTTTGAGCCTCTAGATCCAGCTGTGCCTGAAGCCCATATACCCCTGGATTTCTCAGTTACATTAGAGAGTAAATCCTCTCTCTTTTTTTCTTTTGCTTAAACCACTTGGAGTTCATGCTACTTGTACCCAAGAAAACCTTAACTAACCTAAGAATAAAAATGTTGAAAGGGCAGGGACAGAGCGCTGTGGCACTGCTATAGGGACATCCACCTGGACTGACAGTAACTGTGAGTTGGTTCCCTTGGGGGCAGCTGCTTGACCAGGCAGTCACAATCTCTGCCCTGTCCTGCACCTTGATCCTCAGGGCACTATCCCAGCCTCACCAGCATCAAGTGCAAAGCCTCATGGGAGCGCAGACACCTGCCTCCTCATGCCCTGTCAGAAAAGAGGCTTTGGTCACTCTGGCCTCACCTACTCCTGATGAACCATGTAGAGCTTTCTCAGGGTCCTCAAATCTCCTTCATGATGGCCCCTTGGAGGGTTGCATGGAGACCAGTGTCACAGTTCACAGGCAACTCCACTCGGCAGCTGCAGAAGGGCTCTCTCTGGGGACCCAAGAAAGTCTGGGAGGCCCATCCACCAGCCCCAGAGAGGTAGGCAGACAACAGGATGACAGGCCAGACTCAGAGCAAAGGAAGGTAGGAGGGGCTGTGGGCAGGAGAAGAAAGGGCCACTTCAAAGCTCATAAAATCACAGCCAGTTGTACGACCCGAGATGAGCACTGGCTGGTTCCTAAATTATGCAGATTTGTGCAAATATTATGCAAATTAGTCATGCAAAGGTGGCAGGGGGCACTTGCTGACAGCCTGGCTCTGCAGCCTTCTCGTCAGTCAGCCTTGCCTTGTTCAGGGAGTGGAGGAGCTGTCACCTGCCAGGCAGCAAGAAGGGAGGGACAGGTTCTGCCCTATCCCAGCCTTCTGCCCACCCTTCCACTCTGGGGGGGCCTCTTCAAAGGCAGGCCCACCCCCCCATCCTCCACTTCTGGCTCCTGCCCTGGACTGCCAGCCCAGGGACAGCCACTCACAGCTGGGCCTTTCTGGTCACCTGGTCCAGCCACACCTTCCCATTGCACAGATGAGGAAAAGAGAGGCCCAAAGCTGGAAAGGACCTGTCCTGCCTCTTGAGGCTCTGTGGACCGACTCAGCCTGGTGCACCCACCCGTCACCTCCTTGAAGAGGTGGTCTTCTGCATGATCACAATAGGCAAACATGCACTTACTTCCTACTCCGCCTTGGGCCCCAGACATCTTTCCCAATCCATTCACCGTACCTAGAACCGATGGCATCAGTCATTAGAGAACTTGGGGCTAAAAGCAGGCAAAGTTTGGTCCCCAGAGTATGGGTGCTGGGGCAGGACCCTAGATAATTCAGCAACTTCAAAGCCTGTGCTTCCCTCCTTGTGCTGGGAGAGGGTGGAGGAGATTCCTCCAGCCTTGGTGCTGTTAGTCCCACCTCGGCAGCCACCTGGGCCGCCTGCCCTTCCCTTCTCCACCGTTTCCTATTCATCCCATCCTCTAATCACAGTGATGGAAACAGCAACCCAGTGGCTCATCTTGGTTGAGCAATTGCTTTGCACCAGGCGCCACTATGAACGTTTGGAATCCTCCCAACATCCCTCTGGGTTCGAATCTATTATTACTCCCATTTCATAGACAAGGAGACTGTGGAGCAGAGCGGCAAAATCCCTTGTTTATACTTGCACATCCTATAAGTGATGTGGTGGTATGCTTGGCGTCAGGGCACAAGTTTCAGAAACCCGTTCAGTGCAGTCTCCCTCCTCCTTTTCCTCCAGGAAGGCTGTGCTAAAGCCATCTGCCAATGTCAGGCCACATTCACTAATACTCAAGGCTGCTTCTTTATTCTTCTTTCTTGAATTCCTGTAGCCCCAGTGTCCAAATCCTATGGCTTGGCCTGGAATTTATCTACCAGGCCTGGCCAGGGCTCTCTGAGAACAGGACAGAGCTTACCTCCACCGGAATATTTCCCTGTGGTGGGCCAGCACCGAGCGGTTGCCCACTGGGGGCCCAAGCAGATCTGGGGCCTGAGGGAGAGCAGCAGGGGTGTCGGGGGCCCCAAAGCCTGGACAGCTGTTCCAGTGCCAGATCCACAGAGCCCAGTGAGCCACATCTGGATTCTTCCTCCCTGCCAAGTGCCATTGGTGGAAACGAGAGAGAGAGAGAGAGAGAAACAAGAGACTTAGCCTTGTGCCACCCTCCAACTGCCCTCATACCTCCTGCTCCCCAAAAAAGCTTCCAGCTCACCTGTTCTTCTGTCCCCCAGAACCCAGGGACCCTCCAGGAGCCCCGACCTGGGCCTCCAGGGATGCTCCCCTGGAGTACAAGGGGAGTCCAGCCGCAGCTTCCAGGAAGGCCCTGAGAGATGTTGGTTTGCAGCCCCTGACGGTACAGCTGTGTGTGCTGAGTCAGGGTAGAGGTGTGGTCTGAACCATCTTCTCCCTGCACCAGAGAATATGCCTTAGTCCACAGAGTTAGAACCTCTTTTATGGTCCCAGATACTTTGGAAAATATGAAGAAAGCCCTAGACCCTAACACGGAGAGTCAAGGAACGGCCTTGACTTTTCACGCCCCACCAACAGGGTCTCTGGCCATTCTCCTTGCCCTTTGACCCCAAAGCCGGACTTGGACCTGCTGGCCCAACTCTACCTGGGCCCCACACCACTCCAACGCCAGTCGAGATCCTGGGGGATGCTTCTTGCTATGCCAAGTGACACCACGATGGCAGAAGCCCGGGCGGCCCAAGGGTCCTAGACGGTCCATCACCGCTAACCGCTTCCCCCGACAGCCGCCAGGGTGGCAAGAGGCCTGTGCGGCTCTAAACCTGGCTTCAGTGGGGGGCCAAAGGCCAAAGGGAGGCAGCCAAGGAAGATGGGAAGACTTGGGCTGTGCAGTCAGGCAAAGCAGCTGTGTAGCCTGGGGCAAGTCACCTCACCTCTCTGGGCCGCATTACCAGTGCCGATAAATGGAATCATTGCTACTACCCAGGCTTGAAGTAAAATCATATCCAAATGCCCCAGCACAGTGCCCAACACCAAGCAAGCACTCAGAGAAGGTGAACTGCCTGCTCTTTACCCTGGCTGTGTGACCTCGGAGGGTGCCCATCGTGGACGTCCCAGGCAAGCCCCAAGCTCCCCTCAGACCAATGTGGTTTGCAGCCAGTGGTGCCATATCCACCCTCGGATCCTCAAAATTCCTCCTCTGAGGCTGCCCTGGGCAAGAACCGGAGACAGTGGGCAGTTAGAGGCATGGCATGATGTGAGGGGTAACAAGATGAGCCCACCACTGGCATCTCACAGCCCCAAATGCCACCATGCATGCGTCAGCTCTTGGGCTCAGCATTCTGCTCCTCCCCTAGGGGGCGGGGGGCAGGCCTCAGCCCCTTCCTACTCGGGTAGTGTGTGGATCAGATGCTGTCCTTTGTCCAGGTGGGCCCTGTGCACCTGGGGGCTGAGGGAACGTCTGAGCTGGGCCAAGAAGACAGGATCATCAAGGATGTTCCCAGCACCACCGTTTGTCAGAGCAAAAACCAGAAACAACTCAAATGTCCATTAATAGGAAAATTGTTAAAAGAACGAAGGCCCAAAAAAATTTGCACAAAAATACTTTGAAGCGACCGAGCACGGTGGCTCACACCTGTAATCCCAACACTTTGGGAGGCTGAGGCAGGCGGATCACCTGAGGTCGGGAGTTCGAGACCAGCCTGACCAACATAGAGAAACCCTGTCTCTACTAAAAATACAAAATTTGCCGGGTGTGGTGGCGCATGCCTCTAATCCCAGCTACTTGGGAGGCTGAGGCAGGAGGATCGCTTGAACTTGGGAGGCGGATGTTGCCGTGAGCCGAGATCCTGCCATGGCACTCCAGCCTAGGCTCAAAACTTAGTCTCAAAAAAAAAAAAAAAAAAAAAACCTCGAAGCAGTTATAGATCTATATTTAACATAGGACAATTTTCCTAAACATATGGGGAACAAGCAAATTCCAGAGCAAGATATATCAGTAGGACCCTATTTATGTTATTTAAAAAACACCATATCTGTGCACATGTAGGTATTTTGTATGGTTTTGTTTGTTTGTTTGTTTTTGAGACAGTCTTGCTCTGTCACCCAGGCTAGAGTGCAGTGGTGCGATCCTGGCTCCTGGGTTCAAGCGATCCTCCTCCCTCAGCCTCCTGAGTAGCTTGGGATTACAGGTGGGCGCCACCACGCCTGGCTAATTTTTGTATTTTCAGTAGAGATGGGGTTTCGCCATGTCTCAAACTCCTGACCTCAAGTGATCCGCCCACCTTGGCCTTCCAAAGTGCCGGGATTCCAGACCTGAGCCCCGACACCCGGCCAGTATTCTGTATATTAATATGATCTGTGGGGAAAGTCTGCCAGGTGTGTGTCAAACTGCTAATGATAGGAAGTGGTGGAGGGTGCTCCGCAAGGACAGGGAGCCTCCTGTGTAATGTGCTGGTTGTTTGAGTTTTTGTGGTGAAAATTTATTCGTGGATTACCTGAATACATGTGTAAATATTTTTAAGATCCTAAGATCATAAAATTGAATGCACACACACACATTTCAAAAGGCTGCACAGGGGTCTGGAGGCCCCACCACAGCTCCCCTGGTGCCAGGTGGACCCCCTGCCTGGCTGCTCTTGGCTGCCTCCCTCCCCCAGCTCCCCTCCCCGCACCATCACAGCCAAGCTCATTAGTTCTCACTGCTGCCCTTGTTCTGACCTCAGGGTTATGGAAACTTCAGCTCTGTTTTCACAACCTTCCATCAGCCATGCTCTATGGCCATCCCTCTCCCCTGATCAGACTCCAATCCCATCAGCTTTGTAACAGCTGCTCCCTCAGGCCCTAGCAAGAAGCCACGAGCCAGGGACAACCTGGGATGAGGCCTGGGGGTCCTGGCTCTCCGGCCGTGGCCCCCTTAGATCCCACGGAAAAACGGCTGCTTCCCAGAATAGCAAAGCCATAAATCTGCTGTACTATGAGGAAGAAAAAGCCCGAAGCCAAACTGCCCTATGTGTGGGAGGTTGGGGGTGAGAAAGGAGCAAAAGAAGACCCAGCCCCGCACTTAGGAGGCCCCAGTCTGGGAAGCCCGGGAGACTCCCCTTGCGCAACAAGCGGCAACAGAACTCAGCGATCGGCCAGACCTTTCGTTTTCAGGTGGAGTAACAGAGGCTCAGGGAGGGAAACGGGTTTGTCCAATACCCCCAGTGAGTCTGCACAAAACTTCTGCCTCACCCCAAGCTCCTGCTCCAGCCCTGAGCTTTGGCTTGTCTGAGTCCTTCCCTGCCAGCTCCCAGTAGCAGAAAGGTCGTGATCCACCAGCAGGAAGCTGACCAGGCAGAGCAGCCGGGTCCACGGGGCCGGAGGCAAGATAGAAGTATGTGCATCTCTGCGGTGGCCCAGGGAAAATATTGACTTTCTGGCTAATAAAGCCAAATTCCATGGAAGCTACAGCTCCGGACTGAGAAAATCCATCGGTGTTTCATAAATATTTGAAAGTGTCCAATGGATACTCACCGTGCGGTGGCTGAAGCCTGGGTTCGAGGGTGAACAGGGACAGAAAGCCCAGCCCTCACACAGCGCGGAAGCTCCAGAGTCACTTGGCCATCCATTCAGAAGCTGCCCGTATTTGTATTTGCTTTTGAAAGCAAAAGGAGCTCTGAAAGGACACACAGGAAACGAAAAGCAGGGTTACAGAGTAGGAAGGCGGAAAGGCTTCTTTCTCTATGCTGTGTTATCTTGTTTGGATTTTGAAACATGTGAATGTAATCCCTTTTCAAAATAATAAAAAAATTTTAAACTGCTTCTGGGGCCACTGTCTCCCTAGTCCTGTCTGGGTGCCAAAGGGAACTGAGGAGGGTATAAAACCAGGCCTGGCCTGGGGGCAACCAGCTGGGGGCAGGGGAGATCCAGTTGTCCGTGCCAACTTCCATCACAGCTTTGGCTTGTGATTGTTTGTGTGCCTCTCTCCCTGCAGGCCTGTGAGCTCTGGAAGGCGCAGAGCTCAGAGGAGCGCATTGTTGTTAAACAATCCTGAGTGTTTTAGGGAGAGCCTCTCCATACTGCAGATGCCGAGCAATGACAGGGTCGTACAAGTACATTCATAACAGGTAGGGGCCTACGACTCTTTACCCCCACTGTGCCCTCAGAAATCCTGCCCATGCCCCCAACCCATGCTGCTGGGTTGGTCTTCATGGCCCAGGGTTGCTTGCCTCAGCCTCGATCATAGTAACAAAGCATTTGAGCCAGACAGGCCCTCGGGAGTCACCCAGTCCCGAGGGAGTTATCTAGCACCAAAGGGCGTGTCAGTGGCAAGGCTGGTCCTGGAACCTAGATCAGTTTATGATGTTTAAACCAAACTTCTTTCTCCAATGCATGGCAAGCCCTCCTTTATCCAGATGTCCTTGGTGATGAGGAGGTCGCTTAGCCAGCAGCCTGTCCTCCCCAGAGCTTCGCCAAGAGACAAGGAGACTAGAGCCAGACTCCGTCCCAGGTCCTCAGGGCCTTGCTAGGTGTTATTGAAGAACACAGCTTCCTCAGCAGCCTCAGGCCAGCATGGGGACTTGTCCCAAAGCATCAGCAGCTTCTCACCAGCAGGTCTGGGGACCCTCGGGCCTCTGCCCCAGCATAACTCAGCTTCCTAATCACTGCTGTGCACAGCAGGCTTCCTAGGGCCTAGCCTGACAGAGACAAGGGAGAACTTCTACCTCTTCCAGAGCAGCTGGTGGTCAGCCTGAGGCCTGCAGAGAGTGCCCGTGGTCAGCCCCAGCACAGTGGTTTCAATTCCAGCTGCAGGAGCATGGGGACAGAGGGGCATGTACTGGGAGTAGATGGGTGGGAGTTCCTTAAGGGAGGGGGCTGAGCTGGGGCTTCGAAGGCTGCTACTCATCACTTCAGCTGCAGATCCAACCCCTTCCCTCATGGTCTCACACCTGTATGTGCACACACATGTGCAAGCCTGAACAAACATGCACAAACACATCGTGGATGTCTGTGTGTGTTTCCATATGTGCCCAAGTACACAGGAACATGGAAAGTACATGCACATGAACAAAATGTCCTTCAACGCACACAGGTAGACAAGCAGGGAGTGCAGTGGAGCTTGGCGGGCCCTCGAATCCTCAGACAGGGAGGCTGGGATGGGGCAGAGTTGGGGACTCTGGCAAACAAGAGCCTCCTACTTCCCAGCTCCGGGTCCTTCACCTGCCCCCAGGTCTCTCAAGGGGAGAGGAGAATCGGGGAAGGGAGGAAGCCCTGCACCCCGCCTCTAGCACATGCTTGCATGCCCACACTCCCTTACACCACATGGTGTGGGCGTGAGCTAGAGTCAGAGGGCCACGTTAGGACATTGTTCTGTGCTAATTAGTTTCTGCAGCCCAGGTCGGCCTGGCAGAGATAGGAGACCCCCTTGTGGCCTGGCCCAACTCCCAGCCTGCCTGCTGTCGTGGCTGTGCCCCCTGTCCAGCCCACGATCTTCTCTCTCTGCCCTCCTCCTGCACCCACCCCATCAACCCTCAGCTCTCCTGTCTCGGGGGTGAGCTCTGGGGGTCTCCCTGGGGTTCCATCTGCCATGTGGAGCACTCCTTTCCAAAACCTCCCAGGCCACAGACCCTTGGCTTTGAGCAGATCCCAAGGGCAGTATCGACACTGGCCAGTGGGGCTGCTCCAGCTCTGCTTCCCTCCAGGGACCAACTGCAGCCCCACTGCATGCGCACCTGGGAGAGTCCAATGGGATGCAACCGGGATGACACCTGACATGGCTCATTTCATCCTCTCAGCAAACTGTGGTTACAACTTTTATTCTTATTTTATTAGTGACAGTGGGGAGGGAGGTGTGGTCACAGAGAGTCTGAGCTAGGTGTCACACGTGTCCAAACACCTCTTCTCTCTGTCTTCCCAGGCAGCCTTGTCCATTGTGGGGCCTCAAACACCCTCTCTATGTTCCTCAGACACAGTCCCAAACCTGCCCCTCCTGCACTCTCTCCCATCTCAGGAAATTTTCCTCTATTCACTGGCCCCTCATTGACTCCTTTTTCTTCCTCACCCCGAATTCCAAGTCCTGTCTGCCTTTAGGATCTCTCCCAACCCCTCCTTTTCTCCGTGTCCACATTACCACTGTCCTGTCCCAGGCTGCTGTCATCTCTCCCCAGAATGAACGCAACAGCCTCCCCCAGCTACTCACCCGCTCTCACTCCTCTGCAAGTTTCTCTCAGCCAAGCAGCGAGATCTTTCAAAGCCATCAATCAGATCTCATTTCACCACCACCCCTCCCTTAAAACCTTATAATCCTTCCCAGCTCCTAAGGTGGCTGATAGCACCTGTGAGGCTTCTCTGGGCCGGTTCACCACACATCCCCGCAGCTCCCTGCCTGCCAGCCACACTGGCCATGCTGCCTCAAGGCCTTTGAATAGCATGGTCTGTTCCCTCCACCTGAAATACCCCTGCTGTGCCCCCAGCAAGATCCCACTTCAGGCCTCAACCCAGGCCTTTCCTTTCCCCTAAAAGAGCGTTTTCCTGAACCCCCAAAAGCTCCTCCCTTTCTCTTTCTCTTTCTACACTCTTCCTTTAGAGCACTTATCCTAACTTATTACATATTTATTCCTTTTTTTTTTTGTCTAATATCCATCTCTTTCAACAGATATTAGCCCTGAGAAGAAACCAACGTCTATTTTACCGATCACTAGAGCACTGTCCCTGGCACAAAGTCGTTGCTCAAGAAACACTTGAATGAACGAATGAATGAGTGGATGAATGAATGGTAAGCCTCCTTGGCTAGAAGAGAGTGGAACGTGGGCACCCACAGAGGACGGGAGTCGGTACAGGGAGGGCAGCCTGGATCTGCAAAGACAAGGACCCTGGCCTAGCCCAGGACGTGGCTCTGGTTGGAGGGGGCGGGCAGTGGAACGAGCCCCCTCGGCTGCTCTGCGGGCAGCGGGGTCAGGGTGCAGAGGGAATGGATGGGAAGGGCTAGGGTGGGCTTATGTGTGGGTGCGTGTGAGCGCGCATGTGTGGAAGGAGTGACGCGCGCGCTGGCTGCCGCGTGGGGAAGGGGGAGCTAGCCTCATTGCTGCAGATTTGTATTCCTGCCGACTTTTATTTCAGGCCTTGTTTATTTCTCCTTAAAACGCGGCTGCTATGCCAAGAGTCGTACCCAAATTAGCTGCGAGTGTGTAATTTTACAGCTATTACCCGGGTGTTTCTGTGACTTGGGTAATAACTAGGGAAATATAAACAAACAACAGCAAAGGCAGTTTAGCAAGGAGGCCTCTGAGTTCGGTGTCTCTGTTTTGAAGTGGAACAAGTCCCATCTCTCCCCTGTCCCCATTCCCACCACCCCTCTCTGAGTCGCATCTGGCCCAGTAACTGGGGATTGGGAGGCCCAAGGGTCCCAGAGCCCCAGCCGTGAAATCCTCCTCTCGTTGCCCCTCCCCCGGGAAAACAGGCCCATCCCCAGAGGCACAGTCCCACCTACCCACAGCGAAGACCCCCTCATGCTCCTCCTCCACAAAGGCAAACAAAGGCTGGCCTAATTCTGTGATATTTCCCTTCTCTGGTGGCTAATGGCACCAGAGCGTGTGTGACATTTCGCTCTCTCTCCTCTTTTATTCCCGCTTATTATCTGGCTGCTGCCAGAGGCTCTGGGCTGAGGCCGGCACTGGCACCCACTCCACCCTATCCCTCCTCCTCTTTGCCTCTGTCCCTTTTACTCTCCCTCACAGTACCTTCGTCATCTCCTCCCAAGAGGGACAAAGCTTGTCCCTCATCCTCCAGGCCCCCTCTGAGGGAAATGGGTCCCAGCAGAGGTCTGTGCTGGGAGGGGGTGGCCTTGGGCACCCAAGATGGGGGCAGGTCCTCAGGACCCCGCATCTCACCTTGGCTCCAATGCAGCCTCACAGAAGCCTCCGGTGTATCCCTCCCTCCTCCGTGCCTCAGTTTGCCTCTATCTGTGCCATGAAGAGGTGAGTCTTGATCCCGAAGGCTCTTCCTGCTCTAGTATTGAAAGTGAACCCCTAAAGGCTTGAGGGATGGCAAAGCCATCGAGGGGTTTTATGGGGCTGTGGGGAGTCTAGGCTGTGGGATTTGCAGCAAGAGGGGTGGGCTTGGGCCAGGAGTCGAGGCAGAGCCAGGGAGCCAGGGCAGAGGAGAAAAAGCTGGAGATCCCTGTGTGGGCAGCTGGCCTCCATTTCAACACACACAGTCTTTGAAAATGCTAACTTTGTTTTTCTTCCAAATAATCTTCATTTTTAAAAAATTACAGAAAGAAAGCAAAAGACCTCAAACTCCCTCTTGTCTCCCCCAGAGGCAACCCCTGTGAATGCTTCACTGTGTATCATTGCCAGCTTTTTCTGAGGTGTCCCTGTTCTATATTTTTTTATACACAGACTTTTTTAAGAAAACAAAAATTGGGTCATGGCATACATATTGATCAGCCACTTGCTTTTTTCCCTCACCAATATATCATGGACACCTTCCAGGTCGGTACAAAAGGATCAATTTTTAAATGGCCACAGGGTGCTCCATTGTACTGCAGGACCACCAGCCCCACACGGAGGGACATCTGGGCTATCTTCAGTTTGGAGCTGTATCTGTTTTCTGGCAGAATAAATAATGGTTACCTGACAACCCAAAGCTTAGCGTCTTAAAGCAAGCGTTTATTATGTTCGCAAGTCTCCAAGTCAGCTGGGCAGCCGTGGGCTGGGCTGGGCTGGGCTGGGCTGGGCTGACTCCCAGATGGGCTCCCTCACAAGTCTGTGGTCAGCAGGAGGATTGACCGGGGCTGCTGGTCTAGGATGGCCTCACCTGGGATGACCCACTTCTTTTCCTCATGTCTCTCATCCTACAGCAGGCCAGCTTGAGCTTGTCCTCATAAATCATGGGGTGGAAATGAGAGTTCAGAAAGAAACCCTCACATTATGGTCAATTGCCTTTCAACAAGAGAGCCAAGACCATTCAATGGGAGAAAGAATGGTCTTTTTGACAAATGATGCTGGGACAACTGGATGTTCATATGCAAAAGAATGAAGCTGGATCCCCTTCCTTGTGACAGGCACAAAAATGATCTCAACATGGGTCAGAGACCTAAATATCAGGGCTGAGGCTAGGGAAGGCCAGGTTGCTGGGGCCAGAGGTGGGAGAGAGTTGGATTAGCCCCTAGTGAGGCCCTCTGGGTCTTCTACAGTGATCGTCATGATTACTTTTTCCTTGGACTTTTGAGGTTGGCAAGTGTCAGTAACAGATCCTGGGGTGAATCAGTTGACACAAGAAGGCTTTGTAAAGATTTTTCATCCCTCTCCCAGTTTATCTGCTTTGGGGTTGGTGGGAGTGGGAATTGGTACAAACTTTGGGGGACAATTTTGCAGTTAATCGCACCATCCCTCAAGAATGCAAGAACCTTAGCACCCCCTCATCTCTCCTTTGCCATCTACAGAAATACCAGCCTCATGGAATAGAATGGTGTCCCTCACAGAATTGCTTCTAACCGCCTCTTTGTAGATCAATCACAAAAGTGGCCCCACACCTCCCTGTATCTACCCCTTTCCAATGTCACTTTGCAGCTCAGTCCATTAAGAGGTGGAGTCAGTTTCTTCATCCCTTGAATCTGGACTGCCTTTGGCCATTGAATGTGGTGGCAGCGACTCTGAGCCAGTCCCAAGTATACACCTGAACAGTTTCTGTATACTGCCACTGGCTCTCTTGGAAGCCTGGTCAGGATCTGCTATGAATACTTGCCAACCTCAAAAGTCAAGGAAGAAATAATCACGACAATCACTGTAGAAGACCCAGGGGGCCTGAATAGGGGCTAACCCAACCCTCTCCCACCTCTGGCCCCAACAGCCTGGCCTTCCCCAGCCTCAGCCCAGAAATTTAGGGCTCTCTCCCCATGGATATTACAAACAATAGAACAAAGGGGTGTACACCTTTTGCGATATTGAGAGACATGTCATCACCCCCCCCAAATATTATGAACAATATTACAGGGGGTGTACACCCCCTGAGATATTGGGAGTAATATCATTCTCTCCCACCCTGGATATTATGAACAATATCACCAAGGGTGTACGTACAGGGTGTTTATGATATTGAAAGTAATATCATCTACCCCCCTGAATATTATGAAAAAGATCACAGGGGGGTGTACACCCCTTGTGATATTGAGAGTAATATCATCATCTCTCCCCCTGGATATTACGAACAATATAACAGTGGAATGTACACACCCTGTGATATTGGAAGTAATATCATCCTCTCCCCTCCCCCGGATATTACAAACAATATCACAGAAAAGTGTACACCCCCTGAGATATTGGGAGTAATATCGTCGTCTCCCATTCTGGATATTTCAAACAGTATCACAGGGGGGTGTACACCCCCTGCGATATTGGGAGAAGTATCATCCTCTCCCCACCTAATATTTCGAATAGTATCACGGGGCGGGTGCAACCTCTTCAATATTGGGAGTAGTATCATCCTCTCCACCACTAATATTTAGAACAGTATCACAGGAAGGTGTACACCCCCATTGGGAGTAATATCATCCTGATATTACAAACAATATCACAGAGGAGTATACACCCCCTGTGATATTGAAATTAATATCACCCTCTCCATCCCCTTGATACTGAGAACAATATCACAGGGGGGTGAAAACAACCCACAATATTGGCAGTAACAGCATCCTCTCCCCCCAAGATATTACAAACAATAACACAGAGGTGTGTACACCCCCTGATATACTGAAGGTAATATCATCCTCTGCCACCCTAGATATTACCAACAATATCCCAGGGAGGTGTACACTCCCTGCGATATAGGGAGTAATATCACCCTCTTCCCCCCTTGATATGATGAAGCTCATCACAGAAAAATGTACACCCCCCGCGATATGGGGAGTAATATCACCCTCTCCCCACCCGGATATTACGAACCATATCAGACCCCCCGCGATATGTGGAGTAATATCACCCTCTCCCCCTTTGGATATTACAAACCATATAACATGAATGTACACCCCCCGAGTTATAGGGACAAATATCACCCTCTCCCCCCGTGGATATTACAGACCATATCACAGGGGGGCGTACACCCCTCACGATGTGGGGAGTAATATCACCCTATCCCCTTCAGAACATGACAAACCAGATCATGGGGGATGTACATCCCCCACGATATGGAAAGTAATATCACCCTCTCCCGCCCAGGATATTAGGAACCATATCACACCCCCCGTGATATGGGGAGTAATACCACCATCTCCCCCCTGGATATTACAAACCATATCAAAGGGGGGTGTACAGCTGCTGCGATATGGGGAGTAACATCAGCCTCTGCCCCCCTGGATATTATAAGCCATATCAAAGGAGGGTGTACACCCCCACAATATGGGGAGTAATATCACCCTCTCCCACCCTGGATGTTATGAAACATAAAACTGGGGGGGTGTACACCTCCCACGATATGGGGAGTAAAATCCCTCTCTGATGCCCTGGATATTACAAACCATATTACACCCCCCGCAACATGGGGAGTAATATCATCCTTTCCCCAACTGGATATTAGGAAACATATCACAAGAGGGTGTACCCCGCAAGCGATATGGGGAGTAATAGCACTCTCTCCTTCCTTGGATATTACCAACCATATCACAGGGGGGTGTACACCCCCCACAATATGGGGAGTAATATGACCCTCTCCCCCCCGAATATTACCATATCACAGGGAAGTGTACATCCCCCGCAATATAAAGAGTAATATCACCCTCTCCCTCCCCAGATATTATGAACCATTTTACACCCCCCACGGTAAGAGGAGTAATATCATTCTCTTCTGCCCCAGATATTACGAACCATATCACGGGGTGGGTGTACAGCCCCCGCGATATGGGGAGTAATATTGCACCCTCCCCACCTGGATATTATGAACAATATCACAGGGAGGTGTACACACCCCACGATATGGGGAGTAATATCATCCTCTCCCCCCGTGGATATTAAGAACCATATCACAGGAGGTGTACACCCCTCGCGATGTGGAGAGTAATATCACCCTCTCCTCCCCTGGATATTACGAACCATATCACAGAAAGGTGTAGAACCCCACGATATGGCGAGTAATATCACCCTTACCACCCTAAATGTTACGAACCATAACAGGAGGTTGTACACCCCCCGCGATATGAGGATTAATACCACCATCTGCCTCCCTGGATATTACGAACCATATCACAGGGGGGTGTACACCCCCCACAATATGAAGACTAATATCACCGCCCCCCCCCCGGGATATTATGAACCGTAACACAGAAGGGTGTACACCTCACGCGATACGGGGAGTAATATCACCCTCTCCCCCACTGGATATTACGAACCATATCACAGGGGGTTGTACAACCCCCACAAATATGAGGAGTAATATCACCCTCTCTCTTCCTTCATATTATGAACCATATCATAGGAGGGTGTACACCCCCTCTGATATTGGGAGTAATATCATCCTCTCCCCCGCTGGATATTAAGAACAATATCACAGGAGGGTGTACACCCCCTTCGATAATGGGAGTAATATCATCTTCTCCCCCCCTGGATATTATGAACAATATTACAGGTGGGTGTACACCCCCTGCGATATTGAAAGTAGTATCAACCTCTCCCCACCGGATATAACGAGCAATATCACAGTGGCGTGAACACTGCCTGCGATATTCAGAGTAATATCATCTTATTCCGCCTTGGATATTACAAACTATATCACAGGGGCGTGTACATCCCCTGCGATATTTGGAGTTATATCATCCTCTTTCCTCCTGAATGTTATGAACAATATTACAGGGGGGTGTACACCCACTGAGATATTGGGAGTAATATCATCCTCTCTCCTTCTGGATATTATGAAAAATATTACAGAAGGGTGTACACCCCCTGCAATATTGGGAGTAATATCGTCCTCTCCCCACCTTGATATTACGAAAAATATTAAAAAGGGTGTACACACAGGGTGTTTACGATATTAAGAGTAATATCATCTCACACCCCTGGATATTACAAACAATATCGCTGGGGGTTTGCACCCCCTGCGATATTGGGAGTAATATCATTCTCTCTCCCCCCTTGGATGTTACCAACAATATCACAGAAAGGTGTACTCCCCCTACAATATGAGTAGTAGTATCACCCTCTCCCTCGCTGAATATTACAAACAATATTACATGGGGGTGTACACCCCCTGCGATATTGGGAGTAATATCATTCTATCCTCCCCTGGATATTATGAAAAATATCACAGGAGGGTGTACACCCCCTGCGATATTGGGTGTAATATCATCCTCTTCCCCCCGGATATTATGAACAATATCACAGAGGGTGTACGCTCAGGGTGTTTACGATATTGGGAGTAATATCATCTGTTCCCCTGGATATTACAAACAACTGCAATACAGGGAGTAATATCATCCTCTCCCTCCCTGGATATTACAAAAAATATCGCAGCAAGGTGTACACCCCCTGCGATATAAGGAGTAACATCATCCTCTCCCCGCCGGATATTACGAACTTGTACCTCCCCTTGTGGTCTATGTGGCCTCTGGTTTTCAGGCCCTTGTTCAGGCTGACCCTCTACAAGGAATGTCCTCCCCACCCAGTCTACTTGGAAACTCCTATGTCTACTTCTGATGCCCAGTCAAGTCTCTCCTGCTCTGCGCCTCCTTCCCTGATGCCCACCTCCCCTCCCCACTCTTGAACCACCATAAACCGCCACTTCATATGCTGACTCTTCCTTGTCTGTTTACATATCTTCCTCCCTCTTGGGTCTGTGAGCACCTTGAGGTCCAGGCTTACAGCAGGCAGCAACGTGTTTGTGGTGTAAATGATTGAGGCAATGACAAGAGGAGGGAGGCAGGTGCAGAGCCCCTGTCTGCTCCCTCTCCATACTTTCTTCTTCCTCTTCTTCTCTCCTACCTGCTTTGCCTTCCTGGCTTGCTCTTGGCCCTCCTTGCAGGGCCTAGTACAGTCCTGGGTCTGGTCCTGCTCAGCTCAGCATATTTGTTTAAATTTATACTCAGGACTAAACATCCAGTCACTCTTTAGCTTGATGTTGCCTGTCCTTCCAGTCATCCCTGTTCCAGTCAGAAGAAGGAACTTACTGTGGGGGGTGGCAGGGGCTGTGCTTAAAGAGTTTGCTTTCCCATGACCAGCAAAGTAAAAGACCTAGGAATTTGGTTCTATTCTCGTTTGCTTCTCTGAGCCTGTCCATGCCCACTGTCTGCCAGTGTCAATCTGGCCCAGCTCTGAGAGTCCAGAGGAACATGTAGGACATGGCAAGTTGACCCTTGCATCTATCAGAGATGGCATTCAATGGGCCTAAGACACAGGGGGCCAGTAATGTGCTGGCCGCACACCTCCTACACAACTCTCATGGGATATGAATGTCAAAAGCCCTCTCTGAGCTGCTTTGGGAACCAATATGGTGAAGTCAGGCCATCTGGCCACTGACCACCCCCTCTATTCCAGCCAGGCCAGGCCCCTCCTTACCCCATCTCCATCCTTCAAGGACCCTTCTGGAGCCTGCCCAGATAAGCTGAGCCTGTGCCATTCACAGCCCCTCTGTCCACCCTGGCCTGCAAGCTCCCAGAAGACAGAGTTTGGCTTTCAGCAGCCTAATCTTGAACCTGACCTCCACACTGGGCAGACTGGAACATTTAGGGGTTCCTGGTGGGATTTGATAGTCCCATCGCTGTACACAGCAAATGACAAGAGACATTGTTTAGTGTGTCAGATAGTAAAGGCTTTACACTGTACTCATCATCTCATTTGACCCCCATTCCCATATGTGGGAATGCTATTATCTCATTTTACAGAACAAGAGATGGCTGCTCAGCCCTTGGAAGTCATGTGCCTGAAGTCTCACTGCCACAACTCACATGTGGGGTGCCTCCCTTAACCACAGTATCACACTGCCTTTGGGCAGCTGTTTCAAGCCCAGAGTGCAATGGACTAACACTGAACATCGTGAAGGACTGGTCTCAGGAGGTACTCAAGGAAGAGGGCTTAAACAACCAGTTAAGCAGCACAGTCTCTCTAAGTTTCCCTGCCCTTGAACCCCTATGATCCTGGCACACAGTAGGTGCTCAGTAAATGTTGACCAGTGAGTGATGGCATGAATGGAACCTGAGGGTCTGAGGCTACACAGTCTGTTGCAAGCCCGGGACAAAGATGTGGCACCGGCAGTGTGGGGAGGGTGGAATGCTGGCCCAGGGCAGCTGTGCCCTTGCTGGCCTTATCAAGAAGGACACTGGGCCCCTGCGCCACCTTCCCAAATCCTGCCTCGGGCCTGCCTCCCGGGGAGTTTGGCAGCCACCAAGGCTGGCCTCACTATCTCTCTGTGCTCCTTGGAAGGGAAGCCTTTATCAGCAAACACTGCATTTGAAAGCCCTAATTGTCAAGCACGGTCCCATCAAAGCAGCCGAAAGCCAGGCCGCCCCCATCCCTCATGGCCCAGCAGGCTCAACTGGTTCCCCACGATGGCTGGCGGGTGTATATTTTAAAATATCTAAATACAGCTGAAAATAAAAATTATTTACACTCCCCAACCCAACTGGCAGGCCGCTTGCAAGTGCACGTTAACTGTGTCTATCCCTCCCCATTTCTCCTTCGCTGATAAAGGGCCATAAACAAGGCTGACACATTTATAATAACCTTTTTTCTTTCTCTCCTTCCTCCCTCTCCTGGGCTCCCATCTTGGCCTCTCACTCACATGCTATGAGGGATAATTTTTTATTATTCTGCCATTAGCAGAGAATAGAGCGTTTGATGAGGGGGAATAAAACGTCAAATCATTTAGAAAGAGAGGACGAAAAAACAAGCCAGCAACTTCTATTTTTCCACGTCAGCGGCAGCTGTTGGGATGTCACCAGCACATACAGCGCTTGGAAATGTCTTTTCCAATGTCTCCCCCTCCCCTGCCTCCCTTTTATTTCCTACTTTCTTTCCCAAGAGGTGGGAGCTGAGTCCACGGGATTGAGGGTGGGGGTTAGGGGGCTGGCTGGGTTTTTCTGCCAGGTTGCAGAGGGAAACTGGGCCCAGGTGGAAGGTGGTGAGGAATATCTCCGGACATGAGGAGGAGCTCTGCTGAGTTTCTGCCCCGCGGGGTCTGGGCATGTCTGGGAGCAGGTGTGGACGCTGCAGTGTGCAAGCCTCTGTTTATATGGGGAGATGCGAGGGCAGCCAGGGGGCTCTGGGACAGCTTGGCATCATGGTACATGGTGGGGGTGCTGTGTGCAGAGCCTGGAGGGGCTGATGGCACACAGGCTGGAGTCCCAGAAGCAGGTGCCAAAGCACAGCAGAATTGGGGCGAGGGGCCTGTCTGTGGATCTCCATAGACCTGCCTGGCAGAACCTTGGTATGGTGGGTAGCATGGGGGGACCTAGGGGTAAAAGGGACATGGGGTCTGCCTTCCCAGTGGGTGCGGACAGAAGGGTGTGGTGAGGCTCCCCTCTATACAAAAGGGGCCTTTCCAAAGAGCCTGGATTCAGAAGGCCGCAGAGGCCCTGTGGCTTTCAGAGCCTGCTCAGCTGCACCAGGGACCTTTCTAAGGCATTTTCTTCTTGAGCTGGATCATGAAGCAAGCCCTCTTCTTCCCTAGATGGCTGGCAGGAGCCTGCTCTTCCCACCCTGCCGAAGGTCTAAAATCCATCAGGACCTGCCTGTGACCTGGCTGCTGCCTGCACCCCAGGGCCCCTCCAGCACTGATGGAGACCTGGCTGGGTCTCCCTGAGTGGGCCCTCTCTGGGGTGTGACAGTGGAGGAGAGAATACTGACCTCCCCACTGGTGAAAGTGTCCCCCACCGTGTAACCATGGCTCCTAGGTGGGATGCCCAAGTCCAAAACTGCTGTCACCAAGGGTGGGATGCAGGCTTCACATCAGGTGCTGTGCAGGCCCCAGGCTGGAGGTCAAAGGGCTTCGTGGAGAAGTCTGGTAGATTTGGGTTGCTGAGAGAAGGGGCAGGGAGAGGTTCAAGGCCCTCACCTCACTACCGCAGAGTGCGGTGCCCGCACTGTGGTCATCCTAGATGTGTATGTTTAGCATGACATTCTTCAGCAGACTGGCAGAAAAGCGTCTGGAGGAAGGAGTGCCTTTGCTGATTCTTACAAGGGTATCCTATGGCCTAGCACCGGTGCTGCAGGTGCTCCAGGCAGGGCAGCTAGGTGAGCCCAGAGTAGAGGTAGGACTCAGAGGAGCCCACAGCCCGAAAGGGCAGAGTGTCTCGGTCCTGCTGGAGTGAAGGCCCAGCTGGGGCAGGGGGTGGAGGCCCTGCATGCACGTTCTCGAGGCCCATACACGTGTGCACACACACATGGGCTTAGTGAGACACATAATAGCCAAGGTAGCCGCAGGGAGGTGAAGTGATCACTGTTCCTACTCTGCTCTAGCTCCCAACATACAAGGCTGTCCTGTCATTGCAGGACTGGCTGACCCCCATTTAGCCAGCAGGACAGTGGCCCCACTGGACTTCAGCTGCGAGGAAGTAGCCAGTAGGCGACCCCTGATCCCGGGACAGCTGCCATTCCCTTGGCAGTTGGAGCCCCAGTGATGGGTCCGGCTTCACTGTCCATTGGAAGTGGAGGACGTGACATTCATGATGGACTCTCCATTGCCTGGATGGCCACAAAGAGGAGACTCGGTCTCCCCCGACCCCTCCCCACCCTTGCTGTACAACATCCTTTCTTCTCACCATCAAAGGGACATCTGTCTCTCTGTGGGAGGGAGACCAGCATCCTGGGAACACTCAGCTTTGATGTCCGGCTCAGCTGACTTGGCCAGGCCAGCAGCAGCCCCTCCTCCCTCCCCACTGCCCCGGGCTGCGGGCCCCTCCCAACATGCTCCCTCACACACTGTCCATCTGGCTCCCTCCTCTGAGCCCCCTCCTGCTCTCATCTCCACATCTGCCCCTCTCTGCTCCCTCTTCAGCCTGAGCCCCCAGGATGAGCCCTGGCCAGGAAGCTCCACCTCCACCAGCCCTTGATCTGGATAGGGGGTTCCAGGGGGGTCTGTCCTTCTGCGCTCGCTCCCCAAGGGCTGGCTCTATCCCAACCCAAGTCCTCCACCAGGTTCATTTCCCCATCATCTCACTGTGCTTTATGCACGTGTGTGTGTATGTGTGTGGGTGGGTGAGTGTGCACACATGTGTGTTATGTGCTGGCCTCTGACTCCCAGGACAGGGAGACACCCGGAAGTCAGAGCCTGGGTCCCTCTCCTCTGCCCTCAGGCTGGTCCCCACAGTGGAAAGCCTGCTTTGCTTTCTTGCTGTGCCCCAGCAGGGCGGGCCAGGGCCAGGCACCAGTGAATGAATAATGGGGACCTGGGGAAGCAGGTGGAGAAAAGTGGGTGTTATAGCTGAGAGGAACTCCTGGAGGCTGGAGTTGGGACTTTAGGGAGGGAGAAAACCACAAGAGGGCCTCAGCCCAGGGCCCAGGACCCCCCTGAGTGGAGGTGGCTGGCCCATCAGGAGCATGAGATCAAGGCAGAGGGGATAGAAGGAGTGGGTTGACCTGTCTGTCGTTTCTTCGTCATCTCTCCCGTGAGGCAGCAGGAGGCAGCAGGCCTGGAGCAGAGCTAACAGAGAGGCTGGAGGTGCTGGCAGTCACTTGAAGGGCAGTGGGCCCCAGGAGGACAGGCCCAGGCTCCCTGAGATGGGCCTGAAACTAGTTTCACTCTGAGTCAAGGATGGGCAACCTCCCTGGAGACCCTTCTCGGCCGCCAGATGCAGATCATTCCCTGAACCTCTGTCCCCTGCCTCTCTGCTTCTCTTTCTAGGCAATAGGACCCGGCCCCTTCCAGCAAGAGGGTTGGAATGAGAGAGTTGTGCAGGGTCTGGGGCGGGGGACAGAGTTCGGAGGAGGAAAGGCCACCCTAATGACCTATGCTCTGGAGACGTCAGGCTTTGTTAAGAGAAGTGGGGCACCAGAGGGAGGGAAGCAATGGGTCCCATGTTCTGGGTTCATTCAGGACAGTCTAGGAGCAGCGGTGGGAGGGGACAGGCTGCCGGTGGGGGGCAGTGGGTGGTCTCTGCACATGTCTAGGGCAACTGTGGGCTGTGAAGGATCACAGGACAGATCCAGGGTCAAGGGTGCTGGGTAAGGAGGCTTGATGATCACGGGAACGAGGACATGCATCTCTCTCTCTCACACACACACATGCACGCACACAAATACACACACACAAATACACACACATGCACACAGACACACACATATGCACACACACAAAAGCAAACACACATGCCCACTCCCTACACACACCCTACACAAAATCACACAACTCACACACACATATTATACATATACACACATCATATGTACATGCAAACTCAGACATGTTACACACACACCATAGACATAGCCATAGACACATATACATGCTCACACAGGCACAGATACACATGGGTACATATGCATGGTCATATTTGCATGTCGTACAATTAACAGCCATACAACACACTATTCATACACACATGTACACACAGACATACCAGATGTACACACAGCCCCTGCCTGCTCCCTAGGCTCTGGCAGCAAAAGCTCTCACCTCCTTGCCTTTGCCTACCAAACCGTCAGCATTCACGGGCCCTAAAGCGGACAGAACCCGCTCTTCTCCCCTCTAGCCCCTCCAGTTTGCTCACAGACCATCCGGCCTCAGCCAGGTCCCCTCCCCTCCCCTCTGAACTGCATCCTCACACACCGGGCACTGCTTTGCCCCAGGCTACCCCACCCTCCCCTGCTGGCTTCTCTTTTTTTTTAAGCCTGAGGACTACAGTGGACAGGGCAGAGCATGGAGGGCTGCGGAAGCAAGGGGAGGAGCAAGGCTATTCTCTCCATTTTATAGATGAGGCCACCGAGGATCCCACAGGGTAAAATGGGCCTTTTGTTTATACTCATCCCAGATCAGGGTTCTTTGAACTGCAGGGAAAGCCCAGCACCCCACACCCCGCAGTGTGAGGGCCAGATCCTCTCCAGGGAGGAACAGCAGGCTGTAGCCCTGGGCCTTGTGGATGGAGAGGACCAGAAAAGGTGGAGATTGCGGTGGAGGGGTTGGGGGAGGCAGTCCTTCCAGGAGGACGTAACAGCTTCAGCCAAGGCTAGGAAGTCGGAAAGTACGAGGTCCAAATGACACCAGCAAGTCCTTGAGCTTGTGCACACTGAGGCACAGAGGGAGAAGGGTATGGAAAGGCTGGCTGGGGCTTGAGCCTGAAGTGACATGGAGCCAGGCTGAGCCCTTGCTCTGGTGACAGGGAGCCCCTCCTGGCCTTCCTGACAGACTTGACCTCCAGCAGGGAATCTGACTGAGACCTGCAGCCTCCAGACCTCGGAGAGCCAAGACAGGTAAGAGCTGTCCAGAGCAGGGTGTGGCCCTGACAGGTAAGAGCTGTCCAGAGCAGGTTGTGGCCCGGACAGGTAAGAGCTGTCCAGAGCAGGGTGTGGCCTGGACAGGTAAGAGCTGTCCAGAGCAGGGTGTGGCCCGGGCTTGGGTCCCACCTGAGGAGCACAGCCCAGACACTGTCCGAGGCCTAGAGGCTGCCCTGCAGGTGAGGCCCACACAGACAGCCCTCCTGAGATAGGTGGCACTCCCCAGTGCCACCTGTGCTCCTGCTCAAGGACATCTTCAAGCGAATATGACTTAATTATTTGAGTAGTGGTCACTGGCCACCCGCAATGCAGTTTTCCCCTGGTTAACGTGACTTCGGAGGGTCCCAGCAATGAGCACCAGGGAAGGGGCAGGTCCTGCTCTCCAGCTTGGGCATAAATCTGTTGAGGGTTCGGGGTGGGAGGTGGAGTGAGGGTGTCACCCTTCTGGACTTATTAGCTGAAATGTCTTGTGGACCTAGGGGGCCAAGTCCACACCATTGCTTGGAACAGACTGGTTCAAGGCTGCTTTGGAGGACTCCAATCCCACATGTTTTATGTTTTGTGTATTGATTCTTTATTGTTATTGTTGATGTTCTGTTTGTTCCAAGTAAATATCTAACAATGTCCAGGTCAGTGGGTTCTACAGATGAAATGCCCCAAGCACAGTGTCTCACCCTAACATGACCTGAGATGCTGGCACATTTATGTTGCTTCCCAACACACGTGCTTGGACACAGGCATGTGCATATGAGGATGAAGCCAGGCAGGGGCAGCCCCTGCCTCCTGCTCTGTCGCCACTGGCTAGACTCCAGGAGAGAAGGAAGGCCTAAGGGGCCGGGGTCAGAAGGACCCCACCTGTCCCAAGAAGGTTGTGAGAAGGTAAAGGAACCCTACACCTAGGGTTCCTCACTCGTTGGGCCAGGCCAGCCAGGGCCTCAGAGGCCGCACACCTGAGCAACATCCTGAACAGAGCAGTGTGGCTGCATCATTCAGGAATCTAAGACTGAGCCAGGCCCCATGTGATCTCATGCCCTCCCTGGGCCTTGGGATCCTCTTTTGAGGACAAAAGCAGGCAGTGGTGTGGCTTTGGGATGCCAGCACTCAGAGGCCCCCAGTTCCCGTGGCCCAGGCACAGCAGCCCCAGCTGGTTCTCCCACATGGTAGGAGCTCCCGGTGGCTGTGAATGGGCCTCCCTCAGGCAGGCCGCATGGGCAGTCAATGGGGCAGGCAGGCCATAAATCCTGGCTCAGGAAACCTGCCCCGCCTGGCTCCAAGATGGCCACTTAATTTAACCACTGCTGTCACAACAGCTTTGTGGGCCTGCTCGCCTGGGCCTATGGGATTTATGGCCCTGGAAAGACCTTCTCATGCCTCAAGTACTAGTGGAATGCCCAACCCCACCCTGCTCTGGAGAGACGCAGGGTTAGAGCAAGAAGCCCCGCCAGTGAGGGTGCCACAGACAAGAGCAGCCCTTCTGTCCTCTCCCTGGGCAGCCCCAGCATCTCACCCCACTCTGAAACACCTCCCTTCTGCTAACAGGGCAGGACTGAGGACTAAGGCAGGGGTGTGGACAGATGGCTCTGCCAGGTTTCTACCCTGAGATGCACTGGCAAGGAGGGCAGCCTCCCTTGCCTCCTCTGAGGATCCCGAGTGGTCCTGTCCTCCCCCACCCCTCCTGCCTCTCCTCTTTAATAGGGACTTCCTCAGAGGCTGGCAGTGGACCCCAGCTCACACCAGGTCAGGGGGCTGGGTGTTCATTGACTGTGCTGCCGGCCTCAGCCCCACAGCTGCCTCCTCCAGCATCCAGATGAAGTTCTGCTAGGTCTGGTAATCAGGCTGGATTACCTGGGTAATCCTCCCCGCCCTGAGGCTCCCTGCCCGCTTCTAACTGAGGAATGATGATGTCTCCTGACCTTGGGGGCCACAGTAGAGTGAGCAGGAATACTGATGTCTTGCCCACCCCTCCCCAAAGCCACACAGACTCCGTGCTGGGCTCCGTGCCCCACCCCACCCTCCCAAGTGGAGCCTCAAGAGATTCTACCACCTGTGCTGCTCCTGATGCTGGTTTTGTGTCCCAAAATAATGAGATTCCTTACAACCAGTACCAGCCACGGAGCTGGGCCATCCAGGGTTTCTCCGTGGAACTGGGCAAGCCGGGGTTTAAATTCCAGCTCTGTTCTTCCCTCACTGTGCAACCTTGGGCAAGATGCTCAGCCTCTCTGAGCCTGTTTTCTCATTGTGAAATGGTGACCTATAAGATTGCTGGAAAGATTCTGTGAGGCAAGACTCCTAAAGCCTGCAGCCAGGGACGGGCACATTGCAGATACCCAATGCACCCCACTCCTTTTCTGAAGTCTGATAGGGTCTAGAAGGCAGCTGTGCCTTGTCCCCACTTCCCTCCACTAGCCAGTCTGGCATGATGGGCACTGTCACCTGCTCTCCAGGGGCAGCCCTCCTGGCTTGGGTGGTAGAAACTGGGTGGAGCTGGGGCTGCTTCCAAGGTATCCTCTCAGACCCAGCTGCGTGGGCTCAGGGTCTGGAGGCCTTCAGGAAGCCAAGCTCCTCCTGGCCCCTTGCTGTCCACCCTACCCCCAACCCCAGCAGCTGAGCCAGGCCAAGCTGGCCTCAACAACTAGGCTGGTCCAAAAGAGGCCTCCTGACACACCAAGGCCACCCCATCCAGCCTCCTCCAGCCCCAAACCCCACCCCAGCAATCCCAAGAGTACCCAAGATTGAGAATCTGAGTCAGTGTGGCTGCCAGAGACCCAGCCAAGCCCCTGTGGTGCCCCTGTGGTGCCCCTGGGGAGGCCAGAACGCAGAGCAACGGCCCCCAGACCTGACCCCAAGTGAGCTGGTGATGCTGCTATCTATCCTGCCAGAGGGGGAGCTCCTGGCGTGGGGACCTGGCTGTCTCAGCCAACCTCCCCATCTGTCTCTTGGATCCACGCCCCAAACCTCCACGCTCCCCATGTGCCTAGCCCTGTGCAGGCTGCTGCGGGATACCGTGGAAGGAGTGGGCAATCCCTGTCCTGTACCCTGGCATGGGGGCGGCCTCCTCATCCCTGGGCAGGTACAGGCCACAGTAGCTGCCGGGCAGCAGCCAGAGTGTGAGCCCCAGAGCTGGCTTCCTGGAGGAGGCAGACGTGCAGAGAGAGAAGCAACGCTCCGAGGTGGAGGGGTGCAGGAGTTCTTCCTGTGGTACCTCCCACCCTTAGGAAGCAGAACGCATTGGCTCCGTTTCACAGATGCCACCACTGAGGCTTGGAGGGGGCAGGTAGCGTAGGGAAGGTCACAGAGCTGGTGAGGGACGGGATCTGGCCATCTGAAGCACAGTTAGAGCAAGGTCATGGGGCCAGCAGGGTGCAGGCTGAGGAAGGAACAAGGAGACAGCTGTGGGAGGAGCAGAGATGAGGCCTCAAACCCCCCATGGTGGGGAAAGAGTCGGGGGTTGGACTTACCCTTCCCCCACCCTTCACACAGCCGGGACCAGGAAGGCTTGGGGAAGACTGTGTGGTGATAGAAGGGCCCCGCACACGTGGTGATGGTTCCTCAAAGGCCTGGCCTCTGCCTCTACGGCTCTGGGAGGCTGGGAAGGAGAAGCGGCCCCCGCCCCTCTAATAGATCCCTCTTTGATCATGTTTTTGTGACCTTTGTAAAAGGCAATTTAAATTCTAATTGTCCTGTGAGTACCAGAGGAATCAATTAGAGACAAGAGCCCGCTAATTGTGCAGGGGAGGTGAGTGGGGGGCAGGAGGCGCCGGGAGGTACAGGCATCCAGCGTCCCCACCTCCTGCCTGGTAGCCGGCACTCAGCCTCTCCTCTCCCGTCTGAGGGTGGAGGTTGTCAGGGTCCTGGGGCCGCAGTGCTGGGAGGAAGCTCCTGGGGCCAAGCAGGAAGCTGAGCAGGAAGTCCCCAGGCCGCCCGCTCTGCCTCTAGGCCCTCCCATGGCAGCAGCATCTTCCCTCCACCCCTTCTTCTGACCCTGCCCACCCCTCCCACCCTCAGGAAGAAGGTGCCCTCCTTCCTGAGCCCTGCCCCGCCTGGGTCTATGGGTGGAGGGGACTTAAGGGATAAGACCCCTAAGGAGACAAGCCCACCTTGCCCACACTGGCATACCTATCCGTGTACACACCTGGACTCACACTCATCGCAGAGCTCTGGGGTATAGGACGCACTCACGATTAGTCCTGATGTTCAGGGCTAGGCCTGGGGGAATGGTAGTCCCTGCCCTGCTCTTCCACACTGGAGCCCTGCCTGGTTCAAGCGCAAGTGACCAGTAAGCACAGTGCCTCGGCCTGACCTTGAAGACCTCTATCAAGTCTCTCGCCCACACCCACGCCTGGCATAGGCCCCCTCGGCCAGGCAGCCCCCTGGGCCCCCAAGCCTCAGTCACACCTCTGCTCACAACATTGCCTGGCACAGAAAAGCTTCAGGCCTCTCCAGTCCCACCCTTTCTGAGCCTCAAAGATATCTATAAGACAAGGATGAAAATTATGATAATGTTATATATTATCCTCTTGTAAGGATTATGTAATATGTGTAAAGTCCCCAGAGCAGGGCCTGGTACGCAGTAGGCACGCAATAAATGTATTTGTTATGAACACCCATCATCCCCCCCAACAGAGTCCATTTCACTCACATTCCCCCCAACACAGCACACACAGTGTGTGTTAGGACGATCTCTTCACAGACAGTATACCCCCTGAGAGCAGGAATGTGGAGTTTTCTCTCTGTGTCACCAGCGCCCAGCACAGAGTAGACAGCAATTAATTGCCCTCGAACTGTACTGGTCTCCCAGAGCCTGAATACTGGCCTCTCTGAGGTGTTGTGATCTTTACAGTGTCAGCCAAGCATGCATCAATAAGCAAAGTTATAGCAACACCCAACCCTAAGAGAGCACTCACCACATGCCAGGCACTAAGCACTTAATATAAGTGAACTCCCTAGGGGGTAAGTGCTATTATCACCCCCACTTTCAGATGAGGAAACTAAGGCACAGAGAGGTGAAGCAGCTTGCCCATGATCGCACAGCTGGGATGGGCAGAGTCAGGATTTGAATTCCAGGCAGTCTGGAACTCAGAGCTTGGAACTCCTAACCACCACCCTAGAACTCATTAAGGGAACTCTTCTGTCTATGCCCAGTATGTCACAGGATGCAGTGATACAGGGACAGCAGTATACCCAGGACAGTAAATAGCTCCATCTAAAGGCAATTGTGTCCTGAGGACCCAGACAGCTCAGTAGTAACTGATGAGCTTTTGCAAGCATGTGAAGCATCTGATGCCACAGTGATGACCACAAGGACACTGCCGCTGGCTCCTTTAGGGTGGTTTTGAATCTTTTTTTTTTCTTTTCTTTTCTTTTTTTTTTTTTAGACAGAGTCTCACTCTGTTGCCCAGGCTGGAGTTCAGTGGTGCAATCATGGCTCACTGCAACCTCCACCTCCTGGACACGAGCAATCCTCTCACTTCAGCCTCCTGAGTAAGTGGGACTAGAGGCGTGCACCACCATGCCTGGCTAATTTTTGTAGAGACAGGGTTTCACCATGTTGCCCAGGCTGGTCTTGAAATCCTGGGCTCAAGTCATCCACCTTCCTTGCCCTCCCAAAGTGCTGGACTTATAGGCGTGAGCCACTGTGCCCAGTGAGTCTTTTCTCAATGGTGCCACTGAAAGTTCCAGTGTTCACATGTATGCCATGAACCCCCAAAAAGCTGAGGATTCCTGGGCATGCACATTGGAAGTGCTTTCTCTATCTTGCCTTCAGTACTCCAGGCTTGCTTCCTTGGCACTACTAAGCTCCCTCTCCTTCATCCTTACCTCAGGGGAGAAAAGGGGAAATGGAAACAGGAAGGTGTTACCTAAGAGCCTCCAGCTGGGTAGTCCTGTTTCCTTGGACTGTGACAAGGATGAGGGCTCAGACTGTGAGCAGGATCAGGGCTCAGTCTATTAGTGAGGTTGGGATTCAGTTAGAGTCTCTGACCCTCAATCTCCACACTTCTTTCCTTGTTTGACAAGGCAGGGCATGTGGTCTGGCTCACAGATTTCACTGGCCAAATTAGGCATGAATCACCAGGGTCGAATGCAGTGCCTTCTGCTCTCCCACATCGTCCTGGCTGTCTTATCTGTAGCAGTGCTTCTGGGCATGCAGTCGCCGCCTAGCTCCTTGCATGCTGATGACCTCTACCCTGAATGGCAGGGCTACAAGCTGGCTGTAGCAATTTGAGGGAGTCACCTACCTTCCTTCTCCTTCTGAATGTCCCTGTAGGCACCTTGAACTCAACCCAACAGCCTGAACACTCCCTGGAAGCCTGCTTCTCCCTGACGTTGCCAGTTTCAGCCAAAGGCACTCAGAGGTCCAACTTGACAATGGGACATTGCCCTGGAACGTGCCCCTAGGAAATCAATCCCCAAAGCCTCCCCGTCCAGTGGATCACCCCCTGCTCCCCATTTCTTCAGCCACAGGCCTGAATGTTTTTCCGCTGAGACTTAGAACAGCCACCTCAGGGGTTCCTCTGTCTCCACCATCATCCTTTCCTGCCACACTACAGTAACAGTGGCCTTTCTAAAGTGTAAGTCTAACCATGTCACTCCCTGGCTGGACCTACATGCACTCAAGGGAGAGGGCTGAGCTAAGATAGTAATTTGGGATAGATCACTTTCCAACCACGAGAGAGGTGGGCTCACCAGGGGAGGGCGCGTCAAGTGAGAAGAAAGAGAAGAGGGCTTAAGCCAAACCCTGAGATTCTTCAGGGATGGGAGGGGAGCACCCAGTCCCAAGAGGGAGCAGGGAGGAGGAAACCCAGGAGCCAGTGCCACTGCAGGAAGGAGAGAAGCTGTCAGGTAGATCCATGCCCAGACCCCCTGAACAGAGCGCTCACTTTGTTCAGCAACTTAGAGGTTGCTGGTGACCTCAGTAAGAATCGTTTTATCTGGGAGACATAAAAAACAGAGGGCAGAGGCGTGGGGAGGAAGTCAGAGACGGGGGCAGTGAATGTACACAACTCTCAGTAATTGGGACTGGGGCCAAGGTGGGAAGGAAGATCACCTGAGGCCAGGAGTTTGTGATCAGCCTGGGCAACACAGCAAGACCCCATCTCTCCAAAAATTTTTAAAAAATAACCGGGCATGGTGGTGCACATCTGTGGTCCTAGCTACTGGGGAGGCTGAGGTGGGAGGATCACTTAAGCCCAGCAGTTCAAGGCTGCAGTGAGCTGTGATCCTGTCACCGTACTCCAGCCTGGGTAACAGAGGGAGACTCTGTCTCTGGAAAAATTAAAAAAAGAAGTGAGACTGGGACAGATCTGGCCATGGCAGAGGAGAGCCAGGGTCAAGGGAAGGTTTTATTTGGAATAAGAAGGAGCAGACCCACTCAGTCCTATATCCTTGGCCCAAGCCTGTCCTGCTCACTCTCACTACCCTACCCTTCTGGCTCTGGCTCCCAGAGATGCTACTTGCTCTTGAAAATTCTGGCTGGGGGAGGTGGGAGGGAGTGATATAGACAGACTGTCAGATTCAGAGTAGGGAGGCCCAGATACAGGGCATGGTCACCTAGATGTCAGCTGCAGATCCAGGGCAGGGGTGCTGGTATCCTGGGCCCTGCTCCCCCTCTCATTCCCCACCTTCATCGAGCTGGGGCCTTTCTTCATGGAGCTCTAAGAAGGAGAGGAGAGGCAGGAGGGAGCTGGAGGTGGGGTAGAGCACCAGGAGGCTCCGTAGGCATCTGGAGAAGTGAGGAGGGACAGAGAGGAAATATTAACTCAGTCAGGGAGCCGTCAAGGTCCAGAGTTGGGAGTCTGTGATAGTTCAGGTCCTAGGCCTGCCCCCACCTCGTCAAGTGATGCTAGGCTCTGTCCTATCATATCCGAGCCTCCGAGCCCAATCTGTGACCAGACAAGGCTAAACAAGCTGACCCCACTGGCCTTCCTGCCACGTCTTCCTGAGAGGTGAGAAGCAAGGGTCAGTCTGTGCTGCTCTGGATGGGAGTGGAGCTGGGAGCCAGGGCAGGGCAGGGCAGGGGATGACAGGCACCACTGCGCCATGTTCCAGCCCTTCTATCTGTGTGGAGGACACGGCTGTGAAATGTAAGTAAAACCCAAGTCTAATTTCCTCGGTCAGAAGGAGGAGGCACTGCAGCATTTTCAAACCCTAATTAAACCCGCTCGGGCGGTGTAACACCAAAATCAGTTCCAAGATCAATATTGCTATTCATTTAGAAGTGTAACGAGGTTAGAGAGGTGAGCAAAGGAAATAATTAACTCATTTGCAGCCTTTTTAAACAGAAACAGTCGTTTTAATCTCCAGGGTAATTAGCTATGCTCTGTCCATCAATCATGACCTCAGCCATTATTTTAAGTATTTGATTAATCAAGGAGGAAAGGGGTTAAGCCACCCCTCCAAGCCCCCAACATTGGCCCACGTATTGGGGATGACCCCTGGGCAGGCACTAGAAACACTTCTCCGGGCGGGGGGCAGTCTAGGCCAGCATTGAGAGTGGCCAGCAGGGAAGGGCTACAGCACAGAGGGTGTCCCAGGTGAGACACGTGGGCAGGTGGGGAACAGCTCCCTCTCCTGGCTGGTCTCCTGCGAGAGGACAAGCCCTCCCTGGGCATGGAAGTGCTGGGGCCCTGGAGCCCCAGGTCCTGGTCCATGTACCGCGCCTGGCTTGCTGAGTGACCTCAACAAGTCCCTGCTACCATTTCTGTCCGTCCTAGGTGGAGACGGAAGCCCATGGAATTAATCCGGAGCTCACGGGTTCTAAGTGCCCAGGGGCCTCCGGCCACTGGAGGGCAGCAGAGCCCCAGGGACCCCTGAGCCCGTGGGCTGGGCTTGCCAGAAGCGGGCGGCGGCTGCGCGGGAGCTGCTGCCTTGGGAAGCCTGGGTTCTGGCGGATCCGATGGGAAAGTCCGGTCTGGCTGCCATCTCCAAGGCCTCACGGCAGCCGGAGGGGTGGGTAGCCCCGATAAGTGTCCTCATTTGGCAGACGAGAACCAAAGCTTCGGGGAGTGCCAGGACCTCCCCGTCCGGGCCCCCACACCCCAGTTCCTGAGGCTCATTCCTGAAACCTGGAGGGGACGCCCCCGGAGATGAGGAGGGCAGAGCTGCCCGGACTGGCCTCTGTCTTGTTCTGACAGCCCGGGCGTGGCCACCCTTCTCAGCCAAAAGGGGATCCTGGGGGAAGCCAAGGCCCAGACATGGGGCCTCAGATGGGGGAAACTGAGGCCCAGAGAGAGGCAGGGCTGTGCTGATGTTCTCATTAGTATTTGTTAGCAAATGTGGGGCACAGAGTCACTGCCTCAAGGTCCTTATGATGCACTCGGGAAAACCGTGTGCAGATGGTGACCAGGCCGTGGGTGAGAGAGCTCTAGGAGGCAAGCCCGGGGTGGGGAGCCCCGCGGGGCAGTGGGCACAGCCCAGGCAGTCCAGGGAAGCCTCCTGAAGGAGGGGGCCTCTGAGCTGACTCAGAATGAAAGGTGGAGAAGTGTATTCCTGACAGGGAGGAACTGGTGCAGGGCACGAAGGAGTGGGAGTCGGTTGAATGAGTCGTGAATTGGGCATGGCTGGCCCACAGGCCCTGCAGGAGAGCAGGAAGGTGACAGGAGCCTAGGATATGGAGGGGGATCCAGGAGTGTGAGCGGAGGCTCTGGAAGGGATGCGTGAGGGCGGCTAGGGTTCATGTGGCCTGCCCTGCTGAGCCCGTTTCTGTCCACTCTAAACAGCTGTGCTGGGCGTTGGACCTGCCCTATGGTGCTTGATGTCGCTGGACCCGGGACCACCTCTTAGTGCTGTCCTCCTCTCTAGAGCCCAGATGAAAAATGACGAGTCCTTGGGAGGGCAGGGGTTGGGGAGCAAGTGTTCCTAAAGGTTCTGGGAATTCAGGGGTTGGGGAAAAGGAGACAGCCAGGATAGACATAGGCCGAGCCCACATCGACCTTCCTTCCAAGACAGCCCCTCACTGCCCTGTGCCATGCCAGTGCCAGCACCATCATCACTGGAAAGGCCTCTCCTTGCATGCCTTTGGCTTTGGGGAGCTCACCACCTCAAACAGCTCTAATGGGGAGAAATTTTCTTCAGCTGCTGTCTCTTGTCTCTCTACAGTCCCTGGCTCTTTGCCTGGGGTACCCTGAGAGCCCTGCCTCAGAGTCTTCTGGGACATCGCTGGGGTGCCCAAGACTGCAGTAGTCAGTCCCATGGGCAGGCAGGGAGTACTGACTGTCATCATCAGCCAACGAGCAACCAGAAAGGCCAGGGGACTTGGCTGGCTGGCCTAGCTGGCATCGGATTTGGGGGGAGTCTTCCAGCCCCAGGCACTGTCTCGGCAGACTGGGGGAGGGCAGGAAGGATGGGAATATGGAAGCAGAAGAAGGAGGAGAAAAAGAAGGGAAGGAGGAGGAAGGAGGACCAGGATCTGGCCTGGAGCTCGGTTGCCAGGGGCAACAGCATTGCATTCTGAGGAGGAACCAGATGCTGAGGAGGGCGGCAGGAGGAGGGGAGCTGGGGTCCAGGCAGCAGATCCAAGGCTCCTAGGGCTTGGGGGCGGGGGTACCCATTTGGCAAGAACCCCAGGAGTCCCAAGTGTGTGTGGAGCCCTGGTGAGAGCTCCTTAGTGGCTATTCTGACCCCAGGGCTCAGAGGCAGACATGTGGAGTGGGAGGAAGGCGGGGAGGGCTGGGCCAGCCACATTTGTAAGCTCCCCACAGCCGCTCTCCAGGCTACAATTTGTCTAGGACTCCAGAGCGAAAGCAGTTGTGAGGCTGGGACCGGGGCAGGGCTGGGGAGGAATGCTTAATCCAGCCAGCGCTGGGGGCCACACCCGGGCCTGCTGGGGCACTGGCCTGCCCTCCCCTCCTGCTGCCTCAGTCCAGGGGAGGAACAGGAAAAGTGCACACTGAAGGCTGGAGTCCTCTAAGGCCGTGGGCACTCCCCAGCCCCTCTCAGCTTCATTTTCTGTGTCTATAAAATGGCGCAAAAAAACCTTGCTCTTGGACACGTTTATCAGCAGTTGTCTACGTGCAATGTCGGGGGCGGGGGCGCTTGTTAAGACAATAAGAAATAAAGGAGAAAAACGTGATCAAAGGAAGTCACATTCACCTTGCATTTAGCGGGGGATTTGTACCCCTCTTTTCCAGGCCAGCAAACCAAGGCTCAGAGAGAGCTGGGTATTGAAAGTGCTGGGAACTAAGCATACCCTGTAAGACTCCAAAGCCCTCCCCACCTCTTGTTGCTCCCACCAGGACCTCCCTGATGTTGCCCTTGGAGTAACCCCCAGGCCAGAACTAGGTGTCATTTTCAAGCCTCCTCCCCAAATGTCCCCGCAACCCCTCCCTGGTTTCCTAGCATCAACCTCCATTCAACCTCCTCAACCTCCTCTGCCCCTAACCTGACAACAGGGGTAAAACTCACCCCTTGCCCGAGCAATTGAGGCTCCATCCCACCAGCCAGTTAGCTCCCTGTCCCTGCCACACAGCCACAGCCTAGCCAGTTCCCTTTCTGCCTGCAACTACCATTGTTGTGCAAGAAACCACCCCAAAATATAGTGGCACAAAACACTGACCATTTTCTTCTGTTCATGGAGTCTGCGGGTCAGGCATCGGACAGGGCACAGAAGAGGCGGTTTGTATCTGTTTTGTGATATCTGGGGCCTCACACAGCAGGCACCAGTGGCTGATGGGGGCTCGATGTCTGGGGTCTGGAACCATTCAGAGGCTTTTCACTCACGCGTGAACACGTGGTGGATGCTGACTGTGGGCTGGGAGCTAGGCTGGGGCTGTCCCCCAGAACACCTGCATGGACCCATTCATCAGGCCCGGGCTTCCTCATGGCATAGCAGCCTCTGTCCTAGGAGGACATCTTACCTGGTGGCTCAGGGATCCAAGGGTGAGCGTCTCAGCACGTAAGGTAGAAGCTGTGTTGCATTTTATGACACTCTTGGAAGCCCCAGAGTGCCACTTCTGCCATACTCTATTGGTCGAAGCAGTCACAAGCCCACCCACGTGTTTTTGTTTTTTGTTTTTGAGACGGAGTCTCGCTCTGTTGCCCAGGCTGGAGTGCAGTGACTCGATCTTGGCTCACTGCAAGCTCTGCCTCCTGGGTTCACGCCATTCTCCTGCCTCAGCCTCCCGAGTAGCTGGGACTACAGGCGCCCGCCACCACGCCCGGCTAATTTTTCGTATTTTTAGTAGAGACGGGGTTTCACCATGTGTTAGGCAAGATGGTCTCGATCTCCTGACCTCGTGATCCACCCACCTTGGCCTCCCAAAGTGCTGGGGTTACAGGCGTGAGCCACCGCGCCCGGCCCCGCCCATGTTTTAAGAGGGGGAGCACAGGCGTACATCTTCAGGAGATGAGGGGCCAGAAAGGCCAGAAGACCCTGTCTCTAGCACCCCCTACAGTCAATTCACTGTAGAAGGGCCTGCGGGATAGGGGAGATTGTTGGAGCCATCTTCAAAGTGCAAGCTGCCTTGTGGCTCCTCACCATGGCTGTGATGAAAGCCGCCCCCATTCCCTTCCTTTCCCAGCCCTGCCCCTCAGTACCAAGACACTGTCCCCTGCAGGAAACTTGCCTGGATTGAAAGCTATAGCTCCCACACCTCAGGGGACGGAATCACAACCACAGCCATGACGCGTCCAGGGAACATCTGGCCTCCCTCACTCTTCTCCAGAAATCTGGCCTACCCAGCTCCTTCTGCTCTCTTGGCCACTGACTCATCTGTGCTTCCCAGGGCTCCAGTACTGTCTTACGGAGGACTCTCCTGAGACCTCAGCCCCTTGCAGGACCTGCACCCCTATCTATTCACTGATGATCACCCAGTCAGTGGTTTCAGCCTAAACTTTTCCTAAAGGATCAGGTGCCCTCACCTACCTGCCAGGTGCAGAGGTCTCCCTCTTCCCTTGCACTCAGCACAGCCTGAGCCCAAAGGGCAGCCCCAGCCACCCTGGCACTGAAGCCAGAAGCCCCTCTCTCTAGTGCCCCCTACACAGGCACTTCATCTCCAGGCCCTCCCAGCTAAACTCCCAGGTCAGGTCCCTCCTCTCACCTGGCTCTCACCTGGCTCTCACCTGGCTGCTGGCAATTGCCCCTTCCCTGCGGAGTCCCTTCTCCAAGCAAGCTTTTCTAACATGAAACCCGACCTTGACCTTGCCACTCCCAGCTGAAACCCTTCCAAAGGCTCCCCAAATGTTCAGGACAAAATCCCAGCTCCTTGCCAACACAAGCAGAGCCTTTAACTGCCATTTGAATTCTTCCACTCTCTCTAGCTTCGCTTGTCACTGTTTCCCTCCTCCTCACACCTGTGCTCAGGGCTCCAGTCCCCTGGGCATGCTGCCATCCACTTCCAGGTGTTTGCACAAGCTGCTCCCTAGAATTGGAACACCTCTCATGGCCCTCACCTGGAGAGGGTCTGTTCCTCCTCACAGCGCCATCCAGTAGACTTTTCTGGACAATGGAAATGTTCCATTTCTGCACTATTCGACATGCTGTCCACTAGCCAATTGAAATGTGGCCAGTATGACTGAGGAACTGAATTGTTTATTTGTTTTTTATTTAAATGTAAATGGCCACCTGTGGCTAGTGGCTACCATATTGGATAGTATGCAGCTCCAACATAACACCTCTTCCAGGAAGCCTTCCCTGACCTCCCAAGCCTGGGCCAGATGCTCCCATAATGCTCTGTTCTCCAGGTGTTTATTCACCTGTCTCCCCAGCTGGTCTGTGAGTTCTTTTAGAGGTTATCTCTTGATCATCATGGTATCCCCAGCTCCAGGCTCTTATTAGTGACCAGTAGCTGTGCAGAGTCTATGAATTTTCTGAATCCACATCTAGGCACAGACTGGACCTTCCACGAAGACCAAATCCAAAATAACTCTGCTGAGGATCCGAGTAAATGTGTGTGTGTACACACATGTGCAGTGAATTCACGTGTAGTCATGTGTGCACACCCATTTGACCTTGGCAAGACCCGTGCAGGCCCCCACCCGGCTGGGGACAGTGGTCTCACACACAGATGCTGGCACGCTGGGCTGGACAGGAAGTGAGCCTCTGAATTGGCTTTTGTAAAAATCAAACGCTGTTTTCATTCTTGTTTCTAAGATGCTTCATCTGCATTGCAGATGAATCTTCAGGGAGTTTAAAAAGAAAAGCTTCCAGTTTTCTGTGTGGGACCACCTGCACTCTCAGTTCCACATTCTATAAACAAGCCCTTGCAGGCACAAGGGAAATTTGCCATTTAAATGAGCCTTCACCTCCTAAGTCAAAGGCCCATTTCTTGGTTACGAAGCTCTTGTTAAAGTTTTGATATTGGGTTTTCTTCAGATGGGGCCTCACGCTTCTGTTTCCCCCACTCCTCTCCCCTCCTTTTCTCCTCCTGTCCTGGCTCCTCCCTCCCTCTTAGGACACCACCATACCTCCTGCTCTGTCTGGGATGGGGTCTTCCACCCAACCATGCCAGGGTCTGAGAGAGGAAACAAGCCAGTTTCCTGCCCTCAAGGAGTTCCCACCTTTCTGTTCTGTCCTCAGTTCCCTACGATCTCCTTAAAAAGCAGAACCTTAGAATTACGCACTGGACAAATTCTTAGAGGCCTGATCCAATTTCCCATTGCACAGAGAGAGAGACTGAGGTCTGGGGAATGAACTGGACTTAGCCACACAGAACAGGGGAAAAGAGCCTCAAGCCCTCCATCCTCAGTCTGGGATTCTGGACACCACATCCCCCCACCGCCTACCCCGACTCCCTCTACCCCCATTTCCTCTACCTGGCTGCCACACTGGTGCTCCCTGACTCCCTCCTGGGCACAGACTGGTGACTAACCACCCTCAGCTGTGCCCACGGTCTTCAAGGAGGACTCCTATTTAAGAAATGAGGGGAGACTTCACCCCTTTGCCAGGCAGTCAACAGTTCCCCCCACAGGGATGTAATAATTACCAAGCCAGGCAGCAGGTGCCTCTATTACTGCTATTGTGTTCTGAGTCTCTTAAAATGGCATTGAAAGGGCATGTCAAGATCTTACAGCCTGCAATGGGACCCCCACAGAGGACTGAAAGGCGGCCACTGCAGCAGAGGCAGAAACTGGGTGTCAGGCATATGACTCAGCCAGAGCCTTCCAGAAAGCTGAGGGCAGGGGGTAGGTTGGGGAAGGGCAGGGAGTATGGGCAGCTGGCTCCAGACCCCATTCTGCCACCCACTCTTTCTGTGGACCTGGCTGGCCTAGCCCCTTTCATTCTCCATGCCTCTATTTCCCTCTTTTATTGAGGTTGGGGAGAGGGGAGGAACAGGGCTGCTAATGCCCTATATATGATGTGAAGGGTGGCCAGGGTCATCTTCTCCCTGTAGCAGCCCCCACGCCTGTGAGCCAAACCCCAGTCCACAAAGGCTCCAGCAGCTACAAGGAGACTCTCTTACCCCAAACAGCTCTCCTAGCTTTGTCCCCAAATTAGCCCTCCCCTGCTTGGCCCTACATCCCTTAGACACTTAGGAACTGAAATCATGAATGCTAGTTGAAGCTTAAGAAAGTCGAAAAAGGAGTCAGTGTCTTCAATTGTTTTAATAATGAGGGCATTGAGCAAAGCACTTTCCAGCTCCCATCAGACATCAGGAGGTGGTCTCCCAGCACTAGACCCCTAGTCTCTCCTGCTCCCTCTCTCTCTACACACACACAAACACACACACACACACACGCGCGCACACACACACACACACAGTGTGCCATGACAAGTGAGCTCTGGAAATATGGTGTAGTACCTCCCCCACTTGGTGATTCCCAAAACTGTTTAGCATTTAAAGGCTTTGGGAAGTCCTGCAAGAAAGATTCTGTTTAACTTGCTATTTCCCAAGCTTATGTGAGCATACTTTTTCTCAGGGTAGCACCTTTGAATCAGAAGTTACCTTTGCCTCCTGATAACAGAGATCCAGCCATAGTGGCCTAAACAAACTAGTAGTGTCTTTTACTCTCCCCTGTACAGAGGTCAGCAGCCCAGGGTCGGGATGGTGGCTTCACCATGCCTTCAATGTCTGAAATACCTTCTCTCTCCAGGCTAATCATCCTCAGCACTGCTGTCTATCTTCAGTGTCACCTCATGGTTCATAGTGGCAGCTGGGCTCCATCCTATCTGTATTCCAGGCAAGAAGAAAGAGGAAAGGGGGAAAACCCATGCTCTCTACCTGTCTCCCTTTTCCAGAACTTTCCCTGGAGCCTCGCCCAACAATTCTCTTGCTCATATCTCATTGGCCACCCCTGGCTGCAGGGGTCGCTGGGAAATGTAGTCTTTTAGGTGGACACCTTGCTCCCCAGAATAGAATAAGGGTTCTGTTACCATAGAAAAATGGGAACATGGCCGGGCGCGGTGGCTCAAGCCTGTAATCCCAGCACTTTGGGAGGCCAAGGCGGACCGATCATGAGGTCAGGAGATGGAGAGCATCCTGGCTAACATGGTGAAACCCCATCTCTACTAAAAATACAAAAAATTAGCCAGGCGTGGTGGCAAGTGCCTGTAATCCCAGCTACTCAGGAGGCTGAGGCAGGAGAATAGCTTGAACCTGGGAGATGGAGGTTGCAGTGAACCTAGATCGCGCCACTGCACTCTAGCTTGGGCAACAGGGCAAGACTCTGTCTCAAAAAAAAAAAAAAAAGAAAGAAAGAAAGACAGGAAAGAAAGAAAGACAGAAAAGAAAGAAAGAAAGGAAGGAAGGAAGGAAGGAAGGAAGGAAGGAAGGAAAGAAAGAAAGAAAGAAAGAAAGAAAGAAAGAAAGAAAGAAAGAAAGAAAGAAAGAAAGAGAAAGAAAGAGAAAGAAAGAGAGAAAGAAAGAGAAAGAAGGAAAGAAAGAAAGAAAGAAAGAAAGAAAGAAAGAAAGAAAGAAAGAAAGAAAGAAAGAAAGAAAGAAAGAAAGAAAGGAAAGAAAGAAAAAGGGGAACATGACTCCTGGGTGGACAAGTGCAGTCTCAGTCACTGCTTCTTTGCGTTGCAGTATTCTAGGAACTGCTTGGAGTCAGGACCAGCTGGGCCCAGCCCCTACTTCCTGCCTGTGTCTACAGGCTGTGCGGCCTTGAATAAGCTTCCTAACCTCTCTGAGCCTGTATTATTGTCTTTAAAATGGTGGTTATCATGAGGACCAAACAAGATAAAGTATGTGCAAGCAATTTATAAAGTGTAAGTTGTTATAGAAAAGAAAGATACTCTTTTTTTTTTTTTTGAGTCAAAGAGTCTCACTCTGTCACCCAGGCTGGAGTGCAATGGCGCGATCTCGGCTCACCGCAACCTCCGCCTCCCAGGTTCAAGCGATTCTCCTGCCTCAGCTTCCCTAGTAGCTGGGATTATAGGCGCGTGCCATCACACCTGACTAATGTTTCTATTTTTAGCAGAGACGGGGTTTCACCATGTTGCCCAGGCTGGCGTCGAACTCCTGAGCACAGGCAATCCACCTGCCTCGGCCTTCCAAAGTGCTAGGATTACAGGCATGAGCCACTGTGCCCGGCCCAATACTCTTGTTTTCATTCATTCCTCTAAAAAGCCTTGTGAAGCAAGCAGGGCAATACCTAGTTCCACATTTGAATGGAGAAGAAACCGAGGCTCTGAGATATGAATTGACTTCTATGATGATGAAATCTGAGCCCTGTTTTTGTTAATGGAATGAACCTTGATTCCATCCTGAGCCTGAGCCCTGACCTTGGTTACAGACTGATCCTTGATCCTGGCCTGAGTTGAAGTTCTGATCTTAGTTTTAGACTGAACCCCAATGCTAGTTACAGACTGAACCCTGCTCCCCACCTGAGCCTAAGCCCTGATCTTGATCTCTGAGTCCTGATAAAGAGGGGCCCTCTCGAACCATGTAGCAGCACCCAAAGGTGTCCACTGGGCTTCAGAGAGGTACAAATGGATGATGCTGATTCCTAGGCCTGGAGGATGGGGCTTCCTCCCATTTTGTGGTTCATCCAAACCTTGCTAAGTAGTGGGGAGAGCAGACCAAGTCTGTGGACCCTGGCAGAGACAGCCAAGTAGATGTCCAGAGAAATAGGAGAAGCACATGGCCTGCTTCCCCTAGTAATTTTCCCAGCCCAGACAGCTGTAATGGGGAAAGTATTGAAATTTAAATCAGAGCCCAGCCTAACCTCTCTGCCCGCCTGCCGCCCGCTGCCGCTTCGCCTGTAATCTCAGGCTGGCTATCTCCTCCTTGGGAGAACGACAAACCGACTCAGGGAAAGTGATAAATTTTCAATTTTATTTTAAAATATACCAGATGTGAGATTTTATTGGAGCCATAAATATGTCAAGAGCAATGTTGGTGTGTGATGGGCGATGCCCCCTCCTTGGGGCCTCTCTCCCTGTTTAGAAATTCCATCAGATTCTTAATAAGAGGCTCCAGTTCGACTGCAGCAAAATAGTCTCTATATTAAAGCAATTGAATTTCCATTTGCCAGACATCTTGTGCTTTAAGCTTCCAGGTTCCAGGGGTGTGGGGTTGCTAAGCCGATTCTAAATGAACCTAAACTAATAACTGCACAGCACGCTGGGGGCTTGAAAGAGTGGGAGGGGAAGACTGGGGAAGGGAAGGGGAGGAGGGGAAGGGAAAGGAAAGCAGGGGAGGGAAGGGGAAGGAAGGGACAGGAGAGGAAGAGAGGAGGAGGTGCTGCCAATCACAGACCCCGGGCCGGGGAAGGGAGGGACCTCCCTCACTTTTCCAGCTCCTGCTGCCAGCCTGAGATGAAAATCCTGCAAATGACAGAAGGGCCAGCTCCCTCTGTTCACAGAAGGAAAACTGAGGCCAGAAAAAGGGGTGAGGGGTGATGATGTGACTGGGATTCTGGTCCCTCTTCCCTCCTCATTGCTTTCATTGCTGTCTTCATTGATTTGCTATTTTGCAGGCCTTCTTGGGTAGGGGTCCTTGTTGAGGTTGGGGCTGCTGAGCAAGGCTGGCCCCCTCCACCAAGACTCTCCCCTGCACCCTTTGGAAGGCTCTGCTCTGCCTTGGGGATTTGCCTCACTCACTTTCCCCCCACAGCCTTTCTCTCCTGCATCAAGTCATTCTTTGCTCCTGCAGAAATGTCAACCTTTCACTCAACCTCAAGCATCTCCTTATCCTAGAGAATGGCTCAGATTATGGCTCAAGGACATCAGAAGTGAGAGGATCGAAAGGCTGGGACACCAAGGCTCAGAGGCGGCAAGGGCACAGGGAATACTATTCTTCTGGAACAGTCCCTGGACTGTGGGTATGAATAGGTGCTGCCTACCCACAACCTCCCCATCCTCCCCGCCTCAGCCAACCTCAGCCAGGTCTAAGTGGCACCTGTCCAGGTTTGACAGAGGTGATGCCCAGGTAGTAAGGGACAGAGTCGCAGCCAGAATTCCTCCCTCGTTGAGAGCAAGGCTCCTAATCTCGCTGAGCCTCCATTCTCAAAAACGGATATACACTTCTGAACACCAACAACAAACAAAAATTGTGGGCATACTGTTATTTACACCCCAAAATATTTGAGAGCTTAAATGAGATAATCCATGAAAACTGTGTAGCATAATGCTGGTCCCTAGTAAGTGCTCCAAAATGTTAGCTATTATTATTCCTTTGTTATGATGATAATTATTACTGCCCTGGGTGCTTCCAGTGGGAACTATATCTCCCTGTAGGTCTGTGTCTCCCAAGCTGTCTGGCACAGAATTCTGTAGACAGTAGCTGCTCAATATTGAGTTAAATAGTTAAGAATTTTCCATCCATTGGGACAAGACATGGGCTCTGGAGGTAATCAGAGTAGATTCAAATCCTGGTTTTGACTTCTTTGCTCTGTGTGCTCCGTGACCTCTCCAAGCCTCAATTTCTTCATCTGTGAAATGGGTGAATAATCCTTTCCCTGCCTTCTTTCAGGACGGATGCATGAACCAGAGCTGGAGAAAACTTTCTTAAACTACACTCTTCCTTATTCCTCCTGCCTGTCTCATCAAACTGGGTCTTTCTCAGGGACCCTATGTACCTGAGTCCCAGGAGGGTCCTAAGAGAGGCAGGGCTGGGGACAGCTCCCACCATCTGCCCCTGACTCCCCCATCTCCAACCCAATCATGAGCTGTGTGCTGCCCTCCAGGGCCCAGCTGCTGAAAGTGGACCCGTGGACAAGATCATGGCAATGGCCATCCTGGTATCACACAGGATGTTGGAGCTAGAGATCTGATAATGTGGCCAGAGAGAATGAACATGTGGAATCCAGCAACAGAGATCAAGGCCAGCCCCAGCCATAGTGACAGCACCACTGGATAATGACTGCCTCATCCACGGGGTTCTGAGCGATGGGGTTTTTGCCTCTGGATGTGGATGTGTGCTTCTCTTTGGGGAGAAGGTCCATAGTTTTCACCATCTTCTTAAAGGACTTCCAGACCCTCAAACTGTTCAGAACCAGGAGCTCCGTTCTCCACCCAGGATCTGCCTCCCAGCCACACCCACGTCCTTACTGACAGGGAGAAGAGGCAGGCAGAGGGTGCGCACGAACCTGAAAGCTCCACTGTCCGGACCCCGGACGGGCCTCAGACAGGACAGTGAGCTCCCCGGAGACACACAGAGAACCGTGGTGAAACCCTCCAGCACGGTGCCTTCCTCATGCCAGGCATGAGGCGGTTTAAAGCCGAGTGTTCAGTAAAGGGCTGACTGAATTGTCACACCCTGGGACGAGCTCCCGGTTGCCTCTGGGCTGAGCAGCCACCCTGCTGACCTCCAAGGTCCCTGCCCACTCTGCTGTTCTCTGCTCCTTCATTAGGGAGGGCCAAGGACAGTCTGGTGGTTTGAAGCAGAGGAGTGAAAGTCATTCCTTCCCGTTGACCCAGCAACGTCTGGATCAGGTGAACTTTTCCAGAGGGCTCGCCATGTCCCTGGCATAGTGCTGCCTGCCCGTGGGGCTGAACCTGCTTCATCCTCCATTTTAGAGATGGAGAAAGCGAGCCTCAGAGAGGCCAAGTGAGTCCATCAAACATTGAGGTCACATGGCCAGTACGTAGGGGCTGGATGGGGCAGAGCGCCGCGAGGCAGTCCTGCAGGGATGCCATCTGCCAAACCCTTTCCTGGAACTCCTCTCTTTTCATTCTGTGGGCCTGCAAGAGAGGCCGGGCAGGGGCGCTGTTAGGAAGCTGAGGCGGCAAGAGTTAGAGTGACCTGCTCAAGGTCACACAGCGAAGATAGGGCAGAGGTGAGGCTCCAACCTAGGTCTTCCAACGCCCCATTCTCTGGTCCCTAAAGAGACAAATGTTACAGATACTTTGCTTTAAGATGTACTGAAACCCATCCACTCATCTGCTCACTCATTCCGCAGGTGTTTCTCAGGGACCTACACTGTGTTTGGGCACTGTGCTAAGTACTGGGGAGGGTTTCAATGTTATCAAAGCAAACAACAATGCCTGCCCTCCTAGAGTTTATATTCTAATGCAGGAGAAGGAGAAACAACATAAGTAAGTTAATTACAAAGTGCCAGAAGGCAATACATCTGTGGAATGCAACAGAGCAGGGTCAGGACATGGGGAGGGCCAGGCGGAGGCGGTTTAAAGTCGAATGTTCAGGGCAGGTCTGGTGAGAAGATGAACATCAGGCTGGGTGCAGCAGCACATGCCTGTAATTCCAGCACATTCCACCCTCCTTGCCTTGGGAGGCCAAGGGGGGTGGATCACGCGGTCAGGAGTTTGAGACCAGCCTGTCCAACATGGTGAAACCCCATCTCTACTAAAAATACAAACATTAGCCAGGCGTGGTGGCATGCGCCTGTAATCTCAGCTACTAGGGAGGCTGAGGCAGGAGAATTGCTTGAACCCGGGTGGCAGAGGTTGCAGTGAGCCGAGATCGCACCACTGCACTCCAGCCTGGGCGACAGAGTGAGACTCCATCTCAGAAAAAAAAAGAAAAAAAAAGGATGAACATCAAGCAGAGACTTGAAGGAGCTGGGGAAATGAGCCAGCCATGTGGACCCAATGGGAGGAGTCTGTCAGCAGAGGAGCCGCCTGTGCGAAGGGCCTGAGGTAGCAGTGGGCCTGGGGTGCTTGTGGACAGCAGGGAGCCTGGTGTGGCTGGAGCAGAGGAATGGGAGAAGAGTGGGAGGCGATGATGGGGGAAAGGTGGAGAGAGAGGAACAGATCATGCCTTGGCATTAAAATTGCCCATGGGCAGATGGGCCTTCCTGGGCAAATCTGAAGGTCTCACAAATGATGGAGTCACATGGGGCTCATCACAACCAGAAGCAGAGTGGGAGTGGGGGCATCCAGCCCTCTCACCTCCCCTGGGAGGAGTCTTCTTCCTCCACCTCTCCTACCCTCACCCTGTGCCACCCCATGCTGCCCCTACCCCACCTCATGCTTGTGGTGTGTCCCCAGGGAGACTGGGCCAGGCTGGGTGAAGGAGGAAGGTCCATAGCCTTCCCCAGCCTAGGAGTCTGCTAGCTGCTAGTCTGAGTGAGCTTTGAACCTGCCAGGCCCTGCAGGGGCACTAGAAACCATTAGCAGGCAAACAAAAGGCCTGGGGAGGCCTATGAAGCCACCATGGAAGCCTACAGCTAGGTTTATTTCGAATTGAATAAAGAGCCCTGAAGCCCAGCCATAACCACCCGCTACTCTCCACACCCCTCCCAGACTCCTGACCTGAGGAAAGGCAGGCCCAAGGGCTTGTCCATGGCCACACAGCAACCGAGGCCAAAGCCCCGGTCATCTCCAGAGGGGAGAAGCTTTCTGTGCCCATGAGTGCAGGGCAAGCCACGGCCCAGAGAAGGCCACCACAGGTGAGGCCCACACCGGGCACGATGTGCAGAGTGGGTAGGTGGACACTGAGAACCCTTCGGGTGAGGCCCGAGCCAGTGAGTTCAGGGGCTGAGGGTCTCCTCATCTGTTTACTCGCTGTGTGACCCTAGAGAAGTGTCTTAACCTTCCTGAGCCCAACTGCAACATGGGGTTCCTAATAGCCCTACTTTACAGGGCGGCTGTAAAGATGAAGTGAGCTCACCCATCTAAAAGCACTTAGGCTACTGTGTGGCTCAGGATAAGTGTCATCCTCCCACTGCCTTCCCTCAAGTAAGAATGGAGGGGTGGGCAACTGCCAGGCGGTTCCCAGGCCTAGGTCCCCAGGGCAGACCCGCGCCTCTAGCGGAGCTCATCCCTGAACTGAGGCTGCCTTCCCCACCACCGGCCGCAGAGCCTCAGAGGCAGCCAACCAGACGGGCGCTTTTAACAGCTTTTTAATGTGATGGAGCTCGCTGAGCTTGGAGAGTGGAGGCATGTCAGGGGCTTGCCTGCGGAAGCTTTCAAGGTCAGCCAGCAGCAGCCTGACCTTGAAGCCTGTCCCTTCCCAGGAACAGCCCAGGGGCTGCCGAGACCATTCGCCATCAAGGAGGCCCTGGGGGCCCCAGCTCAGGAAAAGTATTAAAAAAAAAAAAAAACAGCGATGAAGAGGCGTTAAATGGATTAAGGAGGCAGGTGGCCAGAGAGGATGAGGGGCAAGGCTGTGCCAGGGACAGCAACAGCAGAGACCTCCTCCTCCAAGAGGCTTCAAATTGGCTTCTCCTCCCTCGTCACACGCCAAACAGTCTCCCAAGTGGAAAGACTGGGAAGATAAGCAACTTCCCCTTCATCTCCTCCTTCTCACAGTCTCCCCAGCAGGACAGCGCTGCTTCCTTCGTCCTGCAGATTCATAAAAATCAGGGTCATCTCCCTGAGAAATGGCTCAATTATCAGCTCCCCTCACAGAGAGCACAGAATAAGATGGGCCTTACAAAGTGGGGCCACCCACCAGGCCACCCGCACCCCAGCACACTGCCTCGGCGCTCCCCAGAGAAGGCAAGAACTCTGCAGGGAGGGCTTGGCACTGTCACCGCCCTCCTCCCCACCTTCTGGGGGCCTCTGCCACAGCCCTAGTGGTGGCAGGCCTGTCTAGGCAAGATGGGACTTCAGCCCCTTCCTAGCTGTTGCTGTGAGCAGGCCGGTGGCCAATGGCCTCAAGTCTAGTGTGTAGGCTGAGCCCCTCACAGCTCACCTGGCACTTCACTCCCATTATCCTCTGTAAGGCGGGGAGTGGTATACGTCTGTTTTAAAGACTAGGAAATTCAGGTCCCTCAGCCAATAGACAGAGGAACTGGAATTCAAATCCAAGTTCTGGTTCCCAGACCTGGGCACTGCAGAGCCCGCATGGGGAGGAGACTTATAGGCCTCTCAGCAGCGGGTCACATTCTCAGGGACTGGGGGGGCTCCCCCAGCAGACAGGCCAAGGAGACCCCAGGGAGAACAAGAGCAGAGGGCAGCCTCTTCCCAGCTTCCCTTCTGCCCAGGGCCGGGGTCGTGGCCAGGGCACAGTGGGGAAGGCCAGGCCCCTTCCAGGATACACACCATGCCCCAGCCCAGAGGGAAGTCATGGGAAACTAAGGGCTTCAGGAATCCCGGAGTGTCCACCCTACCCCAGAGAAGCCCAAAGGGATGAGGGGATTTCAAGTTGGGCTGGGAACCAGGTGGCCTCGTTCCAGTCCCAGCTCTGCCATGGACGAGGAGTGGCCTTGGACAAGTTCCTGCCCCTCTCCTCCCTCAGTTTCCCTGTTTGTGAAATAGGTGATGATCCTCTCTAAATGGGAAGATCTCTCTGACTCACCCCCAGGAGGATCTGGCCACCCTCTCACTCTAAACTGGCCCGGGTAGAGCCAGTAGCTGGAAGAGCCAGGGCTGAGCCCACCGCATGGGAATTCAGGGATGGGGTCTGCTGAATTCCAAACTTTCAGCAGCAGAGCGGCTGCAGGGCTTTCCCACAGATGCAGCTCAGCCCCCGGAGCAGGCCCCTCAGTTCCCACTGCAGCCCTTCCAAGTGGAAACCACAACGCTGTGGAAGCCCGGCAGAAAGTAAACAGAAAGCACGTCCCCAGGACCTCGAGGCCCCGGGCCCCGCCTGGGGCAGCCCTCAGGGAGGCGGCTCCAACCAGAGCAGATTCCTGCCGAGCCTGTCTGGACTAGCCTGGGGCCCCTGAGGGAGGAGGCAGCCACCCCCACCCCCACGCCCCCTGCTCAGATCAGAGAAAATGCTGTCTGCCTCCTGCTCAGAAGCGCCAAGGGGTAGGGGAGAGCAGGCCTGACACCAGAGCACAGGGCCCTGGTCTTAGCGCTGCTACAGACTCCCTAGAGGGGCAAGGCCAAACCTCCCTGTGCTTCACTGTCCCCATCTGAACAACAGACACGGCACATCAGCTGCTTTCTAAGGTCCTTCCCAAGTACCAAGAGTTTGATCTTAGAACGTGGAACGAGGTGGTCCGCTGAAAAGGGGAGACGAATGGGGGCTGTCTCAGGGGCTCGAGCTGGGAAGGCAGGCTGGGTCTATGAGGAGGGACCCACGTGGGCGTAGTCCTGGCCTCCCTCTCCCCCTCCACATGCCATTTTACAGCGGAGGAGACAGAGGCCTTTCCCAGGCCAGCCACACAGAAATGGAGCGCAGGGCTCCTTGCTGGCTCTGGGGTCCTGAGCCCAGGCCCTTGAGGAGGCTCATGCAGGCCCTGGCAGGTGCAAGCGAGGATGCGGGGAAGGCAATGTAGTGTGGGCCAATCTTGCTCCACCCTCTCCTCCCGAACCCCCCAGCTTTTCTCCAGGGCCTGACCAGGCCTCTAGCTTGGATCTGTCTTTGGGCAGGTGAGGGGAAGTGAAGTGCAGGGGACAGGGAGCAGGCAGAGCCGCAGGATTTGTTCCTCTCCATCTCTGGGCCCCTTGTGATGTCCTCTGCCCAAAGGGCCTTGTTTCCCAATCTCCTCCAAAGTTACAAAGTCAGCTCCCTGTCATCCACACAGTGCTGAAGCCATGCTGGGTTCTGAGAAGATGGGGGAAGGCCTCCACTGGGAACCACACCCCACCTAGGACTCAAAGCTCCATTGGCTGGCTCCAACACTCCTGCCCCTTCTGCCTGTGGTCCCTCTCCTCACAGGGCCTGGACACACGTCCCTGAGACTGGTCAAGGGCCAATCGTACTCCAGAAAGACCCAGACTTACCTTCCCACTTCTACGCCAGATTGTTCTCCTGAGCAGCTGCAAAAAGCCACCTCACTTCTGTAGCAAAAGACCTTCATGCAGATGGTCTTGATGGCCCATGACATATGTCCAGGCCTGTTAGAATCCTGCTTTGGTCTCTCGACCTACCCCACTATGTCCACGTCCACACGGAAAGGCTCTTGGGATCTCACCCCAGGCTCCCCAGCAGGATCCTTTTCTGGAGTTGGGAGGCAGGAGAAAGAGTCACCGCAGGGAGTAGACCGGACGGGCCCCTGGCACCAGCCACGTGTGGCTGGAACAATCAATGACTGAGCCCTGGACCAGGAGCTTGGGTTCTGGTCTCAGCTCTGCTGGTGACTTGCTGTGTGATGGTTGGCAAGATACACCTTCTTTCTGAGCCTCAGGCGCTGTTTTTGAAGTGGCATTGTTAACTGCTCCTCGTTTGGCTGTAGGATCTCCACCACACATCACTGTCACTCCTACCTGGGCTCAGAACTTTCCCTGGCATCTTTTCCTGCCCACCTCCCCCGACTCAGCACCCCTTGGAAGTGCTCCTTCTGGGGACCTGAGGAGGGCATAGGCAGCATGGCCCACGTACCCACCTCTCAAGAGAGGCCTCCAGCAATGCCTCCTTTTAGCCACAGGTCCTGGGACCAGTGAGCCAGGGCCTACAGCAGCCCACATGGACACATGGACACATGGAAACGTGGCCACACTGCCACAGAGTCAAGAGCCCTTCTCCCTGCTGAGCAGGCTAATGCCTTAATCCCTTTACACAAAGCCTGCTGATTCTTTCCTCGGGGCGGGGAAAGTGGTTGGGGCACAAATTGGCTTATTCCACTGATCCAGAGAGAGGCTTCTCCCATGAGGCCAGCAGATCCATCCCTGTGTGTGGCTGTCGCTCAACTCTCTGCAGCACACACACCCCTCATTACCCTCACCCCCGAGCCTCCAGGAATCCTTGTAGATTCAGAGATACGGAGACTCCCCGTGGTCCTCCCTCCCTCCTTCCAGGAGAACTGCTGAGTATTGGAGATAGACAGGCCTAGGCTGCCAAGCTCCTACACTGACTAGTTTGGGGTGTCTGACCCCAGGTACGAACTGTTAGGGAGGACACAGAGAAGGCAAGAGAGGATACGCCACCCAGAAAATAGTAGAATGGGAGAAGTTTCTCTCCATTCCTTTCACTCACTTTCCATAGCCCTATCCAGGGCCCAACCTGGCCAGAAGAAAGGTATTTTGTAAGCTTCCTTCTGATAAAATTGCAGACCATCCAGAGTGAGGGTAGCCTCAAAAGAAGGGACAGCCAGTGGTGGAGTTTCAGGCATTCACAGAAGAGATCATTTGAGTCAGCAAGCTTTTTTGGTATCCATAAAGCCCATGGCCCTGTGGCACCTGCATGTGTGCATAGTGAGGTCAAGGGGAAGGTGGCATGTCCGAGGGAGGGAGGCAAGTGGTGCCACGAAAACCAGTTCACACACAGACTCGTCAGAACACCCACAGCAGGCTGGTTCATAGTGACCCAGAACTGGAAACAACCCGATGTCCATCAGCAGGTGCCTGGATTCCTGTGGTACATTGGTGCGATGAAATACTACTCAGCCATACAAAAGCATGAACTATTGATACACGCAACTAACTAGATAAATCTCAAAATCACTAACCTGAGGGAACGGAGCCAGGCACAAAAGAATACATTCTACACAATTCCAACCATGTGAAAATCCAGAACAGGCAGCAGAATGGATCTTGGTGATAGAGGTCAGATGGGGAGGAAGGAGGGGGTGAGAGGAAGAACACGTGAGAGAACTTTCTGGAATGATATGAAAGAAGTGTTCTGTATCTTGATTTGGATGATAGATACATAGTCAATTGTCAAAACCCATTTAACTGTACACTTAAGGTTGCATGTCAATTTTATCTAGTATGTAAATAATAAAAATAAGCATGGAATTTTTTTAGTCAGTTAGTTAAATCTTTATTTTGGAATCATTGCACACTTACAGAAAAGTTGCAAGACCAGCGCAAAGAATTCACATTTACCCTTCACCCAAATCCCCCAACAACTAGCATTTTACCACAATTGGTTTATCATCCTTTCTCTCTGTCTGTCTCCCTGTCTCTCTCTTCATGCATATATAATTATACATACATTATGTATATGTCCTACATATCATTGTTTTCTGAGCCTTTCAAAAGTAAGTTACAGATATCATAGCCCTTTTGCTCAAAATAGTTGTGTGTATTTCCTAAGAATAAGGTTATTTTCTTGTCTTTGTTATCAAAATCAGGATATTAACATTAATAATAATATTTTCTGATCTATATGCCTTCTTATTCAAATTTTGCCAATTGTTCAAAGAATATCCTTTATTAATTTTTTTTTGGTCCAGGATTTGATCCAGGATCCCAGGTTGCATTTACTTGTCATGTCTTGTTAGTCATATTTAATTTGGAATTGTTCCTCAGCCTTTCTTTGTCTTTCATGTGCTTGGCATTTTTGAAGAGTGTGGGCCAGTTATTTTAATAAATGTTCTTGGCTGGGCATGGTGGCTCATGCCTGTAATCCCAGCACTTTGGGAGGCCGAGGCGGGCAGATCACAAGGTCAGGAGATCAAGACCATCCTGGCTAACACGGTGAAACCCCATCTCTACTAAAAAAAAAAAAAAAAAAAAAAAATTAGCCGGATGTGGTGGCGAGCGCCTTTAGTCCCAGGTACTCAGGAGGCTGAGGCAGGAGAATGGCCTGAACTTGGGAGGCGGAGCCTGCAGTGAGCCAAGATCGCACCACTGCACTCCAGCCTGGGCCACAGAGAGAGACTGTGTCTCAAATAAATGAATAAATACATAAATAGTCTTTAGTTTGGGTTTGTCTGATGTATCCTCATGATTAAATGCAGGTTGTTGATTTTTGCAGGATTATCACAGAAGTGAAGTTGTGTCCTTCTTCGTGCATCATCTCAGGAGGTACATGATGTCTATTTGACCTATTACTAGTTATACTAATTTGGATCACAGGTTAAGGTGTGGTCTAGCACTATAAAGTTACTATTTTTCCATTTCTATTTAATAAATATTTTGTGGGCAGCCTGGGCAACATAGTGAGACCCAGTCATATATATATATATAAAATATATATCTCATATGTACATATATGATAAGTCTCATATATCTATATATATGTCATATATCTACATATATGATATGATGTATATAACTTACATATGATTATATATATCATATATATGTATAGGTATATATTAGCCAGGTGTGGTAGCATGCACCTGTAGTCCCAGCTACTCTGGAGGCTGAGGTGGGAGGATCATTTGGGTCCACCAGAAGTTTGAGGCTGTAATGAGCTGTGATTGTGCCACACTGCATGCCAGCCTGGCCAACAGGAGTGAGACCCTGTCTCTCTCTCTCAAACAAAAAAAAAAAGTACTTTGTGGTGAGTTACCTTTAGACCATATACATATCCAGTTCTTTGTCAGATTTTTCACCCACTAATTTCAGGATCTATTGATGATTCTTGCCTGAATCAATTATTACTATGATGCTGGTCAAATGTAATTTTCTAACCTCAGAATTTCCTCTTTATTAGTTTGAATTTTACTATACAGAAGAGCTTTTTCTTTTCCTCATGTATTTATTTATACTTATTATGTTATCTCTGTATGGACTCAGGGATTCTTATTTTATTCAGTGGGTTGTAATTCATTCTTATCATTATTCATTTTGGTGCTCAAATTGTTCCAGGTTTGGCCAGTGGGAGCTCCTTCAAGCTGGCCCCTGTGTCTTTTTGACATTTCCCCATCATTCTTTGAGCATTTTCTTACTTTCAGGTTCATCACGTACTTGTCCTGGAAATCAGCTATTTCTCCAACGATCCCTTATTTATTTTAGGAGAGAATGATCTGGGAGGTAGAATATCCATGACCATATCTATATTAACATCTCTATATAAAGCCATGTGCTTGTATGGTTACCTCCAATTTCAATTTAATACCTAAGGGTACATTTTTGTCTTCTCCCTTCCAATACCTGTAACTCACTTCTTCAACAGTGAGAAACTTGGACCCCGTGATTGTCATTATATTTACTCATATGCCGAAGCCTAGAAGTTTCAGAATGGCTAAACCATACCGCTGCAAAAAACAAACCTGCTAACTAGAGTCTGACATTTTTGCAGATCTTTTTTATCTTTTGTCTGGGCGTATATAGTAAAATACTGTGTTCAAAATGCCCTTGGGTCAGATTTTCCCCTCCTTTTAGTGTGGTTGTTATTCATTTGAAATGCATTAGGTTTGTTTGTTTCTGATTGTATTACATTTTAGAGACTTCCCCCATCCTTTATTATTGTTGTTGTTTGAACAGGTAAAGCACTGATGTGGTTCTGAAAGCCAACACTATACAAAACATTTATACTCAGAAAAAATAGCTCTCTGCTCATATCCCTTCCACCCCATTCCCACCCTACCTCTGTAGGTAACTGATCTCATTCGTTTATCCTTCCTGTGTTTCTTTTTGCAAAAATAATCTTCTATAATATAATATAATATATTATAAATATATAATATAAATTTATATATTCCCCCTTCCATAATATATAAAAGGGTAATAATTTCTTATTTCCCCTTCTTTCTTACACACAAAGTAGCATTCTAGAGTTATAGTTTTGCACTTTACTATTTTAAACTTAACAATACATCCTGGATTCACTCTCTCTCAGTTAGTAGAGATTGTCCTTAATTTTTGTAAGCTTACATTTTTATTGAAGAATAGCATACATACCGAAATCATAATGTACAAGTCATAAGCGTATGGCTTGATGATTTTTCACTTCGTGAAAAATGTAACCACCACCACATAACTGTAGCACCCTCATGCAACCAGCACCACCGAAATCCTTTCTTGTCCCTACCCACATTAAGGGACGCCGCTATCCTGACTTGTAACACCATTGATGAATGTCTGGTTTGAAAACTGTGTAAATGGGTTCATATAATATTTGCTCTTTGGTGTCTGACTCATTTTGCTCAGCATTATGTTTGTGACATTTATCCATGGCTATGTGTAATTATAGCTTGCTCATTCATATTCTATAATTATATGACTATATATATATTATTTATTTTTTTATTTTTTTGAGACAGAGTCCCACTTTGTCCTCCATGCTGGAGTGCAGCGGCGTGATCTCGACTCACTGCAACCTCTGTCTTCCAGGTTCAAGTGATTCTCCTGCCTCAGCCTCCCGAGTAGCTGGGACTATAGGCGCACACCACCATGCCCAGTTATTTTGTAATTTTAGTAGAGACGAGGTTTCACCACGTTGGCCAGGATGGTCTCGATCTCTTGACCTCGTGATCCACCCGCCTTGGCCTCCCAAAGTTTTGGGATTACAGGCGTGAGCCACCACTCCCGGCCTTATACCACGATATTTTTATCAACTATGTTTTTCTGGCTGGGCTCAGTGGCTCACTCCTGTAATCCCAGCACTTTGGGAGGCCGAGGCGGGCGGATCACGAGGTCAGGAGATCAAGACCATCCTGGACAACATAGTGAAACCCCGTCTCTACTAAAAATACAAAAATTAGCTGGGCTTGGTGGTGCGTGCCTGTAATCCCAGCTACTTGGAAGGCTGAGGCAGGAGAATCACTTGAACCAGGGAGTCGGAGGTTGCAGTGAGCTGAGATCACACCACTGCACTCCAGCCTGGCGACAGAGTGAGACTCCCTCTCAAAAAAACAAAACAAACAAACAAAAACCAAAAAAAAATAAAACCACCAAACCAAACCCTATGTTTTTTATGGGTATTTGGGTATTTCCAGCTTTTTGGCTTTATAGTTAGTGCTATGAAAATTCTAGTATCTGGAATGCTTTTGGTACCTAGAAATGTAATTGCTGGGTTATAGGGTCTGCATATGGTTAGCTTTGGTAGGCGTCTTTAGATGCTTTTGCAAAGTGTTGATATGCCAGTTTGCATTCTTACCAGCCATGTAAAGCACAGTTACAGTTGCTGCACATCCTCACCAACACCAAATTTTTAAAATCTCTCTTACTCATTTTAGCCATCCTGAGGGTATGTGTTGTACTGGGGTTTTATTTATTTATTTATTTATTTATTTATTTATTTATTTTTACTTTTTGAGACGGAATCTCGCTCTGTCACCCAGGATGGAGTGCAGTGGCGCGATCTCGGCTCACTGCAACCTCCAACTCCCAGGTTCATGCCATTCTCCTGCCTCAGCCTCCTGAGTAGCTGGGACTACAGGCGCCCACCACCGCACCCGGCTAATTTTTTGTAGTTTTAGTAGAGACGGGGTTTCACCATGTTAGCCAGGATGATCTCAATCTCCTGACCCTGTGATCCACCCGCCTTGGCCTCCCAAAGTGCTGGGATTACAGGCATGAGCCACCGTGCCTGGCCCCATGTACTGGGGTTTTAATCTGTATTTCCTGGATAAGCAAATAGCACTTCTTCCCAGGATCACTAACAAACTAGTCCCCTTGGCTCTGGCCTTGGAATCAGAAGACCTTACCCTGCCCACTCTGATTGGGTGAGTTATGTGACACTGACCTGTCAGTCCTTTCCTGCCATGACAACAAAATACTTTAGATTGGGTAATTTATAAACAACAGAATTTTTTTGCTTGCAGTTCTGAAAGCTGGGAAGTCCAAGATCAAGGCCCCAGCAGATGTGGTGTCTGGTAAGGGTTTGCCTTCTGCTCCATAGATGGCGTCTCGTTGCTGTGTTCTTATGTGGCAGAAGAGGCCAGGGAGCTCACTTGAGCCTCTTTTATAAGGACATAATCCCATTCATAAGGGCAGAGCCTTCAGGACTCGATTACTTCCAAAAGGCCCCACCTCTTAATACTATCACACTGGGGATCAAGTTCTAACATGTGAATATTGGAGGGACACCAGCATTCAGACCATAGCATGATCTATCTAAGTTTTCTCATCTGTAAGTGGGAACAATAACCCTTGGCCTGCGTTTGCAGTAGGCGCACACTGGCGTTGGAGTTGGTGGAGCTCCAGGACTTTCTTCCGGGCTTGTCTCCCTACTTCAAGGGCACAGGTGTTTTTAGAAGACAGGGTTTGTTGCCCACATGCCAGTCGTCTCCCCTACTTCTACCCTGGATCTTTTTCTTCCTTTGACAGCATCTCAGGGCTTCCTCTTCCAGATCACCTTCATCTTTTTTCTATATCACTGAGGCAGGATCTAGGCCAGAAGGGACAATGGATGGACCCAGGAGGTGGCCATTTGCATTTGGCTTGCTCTATTGCTGCGTGACCCGGGCTGGTTTCTAAAAGGAAATGGGGTATAGACATTGCCTGCAGCATCCCTGGGGCACTTTAGTGCTCTTGTGTGCTGTGCTGAGGAGGAGGTCATCCAAGCAGGTTAGCAGATGGGAAATAGACAAACCATCTTTGTGTACTTAGGATGCCAGATAGTCATGCAAATAGCTGCCACATGCCTATGTGGCAAAGAAAGTACAGCACCCCCAAAGGAACTCTCAAATCCCTTTGGACAGCCTGTGGGAGGAGTGTGCTCCCAGCTTTCCCTCCTTCAGTGCACCTGGACTGTTCTGAGATGGGAATGACTTGAGTGTAGAGAAGCCCAGTCCCTTATTCACTCCAAGAAGACGCTGAGCCGTGGTGTGGTGCAAAGCGAGAGGCAAGGCTCCGCCTGAGTGTCCTCAGGATGGCTCGGTTGTGGACCCTGACTACAGATGCCTAGAGCCCATGCGGAAGCTAAGGCACAAGCATAAACAACTGTGGACCAAGTTCTGGAGGGGCACAGATGGTTTCTAACATGAAGGGCTGGTGAGTAATGTAGGTAAGAGTGAGGGAAGGTGTAGCAGGTCCAGGGACCAGCCTGTGTACAGTTGTGGAGATGGGGACCTGGGGCATGTTCGTGGAGTGAATGAATGAAGGCAGGTGGGCTAGATCACCAAGGCTTGAAAACTTGGCTGAAAGGCTGGGATTTTATCCAGTGCATAATGACCACTGGTGTTTATGAGAGGGGTTGGTGCAGGCGTGGTAGAATCACAGCTGATCACAGATGCTCACCTTTAGAAGGTCCCCAGCTCACAGAGCCTCCCCTATCGGCTCCCCCACCGCCTTCCACTATTTGAACTCTCTTCCTTATTGAACCAAAGACTTTTCCTGCTCCAAGAAATCCTCACAAAGTGAAAACTCTGGGTGCCAGCTCCATCCTTGATGGGATCAGCTGCTCAGCCCAAGACCCTTAGAGAGGTTTGTTTCCAGAGGCAGGGGCCAGGCTAGTGTTGATGAGAGTGAACACAGGGATAGGTGGGGAGGGATTTTTTTTTAACATCTGCTAATGACAGGCATTATATTAAGTATCCGACATTCAATATTTCATTTACTGTTTGTAGCAACCCTATTAGGAAGGCATTCTCCCCATTTTACAGAAGAAGAAAGGGAGGCTTGGGCAGACTAAATTATCCACATAGTAAGTGAGTCTGTTTGCAGAACCTGAGCGTTTTCTGCTGCCCCAGGCACAGTGTATGCGAAGTGTCTCCAGGAAGCTGGGTGGGAGGGGAAGGGTCGTCTGAGCCCAGTGCCCATTTGCCCCATGACATGCAGCTCTGAGGCCTGGGCCTCAAATGCCGTCGCCCACAGAGCTGCTCTGGTGATCTCCCCGACTGGATGTTCCTGGCTAAAGGTACAGAATTGCAGTCTTTTCAAAGTACACCAGGAGATGTCAACAGAAAGAGTGAAATTGTGCTCAAATTAGAGACAATTTTCTGGAATCCTCTGTTTTCCTCTCCCTGACAAGCAGAAGCACGGCATCCATTCAGCAGCATTTATGCTTTTAAATAAAATACTGCCATAGAATCCCTCGAACTGCCATTTGTGAAGCAATATTCTCATCACTATCTCCAGGTCACAGACAGTGGATGCCATGTCATGCAAAGGGTTGACTCGTTCACCATCCATTCAACAAGCATTCAGTAAATACCTGCTATGGGACTTGCTCTGTGCTGGGCACTGGGAACACAGATGTGGATGAAACCCATGTAGACCACGAGATCCTCAGTGGCTACAAAGAAAAACAGACATTGTAGAGGATTAAGACCTCTGCAATGTGATAGAGTTGACAGAGGCTTGGGGCAACCCCTGATGGTCTCCGCAGGGATGGGAGTAGGCTAAGTGATAGGGATGCCCGTGGATCCCCACAGGGATTCAGACAGGCAAGTGGGCCTGGCCAGGGCCTCAAGGAGCCTAGGTCTTCTAGGACCAAGGTGAGCATTGGTGGAGGGGAAGGGAACTCCAGGTGCCAAGACTGGCTCGAGCAGGGGTCTGGACGAGGGACTGACATGTGCGGGACGGTGAGGCCACCATGCTGCGGGGAGGCGATGGGGACAGGTTATCGGCCTATCACAGCAGCCTCCACCCTGCTGGTCCTGCAGCAGTGCCCCTGCCTGGCACCTGGCCTTAGTCCCCTTATTTAGTGTCGCACACCCTTAGCTCAGCTGCCCGTTGTGTCTCACACAACCAGGCTGTGTCTCACTTCTAGCCTACGCGCTTGCTGTCCCCTTTTCCCGGAATGCCCACACCCCACTCCCCTTCTTCCCCTGGGAAGTTCTGTTTAAGTCTCAGCTTAGCCTTCCCCTCTTCGCAAAGCCTCGGGGTGGAGTTCAGTGCCCTTCTCACCACTCAGACATCTCCCCTGGGGACTCTTGAGGGGGATGGTCATGTTGAGCTGGTTGGTTTGTTTGTCTTTTGGGGAGGGTCTGGGTCTTGGAGCCCCAAGTGGGACACACATGGTGGGGTGGTACAGTGGAGGATGTGTGACCTCATCGCATCCTAGAGGAGAAAAATATCTTTGTTTCTTTTTCAAACACAGGGTCTTGCTCTGTTGCCCAAGCTGAAGTGCAGCAACTTGATCATGGCTCATTGCAGCCTTGAACTCCTGGACTCAAGATATCCTCCCACCTCAGTCTCCCGAGTAGCCAGGACTTACAGGTGGGAGTCACTGCACCCGGCTCAAATAACTATCTTAACTGTGAGAAATGGTGAGCTGGCAAAAGTTCACAACCTTGACTATGCATGCCATCGTTGCCAGCGATGACTGTGCTGGCCATTCACCATGGCCAGCCGTGTGCTTCTTGTTTTGCCACGGTGTAAAAGTCATACATTTTTCATCAAGAGAGAAAATGAAATCAGAGCACCATCAATTTCTCTAATCCAATTCCCCTCGAGCAGTATTTATACCTTGCCCAGTGTCTAGGGGATCCTAAGGGAACTTTAGGCTTTCCCCCTCTGTGTGTGAGACCACCTCCTCCTTGATGCCTCCCTGGGTGGCCCAACTCCACATCTGCAACTTGCAGCATCAGCCCACTAGAGACTAAGGGCCCCTGGAGGGTGTCATGGGACCCTTGCAGGCTCCTCTTCTCCCCACACCTTTGAATCGGATCTGGCCTTGCTCACAGATCCACTGCCACTCTTTCCCCCTCACTATCCACTTGCTCCTTCTGTCTCACCCACAACCCTGCCCCCAAGGCCAGCCACATTCCTTCTCAAACCTCTGTCTCAGGTTTCCCAAATGGTGGCCCCATGTTCATGCAGGTATGTTCTGTTTGGCCTACAATGTTTGGAGTGTTTTGAAAATCAGCATGAGTGAATTCACTTCGTGATCACCCTTCAAGCTGTGTGCTTAACATTTATGTTTTTCTGCATGTATCCTTCCATTTAAAAAATATATTTTTTTAATCAGCAGTTTTCAGGCGAGGCATGGTGGCTCATGCCTGTAATCCAAGCACTTTGGGAGGCAGCAGGTAGGAGGATCGCTTGAGCCCAGGACTTCAAGACCAGCCTGTGCAACATGGGGAAACCCTATCTCTACCAAAAATACAAAACTTAGCCAGTCTCACAGCCCAGCCTCAAATAAATAAATAAATAAATATTTAAAAATAAGATAACTTTTTTTAAAAAAAACAGCAGATTTCATATCGAAATCCAGACTTCCACCCTCTCTTGAACACTTGGAAGGCCAGTACTGCTGGGCGTTTATCCTAAATCAGCTTTAGCTGGCGGCTGCCTCCTTCACAAAAGACATACACTCCCCCTTTTCCACAGTCTCCACCACTGTCTATTGTACCCACTGGCCACTCCCCTCATTTGTGTACCCGTCTTGCCCCTAGGGCAGGCATTCAAGCCCATTGTCTTTGGGTTCTCCTGATTTATTTCCTACTGCTTCCATGGGGATCTCAAACTCAACCCAACCATGACCAAGCCACATCCTCCTCCACTGTCCCCAAAACCTCCTCCCCTCCAATATTCCCCATCTCAGGAAATGCTTCACAATCTGCCCAGTCACTCAAGGAAAAAACCTGGACATTTCTAGGACTCCTTGTATATCCCTTGCCCCACCTACGATTTATCATCAACCTGACAATTCTGCAAAGCTGCCTGCTGCTCTGCATCCCCACAGCACATGCAGAGTCAAGCCACCGCCACCCCGAGCTGGGACCACAGCAGCCTCATGACTGGTCTGCCTGCCCCGACTCGGGCCCCTCTAAGCTGCTGCGCCCTCTGTAGCCAGAGAGGCCTTTGTACAATGCAATGTGATTATGTCGCTTCCCTCTTAGACCCCTTCTATAGCTTCCACAGCTTCCCATTTTCCCCCAAAATCCAAATTCCACAAAGGTCTAGTATCAGGGCCTGCCTCCCTCCCTAGCCTCTTCCCACACCTCATCCTTCTCCATGGCATACACACTAACCTTATTTCAGTTCATGCTGTTCCCTTCAACACTTCACTCCACACTTCACTTTTTGAAACAGGAGGTGTAACTTTTATAGAGTAAACCATCCACATCTTACATGTACAGCTTGAATGATTTTTATATATGCAAACATGTGTGTAGCCACTATCCATTTCAGTATCTCCGAGATCTTCTTTATGTGCCTTTCTGGCAGTACCCACCTATCATTAAATCGACTTTGGTATAGCTTAGTTTTGCCTGTTCTTGACCTTCATAGAAATGAAATTATATAGTATATGTTCTTTTGTGCCTGGATTATTTTGCTTAAGATTATGTCTGTGAAATTCACCCACATTGTTGCGTGTATTAATAATTAATTCATGCTGTCTGCTGTGGAATCTTCCATTGTATAGATACACCACTGTTTATGCATTCTACTGGTGATGGGCATTTGAGTAGTGTTGTGGACTAAATTGTGTCCACAGATTTTATGGAATAAAGTCCTAACCCCTAATGTGTCTGTATTTGGAGACAGGACCATTAAGGAAGTAATTAAACTTTGCAATTATGTAGACAGTAGGAAAAAAGGCTGAGTGTGGTGGCTCACGCTTGTAATCCCAGCACTTTGGGAGGCCGAGGTGGGCAGATCACAAGGTCAAGAGATCGAGACCATCCTGACCAATATGGTGAAACGCCGTCTCTACTGAAAATACAAAAATTAGCTGGGCATGGTGGCGCATGCCTGTAGTCCCAGCTACTTGGGAGACTGAGGCAGGAGAATCGCTTGAACCCGGGAGGTGGAGGTTGCCGTGAGTCAAGATTGCACCACTGCACTCCAGCCTGGCGACAGAGCGAGACTCCATCAAAAAAAAAAAAAAGGAGGTAGTGAAGGTTAAATGAGGTCATAAGGGTGGGGCCCTGGTCTAATAGAACTGGTGTCCTTATAAGAAGAGAAAGAGACACCAAGTGGGCCATTTGAGGACACAGTGAGAAAGCAGCTATCTGCAAGCCAGAGAGAGAGGACTCACCAGAAGCCAACCCGGTCGGCACCTTGATCTTGGACTTCCAGCCGCCAGAACTATGAGAAATAAATGTCTGTTGTTTAGGCCACCCAGCCTGTGGCATTCTGTTAAGGTGGCCCAGGCGGACTGATGCAGGTAGTTTCTAATTGAGGGCTATGACACAGCTGCTATAAATACTCTTCTACATGACTTTTGGCAAACATAAGCACTTCTTTCTATTGGCTCTGTCCCCAGGAGTGGGTCATAGGGTAGAGGCATTGATAGAAGGACAGAGAGAAAGAGAAAGAGACAGGAATTATTTTTTTCTGAACCATTTGAGAAGAAGTTTAAGCAGATACACTCTCCCAAACCTCATTGCAGCCAGTGAAGGTAGGATGCTCTCTTACTCCCGTCTAATCTTTAGACTCCATCCCAATTTCATTATTATCCCAATAATGTCCTTTATATCGAAAGGGTCCTATCCATGATTACATGTTGATTTAATTGTCAAATGTCTTTACTCTCCTTCAGTCCTAGACAGTTCCTTCATCTTTACTTTGATGACCTTGACACCTAGAACAGTTACAGGCTGGTCATTTTGTAGAATGGCTCACAATTTAAGTTGCTCTGATGTTAACGTGTTTTGGGCAGGAATGTACAAAAGTAATGCTGTGTTCTTTGCATTGCATCCTGTCAGGTTATTCGTGGTCAGTTTGCCCCATTACTGGAGATACTAACTTTTATTCCTTGGCTAAGATGGTATCTACCAGGCTTCACCAGTGTTAAATTAATGAGTATATTATACTTATTAATTAACTTATAATTAATTAATTAATATTTTATATAGAGTAAGTTTGAAATTAGGTAAATATCCTGTTTCTCATCAAAAATTTACCCAGTAGGTTTAGTATCCATTAATGATTCTTGACTAAATCAAATATTTCTACAGTGCTTGCAAAATGTGATTTCCTAATTCCATTATCCCTTCTACATTTATTAGTTTGCATTCTACTTTAAGTAAGAGTTTCTCTTCTCCCTATTTTTTATTCATATACTTACTTGTGTTAATATTAACTCACAGATCATCATTTTGATGCTCAAATTGTCCCTGATGTGGCCATTGGGAGCCTCTTCAAGTTGGCTGTTGTGTCCTTTTTTTTCTTTAATTTTACATTTTTATTTTTTAAATTGTGGTAAAATACACATAAAATGTACCATCTTAACAGCTTTAGTGTACCATTCAATGGCATTAAGGACATTCTCATTGTTGTGCAACCATCACCACCATTCATCTCCAGGGCTCTTCATCTGACAAACTTGAAATTCTGTACCCATTAAACAATGCCTCCTCCCCCCACCCCCTGGCAACCACCATTCTACTTTCTGTGCCCGTGAATTTGACTGCTCTATGTACTTCAAATAAGTAGAATCATATAGTATTTGTCCTTTTGTGACTGGCTTATTTCACATAACATAATGTCTTCAAGTTTTATCCAAGCTGTAGCATGTGTCAGAATTTCCTTCCTGTTTAAGACTGAGTAATATTCCACAGTATGGTTATACCACAGTTTGTTTATCCATTCATCTGTTGATGGGACACTTGGGCTGCTTCCACATTTTGGCTCTTGTGAATAATGCTGCTATAAACATGAGTGTACAGATATTTCTTCAAGTCCCTGCTTTCAATGCTTTTGGATGTATACCCAGAAGTGGACTTGCTGGATCATATGGTAATTCTACTTTTAATTTTTTGAGGATCTGCCATACGGTTTTCCACAGCAACTGCACTATTTTATATTCCTACCAACCCAGTGCCCAAGGGTTCCAATTTCTCACATCATCACCCATGCTTATTTTCTTTCTTTGATAGTAGCCATCCTAATGGGTGTGAGGCGGCATCTCATTATGGGTTTGCTTTACATTTCTCTAGTGATTAGCAATGGTGATCGTTTTTCATGTTCTTATCAGCCATTTGTATATCTTCTTTGGAGAAACGTCTATTGAAGTCCTTTTTAATTGGGTTGTTTCTTCTGTTGTTGGACACAGGAGTTCTTTATATATTCTGGATATTATCTTATGTGCTTTCGACATGTCCCCATCATTCTTTGAGCACTTTCTGTCTGAAACAACAAGATGTTTCAAGTGCTCTATTTCCCCTGCCCCAGCCCTGGAATCAGTCATTTCTCCAAGGAGCCCTGATTCCTTTCAGTGGCGAATGATTTGGGGGCAGATCTGGGCTGTAGATTTGCTCATTTATTTTGGGGGCTTGTTGCTCCCAGACCTTCTCAGTGTCCAGAGCCAAGGAATGTGTGTGTGTATTTGTGTGTGTGTATACACATATATTTATATTTATTTCTAGATCCATACATTAAAAATCATAAGTTCACATCAATACCTCTATTTCCAGTCCATCCTCATAGGATTCACTCAAACTTCTCCCCTTTCCATATTTTCAACTTCCTTCTCCAACAACAAGAAACCTGGCTCCCACTCTTCGCGCTATATTTATGTATTGCTCAATGCCCTTGCATGTAGCCAGTCTCCTGAATCCACGGGCTACTGCCCTCACTTGGCCACCTCCCTGCTCCCACTAACCCCTTCTGCTGCTTTCACGAAGTGTTGGGGGAAGGGAAGGAGGTCCTACAGAATTTTAAGGGAATTATTCAATTATTCAGGAAGGAAGGAAGCAAGCAAGTACAGGGCTGGATCTTGAAGAAGTTTGCAGATGGCCTCAGCGCATTTCCGCCCCAGGTAATTGGGCTGAAAGCTCAGGGACGTGCCTTTTAACAGCCCCATCTGCTCCAGTGTTTCTGGGAAGTTCCTGGGCCAGCCCCTGGCTCAGGGATGCCCACCAGACCATAATGAGCCAGTCTGCTCAGCCTCCACACTCCCAAGGACGGACTACTGCCGGAGCTGCTGGCAGCTGCTGGAGGCCACAGTGTTGCCCTGGGTCCACCCAGCACTTGAACCCTGACCAGAACCCTGAACCCAGCATGGTCAGGCAGGAGGCTGGGGCCTTGGGCCTCAGGGGGACCTGGCAAGGCCTACCCCAGGAGGTCAGGCTGGAAACTGGAGGAGACTCAACTCATGCAGAAGCTCTTAGCTGAGTACAGCTTCCTCTCCCCCAGTGCATTTAAGCTGCGCTTTACAAATACAAATGCCTTAGAGGTTTCCTTTTCATCCTGGCCCCTGGAATATGAAAGGTTTTGCTTGCTACTGTGGCTTCCACCACCACAGGGACACTGGAAGGGGGAGGAGTGTCTCTGTCCTAAAGAAGCCCTGGTTCAGGCCCACTGCCAGGTTTCAGTCATCATCCATGCGCAGCCAGGTAGCCCCTGTACCCAGCCTACCTCCCGAGGGTTGGGGGTGTGGGCAAGAGAGCTCACTGAGGCATGCTGTGTGCAGAGCCTTCCAGTGAGTGTTTGGAAGAATCCACCCTCAGGGAGCTCAAAGACTATCTAGGGTCACAAGCCCCACCAAGGGCAGGAGCAGCAGCCCCATACACCCGCAGATGCCCCTGTGGGGGGCTAGGAATGACAGAACAGCCACTCTGTGAGTGATGGAAACAGGAAAGGTAAGGATGATGGGAAACCCTGGTAGAAACCTTCCAGAAAGACAGGCCAGCCTTTCCAACATGATCTTGGATGCATTCAGGTTTTAGGGGCCTGAAACATATATAATTTGGGTAGTTTTTTTTTTTTTTTGAGGCGGAGTCTTGCTCTGTCGCCAGGCTGGAGCGCAGTGGTGCAATCTCTGCTCACTGCAGCCTCTGCCTCCCAGGTTCCAGCGATTCTCCTGACTCAGCCTCCCAGGTAGCTGGGATTACAGGCATGCACCACCATGCCTGGCTAATTTTCTGTATTTTTAGTAGAGACGGGGTTTCTCCATGTTGGCCAGGCTGGTCTCAAACTCCTGACCTCAGGTGATCTGCCCACTTCGGCCTCCCAAAGTGCTAGGATTACAGGCATCAGCCACTGTGCCCAGCCTGGATAGTTCTTTAAGACACACACACACACACACACACACACACACACACACACACACACACACACACGGCTGGGCACAGAGGCTCATGCCTGTATTCCCAGCACTTTGAGAGGCCGAGGCCAGGCAGATCACCTGAGATCAGGATTTCAAGATCAGCCTGAGCAACATGGTGTAATCCCATCCCTACAAAATATAAAAAAATTAGCTGGGCATGGTGGTATGCACCTATAGTCTTAGCTACTTGAGAAGCCGAGATGGGAGGATTGCTTGAGCCCAGAGAGATCGAGGCTGCAGTGAGCCATGACCACTGCCCTCCAGCCTGAGTGACGGAGCGAGACCCTGTCTCAAAAAAGAGAAAGAAAGAAAGATGAAAGAGAAAGGAAGGAAGGAAGGAAGGAAATGAAGGTGACTGCTCAGCTGGACTGCCATCCCTTGACTCCCAGCTGTCCTGGCAAGGCTTTCAGCTTCATGACAGTAGCATCAAGCAGAAGTTCACCACATTACAGCATTTGACAGTTTATGAAGCATGTCCATAGATGTGGTCATCTCCAAGAGCAGGCAGGGAAGCTGAAACTGCTGTGTCCCTACCTCTTACACAGGTCCTGGCAGATAAAAGGTTCACGATCCATCTTTGCTGAGTTAACAAAGGGGCCAAAGAGGCCATGGGAAGCAGCTCCTCCCTGCAGGGTTGGGCAGGGCCAGATGAAAACCTTTATTTCAGGGCCCTAAGCCTGAAAAAGGATCAAGTATCCCCCACTTACCATGTGCAAATCAAAATAAAGCTAGTCCTAAACCACAGAATAAGAGTCAGGAAGTCTTACAGCATTCTGGGGTTTCCCATTGAGTCTGCAATGATTTTTAAAAATGGATAATTTCTCCAAAACTTCTCATTTGGGGCGTGCCCTGCTTTGCTGGTGCCAAAGCATATACGTGGCCTGCCAAGTGACCCGTCCAGCCCTGGCTTGGTGCCACTACCTCTTAGGGACTTCAGTGTGGATTCCTGGGCACAAGGTCTCAGAGGTGCAGAAAGACCCTCACCCCAGGGGTGGGGTTCAGCAGGCCTGGATTTGAACAGGCCCCCACCACTGACCAGCCGCGTACACTTGGATCAGTCACTTAGTCTTTCCAAGCTTCAGCTTCCTTGTCTGAATGAATGGGCTCACACTCACTATTCATAGAGCTGAGCATGAGGGAAAATGAAATCTGACATGCAAAGGGCCTAGCACGGGATCTGGTGTACAGTGGGTGCTCAGGAAGCAACTATTACCTGCAAGAAGCAACGAAGGGAGTTGGCGGGTCCTTAGCTTCTGCTCTGACAGCAGAACCCGAGCAGCCATATGAGACAAGCAGGTGCTGAGTAGGCGGGAAGGGGCAGTGGCTGGACCTGGGAGTTGGGGTCTTTCCCACACCTGACTTAGCTGGACGGTTCAGGCTTAGTTCTCAGCCTAAGATGGGCCCTCTGTCCTAGGACCTCCCCGTCCCTCCTCCCAACCTCACTGAGCAGATTAGTCAGGAAGTGTGCACAATGTGCTCATTGTTATTAGAGGAAAACAAAAATAGCCTTGGCCTGGAGACTGTGTGCGTAGGGCTTGGGTGCAGCGGGCTACTTGCTTCTTTAGGGAGGCTTTTTTTCAAGGGAAGCTCAGACTCACAGAGGTGTGCTTGGGGTGGGCCCCCCCAAAGACAAGACCTCCCCAACCTGCCCCTCTCTTGCTCTCCAGACCTACGCTCAGCACCGCCCCCCCACAACATGCTTTCCATCCTCATGTCTCCTCCAACCCCCTATCTTTACCCACCCCTGTGCCTTCACTCCCAACAGTCAGCTGTCTCTGTTGGAGAATGGCCCTGAGCTGCCAGAACCACTCTGCCCGCACCTGTGAAGAACAGGAAATACCTGGACATTTTTGTGCTCCATTTGGGGAGGGCAAGGAAGTAAAACTGCCCCTGCCCGCTTGCCCCTGATTGGGGCACCTCTAAAGTGTCCCCACAGCTCCCTGGAGTATGAGACACGCAGCCCTTCGCGTGGCTTGGCTTGATGCCACACCCTGGCTTGGCTTCTTTCTCTTTGCTTGCGTCCCACTTCCTTGTCCCTCTACTGTCTTTCCCACTTAGATTTCTCCCTAAGAAATCATTTTCACATAAATCTAGACTCAGTTTTCCTCAGGGGAACCTCAGCTAAGATATTCTCCAACCTCAGGACCAGGCACAGCGGAGGGAGGCACCTGGAGAGACCTGTCCTTTGACTGCTTCTGGGAGGGGTGTGGGGGGTGTGTGTACATGCACCTGCCTACACTCTGCCTTTTACAGTGGGGAGCAGGGAAGAGGAAGGAAGAAGCCTGTATTACTCAGAGCCCTCCAGGGAAACAGAACCAACATGATGCACGGAGAGATTTGTTATAAGGAATTGGCTCACAGGATTATGGGGGCTGAGGAGTCCACACCCAGAAAAGCTGATGGTGTGAGTTCCAGTGTGAGTCTGGGAGCAGGAAGAGATTGACATCCCAGCTTGAAGACAGTCAGGCAGAGAGGAAATTCTTTCTTACTCAGGCGTTTATTCTGTTCGAACCTTCAACTGATTGGATGGAGCCCACCCACATGAAGGAGGGCCCTGTGCTTTACTCAGTCTACGGATTCAAGTGTTAATTTCATCCAGAAACAGGCATGGTGGCCTAGTCAAGTGGACACATAGCATGAACCACACCAGGGCTGCCCAGGCCTTTGCCTCTGCAGTGTGGTGTGGAGGCGCTGGCCGACCTTCCTTCTCTTCATCACATCCCCACTGGCATAAGGGGCACTGAAACGCCTACAAGGGCCATGGCTGGAATGCAAGGACATTTCCTGTTTCCACAGATGGCTCCCTCCAGGGTCTGGGAGCCTCTGCCTTTGGCTGGAACAGGTCACACCCATTCCGCAGGCGTGAAAACCGGAACGTGGGCTGGGCGCAGTGTGGCAGGCAGGAGTCTCAGAGGCGGAGCTCTGTCTTTTGGCGGCCCTGGCTCAAATCCTTGGCTTCCTTCCCAGAACCCCCACTTTGGGAGGAAGAGAAAAATAAATTGTGTTCTAGGTGCTCAGCAACAAAGGCAAAGTGGCTGAGCAGTGGTAATGAATAGCAAGAACAGGGAGTCAAGAGGGCAGCCGCACACTCCAGGTCTGTCTTGGTGCAGAGACAATAAACACAATCACCCTGCGGGGAGAACGCACTGCCTCCGGAGCAGGCAAGGGGCATCGGCGGCTTCATCGTGAACCAGCAACTGGTGGAGAGGGAGGGGAGTGCACAGGGGAGGACTGCCCATTAAAGACACCCTGATCCTAATGCGAGGCCCCGTGACCTTCTGAAACCTTCTCTAGCTTTTCCCAGAGACGGCTTGGCTGGGATCGGGGTGGGATATGGATGAGATCACTAGATAAAATAGAGGATGCCCAGTTAAAGTTGAACTTTTCATGGGACATACTTACTTATATTAAAAAATTATTTGTTGTTTATCTGAAATTCAAATTTAACTGGGTGTCCTGTATTAATTAATTAAAGGGTTTTTTTTTTTTTTTTTTGCTAACTCTACCAACCCTAGGTGGGGGGGTAGAAATCCTACATGGGAAAAGTGGTTGAAGAAACTCAGGTAGTTTATCCCAGCAGCTGGCAGACTCTGGGCACCGGCTCCCAATTCCAGAAGGGCTGTCCTGGGAGAGTTAGACTAGAAGATGGAATGGTTGCATTTTGAAATAGCAGCTACCTGGTCTGTTCAAGAAGAGAGTGGTATGGCAGAAGGAAGACACAGCTCAGGGCTGCAGATCTGGCTCTGCCATCTACTCCCGGGAGCCCCTGAGCTTGCACACCGGTGAATCACAGGTGTTCTGCATGGACATGCCCTCCGGCCCTGCAGCCCTGTAGCCCTGCAGCCCACATCAGCCTGGTTTATATCCTTGCATGCATCACATTTCTCTAGCTGGTGAACTGTGATAGGAGCAGCAGATCAAGGGCTCAGCTGCCTTTCCTCCTTCCTCCAGGCCCCAGGTTGCACTGTATTTCTTGAACATGCGGAGAAGCAGGTGCTGGCTGGTGAGGATGCAGAAGCCAGTGTGTCCTGCTGGTTCTCCTGCATGGGAGGCGTAGGGTGTGGGAGCAGAGAGGGTGAGGCAGAGCCCTATGATCAAGGCCATCGGGCTCAGCATGCTGTCCCTACACGACCTTGCCAGGGTCTTGCTCTGTCCAGCTGGGCATCTGGTGACTGGGCCATCCTGAGTCCCCTGACTGAAGAAGATGTCCTAGGAAAGATGTGTCTGAGCTGCATCAGCTCTGGGAAGCTGCCCAAGCTGAGGCTGAGGCCCTTTACCTCGAACCTGGAAATCTCTGCCTGCTTCAGCCTTGTCGATGAGGCAAAGCCTCAGAGTGGACGTCCCAACTCATGCATTGCTGGCCAGGACGTGCAGCCATCTGGAGCACAGGTCCAGGGCTGGAAGGGCACTTGTGGGCAGTCACTCCACTTCTTCCTCCTATTCACATGGGGGAAACCAAGGCCTCAAGAGAGGAAGGCGTTTGATCAAGGCCAGTCCAGGATTCTGTGTCCAAACAGGTGTTCACATCCCCTGTTCAGTGCTCAGGGGTCTGCCACATATGACCCCGAACCTCAGTGAGTCAACTAACATACACTGTGCCAGGCACCCCCAAGGACGCTAAAATCCCACAATAATACAGCAGACATGTCATGGCCCCTATTGCTTCATTGCCTCATAGACACAGGAGATGATGGAGCCTCAGAGTACTGTAGAAACTTATCTGAAGTTGGTGAGTGGCGGGGCCAGCACTGAAGCCCAGTTTCCCACCTGCAAGCTCACTGCCCTTTGCATCCCCCCATTTGTAACGCCCAGTTCTCTGCTGCCAACTTCCCCCAAGGCCTCACAGGCATCTCCAACAGAAGCCCATCTTTCAGCGCTGCCCCTCCAGCGGTCCTCCAGTGCTGCCCCTTGCTGCAGGCCCTCCTTCCACCCCAGGACTGCTGGTATTTGCATAGCTCTCTATAGTGTACAAAGCTTTCCCCAGTACATTATGTCAGGTTGATTTCCCCAACGGAAACTCCAGCCCCAGCGGGGAGCACCTGCTTCTCTTGGGCAATTACCCTTGAGAGGCCAGAAGGCGCACCCCGCGCAAAGGGTTCCTTACAAAATGTCAGACTGTTCCAAGCAAACAGAAATGGGCCCTGAGCCAGCTCAGCTGTGGCAGGGAGAACTCTAGGAATTAAGGCCTCCCAGACTGCAGCTTGGTACTCTGTCTCCTTACAAGCCTCATCCCACTTCTCAGCACCTGCAAGGAAGAACGCCCTGCTCATTAGCCACTCTGGGAGCGGCAGACAAAGAGCCCAGCTGCCTTTCCTCCTTCCTCTGGACCCCAGGTTGCCACTAGGCTAGGTGTGGGGTCCCTTGATTTCCTCTTGTTCCCACAGGGCTCCCCACTTATGCAGACATCTATCTATGCCTGCCCCAGAAGGCCTCGGCTGAGGACTCTTGGTCAGCAAAGGCAGGACTTTGTTTCTCTTTTACTAAAGATATTTTTTTCCCTATCAAATCTCCTCCAGATCCCCAGGCACTCATATGCCCAGAGTAGAGGTGCTTTTTGCAAAATTCTGGCTCAGCATAGAGGACACTGGACTTTGAGTCCAAAGACCTAAATTTAAGTCCCCGCTGTGCTGCTTTTGAGCTGTGTGTACAGCTGCCATGTGCAGCTGTACAGGTTGTGCACTACCTCGCTATTCAAAGTGGGATCCAGAGACCGGGAGCATACATATCACAGGCGAGCTTGTTAGAAATACAGACTCTTGGGCCCTACCCCAGAGTGACTGAATCAAAATCTGTTTTAACGAGATCCTCTGGTGATTTAAAGACCCAAGTTGGAGAATCGCTGGTGTATTACGATCCGAGGGAGCACCACTGACCAGGGTGTGAGCAGCACCCCTAGAATCGTGTGACATGCTCTCCTGCTCGGGCAAATCACTTCTCCTCTTTGGGTCTCATTTTCTGGGTCTGCCAAGTGGGAATATAATGCCTCTCCCCTAGGGTGGCTGCACTGCTTACATAAGGAATAAGCATCAGAGAGCATCTCCTGAGGAGAGGGCTCAAGTGGGGTCAGCTAGGGTTGACAAGCTTGCCTCTTTCAGGAGGTAAGCTTGGGAATTTTCACCACCCTGAGGGCTTACAGGAAAAACAGGATCCTCAGGTTTTGGAGCTGGAAAGGATTTGAGGGACTCCTTTGATTGAGCAGACATTCAACTTTCAGTCAACAATTTTACAGATGATGAAACTGAGGAAGGACAGGTGAAATAGCAAAACTGATGGTTTTGATACCAGATTTTGCTATCAGTGACTGAGCTGGGACTGGAGTCCAGCCCAGTTCCATCTCACTGCCCCCTCTCCCCATAAGCTCTAGCAGTTGTGTAAAGTTGTTCTTGCAACTTATCTATCTATGCTTTGTCTTCAGCACTTCATGGGGATGAACTGGAGGGAGGCTGGATAGAAGTTGCATCTTCCTTAAAAAAGAATACCTAAGCAAATAAGTAGATGGCTGTTTTTCAGAGTTAAATAGGGGATTGTCAGGAAAGATGAAACCACTCAGAAAGGAGTACATCAACACTGATTTTTTTGTTGTTCGTTTTGCTTTTGTTTTTGCGACAGGGCTTCACTCTGTTGCCTAGCCTGGAGTCCAGTGGGATCCTAGCTCACTGCAACCTTGAACTCCTGGGCTCAAATGATCCTCCCACCTCAGCTTCCTGAGTAGCTGGGACTCCAGGGGCATGCCATCACGCCTGGCTAATTTTTTTTTATTTTTTGTAGAGACAGGGTCTCACTATGTTGCCCATGCTGGTCTCAAACTCCTGGCCTCAAGTGATCCTCTTGCCTTGGCCTCTCGAAGTGCTGGGATTACAGGTATAAGCCATTGAACCTGGCCTTTAACACCTACTTTCTAAGCACTTATGATATTGCTAAGCATTGTGCTGGGCCCTGCTATACAAGATGAACAGATACCATCTCTGTCGTCATGTGGCTCCCAATCTGGACAGGACATGTGACATACACCAGAAACTAATAGTCATCTAAGGCCTTGGGTGGTAAGTCCACCAACTTTACGTGTTAGCAGAGGGATTTGGAGAAGGACGAGAAACCACTGAATGGAGGAGACAAGGAAGATTCTAGAAGATGCTGGATTGGCAAGGGGTAAAGAGAGGTAGGATTTAGATAGAGAGGAGCAGAGATCAGTGTGTGCCAAACTAGAAGTTTGCAAGGTGTGTTTAGGGAACAAGGGACTGGCTTAGAGCAGGGCTTGGCAAATTTTTTCAGTATAAGGCCAGATAGTAAATATTTTAGGCTTTGTAGGTTATAAGTCTGTTCCAACGACTCAGCTCTGCCTTTGTAGCTAGAAAGCAGAGACAGATAATAAGTAAATAAACCAGCATGGCCGTATTTCATACAACTTTATTTATAGACACTGATATTTGAATTTTATGTAATTTTCATGTGTCACCAAATATTCTTCTTTTGATTTTTTTCAACTACTTAAAAATATAAAAAATTATTCTTTGCCTACAGGCGGTAGAGAAACATATGGGCCAGATTTGGCTCATGGACCATACTTCACCCATTTCTGATCTAGGGGCGAGATGAAAGCTGGGCCTGGAAAGGGATGCTGGGGCCAGATCATGCCAGGCATTGAATACATGGTTAAGGCATCTGGTGTTTCTCCAAGGTTAAGTCAGAGGTAGGAATGCATGATATTCAGATATCCCCAGATTTGCCCCCTCTTCTAAGGCACCTTCCCTCCTAGAGAGTGGCTCCCAACATCCCAAGAAGGGGATCCTTCGTTATGTTGCCTTTTAGTGAACAGAGAAAGACTGAAGGAGGAAGGGTCTGGGGGTACACCTGGGAGTCAATTGTTAGGCTTTCAAGCCCAAAGTACCTAAGGATGATCTAAGTGAGATGTCAAATAGCTGTCACATATCTGAATCTAGAGCTGAGAGCTGAAGATAGTGGTCCTGCTTTAAATGATGGGAATAGACAAGTCTCTTCAGGAAGGAATGTAGAGGGAAGAGAATGCAACCCAGGTCGGAGCTCTGAGGTTCTCTACTTCCAGGGCTCAGATGGAGTCCCAAGAGAGCCTGAGAGGCAAAAGAAAGCAGGAGACTGTGATGGCAGAAGCCGAGGGAGAGGAGTCACTTAAAAGAAGGGAGGAAATCATGCCCAGTGCTGCTGCAACTTTTGGAGGCTGAGGACAAGAGAGTGTTCTGGTAATGAGGAGATCTCTCAAGAAGTTGCCAGGAGCAACTTCAATGGGGTGGTGGGTGTGGAAATCAGAGAGAGTGGAGGTGATGCAAACAAGTCTTCAGAGACATTCTAACCTTTGCAAGACAGATGAAATGAAGCATTAGTCATAGGGAAGGATGCAGGACTGAACTAAACTCAACAGACTTACTACTGAGTGCTTACTTTGTCCCAGGCACAGTGCCAGGTTTGGAGATACAAAGATGAGAAGAGACAGGACTGAATAGCCACACACCAATATGATCAGTATCAGAATAGGCATACGTAACAAGTGGTGCTGGCAAGAGGGATGCTGGAGCCGTGAATTCTGAGTTTGGGGATCAGGAAAAGCATCACAGAATGGGTGCTATCTGATCTGGGCTTGCAGAGCAGGAAGGACAAGGTAAGAAAAGCCTTGCCAAGCAGTAGGAAAGAGGATTTCAAAAAGAAAGTTTAAAAAAGAACAGGGAGGGCCAGGCGCGGTGGCTCATGCCTGTAATCCCAGCACTTTGGGAGGCCAAGGCAGGTGGATCCCCTGAGGTCAGGAGTTCAAGACCAGCCTGGCCAACATGGTGAAACCCTGTCTCTACTAAAAATATAAAAATTAGCCGGTCATGGTGGTAGGCACCTGTAATCCCAGCTACTTGGGAGGCTGAGGCAGGAGAACCGCTTGAACTCGGGAGGCGGAGGTTGCAGTGAGCCAAGATCGTGTCATTGCACTCCAGCCTGGGAGACAAGAGCACAAGAGCTGGACTTTGTCTCAAAAAAAAAAAAAAGAACAGGGAGGGTTTGGGGAACAGCGAGTGGTCTGATGTTGCCTAATGGGTAGTGGTGATAATGGGCCACACAGTAACAGGAGATGCATTTGGAGACATACGCCACCCACTATGGGATAGGCCCTTGCACCCTGCTGAAGAGACTGAAGTTTATAGAAAAGGGGGAATATAAAGAATATAACATTGGTCCACCTGCTCTGTGCCAGGTACCTTAAATACTTTCGAACATGGGTTTTGCAGTACAAAGCAGACCTGAGTTCAAATTCTGGTTCTGCAAGGTGTAATAGCTATGTGGCTTTAGGTCCTTTAACCTAGCTAAGTCTTAGTTTCATCTTAGTTTCATGCTAATAATTCTTATCGTATAGAATTTTTGTAAGGCTTAAAAACAAAAGCAACTACCACAACTATGATCTCATTTAAAATAGAGTGATATGGCTGGGCGCAGTGGCTCACGCTTGTAATCCCAGCACTTTGGGAGGCCGAGGCGGGTGGATCATTTGAGGTCAGGAGTTCAAGACCAGCGTGGCCAACATGGTGAAACCCTGTCTCTACTAAAAATACAAAAATTAGCTGGGCATGGTGGTGTGCCCCTGTAGTCCCAGCTATTAGGGAGGGCTGAGGCAGGAGAATCCCTTGAACCTGGGAGGCGGAGGTTGCAGTGAGCCAGGATCGTGCTGCTGCACTCCAGGCTGGGCGACAGAGTGAGACCCTGTCTCAAAAAAAAAAAAAGAAAAGAAAAAGATATTTGCAAGACTAATCTTGCATTTTAGAAAAGTTGCTTTTGTAGTGGTGTGCAGGACGAACTGGTGGAGGGGAGTTAAGAGGGGGACAAATGAGACTGGCTATACTAAGTCTAGTTAGAAGGCTATTATAGAACTAGTTAATAGCAAAAAAGAGGAAAAACAAAACAATGGGCTATTAGGAGAGCCCCAGGAGAGCTGAAAGCTGAAGACCCCCACAAAGGCCTGTCCTGGAGGTGTTGAGAAGGGCCAGCTGTTAGGGGGATTCCAGGGCTCTGTGTGTGTGTGTGGGGGGGAGCATTCTGTGAATGAGATGTGGAGGGCTGGGAGCAGGGTAAAGAGCTGGGGAGAGGCGTGTAGGATTCCAGGCTCTCCAGCTTCAGAGAGCAGTGGAGTTTTTAACTGAGCTGACAGGTATTAGAGAAAATGTGGGTTTGGGAAGAATACATATTTAATTTTGGACAAATTGAGTTGAGGATTCTGCAGGATGCCAGATGGAGAAGCCCTGAGGGAGCTGGAAAGAGAGATCAGGAACTCCAGCAAGGGCGACTCAGCTCTGAGCTGTTTTATGCAGGAGGGAAGGCCTGGCACTGGAGGAGGAATGCCAAGGTCCAGATGATGTTTGAGCATCCTAAGTGTCGGGATTTTAGATCAGGTGGGAATAACGGAAGGCACAGTTCCCACAGAATGGTAGAATGTATTAGAATAGTATGTGCTTCATTTATTTTCCTGGAGACTTGGAGATTGAGAGCTAGAAGGGGTCATCCAGTCCTATATGAAGTCTTCAGCACCTTCTAGGGCCAGGCCCTGAGAATAAGTAAGTGGGGAGACAAGAAAGTCTTCCCAAGAGTAGAATGCCAGCCAATAAAGGTGGAAGGAATAATGGACTTATAAAAAAATCACAACAGCATGGTGAAGATTCAGACTGATTAGTGGATTTTATAGTCCTATTCAAATCCCCAAGGTTTTAGTGGAGAGATGGAGATCCGAAGGGGTTAAGTGGCTTCCGAGGTGATGCTGAAGTGGCCCAGTTGGGAATAATAGGACGGTGTCTTTGTAGAACCCAGGAAAATGTTTTTCCACTATGAGATTGTTGTATGCCTTTTGAGATACATGGGGCAGATTAAAATCTTCATTTCACAGATGTGAAAAATGTCTCCAGGAGCTGAGGAGACCTGCTTCAGGCTGCACCAGTGCTAACAAGCGGCAGAACCGGATGTGAACCCCAGAGTTCCCATCTCCCACGGCATGCAGAACTTCTTCGGCTACCTGAGCTACAGGAACCCTGGGAAGCAGGGCCAGAGGTGCCTGGGGACTGCAGCCCACTGGGGTGGGCATGGGGAAAGAGGAATATCATTTCTGGTTCAAGTTGCTAGTTTTGCAGAGTGTAAAATTACTGCACAGGCCCCAGAGAATAAACAGAGTTAACACCCCATTAAATACAATGGACTTTCAACGTGAGCTCTAGACGTGCCTAGATTGAAACTAGCTGAGCAAGAGCTGGCCCGTGAGTAAAATGTATCACATGCACTCCCTTAATGCTTCCAAAGAGAAAAATCCAGCGCAGGGAGAAGAAAGTGCCGGCAGCAGCTCTGCAGGCTCAGGGCTGAGGATCCGGTAATGAAGTCTTTCTGGAAGGTAAGAAAGGGCTGTGTGCTGCATGCTATTTTTAAACATGCTGGAGCAGCACATGTATCCCTGGCCCACGCACTTTCTCCAGCAGAGGAGGGGCCTGGGGGATGCAGCCAGGAATTTAGATGCTATTTATTGTATTTCCTTTTATCAGTCAAATGATTTTCCTATTTCCCACCTAGATAAAGATCTTCCACTTACAGCTCCAGCTTGTTGACCTTGTCAGGACTGCTGTGCAGCCTGAAAATTGGTCCCAGAGAGAGAAGGGCATTGTTTTTAGGGGGTTGCTTGGCGGGTTGGGTTTTTCTTCTCCCAGCAGGGAAGAGATTGGTTTACAAAAAAAAAAAAAAAAATTAAAAATCTTCCAGAAAACAAAAACTGATTGTTTTGTGCCTTTTTGCAGAACTGAAAGGCTGTCCAAGTATAGTTCACCAGCCATCCCCCTTGCATCCCCCTAATATCTCCACCCTACGTTTCACCAACACACACACACACACACACACACACACTCTCTCTCTCTCTCTCTCTCTCTCTCTATTAATATCTCTTTCTTTCTCCTGCAGCAGCAAGCCTGGCCCTGGCCCCAGACCCACTGCTGTGCTGCTGTCTTGGCAGGCAGCAGGGCAGAGGGGGGTGGCAGCTCTGTCTAAGCTTGTAAGCTGAGCCAGTCTCTTGGCTGTGCCAGCTCTGAGGCCCCTTAGAGATGCCAGTATGCCTGAGTGGGAGCAGTTGCAGCTTCCACTCGGCTGGAAGCTTTGGAGCCAGCCAGGCCTCCAGAAGCTGCATTCTCAGGCAAGGGTATGGCCCGAGGGCTGCTAATCAGCAGGAGGCCTCCTCTTGGGCAAGCTGCCCTCATTGTCTCGCCTTGCCTAGGCCTGCTGGCCAGGTTCACAGGCCAGAGACAGTGCCACTCTTCCTCACCTTCTCGGGAACGGGACCAGCAGATGCTGTGGGAGGCTGGGGTTTTATTGTAAATCCTCATGATTTCTGGCTCATTTAGAGCCACGAAACACAAAGAGAGCCAGCTAGAAGGAGGGAATCCAGCCCCTTGCAGGTTCATCATTTGAACAGCAAGGAGCTGCAGGCCCCTTCCACACTTGCGAGGGTCGGCTATGGATTGTAACAGAGCTGCCGGCTTTCAGGAACCCCAGGTTCTTTCCCACCATTGCAGTGTTTCCTAGCCGGGACAGCAGAGGGCGCCAGCTCTCCTGCCAGCACTGGGTCCCGGGCCGTCCTCCCGCACATCTGGAAATGGGCTCTATCACTCTCTTGCGAAATAAGGCCAGGGATCTGTCTGTGTCGGATGAATTGGCACCCGAGTGAGCACGCATACACATCAAGAATTCCACTTTCTCATTACTTCTATTTCTCCCTCAAGAGCACTTGTGGAATGTGGGGAATTTGCCTTGCCAAGGCGGCCAACACATCTGAGTCTTGGGCTTGGTCAGGCCTCGGTGGAGCGCTTGGCGGGACCACCTCTGGTCTGAAGACTTTGCCCTTCCCTCCGACATGCAGAGAGGGGGAAAAAGTAAACGGGAGGACAGGACCTCCCAGATCTTTTCCCCTGGGGAAGAAAACTAAAAATGTTTGGTCCTGACCTTCCGGGCCCTCCTGAAGAAAGCAAATGTCCCACATTAACAGGTCCTTGAGAAAGAAGATATAATTCCAAGAAAGCATTTTCTTAAATTACAAGTGATCAGAAATACCAAAGGTATGTGCAAACAATGGAGATGGAAAAGGAGAAACTGGATGGAGGAGGGCAGAGCTGAAGCCAACCCAGGGGCCTGGTTGCTGTTCTGAGGCTGCTTCCTAGACTTCTGAAAGCTGCATGCATTTAAATGTCCACATTTTCTCGCAGAAGCCAGCAATCGGTACTTCCCTTGGCCAAACAACACATCAGTCTAATATGGTGTGGGAGAAATATGTTACATTCTTTTATGAACAGAATGTTAACATCACCTAGAATCAATATTTATATCCAAGAACACAATGAACTGGCTTGTTTTGTGCTGCATGGGTTTAAGACAGGGACATTTGGGAAGAGTAGGGAGGCCGCCCCTCCTCCCACCCAGAAAGGCAGACCCGGGCAAGCAGGCTGAGGCTCCGGCATCTTCCAAAGGGTTTCTGCCTGGGAGACCATGCTCGGCTCCCTTCCTCCCTCACAGTCCTTTGTCTCCTGGGATTGCAAGAGGAAGCCAGAAGCAGCCAGTGGGGCAGGAATTTGTGGCGAGGTTCAGGACGTGAGGCAGCATCCTGTCTGCAGGACAGCCACCTACCATTCGTGAGGGCTGCAGTGGGGGAAGGAGGGTCAGGACATGCATCCCAGCATTTCCTACTGCAGATCAAAGTAGGGGCGGACACAACTTTACACAAGTCCTTGGATGAGGGGCTTCTAGGGGATGAAAAACTAGGAATAAGGGGGGATGACACTTCTCTTTCATGCTGCTATTTTTTGGCCAGGCAATTGTCCTCATTTGAGGCAGCCATTACAACAGAGATGGAAGCTGAGGTCTCCTGGCCTTGGAGTGCTGCATATTCTTCCAGAGGCTTTTGGGACACTCTATCTAACTCCTTAGGCTGGTTTCTTCCTTGATGCCGTTTTCCACTTTACTGCCTTTTTTTGTTGTTGTTCTTTATTTTTTTGAGATGGAGTCTTGCTGTGATGCCCAGGCTGGAGTGCAATGGCACAATCTCAGCTCACTACAACCTCTGCTTTCTGGGTTCAAGCGATTCTCTTGCCTCAGCCTCCCGAGTAGCTGGGACTACAAGGCATGTGCCACCACACCCAGCAAATTTTTGTATTTTTAGTAGAGACAGGATTTCACTATATTGGCCAGGCTGGTCTCGAACGCCTGACCTCAAGTGATCCACCCGCCTCAGCCTCCCAAAGTGCTGGGATTTCAGGCGTGAGCCACCACGCCTGCTGGCTTTACTGCCTTTGGAAGCTACTGGGCCTGCAGCCTGGAGTCAGCTGCTTGCTCCTTGCATGTACAATCCTTACCTAATTAGAAAAATAAAAACAAACAAAAGCCTTTCCCCCTTTCCCAGAAGATTTAAGGTTTGCCTGCAACAGACCATCTACAAATGTGAGACTTCTCTTCACCTAAGCAGACTGGATTGGGGCCTCATTTTGCAGAGCAAGCAGGCCTACTTCATTTTCAGATTCGATGCTGAAGGTCACCACTTTCAACCGTAGCACTTGTCTCTCATTAAATGTCTGGAGCTCATTATGATATATCTTGCAGAAAAGTCTTTGCTGCTTTAATAGGCATGATCTTTAGAAAAGATCCCTTGGCTTATGTGTAAGATTGAGGCATGATTAATCTTGGCCCCATTTAGTTGTGGGTCACCAGTGTTCAGGCTAGAGTGAGACCTCTCTGCATGATCACAATTTATAATTTTCCATAATCTATATCTTTTTTTATGTTGTTAGCATGTTTTGTTGCTGTAATTCATTTGGTCTGAACTATTGCTTTCATCTAGTTCTAAGAAACAACCAGTAAATATCCCAATCACATCTGCTATAAAACCAGCCAAGATAAACATATTATTTCATTATAAGCCACTATGTTTAGCATCCTCTTTACGGCTGCAAAGCTCCCCCTGCAGAAATCTCATGTGGCAGACTCATGTAAGTTTAAATATTCTGAACATCTTTACAGGTACTGACTGATTTAAGCCAATGGAAAAGTCTCACTTGGGTCCAGATGTTGTTCTGATGTCAAGGGCAGGATGAAAGAATAGTGAAAGTTAGCAGTAGGGGCCGGGTATGGTGACTCATGCCTGTAATCCCAGCACTTTGGGAAGTTGAGGTAGGTGGATTGCTTGAGCCTAGGAGTTTGAGACCAGACTGGACAACATAGTGAGACCCCCATCTCTATAAAACATGGAAAAATTAGCCAGGCATGGTAGTGCACATCTGTAGTCCTAACTACTTGGGAGACTGAGGTGGGAAGATCTCTTGAGCCCAGGAGTTCAAGGCTCTAGTGAGCTATGATCACACCACTGCATACCAGCCTGGGCAACAAAAGAAGACCCTGTCTCAACAACAACAAAAAAAGTTAACATTAGGGCAAAGAATAAAACAGTGAAATCTTTAGCCAGGGGTGGCTGCAGTTGGTAGGGTTTGACTATCTGCCTTCAGAGCAGTGCCAGGATCTGGGAGAAAAGTTCTAATAAAAAAAGTCTCCTTGGAAGTCTTTGGTAAAAGTCATTCCAAGTCCAGGCCCGCCTTTTAAGCTCTAGAATTGTCAATATAAATGCTTACTTAACACCTACATCTGCTGACTTAACACTTGCATCTCAAATAAACATTCCCACAAGGCTGTCTGATTTCCAGCCATTCCCCTGCCCCAGTCTGCTCCTCTTCTAGTCGTTGTCTCTGTAACTGGTATCTGGACCATCCATGTGAAGCACAAGATCACTGTAGGTGCTCTCTCCCTCCTGCCTCCCTCTCATCCGTCACTCATCTTGTTCCTTCCACCACCAAAATGGCTGTATTCCATCCTCTTCCCCACATCATTCTTCACTGCTACACCCTTAGTCCATAATACCACCACCTCTGGAGGGATTATAGCCACAGCCACAATTTAGCTCCCTATTTCAATGCTTCACAGAGTAGTCAGAATAAGTTTTTAAAACCACAAACTAGATGATGTCACTTCCCTTTCTGAAACCTTCAGTGACTTCCCCCTGCACTGAGGAGACTATCCCAGATCCTTGGGCTGGTGATAAGACCGCACATGGCCTCTCTCCTATCTCTTGCTGTTTTTCCCCTACATTTCCCTGCTCCAGGTCCCTGGTTTTCTTTCAGCTCCTCTAAATCCCCAATGAAAGCTGGTTTTTGTGCTCTTTTCCTGACTCTCCCTAAGTCCTACTGGTTTTTCATTTTAAGTGTCACTTCCTTGAAGGGGCCTTCCTTGACCCCACCATCGAAAAAAGTTGCCCACTCCCTGCCAATATGCTGACACACGCTACTACTACTCTTTTCCTGCATTTGATACCACATGGCAACATCACATCTACTTAAGTTTGTTTAATCACGTTTCTTCCACTAGATACTAGGCTCCATGAAAGCAAGAATTGTTACCTGTTTTGCTATATTCCTATTGCCTGCTCCAGAGGGTAATGCATATTAGTTGAACCAAGTAATGAAAGTAGACTGCATATGGAGAGCTGCCTAAAGGGTATTTACACTGCCTTCCTGGTGAACCCGCCCCACCAGACCACAGTTACCCAAAATTCCTCCTTGAAGAATTCCTCACTGAGCTTTGGGAGGAACCAAGTCAAACTCCCAAATGTCTCTAATCTCCTCTGCTCCTTTACTCCATCCCCACTGCATGCTCTTCTTCTTCCTCTTCTTTATTTATTTATTTTCCTTGGAGACAGAGTCTTGCTCTGTCACCCAAGCTGGAGTGCAATGGTATGAACATGGCTCACTGCAGCCACGACTTCCCGGGCTCCAGCAATCCTCCCACCTCAGCCCCCCAAGTATCTTGGAGCCCCATCATGCCTGGCTAATTAAAAATTTTTTTTTTATAGAGATGAGATCTCACCATGTTTCCCAGTCTGGTCTTGAACTTGTGAGCTCATGCAATCCTCCTGCCTCAGCCTCCCAAAAGGTGTGAGCCACCATACCCAGCCCCCGACTGCATGCTCTTCTTACCTTCCATCCTGGCTATTTTAACAGTCTCCTAACCAGTCTATCTCCATACTGCCTTGAATTCAAGAGTATTTATGCTAAGGACCACAATAATGGATGGGGGGAAATTACATTTTGATTTTCACAAACCTCTAATTGAAAATTTGCATTTCTTTTGATTATAAACATTGGCAACAAGCCCCAGTAGTATTGGCAGGACCTGTGACTTTGCCACCAACAAGATCACAGATATTTTCATACTATATTATAGACATTGCAGATGTTGAAATATTATTTATGGTCACTACTACTTTAAAATTATGGTCATTATTAGAACTAGATCATGTTATTTAATGCTTTATCAAGAAGCACAGGTATTCCTACATAACACATTGTTAATATTTTGTTAGCTATATTTTAATATAGTGGATTTCCTTTGTAATTTTATTTGTATTTTATGCACTTAGAAAACATTCCTAGAAGGGTCCATAGACTTTACCAGATTGCCAAAGCAGCTCGTGGCAGAAAAATGGTTGAGAGGCTGTGGTGTAGTTTTCCTTATGTCACTGCCTTGCAAAAACAGCCTTGAGGCCTTCCCTCTGCCTGCAAAACAAAAGCTAAAACCCTTGGCTTGACATTCAAGGCCCATTTACAATCCATTTTCAGAACACCTCACTATCTTTCTTTTTGGTCAGTGCCCTGGATATAACCTGTGTTCCAGTCACGCTGAATTACTTGAGTACACCAAAAATGTACTTCTATCTCTAGGTCTATTTCTAGCTTATCTTAAGGAACTACTCTTTTTCTAAGGCCCAGCTCAAAATGTTATCCTGGTAAAGCTCTTTTGCCTTCCCCCAAGCAAAACCACTGAATTTTTCCTTTGTGTTTTCCAGAATACTGCGCTCACAGCCGTTTGATCATTTATCAGACCCTATTGTAGTTAGCTTTTGTATCTATTTTTTGTTACATTGTGGGCTTCCAGTGGAGAGGGACTTCCTCAACTTTACACCCAAAACACATAGTGAGTACTTGGAAATGCTTGAAAAAATGAATGTATCTAAAATACTCATTCTTCTGAGGGATGAATAAAATCCATAATTACTATATTAGTTTGTCCTTTAAACCAAGAAATTCTTTTGATAAATATAACATAAGTCTACTTCAAAAATCCACCGGCCCCAAGAAAAATAGGTTGTTGTCTTACATTCCAGTGCCTGGACCCAGCTGCCTTCAGTTGACTTCTATCCTTGAAGATAGCAAAAGCACCCCTCACAGGAGCCCATTTGCTGAGTCTTTAAACCTTCTGACTGTATCAGTGATGTCTTCTCACATTACCCTTCTTTGAATGATGCCAAATATATTTTTGACCAGTCTCTTTTAAGCAGACGCTTTCCATTTCTTGCCCCAGGATTTTCTAATGGTCAGGTTATGGCATGATTTTTATATCCTAGAACATTCAGCTGCTTTATGTCAATCTTAAACAAATGCAGATGCAAGTTTTAAAAATTCTTTTCCTAAGAAGCGTCAAGAATTAAAAAGGAGACCATTCCTTAATTTCACAGTTCAACGCACAACGTAACTGGATCTACATGTGTGCACATGCGCTGAGGATAGAAGGAATGTTAGCAAACACTGACCTGAACTTAGAATCTCAAGGAACCACAGACTTTTAGGAACTGAAAGGAACTTTTTAACTGATAGCAGGGAGATGTGTGTCTTGCCCAGGGGCTCATCTGTTGTTGGGACTTCAAGTTTAGCCAGTCAAAAACAAATCCTTGATTTTTCTTCCGTGATGTTTCATACTTAAGTCTGCAATCTCAGGCCATGGCACCTCTCTCCATTACCCAGTTTTCCAAGCCAAAAAAACTGAGTCATTCTTCTTCTTTTTCTTATAGAGATGGGGTTTCACCACGTTGCCCAGGTTGGTCTTGAACTCCTGGGCTCAAGAAATCTACCCGCCTTGGCCTCCCAAAGTACTGGGATTACACGCGTAAGCCACTGTGCCCAGGAAAAACTGAGTCATTCTTCTTTTTCTTTCATTCTCCACATCCCACTCCTCAGCAATTCCTGTCCATTATACTCCCAAACTATATCCTGAATTAATCTGCCTTTTCCCACCACTCTAGGCTAAGCCACTGTCATTTCTCACTTGGGTTCCTATGCCAGCCTTCTCCTAGTCTCTCTGATTCTTCTCTTGCCCACCCCACAATTCTCTATACAGCAGCCAGAGTGACCCTTTATTTTATTTTACTTTTTATTTTTTGAGACAGAGTCTTGCTCTGTTACTCAGGCTGGAGTGCAGTGGCACAATCTTGGCTCACTGCAACCCCCACCTCCTGGGTTCAAGGGATTCTCATGCCTCAGACTCCTGAGTAGCTGGGATTACAGATGCGCGCCACCACGTCCAGCTAATTTTGTTTTGTATTTTTAGTAGAAAAATACAAACATGGTTTCACCATGTTGGCCAGGCTGGTCTCCAACTCCTGGCCTCAAGTGGTCTGCCCACTCCCACCTCTCAAAGTGCTGGGATTACAGGCATGAGCCACCACGCCCGGCCTAGAGTGACCCTTTAAAAACAGAAATCAGATCTTGTCACTCAGTTGTGTAGAACTCTCTTCACATTACACTTATGACAAACTGCAAACTCTTTACGACACTTCTGAGGATCTACATGATCTTGCTATTGCCTGCCTTGCAACTTCAAAGCCACTCTGCCTCTCGTTTACTCTGCTCCAGCCTCACCAGCTTTTTCTATGCCTTGAAATTCCAGAGTTCATTCCTGCCTCAGGATTTCAGCCTTTGTATACCCTCAGCCCTTCACCGGGCTGGCTCCTTCAAATCAATTTTGTCTTTCTTCAGAAGATACTTTTTCAGAAAGGCCTTTCTCTATCCTAGCTTATATCATTTCTTCTTATCTAGGTAATTAGCTGAGATGAGTTTGTTAGGTTACTTGTTTGTAGTCTCTTTTTCCCCAGCAAGGGGAAGAGCTCTATGGGGACTAGGACCCAGAACAATTTCTAACGCAAGAAAGATATTCAACAAATATTGTTGAATAGGTCTAATTCCAGTTCTCAGACCCACCATACCATGCTACGGCTTTGAACTCATGCCACTCTCATTAGTTATCTCTAAGACAGTACGGCTATAGTGGAATGTAAAGCCACAGTTATCTGGATATAAACCATTTCTCTACCTGTTCCCTGTTCTGTAACTGCACAAGTCACTTATCAGATCTGTGTCTTAATTTACTTACTGTAAAAATGAGTACAGTAGTCCTACTCTGTAAAGTTGTGGAATTACATAATTTACATAAAAAGCACAGCAGAGTGGCCTATGGTATATGTCTGTTATTTCTCTTTTCCCTTTAGTCTTCCACAAATTATAACAACTTATATTTAAGTGTCTTCTACTCTATGAGAGGCACTATTCTAAGTGTTTTACATGGATTGACTAATCTACATAAAAACTCTACAGGACAGAAATGATAAATATCACTATGTTACAGATGAGAAAACTTAAGTCATACAGTGGTTTATGCAACTTGCCTAAGGTCACGTAAGAGGAAAGCAGCAGAATCCAGACCTGAACCCAGCAGTGTTGTCCAATTTCAGAGGTAATAAAACAGTCATTGACTATCTTTATTGTGATCCCATGGTAAGAAACACATTTTACATTAAAAGTGTATGTAGACATATGACTGTATCTGAAGTGTAAGTTTCACAAAATAATACCCTTAACTACCTGTAGTGCATTCTGATAGTTTCTCATTTTAATTTTTAAAAATGTTTTTGACCAACTTACTGATTTAATGATCTATGAATGAATCAAAAGTGAACTTTGAAAAACTGCTTGTCTAAATTACAATTAATCCAAATGTTCTGACCTTCCAGCTACCTCAACCTCTACCAGACAAACTCTGATAGCTATCAGTTCAGATTTTCATATTTCATTTACATTCCAGATAAAGCCCTTATTAATTAGTTAAGATACTGATCCCCCACCCTGACTCAGATCTACTCTCTATTGCAAACTCTTTTGCACTTATGGAAAAAATATCTCATCAGGTAAGATTCAAATAACTTTTTCACTCTCTAAAAATTATTTGTCTCTATTAAAACTATTAATACAAGCTGCCCTATGTTAGAAATATTTATGTACAAGTCTGTCCTTCCCACTAGATTATCAGAAATTATGGAGGGCAGAAACCATGTTTTATAAACATCTTTGTATTCCCAAATAAAGGGTGAATTAAAGTGAAATGAAGAGAAGTTGGTATAAAAAACTCTGGCTCTTAAGTGTTGGATGGTGTGTGTGTGTGAGAGAGAGATTCAAATAAGAGAATCTCTTACACTGAATCTTACATATTCCCACATAAACATATAAGACATCCTCCCACTGATCTGGTGTTGCAGGTGGTTTATAAAAATCCTTCTATCTGGAAAATCTGCATTGGCCATGCACTTAATTTCCCAATGCCATTCTTATCTTCTTGTGGCTCCTCCTTTTGCATTTCACTAAGCTAAGAGAATTTACATTTCTACCTCTGGCAAAAGTTTCCCCCTGTAGACACATAGTCTTGTGAAAACTAAACTGAAATGGTTTCTGGATGAGCAGATGTACATTAACAATTTCACCTAGTCTGATTCTCAATCCTGATTTCTTTAATGGGCTGGCATATAAACTACTGCTTATATCCATAGATACTGAAGTATATATTTGAGTGCAGGCTATATATCAAAGGTAAACAAATAAAACAAAGAAAAAACCCCTGACTTGGAACTCTCAGTTGCAAGGCAGGAAATTCTTTCAGAGGGCAGGAAGTAGCTATGAGCTTTTCCGCTAAGCAATACTTCAATTTCCCCACCCTTAGGGAAAGCTTGTCCTGGTGTTGTTTCAATTCAGCAGATGCTGAGCAGTTAGAGAAAGGGAACAAACAACTAGGGGAAGTATTACCACCTGTTTATGTTGATTTTTACTAAACAAGACTGGCCACCAGCTGTTGTAGGGTAGGGGAAGAGCTAGATGGGAACAGGAAATGGCAACTCAGATGGAAGCCAGTTTTTGGCTTTCTGGCTCTCCGGGGGAAAAAAGTATCACGGAAGTACATGGTCATTCTCAAATGGCCAAGAGACAAAGGCAAGATAATGCACTCCATTCACTAGCATGGCGGGGTTGGGCTTAGAGTGCATAAATGAAGTCACACATAGTTATGAAATTAACATTAGTTGCCTACTCTATATTCATTTTCTCCTTCTTCCTTACTAAAACCTGTATTGTTGGGCACAGTGACGTCCATGCAAAAATGATATTTCTTGGCCTCCTTTATAGCTAGCTATAGTCACATGATTGAGTTCTGGCCAAATTAAGTGAAAGTGTTGAATACGATTTCCAGGAAGACTCTTTAGAGGGCCCTGACTCAGCTAGGTTTGCTCATTTTGTCCTTGCCCTCTTTTCCTCATGCTGCCAGGAATTTCAGAGTGATGGCTGATGGTCAAGTGGCTATTTTGGACCACGGGGTGACCTTGAGAAAGATCATGTTGTGGAACAGACAGGAGCCTCCATACTAGCCTTTAACTGCCCAACTTTGGCATAGTTTTCTATGAGAAAGACACACTTCTTATTTAAGCTGTTGCTAGTTCTGCTTAATGTAGAGCCAAACTCAATCCTAACTGAGATACCCTGATAGTTACTGGCAATCATGTAACAGATACTTCCTATCTTCCTGTCCTCCAAGGCAAGGTGGATTCTGTTACCTTACTCTATCCTTCTTACAATAGTACAGGATTGCTGAGGCACGTGTTATGTCAGAAGAGGAAACTGGAGTTGAAACAAATCAAGACTTGCCCAATGCCACACAAATGGCTACTTGGAGAGCAGCAGGCTCTGGAAACCAGGTTGCCTCACCCCTAGGATTTTTAAAAGCATAGTAGAAATAGGTGACAAATTTCCTTTAAAAATATTTTGATTAGTTATTTTCAAAAAGCAAGCATTTGGCTGGGCGTGGTGGCTCATGCCTGTAATCCCAGCACTTTGGGAGGCCGAGGCTGGTGGATCACAAGGTCAGGAGTTCAAGACCAGCCTGGCCAACATGGTGAAACCCTGTCTCTACTAAAAATACAAAAATTAGCTGGGCATGGTGGCGTGCACCTGTAATCCCAGCTACTCGGGAGGCTGAGGCAGGAGAATCGCTTGAAACTGGAAGGCGGAGTTTGCAGTGAGCGGAGATCGTGCCACTGCACTCCAGGCTGGGCAACAAGAGCAAAACTCCATCTCAAAAAAAAAAAAAAAAAAGCAAGCATTTAAGCACATCTCCTTTCTTCTATCAAATGATCTTCTATCAAGGGGACATCAGAGTCACTGACTTTAAAAACATCCTTGTAAGTTGTCTTCAGAATACTACTGCTATATTAAAATGAATTAGAATTCACTGTATTGTTACAGCATACATTAAAAGAGCTGACTTCTCAAACCGGTAAAGATACATTTTGAAGTAGCAATTAGTAAAATGAATGTGTTACTGTTTTAAAAGCATAACAGATGTCATGATTAATGTAGAGTTGACAAAGTCTTTAAGAGGAAAAAACAGAAATAGAACTTTTTTATTTATTTTTTATTTTTTTGAGACGGAGTCTCGCTCTGTTGCCAGGCTGGAGTGCAGTGGCACGATCTCGGCTCACTGCAACCTCCACCTCCCAAGTTCAAGTGATTCTCCTGCCTAAGCCTCCTGAGTAGCTGGGACTACAGGCTCATGCCACCATGCCCGGCTAATTTTTGTATTTTTAGTAGAGACGGGGTTTCACCAGGTTGGCCAGGATGGTCTCGATTTCTTGACCTCGTGATCTGCCTGCCTTGGCCTTCCAAAGTGTTGGGATTACAGGCATGAGCCACCGTGCCCGGCCAGAGGTAGGACTTTTTGTTACAAAGCAAGTAAAATTGAAACAGGTGAATTCAACGTAGAAAAGTTTTAATGAGACAAATGTCAAACAAGCACATCAACTTCTTAAAAAACAAAGAAAATCTGAAAGTTTAATTACAAAAACACTTATACAGAAAACTTGGCATTTCAACAGTTCCAAACACATGTACACAAGTTTTTTCTAAAATCAGTCAGAAATAAAATACCTTGTCTCCCTTTCCTCAGCTGCTTCTTGTATTTTAATTAAAAAGAAACAAAGAAATCTGTAACACTGAATAGGCAACAACTTATTTCTTGAGAACATAAAAGTACAGTAATATCTACAGGTGTACTGGGAAACATGAGTTAGGTATTGTGCTAGCCTGTAACTTCATTTACTGCCTCCTCACTGAGCACAGAGGAGAGAGGAGGTGGCACAGACCTGGTCTATAGATACTGACAGTTTTGTGGCATCTGAATCCCAGCCACCAGAGGCAGGTGAGTAGCTACTGGGAAAGACAGCATTTCAGAAGCAAGCTGCTTATTTTGTGAAAATGATTTCATACTGTAGGCTCTCTTGAAATCTCATGCATTCCTGAATATGCAAATGTTTCAAGTCACTGTCAAGTGTCCCATCTAGAGTCAGAAGAATGATGATCCTGGACCATGTTATGGCCTTTTCTGGTCACAAAAGCAGTGCTAGCAATGCTGCACAAAACTGAACACAAATGAGAAACAGAAATATGAGGAGGAAGGAAGACAGGACACAAAGCATCTGGCAGAAGGAAAAAACAAAACTCCAGAATGGGCTCTGGATGTCCTTCTGCCATAGACAGTGAGTTCTAGCTTGGGCTTTGCAGACAAGGAGTCTAAGAGAAGTGGCAGAAATAGCAGATGATGGCAGGGAAATAGGAAAATACAGAAGAGCAAGAGAACTGGCTAGGTTTATAGCAATAGATAATAATGGGGTCTTATTCTAAAAAATTGCCAAGTGATGGTATGTGGGTTTCAGCGCATGGATATTTGATATATGTTCATATAAGACATTTTAAAAACAGATTTTGTTGCTGTTGTTTTCCTTTGGACTAATAAAGAAAACAGGCAAGGAGATGCTGAGAAGACAGGATGGTGTAGCAACATGACAGGTAGTTCTGCCCTATGCCCTGACTTATGGGCATACTATGAGAGGGGCCGCACTTCTATCCACCTGCCTGCAGTGGTGTGGGGCCCAGACAACGGGCTCTGCTTGCTCTGCCTTTGGTTCCAAAGATCTCAGCTGTAACCTTTAGCCTTGTGCTCTGCAGTGTCAAAACAAAAACAAAAACAAAAACAATGAACAACCAAAAAACCCTGAGGTAAGAATCAGAACCTCTCTTTCCTTTTGCTGTTAAAGGAACCAGAAACTGCTAGGCGTGATGCTTGAGCCCAAGAGTTGTAGGCTGTAGTGTGCTATGATAGCATCTGTGAATAGCCACCGCACTCCAGCCTGGGCAACACAGGAAGACCTCATCTGTAAACAAAACAAAACAAAACAAAACAAACAAAAATGAACCAGAAAGTCCTCTTTACTTATGCTGTTAAAGAAAAAATCACTAAGGAGGGGGAAGGAAGGGAAGCCTGTCTTCCTCACATGGATTCAGCAGTTAATGGCTACAGAAGGAAGACAAAGGACATGAGAATTCTTCCTTGCTTTTTTTGTGAGCTCAAGTGACTATTTTGAATGATATTTCCACCTATCTAGATCTATGAATCATTACTCCTAAAGAAGACAGGAATTCCCTCAGTTTTCACTTACAATAAACTTAGGGCTTTGTACTCTTTCCCTTTCTCCTCTGTTTACAAGTGACCTTTTCCTCAGCAAAAATGCTCCACAAGACATTGTCAACAGATGGGAACAGAAGAGCCTTGCTGGGGCTGGGACTCCATGTCTGTGCAGGAGCAATGCTTAGAAAACAGCAGGCAGTACCAGTGAGGAAGGAAAGAGCATTCTCCTTTAGGGCAGCAATCACAAAGCCACACTGAGGGCTGGCACCCACTGAGCACCGTGTGGGGTAGGAAACACAGCCTTGCTCCACAGGGCACTGTCAGCAAGAAGCTCCTTTCTTTGGAGTCACAGCAGGGCAATGATGGGAGAAGACTGGGCCTGTCCAATGCAAGAAACTCTCCTTCAGAACCTTGCTGAGCAACCAGTTAGTCCAGAGGTCAGAAAATGGAGATGTATAAATTGGTGGGGGCCAAGGAAAGCAAAAATAACCCCCAGAGGCATTTAAAAAAGTGACAGCTAGGTAAGAAAACTGGAGCTCCACTGATAAAAGGGTCTAAGCGAAATTACAATGAAAAGTCTTCCTTTCTGCAGCAGCAGATGTCAGCATCCGGGTCACCTAGTAAGCTGAAGATATGCAGATCCACTTTAACAGAAATGGAAATGGTAGGAACCTGAAGACCCGGGAGAGTGGCTGTACACCTTCAAAGCTTCACATAAGGACAATTCCATAGGAAGCTCATATACATGTTGCTGCTCCCTCATTTGGCTTCCTGGGGTGATGGCCTTTCACTCACTGATAATTCTTTCACAAGCAAAGGGATCTGCACTCTTTCTCTGCCCCCACTCAGTTCAAATTTCCATGGATGGCTTCTCATTCCTCACAAGTAAAAACACTTATGGAACATCTTGGAGTTCTAAGACCTGTAGAATCAGGAAAACAAAACAAAACAAAAACAAAAACAAACAAGGAAAATAACACCAAGAAAGTAAGTATTGAATGGAAGGGGTTAGCGCTATGGATTTTAAAAATGCTTTGGTTTCATAAGCGTTAAAGTGAGTGCAGGGTGTATGTAAACTGAAGAACTCATAAAGCTGTAAGCAGGCAACCTCATTGAGATGTTTTACATAACATTTCAATGAGAAACATGGCCCTGTTCCAGTTCAGCAACAATGGGAGGTAGGAAAATCATCAGCTAAACACAGAAAAGCAACTATCAGGGACAAACCTGAGGAGGGAAAATGAGTACCCTACTTTAGTCTGAAGAATGTATGGTCAATCAAAACCAATTTTCTTCAAGTGTTAACTAAGGATATCTGCATGTATAGAGATGTATTATGTGCATATAATCAAGAACATTTCTCATATTAATAAAAATACAGTCACATAAGATTTTTTTTCCCTAAACTCAAACAGCCAAATATTATCATTGAAATCAGGCAACATATGCATTTTAATAGTTTATATAAGGTAGTCACCTTTCAACTTAAAATCACCCTCATGGCCTCCTCCTAGCTCCACTTGTCTCTAGGTACTACTCAGCTACAAGAAAGGTGACAGACAGGTAGGGTAATTCTTCCACTGTATATTTATCAAAATAATTTTAAAATGAGCTAAAATTCTATAACATTATAATTCCTGGATTACAATTTTTATCTGTTTACTTCCTATGTATCTTAATGCTCTATTTCAGGATTTTTTAGTGCTTTCCCCTTCCCCCATCCACCTCTTCCTTAGAGCAATGTTTTAGAAACCCAGTGAATGAGAGAGTTTAGATATCTGTGGTTCTAGTCTTGGATTCTGTACTCATCTACGCAGATATTTTCAAGCAAGATGTTTCTCCTCTCTGGGATTCAGTTTCTTCATATATAAAATGTTAGATTTCTAAAGGTCCCTAATATGCTCCTCTGAAACTTGTAGACCATTAGCTTCCCTTCACTCACTGGCTCCTGACAGTGGATGAAAACTTTGCCAAACTCTTGTCAGAGTAATTAATTGCATCATGAGTGCTGGGGACATCAGCCTCGCTGTCTGTACATATTTGTATAATGAGGCCAAACCAGTATTAATCACAGTCTTTGTAATTGTTTCCTTTGACAGTTTTGGGGGTGTGGGGAACCATCTATTGTTAGTTATGTTTGCATGGCTAGACTGTAAGAATCTGTAGTAATATAACAGTTCACACTTTTAGCTATTTTTTCAGGGGCAAAATATTTGTAGGTTAAAATCAAGGATAATAGTAATATTCTAAGTTTTCAAAGACTCATCAGAAAACAAATAATATAGTTTATACTCTTGAGATGAAAAAAGCTTTAGGAGAGTCTTACTGGCAAAATGCTCAAAATGGAAAACCACTTTTGGGTCAATACTTAATTAGCTGCCCTGTATCTATGTGAAGAGACACGATGTTATCAATTAATGTTTTCTTTCACAATCTTCCACACTGTTTCTCCCAGCTCTCACTTTTCAAGCCTACAAGAGTGCTAATTGAAAACACTGTACGAAAATGGGAAGGATGATGAGCTCCTGAATATCCCAGGCCTAGATTTACAAGCTGTTCCCTTCATAAGCAGCAGCAGTAATGCCACTTCTTTATTCTGCAGGGAGTCCAGCCATCTCTAAGAAGTACAGTCCATTCCATCTGGCTACTCCCTAGAAGGATAGTAATCCTTTCCCCATCAGAGCATGGCTGAGGCTAAAATATAATGCATTGCCTTGTACAGTTACCATCCAAGGGCATCACCAAGAAGTATAAAGACTTCTGCCTTTGTCTTTACTAGGCATTTATCTTTATATATGTTGCTCAAAGTCCAAACCAAACCAGAATATAAATTATGTATATGAGTGTGCTCATGTACTCACAGGACAAATAAAGATTCAAACCCATGACCATTCTAAGGAACATATCCTGCTGTTGACTCTTATTTTAGTATCCATATATGGCCACCTCATTGTAGAGTCTAATCTTAAAATTTCCACACAGTTTATATGTCTGCAGGTATGGAATAACTTAACCAATAGAGCAAAGGGATGCCAGTTTTGTGGGATGGCATAGTAAAGGGGTATCCTATCTCTAGGAATTTGAATGAATAAATACCAATTCCATTTGAGAAATGACCATTAGTACCAAAAAGTGTCATGGGTAGATCTCTTCTGGAAAAAAAAAAAAAAAAGGATACATACTACTGCTCATTTGTTGAACATATTTTTTAAAAACTTATTTTCTCTCTCTTTTTTGCTTATTGAGAATTTTATATTTTTATTTTGTTTTTTTTTTTTTTGAGACAGAATCTTGCTCTGTTACCCTGGCTAGAATACACTAGTGTGACCCTAGCTTACTGAAACCTGAACTCCTGGGATTAAGTGATCCTCCTGCCTCAGCCTCCTGAGTAGCTAGGACTATAGGTGTGCGCCATCATGCTCAGCTAATTTTTTTCATTTTTTTTTAAAGCAGGGGTCTCACTATTTTGCCCAAGCTGGTCTTGAACTCCTGGGCTCAGGCAATACTGCCTCAACCTCCCAAAGTGCTAGGACTACAGGTGTGAGCCACTGTGCCCCACCAAGAGTTTATTTATTTTTTATTTAAAAAAATTTTTGAGACAGTGTCTTGCTCTGTCACCCAGGCTGGCATGCAGTGGTCTGATAATGGCTCACTGCAGCCTCGCCTTGACCTTCTAAGCCCAAGTGATCCTCCCACTTTAGCCTCCCAAGCAGCTGGGACCACAAGCGCATACCACCATGCCTGGCTAATTTTTTGTATTTTTTGTAGATACGGGGTTTTGTCATGTTGCCCAGACTGGTCTTGAACCTGGACTCCAGCGATCTGCCTGCCTTGACCTCCCAAACTGCTAGGCTTACAGGTGTGAGCCATTGCACCTGGCTGAAGAGTTTATTTTTTAATCTATCAAAACCAGGGAGTTACCTGTTTGTATGGTGAGTCCACATCAACATTTAACAGACAACAGTCACTGTGTTATTGAGTGGTGAATATAAAAGCTTCCTACTTATGTAGGCTCACATACATACAATGTCTCACTGACTACTTCTAAATTATCATTAGTATTTTCCAGAGAAAAGGAAGATTAAAAATTAAGTTATATTTATTTTGTTCTGAGTGCTGTTTTGGGGATGATTTCTTCTAAGTTTCCCACTCACTTTTCAAAACCTTTTGGGAAACTAATGCCCAAGAATACAGCTAATAAGTGACAAAGCTAGAAATGAGGTCAAGCCACAAAAACCATGCTTTTCCCATTAAACCATTCTGAAGCAAGCATAAGAAAAAACTGTCTTGAGTCTGTTTTCTTTTATTTTTAGAGACAGGATCTCTCTGGACTTGAACTGCTGGGCTCAAGCAATCCTCCCACCTCAGCCTCCCAAGTAGCTGGGACTACAGTGATTCTCTTTTCTAATATTATTTACTACATTTAACAACCATGCAACAGGAATCTTAACCAAGTCTCCAACTTGTTCATCCAATGTAATCCCAGGGTTTTAGTAGTATTGATAAAGTCTGATGACATCTTATTTTTGATGATGTGCTGGCATATAAATATTTATCAGTGAGCACTCACCATTCCCTAACGATCGAGTCTGTTCACAACTTCTCGAACTGTAGCTATGAAGTTTTCATTGTCTTGGGGATTAGCTAAAATAATACTGTGCAGTCTGTTCATATATGAGTCAATGGTGTCCACTGTAGGTGTCTCTCCACTTCCTGAAGTGAGATAAGAAGAAAGTAAGAAAATCCTCCCTATTCAGTTGTACCATAAAACACAATTTCAAAGAAACAGTGATTCTAATGTGGTCTGCTCCACAGACATGCTTTTAATTTTAGAGGAGAGACTTTTAGATCTCAAAGAAATGAAATTAGTCCACATACTCTAAATAAACAGATGGGCTATATAATTGCTGTATAGTATATATGAGCAGCTGCATGTAACAGAAGGTTAGACTCGCTCAGCTTTCTGCTATGACTATCTTCAAAATGAAAGAGTATATAAGAAATACCAGTGTTCATTCTCCCTTCCTTCCCGTTAAAACAAAAACAACTAAAAAGCAAACAAACATACATAAGAAGAAACACTCTCAAGATTTACTACTCAGTTTCCAGTGTTCTGAATAGCAAATTAAGCTTAAAAGAGGGGAAAATAGATATTAAAATATAAATGGACAAAAATTTGAATGACCAGAGAGCCTGAAACATTGGACGATTTTAGCCAATACTGACATTCTATTATATCCAGAGAAGAAAAAATGTAGTTTAATTAATTTTCCTCTGGAGGAGATTTCAATCTCTCCACACCAGTACTAACATAAACAGCACCCCACTCCACACAACACACACACCCCTGTCACTGACAGTTCTCAGGCAGGAGGACTTACCAGGCAAGGGCATGCTGGCAAAGCTGCTGGTCAGCACCTGCCGCAGGGTCTCCAGGTGCTGCTGTAAGACTGTGTTGCGGCTCCGCTCCTGGATCACATCCACCTCCAGCTTCTCCACTGCTGTGCGCATGCTCTCCACGTGCTTTTGCAGGGCTGCATTCCTCTCCTCAAACTCCATGTTGGATTTGCGAAGCTGGCGGAGCTCTGCTTCCCGAGCTGAGGACATACATCCCACAGAACACATGCAGCACTAGAAGGAGTCTCTGAGGAGTCCCAATGACTCTTACAGGGAAGTTCTGCTTAGCTGCCTCTAATTTAGCTACCCCACCTCATCTCCCTATTCTCATTATGGCATTCCAGATAGCAATTTCAGCAATGAAACGCCTGACTCCCCAGAGCTATTTTAATTCTTAAAGCTAGTCACATTCCATACATAAGATTGCAACAAACAGTTTCAATTCCCAGTATTTTTTTGTTTGTTAGTTTTTGCTTTTTAAATTGTACAATCAGAAGCCTGAGGGGTTTTGCAGGGGGATCCTGGGAGACTGGCCAAGCACAGCTGTAGGTACCCATCTTTACCACAATGGGATCAGACTTGCTCTTACTTATTTTATATTTTGGACTCCCATGTAAGTTTTTATTTGTGCAAGGGGTTCCAGGCTAAGAGTTTGAAGACAAGTGAATTTGTGATTTGCATTTATTTCCTTTCATCCAGAGACCAAAGAAGCTTTGACAACAATGCCCTAGCTTTCCTTCACTGGTCTTTGAGTAGTCCTAAGGAGGGATAACACTACCATTGCTTTTGAGCAATGAATTTCTTCTGAGAACTAAGTCCCCTGTCAAAAATCTGAGAAACACAAAAAGAAACTTCAGTAATCACCTTTGCTATGGTTCAAGAATTCCTCTGTAAATATAGGGATGTCAAAAACAGACCGTTCCTTTACCTCTGTTTCTTTCTGTGAATCAAGAGGAACAAAACAGTTAATTCTTAATAGAAGATAAATTAAATAATAGTGCCTGAAGACAATGATCATGTCTTCTTTAAAGAAAGAATAGGGTGAGCAGGAATCAGTCCAGGTGAGTCTGTGAGGGAAATGTATTCATCTTTTCATTGGAATCCAACTTTCACAGAGCTTAAGCAGGTAAAGTATTCACTTCTCTCAGGTATACAACTACTGTGCAATTAGAAACCTTAAAACAAAGTTACGTAAATTTCCCTAATGGAGAATTTGAAGCCATTTCTTAGCCTTGTGTTTTGAATAGTCAACAGTATACAGTTGTGAAAGTGATTGCAGTGGGAATTGAGAAAGAGTAGTTTTTTTTCAGTCACTTTTGTTGGTTATGCATGTAAAATGCTCCCTGAGATAAGATTATGCAATATAAATTTGCAGAGTGGACAATAAGAATTTTAAGCAGAAATGTAACTGCTATGAGCAATAATTATGATATTCCATTGGTACTTCTATTTACTTAAGAGAGGCAGCCTATCTTTGGGGTCTTTTAGATTTTCTTTAGACACAGGAAAAATAAACAAACAAACACATGAGACCGAGAAATCAGAAATAACCAGGCTCTAAAAATTAGAAAGCAAACGATTATGTGAGATACAAAAGAATAACAAAGCCTAAAATTAATTCACCAATAAGCCATTAAAAATAAAAAAGCCTCACAAGATCATTGCAAAATATATTCCACAATGATCTTTAAGAATAAAGTCAATAACTCAAGATGCTTTGGCTGTCGTTTCTAAAATGAATTTGAAGTTGAAAGCATTGTGAATATTAATTTTAAGTGTGTTGGCATAATGTTCAAAATTTTCCATAACAAAGGTGGTAAAATGGCAGGAAGTGAGAAATGAAGAAACTGCTAGTGAAATCTTAAGATCCCAGGACCTTTATAACATGAAAAACATGCAAACATAATACCTAGATTTCATTCCTATAAACAATTGTTTAAAGCTAGACAGAATGTATCTTTCCTACTCTTGTCACCACTAGCTTTTTTTTTTTTTTTTTTTTTTTTTTCTGAGAGGGAGTCCCTCTCTGTTGCCCAGGGTGGAGTACAGTGGCACGATCTCAGCTCACTGCAACCTCTGTCTCCCAGGTTCAAGCAATTCTCCTGCCTCAGCCTCCCAAGTCACTGGGATTACAGGTGCCCACCACCATGCCTGGCTAATTTTCTGTATTTTTTTAGTAGAGACGGGGTTTCGCCATGTTGGCCAGGCTGGTCTTGAACTCCTGACCTCAGGTGATCCACCTGCCTTGGCCTCCCAAAGTGCTGGGATTACAGGCTTGAGCCACCGTGCCCAGCCTCCACTAGTTTTTTAAATCTTTGAACACAAAAATGACTTGGTGCCCAGTAGAAAAGCTAAGCAGTTCACAGCTTAAGAGGGAAATCTGACACCCGAGCTCCTGTATTCATAACGGTGGCCGCCTAGTAAGGGGGCTGGGCTGTGTGAACCACCTGCCAATGGCAGCTGAGCAAGAAAGACACTGAAAAGCTATGTAATTTCAGAGCACTTAATTTCTACTTGTATTTTTCTTCCTAACAAAAGAAAGCAAAGTTTCCCAGAATAATTTGAAAATGAACAACAAAATTATCAATCGAAAGTCCCAAGTTTCAACATGCAAAGCTCTACCTCGAGCCAGTTCCTAGGGGATTTCAATGGAAACTAATGTATGAACAAGAAAGGCTGGTTCCAGAAGGAATCTTAGCCATATTTCGCAGTGGCTTTCTCTCAAATTTGCTGGCTTCCCATATGCTTTAACTGTTACTGGGCTGCTGCAGGAAAACAAAACTTAATGACACACAATCCCAACATGCACAAGGCATAACAGATATAAACATAAGTCCACAGATGACAGCATAAAGACTTAGGACATTATCATCCTATCTTATTCAATCTCCAACTTAACTGCAGTTACATGAGATCAGTTACCTAAGCTATACGTCTCAATATCTGCCAGTTAGATGGGTAAAGTGGAGACGCTTGGCTCCCATTACCATGGTACAAAGATCCCTCTCCTCCAAAGTCTTGACTCTCCTCAGACTGGTAATCTTTTCTCTTCTTTGCCAGAGCAGTCCAAATCAAGCTAATTATGTAAGGGCAGAGGACAGCACCACATAGGTGCATTAACACACTGCCCCTTGGTACAGATTCTCAGAGCACAAAATAAGAAACATTAAAGCAATTCAATGAAACTGTTCAGTCTCTGAAAGGTAACAGAGAAATTCTACTTAATGGAAGAGTGGTAATAAAAACCATCAGCGCTCTTCCATTACTGAGCACATTTCACGGCATGGAGAGGATCCTTCTGGGGGCTTGGGTGTACTTAAGCTGCTCCAAGGATAGCTCAAAGGATTAAAATCATAAGGATCTGATTACCCTTTCACTGAAAGGGTCTAATTTGTTCAAGCTGAGTGTCATTCTGTCATTTCTCATAAATTAAAGGAGAAACAAAATTATTGTTTCTATCTTAGTTTTCACATGAGATATAGACACTTTCTTGAGAGTAATACTCGCTAACTCTTGGGTCTAGTGGGCTGGCTTTCGATTTGAGAGGAGCAAGAATATTCTTCACTTTGGTTTCCATTCTATATATTGAGTGGAGGTTAAGAGAAAAGAGGCCCTTTTGAACTGAACCTATTTTGCTGTGATCTAGGCTCAGGGCCAGAATTTCAAAGAGTGTGATATGTGCTTCTCTCAAGAGACTTTTACTTTGGGAAATGCTCTTAACATTGTGTACCAGCCTGAAGTGCCCCACTGCTATGCAGAATGGCTTTCAGGTCAGCATTTCTTTAGCTCTAATATGCCCTCTCCAGTACCTGCCTTGGTAACAATGACTTAGGGATCCAAGTTTCATTTAGGAATACAATAGGTTTCTTTACTATACACAAACCAAATAGTTTACTTAACTGGCAACACATTTTGCTGACACCTTGGGCAACGAGGCCCATTTTTACTTTCAACGCTGTAATTTATGCTATGTAGCATGGCACTGTGCTGTCAAGAATGTTAGACTATGACACAGAAGGCCTGGGTTTCTGTCACAATTCTGCCTCTAATTTAATTCAGTAAGTGATTCTGGGTAAATTCTTTCCATTCTATATACTGTCTTAGGCAAGTCACTTTCCTCACTGGCAAAATGAGGTGGTCAGTTGAGAGGATCACTGAGTCTCAGTGTTTTACTCCTCATAGGATAAGTAAAGGGAAATAAGTATGTATTTAGGATCTATGGTCTTTAGACACTGCAAGATATTTGCTCTTTTATTAAAAACTTACTCATACCTCTGCTCAAGCCATTTTACCCACCCTGAGATGCCCACAAAACCTAGGTCATTTTTAAGTCCTGATTCAATTACTCCTTTCCATGGGCTCCTTCTGCGGCTGCTTTTCACCCATAGTGCTATTTTTCTGAACTTCTATTATACTAAGAAGTTATATGTAAGAAAATTACTGGGTAACAGTGTTTAAAAACAGTTTTAAAACTTTCAAATCAGTTCTTTTATACTGCAATTGTTCTAAAATTATCTAATTTAGGAAACATATTATTCAGTGAAAAATAAAAATGGATGAAGTAAGGGACATTAATTGGGTCAACACGCTTACTAAAGGAGCTTTATCCTGCTGTGGCCATACCAACACATGGATTTACAGAACCTACTGTATAACCTTTTAAGAAACAACTGCTGGCTCTCCATCTACTCACTCCTTTTTTTTGTTTGGTTTAACATGTGTCTAATCCTGTAACAGGGAAATACAGAGACTCACTTCTTTTTGCAAATCACAGAAATTACAGAAATTCATATCACACTAATGTATCTGAATAAACACCTTCACTTCTCAAATAATCAGCAGCAGGTTCTATGATACAGACTAAATCTACATCTTTTCTGACTGCAACTATCAAGTTTACTGAAGACAAAAATGCTACATATAGTTTGGCCAGCAAAATTCATAGTGATGAAATGAGTCAGATGACTGACACCTATTCAGATGACTGACTAGAAAATGTGAGATCTAATGTTTCAGGTTACTGTCCAAATTCTCTTTGGTAACTGTTAAGGATAGAGAAGCTATAAAATAGAGAAAAAAAGAAGCACAGGAATTTCATGATATTGATAGCTGGGCACACAGGCAAAGAAAGAGAGAAGTAATTATACAAATGTCTGCTAATATGAAAAGTTTACAATATTATTATGATTTAAAATACAAAGAATACATACAAAGTTTCTCCAGCAAAACAACATAACATTTCATCCTAATTAGAGCATAGAATGTCATATATAATTACATTTATATAGGATTTATCTGAAGAATAAAATGTAAATATTTACTATGCTTCTCACTTTATAATTCATAGATGGTAATAACGTCTATTTGACCTGTGAATCTGAATCTTTTCTCTATGTTTTAAGGTAACCAACATTTCCTTGATTTAGTAAAAAACCAAACACATGTAAAAGAGTACATCAGAAAATTCTTTTTGTTCAAATTCTCAGTTATTTCAGGTCAACTTTGAATAGATTCCATAAAATAATCATTTGTGGAATACCTTCTCAAGGCAAAGGTATCATGATAGGTGGTATGGGGTTGGATATAAAGATGGAAACTAGACTGTGTATGTCCACAAAGACATTACAACCAAAGAGTGTGAGCCCTTGAATTACCTCAAAACCCCTAGGTCAGATCAGCTAAGCACATAACACAAGTATAGAGAGCCATGAGGGTTAAAGGAAGTTAGAGGAAACAAGAAAAGTTTGAAGGAGAAAACAGAATTTGAAACAACACACACACCTAAATCCCATACACACACAGAAACACAGGCCTAAATCCTAACAATGGGGCTGAACCAAGTGGGAGGAAAGAAGCCAGTACACAAACATGTGCTAGTGAAGTGAGGGAATAGGAAAGGAGGTGTGAGAACTGAGATACTGGGCCGGGCGTGGTGGCTCACGCCTGTAATCCCAGCATTTTGGGAGGCCAAGGCGGGTGGATCATGAGGTCAGGAGATCGAGACCATCCTGGCTCATATGATGAAACCCTGTCTCTACTAAAAATACAGAAAATTAGCCGGGTATGATGGCACGAGCCTGTAGTCCCAGCTACTCGGGAGGCTGAGGCAGGAGAATTGCTTGAACCCGGGAGGCGGAGGTTGCAGTGGGCTGAGATTGTGCCACTGCACTCCAGCCTGGGCGACAGAGTGAGACTCTATCTCAAAAAAACAAAAAACAAAACAAAACAAAAAACAAACCTGAGATACTGTCGCTTGTGCTCTATCGACATTGTAGTTGAACAGTTCGCTTTAAGCAAATGCTGGATTCTTTAAATAACAACTTTTCTGAGAGTCAGATTTAAGTATTTGGTGATGATAAACTATGGTCATGTTATAGCTTTCAGCTAGCCCTCATTTCTATACTTCATTCCAAATTCCAGCCATCTTTGGCATTTAAAGCCAATAAAATTCTCAGATCACAGGAAAGGATTGAGGTTAGGGGCTGTAGTTCAATGACAGACACACAACGTAAGTGTCTGCCATATGCTAAGAACCCCCAAGCTAAAGTATCTCATTTAATCTGAATTACGAGATAGGAAATACTTTGCCATTCATTAAAAAAAAAAAAATCCAATAGCATTTCAAAAAGCAACATTATTATAAATACATATATATGATATGTAGACAGATGGCTAATTACCTCATGATCATGAGTGGCCTGCCGGGCTGCATCTAAAAATATAAAAGAATAAGAGAACATTACATTTAAAAAGAAAGCAATAACAAAACCCAAGTATACGACTCTGCCAAACTATAAAACCTGCTTGTATATGTAGATTCTCATAACATATGATATTTTTCCTTAAGGCTTTATTAATCGGTCAGCCAACAAAAGTAAGGGAACCCCATGCCTACAGAATTCATAATTAGGCATAAGAGAAACAGCAGACACAGTTCTTAACTTTAGGGAGAAAAGGGTGGAAGAGTGGACAGAAGACACAAACCAAAGACTACTTATACAACATCTATAATTTTAGCAGGCTAGATGCCCAAGTATAGAGAAGATGCAATGGCTAAGGAAAAATAGGCTAGTTGTGGATGGTGCTTCAAAAATGACACATGAAAGGCTTAGAAGTGTTAAAGGGAAGTTACTGATATAATTTTGTAGATAGGCTTGCTTACAGGCAGAGAAATGCCTAAACTGGGAATCAGGAAAAGAAGGGCAGGCAACTAACAGGGGTCTCGGAGGACAAGTCAAAATCATTGATAATAGACACGGAAACCCAGTTGAAATTTCTAAATGAGAGCAATGTGATTTTAATAAAATTTCAAGATAATGCTTGTAAGTGAATACTGGATAGTGGAGAAAAAACAGAAACACATCTTTTATAGTTACCACTCTTAACAGTTGGCTTTATGACACTCCATCACCCACAACAAACTACAAATACATTTGGTTCTGGTTTTGATACCTTGCCTATGAGATTTGCCTTTCTGACGGTCCTGGGTTTTCCTACTGAAGACCTTGTAGGCCTCTGTTTTCTGATACTGTTCCAGTTCCTTCATGTAACGCTCCTTATCTCTGTCTGCTTCATCAAGGTAGCGCTAGGAAAGAAATACAGAATTATTTTCAAGAAAATGAGATCCTATTTAAATAAAATTAAATTACCTATTTGAAGAAAACAGGACAATTAGAACATGGGAAGAAAAGAATATAGGGAATATGCCTTAAAAAAGAATCAGAAAAACAAGAGTTGTATGAATAGAATAAAATATAACCTCTCAATTATAAAAGTAAATAGGTCATTATGAGTTTTTAGAATATTTATTGCCTTTTCTAACCTAATGAAGACAAGTTCTATTGAGATCATTCTTATAAAAAATTCATGAAGATGATTAGAGTTATTCTTCTAACTCTATAGATAGAACTCTATATGGCCACTAGAGTCATCCTCATGAGATGTGCACACCACATAGGCACACTTAGTCTTCCCAAGGGAAGGAACAGAATATTACTTTGTTTTGCTGTCTCCAGCCCATTTTGAGGGGATGATGTCATACATCAATTGGCCCTTTAAGAGCCAGGAGGTTGGAGCAATGAAGCTGGGAGACACAAAGAACATAAAAATAATGACCTCATCCTATGGACCTAAAAATGGACTACTCTGAGAGAACCTATATCTACATGCTTTGATTGCTTTGTGCTATTAATTATTTAAACAAAGTTCATTGATCTACCAGGATTATTTTGTTTAATGCTTTGCCCTTTTCATTCATCAAAATGAAGTATAAGAAAGTATAAAAATACTGCTTCTAAATGAACAGAAAACACACTCAGAAATTATGTTAAACACTTTGTCCCGCGTAAGAGCCAGATGTAGGGGATACTCAACTGGCCAAATCTGGTACAATTTAAGCACCAAAATAATTAAGTACAGTAATAAATTATAAACTAGTAGAAAAAACTTCATACTATTATTAGTATGATTTATAACAGACACAATACCAATGATTTGTTACCATACAAATACAATAAATGGGTGTAGAGGCTGAGCGTGGTGGCTCACGCACGTAATCCCAACATTTTGGGAGACCGAGGTGGGTGGATCACTTGAGGTCAGGAGTTCAAGACCACACTGGTCAACATGCTGAAACCCCATCTCTACTAAAAATACAAAAATTAGCTGGGTGTGATGGTGCACGCCTGTAGTCCCAGCTACTTGGGAAGCTGAGGCTAGAGAATCGCTTGAACCTGGGAGGTGGAGGTTGCAATGAGCCGAGAGTGTGCCACCGCACTCCAGTTTGGGCGACAGAGCAAGATTCCATCTCAAAAAACAAACAAACAAACAAACAAACAAATAAATAAATGGGGGTAGGGGGTCGGGCATGGTGGCTCATATCTGTAATCACAGGATGTTGGGAGGCCAAGGCAAGAGGAGGACTGCTTGAGCCCAGATGTTTGAGTCCAGCCTAGGCAACAAAGTGAGATCCCATCTCTACAAAACATAAAATAATTAGCCAGTTTTGGTGGTGTGTGCTACTTAGGAGGCTAAGGTGGGAGGGGTGCTTGAGACCAGGAGGTCAAGGTTGCAGTAAGCCAAGATCTTGCTTAGATTAGAATGCTGAAGGCTACCTGGTAAATGTAAAGGGAGTGCTGGAGTTGGAAAAATCATCACGTTGTAACCATAATGATAAAGATTAAATCAGGCAAAAATAATCAATGGATGCTAAATCTAGGGGAAAATGTTGATGTAAAACAGGCTGTTTGTATGTTCTTAAATCGTCTCCCCATAGATTACTTATTAATGACAAAGGAGAATTTAAATAATGTACCAGGTAAGCAAAATTAACATTACTAGTGAGAAACAAAAGGACATTGTGTGCCTGCATATGTGACATATTGAGAACACACCACCACCTATGCAAGTAATCCCACCAAGAATGCGCAACCTCAATCTAATCACAAGGAAACATCTGAAAAATACACAATGAGCAATGTTCTGTTAAAGGTAAAAGCAGCGGGGGAAGCAGAAGGGAACTGTATTTTAAAAAAATATCAATGTTATAAAAGAAAAAGAAAGATTATGGAAATATCCCAGTTTAAGCTAAAGAAACTTGACTACTAAACACAAAACCTGACCCTAGACTGGAACCTGTTTTGGAAGGGAAAAATGTTATAAAGAAATGACATTCAGTCAACATATAGATGACAGATTAAAGCACTGTTAATGAAAAATTATGAAATTGATGACTACACTATGGTTATATAAGAAAATATTCTTTGACATACACACTGAAATATCCTGGGGGTAAAGGGCTACAATGTATATAATTTATCCTCACATGATTAAAACAAAATTTTGTGTGTGTCTGGGTGTACACATGCAAGTGTGTGTGTGTGTGTGTGTGTGTGTGTGACAGAGAGAGAGAGAGAGAGAGAGAAAGACTGAGCATGCAAAAGTATAAGAAAGACTGAGCATATAAGTGCATATGCAAATGGAGAAATGGAATAAAATGTGTTAACAATAGGTGAATCTGGGTAAAGAGTGTTGGGATGTTCTTTGTATTATTTTTATGTTTGTAACTTTTTGTGTATTTGAAATTATTTCCAAAAAAAGTTAAAAAAACAAAAACAAACACAAAACCTTTGTCCTACGTAATAGTGGTTATCCCAAGAAATAAGCACTGTTATTTTTACATTTTTGTTTATACATTTCTGTATTCTCTGAAAAGAGAATAATGAGCACATATTAATTTTAAAATAAAGAAAAAAAAGAAAAGAATAGCATAGTATGTACAGCCCACTATCCTTTTATACAGTAGCGCCAAAACAATGGATGATATTCACTGCTTTCTACTAGCTTGCTACCACAAACACAGAGCTTCAAAAGTTGCAACTGAATCTGATCTCTTTGAAAATTTCTGAATTCAATTAATTCCCAGGAGAGTATTTCTCCATTTGGTTTTAGTGTGTCTGGAATCCTTTTTAAAAAGTGTAAGTCATAAAAGAGTTTAAGACGTAAAAGAAATACAGATATCTTTCAGATGCTGGGAATGCTGGGAACTTTTAACCCAAAGCAGCTCCCACAACCATGACCACTGCTCAGCTTTAGTGGTACTTCAACCAGCTCATGGCTATCTTGTCCTTAATTCCTTTCAAATCTCTCTAATGAACGGATTCATTTCAGTTTGCCCATCAGGTTAGTTTCTGTCTTAGAGGAGAAAGAATTCAAGTTGTTCTTGCTTTATTTTCAATAGTAGGTTAATTTGCCAGAACTCTAGTTAAAAAAAGTATTAAAGCAGTAACATTTTTTCTTAAAAATCTTATGTGAACTGCAGAATTGTGTCAAGTGACTTTTTCTCATTTAATTCACGACTTTTCATTTAACTCAGTGGAATACATTTTATTGACAGATTTCTTAATACTGAACCACTTAAAACAATCTTATGTGAACTCAGCGTATAAAAAGTGGTGTTGCTTTGGTTGAGGGGAGTCCTAGACTCCTTCCCTGCTCACACCCCTCTAGCAAATAGTTTAAAAATCACTAGGCTAGAGAAAATTGCTATGATGGACCCTGCTATTCTGGTCTCCTAGGCACTGTGACAAAACTGCAGAATCAACTGTCCATCCTCTTTGCTTTTCTTATATAAGTTATTTCTGAGATATAATCAAAACCAAACAAAGAGTCAGGAATAGGAACAATTACCTGTTTTTCCTCAGGAGGCAGTTTACTCCATTCATTGCCTAACATCCTTGTGATTTCTGGAAATGGGACTTCTGGTCTCTTTGCTCGAAGTTGTTCTCGACGCTCATTCATGAACCGAACATATCCTGTAAGGGGGGATTTGGGTGCATTGCTGTCTCGAAGAGGTTTCTTCCTCTTTCTTCCTTTGGACCAACCTCCTCGTTTACTTCGTTGCTACAAAACAAAACAAAATAAAAAACCAAAAACCAAACAACAACCATCTCCCAAAATAACCCAACAACAACAAAAACAAACAACAACAAACAAAACAGGATTAAGAGTTGCAATTTGGCCCTGGATATTCAAAGCTCTCCACATCTGTTGTAGGTAATATACAAATGACAGCAATGCAATTTTTGAGGAACTCCAGATGCTTCACTTGCAACCTCTTTTATGTATCACACTACAAAATGTTACACTAAAGGGCTATTTTTGTGCTAATCTCAATGTATGAGAATAAGAGGTGCCATGATCACTCAGCTTTGACCTTCATATGCATATGACTGTCCCACAGACAACTGTCAGGTCCTGATTCCTGACAGGAGAGTATCCAAATGGGAAATACAGCAGCACATGCAGCATTGTGGCAGGGAGGCAGACATTGTCAGATTAGAGTAAGATGGTGTCACGTGCACCAGGCAAAAGAAGAAACAAGTTGTAGCAGAAATTAAAAATAACTCACAATGGGAGTTGCTCATTGATAACTTTCAAAGACTAGCTTATTTCCCATAGCAGATAGCAGATAGCATAGCATAGCAGATAGATACTAAATTAATATCTAAGTCTCAGAAAAATTTTAGTAAGTATAATATATCTGAAATGAAGACGAGCTCTTTGGCTTGACAATTTGTTCCTTTAGATGTACATTTTATTTTAATTTTTTTTTTGAGGTAGAGTTTTGCTCTTCTTGCCCAGGCTGTAGTGCAATGGCGCTATCTCGGCTCACCGCAACCTCCGCCTCCCAGGTTCAAGTGATTCTCCTGCCTTAGTCTTCCAAGTAGCTGGGATTACAGGCATGTGCCACCACACCCAGCTAATTTTTGTATTTTCAGTAGAGATGGGGTTTTGCCATGTTGATCAGGCTGGTCTCGAACTCCTGACCTCAGGTGATCCACCAGCCTCAGCCTCCCAAAGTGCTGGGATTATAGGCGTGATCCACTGCACCCGGCCTAGATGTACATTTTATAGTCAGAGGTCTTTATATGTTGAGTTACCAGGTAAATCAAAAGATTGAATCACCTCTGAAAAAAACTAAAGAAATGAAAAGGACTGAGGTACCACTGATGTTTCACCACAGCCTTTCTTCTTGGCCCTTTAAATAAGATGTAAGGTACATAATATTTTTACTTCATAATTTTACAAATACAGCCGTATCAGTTAATATTTCATGGATACAAGAATTCTTATTTCAGACAAGAGAAATATAAATAAACAAGGACAAAAATATCTAAATACTAATTGTAGTACTCTACTCCTCCAAATATATATAAAATGGTATAATTCACCACTGGGCAAATTATGTATTTGGTATTAGGTTTTTCTTTTTTTAAACCTAGTTACATTAAAGCTACTGTGGGCTGGCACGGTGGTTCACACCTGTAATCCCAGCACTTTGGAGGGCCAAGGCAGGCGGATCACTTGAGGTCAGAATTTCGAGACCAGCCTGGTCAACACGGAGAAACTCCATCTCCACTGAAAATACAAAATTGCCTGGGCATGATGGCATGTGCCTGTAATCCCAGATACTTGGGAAGCTGGGGCAGGAGAATAGCTTGAACCTGGGAGGCAGAGGTTGCAGTGAGCTGAAATTGTGCCACCGCACTCCAGCCTGAGCAACAGAATAAGACTCCACCTCAAAAAAAAAAAAACAAAAAACAACAGAACAATTTAATTTCAAGGTATTTAAGAAACTTTAAGCATTCATTATAATCTTTAAAAATGCCAATAGGATAGATAAAAAAAAATTAGTTGTTTTTTTCTTTCTTTTTTTTTTTTTTTTTTTTTTTTTGAGACGAAGTCTCGCTCTGTAGCCCAGGCTGGAGTTCAGTGGCGCTATCTTGGCTCACTGCAACCTCTGCCTCCGGGTTCAAGAGATTCTCCTGCTTCAGCCTCCTGAGCAGCTGGAATTACAGGCACACACCACTGCACCTGGCTAATTTTTTGTATTTTTTAGTAGAGACGGGGTTTCACCATGTTGGCCAGGCTAGTCTTGAACTCCTGACCTCAGGTAATCCACCTGCCTTGGCATCCCAAAGTGCTAGGATTACAGGCATGAGCTACCATGCCCGGCCAGCTTTTTTAAAATAAGAAAAAAGACAAAAATCAATGGTGGCACTCTTTATTGGCTTAAAAAAAAAAAAGAGTGCCTTAAAACACTGACAATGTAATCAGTTATTTGTAAGAAACACTGAAAGTCCAACAAGGGCATGACTGCCCAGGCTCATACGCCTTTGTGTGAGTTAAGGAAAGTTACCCCCTATGGGAGGGTGAAAGATTTGGTAAGTAGTATGAATCCTTTGGGCACATAGGGCTCCATGCAGCAGGGCTTGCTGAGCAGAGCCTTGAGCAAGGGCATGTACACTTCTCATTAGTTACTTATTAATGATTAAATCATTCACTCATTCAACAAGTATTTGTTCAACATCTAATATGAGGTAAGTATACATTTCTTAGGGAACAGGGAAAAAAGAGTCTACCTGTCTATGTCATTAAAATTATTAATATGGTTCCGTATAAAACAAGAAATAGAAAACAAAATTTTGCAGGTATCAGCCTAAGAATATAAGAAGGTCATATGAACACCTTGATCAACACACCTTCCTTGTGACTGCTTCTTCAGAAGTTTCAGAGGATAGGAACAGAAGGAGATACTTCAGCTTACCTCATCTTCATGCCTCTGTTCATTGCCTTCTGCTGCATTTGAAGACTCACTCTGAAGCAACTGACCTTGAGAGAGATCCTCCACAAATTCTGGATTGTTGGTGGATGATGTGGCGCCACTACTGTATGGAACCTCTGGGTGATTTAACCTGAATAATAGGCAGAAGTATCAACAACACAAAAACTCCACCTATTTACTAAGGTTCTAGATAAATTTCCCTGCCAGCAAAAGCACATGCCAGTCCTTGAATTAATTCCCCCAATAATCTGTATAAATGTAAACAACGTATTCACAGACGTTACAGGGCGTTTTAAAAAAACTGGTTTCAGTGCTTGATTAAACCAGGTCAGTTCCATGAAGACATCTCCTACCAAAAACAACTATAATCTTCTTCCAAAAAGATGATCTCCTCTCAACACAGACTTCATGTTTTAGCTCTGAATATGCAGTAGAATCTGACTTTTACATGCTACCTTTCATGTATCTCCAATGTAAAGGGAAAACACTATTAATGAAAAAAGTGAATAGCAATGGGAGTTGTAGAGGCAGTTTGCCAACTATCACAAAAGAGGTCTTAAAGGGTGTAAGAAAAATCTCTTAACGGTACATTTCATTGGCTATTTCTTCTTGGATTATAGCGTTTAGTGACAATCAGATCATCTAAGAACAATACTATCAAGTTAAGTAAGTTCAGGTATACATGTTAATAAATCAGACAGATGTACTTACTTCCTGCTCCCACTATACTATTCCAGATGAGTTAGCAAACCAGATTTCACCCTTCTGAAGAGTGAACACAAGAAGGTACAGATAATGGTAGGGTCTTAGATGGACTTATCTTATTACATGTGGACGAAGGAATAGAAGGAAAGGTAACACCATGTGCTAGTGAGTATTTTTGTTTTTGTTTTTGATCGAGGGAGGAGTTGGGAAGTCAAGAGCGGTAGAAAGATGGATAATAGAGTAATATTCAGTCATTATTCTGAAAGAATGCACAACCCATAGTATTATAGGGAATAATTACAATGCAACGTAAGTACTAAAATAATGGCTTGTTAAAAGTACCATAGAGGTATGGTAGAGGGTATGATGAATTTTATATGTATGGAGGGATGTTAAGAAAGAATTTATAGAGGAGGTCCTAAAAGATGAGTACGTATTCATCAAGGTAAACAACACGATTCCAGATAGAAAGAACTTGGTATAAAAGGAGAAAGGGAGACTATCAAGAGGTTACTGTAATAGATTAAGTGAGACACAAAGGCAGGCAGGATTCTGAGCAGAAGGACAGTTAAGAGATACTTAAGAGGCAGAATGGCTAGGTGTGGTGCCTCACGCCTGTAATCCCAGCACTTTGGGAGGCCAAGGCAGGTGGATCACTTGAGGTCAGGAGTTCAAAGCCAGCCTGGCCAACATGGTGAAACCCCGTCTCTACTAAAAATAAAAAAATTAGCTGGCCATGATGGCAGTGCCTGTAATCCTAGCTACTCAGAAGGCTGAGGCAGGAGAACCGCTTGAACCTGGGAAGGGGAGGTTGCAGTGAACTAAGATCATGCCACTGCACTCCAACCTGGGTGACAGAGTAAGACTCAGTCTCAAAAAAAAAAAAAAAAAAGAAAAAGAAAAAGAAAAAGAAAAAAGAGGTAGAATGGAGAGAACTTAATGACTGATTGACTTTAATAGTGAAAGAAAGGAAGAGTCAAAGATAATTCTGAGGTTTCCAATTGATGATTATGTACTTAATATTAATCAAAGTAAAAACAGGGTGTGTGTGTGTGTGTGTGTGTGGACAGACACACAAGAAAATGATAAATTTGAAACACCTGTAGCATAATTAAGTAGAAATGTACCACAGACAACTGGAAACATGCCCCAGGAGAACAGAAGTGGAACAAAAGGGCATAAAGATAGACTCGAGAAGCATTAGCCCATGGAAATAATGGGCAGTGCTAGATATTCTCCAGAAAGACAGTGAGAAGAAGGAAAAGTCAGGATAGAACTCAGCTGAAGCAATATCATTGTATGAGCAAGGTAGAAAAACTAGGAAAGGAGACTGAGAAGGGCATTAAGATAACTGGAGAGAAGACGATTGCAGAGGCCAAGGCAGGAAGACTTTTGAGAAGGGTAGTGGCTAATCAAGTAAAAAGTTGCAGATGTTAAATAAGATAGGCCAAAAAGTGTCTGCTAAATTTGAAGACCTGAAGGTCACTGGCAATTTTAGTTAAGTATAGTTTTAGTGGAATTATGAGAATAAATTCCAGATTACAGTGGACCGAGAAATGGATGAAAACAGGAAGCAGACTGTCCTGGGACTGAAAGAAATTAAACTTTTCTGACCCTTTCTAGGAAACATAATAGATGATTTTAGCAGGAGGTTCCTACATTTTTGAGGTCCTTTAAAAAAGAGTAAGTAAAAGAAGCTATGAAATCAATGCCAATCATTTTCTCTGAAAAGAGGTACCATCGAGATCCAGTTTGATCTCTGCAGTGCTGTTTTCCAAATATTTCAATCATTTTAGATGTGTTAGGCAACTTGTTCTTTCACTGTCATTTTCATTTCAACTGTGCCATCAATTTTTAAGTTACTAATTCTTGTAAATTCTTATTTTGGTAAAATATGAGAACTAGGTTTGGGAAAGAGTAGCAATCCTATGAATCCCTGACTTCAGTGGACAGGAATCACTTGGGAATTCACATGGGAATTCACAATCCCATGAATCCCTGACTTAAGTGGACAGGAATGGCCAAAGGCATCACATGCCTTCTTGATGACAAGTTGGATGAAGACTGGAAAAAAGGGGGATCTTTTGTTACCATGAATAAATTATCCATGTTCCTAGCTAAAGCCCACAACCCTTCTATTTGCACCCTTGATCTCACACCCTCTTGCCTACTCAGGGGCAGATTTTCAGCAATTCTGTCCTTTCTGGCAATACCAATTCTTTTCTCTCTACAGGATCAGTCCAATCAGCATATACGTATGATATTAATTCTCTTAACACAAAACAAAATGAAAAGAAAAAAACTCCATCCCACTTCCAGTTAAGGTCCCAATTTTTCTCCTTTCCTTTATAGCACAACCCCTGGAAATAACTTGTTTATACTTATTGACTTCTCCTCCCTTAAGTCCACTTCAAAGGAGATATGTGCTTATAACTCTTGTCAAAGCCACCAATGACACCCATGCTAAATCCAGTGTCATTTCTCAGCCCCCATCTTACCTGATGTACCAGAAGCATCTGACACAGTTGATCTTTTCCCCTCCCTTGAAATACTTTTTTTTTTTCACTTGGGTTCTAGGACCCTTCACTCTTCTGGCTTTTCTGCGACCTTTCTAGCAACTCACTTTAGACTCTGTTGATTCTTCCTATTCTTTCTGACTTTTTTTTCTTTTTCTTTTTTTGAGATGGAGCTTGCTCTGTCACCCAGGCTGGAGTGCAGTGGCACGATCACAGCTCACTGCAACTTCCGCCACCTGGGTTCAAGCAATTTTCCTGCCTCAACCTCCCGAGTAGTTGAGATTACAGGCACGTGCCACCACACCTGACTGATTTTTGTATTTTTAGTAGAGACAGGGTTTCACCATGTTGGCCAGGCTGGTCTTGAACTCCTGACCTCAAGTGATCCACCCACCTCAGTCTACCAAAGTGCTGGGATTACAGGTTGTGAGCCACTGCACCCGGCCTCTGTCTGACTTTTAAATGATGGAGTATCCCAGAGGTCAGGCTTTAGAGCTCTTCTTTCTTCCATCTACAGAGTGCTCATTTCTTTGGTGATCTCATTCAGTCTCACGGCTTTGAATGTTATATGCTGATAAGTCCCAACTTTCTCTGTCTCGCCTAAACTTCCCCTAATAGCAGAACCTGATATCAAAGTGCCTATTTGACATCTCCACTTAGATATCTAATAAGCATCTTTAATGTAAAATTTCCAAAACTGAGCTCCTACAATTCCCTCCCACACTTGTTCAGTTTTCCCCATCTAAGCTAATGGCAACTCCATCCCTCCAGTTGCTTTGGCCAAAACTTTTGAGTTGCCTTTGACTGCTTTTTTTCTCCCTTCTTACATTGTGCTCATCCTTTCTTTCAGGCAAATTCTGTTTGGTATACCTTCAAATATATCTAGAATTCTATACTTCTCACTACCCCTCATTCCCATTATCTTTGAAACACACTCCAATGAGGTTTTTACCCCCACTATTCCACCAAAAACACTCTTGTGAAAGTCACCAGATGATGGTTCTTCAGGCTATCATCTGTCTCCTGAATTATTTTAAGAGCCTCCCTAACTGGTCTCCTTGTTCCAGCCCCTGCTCCCTTCACTCTATTCTCAATACAACAGTCAGAGGGATCTTATAAAACCGTAAGTCAGATCATATAATTCTGTGTGAAACCCTCCAATGTTATCCCACTTCAGAGTAAAAGTTAAAGGGTTTATTTTGATCTCTAAATATTTTGATCCCTATGATCTAGTCTCTTCTTACCCAAAGTATGGGCCTCATACCAGCAGAACTGGCATTCTCTGGGAGCTTGTTAGAAATGTAGAATCTCTGGTCCTAAGATTTTCTAAATCAGAATCTGCATTTTCATCAGCTCTCTTGGCAATTCATATGTTTGAGAAGGACTGATGTAGTCCTCTACTGCCTCTCCTGCTGCTATGTGCTGCTCTAGTCACACTGTCCTCCTGGCTATTTCGATAAGATGGAAACTCTCCTGCCTCAGGGCTTTTGCACCTACTGCTCCCTCTGTCTAGGATAATCTTCCCCAGAAAACTGCATGCCAGTTGCCTTATTTCCTTCAGGTCTTTATTGAAGTCACTTTCTCATTAAACACTTTCTGGCCCATCCTGTCTAAAACTGCATCCCCAAACCCTTCCTATCCCTTTTCTCCACTTTTTTCTTTTTTTAAACTATAGTTCTTATCAACATAGTATATGTTTTGCTTATTTATCCTGTTTATTGTCTGACTCAACAAGTAGAATTTGAACTTTAAAAGGCCTATGATTTTTATCTATTTTGATCAATGCTTTCTATCTAATGCCTGGAACAATGACACATAGCAGATACTCAGAAAGTTTTTACTGAATGAATATAGTAACTAAGCAGCCTTTAGAAAAGTCTTGGAGAACACTTTCATCTGAGTAGTGAGGTCAAAGGCGGATATCAACGAGGTGAGACATAAATGTGAGGGAAGGAAACAGAATTACAAAGTATAGCCTATTTTTTAAACAGCTCTAAAGAATATTAAAATAATTCATCTTAGGGATTAGCTAGCACTTCAGTCTATTAGTGAACACACTTTCTCTTTGCCAAATAACTTCTAAACATCTAGAAAAGATAAAAATTCAAGTGGAACAGAGATTTTCAAGGGAAGAGGTGGACTACTGTTATTAACCCTTTTCTATATCTCTTTAAATATTTGTCAAAAGATCCCACAGAAAGGAGAAGGGGGTGGGATGGGGAAAGGAACAGAAGTCAGCTAAAGTTACTAAGCATCTTGAATAAAGAACCACATTAAAAAATCTGATCTTTGGGAAAAAACTATTTTAATATCTGTGGTAATTTGAACAGAAAAAATGCATTTGTTTTTTAGAGCTAGCTCTGTGGCAGGTATTTCCTTAATGGTGACTATATAATTTTCTTAACTGGAGTCACCAGTGTTTGCTAGATTCCACATATTGTTGTACCAGTTCACAAAAACCAGAGCACTGCAAAAGATAATTGAATGCAGATTACAAAGTGGTTTATGATGGCTGTCACTCTCTTTGCAAAGTGAAACAAGTGCACCGTCTATTCTTATGATATAAAACTGCCTCTTTAGGACCTCTTACTTTGCTAGAAGCTTTGTTTTGAGGCCTATGGAGAAGTCCAGTGTCCTAAAGCAGCTGCTTACCCAGTGGTAGCCAGATCATTACTCTCCTTGGAACCGTCTTCATCTGCAAAAAGGGGCGGTAGGGTGGAGCTAGTCATCAAGTTTTCCATCTCTCTGAAAGGAAAAGAGAATAAAAAAAAATTAATGGCTTAATTACTTCCATTTCAAGTTCCACTAATTTAAGAGCCAGCCTTCTTGAACTTTATCATATAAGCAACAGAATAAAAACTGACCTAAATATTTATTTTCTTGACTTGGACACATCAATTTAAACTGTATGGTAAATGGGCCTTTTAACCTTGGTCTTATCAACTGACCAGACTGAAAACAAGTTAGGTTTTAACAAATGGGATGTGGTTTGGAAAATTCCTTTTTATTTATCCAGAGTATCTTCAAAAGTATTCATTTCCTGTAGAAATTGTTAAGCAGGGTAACTCAGAAGCACTGCCACTCTGAGCAAGCTATTTAAGCTCTTTGAGCTACAATTTCACCATCTTAGACTAAGACAAAATTGCTGACTTAACCCAAAGGGTTATTGTGAGAGATTAAAATGAAAGTGCTCCATAAACAGAGAAAATCTAAGGTAGTAAGTGCATTGAGTATTATATAAAGAAAGATATTGTTATTACAGCATTACCAGTTCTCAGTCCCAGATGAATCATCTATAGATTAAATGATGGCAAACTGAGCCCTCCAAAAGGAAATAATGCAAAGGAAGTAGAGGATGGAAGGCATGCTGATGTGGCTCTCAGTCAAAGAAACCACACTTCCAGGTCAGAAATATGCTCCACACACCATCATAACCAAGAGCAGAAATAGCATGCACCTGGGTACAGGAAACAACTAAGCTTAATTGAAGAAAACAAACAAATCACAAGAACTGAGGTTATCAGACTGAAAGGATAAAAGGACAAAGTGACAAAGAGAATAATTTCATTTGGCATATCACTATGAAAAACGATTTTTGCCTTTCAAGGCTTACCACAAAGGGCATCACCCCATGTAGTTAAAAGCAGCAGTCTTCCCTTCATCATGAAAGGGATATTCAAACAAAACATTCAGCAGTGACCCCAAACATCAGCCACTTACACAGAACTGCAAAGCACTCAAGAAAGAGTGCCTCAATCAATTGGGAGAATTGAGAAGCAAATTATGAGAATTCACTTAGGAGCTTCCTCAGGAGTTATTTCAGGCGCTGCTGCTGCTAAGGAGACCTGGTGAAACAGCAATTAAAAGGAAAGCACAGCGGCAAAGCAGAGCCAGGATCACTCCACTGAGGTGGAAATATGAAGAAAATGCCGATGACACGAGGACCACATTCTCCATGTTCAATGGAGTGATTTATTTCCAAAAGATAACACTGATGTTTTATTCCTTATTCTTACTTATTCTCACTTCTAAGTTTATTATTTAGCAGGCCAAGTTCCATAAACAGCTTGATGGGAAAAACACATCTCTGTACAAATATTACCCATTACAGTAGGTAGAGCATGGAAGGTAGAGAGGAACTTCTCACTCAACCATCATAAGCACTTTATTCTACTGCAGGAATGCTTGCAACCTCTTTTCAGTTCCTTCAAGATAAGGTGTTTACAAGTGGAATAGCTCTAATAAATACCACAAAATTCCATTCCACATGTTTTACTGAATAACCCTGACTCAAGTGTACTTAAGTTTTAATTCACATTATACAATACAAAGGCGAGATTAAAGCCTGGGCTGCTAACATCACCTCACACCAATGTCAATGTTCATTTTACCAAAAGAAAACTGTAATATCTGTTAGATACCATACAGACTAACCATAGTGAGCAAACATTCAAATGGCCAGGTATATACCTTAGGGAACTCACTTGACTGGCTTTTTTTTTTTTTTTTTTTTTGACAGTCTCGCTCTGTTGCCCACGCCTCCCAGGTTCAGGTGATTCTTGTGCTTCAGCCTCCCAAGTTGCTGGGATTACAGGTACGTGCCACCACACCAGCTAATTTTTGTATTTTTAGTACAGACGGGGTATCACCATGTTGGCCAGGTTGGTCTTGAACTCCTAGCCTCAAGTGATCCGCCCACTTCGGCCTCCCAAAGTGTTAGGATTACAGGTGTGAGCCACTACGCCTGGGATTGACTGGCTTCTTTCTAAAAGTATCCCTAGAAGTCAATGGCCTTTCAAGAACCTTGAGATTCAGCATTTAAAGCTCCTGGCATTGCTCCCATGCCTCAAAAGAAGATATATTATCTGGTGAGGGACAAATGAAGTGTCTTTTCATCCACTATGCCAACATGACCCTGTTAGAGTGTTTTCCAGATATCTTTAGTCATTTCTGAAACGTGGGGAGGCAGCTGGATAACATAACCTTAACAACATATAAACAGATCATATAAACAAAGGAAGTTCAGAGAACACACATTTTTTCCTTTTTTATTTTCCCTCTCTTAAGTTTGTTGTATTCAAACCCATATGGTTTCAGATATATTTTCTCAGTGTTACTGAGTAGTCAGGTCCCTAAGAAATGAGTAATAAAGTGGGTGGAAGGTTAAGGGGCCAAGATCAACAAAAGAAGGAAATGAAGAAAAGTGCAGTGAAACCCAAAGGCCTCTAAACTAGTCCAGTAAGTCGGAAAATACAATGATTCCCAAGAATATGTCTGGGATCCTGGGAGAATGCATTTCATATGGTCCATGAGGGAGTGATTCAAAAGGAATCACGGCTACCAAGCCACTGATTGCCAAAAGCCCTTCACATGTAGCATCTGTGCCTGATGATGTCCCAGTACAGAGGTCACACTGAACTTTGAAATTTTATGCAAAGCACTTAAGAAATGTAATGAATGCTGCTCTAAATGAGTAAAGAAGAGAAATTTGTTCAAAGGCAAAGCAATATACAAGTTTGGCTCTTCACTGCACTTTATACAAACAGGTCTATCATGCAGATGTTACCTAGTAGAGGGGACTTATCCAGTGAAGGCTTCTACCAGGAAGCCTCACAAAAATGATATTACTTTGCCACTTAGAACACTTTGAACCAGGGTCTGGACCTGAGCTTTGGAAATCCCAAAATTCCCTCTAACACTAACCACTCACTGAAAAAAACCTGACATATAAAAGAGTGCCAATTTAAAATATTTTAATGATGATTATAAAGATTGTAATGAGAATTATATTAAGCGTACTAGATATTTAATGACTAGTGAACACATTTTCTCTCTGTAGTCATCTAGTAGGCCAGATCATAATCAGAACATTGCTATGGTCAATATATGGCCAGAACAAAGGAAATTAGGTGGAACTTAAGAAATGTTCCTCAACTAAGATTGCTCTAGTAATCTTTCCCAATAATAGGGATGATCACACCAATGTGACTATGTTATTCCAAATGTGTTGGACAGTGCTGGAAGCATATTTGTACTTCTGGTTTCTGGGGTTGGCTCTTTTCAAGTGCCCTTTTCTTACTTTACACATGCTAACCCCACTTCCCTAAGTCTTTTCATAGAGATGCAGCATATTCCTTCTGCACCACTCCCTCTCCAACCATACACCTCATAATTGAGAGGTGGGATTCTGCCCATCTCAACCTCATTTTCCATATTACAGCCTTTATGCAAAACCCTTGGTTCCTTTAAAACATCAGGTTCCTTGGTTATATCAACCTCATACCCAAAAATCTCTTACCATCATCTCCTATCATTTCAGCTCTCTTAATTCTCCTATTACAACTCACCTTGAACCATACAAACCTCTATTCATTGGCCCTTGATTTTCCCTTCTCTGTCCAGCTTAGATTCAATGGCTACATTGCAAATGTTCTTTTGCCAATACTCAATTCCCTTGCACTACATCTTTCTATACACTAGAAGTAGATCAACTCTGAGTTTTGGCTTTAGATGGTGGAGGAAAAAAATGACAAAATAAAGAGTATTACTATAAATGTATGGTATCCAATCACAACTGGGCCCTCTATGCTCTTAGTAATCACTTTGTATGTTCTTAGGATATTTCCCAACTGCCATGTTATCTCTGTCAAAGTTTTTCAACCAAACTCACCCAAATCCTCCAACTCAGTCAGCATTATCTTTTCACATTCCTCAACCCCAACTCACGACAAAAAGCATACTAAATTGCTTTTTTTGGAAGATATAATTGATATACCATAAAGTTCACCCCTTTACTACATACAACTCAGTGGTTTTTAATATATTTACAAGGTTGTGCAACCAACACCCTAACCAATTTTAGAACATTTTCATCACCCCAAAAAGAAACACAATATCCTTTAGCAAACAATCCCCATTCTCCCTTCCTGCTAGTCCTCCTAGGCCTGGGCAACCACTAATCTACTTTGTTTTTTTTTTTTTTTTTAAGAGACAGGGTCCTGCTCCGTCACCCAGGCTGGAGTGCAGTGGCATAATCATAGCTCACTGATGCCTCAAACTGCTTGTCTCAAGTGATCTCTCTGCCTCAGCCTCCTGAGTAGCTAGGACCACGCCTGGCTAATTTTTAATTTTTTTTTTTTTTTGTAGAGATAGGGTTTCGCTATGTTGCCCAGGCTGTCTTGAATTCCTAGCCTCAAGCAATCCTCCTGCCTCAGTCTCCCGAACTGTTGGGATAATAGGCGTGAGCCATCATGCCTGCCTACTTTCTGTCTTTATAACTGTACCTATTCTGATATTTCATATAAATAGAATCATACAATATGTGGCCTTTTGTGTCTGGCTACTCTCACTTAGCATAAAGTTTTCAAGGTTCACATTGTAGCGTGTATCAGAATTTCATTCTGCTTTATGGCTGAATAATATTATACTGGATGGCTATTGCACATTTTGTTGATCCACATATCAGTTGATAGACTTGGGTTGTTTCTACTTTTTGGTTATTATGAATGCTGCTGCTTATGAACATTTGTGTATAAATTTTTGTGTGGACATGTTTTCAGTTCTCTTGGGCATATACCTAGGAGTGGAGCTGCTGGAACATCTGGTACCACCATGTTTAATATTTTGAGAAAATCAAACTGTTTTTCAAAGCACCTCTACCATTTTACATTCATACCAGTAACCTATTAGGGTTCCAATTTCTCCATATCCTCAGCACACTTGGTATTATCTTTTTTATTAGAGCCATCCTAGTAGATGTGAAGTGGTATCTCATTGTGATTTTGGTTCATATTTTCCTAATGAGTAATGATGTTAAGCATTTTTTCTTATGCATATTGTGCATTTGTTTATCTGTTTTGGAGAACTGTCTACTCAAATCCTATTTCAAATTGTGTTTTGTATTATTATTATTATTTTTTAGATAGAGTATCATTCTGTTGTCCATGCTGGAGTGCACTGGTGTGATCCTGGCTCACTGCAACCTCTACCTCCTGGGTTCAAGCGATTCTTGTGCTTCAGCCTCCCAAGTAGTAGCTGGGATTACAGGTATGCACCACCATGCCCAGCTAATTTTTGTATTTTTAGTAGAGACAGGGTTTCGCCATGTTGGCCATGCTGGTCTCAAACTCCTGGCCTCAAGAGGTGCCACCCACCTCAGTCTCCCAAAGTGTTGAGATTATAGGCGTGAGCCACCACACTCAGCCTCCTTTGCTCATTTTTAAAATTGGGTTAAAACTGTATTGTTATTGCAAAATTGCAAGAGTTCTTTTTATATTGTAGATACTAGACACTTATCAGATATACTATTTTCAAATGTTTTTCTCCCATTCTCTGGGTTGTCTTTTCACTTTGATAGTGGTCTTTGAAATACAAACGTTTTTAACTTTAAAGTACAAATTATCTTTTTTTTTTCTTTGGTTGCTTGTGCTTTAGGTGTCATATTTAAGAAACTACCGCCTAATCAAAGTTGTGAAGATTTACCCTTATGTGTTCTTCTAAGAGCTTTATAATTTTAGCTCTTAACATTTATGCCTTTGATTCATTCTGAGAAAATGCACCATATTCTCTGACCTCTACATCTCTGCAACTGCCATTTGTTGTCTTTGGTTGGAATACTTCCTAGTACCCCAGTCTCTCTTGTTTGGCCAATTATACTTTCTTATCCTTCACATCTCATCTTAGATGTGTCTTCTTTCAGCATGTGTTCTTGGATCAATCAAGAATGTATCAGATGCCCCTTTTATGTACTACCAGAGCATTCTGTACTAAACACCCATCATAATACTTGACTCACTGTACTACACTTGTCTTTTCTAACCCTTAGTTATATGTTTTGTTAGGTTATAAACAGTGCCTTGTTTACCTTTAAATTTCCCCCAGCCTGGTTTTGAGCATATCATGGGCATTTGTTAAATATGCATTTGATGAGCAAATACAATTATGTATTTCACAGCTTCATCATAATATTGTGGCCAGACTTTGCCTAAAGCCACACCATACCCCTCAACTGAAGGAGGCTCCTCATTCAATTAGTATTTATTTATTGCTCAAGCAAGGCACTTTTGCAGATTATGTGTCTTTTAAATGGATTAACTCTGAAACTGGGGGACACTCAATATATTCTCTAAATGTTTCCTCATATATGCATTCTCCTTTATTATTTGTAAGGAGTGAGACTATCTTCAAACAATAGAGTCAGTGTTCATGTCTACTTTAGTGAACATGGCCGATTGATGTATATTCTGTATTGGAATTTTCAACTTTCCATTCACGTTAGATATTCATGTCTAAGTATTGAATCTTTAACATCAATTTTGCTCAGTGAAGCCTTTCATGGCCTCTGTATATAAAATTGCAGACACCCCCTTTCCTTGAACTGTTCCTAACCTCCTTCCCTGCTCTGTTTTTTTCTTGGTACTTCAAACTATGTATCTTTTTTCATTTTACTTATTTTATCTTGTTTTTTGTCTGTTCCAGTACACTGCGAGCTCAAAATTTGTAGATGCCCACAATTGGCCCTGCAGAACCCATGATTACAAAAAGTCGGCCCTGTATCCATAGGTTCTGTGTCTCTCGAATACTGTATTTTCCACCCCAAACTGATTGAATTTGTGGATGCAGAACCCAAGGATACACAGGGCCAACTATAACTGCAAATTAAAACAATAATGATCTACCACTACAAACCTATTAGAATGGCCAAAATCCCAAACACTGACACCACTAAGTGCTGACAATGATGCGGAGCAACAGGAACTCTCCTTCATTATGTGGGGATACAAAACAGTACAGACATTTCAAAAGACAGGAAGTTTTTTACAAAATTAAACATACTCTTGCCATACAATCCAGCAATCGCACTTCTTACCTTAATATTTACCCAAATGAATGGAAAACTTACGTCCACACAAAAACCTGCACACAGATGTTTATAGTAGCTTTATTCATAATTGCCAAAACTTGGGCATAACCAAGATGTCCTTCAGTAGGTGAGTGGCTGAACTGTGATACATTCAGATAATAGAATATTATTCACTGCTAAAAAGATATGAGTTATGAAGCCATGGAAAGACATGGAGGAAACTTAGTGCATATTACTAAGTGAAAGAAGTCAATCTGAAAAGGCTATATAAATTGAGCATCCCTAATCTGAAAATCAGAAATTCAAAATGCTCCAAAATCTGAAATTTCCTGAGTGCCCACTTGATGACCCAAGAGGAAATTCATACAATAGTGAGCTACCACTACACACCTATTAGAATGCCCTAAATCCCAAACACTGATACCACCAAATGCTGGCAAGGATGTGGAACAAGAACTCTCCTTCATTGTATGAAAATACAAAATACAAAAATTCCACATGGGACTTCACGTAATGGGTCACAATAAAAACACTGGCACACGATAATTAGTTTATTCAACTTGCCATTGTTTGTTGTTAACAGCTGGCACAGGTGCACTGGTGATGCTACTGTACTGCTTACCCCGAACACATTATTTTTTCATTGTATTAATGGTATGTCACATTTTTTACTGTTAAGTACTTATGTGCAAATAAGTGTAAGAGAATGATTCTTATTGGTAGCACATGAATTCTGAATCAGGAATAATGGTGATGCCAAACAATCACAGACTGTACATGTGGGTGGCTGAGTGACATCTTTGCTTTCTCATGGTTCAATGTATACAAACTTTGTTTCATACACAAAATAAATAAAATCATTGCTATAAAATTACCTTCAAGCCATGTGTAAGGTAAATGGATACACCATAAATGGATTTCCTGTTTAGACTTGGGTCTTATCCCCAACATATCTCATTATGTGTATGCAAATACTCAAATACAAAAAATTAGCCGGGTGTGGTGGTGGGCGCCTGTAGTCCTAGCTACTCGGGGAGGCTGAGGCAGGAGAATGGCGCGAACCCTGGAGGCAGAGCTTGCAGTGAGCCGAGATCGTGCCACTGCACTCCAGCCTGGGCGACAAAGCAAGACTCTGTCTCAAAAAAACAAATAAAAAAATAAATAAATAAAAAATAAATCTGAAAAGATCTGAAACCTGAAACACTTCTGGTCCCAGGCATTTTGGATAAGGGAAACTCAACCCATATGTTGTGAATCCATCCACCTATCTGACATCCTGGATAAGCAAAAGTATGGAGACAGTAAAAAGATTAGTGGTTGCCAGGGGAGTAGGATGAATAGGTGGAACACGGCATTTTTAGGGCAGTGAAACTTTCTACGTGATACAATGGTGGATACATGTCATTATAAATCTGTCAAAACTCACAGACTGTCCAACACCAAGAGTGATGGACACTATGTAAACTATGGTGATTATGTGTCAATATAGGTTCATTGATTGTAACAGATGTAGCATTCTGGTGCCAGGGATATTGATAGTTGGGGAGGCTGTGTGTGTGGGGGGACAGGGAATATATAGGAAGTCTCTGTATTTTCTGCTCATTTTTGTTGTGAATCTAAAAGCGCTCTAAAATATAACATTCATTCATTTTAAAATTGCCATATTATATATTTAGAATATTATAATTATGTATTTTATTATGCCAGAGAACTGGTATAAAGAGGTTTGGGAATAAACACAACTGACTTTGATATGCATACAATTTAACTGGAGGAAGGAAAAGAGGCTTACTAGAGAGTAGTCTACCAGCTGTGAACGTTTAGCTAAAAGCAATCAGTGGGCTGTGGACATTAATCAATATGTTTTACAGTGTGAATGAGAACACTGGCTAATCCTGCCAGGCAGTTAACTGGGGTTCAGTTAAGTGAAATTCAGTTAAAAACTCTTTCACCATAGGTTTTTATATGTGAGATGAGAGGGAAAAAGACGAGGAGAGAGAAGAGGCAATTTAGGAGTAATTAAGTACTTAGGTTTTAGGGGAGGGTTGAGGTAGGGAGAGGCAATTAGGGTCTAAACATAAGGCTTGCTGCTTCAAGAGAAGGGTATAAGGAGGGGTGTGTTTGGCTGGGCACTGGGGTGGGGGTGGACAGAAAATATGGCTCTCTAGACCTAAAATTGATAGTCCAGGCTCCTATGACTATTATTGATCTTTATTTTATTATTTATTTATTTATTTTTGAGACGAGCCTCACTCTGTTGCCCAGGCTGAAGTGCAGTGGCTTGATCTCTGCTTACTGCAACCCCTACCTCCTGGTTCAAGCAATTCTCGGCCTCAGCCTCCCGAGTGGCTGAGATTACAGGTGCCTGCCACCATGTCCAGCTAATTTTTTTTTTCCAGCTGGTCTTGAACTCCTGACCTTGTGATCCACCCACCTCGGCCTCCCAAAGTGCTGGGATTACAGGCGTGAGCCACCGCGCCCGGCCTTATTATTGATTTTTAAAATGTTGGTAGGCTACCCTAGGAACCAAACTATAGAGAAACTGATCCATTCATTCAACAAATATTATCTACTATCCTGGGCATTTTCTATGCATTGGGAATACAGCAATGACCAAAACAGGCAAAGATCCTTGCCCTTATAGAGCTCACAGTGTACTGGAACAGACAAAAAACAAGATAAAATAAGTAAAATGAATAATGATACATAGTTTGAAGTACCAAGAAAAAACAGGGCAGGGAAAGAGGTTAGGAACAGTTCAAGGAAATGGGGTGTCTGCAATTTTATATACAGAGGCCATGAAAGGCTTCACTGAGGTAATCTTTAGGAAAAGACCAGAAGGAGATGAAAGAACTATGCATGTATGTGGGGGAAAGAGTGGCCCTAGCAGAGGAAACAACTAGTGCAAAGAAGTCCCCCTGGTGTGACTGAGGAGGTGGCAAATGTGGCTGGACTGAACTAGTGGGAAAAGGAGATGAGGTCTGAAAGCTAACCGGGGCTACTGGAAGGTTTTCAGCAGATAAGGCATAAAATTTAACAAGTTTATAGGATCATTCTGGCTGCTATTTTAAGAACAGACTGAATGAAGGTGGAGAGGGAAAAGGGAAAGTAAGGAAATCATTTGGGAAGCGACTGCAACAAAACAGCTGGAAGAATTAGATCAGAATAGCAGTAGTAGAGATGGTGAGAAGTGGTCAGATTCTTAATATATTTTGAAGGTAAAGCTAGTTTCTAAGTTCAAAATAACTGGAAAAAACATCAGGACTAGAATCTATAAACTGTGGCCTGCATATACTTTAACTGTAGTCTTGTAATCAGTTTAGTAAAAAAGGGTGACTTGTACTAACAATATACTATTTGCAAATTTTTTGAAGCTAAATATAGCGGGGTTTTTTGGCCACAAAAGAAATAATCCAGGCTCCATCTAATGCAAATGCCTAGAGAGTTTATATTTCAACAAACATTTGTTGATCACCTTCATTATGTAACCAAGATGGTGTATGGTGTCAAGTGATGTGTAGCTTTGCTTTATAGAATTTTACAGTCCGTTATCTTCCTTGTAGAGACTCTGTTTTCGAAAAATAAAAAGGGAGAAAAAGAGGCCAGAGTTAGAAACAAAAATTAAACTTCTATCTTTATGATTTTTTTCTCCAAATTCCTTATGTGATGGTACATGTTTTTTTGAAGTAAAAATTTAGAAACTTAAATCAGATATCTTCTTAAAAACCACAGAAGTACTAGATCATCAAAAGAGACTGGCACAGTTCAGATTTCTTGCTAGACAATTGGATCACTGTATATGCCTTTTGCCCCCTCAATGGAACCTTGATGGAGAACTGTCAATATTAGGACGGAAAATGTGTTGTGAAGAAAAAAACTCCACAAAACCAAAACATCTAAGAATAGTATTTTGTATCAGTTTTTGTAAAGCACGGTGATAACGCAGGGAAAATAAAAAACACTTCCTCTTCCAAAGCAAAATTTGTCATTTTACAAGCAGAGTGTTGCCTTTTGAGGTCACAGTCCACCTCGTTGGCTTTTTCATGGTGCCTGTTGGTCCCAAGTTGCCCTTCCTACAGAGGCAATCTAAGCACTGCTTTTATTATTAGTAAACAAGGAGGTGATTGCCCAAGTAAGACAACTTCTGGACCAGTGCCTGAACTAAGAGTTAAAGTAATCCAATAAAACCTGGAATTATTTCCTTAGTGTAGAGTACTTCCCCTATTTCCTGGGACATGGGTGTACTATGAAACGGTAAAAAGGTGGGTCCATATAAGCTGGGATGGGGAATGCTGGTAAAGCCTTACTCCCTCTAGAAGGCCTGTGATATATGAAAAGGTGTTTTCAGTGACAGTCAATTTTCTATTTGGAGGAAAAAAACAAAAAACAAAACCAAGCTTGTTTTAAGTACACAAAGCACAAAAAGTTAATGTTCTTGTTTGGTAAAGACACATATGTATACTCTTTTTTTTTTTTTTTTGAGACGGAGTCTCGCTCTGTCACCCAGGCTGGAGTGCAGTGGCGTGATCTTGGCTCACTGCAAGCTCTGCCTCCAGGGTTCACGCCATTCTCCTGCCTCAGCCTCCTGAGTAGCTGGGACTACAGGTGCCCACCACCATGCCCGGCTAATTTTTTGTATTTTTAGTAGAGATGGGGTTTCACTGTATTAGCCAGGATGGTCTCGATCTCCTGACCTTGTGATCCACCCGCCTCGGCCTCCCAAAGTGCTGGGATTACAGGCGTGAGCCACCGCACCCAGCCACATATGTATACTTTTTACTCACATCTTGGTGATTCACATGCAGGGTATATCAGAAAAGGGAATTTATGTATTTATCAAGAGGAGACACGAGTTTTTTTTTTAAAGTTGAAAAACAATGTTTTTCAGTTTATCATATGTCACTATGTTAGGCATCAAAGATACAGAGGTAAATAAGATTTAAAAATCCCAACAACACTTATTATTTTACAGTTCATAATCTAGTAGGGGACGTGGAAAAAGGGTAATGGCTGATGTGTATAACGGTATTTATTCAAATATATGAGAAAAACAGAGAAAGAAGAATTGAATGGGTTAGGTAACCAGCTAAGGTAATTGTTAATTATCCTAATACATTCACAGATGCACTGGAGAGCTGAAGGAAACAGAAAACACCAGCTGAGAAAACACCTGAGAAGGACCACACAGCTCTGGGTCCTTACACGTTTGAAAATCCAGATTCATACTAAGGTAGGTAGCTCTAAAACAATATAATTCAAGGCTGGAGTCTGCGAAAAGCAACTCAATCAGCATAGACGGTAGTCCCCCCTTATCTGTGGTTCTGCTTTGCCAGTGTGTTAACTCATGGTCAACTGCAGTCCAAAAATATTAAATGGGAAGTTTCAGAAATAATTCATAAGTTTTAAGTTATACACTGTTCTGAGTAGTGTGATGAAATCCCATGCTGTCCTGCTCCATCCCACCCAGGATGTGAATCCTCCCCTTGTCCAGCATATCCATGCTGTATACACTGCCTGCCCATCAGTCACTTAGCAGCCTTCTAGGTTATTGGATCGACTGTCGCAGTATCGCAGGGCTGGTGTTATTTTACTTCACAACGGCCCCAAAGCAGAAGAGAAGTGAGGCTGCCAGTATGGATATGCCAAAGAGAAGCTGTAAAGTGCTTCTTTAAGTGAAAAGGTAAAAGTTCCCAACTTAACAAAAGGAAAAAAAAATCACAAATGCTGAGGTTGCTAAGACCTACAGTAAAGATAAATCTGTGAAATTGTGAAGAAGGAGAAATTCATGTGTACCATATGTATAGGATTTGTTACTATCCATGGTTTCGGGCATCCTACCGGGGGTCTTGGGATGTACCCCCATGGATAAAGGGGAACTACTGTATGAGAAAGCAGAAGTAACAAAGGTCCCTAGTATCTGAACCCAAACATAAAATTCATAGTTAACAATTCCAGGGAAAGGGTCCTTATTGGTTCAAGGAACACTGTTCCTCTATTTTCTTACATTTTACACAGCTCTTCAGCTCAAACCTGCAGCTGTGAGACAACGCTGAAGAGAGGAGGTAGAAAGAATGTTTCTTCCTTTTACAGGCAATAAATCCTAAATCGTTTACCCTCTCAAAAGCCAATGAAGACTGCAAGTAAAGGATGACATGTTTCAGAAGGAAAATTGAAGAACATTTATAAAAACTATAGTGTAATAAATGGAAACTAATCCCATCAAAGTGTTTTTCATTTTAATCAACTGACTTACAAATTAAATTTTCTTCCTAGGAAGATTTCCTAAAAGAAAAACAGAGGATGCTCGATAGCAGAGGAATTTCCTCAGCCAAAAGCTGAAGACAGAAAACTTTAGTTACAGGGAGGCAAAGCAGTTAGTGGTCTTTACTACTCTGAACAGTAAGATGAAATTTAGAGTTTTCTTCACAAGATGAATAGGCACAACTGTAACATGCTTTACAGTTTAAACAGAAATAAATTGAAAAACTCAGAATTATTTTGCTATATTTTGCCTTTGAAACCTAATAACAATGCTCAGGACTTCAGAAAGTTACACATAGCCATAGAATTCACATTTGACACATTTAAGCTCTACAAGACCAGTTTCCTAGGAACATTTCTCCTTTGATAACCTACTCAACATGATAAAACTTCAACTTCCATACACAGAGCCTCAGTTCTCACCCTACCATAGTAATTCAGAACAAGTGGTTAGATTTAATCTTTTTTGTTTAAAAGCTACTGATTGTTTCTTTTTTTCAAGGTGAAATAACAAAGAAAAAACAAGTTTAAAACTACATTAGCTGTAACTTTCATTATATCACTTCAAGATTCTTGGTGTTTAGAGCACTTACTAAAATCTGACAAAATCTGTATTTTCAGCATTGCCTAGTGCTGTTCAAGGGTTCACTTAGCCCAGGAAGGAAGGACTAAGTCCAGGGAATAAGAATCTACAGAACGATTTGTTTTGTTCTTTCAACATTAAATGCACTCATTTGCCTGTGTTAGCAAGTACTTCTGTCATGAACAGAAGTCTACCACAGTACCAAGTAGAGGCGTTATATGAGCATCTGCTTCAATACCCTTATATGTAAAATGGGGCTAAAACTTATTCTATTTACCTCAAAGGGCTACCGTGAGGATCAAATATTTCTTTACAAGCTCTGCATACAATAAAAGAATGTGAAAGCTATTTTAAAAATTATATTACAAAGTTATCAATGAAACATTTATGAGAAAGTATATGGATTATAAGTATATTAAAAGAATAGATACAGGTCGGGCATGTTGGCTCACACTTGTAATCCCAACACTTTGGGAGGCTGAGGCAGGTGAATTGCTTGATCTTAGGAATTTGAGACCAGCCGGGGCAACATGGCGAAACCCCATCTCTACCAAAAATACAAAAATTATCTGGGCATGGGGGCACGCGCCTGTGATCCCAGCTAGTAGGGAGGCTGGGCTGAGGTGGGAAGATTGCTGGAGCCCAGGAAGTTGAGGCTGCAGTGAGCCATTATCGTGCCACTGCACTCCAGCCTAGGTGACACAGTGAGACCCTGTCGTAATAATAATAATAATAAATAAATACATAAGAAAAAAGATTGGAAGGAAATACATCAAAATATTCAAAGTATTGGGAAGCAGAGATGGGTGGATCACTTGAGGTCAGGAGTTCAAGACGAGCCTGGCCAACATGGTGAAACCCTGTCTCTACTGAAAATACAAAAATTAGCCAGGCATGGTGGTGGGCGCCTGTAATCCCAGCTACTCCAGAGGCTGAGGCAGGAGAATAGCTTGAACCCAGGAGGTGGATGTTGCAGTGAGGTGAGATCGTGCCACTGCACTCCAGTCTGGGTGACAGAGTGAGACCCTAACTTAATAATAATAATAATAATAATAATAATAATCATCATCATCATCATCATCATCATCATAAAAAATAGATATATAAGAACAAAGATTGGAAGGAAACACATCAAAATGTTCAAAGTGTTGGGAGGCCGAGGTGGGCAGATCACTTAAAGTCAGGAGTTCAAAACCAGCCTGGACAACATGGTGAAACCCTGTCTCTACTAAAAATACAAAAATTAGCCCGGTATGGTGGCAGGAGCCTATAATCCCAGCTACTCTGGAGGCTGAGGAAGGAGAATCGCTTAAACCTGGGAGGTGGAGGTTGCAGTGATGAGGGATCACACCACTGCACTCCAGCCTGGGTTACAGAGCGAGATTCTGTCTCAAAAAAAAAAAAAAAAAAAAAAAGTTCAAAGTAGTTATGTCAGGGTGGTGAAATTATGAATAATTACTTTCCAATCTTTGTTTTAAACTCAACCTTCAGCAGTATGGTTTTGTTACTTTAAAGAAAGAGGAAAAGTGCCATCAAGGATCACAGATGTTTTAAAATTAAATTTTAATTTCACATGCAATACTTAGTTTCTTTTTTGTAAAAAAAATATGGCTACACGTAGAGCTAAAATTCCCTTTTTGCCAGACTCTCCATACTCCCCTTTCCAGAAAAACACCATTAGAAGGATTTCTAAGTCCAGCCTGAGTGACAGAGCAAGACTCCATCTCAAAAACAAACAAACAAGGAGTTTCTAGCTTATTGCTGAAAGATGCCTTAAAGATAGTTGCTAATGATATATTCTTTCTCTCTCTCATCAGAATTAGGACTATAGGGCAGAGAAGAGTACGCATGTCTAGCAGGGAGAGTAAGGGCACAATTTATAAACCTCATGCTTTATATTAAAAATTCCCTTAAATTCTGCAGTCAGTTTTATAAAGCAGTATTTATTTTAACACAAGAATTAATGTTTTAAATTGCACGAGGCCAGGACAAGGATCATGTAGCCTCAAAACAGTATTTCCCCATGAGTGCAATAACACACAGCACAGATTCAGTTCATTTTCTTGACAGATAACTGACATATTTTGATACTGAGGGGAAAAAAGTGTTGTGACTTCCTTATTGAATATCTCCACTATATAGCAATATATTGAGAAGTTCTAACTCAATTTATGTCCTATTAACTTTCCAGATAAGTTACATGAAAATACACTGAAATTATCAAACAAGAATACCATTTAATTATGGGAAAACAGACCAGGAAAATGAGCTCAGCATTTCCTTAAGAGGTTTAACTCTGAAAATTACAATATATCTGAGGTTGTTATATGTACATTCTTATGTCACTGGCAGGAAAAGTAACAAGCTTTTGGTAAGTTGTTGTTTTACTTCTTGCCAATATACCTTAAGATAAACCTAAAATGTAATGTGTTTGATTCATCTCTAATTCCACTGGCATCTCTGTGCCTTCAGAAATTGGACTCTAAATTGCCTTACACGAAAAAGAAAAGTTATTGGTACTCTCAAGCTCATCATTACAATATTTTTCCACAGAAGCTTCTCTGGAGGCATTTATTCTTACTAGAAACTCTGTCCAAATATTTAATTTGGCCCTGGGTGTTTAGTAACATTAGAATATTTAAAAGACAAAGTTGATAAATTACAATCAAGATGTAGTAATGTGAGCTATGAGGGAAAAAAAGCTTAACTGTGATTTCTACAACAAATTCACTCAAAATTTGGAGACAAAAAGCATCTCAAATATTTGATAAAGGATGATATGCTGCATAAACTACAAGGAGACAACCTGAGGCAGTAGGAAGAGCTCTGAATCGAAGTCAGGAAATCTGACTTTGAGTTCAGGATATACTACCAACTAACTGGTTTCTGGGATCACTAAATGACTCTGGCTCAAGTTTTTTCACCTGTTCATGAAGAACAAAATCAACTTCAAATTTGTTTAGCTGTCAGACTACATAGAATACTGAGAAACAGTATATTTAATTATATGAACTAGAAACACTAACAAACTAGCAGAAAATAGGAATATATTAAAAATTCAATATAAAATCACAACCATAAACATATATGTACACAAACAAACACAGAGTTCTCTAAGCATGGTATGCACTTCTGAATTCTGTTCATATTTATTTGCTATCTGGGAGGGAGTCTCAGTTTATACTGAGGGCTCTGGAGTCAGACTGCCTAGATTCCAATCTCATCTTTTACGTATTAGCTGTGGAACTTGGGCAAGCTAGTCAAAAGCTCCAAACCAAGGTTTTCTTATCCTATAAATGAGAAGAGTAATAGTACATACTATATAGAAGTTATCTCAAGAAGTAATCTGTGTAAATAAAGCAGGTAGTATGGTGTCATCATATAGTAAGAGCCTAATAACAATAATGATAGCAATAATTGCAGCAAGAATTTATTGCTTACTAAGTACCAGGCACTATTTTAAGAGCTATACGTGTATGATACCACTTAATCCACACATCTGCCGTATCAAGTAGATATTATCATTAGCACCTATTTTATAGTGAACAAACTGATCCACAGAGGGGTTAAGTAACTTACAAATGTTTACTGTGATAGTCACTATGGCTATTCAAAAATATTTAGATCTCCTTTCAGAAACATAAGAGGAAACTTCCTCACTGCCTCAGAGAAGACACAAGGACCATGTAACTCATGGGCAATGAAAGTGAGTGACATATGATTCTTCTGGGCAGAAAATCTGAGTCTATAAGCAATTTGCCATGTTTCCTTCCCCTGAATACAGTGACTGTGGAAGTATATATTATAATGTAGTTTACATCCGCCTGGTTGTCTAAGTGACCACAAATAGCATAGCCCCATGTTGACTCACTTTGGACAAATAGCATAAGTGAGAAAAGAAAGCCACTGAGATTTTGTGGTTGTTTATTACCACAGCAATATAAATAGCAATAACCTAGCCTATCCTAACTGACACCTTCTCAGTTAATAAATTTCAGATTTAAGTAACATCATTATCTACTTATTTATAGTTAATACCCAAGGTTTCAAAATAAATTATGGGAGAAAACAGTACATTTCTATCCATTTACTTCTTTTTGTGTGTGTAAACCAACAAAAGTTCACTATTATCTAGTTTAATACCACAATTTAAGAATTGTTGGTCTAAATGTCTTCATGATCTTAGGCTAGGCAAAGATTTCTTAAAGAGGACAAAGCACTAACCACATTAGAGAAAAGTGACAAATTGGAGTTCACTATAGTTAAGAATGTCTGTTCATCAGAAGATCATGTTAAAGGAGTAAAAAGGCAAGCCACAGACTGGGAAATTATATTTGTAATACATATATTCCCTAAAGACTCATATTTAGAATATACGAAGAACTCCTAAATATCACTAAGATTAAAAATAAATGACCCATTTTTTTAAAAAAGGGGGCTAAATACAAAGCAAGCACTTCATAAAGAGACTATCCAAATGATCAATAGCTATAGAAAAAGAGACAGTATTATATACCCACCAGAATGGCTAAAATAAAAAAAAATGACAATACACAGTGGTAGCAAGGATGGAGAGGAACTGAAATTCTCTGACGGTGCTACTGGGAATCTAAATGGGGACAATCATTTTGGAAAACTATTTAGCAATATCTGTTAAAATACACCTATCCTATGAACCAGCAACTCCATTCCTAGTAATATATCATAGAGAAATGAGTGTATATAACCAACAGAAGACATGTATGCGAATGTTCATAGCAGCTTTTTAAATAATAGCCTCAAAGTGGAACCAACCCATGTGTCCATCAACAGTAGCATGGATATGTTATGATATAGTCCTACAATGAAATCAGTGGAATACTATACAGATTGAACTACTGCTACATGCAACATGGATGAATTTCATAGATATAATGATGAGCCAAGAAGCCAGACCCACGAGAATAAATATTCTATGAATATATTTATATGAAGCTCAATAACAAGTAAAACAACCGTATAGTGACAGAAATCAGAATAGTGGTTATCTCTCGTGGGGAGAGAGAAGGTAATGACTGAAGAGCCTCCTAGAGTGACGAAAATATTCACAGGCACATATATATCTATGTAAAAATTCATTGATTTTTGTACTTTACTGTATGTACCACAGTTTTAAAAAGTAAAAGAAAAAAAGCAGCATTGGTTAAGATGAGAATTCCAAGATTAGAAGGTCCCACAAAGATCACTGAGTCCAATCATACAACCAAGGCTCAGCCCCCAACCTGAAAGCCTCTCTTGGGAATGTCTACTTCCACTTCTCAATAGCTCTGACAATTGTAAAGTTATTCTTTATAATGAACTCCAAACCTACGGACGGGCGTGGTGACTCACGCCTGTAATCCCAGCACTTTGGGAGGCTGAGGCAGGTGGATCACGAGGTAAGGAGATCGAGACTATCCTGGCTAACACGGTGATACCCCGTCTCTACTAAAAAAATACAAAAAAATTAGCCGGGCGTGGTGACAGGTGCCTGCAGTCCCAGCTACTCGGGAGGCTGAGGCAGGAGAATGGTGTGAACCAGGGAGGCGGAGCTTGCAGTGAGCCGAGATCACGCCACTGCACTCCAGCCTGGGTGACAGAGGAGACTCCGTCTCAAAAAAAAAAGAAACTTGAAAACATTTTCTCTTGAAATGAAATTTATCTGGTTTAAAATTGGTAGTAAACAGGCATTTTTTCAAGGGTTTTGGGAAATGCTAGTAGCCTGAAAGCTGTTTCAAATTGTTGTGCTTATAATTTTCTACCAAACGTACAATTAAGCATCTTATTGTATTAAAACCAGCTTCAAAAACAATAATTAAAAACTACATCTAAGATGGAGAAAGCAAACCCAAGCTATATAAGAAAATGCAGAGTATCTTGTAATATCAAATCATAATAGATGTGTATAACCTATAAAACACGTGAATACATTAATATTGTGAAATATGGTCATTTTTTGCTTTATTCTGATTATTCTGATTAAAAGACATGTCATATACTTACTGTGGTTGCATTATGGCATATTTATGTGACTAAAATAGTTAATAATATTTACAAACAATATTGTAAATCTCAGGAGTAACCAAATGCGATTAGACTAACTTTTCTTTGTAGGGCCCTTATGTATTTTTTTAAAATTGCAGTTTGGCTGGGTCCAGTCGCTCACACCTGTAATCCCAGCTCTTTGGGAGGCCAAGGTGGGAGGATCGCTTGAGCCCAGGAGTTTGAGACCAGCCTGGGCAACATAGCCAGATCCTGTCTCTAAAAAAAAAAAAAAAAAAAAAAAATTAAAACTAAAAACCTAGCTTGGTGTGGTGGTATGAGCTTGCAGTCCAAGCTACTTGGGAGGCTGAGGCGGGAGGATCACTTTTGCCTAGGAGTTCAAGGCTGCAGTGAGTTATCATGCCACTGCACTCCAGCTTGGGCCACAGAGCCAGATCTTGTCTCAAAAAAACGAACAAAATTGCAGTTCTAGAAAAGAAGACAAAGTTATTTAGTCAAGACTGCTATTGAGAACTCTCTATCTTTACTTTTAAAGAGTTTCAACTTAGGGCTGCGCACAGTGGCTCACACATGTAATCCCAACACTTTGGGAGGCCGAGGCAGGGAGATCATCTGAGGTCAGGAGTTCAAGACCAGCCTGGCCAACATGGTGAAACCCCATCTCTACTAGAAAAATACAAACATTAGTCAGGTGTGGTGGCGCATGCCTGTAATCCCAGCTACTCAGGAGGCTGAGGCAGGAGAATCGCTTGAACCCAGGAGGCAGAGGTTGCTGTGAGCTGAGATCACGCCACCGCACTCCAGCCTGGGCAACAAGAGTGAAACTCCGTCTCAAAAAACAAAAAAAAAGTTTCAATCTAAAAAATGTGGGTAGGTGTATTCCTCTGTGGGGGCTTAAATAAAATCTGCACACACTGCCAATTTAGCTTAGCACTGAGAAGACTAATCATCAAAAACTTCAAAAACATCAAAAACCAGAGGAAACAAGCAACTCCTTCATGCTCTCAGGGCACAGCACACACCTATGAAGTACTTCCCGACCTATAGTTTACCTAGGATGGCATGATCTATTTTCTTATTCATTACATATTTTCAGTAATATGTACCAGGTACATGGTTAAGATACCAGCAATACAATGGTGAACAAATTGTCTCTGCCCTCATGAAAAACTACAGTTGGAGATGAAAGACGTTCAGCAAATATACCAATAAATAAACTTTAAATTTGTTTAAAATGCTCTGAAGGAAAAGAACAGAAAGCTATAGAATAACAGGGGAGACTTCATTTAGACAGGGGACCTCTTTGAAGAAGGAACACATAACCTGAGAGCTAAATGTTAAGTAGGCACATTGCATACTGAGGAATTAGCTTATTAGGACCCAGAGGTGAGAGAGAACTTGATGCTTTGGAGGAAGTGAAAGGCGGCTTGTGGCTGGAGAAAAATGAGCCAGAGAGGAAAGCAACAAAGACAGGTAGACAGGAACCAAATCCAGAACAGATCTGGGGCCATGTCAGAAATCCGGGTTTTCCCCAAAGTATAAGAGTAAACCTCTGAGGAATTTTAAGGAGAAATTTTAAGGAGGGGCATGATGTGACATTTATGCTTTCTAAAAGTTCATTCTGACTTCTGTGTAAAGAATAGATGTGTAAGAATGGATCTAGAGGCCAGGTGTGGTGGCTCACACCTGAATCCCAGCACTTTGGGAGGCTGAGGCAGGTGGATTACTTGAGATTGGGAGTTTGAGACAAGCCTGGCCAACATGGTGAGATCCAGTCTCTACTAAAAATACAAAAATTAGCTGGGCATGGTGGTGCACACCCATGGCCCCAGCTACTTGGGAGGCTGAGGCAGGAGAATTGCTTGAACCTGGGAGGCAGAGGATTCAATGAGCCGAGAACATGCCACTGCACTCCAGCCTGGGCAACAGAGTGAGACTCTCCATCTTGGGGGAGGGAAAAAAAAAAAAGAAAATGGATCTATAAAGATCAGTAGGGAAGTAGTTACTGCAATAGTCCACCAGTCCACCATAGCATGACAGTGGCTTAGAAAAGGATAACAACAGTGGAGATGTAGCAAAGAGGGTGGATCTGAGATATATTTAGGAGGTAGAATCAATAGAATCTTGCAGTGGTCTGGATAGGGGGGTGTGTAAGTGTGTGTGTTGAACGGGTAAGGGGATTAGTAAGAGGTCTCAAGAATGAGCCCAAGATTTTTAACGAAGAAATTAGTAGACTGAGTTGTCATTTATGGAGATAAGGAATACTCGAGATGTAGAAGTAGAAAAAGTATTAAGATTAGACATGTTCATTTTAAGATGCCTTTGAGATAAAATATCAAGTTGTACTCTGTATACAGAACAAAAGTCTGAGATGGAGACAGGAGTTTAGGAGTTTCCAGCAAGTATAGTAGATAGTATTTTAAAGCATGAATGTATGATATAACCTCAGGAGAGATAATAGGTTAAAAGGAGTTAGAATTGTGTTCTGAGGAACTCAACAGTTAGAAGATGAGTAGAGGAGGAACTGCAAAAAGGACATGAACAGAGGTAGGCAGAGAGCCAGGAATGCGTGGTGTCAGACTATCTCAAGAAAAAAAAAAAAGATGCACCTACATGTTACTGAGGTTAAATGAGAATGTAAAAGATGCCCAAGTTTTTTGACAACATGGAAGTTATTAGTAACCTAGTAGAGCCCTTTTGATGGAATGGTGGGGTAGAAGCATACCACCTACATGGTTTGTGTATAGGGAATGTAGAGAAAAATAATACAGTCCTTCAAGTCATTGAGGGAGTGGAGGGTTTAAGTAAACTTAAAGTACAAAACAAATGGCTGGGTGCAGTGGCTCACACCTGTAATCCTAGCATTTTGGGAGGCCGAGGCGGGCGGATCACTTGAGGTCAGGTGTTTGAGAGCAGCCTGGCCAACATGGTGAAACCCCATCTCTACTTAAAAAAAATACAATAAAAGAATTTAGCCAGGCATGGTGGCACGCATCTGTAGTCCCAGCAACTTGGGAGGCTGAGGCAGAAGAACTGCTTGAGCCCAGTAGGCGGAGGCTGCAGTGAGCCAAGATCGCGCCACAGCACTCCAGCCTGGGTGACAGAGAAGACTGTCTCCAAAATAAATAGACTATAAAACAAAAATTATGCAAATTTTAAGTGTACAGCTTGACAACTTTTCATAGACTGTATCACCTGTAGCCTTATCAGAATAAACAGAATATTACAACAAGCAGAAATCCCCTACCTTATGCCCCTTCCCATTCACTATCCCTGTAAAAGTAATTACTATGACTTCTAAGATTTGTTCTGCTTGTTTCTGAACTTTATTCATATACTATGTAATTATTTGTACTTACATGCACTTATCTGGCTTCTTTTGCTCGATATTATGCTTGGTGATCATCCATGTAGATACAAGAAACATTTGTTTACCCATTCTATTTCGATGGACATTTGGGCTATTAAGAATGATGCTACTATGAACATTCTTGTCCATTTGTGTCTTTTGGTGAACATATAAATTTCTGTTGGGTGTATACCTAGGAACAGCTGGGTCAGAGGGTGTATGATCACCTTTGGAATATACGGCCAAATTGTTTTCCAAAATGGCTGTAAAAATACACACACCTACCAGAAACATATGAGTTTCAGTGTCTTCACATCATCAATACTTGATATTCTCAATCTTTTTAATTTTAGCCATTTCAGTGGGGATGTAGTGAGAGGCCTCAAGATACTGAGAGGTCCCAAGTATCTCACTGTGGCTTTAATTTGCACTTATTTAATGTAAATAAAATAGCTGGGTGCATATTGGCCTTTGGATAGTTTCTTTTGTGGAGTGCCTATTGAAGTATTTTGTCCTTTTCAAAATTTGATTATTTGTTTTTTCCTATTTATCTGTAAGAGCTCTACAAGTCCCTTGTTGAATACATGTATTACAAATATGTATTCTCACTCTGTGACTAGTGTTTTCACTCTCATAATGTCTTTTGAAGATAAGTTTTTAATTTCATAAACTCCAATTTCATGAGTTTATGAAGTTTTTAATTTCATAAACTCCAATTTCATGAGTTTATGAAGTTTTTAATTTCATAAACTCCTTCCTTTTCGGATCATTACCTACTCCAAGATCATAAAGGTGTTTTCCAGTTTCTCCCTAAATTTTTCTTTCACATTTAGCTCTATAATCCAACTAGACCTGATTTTTGTATATGTTGTGAGGTAAGGGTTCAAGATTCATTCCCTGCCCCTTCCACACAAAACCAGGCACCATTCAATGAAAAATCCATCCCTCCCCTACTGTGGTGGATGCTACTGTTGTCATAAATTGATTACATACATATGGGATTGTTTCTGGGCTCTCAATTATGTTCCACAGATCTGTCTATCCTTGCGCCATTACCACATTGTAATTACTGTAGCTTTATAATAAATCCTGTTATCTGATAAAGTCTTACAACTTTGTTCTTCAAGTTTGTCTTGACTACTTAGTCCTTTTCATGTCTATGTGAATTTTAGAATCAACTTGTAAGTCCCTCCTTCCATCATGTACACAAATCACCTGAGATTTTATTAGGATTCCATTTAATCTATAGAGCAATTTGGAGAGAAATGATATCTTTACAATACCAAGTCTTCCAATCTATGACTACCTATTATATCTTGTTTCTCTCTATGTTTTATAGTTTTCTGTGTAAAGATCTTACAAGACTTAAATTTGATTTGTTTGATTCTATTGTAAATGGCATTTTAAAAATTTCACTTTCTAACTGTTGGTTGCTCGTGTAAGTTTGCTTATTAATTCTAATAGTTTGTCTATAGATTCTTTTAGAGTTCCTATATTCCCAAGTAACACATTTAGGTTCACGAAAGAGATTGCTCTGTAAATATCTTCTCTCAAAATATCACTGCCAGCTCTTGGCATTAAGGCTTAGATGATCTCATAAAACGACTTGTATTCTATTGAAGAGTTTGAGTAACACTGGGGTTATTTCTTCTTTAAATATTTGTAAGAATTCACCAGTGAAGTCAGGTAGACCTGGTTTTCTTTGAAGAAATTTTTTTTTTTTTTTTTTTTTTTAGAGACAGGGTCTCTAACATCCAGGCTGGAGTGCAGTGGCACAATCACAGCCCACTGTAACCTCGAACTCCTAGCCTAAACCGATCCTCCTACCTCCCGAGTAGCTAGGACTATAGGTGCACGCTATCATGCCCGGTTAATTTTTAAAATGTTCTTGTAGAGACAGGGTCTTGAACTCCTGGACTTAAATGATTCTCTAGCTTTGGCCTCCTGAAGTGCTGATGTTACAGGCATTAGCCACCATGCCCAGCCAAAATTTTAAATACTGAATTCAATTTACTTAACAGATAAAAACAGTATTCAGATATTCTATTTCTTCATGTCAATTTTTTATATGCCAATTTTAATAAAGCATTTAACAATTTGTCCATTTCATCTAAAATTTCAAATCTGTCTATGTAAGGTTGTTCATAGTATCTTCCTACCTTTTTGACATCTGTAGAATCTGTAAAGAAATTTTCCCTTTTCATTCCTGATACTGGTAATTTATGCTCTTTTTTTTTTCTTTATCAATATTGCTAGAGGTCTATGCATTTTACTAATCTTTTTAAGGAACCAACTTTTGGTCTTGTTATTTCCTAATGCCAATTTGTTGTCTTTTTTTTTTTTTTTTTTTGAGTCGGAGTTTCGCTCTTGTTGCCCAGGTTGGAGTGCAATGGCGCGATCTCGGCTTACTGCAACCTCCGCCTCCAGGGTTCAAGTGATTCTCCTGCCTCAGCCTCCTGAGTAGCTGGGATTACAGGCACCTGCCACTACGCCCAGCTAATTTTTGTATTTTTAATAGAGATGGGCTTTTGCCATGTTGGCCAAGCTGGTCTCAAACTCCTGACCTCAGGTGATCCACCCACCTCGGCCTCCCAAGGTGCTGAGATTACAGGCGTGAGCCACTGCGACTGGCCAACAATTTGTTTTCTATTTCATTGATTTCTATTTTTTTATTATTTCCTTTCTTCTACTTACTTTGGGTTTAATTTGCTGTTCTTTTCCTACCTTGATGGGTATTTAGATAACTGATTTTTTACTTTTTTCTATTCTAATATATGCATTTAAGGCTATAAATTTTTCATTGAGTATATCTTTAACTGATTCACATGTATTTTCATAATCACGCTGTTGTAAATGTGTTCTAATTGCCATCGTGATTTCTAGATTGGCAGTTATTTTCTTTAAGGAACTTAAAGGTTGCATTCTCTGAGAATATATCCAAGGGAAATGAAATCACTATGTTGAAAAGATATCTGCACTCTCAGGGTTATTGCCAGATTATTCACAATAGCCAAGATATGGAATCAGCCTCAGTATCCATCAACAGATGAACACAGAAAATGTGGTATATACGCACAATGGAATACTATTCAGCTTTAAAAAAAGGAAGGAAATCCTGTCATTTGCAACAAAATGAATGAGCCTGGAGGGCATTATCTGTTAAGTGAAATTAGCCTGGCACTGACAAATACCATATGATCTCATATGTGGAATCTAGAAAACCTGAACTCATGGAAGTATAGAGTAGAATGGTAGTTACCAGGGGTGGGGTGGGGCTGGGAAGATGTTGGTCAAAGGACACAAAATTTCAGTTTGATAGGAGGAATAAGTTTGAGATATCTATTGTACAACATGTTAACTATAGTTAATAACAATGTATTATATTCTTGAAAATTGCTAAGAGAGTAGATGCTCAGTGTTTTTACCACATAAATTGTGTGAGGTAATACATATGTTAATTAGCGCAATTTAGCTATTCCACAATGTATACATATTTCAAAACATCATGCTGTACATGATAAATACATATAATTTTTGTCAATTAAAAAAACAAAAAAAACCAGCTGGGCATGGTAGCTCATGCCTGTAATTCTAGCACTTTGGAAGGCCAAGGCAGGCAAATCACCTGAGGTCAGGACTTCGAGACCAGCCTGGCCAACATGGTGAAACCTTGTCTCTACTAAAAATACAAAAATTAGCTGGGTGTGGTGGCATGCACCTGTAATCCCAGCTACTTGGAAGGCTGAGGCAGGAGAATCGCTTGAACACAGGAGGCAAAGGTTGCAGTGAGCTGAGATCACGCCACTGCATTCCAGCCTGGGTGACAGAGGGAGACTCCATCTCAAAATAAAATAAAATAAAATAAAAAATAAATAAACCAAGTAGGTAAAAGCAAAAAAACAAACAAAAAAGTTACATTGTATTGTTTTCTGGCCCCCATTATTTCTGTTGACAAGTCAGATGTCAGTCTAATTGTTCCTTTGAAGATTATGTGTCTTTTTTCCTCTGGTTACTTTCAACAGTTTTATTTTTACTATGAAGAATGAAAGTGTGGTACTCCTTGTATTTATTCTGCTTGTCGTTTCTTGCACTTTTCAAATCCATGGCTTGATATTTGTCATCGGTTTTAGAAAATTCTCAATCACTGTCTCTTAAAATATTACTGCTTCTAACTTTCTCTCCTCCAGTCATATGTATGTTAGACTTCTTCATCATTTCCTCATGTCTCTGTAATAGTTTCATATTGTTGCTGTCACAAGTTATCCAAAGCTATTGGCTTAAAGCAATACAAATTAACTTTCTTACAGTTCTAGACTCTGCCTAGCAAACACTGTGAGGGGAAAACAAGTTTTAAAAAAGTTTCTGGGTACTGTCCTTCTCTAGGGATCTTGACCCAAGAACTAGCTACCTGGAGATCTCTAAAATCCAAGTTTTGTCTGCTCCGCCCCATAAAACTAACAGCTTCTCTGCTTTTAGAAGAAACCCTCTGCTAAGTTTCACAGCATCTTGTCATGCTCTAAGAATTAGCAAATTCCTAGGAAAAAAGAGAAGCATGGAACATCAGCCCACTTCTCTGAAGCTCCTTTGGTTCTATGGTTGTGGTTTCTTAAGTCCTGGATGCCTCAGCAGGTCTCTGATGCCTTCACTTTTCTTTTTAATTCTCATCTTTCCTGTTCTTAGCAAAAGCATTAGTCTGCAGCAACCTCATCTCTCAGAGTCATAAGTGGAAACCATAGCTTGGGCTCTGAATAAAAACTCTACTGCTTATTAGTTAAGTGATTCGGCAAGTTATTTAACCTAGAGTATTTAAACATTTGAAGTTTCAATTTTCTTTCATGTAAAATGAACGTTAACACTATCTAATGAGGTTACTGTGAGGATGTGAAGATTAAATGAGACATATTTATAAAATGTCTGATAACAAAAACATTCTTATTGTAGGTTTTGTATGTGCCAAATACTTTATATAGATTTAATAATTTAATGTAGACATAGTTATCCTCCATTTCCTTTTCAAGACCACATATTAGTAAGTGATGAAGCTCAGATTTGATTCTAGAACACCAGTTTTCAATAACTACAAATTGTTGCTTCTATAATGTTGCTTGAGTATTGTTCCTGACACAAGTAAGTGGTCAGTAAATGTAAATTATTATTATATAGAAAATATAAATGCTTCAGAAATAGACACCAATCACATTAGTTTTTCTACTTTTTCTTCTGATGTTTCTCCTTTTCATTTTTGCAAAAACATTCTTACAACATCTTTCAATGTATTCTTAAAGACGCTATTGTGAAAAATGAATGTCTTACAGCCCACTGAGTAGATAGGCAATAATTTGCTTAGGCATTATTATATTGTTGAATATTTAGAAGGTTTCAAGTTTTAGACAGTATAGATATCAGTGCTATTAACATTTTGTGCCTTTAACTATTTTTCTTATTTAAAGTATTTTCTCAGAATGAAGTTCTATATGTGGAATTATTGGCTCAAAAGTATGAACATTTTATTATTTGTTGATATAACTGCTACTGTTATTAAGCCAAAAAGTTATGATAATTATGATGCCATCAAGCAACAAACATGAAGGTTTGTATCAAGAGAACAGGAATTAAAGCTATGAAGTATAGGAATGAAGGACATGTGGACATGGGGGAAAAAAAGGAGATATGAATTTTGAGGCTGGAAAAGAAAAAATGGGGTGCTGGAAATCATTTCTTTTGAAGCAGGCAAGCGCTAGTAATCCCAGCTACTTGGGAGGCTGAGGCAGGAGAATTGCATGAGCTCACTAGCGCCACTGCACTCCAGCCTGGGAGACAGAGCAAGACTCCGTCTCAAAAAAACAAAAAAAACAAAAAAACCCACCATATTAAATTATTATTATTTTGTTTAGTAGAGATGGGGTCTTGCTATGTTGCCTGTGTTAGTCTCAAACTCCTGGCCTCAAGCAATCCTCCTGTCTCAGCCTCCCAAAGTGTTGAGATTATAGATACAAACCACTGTGCCCGGCCAACATATTATTTAAAAATTATACATATAAATTGCAAAACAACCACACAGATTAAAGGCCTATGTTCTAGAGGCTCCCCCCTCCTTTTTTTTTTTTTTTGAGACAGAGTCTTGCTCTGTAGCCCAGGTTGGAGTGCAGTGGCTCGATAACAGCTCACAGCCTTGAACTCCTGGGCTTATGCGATCCTCTGGCCTCAGCCTCCTGAGTAGCTATGACCACATGTGTATATACCACCATGTCTGGCTATTTTTTATTTTTTTGTAGAGACAGCATCTCACTATGTTACCCAAGCCGGTCCCAAACTCCTGAGCTAAGGCGATCCTTCTGCCTTGGCTTCCCAAAGTGTTGGGATTACAGAAGCCACCACACCCAGCCTAGAGTCCACTTATTTGGTGTGTAATCTCGAGCCTTGAATTGCCTTATCTATAAATTGGGATTAAATTTTATAATATCCGACTAAAGCCAGAATTGGAACATCGTATCTCTTGTTTTATATTCCTGATATTAAATTTGTTTTGTGAGTATACCATACTTCAATAAAAATGAAGGAATCTCTCCTTTTTTGCTGATATGCTTTGAATGTCTTACACGCTATGCTTTGAATATCTTATCTTGTGATGAATATCCTGTTAAGAATCTTATGTCAGACTTTAAGTTACTATTTTAAAAGGTTACTTTACTTTGTGGGATTCTCTGAAGGCCAAGCCATTTGCCTGCTCTTTCTACAATCACATAAATCTTACTGGGTATACCCAAAGGCCGTTGCTTTTCTACAGCTGCCTTCCTCCTTCTTTGTTACCATCACAGATTTTGGGGTAGTAGGTACCTGATCATCAGGGAGAACACAGAAGGCCTTGAAAATGTGGGTTTAACCATACCAAGATCTTTCGCTCTGTTTATGTACTATAGCCTCCCCAGTAAAAACAAAACAAAACAACAAACAACATCTCTGCTAAATGCTTCATTATGAACACAGGTAAGTCAGTGCTTGATTGTCCCAAGTTCCAGTTCAGATTTTCCACTTTCCATTATCCTCCAGTAAATTTTAGTAGTGATACTGAGGGATCATGCAGTATGAGAATAAACACTGGCCTTAGAGGATCTGCATTCAAATCCTGTCTCTACCACTTACTGGTTAAGTGATTTTGGGCAAGTAATCTAATCTTTCTAAATCTTATTTTTCTCATATGGAAAAATGCCAAATTATTAGAATTAAGATAACATGTAGTGCCTAGCACAATACTACATAAATGTTAGTCAAGTGGGAATTGGAATTATGGCTCAGTGTGGTCTGAATCTGAATATTATTCAGAAAATAAGGACAGCAGCACTGAATAAAATTTTTTTTTGAGCTGAATAAAATTAGAGAATTTTGATTTCTAGGATCCTCAAAAATCCATATCCTTTAAAGAAGCCATATGGGGTAACATGTATAAGGGTCCTGAATTCCTTCATGTTCCAACAGATCCAGGTTCCAAGGTATGGAAACACTTATCAGATTATAAGCAAAGAGAACAATAATTTTATGTGTGTTCAACTAGCCAAATATTTTTGCTGGTAAAATCGTGGTGAAAACAACATCCTTATACATTGCTGTTATCATTAAAAATCAGTACAATCTTTTAGGGAAATGTAGGTATCATATCTAGAACTACCCATGCTTGTAGAACCATTAATCACACTCATAAGATTTTATCTTCAGAAAAAAAGTCAAATAAGGAAAATAGCTATAGTTTTATTTAATAGTGCCTGGCACATAAAAGGCACTCAAATATTTCTTCAAATGAATACCTTTATTTGTACTGACTTCTCCAAATCACTGCCCTTGGTTCCTTCTCATTAAGATTTATCTATTTTTATTACCTGAGGAGAGCTTTAGAATCAAATTCTAACATCTTTGTCTAGTCTCTATTCTCCCATCTTCCCCAGTAACTTTGTTTTGATTGCTACTAGACTCCTTACCTTAGAATACTCCCACTCTTTAAACTCAGCTGACCGTAACACAGAAACCAAAAAGACCATATACCACATCCTTGACCTAATCAAGAAGAAATCTGAAGCTTCCTTCAAGGTCATAAGATGTTTTTCTCCTTTGTTAATACCTCTGTAGTCTAAGTATTTACCAAAATCCCTGCTACATTAAGACAAAAACCCAGAAGCTATCCTCATATCCATCCTCACCTGATCCTTAACATACCTTTAGCCCTGTACCTAGCTGCTTATATTTCTCTCTAGGATCTGAGAAAGAATGATCATTTCCTTGCTTTCACACCTCTTGCTTCTTTCTTCTGGCTCCATTCAAAATTCTCTATTCTTCAAGTCTAAGTATCTCTCTCTTTTAGATATAATTCACATACCATAAAACTGACCCCTTTAGTGTATATTTCAGGATTTTTTTTGTACAGTTGACCCTTGAACAACATGGGTTGAACTGCATGAGTCTACTTATATGCTGATTTTCTTCTGCCTCCACCACTTGAGACAGTAAGACCAACCTTTCCTCTTCCTCCTTCTCAGCCTACTCAATGTGAAGATGACAAGGATGAATACCTTTATGATAATCCACTTCCACTTAACGAATAATAAATAGTAAACATATTTTTTCTTCCTTATCATTTTCTTAGTAACATTTTCTTTCTCTAGCTTATTGTAAGAATACAGTACATAGTACATGTAACATATAAAACATGTGTTAATCAACTATTTATGCTATTGGTAAGGCTTCCAGTCAGCAGTAAGCTATTTACGTAGTTAACTTTTTGGGGAGTCAGAAGTTATACATGGATTTTTGACAACACAGGGGTTAGCACCCCGAACCCCCTCATTGTTCAGGTGTCAACTGTATATTAGTATACAAGATATTTTAGTATATAAGGTTATGCAACCACCACCACTATCTAATTCTGGCACATTTTCATCACTTCCAAAGGAAACTCCATACTAGCAGTCACTCCCATTCCCATCCACTAATGTACTTTCTGTCTCTATTAGTTTTGCCTAATCTAGACATCTTAAATAAATGGAATCACATAATAGGTTGCCTTTTGTATGTGACTTCTTTCACTTTAATATTTTCAAGTTTTATCCATGTTACAGCAGGTATTGCTACTTTGTTTCTCTTTGTTGCTGAATAATATTCCATTGTATGGCTATATCGCATTTTGTTTAGTCATCCAATAATTAATGGACATTTGAGTTTGCCTTTTACAAATAAGGCTGCTACAAATATTTGTGTGCAAGTTTTTGTGTGAACATGTTTTAAGTTCTCTTGGATATATACCTAGGAGTGGAAATACAAGTTAAGTGTCCAAATATTTGATATAAAAATCTATTTGGTTTCTGAGTTCAGGTAGCAGAGGGTATCTCTCACAATGCAAACAATTCTATATTAAGCTCTCCATGCCATCCCTACTCAAACACCTACCATCTTCAAAGTCTGCAGATATTAGTAACAATTTACTTTTTTCCAATTAAATTGAGGAGCAGAGATCAGTTCTTACAGCTCCAGTTATATAGGAGGTGCTTAATATATGCTTATCTGACACCCTAAGAAGCTCCCAAATGAGAGAATGATGACTTACTATTCACTCTTTCATTTTATAGATATTTGAGTGTCTAATGTATGATAGCCATTGTGCTGATGCTGGGCATAATTGTGGACAAAAGTTATTGATCAGTTTTGTCATACTCCAAGAGCCAGCTCACGTCCACAAATATTTACTGAATACCTATGATGTGAATGGTCTTGTGCCAGGTATGACAGCACAGAGTGGAATAAGACCTAGTCTGCAGCCTTTTAGGGAAGGCATAAACTCTACCTACAACAACGCAATAAAAACAAACAAGAGGAGCACTGGACAGTAAGTGCTGTAAGAAAGGTATAATGCTCTGGAGAGTTAATGGACAGAACGTGTACAGTTTGGGAGAGTGTAGAAGAGGATGGATATCAGAAAATATTTCTTAAATGTGGTACTTGAGAAACGACCTCAAAGAAAGTGGCATTTTGATAGATGGGGATTCCTAGGAAAAAAGAGTGTTTCAGGCAGAAAATAGCATGAGCAAAAAAAAATATTAATGCTGGGTGCAGTACAGATTTTTTTCCCCCCAGAGGCGATCCCGTTTGGATGTGTAGATGAATAATGTGAGGTATGATCATAGTGTGAAAGGTCATTTTTGGTTTTCGTATTTAAATAAGTTTAGGAGAATGAGTTGAAAGTCTGCCTGTAACAATTCAAATTACCTTAGTGATTTGTGCCAAGATTAAGATTCCTTTTCTTGAAACTTTTCTATTTTGTATATCTTCTAATCATGGAAATTAGTGATTTCTCCTTCCCACAAGGAAAAAAAATTAAATCTTGACAACTGTGTGAGCATGCTGATAGGGGGACAAGGCTGAAGCTCAGTCAGTCTACCACTGCATCCCATACTGTGGGGAAAATGTAAAGCTTAAAACAGACATGTGGGCAAATCACAATAGCCAGAGTAGCAGAAGCAAGATTGGGGGTAAGATAATTGCATTAATGAAGCTTCTGGCACCAGGCATTGGACCAGGAGATTTACATACAACATTCTGATTCCACCAAACAACCCCATTTGGATTTAGGAAAACTGAGGCTTAGGGAGGTCAAATAAATTGCTCATGGTTACCAAGCTAGTAAGCTCAGCCAGTAAAATGCAGAGACCAGTGCTGAATTTGGGCCTATCTGATCCCATATTTTCCCCACTGTTCACTCTCATTTGTTTTCACAATACAAAAGAAGCTAGAATGGTAGGAAAATGATACATGTATCAATGAAAGGGACTGCATATTTAACACAGGGGCTTCTATGGTCTGGAGAAAAATTAGGCTGAAACATTCAAATCTGGGTTTAGAATGGCTTAGAGATTAAGACCAGGAGAGATCAAGTTTAGGGCTGCTTCTTTACCCAGTCTGAACAACGATCATAACATAGATCTTATTTAGGAATACCAAGGGAGCAAAATTCTAGTTTTAATTTGTAAATTAGAGAGTAAACTACAGTAGAATATGAATATTTGGCCGTATTTACTGTATTCAAAGTCCTGAGAACAGTGACTGGCATATAGTAGACACTCTAAACTTTTGCTTAAATAATGAAAAGTCACGTAAAGGGTATTCTCATTTGAATACCTGTGAAGGCTATGAAATAGAGACAGCAAAGCAGTAAGGTGAAAAACCATTCAGGTTCTTAAGATACTTTCTTTAATCCTCAACCCTACGGCAAAAACAACAACAAAAACAAACCACCACCAAAACGACAAACAAGGAAAGCAACAGTTGCAAAACATTAGCCTGATTTTACAAAGTAAAGTAGATGAAAGAATGAAAAGACACTTCTGTATTATGTATAACATCTCTGTGGATAATCTAATTTCAGTCAGATGGAATCCAGAATTGTGACCTACGGTTTTAATATTTCAAACTGCTGTGAGCAGTGTATCCAATGACTGTCTTTGGAAAAGAAAATGGTTATCTAATCCAAGTATTTGAAAAAAAGATTTGACACTTTCTTTGTTACATATATGGCAAGTAATGGAATGAAATCTCAAATTCATTAACTTGAAGTAACAGTACATGTACAAAAATATTAATTCTTTAAATTTTGATACTATATTTCTATTAAACATGCAAAGAAAACTGCACAAAGGGCATTAAGAAAAAAAAACCTTTGGAGGACAGCAAGCCTCTCTAAAGAAACATTTTTAAAAAGAATAAAAACAGGTTCTATGGACCTTCTCTCTCTATTTTTCACAAGCTTTTCTAATATTTCTTCTTTGATGGAACCAATGAATAACTGCCACTTATCACAAAATACCTTCTTTCAGATAGGTATTTTATATATTGCTTTCTTCTAAACAGATAGTTCTTCAAGCTGCTCAAGTCTTTCAGCTGCAACAATTTTTCTTATTTCTATTATACTGTATTTCTTCCATGGAGTACCATAAAGACCAATTTAATAAAGACAGTTTCCAAAAGGCAATATTACTCTATCTCAATCAGTATTTTAACATGATATTCTCTATTTTTTTCATTTAGTTCTACAATCTTTCCATACTTCAATAATTCCTAACACTACAGTTTCATTTGTCAGGGTGACCATATTATATTTTCTTCTATATTACATTAATATAGAAGATAGTGAACACTTCTTCTTTAATCAATTAATTCTTACTTCGGGCAGTCTACATGTTCCTAACCTATTAATAACCACAAAGACAATGTTTTGTCTTGCTTTTTCAGTCAACTACTGCAGCAATCGTGTGGTCTTTCAAAATATAAATCATACTTGATTTTAGGGTCTTAGATTCTTTTTTAAAAGTGACCACAGAAGATTAAAACATGTATTTTTTTTTACTGTAATATTTGGTTTAAAACATATTTTCTAATGAACCCTAACCCAAACAGCTATTTATTTATTTATCTATTTTTGAGACGGAGTCTCACTGTCGCCCAGGCTGGAGTGCAGTGGAGCGATCTTGGCTCACTGCAACCTCCGCCTCCCGGGTTCAAGCAATTCTCCTGCCTCAGCCTCCTGAGTAGCTGGGACTACAGGCGCACGCCACCACGCCCAGCTAATTTTTGTATTTTTAGTAGAGACGGGGTTTCACCATGCTGGCCAGGCTGGTCTCGAACTCCTGACCTCGTGATCTGCCCGCCTAGGCCTCCCAAAGTGCTGTGATTACAGGCGTGACCAAACAGCTTTTTAAAAAAACTATTATAGAATTAAAATAATCGCAGAGTCTGAGGCTAGATTAAGTACAATCCCAAAAGAAAAAGTACACAGGCCTTATTACTTCAAAAATTCTTGCAAGACAATACAGTTCTAGGTTCACTGATATATATACTAAAATTACTAACATTCAGATTTCACAAAGTAAGCTTCAAATAGATTGATTCCTTCAATACACAGACACACACCCTTCTAAGTATTGTGTTATCTGACAACAGAACCAAGGAATCAAAATTATTGAGTGTTTATTACCGCCTCACATATAGTTTATTAAAAATGAGCTACTGAAAACCAGAAAGTTCTTATTGACCTTTTGTCCTTTGTGAGCCAACTTTTTCCTGTTTAGAATCTGAGCTGAGTCTCATGACCCTTGCTTTATACTTTAAAACCACAAAGAACAGATACCATTTAAAAATCAGTGATGAATTAAATTACAAAGGAGGAAAATGTAATAAAATACAACTTTCAAAAATGTTACGTGTAAGCTACACATAAGAATTTTTAAGGCTGAAGAAGCTGTTCTCAGGCACAGGGCAAAACCTGTAGCCCAAAATCAACAGTCCTAATAATTTAAGATGTCAATTTTATCAGTTAAGGTAACCTCAAATTTGAGTACTTCAGTGTGATACTTTCATTCTGCTAAGATGAAAATGCCCCAGATTTTATGTAAAATATTCAGTCCCCTAAATAAAAAGTTATCTCCTTAAAAGAGAAGCTAGATTTCCTGTTGCATGTCAAGGCAGAGGGCACCACACTTCACCCAGCCAAGGCTGGACTTGAGTAGGGGTGCAGGTGTTGGCAATTCATCAGTCACACAAGCTATGTCGTCTTGCAAAGGTGCATAGAGATTTTTAACAAGGGCTTTCGAATTCTTTGAAGAAAACACAGACAATTTTGCTGGGGAGGAAATGCTCCATATTCCACGTGGAAGCAAACTCATAAATTCTGACTGCAGGTTGGTGTTCAGCACAACTTGGAATAATCTAACTTTTCACATAAAACACAATCCCCAAGCTGCAAGATAATGTCTCCGCGAATGGCACCAAGCACCACCTTTTCAAGCCCTCATCAGCACTGGAAGTGGGTCGGACACCCCCAAACCATCACCACCCCCCCACAGGAAGTGAGGGTGTCCCCCCTCCCCAGGACGGCCTTCCTCCCCTCCCCCAACCGGAAGTTGAGGCGCCCCCATTCAGCCGGCCTCCAACTGAGACAAACCAGTACCACCACCACCAAAAGAGGGGTGATCTTCAAGGGGTGAAGGGCATCTCGACTGGGGCCACCCCCAAGCTCGCCTTGCTTACTGACCTGCTGACGACAGGGGCAGGAAGGGGCCTAGGGCCAAAAGAAAGTCCCTTCCACAGAGGACAATTCCCTCAGCCCCTCTCAATCGCCTTCACTTCACGCACTCGTCGTCTCACAGCTGGACAAAAATTCTTCCGCAGCACTTTATTTTGGTGTCCTTTCCTTTTCTTTACCTAATCTCTTAACCACCTTTCCACAGGTAACTCCTCTTACCGCATAGCATTTACAATTGCTCCGGTGAGAAGAAAAATGAAATATTTTCCACGGTACCTTCACAAAAATGAAGGGATTATTTTGCCCCAATGCGGCGAAGGACTACGTGGTTACGCAAGGTGAGCCTTATTTTCGTGGAGGTTTCTGGGAGATGTAGTTTTTTTTTTTTTATTGCGAAGGCCCGCAGAAAGTAGAAGAACTGAAATTGGTCATGACTACATATTAGCGTCCTCGAAAACATATTCTGTATTCGATGACGGCTGACCTAGCGGGCCCCGACGCCCAAATGGGCCCAGACTCCCCTGGTCTTTTCCTCTGCGGCTTAATCGAACCCAAATTTTCCCTCACGCGGGCCCAAGGTCTCGGCAGCCCCGCCCCTTGTCTTAGCCCCGCCCTCCGCAGCCAATCAGGCACCCTTTAGGTCTCGTCCTCTGGAGGTTGGAAGGCAGAGAGGAGGGGCCTGGCGGTGACTCCTCCCGCTGGGGCTGAGGGAGACCTGGGAGACGACCGGGGCCCGTGAGCGCGCGCGTGCTCACGGCTCCAGGAGCGCGGCGAGCGGGCGAGGGCGCGCGCGGAGGGGCGGCGCGCGGGGCCGAGAGGAGGCGGGCAGGCTGGTGGGCTGGGCGGGCGGCGAGCGGCCGGGAGCGCGCGGTGGACTCGGCCGCGGCGAGTAGTTAGTTAGTTGTTGTTAGTCAGTGTCAGTTGCTCGGCGGCGGCGGCCGTGGTCACCAGGAAGGGGACGGGACGGACGGTGATGGTGGTCGCCGCGGCGGCGTGTGCGCCCCTCAGGTAACAGCGGCCCGGCTGTCCGCGTCCGCTCGGTTGTCTTCTACTCACGCGCCGTCTGTGGGACCAGGGTTGCCGCGGGTTGAGGGCGCTGACCCGGGGGAATCCGGGCGGGGCGGCGCGGGTTCTGGGTGGCGGCGCGGGTTCTGGGTGGCGCCGCCGCCGGGGCTCTGGCGGCCGGTGCGTCCCGCCCGGCGCGGGCTCTAGCTCCCCGGCCACCCCCGCGCCCCGCCGGTGCCGCGCGCCCCCTGCCGCCCCTGCCCCCTCCCTCGGCGGCGGCCCCGGGAGCGCGACGCCCCCCAGAGGAAGGAAAGTTGGGACCTGCCGCGAGGGACGCCCCCGGGCGCGGCTGGGAGGTTGCGGGGGAAAGTGAAGCCTGGAGGAGCTGGACGCGGGGAGGCCGGGGCAGGAGGGGCTTCTCTGGCTCCTGCCGGGTCCACACGGTCAGCCCGCTCCCGCACCCGGGAGCATCGGCGCAGCCTCGCCGGCAGCGTCGGGACGGAGCCGGGTGGCTCCCTGCCTGCTCCCTTCGCGCCGCGGCTGGGGAGCCCGCGAACGTGTGGGCTGGCGGGGTCGTTTGGGGGTTGTGAGTGGTTCGGCTGCTCAGTTTTTTTCTTTTCTGCCCTTTGACCCATCCGTTCTTGCAACTTTTCTTTCCTCCTTCGATGGGGACTTGCCGTCTGAACCGCGTCTGCCCCCTCCCCTCTCGTCGCATGCACCATCCGTCTGGGAGCTTGATTTCGTTTTTTCCTCCTTTGGCTACGTTAAAGATTGCTGAGAGCACCGGGAGAGACCCTCCTCCCCCGCCTGCCTCTGGCCTGTTAAATGTTACTTTTTGCGATTCGTTGTTTTTTAAAGATCCAAGTTCAGGAATTTGAGAGCTGTGGAATGGAGTTATTGGAAGGCTGACGTTGAGGGGGTAGTGATGAGTTAGAGGAAAACTATGATTTCATCTTTATTGGCCTTGCTATAGAAAACCTAATTGATTTTTTTTCTGCCTCTGTTGAATGTGGTAAGATCATACGTTGAATTAAATACTTAGAGACTTACATAAAAGACTATTTTTAGGTCATTGGATGATGTACGTGAACAGCTTTTCACCTGAATTGGGATTGCCTTGAGGATTCTGTTTTGGGGCCTACTTACTGATTTTTGTTCAGCCACAGCGTCTTTTTTTTTCCCCCGATAAATGAAGTGATGTAGTGATGTGTATAGTCAGAGAACCCATATTGCTCTCTGCAGTGTGGAAGTGAAAAACGTGAATTATCCACCGGGGTAAAACTTTCCATGAGCAATCTTGGATACTCACTTCATGATGGCTTCTCTCGTAATCTCAGAGCATTTCTAGATAGCTCAATTCACTGACGACCCTAATTACTTTCTGACTTGCCTGGGACTTCTCTTTGGTGACTTATTTAGTAAACTGTAATGGCAGATATGGTACATTTTCTTGGCTTCAAAGTTGAGGGTTATAGCCTCAGCCCAGAGATGAACAATGGAAGTAGAAGTCATAGCATTGCTAGTGAATTTTGGATATGACCAACTCACAAACTATGTGAAAAAACAAACATCCCCTTTTCATTGCTGTCGGGGGGGAAAGGGAAATATTTTATCATGTCTTTATTTTGGATTCTCTAACATGACTACATTATGTGGGAAAAAATGTCAAATTATTTTCTTTAAGGCTTTTTAATGTATGTTCCTTCTTTTCCCTCACTACCCCCCATCTCCTGTCCCAACTTAGAGGCTAAAATTTATGTGTGGCTGTGTTCTAGGGTTGGAAGAGAAGTGTTTTGGTGAAAGAAAAAGATAAGATCACTTTGAACTATTATGATACCTCAACTATTCGTTTTATCCAGTTGATAGTATACAGAAACTTTCACAATAATGTTTGTAGCCTATTAACATTCAAAATTCATTTTTAAGAGTCTACCCTGAAGGCCCATGAAGAAATAATGCCACTTCATAACTGTTTGCCGACAATCACATTAAAAAATATGTTCCTGGAATGCATTATACGTGTACTCATATAAACATTTATCTTTGTACATTTATGGTAATGTAAATATTTAAGTCTGAGAGCTTAAAAACTTTTATTTGCTTATTTGCATACATGTTTTTCAACATCTAGCAGTGCCAACCATATTTGCCAAATAAGCATCAGCTATAAATTCATGCTTTGGCACATTTCATATAATAACTCTTCTAAATTGTTCCGTGGTGAAGCATCATGAGATTAGCATTTGCTTCATGAGAGAGATTTGTTGTTCTTTTTAACTGTACTGATGTGCTGTTTAAGTGGAACGGGTGCTGGGCCCTAGCCATTTGTGTTGATACCTGCCAAATCATACCCTTTTGTTGGATGGGTTGTTTAAGTAATTTAGTAACCAAACTGTGGCCCCTGGCATGCCAAGTGTGAGTACAAGGCTCCATATCAGTGTTGCAAATCCCTGTTTTCAGTGTAAGAGGCAGATGTGTGTGATGAGCGTTATTCTGTCATTTGCTGATCTCTTTACTGTGATTCCTACCTCTTGCCCCCCTCCCCCCCCGCCCCGCATCCCCCCACCCCACTCTCCTTCCTAGTCCTTTCATTACTAAAGCTCCTGGTACTTTCTAGGTTCCCTCAAGGCTGGTTTGTTTTCCTTAGTGAAGTAGAAATCCTAGTAACCTTCAGGCCAGGAATAGATAGTTTACATTTGTTTGACAAATGTTTGAGTACCTTTTAAGTGCCAGGCATGGTGGTAGGTAGGACCTGAGTATTATAGAATATGAGATTCCTTTTTGCAAGGAGTTTACAGTTGAGGAGGAGAAGATAGGTGATAACCAATAATTATAGTATGACAGGGGCATGCACACATTCCTATGGATGGAAGCACAGAGGAGGGGTAGCTGACTCAGACTTCGGGGGATGGGTGGAGGGTGTCTAGAATGCATCTTAGAGTGTTACCTGAGCTAATCTTCAATAATAGGTAAGAGTTAACTAGGTCCAGAAAGAGGGAAAGTACATCTTATACCAGTGCTGTCCTATAAAATTTAATACAAGCCACAAATATGTTACATATACAATTTAAAATTTTCTAGTAACCAAATTTTAAAAAGTAAAAAGTGAAATTAATTTTAATAATATAAACTCAGTATATCCAAAATATCATTTCAACATGCATTCAGTATAAAAAGTAATATTGAAATATGACATTTCCATTTTCATACTGTCTTCAGAATCTGGTGCATAATTTTCTACTGTTTTCAGAATCTGGTGTGTAATTTACACTTATAGCACATCTCAATTTGGACAACTACATTCACATACTCAATAGCTGCAGGTGAGTGGACAGCAGCAGCACAGCTTTAGAACAGGGGTGGATGAAGTAATAAGCCAAATCAATGATTGTCTTGTGAACCAAGTTAATAACTTTAACTTAATTCCAAAAGTTGCGGGGATTTAGTGGGGAAAAAAAATTATGCTGTGGTAGAATCAGATTTGTATTTTAGACCTGTCATTTTGACAGTGAAGTGAATATTGAATTAGAGAGGGACAAAACTGGAAGCAAGGACCAGTTAGGAAGCTATTCCTGGTGAGAAATGATGAAGAGTGTAGAAGAGGGAGTGGCTCTATGAGAGATTTAGGAAGTATTATTAACGGGACAGGATAAATCTATTTAGATTATAGAATTGAGCAAGATTGAAGATTTTGGATGATTCCTACATTTCTGTTGTGATCCGCTGAGTAGATTGGGCAAGCAGCTGAAGAGAAGCCAACCATCTGTGCCAGACAGACCAAAGATGAAAAAAGGAAATAGAGATTTGTCATGGAAGCTGAGGGAGAATATTATTTCAAGGGCTAGGAGTGGTCAACACTGTATCCTGCCTCCAAAAGGAAAAGTAAGATAAAGACCTAATGAAGTCTCTGAGACTTGGTGATTAGGATGTCTTTTATAACTTCAGCTAGAGCACTTAGCTACATTGTAATGCATGGGGGTGGGTGTTGAAAAGTGAATGACAACTGTAAGTGTAGCTAATTGAGAGGGGTACAATGTTTTCAACAAAGGACTCTGAAGGAGTCTTTAAGCAGGGGGAGATACTTGGGATTTAGAGAATCTTGGACATTCTTAATGTGAGCCTGGAAAGAGCCACTGGAGAGGAGAAACTGAAGAAGAGTGTATATGTGTGTGTTTGGTGGGCGTGGGAGACTGGCTGGTGGATGGAGACAAGGATTTGAAGGTAATAAGGAATGGGATCCAGGGCGTAGGCAGAGAAGTTGGTCTTAAGTAGAAGGTAGTCTCACTTTTCCAGTGAGCAGAAAGGAAGGAGATGGATGGCAATGTAAATAAGTTTGTAACTGACAGGGCAGGAAGGAAGAGTTGATGACATGTCTTGTGTAATTTTTGATCATCTGCTAAGAGTGAAGGGAACGTGGTAGAATAGGAGTTTTTAAACAATGTATGTGAGGCCAAGTGCTGTGGCATGTGCCTGTAGTCCCATCTACTCAGTAGGCTGGGGCAGGAGGATCGCTTGAACCCAGAAGTTGAAGGCCAGCCTGGGCAACATAATGAGACCCTATCTCTTAAAAAACACACACACAAACAAAAAAGCCAGGTAAAATTAATCCACCCCTGTGAAAGGAATGGAAAAAAAGATAGTCTGTAGTTTATACATACTCTTTGTAAACGGCTTCCAAGGGAATGGCTAACAGTGGATGGGGTGGAGGTAAGGGAGAGAGAGGTAAACAGACACATGACTAGGAAACTGAAGAAGGATTGTTAGTTACATGACTAGGAAACTGAAGAAGGATTGTTAGTTAGCATTGAGGACCTGTTTATTTCAGATTGTAGACCTCACATTTGTAGCAGTACCAATTTTCGTGGTTGATTTTTCTCCAGCAGTGAGTGATCAGACTATCTGAAGAAACTATTTAATACTCTCAAGAACCTTATGAGTTATGTATTGTTACTGTTACTCTCCTTGTTTGTAAGATGAACAGCTTGGGTTTAAATTCTGCCCAGGCTGTTATCTGCTGCTTTGTAGATATCTGTTTGGTAGAGATATCTGAAGGACAGTTGGTTGAGGGAATTAATGATATTGAGTATTGTAGCTCTACTGAAGAACTATGGAGTCCTCCTGGATTATGAGCTGGAAGCCTGTAAGGAGGTGATCCAGTTGGGAGAAAATGAGGAGCATGAAATGCTAGAAGTCAGTGTGAAGCTGTAGAGCAAATGAAGAGCAAATAATACTAGCTTCTATTTGTGGAGTACCTCCTATGTGCTAGACACTTTAATACCTAATTCTGATCCTAACACTAACTCAACAATTTTGTTATTTACCTTATATTATTTCCTTTGTTCTCCTTCAGATGAAGAAACTGAGGATTAGAAAGGTTAAATAACATATTCAGACACACCCTGTCAAGTGATGGAACCAGGATTCAAAGCCCATTCTTTCTTGTCCAAACCATGTTCGTTTCAAGTCAGAGGATAAGATAGAAAATACAGTAATTGGGCCTGGCATAGTGGGTCATACCTGTAGTCCCAGCACTTTGGGAGGCCAAGGTGGGTTGAGGTCAGGACATTAAGATCAGCCTGGGCAAAATGGTGAAACCCCGTCGCTTACAAAAAAAAAAAAAAAATACAAAAAATTAGCTAGGCATGGTGGTGCACACCTGTAGTCCCACCTACTCAGGAGGCTGAGGTGGGAGGATCACTTGAGCCTGGGAGGTTCAATCTGCAGTGAACTGTGATTGTGCCACTGCACTCCAGCCTGGGTGACAGAGCAAGACCCTGTCTCAAAAAAAAAAAAAAAAAAAAGAAGGAAAGAAGGAAGGAAAGACAGAAGGAAAGGAAGGAAAGAGAAAGAAGGAAGGAAGGAAAGAAAGAAAAGAAAGAAAATGCAGGCTGGGTGTGGTGGCTTATTCCTGTAATCCCAGTACTATGGGAGGCTGAAGTGGGAAGATCGTCTGAGCCCAGGAGTTTAAGACCAGCCTAGGCGACATAGGGAGGCCTCATCTCTAAAAACTATAATAAATTAGCCGGGTGTGGTGGCATGTGCCTGTGGGCCTAGCTACTTAGGAGGCTGAGGTCAGAGGATCACTTGAGCCTGGATGGTAGAGGCTGTAGTGAGCCATGATTGCACCACTGCACCCCAGTCTGGGCAACAGAGTAAGACCCTGTCTCAAAGAAACAAACAGAAAAACTGCTGCTATATACTCTTCACCTGGGTTCCTCTAATGTTAACATCCTACATAACCATGGTGCATTTATCAAGCTAAGAAATTAGTATTGGTACGATGCTTCAACCAAGCTTCAAACTGCTTTAATATTTTACCAGTTTTTCTAGTATTCTTTTTCCATTCTGTTATCCAAACCTTGATATTGCATTGCTTTAGTTGTCTTCTTTGTCTCTCCCAATGTGTGGCAGTTTCTTGGTCTTTTCTTATCTTTTATAACCTTGACACAAGTATTTTGTAGAATGTTCTTCAGTTTAGGTTTGTCTGATGTTTTCTCATGATTAGATTGGGGTTATGGATTTTGGGGGAGAGTACTGCAAAGGTGAAGTGCCCCTATTATTTCATACAGGAGGTGCATGATATCAAATAATTTATCACTTGTGAGCACTCTGTTACGGTGGTTTCTGCTAGGTTTGTCCACTGTAAAGTTACTATTTTTCCTTTCCCATAGTCCGTGCACTAGAAACAGGTTGCTAAGTGTAGCCCACACTTAAAGGGATGGAAATTAAACTCCACTTCCTGGAGGGAGAAGTATAAAAGAATTTGTGGACATATATTAAAACCACCACAGTAATTGGTAAATATTTTGAGAGAGCTACTTTGAGGCTTTGCCAGTATCCTGTTTCTGCCCACTAATTTTAGCATTCATTAGTGGATCTTGCCTGCAGCAATTATTGCTGTGGCTTCTGAAGGTACTTTTTTAAATTTTCCTCATTCTTTCTACATTTATTAATTAGAATTCTTCTATAAGGAAGGTTTTCCCTTCTATCTAATCATTTATCTCAGTTCAAATTCATAGATATTTATTTTATTCTTAGTGTTAGAATTAAATGCTATCATTATTTTGTTGCTCAAATTATTCCAGTTTTGGCCCTTGGGATCTCTTTTAGGTCTACTTCTGTGTCTTTTTGGCATATTTCTATCCTTTTTTTATGCGTATGTACATGCACACTTCTTTATTCTCTGACACTACCACATGCTTCAGGTTCATCTTGTTTTTTTTTCCTACCTCAGCCCTAGAATCAATTATTTCTCTAAGGAACCTTGGTTCCTTTCATTGGAGGATGATATTTTGAAGCCAAGATCTGGATGCTAAGTGTGCTCATTGCTGTGGAGTATCATTGCTCCTAGACTTTCTCAGTGGAAAGAACTAGGAAATGCATGTATGTATACTAATCCACGTATCCATGTACAATTATGTAAAAATCTGTATTTCTGTATATAAAAATATAAATATACTGATTGTCTGTGACTCTAACTGGATATGTTTTGATACAGATAGATTTACTGATGGATTGGTTGTAGAATGTGAAAAGAAAAGAGTAATGGATCACTCCAAGGTTTTTGACTTGAGCAACTGGAAGGATAGAGTTGTCATTAATAGAAATGAGGAAGACTTGAGGACGGTGCAGAGCAGGTTTTTGGGGAGAGTTTAGGAGTTCTGTTCTAGACTGGTTAAGTTTTTGAGATGTCTAATAGACATGCTAAGTAATAGAGATATTAAGTCAGCAGTTGAACATGGGAATCTAGAGTTCAGAGAAGAATGGTCCAGGTTACATTTGGGACTTGTCAGTATAGATTAGATCACCTGAGGAGTGAGGGTAGCTAGAGAAGAGAAGAAATTTAAGGACTGGCCCATGGGGCATTCCAGTCAGAGAGATAAGGAGGAGCAGTTCCACATAATGATAAGGGCTGAGGTGTGGTTATAGGGTGGATTTCATATCATTAATAAACACTTAATACCTATTATTTGCAAGATACCAAGTTATGTTTGGGGTTAACATCACTCCCTCCATAAATTTATAAGACAAATTACAGACTTAAAAAGAGAATAGCAGTAGAAGGCCACATACCTGATAAAGATATAAAGTACTAGGGGCTGGGTGTGGTGGCTCATGCCTGTAATCTCAGCTCTTTTGGAGGATGAGGCGGGAGGATCACTTGAGGCCAGGAATTTGAGACCAGCCTGGGTAGTGAGACCCACCCCCAACCCCCATCTTTACAAAAAGTAAAAAAGTATTAGCTGGGTGTGCTGGCCCATGCCTGTTTTAGCTACTTAAGTGGCTGAGGCAGGAGGATTACTTGAGTCCAGAAGTTCAAGGCTGCAGTGAGCTATGATCGCACCACTGCTCTCTAGCCTAGGTGACATCGCAAGACTGTATTTAAAAAAAAAGGTATGAAGTACTAATGAAGCTTATTAGAGAATGTGGACATGAGAAACTATGAACTCAAATATGTGTCAGCTATATTTAAACACCGATGTAAGCATGTGTGCGTCAAGAAACTTGTCAAGGCTTTATGTACACACTAGTAATTATCAACCAGTAGAAGTTTCTCCATATGTTAACATTAGTTTCGGAGGTTGTTTCTGTTCTTACTTCCTTTCCATTATTAGGTCTTGGGTTGTTAATTGTGCCTGTAGTCATTGGCTATCAATTAAGCCACTCAGTGAACTGATGAGGAGTGTTTCTGCTGCCCTCGACTTTTTAATTTTTGGCTCTCTGCTACCTTTTCACAATCAATAGGATTTAACTTCAGACTGCATACAATCAAATGTTTCCATTTACAAGCAGGGTTGTAAATCAAGCAGGGTTGGCCTTACCATCTGCCGTGAATTTGCCCCACCTTTTTTTTTTTTTAACTATTTCTTTCACATGTGGTCTTAGACATTCACATTTATCATCTGGTTATTAAAGTCAAACCCAAAATAACAATTTTAGAATTTTAAAAATAATTACAACATGTAGCCTGGTAAACCAAAGTTTTAGTAAAACATTTTAATTTCAACCCCTTTGCATTAAAAATAGGTAGGCTTTCATTGCCAGCTGATAAGAGGTGGTAGTATGGCATGAGGCAGGCAAATAGCACCTATCTAGTAATTATTTAAGTGTCAGTCACTCTTCAGGAACTACAAGAAAAATAACAGGTGTATCTACTTTGTAGGATAGGGGGCAGGTAATTGCAGGATTCCATTCTTATTTCTACCTCCGAATAGTCGACAAAGCTATTATCCAGGTTTATGGACCAGTGTGTTGTATTTATTAGTTGTGAGAAATCTGAGCATATTTATATGCTGAGTGGAAAGAGCCAATGCATTGAGTGCAAAGACTGTATCTTATTAGCACAGTTCCTAACAAGTAGTGGATATTCAAATATTTGTTGAATGAAAGATTTCAATAAGGTACTTTACCCTTATAAAATTTAAGACATGAAGATTTATTTAGCTTGTTCAAGAAAGCTGAAGATATTAAAAATTTTCATTGTTTAAGTCAGAGTTAGTGTAAAACAAAATAAATCTGTAAGGTAACATCCTCATTTTAGGCCAAGCCAAACAAATCATACCACTTTGTAAAAACATGATCACAGACGGGTGCGATGGCTCACACCTGTAATCCCAGCATTTTGGGAGGCCAAGGCAGGCAGATCACCTGAGGTCGAGAGTTCGAGACCAGCCTGACCCACATGGAGAAAGCCCATCTGTACTAAAAATACAAAATTAGCTGGGCGTGGTGGCGCATGCCTGTAATCCCGGGAGGCTGAGGTAGGAGAATCACTTGGGAGGCTGAGGAGCTACTCAGGAGGCTGAGGCAGGAGAATAACTTGAACCTGGGAGGCAGAGGTTCCAGTGAGCCGAGATCATGGTGAGCCAAGATCGTGCCATTGCACTCCAGCCTGGGCAAAAAGAGCGAAACTCTGTCTAAAAAAAAAAAAAACACACACACACACCAAAAAACAAAACAAAACAAAAAAACCACGATTACTGTCTTTCAAGTAGCTCATAACCTGCCCTCCAAGAATAGTCAAGAATTCTAGTTCAGAAGTCACACTGCCTGGATTTGAATTTACCAGCTCAGCCACTTCCTGGCCATGTGACTTTATGTTAGTTTCTTAACTGTGCTTCAGTTTCCTCATTTGTAAAATAAGGATAATACTTGTACTTACTTTATGGGGTTGTGAGGTGAAATTAGAATATATGTCATGCATATATACAAGTGTTCAGTTTTTAACTGTTATTCTAAAAATGCTAAGAGGCTAGTATCTTAAGGTTTTTTATTTTCTCAAAATTGCATATGCTGAGTGTTAAAGGAAAACAAATCCCTCTGTGAACAAGAAAAAACACTGACAGAAAGTATACCACTATACTCATAATGATATGTTGAGACAGTGAGTAATGGGTTTTCTGCTTTTTGCCATCTCCATTTTTTCTTTTATTTGTTGAACAGATTTTTATTAAATGCTTAACTATGCGTCAAACACTGGGCTTTCATGAGCATGTTACTTTCTGAGAGTAAGCAACATTGTGGTTAAGAACATGGATTTGGGACCCAGACTGCCTGGAGCTGAATCTCATCTTTACCACTTGGGAAAATCACTTTCTTTCCTGGTGCCTTAGTTTTCTTATGTGTAAAATGGGGGAAGTGATAGCATCAACCTCAGAGGGTTTTTAATGAGCTCATATTTGAAAAGTACTTAAAATAATGCCTGAAGCATAGTATCATGTGTGTGCTAAATAATATAAAAGATGATAGAAATATTCCATTTAAAAATAAAGATTTTAATTTTCCCAGTACATTTATACTTTCACCCACATTGACAGGAGCACTTTTATTGTTTAAAGTTAGGGTCCCCTCTTAATTTTCAAAGTAGATTCAGTTTTGTTATCGCAAGGGAAGATGCCATGGTACCACTCTTAAATATTTTTGTGTTTGTTTGTTTTTGAGATGGGGTCTCACTCCGTTACTTAGGCTGGAGTGCAGTGGCATGATCATGGCTCACTGCAGACTTGACCTCCCGGGCTCAAACGATCCTCCCACCTAAGCCTCCTGAGTAACTGGGACCACAGGGGCATGCCACCACATCCGGCTAATTTTTAAAATTATTTTTTGGAGACAGTTTCCCTGTGTTGCCCAGGATGATTGCAAACTCCTGGGCTCAGGTGATCCTCCCGCCTCAGCCTCCCAAAGTGCTGTGATTGCAGGCATGAGCCATCACATCCTGCTTCAATTCTTAAATATTTTGGAATAATTAGTTGAATATTTCAAATGCTGAAAAACTGCCTTCTTTCTAGGCGTGCTACAATATTTGTAGATTTTATTTGAGTATGAAGTAGTTTTTTAATTGTGGAGGTTTGTGTGAAAGAAGAGTTAAGGCATTGGAGAAACAGTAGAAAATATCTTCTAATGCCAGTTCTCTACTTCATTTGAAAAACTGTTTCTGCAGCAGTATTCCTAGACTGTTTTTTTTTTTAAATTTTTATTTCATAGGTTTTCAGGGAACAGGTGGTGGTTGGTTACACAGATAAGTTCTTTAGTGGTGATTTCTGAGATTTTTGGTGCACCCATCGCCAAGCAGTGTACGCTGTACCCCATGTGTACCCCTCACCCCCCTCCCACCCTTCCCCCTGTGTCCCCAAAGTCCATTTTATCATTCTTATGCCTATGCATCCTCATAGCTTAGCTCCCACTTAGAAGTGAAAACTTGTAAGTTCTCAGGTTTTCCATTCCTGAGTTACTTCACTTAGAATAATGGTCTCCAATTCCATCCAGGTTGCTGCCACTGCCATTATTTTGTTCTTTTTTATGGCTGAGTAGTATTCCAGGGTGTGTGTGTGTGTGTGTGTGTGTGTGTGTGTGTATGTATATATGTGTATACATGTGTCTATATGTATATATGTGTATATATGTATATATGTGTGTGTATATATGTGTATATATGTATATATGTGTATCTATGCATGTATGTGTATATATGTATATATGTGTGTATATATGTGTATATGTGTACGTGTGTGTATGTGTATATATGTATATGTGTGTATATATGTGTATATATGTGTGTATATGTGTATATATGTGTGTATATATGTATATATGTGTATATATATGTGTATATATATATATATATATCATGCTTTATCTACTCGGGCATTTGAGCTGGCTCCATATTTTTTTGCAATTGCGAATTGTACTGCTATAAACATGCCTGTGCAAATGTCTTGTTCATATGATGACTTCTTTTCCTCTGGGTAGATACTCAGGAGTGGGATTTGCTGGGTCAAATGGTAAATCTACTTTTAGTTCTTTAAGGAATCTCCATACTGTTTTCCATAGTGGTTGTACTAATTTACATTCCCACCAGCAGTGTAAAAAGTGTTCCCTTTCACCACATCCGTGCCAATATCTAATATTTTTTGATTATGGCCATTCTTGCAGGAGTAAGGTGGTATTGCATTGTGGTTTTGATTTGCATTTCCCTGATTAGTGATGTTGAGCATTTTTTCATATGTTTGTTGGCCATTTGTATACCTTCTTTTGAGAATTGTCTTTTCATGTCCTTAGCCCACTTTTGATGGATTGTTTTTTTTCTTGCTGATTTGTTTGAGTTCCATGTAGATTCTGGATAGTAGTCTTTTGTCGGATGCATAGTTTGTGAAGATTTTCTCCCACCCTTTGGGTTGTCTATTTACTCTGCTGGTTATTTCGTTTGCTGTGCAGAAGCTTTTTAGTTTATTTAAGTTCCGCCTATTTATCTTTGTTTTTGTTGCACTTGCTTTTGGGTTCTTGGACATGAAGTCTTTGCCTAAGCCAATATCTAGAAGGGTTTTTCCGATGTTATCTTTTAGAATTTTTATCGTTTCAGGTCCTAGATGTACATCTTTGATTCATCTGGAGTTGATTTTTGTGTAAGGTGAGATGAGGATCCAGTTTCATTCTTCTACATGTGGCTAGCTAATTACCCCGCACCATTTGTTGAATAGGGTATCCTCTTTCCACTTTGTTTTTTGTTTGCTTTGTTGAAGATCAGTTGGCTGTAGTATTTGGCTTTATTTCTTGGTTCTCTGTTCTGTTCAAATTGGTCTACGTGCCTATTTTTACACCAGTACCAGGCTGTTTTGGTGACTGTAGCCTTACAGTATAGTTTGAAGTTGGGTAATGTGACACCTCCAGATTTGTTCTTTTTGCTTAGTCTTGCTTTGGCTATGTGAGCTCTTTTTTGGTTCCATATGAACTTTAGGATCATTTTTTCTATGAAGAATGATGGTGGTATTTTGATGGAAATTGCATTGAATTTGTTGATTGCTTTTGGCACTCTGGTCATTTTCACAATATTTATTCTGCCCATCCACAAGCATGGGATGTGTTTCCATTTGTGTCATCTGTGGTTTCTTTCAGCAGTGTTTTATAGTTTTCCTTGTAGAGGACTTTCACCTCCTTGGTTAGGTGTATTCCTAAGTATTTTATTTTGTTTTTTGCAGCTATTATAAAAGGGGTTGAGTTATTGATTTGATTCTCAGCTTGGCCGCTGTTGGTATATAGCAGTGCTACTGATTTGTGTACATTGATTTTGTATCCTGAAACATTACTGAATTCATTTATCAGACCTAGGAGCTTTTTGGATGAGTCTTTAGGGTTTTCCAGGTATATGATTATATCATCAGTGAGCAGTGACAGTTTCACTTCCTCTTTACCAATTTGGATGCCCTTTATTTCTTTCTCTTATCTGGTTGCTCTGGCTAGGCTAGGCTGTTTTTCATTTATTTGCCTTTTGGAATCTGGCTACATCCATACTGCTAAACCTCAAAACTAAAGACTTCAGGTAAACTGCTGGGTCTTAATTCAGCTATTGTTCCTGAAGTTAAAAGAGCTCGTTCGTTTCCAGATTCAGTGAGGAATGTATTATAATCTAAGAGTGATGAGAAAGACAAAAAACCTATAAAAATCTATTTTCTTCTATGCAGCATAACAGCAAATTTAAATGGTGTCTTATATATCTCTTCCCATACAAACGCAGCTTGTGAAATATTATCAGTGAGTATGTAAATCACACCATAAGCAGCATAGAAATAATTTGTAGATACAATGGTTTCTAATTTAGGGAGTTAGACCTCTGAATTCCTTAATTATTGACTTAGATTTTTAGGGAGTTAGACCTCTGAATTCCTTAATTATTGACTTAGATCTTATTCACATATTTTAAAATTAAATATATATAAATAAAATTTGAATCTCATAAATGCAACTTGTAGTTGTCAGTTGTGTAGCAAAAAATCTTGTCCCTAGGAATGGATATGTTTTGTATTCTTTTGTAAAAGGCAGTGGCAGGGCTTTATTAAGATGCGAATGCTGATCTTCTCTTATCTTCTATGGGCCTTCAGCGTCTGGATTTTTATGGGCTTGCTGTCTTACTAGGAGACTGACTCCTGCTATATGCAACGATTTCCCTCTAATTTTTTCTGTCCTTTTTGGCTAAAGATCTCAAGTGGAGTTTGATATTACATATTATACCACACATCTTTTAAAAATTAATAGCTTTTATGATAGGAATATAGTTCATTTTTGTTGTAGAAAAGTTGGAAAATGTAGAATAAGTAAAAAGGAGAAAATCTGTCATGCTACCATCCAGAGATAACTAGTGCTAATAATGTAACGCCCTTCTCCTCAGCCTTTTTGTGTATATATACATCTTATAATATCTAGTTGACCTCAGCCGGGCGTGGTGGCTCACGCCTGTAATCCCAGCACTTTGGGAGGCTGAGGCGGGCAGATCACGAGGTCAGAAGATCGAGACCATCCTGGCCAACATGATGAAACCCCATCCCTACTAAAACACAAAAACTTAGCCGGGTGTGGTGGCGTGCACCTGTAGTCCCAGCTACCTAGGAGGCTGAGGCAGGGGAATCGCTTGAACCCGGGAGGCGGAGGTTGCAGTGAGCCAAGATTGCACCACTGCACTCCAGCCTGCTGACAGAGCAAGACTCTGTCTCAAAAAAAAAAAAACAAAAAACTAATTGACCTTATACTACATATAATAGGGATGTAGTTTATGTATCAGTTATAATGAATGCAGTAAAGTGGTCACACTGTGAAAGGCATACAGGAGCTGAGACTGATTGAGGAGAGAGCAGATTTATGTTCACTGCAGGAATTGGCATTTTTCTTTTTTTCATATTGCTAAGTTACATTCGATAAGTTGAATACATATTGAAGCAGCAGTACCTTTAATAATCTGATAACCTGCTCTTTTTTTCTGATAATGTATCATAGACTTTATCATTAATAAATCCTACCTCCTACTTCTCCTATGATCATTCTCCAAATATATTAGTACAGCAGACTCTTTATAGTCTCGAAGAATATGTCTCAAATCTCTTGGGTATATCTTAAAGCAGTGCTGTCCAATAGAAATAGTGCAAACCACATATGTAGTTTCAAATTTTCTAGTAGCCACATTTAAAAAAGTACAAAAAAGCAGGTGAAATTAATTTTAATGATATATTTTATTCTAGTATAAATTGTATATTGCAACATGCCATCAATATAATCAATTATTGAGATATTTTACATTCTATTTTTTCTGTCTTCCAAATCCAATGTATATTTTCCACTTAAAGCACATTTCACTTCAGACTGGCTGCATTTCAGATGCTTCGTAGCCACAGGTGGCTAGTATTAGCACAGTCCTAGAACATGGAATTTCCCCCCAGAAGATGCAATAAAATATCACTTTGCAGGTATTCTGGAGAGGTGTATGAGAAGAAAACAGCAAAGCCAAGTTACACCATGGATCCTGAACACTCACTTTGGTGTCTCACAAGATGTTAAACCTTTGCCTCAATAAAATTAGGTATTTCTATATTTATGGACCTTCATGTCACACAAGTGTTAAATTTGTAGTTGTCTAAAGGCCTACTGGATATATTATTTGCAGTAACTCTCAGAATGGTCAGTAAAATTGATTCTATATTCTAAAGTTCTGTTTTTAACTACCAGGTACTATGCTCATTACCTGAGTGATAAAATAATCTGTACCAAACCCTTGTGACACGCAGTTTACCCATGCAACAAACTTGTAAATGTATCCCCTGAACCTAAAAGTTGGAAATTAAAAAAAGTCATTCTGTTTCTAAAATGAATTTGTGGCATTGTAATAAATATGTGGCATGGGCATAAAGGTTAGGGATATATTAGAATAGAATTGAATAAGCTTTTTTTTAAATTGAGTTTGTGGTCATGTGAAAAATATTCCTTAACATCTTACGCTTTATTTTGTTCCTGTAAGATGGAGATAATCCTGCCCTTTTTTCTTAATATGGTTTTGATTGTCAAATGAGATGAATGGAAACTAAAGGGGGATGTGTTTTATTCATCTTCATGTCCCCAGAACTTAGTATAGGGTATGATATATGAACATCCAATAAATATTAGACTCAGAGGCTGAATATATGTGAAAGAACTTTCTAAATAAATATGCTACCAGTGGAAGCTATTATTACTGTGCTTGATTTGTACTATTTCTTATTTAAGTTCTTTACTGGAATATGAGAACTCTTTAATAATTATTTACCCTTACAATCAATATGTAAGATTGCCTATCATGGTTGTATTTTTACTTACCCGTAATATTTTATTCATTATATCTTGGCTGTAAATAAATATATTTCTAAAAATATGTTACTATCTTATTTTAAAACATGTTTAGCACTTAAATGTCTCTGCTTTTCTTCAGAGTAAACAATTTGAAATCTTGTTGTTGGTATTGGGAGATAGACTTGACTGCTTTCACCATACCCAATCAGCAGTTTGAGAGACAAATACAATCTCATTGGAGGCCAAGATGATACAGGCAAAGTAGCAGTATTTTAAATCCTGTAATATGGTTCTAGTAACCAGAAAAGGCTCCAATTTAGAAAGGGTTTCTTATTTCTATAATGATGAGAGAAACTCCATCTTTTTCTTCTGCAATGGGATGCAACATTTCATCATTGCTTAGAGTGGAAGTATAACAAAATCATAATGCAAGAGCAAATAATGTCTACCCAGAACTGCATTTCAAAGTGATCTTCATGAAAACATAAGCTTTTTCTGGCCTCAGCTATGAGTTTCTGCAACTGCCCACTCACTGAGTCATCTGTAGCAATTGAAAGTTTAGATATTTCCCATTCGTTAGGGCATTTTTTTTTTCATACAACATGGCTTTTATCTATCCTGAATGAAGTAAGCAAGATTCATATAAAATGGCATGTGCAGTATGAAAGTCTGCTTTATTGTTTCCTGGGAATAAATGAGAACTTTAGAAAGCAGTTGAATATTATCAGTGTACTAGGAACCATTAACTAAACGATACACTATGGGAGTAGTTGGCACAGTTTTCTGTTTTCATTATATGCCCCCACTTTGTACCTTCATTCAAAACTGGAGCATATCTTTCATTATTTGATGACAGAAAGATAATCAGATTAAACTTGATTTTTTCTTTTTCTTCACATGATAATTATATACTAATAATTTTAACATGTAATATTTTAAATATTGAGAAAATATGGCACATTACTAAAAGATATGCAGTGACATTGAAGACCATTTGGCTAAATAAATGGGTGATATGTTGATTGAATGAAATAATTGGTCTCATTTAAAGAGGAGAAGAAGGAACTTGCCTCTTTTCCCTTGATTTATTCCCTTGATCTCCTTTTCTCCCCGATGTCTAGATATGCATTTTAAAGCAATTCTATTACTGAAAACCTTCTGCTTGTTTCTGTTCCATTCTGAATTTTACTGTTTGTTGTTGTACTTAGGCACAAGGGAAGAGGATTGAAATCTGGTCCCTTTTTTTTTTTTTTCCGAGGTGGAGTGTCCCTCTTGGCTCACTACAACCTCTGCCTCCCGGGTTGAAACAATTATCCCGTCTCAGCCACCATAGTAGCTGGGATTATAGGTGCATGCCTCTACGCCCAGTTAATCTTTGTATTTTTAGTAGAGCTGGGGTTTCACCATGTTGGCCAGGTTGGTCTTGAACTCCTTACCTCAGGTGATCTGCCCACGTTGGCCTCCCAAAGTGCTGGGATTACAGGTGTGAGCCACTGCGCCTGGCCCTCCTTTTCTTTAGTCTTGCTACTTCTGTATCTTGCTTCTGCCCATTCTTAGCATAGAAAATATAATAAAGCAAGATGTACCTAATGGCTACTTGTAATCATGTTGTAAATAATTTTTATTGGAACTTTAAAATTCCAATACAGATCAGCAAAAGCTCTCTAAGAAAGTAAAACTGGCACCTTTAATGTATACCAAATTGCATTTCATGCATTTGACATTATGCTCTGTGTTAATTTTGAGTTCTTTCGTGGCAATGTCCATTGAAGTTCTAATGAATAACATTCTGTGGAAAATACAAAGATATGTTTGTAGCTGATTTGGGAGTTTAATTGATCTATAAGCTACAATTTTTGTGTTGAGTTTTTTAAGAAACAAAAGAAATGTGATTTTAGGTGAGTATTGTTCTTCTTATACTCTTAAAAATTGTATTATGACTAGTGCAGATTGACTGTCATGGTGTCTGGTCCTTGGGTATCATTTCTAGGAAAATGTTGAAAGAACAAGAAAAAGTATTCTTAATTAGTGCTAAAATTAAACCACTGCTTAAATTGCCAGCAAATTAGACATCTATCAGGAAAGGAAATAGTATGTACAGCAAAAGCAAAGGAGAAGAAAAGTTGCTCATTTATATGGTGATTATTTTGGAGGTAGTAGTTTGCAGTTTGATGATATTATTGTGAACCATTAATCTGTAAGACACATTTATTATAAATGAGTTACAGGGTATGTGTGAAAGCAGTTTTTGTAGTATCCAGCCTACTTCTAGTGGGTAGAATGTGAGTTTTTAAAGTGTAAGAGTTTTTTCTTCTGATGTACCCCTTTTAAAATTTAAGATTTCTAAATTTATGCCATTTATTGTATATATTGGGTTTTGTTGGCTCTAAATGTTTTGTCAGTTATTCTGACATAAACAATACACAAGATTGTTATGTAGTGTTTGAAATAGTAAGGATCAAATGCAAAATCTTGATTATTTATCTCATTTTAGAGATTAGAAAAATGTTTTAAATTGAGCAAGTGATAGACGAATAATATCTCAGAAAAATTCAAACAATATATTGAAAAACAAGACAAATCTTCCTTCAATATTTTTCTATTTACCTTCCAGAGGTAATCATTGCAGTCAGCTATGATATCTTTCCAAGCACTGTAGTGTATATATGTAGTTTTATTTTGTGTCTGTATTTTTAATATATTGCATATGTTGTTTTACATTCTACCTCCTATCTCAATATTAAATATAGATGTTCCTCAACTTATAATGGGATTATGTCCTGATAAATTCATCCCCATGAGTTCAATTGTTTTAATTTTTAGATCCCACAAATAAGTGAGAGCATGCAAAGTTTGTCCTTCTCTGCTTGGCTTATTTCACATAACATAATGACCTCCATTTCCATCCATGTTGTTGCATATGTCAAGATCTCATTCTTTTTTATGGCTGTATAGTACTCCATTGTGTATATGTACCACATTTTCTTTATCCGTTTCTGTTGATGGACATAGGTTGCTTCCAAATCTTAGCTATTGTGAATAATGCTGCAGTAAACATGGGAGTGGAGATATGTCTTTGATATACTGATTTCCTTTGTTATGGGTATATACCTGAGAATGGGATTGCTGGATCATATGGTAGCTCTATTTTTGTTTTTTTTGAGGAATGTCCAAAAACCTTCTCCATAGTGATCGTACTAATTAATTTACATTTCCCCAAACAATGTGCATGGGTTCCCTTTTCTCCACATTCTTGCCGGCAGTTATTATTGCCTGTCTTTTGGATAAAAGCCATTTTAACTGGAGTGAGAGGATATCTGATTGATTTTGCATTTCTCTGATGATCAGTGATATTGAACACCTTTTCATAGATCTATTTGCCATTTGCATGTCTTTTGAGAAATATCTATAGAGATCTTTTGCCCATTTTAAAATCAGATTATTAGATTTTTTCCTATAGAGTTGTTTGAGCTCCTTCTATATTCTGGTTGTTAATCACTTGTCAAATGGGTAGTTTGCAAATATTTTCTCCCATTCTGTGGGTTATCTCTTCACTTTATTGATTGTTTTCTTTGCTGTGCAGAAGCTGTTAAACTTGATGTGATCCCATTTGTCCACTTTTGCTTTGGTTGCCTGTGCTTATGGAGTATTATTCGAGAAATGTTTGCCCAGTCCAATGCCCTGGAGAGTTTTCCCAGTGTTTCCTTGTAGTAGTTTTATAGTTTGAGGTCTTAGATTTAAATCTCTAATTCATTTTGATTTGACTTTTTGTGTATGGTGAGAGATAGGGGTCTAGTTTCATTCTTCTGCCTATGGATAGCCAGTCTCCCCAGCACCATTTACTGAAGAGACTGTCCTAATGTATGTTCTTGCACCTTTGTTAAAAATGAGTTCACTGTAGATGTATGCATTTGTTTTTGGGTTCTCCATTTTGTTCCATTGGTCTGTGAGTTTATTTTTAATGCTAATACCATGCTGTTTTAGTTACTATAGCATTGTAGTATAATTTGAAGTAAGGTAATGTGATTCCTCCAGTTATGTTCTTTTTTTCTCAGCATAGCTCTGGCTATTTTGGGTCTTTGTGGTTCCATATAAATTTTAGAATTGTTTTTTTCTATTTCTATGAAGAATGTCATTGGTATATTGATAGACATTAAATTGTCTATTGCTTTGGGTTGTATGGACATTTTAACAATATTGATTCTTCCAGTCCATGAAGAATCTATAGATTGCTTTAGGTTGTGTGGACATTTTAACAATATTGATTCTTCCAATCCATGAACATGGTATATCTTCCCATTTTTTAGTGTCTTCTTCCACTTATTTCATCAATGTTTTATAGTTTTCATTGTAAGGATCTTTCGCTTCTTTGGTTAAGTTAATTCCTAGGTATTTTATTTATTTGTAGCTATTGTAAATGGGATTGCTTTCTTGACTTTTTTTTCAGATTTTTTGCTGTTGGCATGTAGAAATGCTACTTTTTTTTGTATGTTGGTTTTGTATCCTACAACTTTACTGAATTTATTAGTTATAATAGTTTTTTGGTGGAATCTTTAGGTTTATCCAAATATAAGATCATGTCATCTACAAACAATGATAATTTGACTTCTTTCTTTCCAATTTGGATATTCTTTATTTCTTTCTCTTGTCTGATTGCTCTAGCTAGGACTTCCAGTATTATTTTGAATAACAGTGGTGAAAGTGGACATCTGTGTGTTCCAGACCTTAGAGGAGAGGTTTTCAGTTGTTCTCCATTCAGTATGATACTAGCTGCGGTTCCGTCATATATGGCTTTTATTGTGTTGAGGTATGTTCCTTCTGTACCTAGTTTTTTGAATTTTTTTTTATCATGAAGGAATGTTGAATTTTAGCAAATGCTTTTTCAGCATCCATTGAAATGATCATATGGGTTTTGTCCTTCATTCTGTTAATATGGTGTATCACATTGATTGATTTGCATATGTCAAGCCATCCTTGCATCTTCAGGTTAAATCCCACTTGATCATGATGAATGGTCTTTTTAATGTGTTATTGGATTCAGTTTGCTAGTATTTTGTTGAGAATTTTTGCATAAATGTTCATCAGAGATGTTGGCCTGTATCTTTGCTTTTTCTTTTTTTTAAATGTGTCTTTGTGTGGTTTTGGTATCAAGGTAATACTGGCCTCATAGAATGAGTTTGGAAGCATTCCTCCTCCTCTATCTTTCAGAATAGTTTGAGTAGCATTTGTGTTAGTTCTTCTTTAAATATTATGTAGAATTCAGCAGTGAAGCTATTGAGTCCTGAGCTTTTCTTTGCTGGATGACTTTTTATTATAGCATTGATCTCATTATTTATTTTATTTTATTTATTTTTTTGAGATGGAGTTTTGCTCTTGTTGCCCAGGCTGGAGTGCAGTGGCACGATCTTGGCTCACCGCAACCTCCGCCTCCTGGGTTCAAGCGATTCTCCTGCGTCAGCCTCCCGAGTAGCTGGGATTACAGGCATGCGCCACCATGCCTGGCTAATTTTTTTTTTGTATTTTTAGTAGAGACGGGGTTTGTCCATGTTGGTCAGGCTGGTCTCAAACTCCCGACCTCAGGTGATCCGCCCACCTTGGCCTCCCAAGGTGCTGGGATTACAGGCATGAGCCACTGCACCTGGCCTTGATCTCATTATTTGTTATTGGTCTGTTCAGGTTTTGGGTTTCTTCATGATTCAATCTTTGTAGGTTGTATGTGTGTTGGAATTTGTCCTTTCTAGGTTTTCCAATTTATTGACATGTGGTTACTCATAGTAGCCTCTAATGATCCTTTGAATTTCTGCAGTATTGGTTTTAATTTCTTCTTTTTCATCTTTTATTTTATTTATTTGAGTCTTCTTTCTTTTTTTCTTAGTCTCCTAAAGGTTTGTCAATTTTATGTTTTGAAAAAACCAACATTTCATTTCATTGATTTTTTTTGTTTCTATTTTATTTATTTCTTCTCTGATCTTTATTATTTCTTCTACTAATTTTGGGTTTGGTTTGCTCTTGCTTTTCTAGTTCTTTAAGTTGCATTGTTAGCTTGCTGATTTGAAATTTTTCTGTTGTTTTTATATAGGTGATTATACCTGTAAATCTTCCTTTTGGTACTGCTTTCACTATATCCTATAGATTTTTGGTATGTTGTGTTTCTATTATCATTTGTTTCAAGAAGTTTTAAATTTTTTCTTGATTTCCTCATTGACCCACTGGTCATTCAGGAGCATATTGTTTACTTTCTTTGTGTTTATATAGTTTACAAAATTCCTCTTGTTATTGATTTCTGGTTTTATCCCATTGTGGTCAGATAAGATACTTGATATAATTTCATTTTTTTTGAGTTTTAAAGAATGGTTTTGTGGCCTAACATATGACCTATCCTTGAGAATGATCCATGTGCTGAGGAGAAGAATGTGTATGCAGCAGCCATTGGATAAAATGTTCTGTAAAGATCTATTAGGTCCATTTGTTACAGAAGTGAGATTAAGTTTGATGTTTCTTTTCTGTCTGGATGATCTGTCCAGTGCTGAAAATGGGATGCTGAAGTTTCCAACTATTATCATCTTGGGATCTAGATCTCTCTTTAACTCTACTTTTCTCTCTCTCTCTTGCTTGCTTGCTCGCTTGCTCTTTAGCTCTAGTATTGCTTTATATATCTGGGTCCTCCAGTGTTGGGTACATATATATTTGCAATTGTTATATCTAATTGCTGAGTTGACCCCTTCATCATTATTTAATCACCTTATTTGTCTGTAGTTTTTGTCTTGAAATCTATTTTGTCTCAAATAAGTATAGCTACCCCTGCTCTTGTTTGGTTTCCATTGGCATGGAATATCTTTTTCCATTTCTTTATTTTCAGTATGTGTGTCTTTATAGATGAAGTGTGTTTCTTATAGGCAACAGATAGTTGGGACTTTTTTGTTGGTTTTTTTTAAATCCTTTCTGCCACTCTGTGTCTTTTGATAGGAGAGTTTCGTTCATTTACTTTCAATATTATTACTGATAAGTAAGTAACTTACTTCTACCATATTTTTATTTGTTTCCTGGTTGTTTTGTGGTCGTCTCTTCCTTCTTTCCTTCCTTTCTGTCTTCCTTTTAGTGAAGGTGATTTTTCTCTGGTGTTATGTTTTAATTACTTGCTTTTAATTTTTTGTGTATTTGTTGTATGTTTTCTAGTTTGAGGCTACTATGAGGCTTGCATATAATATCTATCTAGCTATCTACCTACCTATCTATAGATAGATATTTGATAATGGGTTTTAAATAACCCATTATTTTAAATTGGTGATAACACTGATCGCATAAACAAGCAAAGAAAACAACTAATAAAAACTCTACACTTTATCGTCATCCCACCTGCTTTTTAACTTTCTGTTGTTTCTGTTTATATTTTATTGTACTGTGTTTTTAAAAGTTATAGTTATTATTTTTGATCGGTTTATCTCTTAGTCTTTCTACTCAAGATATGAGTACTTTAAACACCACAATTACAGTGTTGTAATATTATGTGCTTTTCTATATACTATTAGCAGTGAGTTTTGTACCTTTAGATTATTTCTTTTTGCTCATTAAAGTCCTTTTCTTTCAGATTGAAGAATTCCTATTAGCATTTATCATAGAAGGGGTCTGTTGTTGATAAAATCCCTTTTGTTTGACTTTTGTTTGTCTGGGAAAGCCCTTATTTCTCCTTAATGTTTGAAGGATACTTTCACTAGATATATACTACTCTAGGATAAAGGTTTTTTTTTCCTTAAGCACTTTAAATATGTTGTGCCTCTTGTCTCGTGGCCTGTAAAGTTTCCACTGAAAAGTCTCCCGCCAGTCTTATTGGAGCTACACTGTATGTTATTTGTTTCCTTTCTCTTGCTGCTTTAGGATCCTTTTTTTATCCTTGACCTTTGAAAGTTTGATGATTAAATGTCTTGAGGTAGTCTTACATGGGTTAAATCTTCTTGGTGTTATATAACATTCTTGTACTTGAATATTGATACCTTTCTCTAGGTTTGGGAAGTCTTCTGTTATCCCTTTGAATAAACTTTCTATCCCTGCCCCTCTCTCTCTCTGCCTCCTCTTTAAGCGCAATAACTCTTGGATTTGGTCTTTTGAGGCTATTTTCTAGATCTTTTAAGTGTGCCTCATTGTCTTTCATTCTTTTTTTCTTTGCTCTCCTCTGATTGTGTATTTTCAAAGAGCTTGTCTTCAAGCTTACTGACTCTTTCTTCTGTTAAGAAACTCTGATGCATTCTTCAGTATGTCAGTTACATTTTTCAACTTCAGTATTTCTGTCTGATTCTTTTAAATTATTTTAGTCTGTTAGTTAAATTTATCTGATAGGATTCTGAATTCATCCTCTATTTTATCTTGATTTTTATTGCATTTCCTCAAAAATAGCAATTTTAGTTTGTTTAAATTTTTAACTTAATTTTTATGGGTACATAGGAGTTATATACATTAATGGGGTACAGTAAATGTTTTGATACAGGCATAGAATGAGTAATAGTCACATCATGGAGAATGGGGTATCCATCCCCTCAAACATTTATCCTTTGAAACAGCTATTTTGAATTATATGTTTGAAATATCACATTATCTCTGTCTCTCCAGGATTGATTCCTTGTGCCTTATTCAGTTTGTTTTAATTAGGTCATGTTTTCCTGGATGGTCTTGATGCTTCTGGATGTCCGTGGGTGTTTGGTCATTGAAGTGTTAGGTATTTATTGTCATCTTTGCAATCTGGGCTTATTTGTACCCCTTCTTTTTGGGAAGACTTTCTAGGTATTTGAAGGGACTTGGGTGTTGTAATCCAGGTTTTTAGTTACTGCAGCCATGTCTGCATTAGAGGGCACCTTGAGCCCAGTAACACCGGCTTTTGCAGACCCATAGAGGTGCTGCCTTGGTGGTCTTGGATAAGATCCAGAAGAAGTCTCTGGGTTACTAGGCCAAGACTCTTGTTCACTTCCCTTACCTTCTCCCAAACAAATGGAATCTCTTTCTGTGCTGAGCTGCCTGGAAGTGGAGGAGGGTGACACAAGCACTTCTGTGGCCACCATTACTGGGACTGTGCTGGGTCAGACCTGCGGTCAGCATGGCACCGGCTCTCACTCAAGGCCCATGGTAACCACTGCCTGCCTATTGCCTATGTTTGCTCAAGATACTAGAACTCTACAATCAGCAGATAGCAAAGCCAGCCAGGTTTGTGTCTTTCCCTTCAGGGTGGCAAGGTCTCCCTAGCCCTGGGTAGGTCCAGAGATGCCATCCAGGAGCCAGGGCCTGGAGTTGGAAACCTTAGGAATCTAGCTGATGCTCTATTCTAATGCGGCTGAGCTGGCATTCAAGCCACAAGACAAAGTCCTTCCTACTCTTCCCTTCCCTTTCCACAAGCAGAGAATTCTGTCCCCATGGCCATCATTGTCCCAGGCCCGTGGTGAGTACTGCCTGGCTACTGCTGATGTTCACTCAGGCCCAAGGACCCTTCAGTCAGCTTGTGATGAATGCTTTCAGGCCCAGGACTCTCCCTTCAGAGCAGTGGGCTCCCCTCTGGCCCAGGGCAGATCTGAAAATGCCATCTAAGTGCCAATGCCTGAAATTGGGAACCCTGCAAGATCCCCCTTGGTGCTGTATTCCACTGTGGCTGCACTGGTAAGCTGTAAGACAAAGTCTCCTTTACTCTTCCCTCTCCTTTTCTTAAGCAGAAGGAGTCTCTCCTTGTAGCTACCACAGCTGGGAATGTATGAGGTGTTAGGTCATGCCTGAAGCCAAGTCTCACCCAAGGCCCTTGGCAAGTACTGCCTAGCTAACACTGCTGATTATTCAGGGCCAAGGAGTCCTTTAGTCAGCAGATGATGCATCCTGCCAGGACTGGGTCCTTCCCTTCAAGGCAGTGGGTTCTCTTCTGGCTCAGAGTGTATCTAGAAATGTGGTCCAGGAACTAGGGCCTGGAATAGGAGCCTGCTTGGTGGCCTGTCCTACTGTGGTTGAGCTGGTATCCAAGTTGCAAGACAAAGTCCTCTTTACTCTTCCCTTTCTTCTCAAAAGGAGGGAAGGAGCCTCTCCCCAAACTGCAAGCTGCACCGCCTGGGGTTGTGGGGGACAGTGTGGGGAGTGGAGTTCAAGCACTGCCTTGGTCGCCCTGGCTCGTGTCTCACTAGGTTGTGTACTCCCCAAAGTCCACTGGCTCCAAACCCAGCACCACACCAGGACTTGCCCAGGAATTGCAGTCCTTGTGGCCTAGATTGCCTTTCAAGTTTATTTAGAACCCCAGAGCACTTCAGCCCATGGTGGCAAGGCTCTCTGGAACTCAGGTTCCAGCTGCTGGGATGGGCAATTCTCCTCTGGCTAGGGCTGCTCTAATTGCTCCCTCTGTGGGCACCAGCTGAGTTCTGCCTGGTCTTGCTTTCCGCTGTGACAGGGCAGCACTGAGGTCCAATGGAAAGTCCCACAAGCGGTGTGCTCTCTTTCCCCGCAAGTGCACAGCTTCCCTCTCCATGCCACACAGGATGGGGGAGGGAGGAGGGGATGGTGTCGGCAATTGAACACTGTCTTTCCTACCCTCTTCAGTGCCTCTTTCAGTGATATGAAGTTAAAAAATCAGATGATTTTTGCTTGTTATGAAGGTGCTCTTTTGTGTGGATAGTTGTTCAATTTGGTGTTCCTGCAGGGAGGACGATTGGTGTGGATGCGTCTATTTGACCATCTTACTCCGCCGCCTCCTCAACAAGACCTGGATCTTTTTTGATGAATGAGAGCAGTAAAGAAGACCGTCCATGAGGGTAGAAAACCTGTGTTTTCCTATTCAAAGTTAGATCCCCTGTACCTCTCTTTATATCTCATATGGCATAGACATGAAGATGTAGGAATAGATGAATGTATAAATGCCATATATATGATGCATATTAATCTTTGGGCCATGAGTTGAAAATAACCTGGCAGTTAAGGCTGCAGAGATTGCCTTGAATTGCATTGGTCTTAATACCTCTGTAATTCTGAGCAGTTAAGCTGTTTGATATATTATCAAAATTTGAGTTATTTTGTTCTCTTGCTATATTTTACTTTATTCTATTAGAGGTATTACTCTTTTTTCACATAGATTATCATTATCTAAGTTATGATCTAAGCTACACAGGTAACTTTGGCCACACCATTCAGAGTGAACAACTGTGATGAATATTGTTTAGTGTGTATCCCACCAGTGGTTCTATTATTTCCATATTGAAGATTCTGATTTTTAGTTCAGTTTTGCGAACATTTTCTGCATGCCTTCTTTGTGACAAGCCTGGTGCTAAATGCTGCGGGTGCAAAAATGAATGAACTACAGTCTGGCCTTCCTGTATCTCACTGCCCAGGAAGTTAATTTCAATGCTACGTGTCAAGTACAATTATAGGGGTATATACAGGATCATAGTTTTGCACTTTGGTGTTAATTTGACCATTCTGATATAGAGATAGTTTATAGGCTAAGAGTTTAAAGTATTTCTAATGGTTCATCACGCTTCACATTCTGGTATTATCACTTTTTAAGAACTTACAGGTGAATAATCGGATATTAGTATGTATGTGATCATCTCTTCTCCCCTGTTTAATTTGTTGGTTAAAGAGAGAACTCTTTAGCTTGTTTGCTATCTTATTTCCTTGTATTAGTTTGCACACTGGTAGTATACAATGTCACGAGTTGGCAGAATTTAGGATCCTTTGATAGTGATTTCTCTTCCCTTTTTTGGGAAGGGATACTAAAAAACAGTGATTCAGACTTCTGTATCTTTGTGCTTTACACTTTTTCTTTTGGATACTTGCTGGTGGGTACTGTTATCTTAGCCTGAGCCAGAAATAGTACCATCAAATCATATTGCTTTTCATTTCAAGTTGGCAGCATCTTTAATAGCAGTGCAGTAGTCTGGCCTGGTGTTTCCCTGGTATCTCTTTTTTTTTTTTTTTTTTTTTTTTTTTTTGCCATGAGTTAGGTTGGTGCCAGTACCCTTTCCTCTTGTATTTAAATCTGACCTTTATATATAAAGTTTAGAATATAAACTTTGTGAGCAGGGTTCTTCTTGTTCACAGAGGTATTCTAGCACTTAGAATAGTGTCTGGTATATAGCAGCTTGCAGTAAATACTGTTGAATGAATGGTATGTGAACAGTGCTACCCAGAAGACTGAATGAATCTTTAATGCACAGTTCTTGTTTCAGAGCAAGGAGTTGTATTCCTATTCTTTATGTGAAACTATGTGGATACTGTGTAGCTCAGCAGTAGCACCATGGGTCTGGGCTGCCTCAACCAGTATCATTTGCTGGGGTAACTAAGAAGATTCTTACTGCCCAGCTTACCCAGGAATAAGGAGAGTCATAAATAGAGTCTTCTAAGTCTGTGGGGCTGGGATTCAAGGTCTCTGTGACTTTAAACTAAAATCCTGATGGGGACAGTGCACCCTCACAGTCCTAGGGAGCCCTTTGAACTTATTCTGCAGAGGCAAAAGTTCTTCTTTTTGGTTGTGTCATCTTGCAAGGAGTTCCTGGAATTCCCAGGGCATCTGTCTACTGGATTGTGCCCCAGGAAAAGTTGACAGTTTATTGTCCTGTTTAAGAGCTGGGGATCTGCAACCAGACCACCTTGTTGAAATCCTGGCACTGTGATCTCCCTTATTTGTGATCTTCAGCAAATTACTTATTTTGTTTCTTAGTTATCTCATCTTTAAAATGAAAATAGTGTCTAATTTATAGTCTCATTTGTGGATTAATAGAGGCAAAGGGCTTAGAACATGCCTGGCACATAGTACCAATGTTCAGTAAATATTAACATGTACATATTTGATACAGATAAAATTCATACTTCTTTTACTCATTTTCATTCTAATATGCTTTCCTGAGGAAGATGAGAAGCCACAGAGGTGCAGCTGATGTTCTGGGAGTTTTACAGAGGCCTACCTGTGCCCATGGAAGTGTGTTGAGCATATGATAGCACATAACATCAGCTTCTAATGCTGTCATCCATCACCATGTGTCAGGTAGAAAGCAGGTGGAGAACTTTAGCTCTGGAAAGCCCTAATTATCCTCAAAGCAGGCTATGCTTAATTTGACAGTGTCATGATTTTTAATATTTGAAAATTCCAGAATTGCTGCTCTGGATGTAATCCTTTCTTTTTCTTCTCCCTCTTTCCTGCTCTTACTTATACAGTTAGGTGAATATGATGCTCCACTTCCCCCACAGATACTCAAATAGCTCTGACTGCTGAAATATTGGTATCTTACTGTCAGCACATAACTTGTTGCTGTGTTATTGACATTTTCACTGTTTTGAAATTTTTACTGTTATCTGGGTTTGAATCCCAGCTCTCCCAAGCTTCAGTTTTCTTTCATTTGTCAAATGAGATAAAAGTATCCACTTCATAGGGTTGTTATGAGGGTTAATGATGAATACAAAACACTTAACATAGTACGTGGCATGTAATATTAGTTGTAAAGTTAATGTATTCATTATCATCATTCTGTTTCAAATCAGCAATGAAATACAGACTACACTAATCCCATTTCTGCTTGGAATTGTGAGTCTAAATGCCATGTAGCAGTTCCCTGCTTGAAATACACTGTAAACCTTCCAATTGCAGTCAAGATTTTACTACCTTCTAGGGTATACAGGGATGGTGGAACATAGTAAACCTTGAGATTTGGCTTTCCCGTGTTTGTATTCTAGCCTTTCTACAAAAAGGTAGTAACCCTAGATTTCTATTACATGCACACCTTGATGCCTCCTCCAATAAAACTTCAGTAATCTAATTTGTACTCTGTCCTTGAGTTGAAGACAGAATTAGAAAGTGCATCCAGTGTGTTTGGTAGCTAAGTTCTGAAATGGCCTCTAAGATAATTACTTTCATAATAACCTATAAAATTTCATGTATAACCACAAGTTATCATCCCAGCTTTGTTACGTTTCTTTTTCTTTGACTTGCAAAACATCCCTCCATGAGAGATGGTATTATCTCCCATTTGCAAATTAGGAAAGCAAGGCTCAGAAAGGTCAAATAATTTGCCTAAGGTTGCACACCTGTCTAGTGACACACAGGGTTGATTCACTCTACAGCTTTTTCCTTTTTTGCTCAGAATTAGAAAGCTGAATCCCAAAATTAGGGTCAAAATTTTTCCTATAAAAACTTGTAAATGATACAACTAAAAAAAGAGAATGGATGCAGTGGCTCATGCCTGTAATCCCAACACTTTGGGAGACCAAGACAGGAGAATCACTTTGAGCCCAGGAGTTCGAGATCAGCCTAGGCAATATAGTGAAACCTTGTGTCTACAAAAAATTTAAAAATTAGCCAAAGTTGGTGCATGTCTGTAGTCCTAGCTGAGGCTGAGGTGGGAGGATCGTTTAAGCCCAGGAAGCATAGGTTGCAGTGAGCCAAGATAGCACCATTGCACTCCAGCCTGGGCGACAGAGCAAGACCCTATCTCCAAAAAAAAAAAAAAAAAAATAAGCAAAAGAAGGTAGACAGGCAGAAAGAAGGTATGAAGAAAGTTAAGTTAATAAATGTGGAACATAAAAGATAGGATGGAAACAAATTTATTCAAGTATCTCTGGTAAACAATTCATATAAGGCCTGTTTGATGGAGTATTTTTTTTTTTTTGTAGTGTGAAGTTTTAACTTGGAGACCCAGAATTCAAACTTGAAACTGTAGAAGAGAGGATGAAGAGAATATTAGCAGTTGAAAGGAAAATGTAGAAATAGAAACATTATGTATATTTAACAGAAAACAATGATCAACATGAAATGTTGAAGATATATGTTCTAAGTGATAGCTATATGTAGATATGGTTCAGAGAAGGCAAATTGCATGTATTGTTTGATACACGGAGAGAAGATTCAGGTAAGCATTCTGGAGTTAATATTTCCTGAGTTAGTTGACATAGTATTAAATTATATTTTTCTGTAAACGAGATGCCAATATGAGTCGTCTTTTATTTGGAGTGTTTAAGCAGGGGAAAAGGAGGCAGACACTGAATAGCAACTGCAACTATCTGAGCAAGTGTTGTAATACACTAAAAGTTCTGATACAGATTTCATTAGCTGCACGTTAGCATGTCATATCTATCACTCTGAGGCTTTACCTTTTACCTATGAAGCCCACATTGGTAATTAAACATTTTCATGTTTAAACTTCTACAAGAGGCTCAAGTTTTGTACCTTCAGTTTACGCGTGATCCAGTTGCATATACTTTTCAAGTTGTTTTTATTTTTTTGAGACAGGATCTTGCTCTGTTGCCCAGGCTGGAGTGTAGTGATGCTATCATGACTTACTGCAGCTTTTACCTCTTGGGCTCAAGCGATCCTCCTGCCTCAAGCCCCACAAGTAGCTGGGACCACAGGTGCACACCACCACGCCCAGCTAATTTCAGCTATATATACTTAGAACATGCTAAGTATACCCACTTGCTAACATTCACTTCAACAGGGTAAAACTGGCCCTACCTCCCCTCCTTACTAACCAACTCTCCTCTGACTTCTGGGTTTGTCAAGAAGGCTGCCATCCACATAGTTGGCCAGATACCAAAATGCTGAAGTCACTTTTTATTCATTGAGTGCTTCATCTTTATATCTAACCAAGTCTGGTAGTTCTTCCTTTGGAATATATAGCTTGTTCCTTTCCCATCACTGTCACTATTTTATTTATTTTTAATTTTTAATTGTTTTGCTATAGAGGGAAAGATAATTATTGCTTGTTTTTTTGGGAATTCTCATAGCTTCCTCAAGTAACTTTATAACACATTTTCCTGGGTAATGCTTTTTCATTTTTGCTTAATTTAGTTATGTAACCTTAGTTTGGCTGCTTAGGTATGTCACTGGAGAGCTACTTCCCTATTGGAGATGTAATTCTCAGTTCTGCTAAGAGAGGAGATCGTACACATTAGTTAGGGTTGTCATAAAAGGAGTTGAAAGCATCAGCTGTGAGCAAATCACTTTCCTTATGTGATTGTTTTGAATTTGAACAACAAATCCATCTGTTTTGCCTTAAACAAAAGGTAAGATGTGCATAAAGACAAATATTTGTAACCTAGTATGAGGGAATTCTTACCCTACAAAATTATTTTAGGAGCAGGCTAATTATATTTACACCTAGGCAGTGAACAGCCAGTCTTTGAAGAGAGTAAAGTATCAGGTAACTTACCATTTTAAAAGTCTATTGATGGATTTGTTTCCAGGAAGAGAGAATTTAATAACTTATTAATTTAAGGGAGCAAGTGTTTTTGTAGAAAAGATTATCAAGATTGTAATCAGGCCTTAATGGGAGTTTTCTTGTGAGAGATTCTAGAAGGAGGGAGATAATTTCTGTTGGAGACTTATTCTATGTTGAGAACACAGAAATAGTTCAGAAGTGTATTAGGAATGTTTACAAACTTATACGTCTGCACTTTATTGAGTTAACAAGTTTACTATGTCTTGTTTAAATAGATTTTTTTTTTACTATGGATACACAATAATTGTATTAGAGAAATTCTTTAAAGATCTTTGGTGAGAGGATCCCTCTCCATCTGCTGATTTCCAGTATATTTCTGTTGTGTAGTAGCCAGCTATGCATGACTGTCAATTGAGGTATTAACGAGGCATGAGTTTGCAGTTCAGTAGGAATCTAGACATAGTGGTGTCGTGGGAAGATCTTCTTGCACATGGTCTGATGTGATGGATAACCAACTGTGGGACATGGGGAAAGCAACACTTCTCTCTTGGCTTCATTTCTCACTCTGTAAAATAAGGGAGTTAAATCAAGGCCCTTCTATCTCTGAGTCTCTCATTTTATGATGCCACCAGAATCCCTTCTGAGCTCCTCATGAAGAGGTGTTTGTTCCATAGCCCTTTCTATTTTTTTAATGCAGTCCTTGTTCTGATGGGTATGAACAAAGCCAGCCTAAATGGATTGGGGTTTTGGAAAATTTTTTCCCTCTGATTGTAATTAAGTGACCTAAACAGATATTGAATTTATGACCATAATGTTAATAGCTTTGTGCTACCAACAGCATTTTAACAACAAAGCAGGATTGTTTCCAAACTAGAAATCTATGAAAATTCAAATATTGATGAAGAAGGCTTCACATACTTTGTTGTACATAGAGCCATTCTTAGGAATACTTGGGATGCTCATTCTAATAATAACTTCAGTATAAGAGGTAATTAAGAACAAAGACATTGGAGGCGTACTTCGTGGGTCCACATCTGGTTCTGCAACTTGCTTGTTTTGTGACTTTGGACAAGTTATAATACCTACTAAATAGATTTTCTGAGGAATAAATGCTGAGGAATATATTCCTGGCCTTTAGTTCTATATATGTTTAGCTGCTGTTATTAATTATTTTTACATTCCAGGAGTCAGTGCCTCCTATAATAGCTCCATTAATCCTCATAGCAGTTCTATGAAAATAGTACCATTTTTATCTTCATGAAGAGACGAAGACTCAGAGAGGCTAAATAATTGGCCCAAGGTCACATATAAAATGGGTGCTAGATTCAAACCAGGTTTATCTGACTCATTCTAAAACTAAGGCTCCTTCCTTCTTCATATATTCTGCCCTAAGCATGGTCCTTTGGAAATTCCCAATGCTTTTAACTAGTCAGGAGGCAGTTGGTGTTAGAAGACCAAAGGCTCAGGTGGCATCTAAATAAGTGCCTCTCTTAATCACCATGATAAAATGATGTGACTCTTCTTTAGAAATGTGCCTTTCAGACTTCAGGGTTTTCCATGAATTATTTTCATACAGTGTGACTTCCTTTTGTTCATCTTCTCTGCAGATTGAGGCAGCCTTGGCACCCAGTCCCCAGATAGCCTTCCTTATAGGGGTCTCGAAGTATCTGGGCTGGGTTAGAAAAAAGACTCCTTTGCCATATCTATGTCCTTACCTTTACAGAGTGAAAATTGTAATACACAAAATAATTACAATGAAGTTAACAACCAGAGCATCCCCATAGCTCCCTTTATTCCTCAGATATTTGTTTAATATTTAGCTATCTGACATTTTAATCTGAAGTTTGGTCCTTTTATTTTTTGCTGGAAAATTTTAGAATGGCTTTAGAGTGAAACAGCATCATTGAAAATAAAACAATTGTCTTCTATTTGCAAAACTTTAAAGAACATTTGTTTTAACCACCTCTAAACATTTTTGTTTTGTTTTTTATTTTTACTTGAAAATTCTATAGCAGAAATAATGACAGACAAATAGGCTTCTGTCATTACTCAACTTCCTTATGATGGTGTTATACTTATTGCTGAGTAATAGTAATTAGTGTGGTTTTGGGTGTAGGCATTTTACATTTTGAATCTGAGAAGATTTTAGGTTCACCTGAGTTGCTGAATCAACTCAGTATTTCAGGAAAGTATCTTATACATGGGTTCCAAGTAGTATAAATATTAAAAAGTTAATTGCATATGCTCTGAGAAATTCTGTAAGCACTCTTTCACCTTTATTTCATAGATGAACAGTGAAGACAGTGGTGAGGGGATTTTATCAAGTTTATTTGTAAAAAGGCCTGGGCTGGCAGACTTTTTCCTTAGAGCCAGATGATCTGTCACAACTACTCAACTGTTGACATACAGCAAAAGCAGCCATAAGCAACTTGTAACCAAATGGGTGTGACTATTAAAATAAAACTTTATTTAGGCAGGCTTAGTCTGAGAATCCTAAATGGATCTGGTGGAGGGCCAAGGGAAGGCAGTTGGCACACATGTTGATGAAAACAGTTGTTTAAACTTCTGGCAAATTTGAATACTAACTTAAAAAGGTGTCAATAAGGTTTATATAAAAATGAAAGCAGTGGTTTGAAATACCACAACAGTAAGGACCACTCTCACAAGGAGTTCTGTTTCCAAAATGGCATAATTTTGCTCTTAATGTATGCTTAATAGAGTAATGCATAATGTATTATTAATTTGGAAACTATTACTTGTCCAGCTACATGTGCAGATTTTCAGTTTTCTTTGTACATTTAAAAATGATAAATGGAAAGTGCAATACCATTCAGGGGAGGAACTACTCAATACTTAAGTAGTTATTTGCCAAATCACATTTTGGGTTGTTTCTGTTTTTAACTGACATACTGACTGAAGTTTGCCAAAACCTGATTGCATTTGGAAGGAAAATGGCATTGTTGCTATTTTCTCTGCATGAGAATATCTAAAACAGGTGGCTGGCAGCAGGGAAGGAGTAAAGGTAAAGGACAAAAATATAATAGTTTGTGAGCTTGTTTTTTTTTTTTGCACTAAATTTCAGATCTAGCTAGGTTATGTTTTGTTTTACTCTGATCTTCAGAATACCTAATTTATTTTCTACATTCCATACCCTCCCTCAGGTAAATAAGGGAAACCCCACTGTATTACAATTAGTATTGAATTCACTTACATTTTTATTATTGAGGTATAATTGTAAATCATTTTGTTAGAGTTTAATCTTTTGATTCAAGTTGACTGGTGTTTTTATTTGCAATCTATATTTTACAGTGTTTAATCCTAAGTATGTTTCCATGAACGGGTAGTTTGATTTTTAGAGCTAGAGAGAGTAACTGAGTTAAAGTGCACCAGGTAGCTTAGAAAACATTTTAAAATAGTGACTTTATAATTGCTACATCTTAGAGCTTAAGAAATAGAAAAGTTTAGATTGACCAAAGTCATTCTAAAAAGCAAAGCAAGACCCACATGAGTATTTTATATTAGATCACATTTCTGTGCTTTTATTAGAACCATTAATTTGGTAGAATTCCTAAATCTAGTAAGTAATATTATAAAAATGATGTTGTATATGGGGGTGATGCCAGTTTGAGGCTATAACTGAGTATAGCCTTGGGTAGCGTTTTTGCTCAAAGCTTGCTTTTTGTTTTTCACACCGATAGCATAAGGATGTCATGCAGTCCCCAGTCTGAATCCCTAGTGGGAAGATTTTGAACAGAGTTCTGACAAGTAGGGTTATCACATTTTTATGTATCCTTTAACAGTTATCCTACCTAAAAAGATCAAAAAGGAACGTGGAGTCAGATGTTGCAAGTTTTAACTCTGATGTTTCTTCTCAAGGCAGATTTCCTATTGCAGTGTGGATATTCTTCTCTATTTAAAATAATGATATAAACTGGCTGGGCATGGTAGCTCATGTCTGTAATCCCAGCACTTTGGGAGGCTGAGAGGTGTGGATCACCTGAGGTCAGGAGTTTGAGACCAGCCTAACCAATATGGTGAAACCCCATCTCTACTAAAAATACAAAAATTAAACCTGGACGTGGTGGCGGGAGCCTGTAATCCCAGCTACTCGGGAGGCTGAGAAAGGAGACTTGCTTGAACCCGGGCAACGGAGGTTGCAGTGAGTTGAGCTCATACCACTTACGCTCCAGCCTGGGCAATAGAGCAAGACTTCGTGTCAAAAAAAAAAAAAAAAAAAAAGGAGATACAAACTGATTTCATATTTCAACATTTTGATGATTCAGAAGCTGATGTATTAATACATTTTCAAAGTAGATCAATAAACATTTTAAGAAAAGTTATTTTTTCCTTTGTTTTAGTAGTAGTCTGAATATTCATAAAAGTTCATTTTTGGGGTCAGATTGATTCATTGAGCCCGGTATGGAAAAACTTCCTTGTGTATTTAATTTCATTTGGATTCCCCTTTAAGAAGCTAATAGCCATATTCCAAATGTGCATAAAACTGTCAAGTTAATAGGAAGAATACCGAGGATTCTTAGACAAAATAGAAGAAAAAGAAGAGAAAGAAAAATGACTCTGCTCTAGGAGGAACACAGAACTGGAAACTAATGACCATTTTAGTACCTATAATGTGGCAAGCATTCCCTAGTTTTGGAATTGACAGTACCCTCTAAGAAGTTTGATAGAGGTGTGCATGAAGGAGGGAGCCTAATGCAGATTTGGTGTGGGTTAGAGAGGGGTGTATTGAAGGGCCCAAGAGGAAGGATGTCAGGAAATATTTCTAAGAGAAGAACTCGAGCCTCACATAGCCACACAGACAAGGCGAAAGAGTATCAGACAAGGTGAAAGAATGAGCCAAGGTATGGAAGTATTAGACAACGTTAAAGACTGGGGATCTATAGACATTCAGTAGAAATGATTGGTGAATGAGGAAATGGAAAGTAGCATGGTGAAGGATGAGATTGGAAAGGACTGTTGGGTGTCAAATATTAGGGGCCTTGTGTTACCAGGCTGTCAAGTCAGAACTTTGCCCTGATGGTGGCAGGGAATCCCTGAAGGAAGCTCTTTGATTTGTTAGCTGTTTCTATTAACCACTCTTGCCCCACTAAAGTTAAAGATAGAGATAGAGATAGATAGAGAGGAGGGAGGGAGGGTATGAGTGAGAGTGAGAGAGAAAGAGAGAGACATGGATGGAGTCTAGCTTGAAACTTTTCTGTGAATTTTAATTTTACAAGGATTTTTGGTTTTTGATATATTGTATCCAAAGGCAGAGAAAATATGAAGGTTATCTTAGAACCCTGACATTAGAATTTTAAAAACTTAACTCTGGTTTTATTCCAAATTTTGGCAAAGCATCTCATTTCTTTTAGTCCCACTTCCAGTTCAGATACAATTAGGTTCTTAGATTCTTGTTTTTGCCCTATCCCTTTTTATCAAGGTGGCTTTGGGGGATACTATGGTGTGCTTTGGGGTTGGGGTAGAGGTGAAAGTGCCTGGAGAAGGCAAGCAGGCAAGCTAATTGCCATCAAAGCAGCAATAATGGCTAAATGAGTACTTCTGAAATTGCTCCTTCTAGAATGTTTTTGGAGAAAATGTTGGGAGAGTAGAGTGTTGTAATTGAAAAGGATGATTTTCTGGTGGTTGAATTTCAGCACTCTGTAACCTGGATGGATAAAAATGACTCTATGCCTTACAAGTGAACCTTTCTGTTTACTCAATGAATTGAATCTGTAATGGAAAAGATAAAGTTTGTTGGTAATGTCAGATTCAGTTCTTCTTTACTGTTCTTAGAGCCATTGCCTTATTCTTTTAAAGAAAAAATTATTTTTTTTAAGAGACAGGGTCTCACTATGTTGCCCAAACTGAAGTGCAGTGGCTATTCACAGGCACCATCATAGTGCACTACAGCCATTAACTCCTGGCCTCAAGCAGTGCTTTCGCCTCAGTCTCCCACGTAACTTGAACTACAAGTACACATCACTGCATCTGGCCATTGCTGTATTCTTTAAGGATCAATTATGTCATGTTGAGTTGGTTTCCTTGCTTCCATTGTCTCCCAACTGTAGTCCTAGATTAGCTTTTTAGGTTATTAATCTTAAAACATGATTTTTAGCATGTTACTCCATTATTTAAAACTCCATAGTAGCATTTTGCTGTTTGGGTTCCACAGAGCCTCTGGGATATTCTCTGTGAAGAGGGAGAGCAGGGTTTGGGAAGTGCTGGGGAGCCAAGGCTGACCTAATAAGGCAAATCATATTATTAGCTCATATTGTCTAAATAAAACTTATTTTACCTGGCAGTTATGCTTCACTCTGAAATTACCTGACAAATAAGTCCCTCCTAAAAGATTGTGTATTAAATGTAGATAGTTTTGGGTTGATGAAAGTGGCATACCAGGGTTTCCAGCAACACTTACTCTGCCATTTGGGAGAGAGGGGGATGCTTGTCAAGCAAATAGTTGTTGCATAATAACTGATTTTTGGCCAGTCATGGTGGCTCACTTCTGTAGTCCCTGCAATTTGGGAGGCTGAGGTGGATGGATCACTTGAGCCCAGGAGTTTGAAACCAGCCTGGGCAACACAGTGAAACCCCATCTCTACACTAAGTACAAAAATTAACTGGGCATAGTGTTGCATGCCTGTGGTCCCAGCTACTTGGGAGGCTGAGGTGGGAGGATCACTTGAGCCTGGGAGGTCGAGGCTGCAGTGAGCTGTGATCGTGCCATTGCATTCTAGGCTGGGTAGCAGAGTAAGAACCTGTCTCAAAAAATTCAAAAAACTGATTTTCTCATATCTCTTTGACAGTGGACCACGTACATAATAAGCAGAAAGAGGAATAAAAAGGGATCTTGCCTTTAAAGATCAGTTATGTCCAGCCTTCCAAAACTGCACTGATCAGTACCACCAGAGTACTCAGAGAGTTGCTGTTTTTGCTGAAAGGGTGATTCTAATTATCTGGCAGATTTTCAGGTACGCCAGTGGCATGACCTAACCATCGGCCTGTATTATTACATAACCAGCGTGTATTATTGATTACCAGGGCAGGTCATGCTATTGACCGATTCTAGCTCCCAGGCCAGTATTGATTTGCTTTTGGTGGAAGAAAAGGAATGAAAATATTCTTGAAAATCAATATGTCAAAGAATATAACAAAGACCAATGGAGCTAAAAAAACAAGATAAAACAAAGCTGAGTTTATTTATTTGCCAGGTAAGGAAATATAGTAAGGATTTTACATTTGCCAGGTAAAGAAATATAGTAAAGAAATTCAGTGAGTAATTGTTGAGGAAGAAAAGTCTGGATTTTAGTACTAGAAAAGAGCAGTGGTTAGGGTAGGTTTGGAGTAGTTATCCAAATTAAGTATTGAAAACCAGCATTTTGGATAGGATGGCATGAATTCATAGATCTGTATATGATTGGTTGAAATAAGTCCCATTCTAGTGAAACAGCATTTAGTCTTGGTATCTTGTAGGCAAGTCCTGCTGTAAACGGAAAAGTTTCCTGTTACAAGAGTTTCTGGCCCGTTTTCTAAAGCTAATTAGATCTCTTATGAAGGTCCTGGACCTAACCAATCCTCTTAAGGGTCCCTATTGGTGTATTCTATGTTGGATGGGCCCTTGGGTTGGCAGTGAACAGTTCTTACTCTAGATATACACTTCTAGAATATTTGCAGCAAACCCCTGAATCTCTATATATTGGATTTCGGGAACCCTAGCCTAGTATGTCCAGCTAGAAAATGGCTTCCCTCCATGTATACCGTTCTTCCCAGAGGGTATAGAATTGTAAGTATGAGGGTGTTTGATAAGTGTTATTTTTGTTACATTGTATTCAACTTAGGATTTGTATATATTTCTAGATAGTTTCTTTAAAGACTTAAAGTCTCATTTTATTCTTCAATGAGCTCTTCAAAAGTGACTCACATTCTCTTACGACTTTTTAGTTCAATAGAGAATGCTAATTCAGGTTCCTCTTAGAAGGACTGCTAGATAATTTTGCTCCTTATGGGAAGGTCTTGCTGTGGACATCCCCAGATTTTTGAGTTTCTATTTGAAATATATGGTATTCAACTACTTTTATTTCATTGGAGAAAATGTATAACTTCAGATTTTCAGCACTATTTGTAGGTTGCCTTTTTCTTCTTTCTTGTTACCTAAGTGAACACATTTATTACCAATATAACTTGTAATCCCACTGGAGAGGATTGCAGTGCTTTTAGGCAATCTCATTTCAGCAGATATAGCTCTTTAAAAACAAACCAGTTAAAGACAGTCTCAGCTGAACTACAGTTGTTTCTTGTAGACCAAGGAAATATAGGGGTGGCGAGCAAAATCCTCGGACTTACACAGTCCATCTCAACAAACATGTTTGTGCTTGGCTAAAGACATGGTGATTACTTCTTTTCTATAAATGATATATGAATGAATCCAACACAATTCTTGGTAGCAGAGATTGAGGGCCTTTTTGTAGTTTGACTCAGATTTCGTCTTCAGGATTATTTAATAACACTTCAAAGGTATTGTGATTTATTTGCTTTCCAGTTGAGTTTTTGACATGTCTATTTTCTGAAGCCAAAGAGAATTGACAATGTGATTTTTAAAAGGATTTATTTCAGCATATAAGTATGCAATGGTATTGACCTTCCAAAAACCACTAAGACATAAAATGTTATAAAGTTTTAGTATATAGTAAAGAGTGTGTTAGTATGTCAGCAAAGGGAAATATTTTATTTTCCAATACCTTTAAAATGGAACAAATAACAAACTCTAATTAAATATAATTTGTAATATGTAAATAATACCGTGAAGTAGCAAGATTCCTGGCAGTTAGACTATTGAATTCCGTACTCTGTAAGAAGCACGAATTTTTGACGATCATTTCATTTTGCTTTTGCTTATGACTTCCACTGCCCATGTATGTCAAAGAGAGAGAGATGATCTTTCAATAGTTTACTAAAGAAATGAGATGCTTCGTAAAATTGTCATGTGGTTGGCCTTTTTACAGGTGAAATAAGAATTACAAAATGCTTGCTTGCTTTATTTTTATGGGATTATGTATATATATATATATATATAATATTGTTATACAGAGTCAGTGCAGTCCTTAGAAACTTACAGTTTTAGGAAATGTGATAGTCAGGCATAGTTTTCTTTTTAAACTCATGTGTAAAATAATAGCATATTCAAATGATAGGCTAGTTGTTTTGTATGAAGAGGAGAGATCACTCTTGGTCTCAACTTGCCCAGTCTCATAGGCGTTGTTGCACTGGAAGAAAATATACCACATGTGGTTTTTACATGTCCAAGCTCAGTAAGTTTTATTAGGTGAAGTAAAGGAGTTGGGCTCTAAGGTGATTTTTGAATCAGCAGGTGATACAGTAGATGAGATTCAGGAAGTTATTCCAGGCACTAACCAGGTAAGAGTTGTAAATACAGTTATGCATGGAATGACAAAGTTTTGGTCAACGAGGACCACATAAGAGTATAACATTGTTGGCCTGGCATGGTGGCTCACGCCTGTAATCCCAGCACTTTGGGAGGCCAAAGTGGGCGGATCACCTGAGGTCAAGAGCTTGAGACTAGCCTGGCCAACATGGTAAAACCCCATCTCTACTAAAAATACAAAAATTAGCCGGATGTGATGGTGCACACCTGTAGTCCCAGCTACTTGGAAGGCTGAGGCAGGAGAATCGCTTGAACCTGGGAGGTGGAGGTTGCAGTGAGCTGGAGGTTGCAGTGAGCTGAGATCGTGCCATTGTACTCCAGCCTGGGCAACAGAGTGAGACTCCATCTCAAAAAAAAAAAAAAGAGTATATATAACATTGTATTTTTCCCATACCTTGTCTATGTTTATCTGTAATTGTGTTTTACTTTATTTTTTGAGACAGAGTCTCACTCTGTTCCCCAGGCTGGAATGCAGTGGCTCAATCACTGCCCACTGCAGACTCCACCTTTCTGGCTTAAGCAATCCTCCCACCTCAGCCTCCTGAGCAGCTGGGACCACAGGCATGTGCTACCATGCCCAGCTAATTTTTAAAACATTTTTGTAGAGATGGGGTCTCCTTATGTTGCCTAGGTTGGTCTCAAACAGGGCTCAAGTGATCCTCTCACCTTGGTCTCCCAAAGTGTTGGGATTACAGGCATGAGCCACTGCCCCCAGCCCCTTATCTGTGTTTAGATACACCAATACCATTGTTATTGCCTACAGTATTCAATATAGTAACATGCTGTACAGGTTTGTAGTCTAGGAGCCATAGGCTCTCTTAAATAGCCTCTGGGTATAGTAGGCTATACTATATAGGTTTGTGTAAATACAGTCTACGATGTTTGCACAATGATCACCTACTGATGAATTTCTCAGAATGTATCCCTGTTGGTAAGAGATGTGTAACTGTAATACAGCTTTTGTTAAAGGCATGATTTCTTTCAAATAAAAAAGTAGAAAATAGCTTACATAAAAAAGCCTTAAAAAATTCTTTTCAAATGGAACAATCTTTGTGAAGGATGCTTGTGTTTTTAAAATGAGAATTATATTTGCACTATAAAATATCCTTATTGTGTCAGAGTTTCTGTATATCATAAACTACTCTTTAAATTTTTCATTATGATGATTAAATAATAAATAATATTCAATTTAGAAAACCAGAAAAGTGTATCTTCGAAATATGCTGTGGGATGTAGAGGGATTGAAAATGTTTCCAGAAAGAGGCTGTTCAGGACAAGGAAGGATATTATTTTGGATGTTAGACCTTCTCTTAGGAGAGAGGTGATATTTCCTTAGCCACAATATGAGGAGGAGAGTTCTGCTAGGGTAGGTATATTCTGAAGGACTGTTTTTAGTAAAGAACCTCAAGAGCAGGTACTTCCCCCCCACCCCCTTAACCAACTTCCTGGGAAATATAGAGCAGGTAGTATTTATGTGAGAAGGAACTTGGAGAAAGATAAACTCTTCCCTTAATTTTCCTTGTTTTCCCCATTTTCACTTATTAATCTTCATTTAGCCAAGTCATTAACTTGTTTGTTAAATGTTTGTTGTGTGCCTTTGTTAGGTATATGGTAATTTTTTTTATTCATGCTCATTTATTCAGAAGAGTTTCAAGTTGCCTGATTTTTTTAAGTGAACTGTACATTTTCTTTTTTGTTATGTGTGTTCAAAAAAGTTGGAGAAAGGTTTTTTAAAATAAATTGTGATAATCAAACTCATTTATTTTTATTATTACATTTATTTATTTATTTATTTATTTATTTATTTATTTATTTATTTTTGAGACGGAGTCTCGCTCTGTCTCCCAGGCTGGAGTGCAGTGGCGCGATCTCGGCTCACTGCAGGCTCCGCCTCCCGGGTTCCCGCCATTCTCCTGCCTCAGCCTCCCGAGTAGCTGGGACTACAGGCACCCGCCACCGCGTCCGGCTAATTTGTTTTTGTTTTTTTTAGTAGAGACAGGGTTTCACCGTGTTAGCCAGGATGGTCTCGATCTCCTGACTTCGTGATCCACCCGCCTCGGCCTCCCAAAGTGCTGGGATTACAGGCGTGAGCCACCGCGCCTGGCCTATTATTACATTTATTTTTGACTTATATCGGTCCTGATTGAATCCTTTTACTTGTGGATCTAAGTGCTTAATTTTTGATCATTTGGATCAAAGTGAGTTTAATGAAAATAGAATTTTGTGATAGCTCTTAAGCCAACTGGCTACATCCTTGATTTCCCAAATCAGGGTCAGAAGTGTAATTACTAAATTATATTGTTTTCCTTAGATATTCAGATAGTCACATTCATTGGAATAGTAGATAGAAGCCTTAACTTCATCCATCTAGTACAGCTTATACACCATGGAACTTCAGTGCTACCTTGGCTTACTTTAACTACATTGAGGCCATCTGGTCAGTTAGTGGGGTGTAGTGGCCAGCACAGAGGCTGTTGGGTAGTCAACTATGAGTTTGAATCTTTGCCACTTACTAGCTGACTGTGGCGAGATTATTTTTAATACTAACTCATCATCAGTAAGGTAGGGATGATAGTATCTGCCAAGTTAGATGGTTGTGAAAATTAACAATTTAGGTAAAGCACCTTGCATTCTGCCTGGGATAGTATATAGGTGTTCAATAAATGATAGATACTGTAACTATTACTTACATTTTCTTTGTATATATTTTCTGCTTAAATTCATGTTAGTGCTAATAACCAAAATAATTTACCTGATTGTTTTAATTTAAGATTAGTGGGACTTTAAAAGCTTTTCTTAAAGTTGAAATACATCATGGTCTTTAATTTTTCTCCTCTTTTCTAAGTTTTTACTTTAATACAAATACCAAAAAATCAGAATGGTTTTTCTTAATTTGTCCTTAGTAAACACATTATGCTTCCTGTTTGAGATTTTGTCACCTTGTAGAATTTTTCATTAATACAGTATATAGCACAGCAGGGTTTTGTTTTTGTTTTAAATTAAAGATTGATCTTAATGAGATAGTGTTGAAATTAGATAAGCTTCTCTTGCTGCTATTTATCCCTTCCATCTTTATTTTTAACATTTTAATCATATGGCTCTCTGAAACTGCCTACAGCATGAATAAAAGACAATTTTTCTACCAGAAAATTTTAAAGTATTAAAAAGTGATATTTAAAGTATTTACCAGAAAGGAAGGAGCCTAAAAAGATTGTTATATCACCATTTATAAGTTCAAAATTCTTATTATTGAAGCTACATGTTCATCCTTCCTTCAGCTACACACTTGCTCCCCTATGGATGTTTTAAAGACTCTGTCACCACCTTAGCAATATTCTGAGTAACTTGATTTTAGTGTGATATATATTTTATTGATGACTTTCAAAATAATTATACATTATTGAACATTTAATTATTAAATTATAAAGATAAACTCTGATTTTACGTTCTAGGTACATTTCTGTGATTAGAAAATTCTCTCATGGTATTCTGTTTATAATTAATATACCTAGTAAAACTAATTAGAAGTATCTGAAGCCCCTAGCAAAATCTGTAATTAGACATGCCATTTATAATTAACTGACTCTTCTCATTCTTGCCTTTTCCTCTCCATTTGAATTAATCACTGTGCTCCTCCTTTAGTGATACTTGTGTTCCTATCCAAGACACTGATTAGAGTTTAATGATCACTGTTTGTGATATGTTATGGAGACTTACTTTATAGAAACTTTGCTTTTAAACTTTATTTAAAAACATTAAAAATACTTGAATTATATTCTCTATAAAGTATCACATTGAAGATTTTTTTGCACATTATCAAGATAAGCATTTATTTTATCAAATGCTGAAGGCAAACACAGAGAATAGACAGACTTGACCATTTTCTTTTCTAGTACTTTAGTATCTGGATTTTTCTTGACAGTCTGATCACTGATCATTGTCTGCATAGTTTTGACAGCATGCCCATTGACCCTGGGCCATTGATAGACCTGGTATGTCTTCATTTATTATTTTGCCAAAGAATTAGAAGCCTGATAAGCTAGGCAGTGTCCTGTGCTTTGGCTATGAAGAGGCAGGAGTGATATTTAAAGTATTTACCAGTAAGTACAAAATAGGGACCAACCAGTTAAGATGGCTGTAGCACTGGATCACGATCTTGAAGAACCCCTTCATCCTTTATGCTGTGTCAGGCTTTCTTGTTTTACCTGCTGGGTTGTAGTGGTGGTGGGGAGACTGGGCCATCAGTAGGCACCTTAGGACTGGTGGAGTTTGAGGCAGTGACACGTTACCAGACTATGTTACGGAAGTATTTCCGTACTTAAGTATGACCCTTCAGGCTCTGTTGGTGTGTACCAGTTCAATATTAGTTCTGCCAAGAGGTGTTCAGTCATTGCCTGTAGAGAGCTTACTGTTCTCTAACCATAAGAGACAGTTATGATATAGTTTGAGAGGTACTTATGTAAGTATATAAACGTGCATAGGGGAAGATTGCATGCATCTTTTTTGGGAAAACCAGGGAAGACTTCCATAATGAGTAGAAACTTGCCAGACAGGTTTAAGGAGGAGATTCTAAACAAGCAAAGGGGAAAATAACAATTTCAAAGGCATAGGGGCATAAGAGAGCATAGTGGATTCAGAGATCAACAGTTAGGAGCAGGAGAGGATGAAGTTTTTCTCTGACACTTGCTTTTTAAATTGGATAAATACATATTAAGATCACATTTATAGTTTTGAAATTGCTCCATTTTTGATAGATGTATTAGTTCATTCTTGCACTGCTATAAAGAAATACCTGGACTGGGTAATTTATAAAGAAAAGAGGTTTAATTGGTTCATGGTTCCTCGGGTTGTATAGGAAGCTGGCCATCTGCTAGGGTTCTGGTGAGGCTTCAGGAAACTTATAATCATGGCGGAAGGCCAAGGGAAGCAGGCATAAAGAGAGAGAGAGAGAGAGGAGGAAGGTGCTACACACTTTTAAACAACCAGATCTTGTGAGAACTCTTATCATGAGAACAGTACTAGGGGGATGGTGCTAAACCATTAGAAACTGCCCCCATGATCCAATCACCTCCCACCAGGCCCCACCTCCAACATTGGGGATTACAGTCTGACATGAGATTTGAGCGGGGACACATATCCGAACCATATCAGTTGAGAACTGCTAGCCTGTCTGATACTTAGGTTCTTCAGCCATATCTAAACTATTTTAGATACAGGGAAAGGTAGAATAGGAATTTGTTATAGTTCAGGGCTATACTAAGCATTCATAGAGTAAGAGTGTGATTAAACCCTCGCTTCTGATTCATTGAGAGGCTTCTAATGAGCAAACACAGATTCAAACAGATTGAGGATGGTAGTTTTTTTAATGACATAAAACTGCTGCCCATGAGGCTTTTTGGCTGACATCATGAAACTAATTTTGCTTAATGGCTATGGAGGGCTACAAATTCAAATGTGCAGAAAATGCAGTAAATTGCTGGCCTGTCAGATTCTTGTTGCCTGTCATCTTTTATCTGAATGGCAGCTTTTGTATCCAGATTGTCAGGAGCAAGTATGTGGACCCCTTTAAGGTTATATTTGTACATGCTTGAATAATTCAATTCAGAGCCTACTAAATATAGCAAATCGACAACAGTGGAGCAATGCATCTTCTTATACTTGTGTAATTAGGGAACACATCTATTGGATATCTCTTCTCGTATCAGAGAACTCTTGAAATAAGTCAGGCTTTCTAAGTTCTGCTTTTATTGCCAGAGTTGTTGCCTTATACCTTTGAAATATAGTGAAGTCATGGAGAGCAGAGAAAACATTTTCTCTATGACTGTTCAACTCAATGAGTGATTTTAAAGTACCCATTATGTGCTAGGAATTACGTGAAATACAAAGATGAATAAGTGACTGTTTTCTGTTTTGTTTTTAGTTTTATTTATTTTTTTGGGACAGAGTCTTCCTCTGTCTCCCGGGTTGGAGCGCAGTGGCGCGATCTCAGGTCACTGCAACCTCCACCTCCTTCAAGCAATTCTCCTGTCTCAGCCTCCCGAGTAGCTGCAATTACAGGTGTGTGCCACTGCACCTAGCTAATTTTTGTATTTTTAGTAGAGACGGCATTTCACCATGTTGGCCAGACTGGTCTTGAACTCTGGACCTCGAGTGATCCTCCCGCCTTGGCCTCCCAAAGTGCTAGGATTGCAGGCGTGAGCCACTGCGCCCAGCTTCTGTTAATCAAATTATATGGTTTCCTTCCTCAAGCTGTATTTAGAAAAAAATGTCATGATGATGATGGTGGTGGTGGTGGTGGTGGTGGTGGTGGTATGTGTGTAGTGTTACAACAAAGGCTACAATAAAGATCTGAGTTACATGTGAATAGATTATTTGCTTCAAAGATGGTTTTGAAATAATTGTTTTAAGTTTTTTGATGGCTTCACTTTTACAACACTTTCAATTAATGTTCCTTATCTTCTCTCTACTTTCTATTATACTGCATAATTAAAGGAAGGAATATTTTCAGTGAAATATATATTATGTTCCAATATTATTAATTCAACAGGTATTTAGGTAGCATCTACTAGGCCCTAGGTTTGGAGTGAACCAGAATGTGAAAGGTTGCTATCCATAGAATAAAATTACTTAGTAAAAAGGTAACCAAAATAATGAAGTTTTTACTTTCAGCCCTTTTGGTTTGATTAATGATATGAAAATAACATAATTCAGCCTTAAAGTCACAGAATTTATATTTGATTTTGTAGATGTGTTGGATTTTTCTTTCTTTCTTTCTTTTTTTTTTTTTTTTTGAGACGGAGTCTTGCTCTGTTGCCAGGCTGGAGTGCAGTGGCGCAATCTCAGCTCACTGCAACCTCCGCCTCCTGGGTTCAAGCGATTCTCCTACCTCAGCCTCCTGAGTAGCTGGGACTACAGGCGTGGGCCACCACACGTGATTAATTTTTTGTATTTTAGTAGAGTTGGGATTTCACCATTTTGGCCAGGATGGTCTCGAACTCCTGACCTCATTATCCGCCTGCTTCAGCCTCCCAAAGTGTTGAGATTACAGGCATGAGTCACCGTGCCTGGCTCGATGTGTTGGATTTTTATGTTCACAAAAGTTATCTGAAGACATATGCAGAAATAGACTGTCTCCATTGAATTTTGATTAACTGATCAGCACATTAAATCTGTGGGTTTTGGTAACATTCAAAATTATGGGTAGGCAAGGGACTTTAGAAATTGAGGGCATTCTCTGTGTCATCACTTGGTTAGAGGCAAATCTAGGGAAACAAAAAGATGAGAATCACTACTATAAGAAATTATCCCTTTTATACCTTTGCTCATTTCCACTGCCTGGAACGTCCCTTTTTCTTCTCTGCTCTTTCTCATATCTTACTCAAAGACTTTCCCAAGGTGGTACCTAAACATTTTCCCCTGAGGTGACATTTTGCTTCTTGGAATTTTATAACATTTTATTTATTACAACTTTCAAGATTTTTAAAACTTTTTTGTGTGTACCTGAGCTCTGTTTCCTATTGGATTATAAGCTTTCCAAAGGTATCATGGATGTCAAATTGGGCCATGAAGGATGGAAGGAATTTGGATAGGTGGAGAAAGGAAGTCATGTCCATAGGAGAGAAACCACATAGACCAAGGTCCATAGGACAAAACAGATGCTTTTTCAGGAATGCTAGTAGCTTAATTTGCTTGGTTTAGAGAATATCTTAGTAGAGTAGAGGGAGATGAAGTGGGGAGATGAAGTGGGGAGAATAGGAAATGATCTTTGATGCTGAATTAGTAAAATATGAAGGTCATCAGCACTTCACTTTTAGTTGATTAGTTGTGTGTAGGAAAGGCTCAGTGGAGAGTTGGAGGAGAGTGTACTTACTGTGTTGTACCTCTTTTTTTAATTCCCAGATTACTTCACTAAAGGAAAAGGGAGCCAGTGTTGTGGTGAGATGTAAAGCACTTTTGACCCAGGATACAGTAGATCCAGAAGATGGAAACCTATGAGCCATAGTCAGCGCCTTTGCAATATCATGGGAAGGAAAGATGGTCTTCATGCCTCCTTCCAGTTCTAATATACTATGATGCCATGGCACAGTTCAAATCTTTGGATCAGAGCCACCACTAAGACCTGTTTCATCCATTTATGAATTATTTAGTTCAGAAGTCAGCAGACCTCTGTAAAGATCCCCTTTAAACTTTTAAACTTTGTGGCAATATACTACCTCTGTTGCATATTCTTGTTTGTTTATGGCCCTTTAAATACGTAAAAACCATTCTTAGCTCATAAATCAGACAAAAACAGGCCCTGGGCTGGATTTGGCTCTTAGGCTATAGTTTGATCACTGATTTAGTTGATTAGGGTACTTGTTCCTGCACATATGGTTTCTAGAATTTAGAAAACCAAGACCAACTTGGTGATGGTGTTTTCCCATCTGTCTGTATTTTCAGTGACGACTCATAGGTTGTATTTTCTAAGGGTCGAGAAGCTAATACTTAACAAGAACTCTCCATTTGCATTCCTGTAGTGTTGGCAATTTTGTGTTTTGGGTTTGTGCTGTCTTTCTAAGTGCTATGAAAACTTCCTGGTGTCTGAGTCTATCCATCTTTACTATCTGTACCGTGATTCACATACAAATATTTTCTGTGTTGTATCCTTAATGTCTGAGACTATTTTACTCATCTTTACTAGCTGTAACCTGATTAGCACACATTATTTTAGTGCTTCTTAATGGTTATCAGTATAAATAGTGCATTTTATTTGTATTTTATTGTAAATTATGAAGTTTTATACTTTTTGAATACAACATGTAAGTGCAAATGTCAAACTTGAGAAGGCAACATATTGTATAGTTATAATTAAACATAGTGATTTAATTTCAGTGATCACTGGTTTAAAATCAGTTCTGGATTAGATTCTTCTATATATGTTCTTTCTCTTTTGCTTCATGTGTATTCCCTATAATGGAGTAGTTATCTCAGATTTTTCTGTCATGAGAAGTTAGTGCATATAGTCCCCTGCATATAGTCGTAATCCCTTGTCCCCAGTATCTTGAATTGCTACACTCACTGCTGAACATGAAACAAGTATTTTCTCACTATATTTTTACTTGTTGATTACAATTTGTTAATGATATGTATCCAGTGTTTCTATTTGATTAATCAAACACTTCTTGCTCTTTGCTTAATGCTTTGTCTCCATTGTCTTACTTATTGCTTTCTATGTTTCATTTATATTTTTCTACAATTTCTTAGAGTTTTAAACCCTCAAGCAGTTTTTATAGTGGTAAAACTTTTAACTCTTTTTTTTTTTTGAGATGGCATCTTGCTCTGTCGCCCAGGCTGGAGTACAGTGGCGTGATCTCAGCTCACTATAACCTCCGCCTCCTGGGTTCAAGCAATTCCCCCGCCTCAGCCTCCCTAGTAGCTAGGATTACAGGCACCTGCCATCACGCCCTGCTAATTGTTTTTGTATTTTTGTAGAGACGGGGTTTCATAATGTTGGCCAGGCTGGTCTGGAACTCCTGACCTCAGGTGATCCGCCCGCCTTGGCCTCGTAAATTGCTGGGATTACAGGCATGAGCCACCATGCCTGGCCCAAAACTTTTAATTTTTTAAGTAAATAAATGCTCAAAACTCATAACATTTTTAAATGATTAGTTATCAATACATATTCTTATAAACACATTCACACATTATAATACATTCTAAATATATGTTATATATTACATATTAAACACTGTAGAAAATTTAAGCTTATTTTCAGGAAGATTAGGTAAACAGATAATCATGAATCCAAACAGTTTTTATAGTCACAACTTACCTGTCATTTGCCAGCGTAAAGATTATAAACAGATGTGGTTTACAGATGATAGTTGATGCTTCCACATTCACTGGCAATGGTGATCACTTGAAAGCCCCATCTAGCTGAACCTTGGAGAAACATACCCAAGCTTGGAGGTATCCCTCTACCACTTAGAATGCTGTTTGTACATGGAGGCATGTAATGAATACTGAATGAATAAATTATTAAAACCTCAAGCTTATTCTAGGCTTAAGCTCTGGTTCTCAATAAAATACCACCAAATAAACATAAAAATACGTACTTACTTAGAGCATTTTGAAAGTACATAACTTAAGGAAAAATGAAAACTACCTATGTAATATTTATGCAAAGCAAAGCACTATTAACATTGTATGTATTTGTAGCCTCTTCTATGCAAATTTATGTATTACACATTTCAAATTACCCAACAGATGAGCATTTTCCTATCATTAAGCATTTTTATTTTACTTTTAAAATCCACTTTAGTAAAATTATTTATGTGCAGTACAGTTTGAGGGGTTTTGACTAATGTGTATATCCTGTTGACAACCGCCATAATCAAGATATAGAACATTTTAATCACTCTTAAAAGCTTCTCTTAAGCCCCTTTGCAGTCAATTCTTTCATACAACCTTTGGTTCCTGCAATAACTTACCTACTTTCTGTCAGTGGAGATTAGTTAGTTTTACCTGTTCTTGAATCGTATACATGAAAAAATTGAGTAGACAGTACAGAGAGTTCCTATGTATGCCCTTTACACAGTTTCTTCTGTTAGTCATTAAGCATCTTTGATAAGCAGTTTTAATGATTGCTTAATATTCTAGCTTATTTAGCAAATCATTTGTACTTTTAGTTTGCTTCTAGCTCTTTTTTGAGATGGAGTCTCGCCCGGTCGCCAGGCTGGAGTACAGTGGCATGATCTCGGCTCACTGCAATCTCTGCCTCCCGGGTTGAAGCGATTTCCCTGCCTCAGCCTCCTGAGTAGATGGGATTACAGGTGCACACCACCACACCCAGCTAATTTTTTGTATTTTAGTAGAGACGGGGTTTCACCATGTTGGCCAGGATGGTCTCCATCTCCTGACCTCATGATCCACCTGCCTCGGCCTCCCAAAGTGCTGGGATTCCAGAAAGATTTTACCAATTGCTGGGCGTATGGATCATGCCTGTAATCCCAGCACTTTGGGAGGCTGAGGCATGTGGATTGCTTGAGCCCAGTAGTTCAAGACCAGTCTTCGTGGACAACATGGCAAAACCCCATCTCTACAAAAAATACAAAAATTAGCAGGGCTTGGTGGTGGGCACCTGTGTAGTCCCAGCTACTCAGGATGCTGAGGTAGAAGGATCACTCGAGCCTGGGAGGTCTAGGCTGCAGTGAGCTGTGATCACGCCACTGTACTCCAGCCTAGGTGACAGAGTGAGATCCTGTCTCAGAAAAACCCGAAAAACAAAAACAAATTTACCAATTTAAATTCCTATGAACAGTGTACAAAAATGCCTGTTATATTACATTATTATAATATTATATATTATTATATTACGTTATCACTTGTAGCTGTCAGTATAGCCTAGATTGTGCTGTAGTAACAAACAGTCCTAAAAATCTCAGTTGCATAATACAACAAAGTTTATTTCTTGCTCATGTTACATGTCTAATACATGTCAGCAGGGTTGTTTTTTTCTCTTCAGAGACATTTAGTGAACTCCATAATGACTGCAGTAGCTGGGAGGTCTGTAAGTTGTGTAGTTGGTCTTAAAGCTTATACTTAGAAATGTGTAACATCACGTCTGTGTACATTTCAGTGGCTAAAGCAAGTCATGTTTCTACACCTAAGTTGAAAGAGGGCAGTGAGGTGCAATCTTACCATGAGTCTGGTAAGGAGAAGAACTGGAAGGGTGCCAATGACTATAATCTTATTTTTAAAACAATTATAATTTCATTGATCAAAGATGATATCTCATTTTAATTTCATTTTCTTTGCTAATGTAGAGAACATTTTTTCCATTTTTCATACTTAGTAGACATTGGTTTTATTTAATTTACTTATTTGCTTAGGTTTTATAAACATGTGCTATTGATTTACTTTTACATTTCCAGATTTTTAAATTCTGTATTTTCTATGAGGATGGGCAATCATAATATAGGGAGTGTAAACTGTAGAAAATACTTTCTTTTGAAGAATTGAGTTGATGAAGGAGATTGATTTTTTTCTCCTGTTTATGTAGTACATGTTTTGGTATCTTTTTTTTTTTTTTTTTTTTTTATGAGATGGAGTCTTGCTCTATCGCCCATGCTGCAGTGCAGTGGCATGACCTTGGCTCACTGCAACCTCCGCCTCCCGGGTTCAAGCGTTTCTCCTGCCTCAGCCTCCCGAGTAGGTGGGACTACAGGCACACACCACCATGTCCAGCTAATTTTTTTGTATTTTTAGTAGAGACACGGTTTCGCCACATTGGCCAGGTTGCTCTCAAACACCTGACCTCAGGTGACCCGCCCACCTCAGCCTCCCAAAGTGCTGGGATTACAGGCGTGAGCCGCCGTGCCCGGCCTGTTTTGATATACTTTTAATTTCAAGAAATACCAACATTAATCAAAGGCAATAGAAAGTCCAGGAGAATTTCTTAATTCTTGACATTCTATAGATATCTAAAGAACAGCTTGGACGTAAAAATTTAGGAGGTAAATGATCAAGTTAGGGTTCTATTGAAATAATTAAATTTCCATACTCAGATTCAACCATATTGACCATGTCTTTTTCTGTTTGTTTTTTACAATTCAGGTATCTGCCCAAACTGGAACTTATGCTGTAGACATTTCTTTGTGGTTTATCTAAAAACCAAAGGTGAGATAATTTATGAATTCATTTGCCTTTTAATATATATTTTATAATGAGAAAGAATTGTTTTTGAAAAAATTTAAGGCAATATCAAATATCTTTTCCTCTGAGTGTTTTAATAGGAAAGTTATAAAACTACATATAGAGTATGCTTACTTTTAAGCATGTTTATAAGACATTTGAAATAAATGAAACTTGTTCTAGTGATAAAATACTTTTGAGTGAATTTTTTCTATATCTTTAATACTCAAAGACGAAATTCATACTACTGTTCTCTGATATACTTGAGAATATATTGGCATTATAATCTAATATTTTTGAAGACAAGTCTTCCATTAGTTAAATCATAGATTAAAACAACTGCTATTTTAATGGGCCATTATTAAGAGCTTTCTACCACTCTACTCTCTTGGACTTGATGACTTTCTGTAGTTCCCTGTTTGGGAGCCTCTGTAATAAGGATATAGGTTAATAGTTGCCTTCTATAGAAAGCTTCCCTTTTACAGAAAGCTTCTATAGATAGCATTCCACTCTAAAGGTAGGATCATAGCCTTTTCCCGTTTCTTACCTGTCTTGGCTCAAGTCCTCTTCTTGTTAAAATTTTTCCAAATACATCGTTGTAAGTCTCTCCACCTTGAGTCTGACTGCTCTGTCAGCCATTTTTATCATTGTCAACAGATTATTTTTTTCTTTAAAAAAATGTCAGCCTGTCCGTCTACTACTCTGAGTCCTTCAGTATCTACATTCCTTAAGGATTATTTTACAAACTCATTTACAGAGCAATAGTGGTCTAGATATGATATGAACACTAACATCATGTATTCATATTATATCTTTACTGAGAAATAATTTCCATGCCATAAATTCCACCCATTTAAAGTGTAAAATTCAATAGTTTTTATTATATTTACAGAGATGTGCAACCATCACCACAGTCTAATTTTGGAATATTTTCATCACTCATTTTTTTCTTTGAGATGGAGTCTCTTTCGCCCAAGCTGGAGTGCGGTGGCAACATCTTGGTTCACCGCAACCTCTGCCTCCCGAGTTCAAGCAGTTCTCCTACCTCAGCCTCCCCAGTAGCTGGGATTACAGGTGTGTGCCACCATGCCTGGCTAATTTTTGTATTTTTAATAGAGACAGGGTTTCACCATGTTGTCCAGGCTGGTCTTGACCTCCTAACCTCAAGTGATCCTCCCACCTCGGCCTCCCAAAGTGCTGGGATTACAGGTGTGAGCCACCTGCCTGGCCTTTCATCACTCTTAAAAGTACTCATTAGTAGTCTCTACTCATTCCTCCCTCCCCTCAGCTATTAATTTATTTTCTGCCTATTGTGGACATTTTATGTAAATAGAGTTGCACAATATGTTGTCTTCTGTGACTAATTTCTTTCATTTAACATAAAGTTTTTAAGCTTCATCCATGTTGAAGCATGGATGAACCTTGATTCCTTTTTATGACTGAATAATATTCCATAGTGTCAGGAGCTTAGCTGGGGACACAGAGCTGAGTTACTTTAATCACTTACCGAATTAGGATAAGCAAGAAGTTAAAGCTGAGAAAGTGCAGGCTCCCTCCTGTCAAGTGGATCAACACAGAGGTGGGGATTTTCTCAATGCTGAGGGAGCCCCCAGCAAAAGGTTCCTGCTGTTTTATAGATCTGGGGTGGGTTGGAGGAAAAGGTGCAAAGGCTAGGAGTGGAGGAAGGTACTGAGTCAGAGTGGAGGAAAGTGTTTTTAGTGTTTTCCCTCTGTTGAGGAGGCCTCTCCATAGTTGCCTAAGGAAAGGCCTCAGTTAAAGGCCACAGAGACTTCTGAATGAAGGTACCTGGGCTACTAATGTAGATACGGTAAAGAGCATGGCCATTTAGGAATACCTGAGTCTTGACTGCAGCTTGCTTTAGAGATGTCAGTGCACCAGGTATGCACCAAATCTGGTGTGGGGAGGGCAGTTTTCTCCTGTGAAGCCTGCCAGGTAAAGACTGTAATTGTTTATGATCAAGCTAAAAAAAGTGGTCTGGCATGGTGGTTCATGCCTGTAATCCCAGCACTTTGGGAGGCTGAGGCAGGTGGATCACCTGAGGTAAGGAGTTCGAGACCAGCCCGGCCAACATGGTGAAACCCTGTCTTCACTAAAACTACAAAATTTAGCTGGGTGTGGTGGTGAGCATCTGTAATCCCAGCTACTTGGGAGGCTGAGGCAGGAGAATCGCTTGAACCCAGGAGGCGGAGGTTGCAGTGAGCCAAGATCACACTATTGCACTCCAGCCTGGGTTACAGAGTAAGACTCCGTCTAAAAAAATAAATAAATAAATAAAATAAAAAGTCACACTTTTTTTTCTTTTTTTTCATCCACAATATCTATATGCCATATTTCATTTATCCATTTATCAGTTGTTGGACATTTGGGTTGTTTCCACTTTTTTGGCTATTATGAAAATTCTGCTGTGAACACTTATTTGTGTATAAGTTTTTGTGTGGACATAGGGTTTCATGTCTCTTGGATATATACCTAACAGTAGAATGGCTAGGTCATTTAATAACTCCGTGTTTAACATTTTGTGGAACTGCCAAACTGTTTTCTAAAAAGACGGTACCTTTTTACATTCCTACTAGCAATGAATGAGGGTTTTGATTTCTCCATATCCTTGCCAATACTTAACATTGTCTGGGTTTGTTTTGTTTTGTTTAATATAGCCACTCAGTGGATGTGAAGTGGTATATGGTGGTTTTGATTTGTATTTCCCTAGTGACTTATTATGAACTTTTTAAATATGCTTATTGGCCATTTGAACATTTTCTTTTTCTTTTTTTTTTAGTTTTTAATTGACAATAATAATTGTACATATTCATAGGTACATAGTGATGTTTTAGTACATATATGTTAGTGATCAGATAGGGTTATTAACATATCCATCATCTCAGACATTTATCATTTCTTTGTGTTGGGAATGTTCAATATCCTCTTCCTAGTTATTTGAAACTATGTATTACTGTTAACTTTAGATTTTCTTCCTAGCTATTTGAAACTACATATTACTGTTAACTATGGTCATCTTACTGTGGTATAGAACACTAGAATGTATTCCTCATATCTATTGGTAATTTTTTATTCTTTAACAAATCTCTCCCTGTCCCTCCCTCCCTACTACCAATGAGTGAGAACATGCAGTGTTTATTTAACTTTTTGTTTCTGGCTTATTTTACTTAGCATAACGTCCCAGTCTCATCCATGTTGCTGCAAATGACAGGATTTCTTTTTTTTTTTCTTCATGACTAGATAGCATTCTCTGGTATATATATATTCCAGATTTTCTTCATCCATTCATCCTTTGTTGGCCATCTAGGTTGATTTCATATCTTGGCTATTGTCAGTAGTGCTACAGTAAACACGGAGGTGCAAATGTCTCTTTGATATAATGATAGTCTTGTCTTTGGATAGATTCACTGTAGTGAAATTGCTGGATCATATGATATTCTATTTGTAGTTTTTTGAGGAACCTCCTTGCTGTTCTCCATAGTGGTTGTACTAGTTTACATTACCATCAGCAGTATATAAGAGTTCCTTTTTCTCTGCATTTTCACCAGTATTTGTTATTTTTTGTCTTTTGATAACAGCTGCCATCCTAATTGGGGTGAGATGATACCTCAATGTGGTTTTTATTTGCATCTCCTTGATTAACAATGTTGAGCATTTTTTCATTCTTTTTTTGATTGTTTTTGGTTTTTCTGAGACAGGGTCTGGCTCTGTACCTACGCTGTAGTGCAGTGGCATGATTATAGTTCACTGCAGCCTCAAACTCCTGGGCTCAAGCAATCCTCCTGCCTCAGCCTCCTAAGTAGACAGGACTACAGGTATGTACCACGATGGCTAATTTTTTTAAATTTTTTGCGGAGATGGAGTCTAGTTATGTTGCCCAGGCTGGTATATGTCTTCTTTTGAAAAATGTTCATTTATATCATTTGCCAATTTTTAAATCAGATTTTTTTTGTTTGTTTGCTTTTGAATATGTTTGTCCTTGTATATTCTGGATATTAATCTCCTGTGGGGTGAGTAGTTTGCAAATATTTTCTCCCATTCTACAGGCTATCTTTTCACTCTGTTGATTGTGTCATTGGCTGTACAGAAGTTAATTTGATGTAATCCCGTTTGTTTCTTTTGCTTTAGTTGCCTGCGCTTTTCAGGTCTTATCATAAAATCTTTTCCCAGACCAGTGTCCTGGAGCATTTTCCCCTATGTCTTCTTCTAGTGGTTTTATTGTTTCAGGTCTTTGATCCCTTTGTGAGTTGATTTTTGTATAGGGTGAGAGGTAGGGGCTTTAAAGACATTTTTATTTTCATCCTTTGCCATTTTAAAATTAGGTTATTTGTATATATATGTTTATTTATATTACATATAATATAAATGTATATTTACATTAAATAGAAATACAGTTGTGCCTTGGTATATTCAGGGAATTGGTTTCAGGACCCTTGTGTATACCAAAATTCACACATAGTCAAGTCCTGCATTTGGTCCTACTAACCCACCTATAAAGAAGAGTCAGTCCTCTGTATAGGTGAGTGTCACATCCCATGAATGCTGTCTTTTTTTATCCATGTTTGGTTGAAAAAAATGCATATAAGTGGACCTACACAGTTCAAACCTATGTTGTCCAAGGATCAACTTATATGTGTATATATATTGGCTGGATACAAATCTCTTATGAGAAATGATTTACAAATATTTTCTCCTATTCTGTGGGTCTTTTCACTTCTTGATATTGTCCTTTGAAGCACAAAAGTATTTATTTACTTATTTATTTTTTTGGTTGCTTTTGGTGTTGTATCTAAGAAACAATTGTCTAATTCAAGGTCCTGGGGAATACTCATGTTTTCTTCTAGGAGTTTTATTGTTTCACCTCTTATTTTTATGTCTGTGATGCATTCTCACTTAATTTTTATAAATGGTGTAATGTAGGGGTTCAACTTCATTCATTTGTATGTAGATATCCAGTTGTCTCTGACTATCGGATTATCTTGGCACCCTTAAAGAAAACAAATTGCCTATAAATGTAGGGGTTTATTTCTGGACTTTCAATTCTGTTCCATTGATTTGTCTATCCTTATGTCAGTACCACATTGTCCTGATTGCTGTAGTTGTATAATAAAGTTTTGAAATTGGGCAGTGTAAGTTCTTCCAACTTTATTCAAGATTGTTTTGGCTCTTCTGGATTGCTTATATTACCATATGAATTTTTGGATTAGCTTGTCAATTTTTACAAAAAAATCCAGCTAGATTTTGATTGTGTTGAATCTGAGGCAGGAATCTTTAAATCAGTTTGGGGACTTTACAGTCAGTCATCCAATCTGTAAACACTGAATGTTTTTCCATTTATTTAGGTCTTTAATTTCTTTCAGTGTTTTATAGTTTTCAGTGTATGTCTTATAATTCTTTTGTTAAATTTATTCCTAAGTACTTTATTTTGTTAATAGTATTCTAAGTGAAATTTTTTTTCTAATTTCATTTTTGGATTATTCATTGCTAGTATATAGAAATATAATGATTTTTGTATCACACAACCTTGCTGAACTTATTTGTTAATTGTAATAGTTGTTTATAGATTACTTAGGGCTTTTTAATATGTAAGATCATGTCATCGTGTCATAGTGATAGTTTTACCTCTTTTCTGATCTAGATCCCTTTCATGTCTCTTAACTGCTCTGGCTGAAACCGTTTTTTTTTTTTTTGAGACAAGGTCTTACTCTGTTGCCCAGGCTGGAGTGTAGTGGTGTGAACATGGCTCACTGCAGCCTTGACTTCCTGGGTTCAGGTGATCCTCCTGCCTCTGCCCCTCAAGTAGCTGGGACTACAGGCAGGCGCCACCATACCCAGCTTATTTTTATATATTTTTTGAAGAGATGGGGTTTCGCCATGTTGCTCAGGCTGGTCACAAACTCCTGGGCTCAAGTGATCCTCCCGCCTTAGCCTCCCAAAGTGCTGGGATTATACATGTGAGCCACTGTGCTCAGCCCTTGTCTCGTTTCTGATCTTAGGGTGAAAACATTCAGTCTTTCAGGATCAAGTAAGATGTTAACTATGGGTATTTCATAACTGCCCATTATCAGGTTTAGGAAGTTCTCTTTTAGTCATAGTTTGTTGAATGTTTTTGTCAGAAAGTATATGAGATAACGCTTATTGAGATCTTTCTGTATATGCCAGACCCTATGCTAAGTGGTTTATATTTAGCATTTCATGTAATCTTCACAGTAGTCCTGTGAGGTAAAGACTGTTATTTTATCCTCAGATAGAATAGATACAGTCAGATTGTTTATTTCACAACTTGTGTGTTCAGTCATTATCCATTAAAATTTCTGTACAAACCATACTGATTTATATGTTACTTTGTACATGCTAGTTTCCTCCTCCTAAAGTGCTCTCTCGCTTCCCCATATAAAGTTGATTGCTAAGCTATCACTGCACTTTGTACTTTTTCACTATGTTGTGATTGTTTGTGTATGTTTCTCTCATTTTAGAAACTATGCTTCTTGAAGTCAGGGACTTTGTCATTTTCATTTTTAAATCCCCCAATGCTCAGTGGAGAGCCGGGAGAGAGAAATATCACAGAAGCAAAGAGATTAGAGTGTTTCGAAAAGGGTGGCAGTGTTCATTAGTGTCAGATGCTACAGAGAAAGTTCAAATAAAATAAAGTTTACAGCATGACTTTTGGTTTGGTCTTTTAGTGACCTTAGTAAGATTGGTTTTTTGTTTTTAGTAGCAGTGGAGACAGAGGACAGATTCTAGTGTGTTTAGCAGTGAATGGGAGATGAAGAAGAGACTATCAAAGAGTATAGACTACTCTCATGAGAAGTTTAACTGTGAACAGAAGGAATGAGTTTAGGGTGCTTGATAGAGGGGAACATAGGGTACTTTTTAATATAGGAGAGGCTTGAACATGCATATATACAGAGGTAGGGGAAAAAGGAAACAGGTAAGAGCAAAATTGTGGAAGTAGAGAGAGAGAGGAGAATAATAGAACAGGCTCCTTGCAGAAATGGCAGATTGCATGTAGAACACATGATAGAACATAAGATTTGCCGGGAATGGCTTCTTTCTTCTGAGGGAAGGAAGTGCTCATGGATGCAACTAGTGACAAATTTGTGGATGTGAATTAGGAAATATAGGGAGTTTTCATTTCCTCTGAAGCAGAGGACAAGGTCCTTGGCTTGGCTATGTGGGAAAAGGCAACAGGACTGAGATACGGGATTTGAGGGGAGTGGTAAAGGTTTGGAATAACTACTGTGGGTCATGGAAGAGTTTGCTTATTAGAAATAGAAAAAGTTTTCGAGGGCCTCTGTCTCTTCTCTGTAATTAAAAAAATAGAAAAGGTATGTGGTCAGAAATTTAGATAGTATAAAATGATTCATAGATAGTGCAAATGTACAAAATTAAATCTTTCACCTTAGATCCTCTGTCTCTATTTTCAAAAGAAACTAACATTAGCACTTTATTTACTTTTAAATTATTTTTGCAAACATACATATGCATCAATATATATGGAGTTTATTTTGATCTGTGAGAATTTACTGTTCTACTTTTTGCTTCTTACTTTTTTTAAGACAGGGTCTTGGCTCATGCCTGTAATTCCAGCACTTTGGGAGGCTGAGGTGGGCAGATCACTTGATGTCAGGCTTTTGAGACCAGCTTTGGCCAACATGGTGAAACCCCATCTCTATTAAAAATACAAAAATTAGCCAGTTGTAATGGCACATGCCTGTAGTCTCAGCTACTTGGGAGGCTGAGGCACGAGAGTCGCTTGCACCCCGGAGGCGGAGGTTGCAGTGAGCCAAGATTGCACCACTGCATTCCAGACTGGGTAACAGAGTAAGACTGTCTCATTTAAAAAAAGAAAACAAAACAAAAACAGTGTCTTACTCTGTCACTCAGGCTGAAGAGCAATGGCATGATCACAGCTCACTGCAGCTTCGTACTCCTCGTCTCACATGATCCTCCCACTTCACCTCCCAAGTAACTGGGACTACAGGCATGTGCCACCATGCGCTGCTGATGTATGTTTTTTTCTTTTTTAGAGAGTGGGTCCTCTTACGTTGTCAAGGCTGATCTTGAACTCCTGGGCTCAGGTAATCCTTCCACCTCAGCCTCCCAAAGTGCTGGGATTATAGGCGTGAGCCACTGGACCTAGCCTACTTTTTGCTTCTTAAACTTACTTCTGTATCTTGGAGATTTTTCCATATATGTAGATCTACTTCATTCGTGTTTATAGCCACAGGATATTTTGTGTGTGGTTATAGTATAATTTATGTAACCAGCATTTAGATGAATTCTATCTTTACTCTTGTAAAAGTCATGTTGAATAAATAAATTCCATCTTTTAAAAAATACAAAATCATTATAATGCCTTAATTCTGTGCCTTAATTTTGGATTTCTATATATGCACACCTTGAGCAAACTATAATATGTATAAAAACTGGGTTATTGTTGAAACGTAAAGACAACTTAAATATTTGAAAGTGATCATGCTCAATTTATTCCTGGGATTAAGAATAAGAATCTTATTTTCAGGTGTTTGCAATTTTTAATATTGCTGCAGGAAACATTACTATCCATGACTCTTGTCAATCTCTTATGCGTATGCAAGATATTCTATTGAGTATACACCTATGAATGTAATTGCTGGGTCATAGGGTAATGAATGTTAAACTTAAAGTTATAATACGAAGTGTATTTCCAAAGGGCTTATGCAATTTTATTCTCCTACCATTGATGTATGAGAAATCCTGTTGTTTTACAGCCTCTCTAATACTTGTTTTTTTTCAGACTTTTAAATTTTGCCAGTTGAATGATCTAAAGTAGTATCTATTGTGATCTTTTAAGAAAAACTTTTAAAAGTTGAGGTATAAATTTCAATTTTATGATAAAATACTCAGCTCTTAAATATATAGTTGAGTGAGATTTGATGAATGCATATACTCATGTAGCTACTCTGCTGTAAAAATTCAAAACATTTTATTACCCCTTAAGTTCCTTCAGACTTCTTCCTTGACATTCTTATCCCTCACCAGAGGGAACCACTGTTCTGAATTTTTATCACTGAGTAATGCACGTTTGGGGCCAGGTCGTGTGCACATGGGCACTGGAATACAAGAGAAGCAAAATAGAACTTTAGTAGTTCTTTTTCTCGTTTGTTATCCCACAGCTTTGCTGGACTGCCTCTTGTCTCAGGCCTAAGCCACCATTCCACACACAGGGGTCCTAGTCAACCCAGGGGTTTTTCTGAGTTCTCTCCATTTTTCCAGGGCTGTAACTTTTCCAGGGCTGATATTCTGGGAGGGGGTCAGCAGTTTTTCTATTATAATTCCGATTCTACAGGAATTGGAATCGAGGTAAACTTTTTCTCAGCCTTCTTAGACCTGATTTACGTAATTACAGGCAACTTTAATCTGGACCCCCCAAAATGGATGAGTTCAAGACTCCTTGGTCATGAGTAAGCCTTCTTCCATGCCAGGTCTGTAGCCCTTCATAGAGGGCCATATAGAGGTGTGAGCTGGCTGCAGCAAAGGGTCCTACAGAATCTTGTTGATTTTTCAGTATTGCTTCTCTGAATTTGAACTTGAACTGAACTAGGGATGGCTTTTTGAGTAGGCGGGGCCAAAATGTGTTGTGACTTGCGCAATTATAAAAGGGTCTCTCTGACTTAAAGTCGCTCCTCTTCTGCTAAGTGTTTACTTTAAATTCTAATCTGAACAGTCATTCTTGCCCAAAATGGCCCATGAATTTTTAAGTCTTTTATTGCATCTTTCATGTAAATTTGTATTTTACTTATAATAAGTATGTATAATAGTATTAAAATGTTTTAAATTACTTATATCAAGGAAACTTGCTGATCCAGGAGATCATATTGTATTTATTCCATTGTTTTGCTTACTGTCTGTCAATCGTATCTCTCCACCTCCTGCAAGAAATCAATCCACTACACCATGCTACTTTCCGTTATAAATCCCTGTGTTGTACTTATTTTCTTTCTTTCTAGGTAGTGTGCTTCCAGAGAAGAGGCAGGTAGTGTTTCTTATTTATTTTCACTTGCCTGCCAGATTTGCCACAGAGTTAAGTGGTTTTTTTTTTTTTTATTGAGATGGAGTCTCGCTCTGTCGCCCAGGCTGGAGTGCAGTGGCGCTATCTTGGCTCACTGCAAGCTCCGCCTCCCAGGTTCACGCCATTCTCCTGCCTCAGCCTCCCGAGTAGCTGGGACTACAGGTGCCCACCACCACACCCGGCTAATTTTTTGTATTTTTAGTAGAGACAGGGTTTCACCGTGTTAGCCAGGATGGCCTTGATCTCCTGACCTCGTGATCCTCCACCATCGGCCTCCCAAAGTGCTGGGATTACAGGCATGAACCACCGCGCCTGGCCCTACTAAGTGTTCTAAAACTGTTAAATTAATGGACAAAAACGTACTTAGTATTCATAACAAGAGACAACACTTTCTAGGCAGAGAGAAAACTATGTATTCATAACCACCATGAGTATAAGTCCTGTTTTTTGGCATGGTTGGAATAAATGATATGTGGGGACAGTTTGCAGGGAAAGGCCAGATCACAAAGTACCTACCTGTAAGCTGTATCAAAGGGTTTTGATTGGGAGCTCTTGAAGGATTCTCACCAGGAGATTAACATGGCTAATATTTTATTTTAAGAAGATGGTTTCAAGAGTAGTATGAAAGATATTTTGGAATGGAGAGACCACTTAGAAGGCTATATATAGTCCAGATAGGAGATAACTTGAAGAGGGGCAGATGCCAGAAAGCTTTAGCAGGTGGAATTCATAGAAATTGGTGACTAATTAAATATTGGTGTTGGGTGAGGAGAAGGAAGTGTAGAAATCAGAGATGACTCTCAAGTTGGGCAATTTAATGGGTGTGGCACTATTTGTTTCCTTTCCAGTGTGTATTCAGGTATAGAAGGAACTTTTGGAGTGGAAGATAGGATTTTGTAATATTTAGTTTGATGTTTCTCTGAGATAGTTGAGTGGAGATGTACAGATCTGTCTGCTGTTCTTAGAGGGAGGTGGAGGCTTGAAAGGGAGAGAGAGTTTTTGAGGTTAATAGATTTTAGAGAGTGATTGAAGAAGGAATTGCCCGGGATTGAGGACAAAATCCTCAGGGACATTTAGATTTAGTGGACAAGTGCAGAAAAAGGAACTGGGAAGAAGATCATGAAGAAGAAATCAGGAGAGAAATGTAACAAAGGATTTCACAGTAACACCTTTGGCTTTCGTCTCTACCTTGAGATGAGATTTTTCTTTTCTGCATCCTATGTTTGATCTTTGTCCTCAGACCTTTTCTTACTTTGAGCATTCTCTGCTGGGAGACATTGTGGATGAGAAATAGTTTTATTTTTGGACCCAGCAATTGCTGACTTCTTTGTATTTCCCCTAAATTCTGCTGGAAAAGTACTTTCTTCTTTAGGTCATCTCTTTTTTTACCTTATATTATACATATAAAAGAAACCAGTTGACAGTTTGGACATTCTGCTTTGAAATTACCTTAGGTAGAAGTAGTAGTTCATTACCAACATTTTCTGTTTTTTTACCTTACTGCAGGCAACAGTTTTGCTAAGTTTTCTGCCACTTCATAACAAGGTCTTTCTGAAAACATTTAACTCTCCTTTAATTCCTTTTCAATAGTTTCTACCAGGCTCTTCAAGCCAGGGTCCAGCTTCGGTCCACCACCCAGTCTTGAAACCAGTGTCGCATCTTTTAGGTTTTTGTTATGTCAGCATCCCAGTTTCACATACCAAATTCTGTCTGGCAACGTTGCTGTATAGCAGCCATCCCAAACTTAGTCCCAGAACCTGCATGGCTTTTCTCGACATAACCTTGGAAGTCACTCAGTGTCACTTCTACCACAGTCTGTTGGTAACAAGCAAGTTAAATGCCAGCCTGGATTTAGGGAGTTAACTTTTTCCAAGTGTCTTGTTTAGCATACACGATCGATACTTGGAATGCCTTTGCCACAGAATAGCCGAGGAGTTTCTTTTTCACGGTTATTTGGGGTTGATATTGAAAAGCAGTGCATGTGTTTGCTGCTTCCATGCTTGCAGCTGGATGGAAATTGGCCTCAGAGGGTTCATGGTTTTCTTTGCTATTAGCCAACAGATGCTTGCCAGAGTGTTTTACTCACTGAGTATTTAATGTGAGGGTAATGCATCTCTGTAGCTAATGAGAAGAGCAGTACAATACATTAGCTCATTTGTGTATAGCAAATATGTGCCTTTAGTCCACACATTGATCCTTCACTAAATGTCTTTTTTTGTTTTTTTTAACAAAGCTGTTATGAACACCTGTTTGGCACATCTATCTTCAAATTGCTTTGACTTTCTGAGAAGTTGATCCTGACTTTTGTATGTCTGTCTTATAGGGAAAATATTTTTTGTCTGTTAAATAATTATTTCAAATCTTCTTGAAACATTAAATTTTTAAAAATTTCAGGTTAATACTCTATATCATAAACAACCTTAGGTTTCTAGGCAGAAATATTCAGTTATTCATGAGTATGGTATGAAGTTGCTAATTCTCAATTTGTAGTTTTATATATATTAAAAAATGACATATTTCTAAAGTATATATATTTTAAATTTAAAATGTATGTATTTTTAAATTTTGGCAAAATGTCCAGGCTCTCTCCATAGCCCCCATTTCCTCTCAACAGCTGTCCCTCATCTCCCCTTCAGGCCTAGTGGTGCGTGTATCTGAATGAGGACCTGTCTTGGAAGTGGACTCAGGGCCATTTGAGCAGAGTTCTGGGGTTTCAGGTAGATAGAAAGTGATTTCTGGAGATAGATCGAGTAAGGCACTTCGATTTGGCCCTCTGCACTGCTCACTTCCTGGGGGAGAGGTATGGCTAGGAGGACCAAATCCTACTGCCTTGATCTAAGGATAGTAGTGATTTTAATAATTTTTTGAGACAGGGTTTGCTCTGTCACCCAGGCTGGAGGCTGCAGTGCAGTGGTGATCATAATTCACTGCAGGCTAAAGCAATCCTTACACCTCAATCTCCTGAGTAGCTGGAACCACAGGCATGTATCACCATGCCTGGCCAATTTTTAAATTTTTGGAGAGATGGGGTCTCCTTATGTCACCCAGGCTGGTCTTGAACTCCTGGGCTCAAGCTATACTCCCGCCTTGGCCTCCCAAATTGCTGGTATTATAGGCATGAGCCACCACACCTGGCTGATTTTAATAATCTTATAATAGGTCTACCAGACTTCATTACCTTTAGACTTTATTCTTTCTGGTCTGTCCTTTTCTTGTATGCCCGGAAATAATTGTCTAAAACTCAAACTGTTACCACACCCGTGTTCAAAACTTTTCAGTGCTCCACATTTTCATCAAGATAAAGTCTTAACATGGCCTGTTGGAGAACCTCTGTGCCCTATTCTCGTTAACGGTGGAGGGTGTCCAGGTTCTTGGCACCTTGAACAAAGAATTGGACAAAACGCACAAACAAAGCAAGGAAGGAATGAAGGGATTTATTGAAAATGAACGTACATGCCACAGTGTGGGAGTGGGCCTGAGCATACGGGCTCAAAGGCCCTGTTAACGGAGTTTTTCATGAGTTTAAATACCCTTTACTTGGGGTACGCCCTATGTAAATGAAGAGGATGAGGTAAAGTTACAAAGTCATTTACGGCATATACCCTATGGAGAGGATATTTCCTATTATAGCTGAAGTGTAAATTGGCTTTATGTTCCCTGCCTCCAGACCATATTTTCCTGCCTCATTCTGATCATACTTACTTTTTCATTCTTACCTATTACCGAGCTCTATTGTCTTTCCAAGCAAGTACTCTTTTCTGCCCTCCCAACTTTGCACAGGCTGTGGGTCTGTCACATCCTCTCTCATGAACAACCTCTAGTATATCTACCAAACAAACTTATACTGACCCTTTAACACTCAGTTAAATATTAGGTAGTCTGACAAGCCTTTTTTCTTCACCTCCCCAGGAAGAATTAAGTCCTTCCCTTTGTGTATTTCCATAGTGGTTTGTATACATGTTGTTATGGCACTTGTCTCATTATGTAATGTTTGCATGTCTGTAAGCAAAGCCTTCTGCCTCTGAAGGCAGGGGCTGATTTGATTCAGCATGGTATTTCTCTAATACCAATAGTGCCTAGTACACAATAGTGCTTAATAGATGTGTATTGAATGAAGAGTGTAATTAATGGAGTGCTTTACATGTGAATTGCTCTAAATAGAGGGCCATGTTTGTAGTAAATGCCTGCGTATCCAAGGTGATTGAGAAATGGAGTGCTCCAGTAATTGATTATGTTTCTTAACAGCCAATTACAAATTATCAATTTTAGATAATTTGAATAAAAAACAAAATAGGTTATACAGAATTGATCTGTCTTTATTAATCCATAAGGTGCTTCAGCATGATCATTCTGATTTCTGTGGCTTGTTTAGAGCTATGGCTGAGGAAGCTGTAGGGAACTGAGCTGTAGGGGGATCTGTAGTGATGCTATGTCACAAGCTGGGCCTTGTTTTTTTTTTTTTTTTACTTGAATCTCTAACACACATATACTTACTATTTTGCCTATCTAATTATAAATTTAACACTAAGGAGACTCACAATTGTATTATCATGTTTTTTCAAATGTAGCTTAAAAAATTCTTAGAAGACAGACAAGCAACATACCTTAAGATATATACACTATCTTAATTCAGTGGAAAGCTTGCTACATTCAGGCTGTTCCCTATTCAGTGATAGTCCTTGCTGAGCACAAATGAAGTCTTGTGAACTGAGCTAAGTAGTTAATTTGATGATACTCTCTGGCCATGACTATTTCAAGAGTGCTGGATTCCCACCCAAATTATATATTGATTCTTCTAATTCATATGAAATTAGTGTGAGTGGTTACTGTTAATTTGTGTATTGATTTATTGTTCTTTTGTGTTCTCACCTACCCAACAACAGTGTTGCCAGTTAGTAGTTGCAAAACTCAGAGATTACTTTTGTGCATGCATTTTCACATCTTTCGAAGTGGCTTTGAACAGAGACCTATTTGGGGGTATGCTCTTATTATGTTTGCACAAATGATCTGAAAACTATCATGGTGGCTGAGCCCTGACTTCCTACATTGCTGTTCTATGTCTTCTTCTTAAACCTAGAAATCTTCCTATAATGCTTGATCCTTTTTAAAGGAAGAATTTGGAATATGGAGCAGATGTATATTTTCTTCGTGACACTCAGAAACATGTATTGTAAATGTGTCTGTTTTTTAGATACCATATTGTTCAGTTGGCTCCTCTCCACTTGAATCCTTTTCTTTTAATTAGTTTTCCAGCCTGGCTGTCCCCTCAGCTGCAAAACAATGCAGTATTTGTAACCTAATTATTTGTGAAAGTGAATCATCTCAACTTAAGTCTAAGAATGATTGACCTACTTATAGAAGGGTTAGCTTGAAAATCCTACGTGAAGAAAGGACAATGTAAAGGATTGATTAAGTAATTTTGAAGTACGTGAATATTAGAGTCATTAATGATAGAAACATGGATTCAGTATCATACTCAAGCATATATTCAGTGACTCCGTAACCCACCTATCTGGTTTAAATAATCTATGAACAAACAGAATAAAAGTAAGTCTTGCTACATTATATTAAGCCAATATCAATTGAGCTTTGGGAAATAGGCCTAAAAATGTGTCTTTGGCAATTTAATTTGCTCCTATTATGAACATTTTTATGTTAAACTGATTGACTCTCTTAAATACAACATGGAAACATTTATGTCTTTGTAGTGTGACTTTAAAAAATAATTATTGACTGAGGCCGGGCGCGGTGGCTCACGCCTGTAATCCCAGCACTTTGGGAGGCCGAGGCGGGCAGATCGTAAGGTCAGAAGATCGAGACCATCCTGGGTAACATGGTGAAACCCCGTCTCTACTAAAAATACAAAAAATTAGCCAGGCATGGTGACAGGTGCCTGTAGTCCCAGCTACTCGGGAGGCTGAGGCAGGAGAATGGCGTGAACCCAGGAGGTGGAGGTTGCAGTGAGCCGAGATCACACCACTGCACTCTAGCCTGGGCGACAGAGTGAGACTCCGCCTCAAAAAAAAAAAAAAAATTATTGACTGAATAAAATTGTGATTGCTTGCTAAGGCATTTTTTTGTATTAGTTAAATTATAAGTAAGAAAGGCTTTAAATCTCTATTTTAAGAGACATAGTCCATACATGGTAAGTCATGCCTATAATCCCAGCACTTTGCGAGGCCAAGGCAAGAGGATTGCTTGGGCCCAGGAGTTCAAGACCAGCCTGAGCAACACAGTTAGACCCCCACTCTACCCCCACCTGCCCGCCCCCTCCCCCACAAAAACAAAAAAGAAAAAAAGATATTCATCATCGGGTTTTAGTCACAGTTCTATAACTAAGAAGCTGGCTGACTTTGGTGCCTTGGGTTTTCCCGTGAGTCAGATTAACTATTTTATCATGGACATCAATTGGATCTTATACATGAAAGTGCTCTATAAAATGTATACCACATTTAGGAATTAAGCAAGATTTTAGCCCTTTTTCTGCCTGCTTTTTCAACTCTGGGCTGGTCACTTAAGCTTGCCAAGCTTTTATTTCTTCATAGGTAAAATAAAGGAGTTTGGCCTGTATATTCAACTTGAGTATTGTTTACATTGTGTTTAGCTTTTACAACCTATTATTTATTATTTTTTCTTTTTAAAAAATCAGCTGTTTTTTAAAGACATTTCCCTTGCTTATAGTGTAATTACCAAATAATAAGATGGGATTCCTTTAAATTTAACCTGTTTTATTTAATATTCCTATCAATCTTGTAAGAGTAGGTGGCATGAGACTCATTTTACTGATGAGGAAAATTGAGACTCAGGGATGTTGTACGCTAATTAGTGTGAGAGGTGGGATTCCAGTACAGGTGGGTCTCTGATCCCAGTCTTCTTTTTTTTTTTTTTTTTCTTAGCATGTGGCTTAAGTGAAGACACATTGCCATATACCTCATGTAGAGCAAGTTTTTGATCTCCATTGTTGTTTCTTTCTTTTTTTCTCTAGATGAATAATGTCTGACCAAAATGTTTTTGTAGAAAAGTGCATATATTTGATAGCCATGTGCATAGTTTGGGAATTTTAACATTATAGCACTATTACAAAATGTCTTGTTAGCATTATGCAACCTATACAGTATGTTTGGGAATCATTCAGTGCTTAAAAATAAAGTTTATCCTTCAATTAAGGTGAGCTACTTTTTTTTTAGTAGGTATATTTTATTTTTAAATGTAGCATTGTTTAATGTTGTAGATGCTTTTGAACTTAAACACTGTTTTGTGCTTGCTATAGAAGGAAAACAGATGATCTATACACTCACTAAATTTTTTTTCTTTTAAAAAACTCCTAATTTATTTTGTAACCTAGGAAGAGTTTTAAACATGGAAATATTTTCTGTAATTTCTAAAAATTTCTGTTTTAGGAGGGTGTTGTTTTATGTTGTTATATTTGTTATTTACATTAAAATTTTTTTAAAGTCTCTGGGCTATCTCAAATGTGTAGGTCAAACAAGTATTAGGACAAATACATCCAGAAACATTCCTTTGTGATTGGAGTTCATTTATGAGTGCTGTGCTTTAACGGTTCCTATTATAAGCCTCAGATATCACCTTGTCCAGGTGTGCCAGCCCTAGATGTTGATCTTATCTAGAACAATATTGCTTTTGAGGTTCCTGACAGCACTGATTCAGCCAGTACTCTGATGCCGATTCTTTCTGATTCAGAAACCTCTTCCTCTGTGGCATTTCTCAACTCATGCTTATCTTTTTTTTGTTGAAGGTTTCCTGGTGGTCATTACTAGTCCAAAAGTGAATTTCCATGAATAGTTCGTGGGTCATAGTTTTATTTTTATCTTCTCAGCAGATAACTTTGAAATGGCCGTGGCACTTTGAAGAGATCTTATCTTCTGCCGTTGTTAACGTTGTTCACAAAACTCCAGCTACACTGGCCTTCTTTTGTCTTCTATGAATATACCAAGTTTATTCCAACTTGCAAGTCTTCTACTCCTTGTCCCTCTGCAAGGAATGGTCTTCCCTCAGACTGGTGGTTTACTGGATTCTTCTTGTCATTTAAGTCTCAGCTTAAATGTCCCCTCTTCAAAGAGGCTTCCTTGACAACTCACTGTAAATTGGTGCTTCTCAACTCACTTTATTACATGGCTGCGTTTTGTTTTCCTCTTAGTACCAGATCACTAATTGGTAGCTGTTATTTCTCATTAATCTCCTCTGATGGGGACAAAGGGACATTGTGTCTAGTTTACTGCTGTATCTCTAGCACCTACAGTAGTGTCTGCCATAATAGGCATTTCAGTAAATATTTACTGAGTGACCAATGAATGAATATTTTTTCTACCAGCTATTCGTACAAATGTCTTTTCATTCTTTTTCATTTTCCTTTTGGTAGTCAGGAAGATACAATTAATGTTTTTGCAATTAATATTTTTGTATTTTTGACATTTTTCTGTTTCTTCGCTGTTTTGTCTCCTAGTTGAATTCTTTTAGAAGAAGGGAAAAACCTCTTGAGATGTGACTGTTTCCATCTATTTTCTGCTTGCCAGGTGGGTGTCTGAGCCCGTACATCCTAGTCATAAAAGCAATTAGCAGGTAGGAAAATTGGCTTCTAACAGCTGCTTCAGTCCTGCTTGAGTTGGCCTCTCCCCCAAGGGACTGATCACTGTCATCCTAGCAAAATGAAATTGCCTTCTCATAAACATTTTTCTGTCTGGGATTATAGAACAGGAACAAATTCCAGGTTTACAAAATGAGTTAAAATATGTCAATAGAATAGAACAAAATAATGACCTGCTGCTGCAATTTGAATTCTGAGTCAAGACAGCAACATTTATTTTCAGAAGAGATGACATTGAAACTGTGGCACTCTTAGTTCTATTGAAATGACTTTATTATGCCAAAAGGGTAGATTTAATAATTTATTTATTGGTATTGGTGAGGAAAGTGGCAATTCTATAAAATATAGCTTTGACTCTTGGTTGGAACTTTGGTTTATGGCATAGTCGTTGTGCCTTCGATTAACTCTATGGAAAGGGACAGGCATTTTTGAATGAATACTACTTGATTTCTTTTCCATTTCATTTCCCCAGGTATTAATTTATTCAGTTGTATTCTTTTTGACCATGATAGACCTTTGCCATTGCTATGTGCTATAATTAATATGTATGTGTAGGCTTTAAATGAGTTTGATTTTTTTAAATTACTTATTGATATGTAATTGTTGTACATATTTTGGGGATACATGTAATACTTTAATACCTGTATACAATGTGTAAAGATCAAATCAGGGTAATTGGGATATCCATCACCTCAAACATTTATCTTTTTGTGTGTGTTGGGAATACAAAAAAAATTATTTTAGCCATTTTGAAATATACAGTAAATTGTTGTTAACTCTAAGTTCCCTACTGTGCTATTAATCAATGGGTGTTATATAAACAGTATACCAATTCTGGGTTGTATATTGATGTATGCCGCAGTGTTATCAAATGAAGTGTTGGTTCACCTTGATCCTTTTTGGTAGGTTTTATCTGATGTAATTCCCAGTCTGAGCTAGTTGTGCAATGTTCTCCCTTTAAAAGCCGCCTTCTACTCAATATCTCCTTTTTATCTTTTCAAAACCTCTGGTCTTTCATAAAACTCAAAGAGTTTGTGTCACTAAATTCTGTTTTAAATGTTTTGTTACAAAAATTAAGAGAAACTATGCAAAATGGGGGTATTAGTTTTGTTTTTGAATGAATGAGATATGCCTTACAAAGCTATCCAGTTGAATGAAGGGCAAAAAACACACAATCTATCTCAATAGATGCGGAAAAAACCTTGGACAAGATTTAACACCCTTTCACGATAAAAAACACTCAACAAATTAAGAGTAGAAGAAAACTACCTCAACATAATGTAGGCCATATATGGAAAGCCACAACTAACATCTTAATCAATGGTGGAAAACTGTAAGGTTTTGCTCTAAGATCCAGGGACAAGGCAAGGATGCCTGCTCTCACCACTTATATTCACCATCGTATTGGAAGTCCTAGCCACAACAATTAGAAAAAGAAAAAAAATTTATCCAAACTAGAAAGGAAGAAGTAAAATTATCTCTGTTTGCAGATGACATGATCTTATATGTAGAAAACCCTGAAGATTTCATAAAAACAGGTTCGAATTAAAACAATTCAGCGAAGTTTCTGGATACAAATCAACACACAAATATCAGTTGTATTTCTAATCATTAACAATGACTAATCCAAAAATGGTTTCGAAATGAAGAAAACAATTCTATCAAAAAGAATAAAACACTTATGAATAAATTAACCAAGGAGGTGGAAGACCTGAACACTGAAAAGTACAAAACATTACTGAAAGAAATTAAGACATAAGTAAATGGAAACAGCCCATGTTCATGGGTTGGAAGACACTGTTGTTAAGATGTCAGTACTACCCAAAGCAATTTATAGATTCAATTAGATCCCTATCAAAATCCCAATGACTTCTTTGTAAAAATAGAAAATGTATCCTAAAATTTGTGTAGAATCTCAAGGAACTGCAAATAGCCAAAACAATCTTGAAAAGAAGAACAGAGTTGGAGGTCTCTCACTTCCTGATGTCAAAACTTACTGCAAAAACTATGGTTATCAAAGTAGTGTGATACTGGCATAAAGACAGATATATAAACCAGTGGAATAAAACAGACAGCCGGCCAGGCGTGGTGGCTCACGCCTGTAATCCCAGTACTTTGGGAGGCCAGGGCAGGTGGATCACGAGATCAGGAGATCGAGACCATCCTGGCTAACATGGTGAAACCCCGTCTCTACTAAAAATACAAAAAATTAGCCGGGCGTGGTGGCTGGCACCTGTAGTCCCAACTACTCAGAAGGCTGAGGCAGGAGAATGGCGTGAACCCGGGAGGCGGAGCTTGCAGTGAGCGGAGATGGCGCCACTGCACTTTAGCCTGGGCGACAGAGTGAAACTCTTATCTCAAAAAAACAAAAAAACAGACAGCCAAGAACTAAATCCTTGCTTATATAGTCAAATGATTTTCAACAAGGGTGGCGAGACCATTCAATGAGGAAAGGACAGTCTTTTCAACGAATCGTGCTGGTAAAACTATATTTCCATATGAAAAAAGAATGAAGTTGGAGTCCTACCTTATTCCACATACAGAAAACTAACCCAACATTGATCAAAGACCTAAACATAAAAGCTAAAACTAAAAGTCCTAGGAGAAAATCCTCATGACATTGAATTTGTAGTGATTTCTTAGTTATAACACCAAATGCACAGGTAACAAAAGAAAAAATAGATAAGGCCGGCGCGGTTTCTCACACCTGTAATCCCAGCACTTTGGGAGGCCAAGGCTGGCAGATCAGTTGAGGTCAGGAGTTTGTGACTAGCCTGGCCAACATGGTGAAATCCCATCTGTATAAAAAATACAAAAATTAGCCGGGCATGGTGGTGTGTGCCTGTAACCCCAGCTACTTGGGAGGCTGAGGCAGGAGAATCATTGAACCCAGGGGGTGGACGTTGCAGTAAGACGAGATTGTGCCACTCCCCTCCAACCTAAGCAACGGAGCGAGACTCCGTCTCAAAAAAAAAAAAAAAAAAAAAAGTAAGTTGGACTTTACTAAAATTAAAAACTTTTGTGCATCAAAGGACACTATTAACAGAGTGAAAAGACAACCTATGAAGAATGGGAGAAAATATTTGCAAATCACATATCTGATAAGGGATTGATATCCAGAATATAAAAAAATTCCTATAACTCACAACTACAAAAAACCAAACAATTCAATTAAAAAATGATCAAAGGCATTTCTCCAAAGATACAAATAGTCATGACCACATGAAAAGATGCTCAACATCATTAATCATTAGGGAAATCCAAATCAAAACACAGTGATATACCACTTTACACCTATTAGGATAGCTGTTATTGAAAAAGGAAAAAGAAAACAAAACAGAAAACAAGTATTGGCAAGGACACGGATAAATTGGAACCTTTGTGCATTGTTGTTGACGAGAATATAAAATGGTGCAGCTGCTATGGAAAACAGTATGGCATTTTTTCAAAAAGGTAAAAATAGAACTATCATATGATCCAGCAATGCCACTGCTGAGTAAGTTTTCAAAAGCATTGAAAGCAAATTCTCAAAGACATATGTACACACCCGTGTTCATAGCAACACTATTTATAATAGCTAAGAGGTGGAAGGTACCCAGATGTCCATCATCAGATGAATGGATAAACAAAATGAGGTATATACATACAGTGGGATATTATTTAGCTTTAGAAAGGAAAGAAATCCTGTTACATGCTACAACATGGAAGAACTTGAAGACATTATGCTAAGTGAAATAATCCAGTCACAAAAAGACATATGCAAGCCAGGTGTGGTGGTTCACTCCTGTAATCCCAGCACTTTGGAAGGACAAGGCGGGAGGATTGCTTGAGCCCAGGACTTCTAGACTAGTCTGGGCAACATAGTGAGACCCTTTTCCTACAAAAAAATTTTTAAAAATTAGCCAAGCATGGTGGCTCCTGCCTGTAGCCCCAACTACTCAGGAGGCTGAGGCAGGAGAATCACTTGAGCCCGGAAATTGCAGCTGCAGTGAGCTGTAATCATGTCACTGCATTCCAGCCTAGGTGACAGAGCAAGAACCTGTCTCAAAAAAAAAAAAAAAAAAAGACATGCTGTATGATTCTACTTATATGAGGTATCTGAAGTAGTCAAATTCATAGAAACAGAAAGTAGAATACCAGGGGCTGAAGGGAGAGGGAAGAGGAATTCTTAATGGGTATAAGTTTCAGATTTGCATGATAAAAAAGTTCTGGAGATGTGTTTCACAACAATGTGAATATACTTAACATTACTGAATTGTACACTTAAAGATGGTGAAGATTTTATGTTGTGTGTGTGTTTTTTTTTTTTTTTTTACCATAATGAAAGAAATGAAGCCAGTCATTCAATAACTGTTCATTAAATGGTTGTTTTGTGTTCTGCATACTGCTGGGCTAAGGAGATATAAAGATTACTAAAAGCCCTTAAGTCCTTTAAATCAATGTAACTTAATGCAGCTGCATTGAGGTGTAATATTATTATTTCTTAAATTTTATTTATTGTAAAAATCTAAAACTGTTCTAAAAAATAAAGTCTTAATTTTTAGATCAGTTTTAGATTTTTACAAACACTTCAGACAGTACAGAGCTCCCCATCCCCATACACAGTTTCCCTTATTAACATCTTGCATTAATATGCTTGTGGTACAATAAATAATTTGTCTTGTCTTTGTCTTAGACTTTTTTACATGGAAATTATAACTCTTGCAATTTCTGAAGTGATAGGTGTATCTTTGTTATGTAAACTTGGTAACTTATGGTGGACCCCTAGATTGCTTCAAGATGGGAGCTGTCACCAGAAAGAACAACCATGTGATTAGAAGGTTGGGACTTTAGGCCAGCCTGACCTGGTGGGAGTAGGAGGGTTTGAGTCCAGTCGTGTGGCTAATGATTTGAACAATCATGCCTATGTAATAACCCCTCAATAAAAACTGTGAACACCAAAGCTCAGTGGAGCTTTTTTTTTTTTCTTTTGAGATGCAGTCTTACTCTCTCACCCAGGCTGGAGTGCAGTGGCACGATCTCAGCTCACTGCAACCTCTGCCTCCCGGGTTCAAGTGATTCTTCTGCCTCAGCCTCCCGAGGAGCTGGGATTACAGTCACGTGCCACTATGCCCAGCTGATTTTTAAATTTTTTGTAGAGACAGGGTTTCACCATGTTGGCCAGGCTGGTCTCAAACTCCTGACCTCAGATGATCCACCCGCCTCCCAAAGTACTGGGATTACAGGCGGTGTGAGCCACCACACCCAGCCAAGCAGAGCTTTTTGGTTGGTGAAGACATTGGTGTACTGGGAGGGTAAGTGCCCTAACTCATGGGGAAAGGGCATAGAAACTCTGCACTTCGGACCCTCTAAGACCTTGTCCTATGTGTATTTTTTATAGTAAAGTTATAATTTAAGAGGCTGAGGTGGGAGAATTGTTTGAGCCCAGGAGATCAAGAGTTGCAGTGATCTGTGATTGTGCCACCACAGTCCAGCCTGGTGACAGAGCAAGACCCTGTATTAAAAAAAAAAAAAAAGCTATAATTGTAAGTATAGTACTTTCCTGAGTTGTGTAAATCTTTCTGGCCAATTTCTGAACTTGAGGGAGTCATGGAAACCTCTGAATTTATGGCTAGTTGGTCAGAGTGCAGGTGGTCTGGAGACTCCTGAAGTCCAGCTGGTTTCTAAAGTAAAGAGCAATATTGTTTGGGATCATACCCTTTAACTTGTAGGGTCTACACTAACACTGGATGGTTAGTGCCAGAATTGAATTACAATATACACTGTTATGGTTGAAACAGAATGGTGGTACATTCAATTAATGAACCAATATTGATCCCTTATTTTAAAGTAAAGTCTATAATTTACACTGTGGTTCACTCTTTATATTGTATAGTTTCATGAGTTTTGACAAATTCATAATAGCATCTATCTGCGATTACAGTGGTAATGGTAGATATTCCATTCAAGCAGAATATTTTCACTGCTGGAAAAGTCATCTGTGCTCCATTCATTCATTCCTCCTTCCTCGCCGCTGAACCCTTGGCAATTACTCATCTTTTCTGTTTTCATAAGTTTGCCATTTTCAGACTGTCATGTAGTTGGAATTATATAGTATGTAGTCTCTTCAGATGGCTTCTTTCACTTATCTGTGTTAGTTCAAGCTTCCTGTATGTTCTATGGTTTGATAGTTCATTTATTTTTATTCCTGAATAATATCCCAATGAGTGGACTTAATACACTTTATCCATACCTATTGAAGGACATCTTGTTTGCTTCCAAGTTTTCACAGTTAAGAAATAAAACTTCTATAAACATTTGCATGCAGGTTTTTGTGTGGACATTGGTTCTCAAATCAGAATGCAATTGCTGGATCATACAGTGAGACTAAGTTCAACTTTGTGAGAAGTTGCCAAACTATCTTCTGAAGTTACTGCATCATTTTGTATTCCCAGCAACACTGAATGAGAGATCCTGTTGCCCCATGTCTTTGCCAGCATTTGGTGTTGTGTTTTGAATTTAGCCATTGTAATAAGTGTATTTTATGGTAGCTCATTGTTTTAATTTGCAGTTCCCTAATAATATATGATATTGAGCCTCTTAACATATGCTTATTTTTCATATATGTATCTTCTTTGACGAGGTGTCTGCTCAGATCACTGGCCCACTTTTTAATCAGATTGTTTTCTTAATGTGGAGTTTGAGTTCTATGTATATTTTAGATAACATCCTGATTTCAGATATGTCTTTTGCAAATATTTTCTCTCAGTATGTGACTTGTCTTTTCATTAACAATGTCTTTTTCAGAGCAGAAGTTTTAATGATGTCCAACTTACCAGTTTGTTTTTCTTGGATAGTGCTTTTGGTGTTGAATCTAAGAAGTCATTGTCAAACCTAAGTCACCTAGATGTTTTTCTGTGTTACCTTGTAAAATGTTTATAGTTTTATGTTTTATATTTAGGTGTATAATCCATTTTGAGTTAATTATGTATGAATTTAATTTTGTGTGAATTTTGTTTTACATTTTTAAAATTATAAAATATTTAGAACATACAATTAGATATAAACACTAATATAATGACCTGTATCTAAAGTACTTACCAAATGGCTTTATCAAGTCTTACTTTTAGGGAGGCTAAGGCAGTGGATTGCTTGAGCCCAGGAGCTCTAGACCAGCCTGGGCAACATGATGAAACCCCATATCTACAAAAAAACTAGCTGGGTGTGGTGGCATGTGCTTTTAGTCCCAGCTACCCCGCAGGCTGAGATGGTAGGATCACCTGAGCCCAGGAGGTTGAGGCTGCAGTGAGGCATGATTGCAGTACCATACTCAAGCCTGGGCGACATAATGAGACCGTTTAAAAAAAAAAAAAAAAGTCTTAACATTTTACCTTATTAATCTACAGATTGTAAAATCAATGCAGTTGAGACCCTCCCTTGTGAATTCCTCCTTATCTCATCCCTCTCCCCTTCTCAGAAATAACCAATTTACAAATTTTAAAATTTCATCTTAACATTACATGTATTTCTGCAACTTGTTTATTTCAAAATTCAGCATTGTTTTTGAGATTTAGACACTTTTTTACTATAAGGAAAAACATTTTAATTTAAAGCAATTTAATGTTAAATAATCAATTTACTATAAGTGTTAATTTTATCATGGTTTCTTACATTAGCTTAGATAGAAATGCATGGTTTTCTGGAATTTACTATGATTTAGTTCTGACCTGAAGGTTAAGTTTTTCAATCCTTTAAAGACATATCTTTAAATTTTATTGTGGGATTCATTTTGTAGAGCCTTACTAAATTGGTTCTAAATAGCTAGATACATATATATATATATATATTTTTTTTTTTAAAGATTTTTCATGTGGTGTATGTTTTTTAGAATGTATATACAATTGAGATTAGATTGTTAATATGCTGTTCCATAGCTAGTCTGTTAAGAATACTCAACAGAAGCTATTGTAGAAATACTTAATTTTTACAAAATGTGCTGTTAGTTGGGGAGTGTACCTTTTGTAGATTTCTTTCTGGGGCTCTTTCAAAGTCACAGATTTTCTTTAAGCATCAGTTTCTGAGAGCACAATTTATAGATTTCATCAGATAATCTGTGCAATTCAAGGTGGAGGTAAAGGCATAGCTTCCTCCCTCAGCAAGAGGAAAGTGACTTGATTTTGCTTGGGATGGGATGAGTTGAACCTAATTATTTATGCTGATGAATGCAGCAAGTTTCATCCAGCAAAAGCAGATGTTTGCAGAATCTTCTGTGGCCTAAATTAAATCTGAACCATACAGGATTGCAGTCTTTAGAGAAGGCTACTCCCATTGTCTGCTGTATTAATTGTCCATGCTAATCTGTCACTGCTGATTTGATTATCATTGCTTATTTACCCTTTCATTGGTATACAGTTTGAGTCCAATAGCTAAAAAAGCTCAAATTTTTACTGCTTTACACATTTGAAAAATAATGACCTCTTTTTACCTCAAGATAATTTATTATAGGTTCCAGAAAGTGGTATGATGGTACTTCCAATTCAGATTATTTTTTTCTATCAGCACCCCCAAATTATTGACAGATTTAGCTGTAATTTAATGAGAACAGACTAATATGACAAGGGAATTGATTTTTTTCTTAAGTCCTTGCTCTTCTTAGCTCTATTGCATGAAACGCTAAAGTAGCGTTTTCCATTCTGTCTTCCTCAAGTATAAAATGTGTTCCAGATTTTGTCTCCCCAGCTCTTCTTCTAGTGACACTATGTTCATAACTGTGCTATAATAATAAAGGGTTACTGACAAATGACTTTTCCGGGTTAATTTTTTGCATATGCCATGGTTTTAGATTTCATCTCATTCATGGGAATTAATCCATGGTAAAGGTTTTGTAGCATATCTCTGAGGTAAGTGAAAGTTAAAAATTCTGTTGGTGTGGAATCTCTGCCAGACTACATCTTATCTTCTGTTTGGTATTTTGTGTTCAGGATCTTTGTATGTCAGGATGATGAATTCAGATTAATCTCTGGATGATGTTACAGACCTATTAATTTCAGAGAAATCATCAAATTCTTAGTTTGATCATGTAGTTACTTTACATTATTATAATCTTCAATGATTATTTCTTGATTTTTAAAATAAATATTCACTGATGGTTTCTCCTCTCAAATAAATGAAATACCATTCCTGGCACCTTTCAAAATAAACTTCTTGTCTTGGCATACTTAGAACCTTTTTTTTTTCCCTAGTGGAGCTTTCATGTCTGTATTATCTTGTCTTGGCTGAGTTTATTTGGACTTCTTTTACTCCTCTACCTGCTTCTCAAACTTCATGGGCACAGGTAGGTTATAATGATGCTTCTTACTGTTGGCATCTTGAGGGCTAGCCCCGCATCTTGATTGGTTACTTTGTTGTCTTCTCTTTTTCCTATCTTTACTCATTCTGTTTCCTCCATAAACACCTACTATAATCTAGTTAATTTATGTCTTTGGATATTTCTATATCTTTGGAAAATATTATATAGTGTTTAGTACATATATATATAGGTTATTAATTTTCACAAATGGCCTTGGTCTGTACATCCCATTTTATTCTTTTTTTTTTTCATTTAGCCCTATATTTAAACAATCTATTTTTGTTGCTATATGCAATTCTGGTTCATTACTTCTGACTGCTATACAGTATTATATCATGTACACACTCTTATCCATGTATACTGTGTATTTGTCTTATTTATACATTTTTCTGATGGCACTTGGGTGTATTCAACTCCATGTGCCATTAATAATGTTGCAGTGATAATCTTCATTTTATTTTATAGAGGTATATAATCAAGAATGTGATTGATCTGTTGTTGGATGTCCATTATTAAGTTCACCAGGTATTGCCAGATTGCTCTGTAGGATGACTAGATAGTTTTTACTGCTTTGAGCAGTGCATGAGGATTCACAGACTCTATATTTCATGTGGGCAACAAGCAACAAGCAACTGAAGAGCTGCTTTTATAGACATGATTAGCAAACGGCCAAATTATTTATGTGTGAATAATATAAAACCAAAGTAGGTTACCATTAACCCCTCACTCAGAAGGGACTCCTGAGTGGAAAAGCTGCCTTGGTTCCTAGTAAACGTCTCTATAATGAGAGCTTTTTGGTGAGAGAATATGAGGGTGAGCCCTCGTTGCAAGTAACTCTGCCTACCAGCCATGTGGACAGTTTAGTTCTGCAAGATGTAAATGATTAGATTCTTTGTGCCCATTGTGGTTCTTGGAATGCAAACATGAATGAGGCTGATTCTCTGCCCCTGAAGCTCTGTGGTTGTAGAACAAGTAGGTGCAGGTCTTGTGCTCATCTGTCTTTTGGAGAGACCCCTTTGCTTCATCTCAGAGAAGTTGGCACTCACTGTTTAGTCTTTCATAGCAGTCTTTTAATGGCACTGTTATTCTTGTTATCTTACCTTCAAAAATTAAGACACAGAGATACCTGGGTCTATTAACTCTGACCATTTGGAGTCCTACTAGTCCATCATTATACCTAACCTGGTAAAAGATTTCCCAGAAAGAGATAGGTGTTCTTATTGTGGCATTTGTTTCCTGAAGTGCAATGATTGGGGTGGGAAGGATGGCATGTTGTCAAGTCTCTTTGAATTGGTAAAATGGAGATTGGAAACCATTACCTAGAAGCATGGATTAATTAAAAGTAGTGAGAGGGCTGTGTACAGTGACTCACACCTGTAATCTGAGCACTTTGGGAGGCTGAAGTGGGAGGATTATTTGAGGTCAGTAGTTTGAGACCAGCCTGGGCAACATGGGTCAGCCTGGGCAAGACCCTGTCTTTACAACAGCAGCAAAAAATTAGCTGCATGTGGTAGTGCACGCCTGTAGTCCTAGATACTCAGGAGGCTGTGTCAGGCGGTTCGCTTAAGCCCAGACTTCATGGCTGCAGTGAGCTATGATCATGTCACTGTGATCCAACCTGGGCAACAAGCCAGACCCTGTCTCTTGAAACAAAGTAGTAAGCATCAACGTGATGTATAGTGATAAGAATACAGACAACAGTATTGGGCAAAATAGCAGAAAAAAAAGTTTCCTATCTTCACCCATCTAAATTTCCATTAAAAAGACCACTAGATACATAGATGAATGGGAAAAACACTGCATGTGTATTAGAAGCTAGAGCTTAATGCCACTCATGCCAGAAAACCCAGAATAATCTTTGTTAGGCAGCATTGCTTATGGTCCTGGAATGAAAGAAGTAATTGAGGAGGAGCCCCTGAAGGAGAATCTTTCTGAGAGAGGACTCTTAAGTTGGGAGGGACAGTAAACTTAATGCATGTTCCTACAAAGCACAGTGTTTAAATCCCTCTCTTGGCTCTTTGACCAGAAGCATTTGTGAACACTGTTTATAGATCTAGAGTTTGCTTATAGCACCTCCCTAGAAGAAACCTGTCCACATAGGTGGCCTAGTCACTAAGTTCCCAGCTACCAACCCTCCTGCCTCAAACCCTGTTCAGATTGCTGGATAGCTCAACTAGCAATCTGTTGAGATTTGTGTTCTCAAAAAGGTTTAGTCATTAAACCTGGGGAAGCTGGATATCAGTAATAAAAAGGAAGCAATCTGACAGGATTCTGAAGGCATGAAAATACAGTTGCCAAATTAAAATCTCTGGATGCAGTGAATAGCAAATTAGACACTACAAAAATAAATCAAAATGACAAAATAAGACAAAAGGAAGACAGGTCAGGAGATAAAATGTATTGTACAAACAGCAAGAATATCAGAAAGAGAGAGATGTAGCACACACATTGTTAAAAAAATAGATGGAAATGATGCTGATCCAAAAGTAATACAAATAAAAATATGAAAATATTTCCTGCTGGACTTTTCGTAATTGTAGGCATTTATGCTAGAGACAATATGAAAGGAACCGAGTTGATGGAGGTATAGAGAACCAACCCATAAATTCTCGCATGAAAGAGCAAACTGCCTGGGTCGTGAGTGGAAGAGATGCTGAATAAATCTGACTAAATCTCCTCTACTTCTCGGAAACAAGGATAAGCAGGTACAAGTAGAAGCCTGGCAAGATGGGAGACCTTCATCTGGAAAATATTTCTTCTTCCTGGAATAATAAAAGGCCTTCCTTCTGGTGTCAGGACCAGAAACACTACATGGTTGGGCAGTCATTTCAAAAGAGAAGACAGCATTACTATTATGCACAAGTGATCTACCAGAAAATCTAGGAAAATTACCTGAAAGCCTATTTGAACTAAAATTATGTGGTTAGTTACGTCTAAATGTACTGAAGTCAGTACTTTCTCAATATTCAAGGAATACCTAGTTGGAAACTACAATGGAGAAAAAAAATCTCTTAAGTATTTAGAAACGATAAAACAAGTACAAATTATTTTTTAAAAACCTTACAGGATAACATAAAGAGAGTTGAATAAGTACAGAGATTAAACATGTTTCTAATAAGCAGGACTCAGTCTTATATTAATTCTTCCCAAATCTATGAATTTGATGCAATTCTAATCAAAATCTAATTAACATTTTTGATTCAGAAGTGGGATGAAATAGGGAAATTTAACAAAATTGGTCTGAAATTGTTGTAGAATAAGTTTAAAAGAAAATTTTTGAAGGAGTAGCATTATGAAGTTGGAATTGCACCACCATATATTAGAAGATTTTTATAAATCTGCAATGATTAAAACCATATGATATTGACTAAGAATGGAACAAGGTAGAGTCCTAAAATAATACAGATTAATGTATGATAGTGAAGCCATTTCAATTCATTAGGAGAATGAATTAGTAAACAAAAGTGGTAAGAATATTGACTTAAAATTATCACAAGAATATAAAACTAGAGTTGTACTTCATGCCATGAGCTAAGATTTCAGATGGTTAAAATAATGAAAACATTTTAAAATAGAATAAAAACATAAGGAAATGTGTGTGTGTAAATATATAATCAAGTAGTGGAGAAATTATTTTCTATTTTTAATGTTTAAGAAAATATTTATTCTTAGATAAGCTTATATAGTTGTTAGAGAAAAGAAATATACAAGCAAAAAGAAGAAAAAATACCCAGACTTCTACTCAGTTAGAAACCACAAAACCACCATTGGTTTCTAACTTGATAGCATGTTGGTTGTATATAGAAGTGCTCTTCTAAATGCAAAATTAAACAAATAATAACACACAAAAAGTGATTGAATCCGGCACAGTGGCTCGTGCCTGTAATCCCAGCACTTTAGGAGGCTGAGAAAGGAGGATGGCTTGAGCCTAGGAGTTCAAGACCAGCCTGAGCAATAAAGTGAGACCTCTTTGCTATAAATAAATAAATAAATAAATAAAGTGTTTTAGTTGCACAAAAAATTATGTATCAAATACCATCAACAAAATTGAAAGGCAAATGTCAAATATGAAGGAATATTTATGCCATGTGATAAAAATTTAACACCTTTAATGTATGAAGAGCACTTATAAGTCAATAAGAAATGAATGCCTGAATAGGAAAAGGAGCAGTCATGAATAGGGCAGTTTGTCATGGAAAACAAAATCAACCAATAAATGTGGGAAAGCATCATCAATCTCATTAGTAAACAAAGAAATGGATAATAAAACAATAAGGTACCATTAAAAAAAATGAAGTGCCTTTTAAAATCTACTGATAAATGTGGGAAAGCATCCTCAAACTCATTAGTAAACAAAGAAATGGAAAATAATAAGGTACCGTTAAAAAAAAATGAAGTACCTTTTAAAATCTACCAGATTGGTAAAGCTTTTAAAAATGATAATGCCACCATGGGACAGGGTGCTTGGAAACAACCACTGTCCATTAACTAATAAAATTTATATTTTCCTCTAACTTTCCTATTATTTATTTATTTATTTTTTGAGACTCAGTCTTGCTCTGTTGCCCAGCCTGGAGTGCAGTGGTGCAATCTTGGCTCACTGCAACCTCCGCCTCCCGGGTTCATGCCATTCTTCTGCCTCAGCCTCCCGAGTAGCTGGGACTACAGGCACCCGCCACCACACCTGGCTAATTTTTTTGTATTTTTAGTACAGATGAGGTTTCACCGTGTTAGCCAGGATGATCTCAATCTCCTGACCTCGTGATCTGCCCCTCTCAGCCTCCCAAAGTGCTAGGATTACAGGTGTGAGCCACCGCACCCGGCCAAAAAATTTTTCAACAAACAAAAAATATATGGTGACCAGGTATTCCTGTTTAGTTTCAGGGGGAAAAAAATCAACTTTTTGTGTTTTGTCAAAAAAGGACTCACATATGCATTGTTAGTGAGGAGAAATGTAAGCTTATATTACTAGCTATTCTCTAAAGCAACTTATTTTTAAATTTATTTTTATATTTTTTTGAGATGGAGTCTTGCTGTGTCACCCAGGCTGGAATGCAGTGGCGTATTTTTAGTAGAGACAGTTTCGCCATGTTGGCCAGGCTGGTTTTGAACTCCTGACCTCAAGTGATCCGCCCGGCTCAGCATCCCAAAGTGCTGGGATTACAGGTGTGAGCCACCTCGCCCAGCCTCTAGAGCAGTTTAGAAAATGTATTAAAAGCATTCAGAGTGCTGGGCACAGTGGCTTATGCCTGTAATCCCAGCACTTTGGGAGGCCAAGGCAGGCAGATCACAAGGTCAGGAGTTCAAGACCAGCCTGGCCAATATGGTGAGACCCTGTCTCTACTAAAAATACAAAAATTAGCTGGGCGCGGTGGCACGAGCCTGTAGTCCCACGCTACTCAGGAGGCTGAGGCAGGAGAATTGCTTGGACCCAGGAGGCGGAGGTTGCAGTGAGCTGAGATCGTGCCACTGACTCCAGCCTGGGCGACAGAATGAGACTCCATCTCAAAAAAAATAAGTAAGTAAATAAATAAATAAAAGCATTCATGATCTAAATACTTTTTGATCCAACAATTGTACTTAAAATAATTTATCCTAGAGAAATTATCAGAGCTGTGCAGGAAGACATGTATTTCAAAGATATTCTGTGTATACAAGGATATTTATGATACAGTAAATGTAGAAACAACCTAAATAGTTAAAATAGAAAATTGTCCAGGCATGGTGGCTCATGCCTGTAATCCCAGCACTTTGGGAGGCCGAGGCAGGTGGATCACCTGAGGTCAGGAGTTCGAGACCAGCCTGGCCAACATGGCAAAACCCTGTGTGTACTAAAAATACAAAAATTAGCTGGGCGTGGTGGCACATGCCTGTAGTCCCAGCTATTGGGGAGTCCAAGGCATGAGAATCAGTTGCGCCCAGGAAGCGGAGGTTGCAGTGAGCCAAGATCATGCCACTACACTTCAGCCTGGGCAGCAGAGCAAGACTTCGTCTCAAAATAAATAAATAAGTAAAAATTTTAAACATAATAAAATAGAAAATTGATTCAATGTACTACATAGTATATGTCTATAATGGAATGCTATGCAATAATTAGGAATGCTAATAGTAAATGACAAAAGTTGAGTGTAAATTTTAGATATACTTTGATCCTAATTACTCAGCCATTCACTCACAAATACTTAGTACCTACTGTATCCCAGGAATTGTTTTGGAACCAAGAGATAGAGCACTGAGTGAGGAAAAAACAAAACAGGTCATTTCTTTGCCTTCATGGAACTTACATTCTAGTTAGTAGAGAGAGAACAGTGAACAAATAATTTGTCAGTTGGTGATAATTGGAGAAAAATATAACAGAGTAGGGTGATAAGGTGCACCAAGGGAGGGAAAGGGAGAGAATGCCGTTTTATATACCATAGGTCAGGGAAGTGTCTGAAAAATATTTGAATAAAGACCTGAAGAAAGTTAGGGAGGAAGAGAGCAATGTTTACATCTGGGGTAAGAGTATTCCTTGTGGAGGGAACTGTGTGTATTCCAGCAAGAGTAAGGAGGTCAGCTTAACCAGCACAGTTAAACCAGGGAGGAGAATGTATGGGAAACAGGGTGAGAGAAGTGGAGGTTAGGGGTGAAAATGGAGGACCTTGTAGGACCTTTTGTAAGCACTTTGGACTCACACATTGATGAGATGAGAAGCCATTGTAGGGTTTTGAGCAGAGGGATGAAATATGACTGATATTTTAAAAGATCTTTTTAGTGGTTTGGTGTAGAATAGATTGGAGAGGAGCTGTTATGGAATCATGGAGATAAGAGGTGATTGTAATAACCCTGTCAAGAGATGATGGTAGCTTAGACCAATGATGAGAAGTAGTTTGATTCTGGATTTACAACTCTTGCCCACAAAGCCTTGTTAAAAGAAATAATGAAATACGTACATCAACATGTCAATAGTTAATCTCTATTTGGTAGTATTGCTAGTGATTTGTGTTTCTTTATACAGACCAATGTTTTTCAAAATTTCTATATTATTTTAAAAGCAGTAAAAAAAAACTAAAGTGACTTCTACTTTTTTGTATTTTTTCTTGATTTCAGAGTATTATGTGCATTTAAAATTTTAAGAATTTTTTTTTCTTTTTAATATTAGGTAGTCACTTCTGTCTTGTGATTCAGAGGGTGAATAGGTCCAGCTCTTAAATTAGAACCAAGATATTAGTTAACTGACTAGTGTAATTGATCAAGGAAGGAAATTACACTTTTTTCCCCCACTACAGAGGACTGTATTCAGCATTTTCCCTGTCATTCTTGTTTTCCTCTGTAAACTCTAGAAACCCACTTTCATATATTGATAAATTCAATGCCATAAGGAACAATTTTTTCTTATGTATTCTGCTGTTCTTACCTCATCACTAATGCAGAATAACTCAGTGATGAAAAACTGTGCAATATAGTTCAACAGAATGGTCATGTCCAGGTCATCCTTGCTAATGAATGAGAGGTATATCATTGATTTCCTGAAAATCATTTGTATGTATTATTAGAAAATATGATTTTTTTCCTCTGACTTATCTTTCTGATTTGCTTGATTACACCAAATAGTAAGACACTCATAAACCTGCTTACTCTAACTTAGGTGTGAGGTCTAGTGGTCCAGAGCATGCTGGTTGGCAGAGAGGGGATTAAAATTCAGGGTGGAATTCAGACATGGCTATAGACAATCTGGATTTGATTGCATTCCTAAACAACGAATCAACAAAACAAAACCCTTAATTATCTGGAAGCCTAACTTGAGTGTTCTGTTGGTCAATAATAGTAATCCTTGCTTTCAGTGGTAAGGTTGAGTCCTGTAATATTAGTTAGAAAATAGAGATTCTGGCTTTTTACTCTCAGAAGAACCCCTCCAGGTGACATGAAGAGAGGACAAGATAAAATTTTGTTTTGCTCTGCATTTTGGTTCTGAATCATGTTTTACAAGTAAATTGCAGATTTGTAGTGGGACTTGTTCTATAAACAACAAAATTACTTCATGGCCTGTTGGTTGTATCTTAGCCCATTAATTAAAAATAAATGTGCTTTGTTTCATTTTCATGAAAATAGAGAAAGTATATATCATCTTAGACTGTAGATTCTAACGAAATGTAATACATGAACTAAATCTAAAGCTTTCTATACCTTCTGTATCTTTCTGTGCCTACTAAGCAATTTATGTGGTGGATAAATGTTTTATCATGTTTGACTTGTTTTTCTTTGTTTACCTAATTGGCATGTAGATTTTCAGTTTAGTTTTTTAGTGATCCAGGATGGATGTGTTTGTTGTTGCTTCCTGAATGTTTCAGTGAAAATAATTCCTTTGCTCCAAAAACAACTATGTGGTTTATAATGCTTATGTTTTTTGAATTTTTCCATCACTTTTCTGTGAATTGTGTGTGGCACTGTGGAAAGAAAAATAGACTTTGCCTTCACACAGACCAGGTTGAATCCCAACATTGTCATGTAATAGCTGCATGAATAGCTGTGAGAGCCTCAGTTTCCTCACCAATCAGACTACATTATGGATTTCTTACAGTGTTCCTCTAGCATTATGCCTAGTATATGGTAGGCAGCCAATAAGTATTACTTCTTTCTATTTTCCTTCCTTTATATTTTGTTTGTCTTCTTTATCGAATAGAACCTTTGGTAATTTTATTACAGTTTAAGGTAATTTATATAAAGAGCACTTTTAATGGTGAATGAAAAGAATGTCAGTTACTAAATTTGGTCTGCATGGTGTCAGAGCTTCAGTCGAGGCCTTGCTTTTTTCCATTCTTTCAAAAAATGCTTATTATACAGTTTTGTGGTACATTCAAAATAAGTACTTGTGCCAGAATATCCTGCAAGATCCTTGTGCTAGAAGCTTTGTATACCTTGTCTAATCCTCACAACTATATAAGGTAGATATACTTTCTTTTTTATTGAAGGGGAAATTGAGGATCATATCAGGAAAGCTTTTAAAAATATTTATGTACTAATGGGCCAGTCAATGGATTAAAATACATGTGGTATACTGTAAAGTGATCTTTTGCCATTGGAGAGTGAAGGATCCATTATCAGATCAGAGTAGTCTCCATTGGGACTTCAGAGTAGTGGTTGTCAAGAAGCTGTGAGGGAGTTGAGCTACTGCTATTATTTGTGATATTGGAGGCATCTTTGAAGTCAGCATGCACTGTTGCCGTTTCAGGGTGCTTTGACTAAGGTTTTTTTATTTTTTTTCCTTCTTCTTCCATAATGTGGCTTATCAATTAATTCTTAAATCTTCAAAATGTGAGTATCTTCCTTAATTTTCATCACTTTATCTTTGGATATTGCAATAACGTTGCATTTTTTCCCCCTTATACAGTATTTGTAATGATTCTAATTATATCAAAAGGAAAATCTAGCATGGGTATGGATTTTCTTTTTTTACATTTGGTTTAGTGTTTTAGTTTTTCAGGGTTCACGTTAAAAAAACAACAACAACAATGATCTATAACTAGTTCTTCTTTTCTGTTAAAAAGGAAGATTAGGTCTTAGTATATTTTATTATTGTTGATATAATGTTCCACTAATGCTTAATATTGATCTTTTGTCATATATATTTATATACATTATAAAAGAGAACTTGTTTCGTAGTTATCTGCTTGTTATTTACATGAAATATGAGTGTTAAAGAAATACAGACAGATGTTTAGAATACATTAGTGCCAAGTGTGAGTTTTTATCTTATTGGCATAGGAATTTACAATGATTCATTGGGTTGTTTCTTTATTTAACTGGCTGATTCCAGTTTAAACATACCCTTGCCCCAACAATGATTTACTTTATTTAGAACCATAATCTGATGAGTGCAGAGACAACCTCAACCTAACATCCAAATATTTGATTTCGTAGTTATTAAAACATTAATATACTAATTACCATCATGTTGACAATCATCTGGGAATACTTTTTAGTATGAAAACTTTGAATATTTTCTTATTTCTAAAATCCAGGTTACTCATTTATGGTCTTTTCAAAGTGTAGTTTGTCCAGTGGTATTATTAGTTACTTTGGAAAGCAGGTAAGTATCAGAAATGTTTGGATTTTCTTTACATATTCTAAAGCCTTGCTTTAAGTGATAGTCAAACATCATAGGCTGCTAAGTATTTTTGGATGTGGTTTGTTGTTGAATATGTTTACTTGAGGCAAATAATAGTGGGCCCTTTTGGGATTATTTTACCTTGCTAAACTTAATTTCTGAAGATTTTAAATATGGTACATGAGATAGGTTTTCTTCTGTCTGCCTGCCTATAGCACGAGCTCTTTGTCACCAGTATTTTTTTATATATGTATATCCCACATGTCAAGCTGTTTCCTAAATAGAATAGTATCAAGAATATAGACCCTGATTAATTCTGTGTTTGGTGGAAAATGAGAGACAATCAGTTTCAGAAACATCTTAACATCTTAGGGAGTTGTTTTTTCAACATTGCTAGGATATTGGATCTAAGAGCTAAGAATTATTTTTGTTTCTCTTAGATTACAAGTCAGGCAGTTTCTGTGATGAGAGAAATATTCCTTGTATCCAGAAAATGCTGTCATCAGATGGAAAGTGCAGACCGAAATAAGGAGAGGGAGTCTCAGAAGAGAGCTTTTTAGCTTTGTTAGATTTATGACAGTAGAAAATGTGTATTCTCATTCTTACGAATGTTTTAAAATGATTTTGGCATTTCTGTTTCTTTGGAGATATTTTATGTCCTTTCTTTTATTTCTCCTAATTTAAAATTTCTGGCTTTACTTACCTATTTGAGAGATTATCAAGACCAAGTATTATGGTTTGTCATCACAAGATAGTAGTTGAAAGTGTTTATTGATGTTTTTGAGCATCTCCTTTATCAAAGTTAATAGACCCTAATGTGAAAGTTCATTATGTCATTCTTTAAAATCCAAAGATGAATCTGTGTGTTGGGGGAAGGGAGTAGCAGGAGGGGGAAGTTAATTGTTCAAGATAGATGGCTAAAATGGCTTAGCAAATGGGGAGACTTAACTGCTTATAGTCTATGGAGATTATTTGAGATCAGATTTCTCTTACAATTTAGAACATTTAGTAAACAAATTCAAACTATATGGTGCTGGATTCTAAATCATAGAAGTTAGAGTAGTCTATGGTTATGTTTTTTTTTTAAATTTGTACTAGTTCTCTGTTATATTTATATGGTCACCTTACATTTGTAGCTATTTTAAAATCTTAGTCCATTCTCCAACTTTAACTTTATATAAGGTAACCAAAATTTATTATATTTCAGGATGACCTAAATTCATATCAAAGAATCTTAGTCACTAAGAGGGAGAGGCATAAGAAAGCAGTGGGTATGGCACAGCTGGATTTTCAGATCCCAGTTAGAAAATCATCATTAAATATATCAGCTGAGAAATTTGGTTTGTATATTATTAAGAGAAACTAAATCCAAAGACCTCAGAAACATCTTTTTTAAAATCAGTTCCAAAATAGAAAGGTAGCACTTACTCTTGGGAACTTTCATTTGCCAAGAAAATGGAAACTTTACAAGGAGATGAACTGTTTCTGGCTTTTCAGTGGCCCCATCACTGCTAATTTACCCTCTCTATATAAAAGCGCTTGACAGCTGAGTTCCACCTATTTGCCATGGTCACACCAAGGAAAAAGTGTTTTATTAATTATTTTATTTATTTATTTATTTATTTATTTATTTATTTATTTATTTATTGAGATGGGATCTTGCTCTGTCACACAGACTGGAGTGCAATGGCACGATCAAAGCTCACTGTAGCCTACCACTCAGGCTCAAGCTGTCCTCCCACCTCAGCCTCCTGAATAGCTGGGAATACAGGTGTGTGCCACCACACCTGGCTAATTTATTTTTATAGAGACAGGGCTCCCTATGTTGCCCAAGCTGGTCCCAAACTCAGTCTCAGCAATTCTCCCACCTTGGCCTCCCAAATTGTTGAGATTGTAGGCATGAGCCACCACACCCAGCCAAGGGAAGGGTTTTGAGAGAATGTATTCTAGCTGTTTTTTTGTTTTTGTTTCTTTTCCACATTATCTTTATATTTCACTCTACTTGGGACCTAAGAACTGAATTCAATTTGATACATCACTGTTTGCTTCAAATTACTGTATAAACACTAGTGAGACAAATATGTCTAGTTTTTTTTACATGGATTGTGGGTCTGATATTAGAAGTTGTTTGTTATGGTTTGAATCTGTGTCCCCATCCAAATCTCACATTGAATTGTAATCATCAGTGTTGGATGTGGGGCCTGGTGGGAGGTGATTGGATCATGGGGGCAAATTTCTCATCAATGGTTTAGTACCATCCCCTTGGTACTGTCTTCACAATAGTGAGAGAGTTCTTGCAAGATCTGGTCATTTAAAAGTGTGTGGCACCTCCTATCCGTTCTTGCTCCTGCTTTTGCCATGTGTGATGCCTCCTCCCCCTTTGCCTTCTGCCATGATTGTAAGCTTCCTGAAGCCTTCCCAGAACCAGATGCTGCTGTGCTTCCTGTATAGCCTACAGCACTATAAGCCAAATATACCTCTTTTCTTTATAAATTACTCAGTCTCAGTTATTTCTTTATAGCAAAGTGAGAACAGCCTAATACATTGTTTTTAGCTGGTATAAAAACAGTATTTTATTTTTTCTTTTGGGACAGAGTCTCACTCTGTCGCCCAGTGGTGTGATCTCAGCTCACAGCAGCCTCCGCCTTCTGGATTCAAGTGATTCTCGTGCCTTAGCCTCCTGAGTAGCTGGGCTTACAGGCACCCACCACTATGCCCAGCTAATTTTTTGTATTTTTAGTAGAGATGGGGGTTTCACCATGTGGGCCATGCTGGTCTCGGAACTCCTGGCCTCAAGTGATTTACCCGCCTCAGCCTCCCAAAGTGCTGGGATTACAGGCGTGAGCCATCACACCCAGCAATGTGGATCAATTTAATAATGCATTCACTCAGCAAACATTTATTGAGCGCATATTCCATAACCAAGTATTAGGAGTACAGAGATAAATAAGACATGTTTCCTGTCCTGAGGATCTCATTGTCTGTCTCTAAAGTCTTAAACTTTGTTAAATAGGGAATCCTTTCCCCATTTCTTGTTTTTGTCAGGTTTATCAAAGATCGGATGGTTGTAGATATGTGGCATTATTTCTGAGGGCTCTGTTCTGTTCCATTGGTCTGTATCTCTGTTTTGGTACCAGTACCATATTGTTTTGGTAACTGTAGCCTTGTAGTATAGTTTGAAGTCAGGTAGCGTGATGCCTCCAGCTTTGTTCTTTTGGCTTAGGATTGACTTGGCAATGCAGGCTCTTTTTTGGTTCCATATGAACTTTAAAGTAGTTTTTTCCAATTCTGTGAAGAAAGTCATTGGTAGCTCGATGGGGATGGCATTGAATCTATAAATTACCTTGGGCAGTATGGCCATTTTCATGGTATTGATTCTTCCTACCCATGAGCATGGAATGTTCTTCCATTTGTTGGTATCCTCTTTAATTTCATTGAGCAGTGGTTTGTAGTTCTCCTTGAAGAGGTCCTTCACGTCCCTTGTACGTTGGATTCCTAGGTATTTTATTCTCTTTGAAGCAATTGTGAATGGGAGTTCACTCATGATTTGGCTCTCCGTTTGTCTGTTATTGGTGTATAAGAATGCTTGTGATTTTTGCACATTGATTTTGTGTCTTGAGACTTTGCTGAAGTTGCCTATCAGCTTAAGGAGATTTTGGGCTGAGACAATGGGGTTTTCTAGATATACAATCATGTCATCTGCAAACAGGGACAATTTGACTTCCTCTTTTCCTAATTGAATACCCTTTATTTCCTTCTCCTGCCTGATTGCCCTGGCCAGAACTTCCAACACTATGTTGAATAGGAGTGGTGAGAGAGGGCATCCCTGTCTTGTGCCAGTTTTCAAAGGGAACGCTTCCAGTTTTTGCCCATTCAGTATGATGTTGGCTGTGGGTTTGTCATAGATAGCTCTTATTATTTTGAGATACGTCCCATCAATACCTAATTTATTGAGAGTTTTTAGCATGAAGGTTGTTGAATTTTGTCAAAGGCCTTTTCTGCATCTATTGAGATAATCATGTGGTTTTTGTCTTTGGTTCTGTTTATATGCTGGATTACGTTTATTGATTTGTGTATGTTGAACCAGCCTTGCATCCCAGGGATGAAGCCCTCTTGATCATGGTGGATAAGCTTTTGGATGTGCTGCTGGATTCGGTTTGCTAGTATTTTATTGAGGATTTTTGCATCGATGTTCATCAGGGATATTGGTCTAAAATTCTTTTTTTGTTGTTGTTGTGTCTCTGCCAGGCTTTGGTATCAGGATGATGCTGGCCTCATAAAATGAGTTAGGGAGGATTCCCTCTTTTTCTATTAATTGGAATAGTTTCAGAAGGAATGGTACCAGCTCCTCCTTGTACCTCTGGTAGAATTTGGCTGTGAATCCATCTGGTCCTGGACTTTTTTTGGTTGGTAAGCTATTAATTATTGCCTCAATTTCAGAGCCTGTTATTGGTCTATTCAGAGATTCAGCTTCTTCCTGGTTTAGTCTTGGGAGGGTGTAAGAGTTGAGGAATTTATCCATTTCTTGTGGATTTTCTAGTTTATTTGCATAGAGGTGTTTATAGTATTCTCTGATGGTAGTTTGTATTTCTGTGGGATCGGTGGTGATATCCCCTTTATCATTTTTTATTGCGTCTATTTGATTCTTCTCTCTTTTCTTCTTTATTAGTCTAGCTAGCGGTCTATCAATTTTGTTGATCCTTTCAAAAAACCAGCTCCTGGATTCATTGATTTTTTGAAGGGTTTTTTGTGTCTCTATTTCCTTCAGTTCTGCTCTGATCTTAGTTATTTCTTGCCTTCTGCTAGCTTTTGAATGTGTTTGCTCTTGCTTCTCTAGTTCGTTTAATTGTGATGTTAGAGTGTCAATTTTAGATCTTTCCTGCTTTCTCTTGTGGGCATTAATGCCATAAATTTCCCTCTACACACTGCTTTGAATGTGTCCCAGAGATTCTGGTATGTTGTGTCTTTGTTCTCGTTGGTTTCAAAGAACATCTTTATTTCTGCCTTCATTTCGTTATGTATCCAGTAGTCATTCAGGAGCAGGTTGTTCCGTTTCCATGTAGTCGAGCGGTTTTGAGTGAGTTTCTTAATCCTGAGTTCTAGTTTGATTGCACTGTGGCCTGAGAGACAGTTTGTTATAATTTCTGTTCTTTTACATTTGCTGAAGAGTACTGGCTAGCCATGTGTAGAAAGCTGAAACTGGATCCCTTCCTTACACCTTATACAAAAGTTAATTTGAGATGGATTAAAGACTTAAATGTTAGACCTGAAACCATAAAAACCCTAGAAGAAAACCTAGGCAATACCATTCAGGACATAGGCATGGGCAAGGACTTCACGTCTAAAACACCAAAAGCAATGGCAACAAAAGCCGAAATTGACAATTGGGATCTAATTAAACTAAAGAGCTTCTGCACAGCAAAAGAAGCTACCATCAGAGTGAACAGGCAACCTACAGAATGGGAGAAAATTTTTGCAATCTACTCATCTGACAAAGGGCTAATATCCAGAATCTACAATGAACTTAAACAAATTTACAGGAAAAAAACATCTCCATCAAAAAGTGGGCAAAGGATATGAACAGACACTTTTCAAAAGAAGACATTTAAGCAGCCAAAAGACACATGAAAAAATGCCCATCATCACTGGCCATCAGAGAAATGCAAATCAAAACCACAAGGAGATACCATCTCACACCAGTTAGAATGGCGATCATTAAAAAGTCAGGAAACAACAGGCGCTGGAGAGGATGTGGAGAAATAGGAACACTTTTACACTGTTGGTGGGACTGTAAACTAGTTCAACCATTGTGGAAGTCAGTATGGCGATGCCTCAGGGCTCTAGAACTAGAAATACCATTTGACCCAGCCATCCCATTACTGGGTATATACCCAAAGGATTATAAATCATGCTGCTATAAAGACACATGCACACATATGTTTATTGTGGCACTGTTCACAATAGCAAAGACTTGGAACCAACCCAGATGTCCAACAATGACAGACTGGATTAAGAAAATGTGGCACATATACACCATGGAGTATTATGCAGCCATAAAAAATGAGGAGTTCATGTCCTTTGTAGGGACATGGATAAAGCTGGAAACCATCATTCTCAGCAAAGTGTCGCAAGGACAAAAAACCAAACACCGCATGCTCTCACTCATAGGTGGGAATTGAACAATGAGAACACATGGACACAGGAAGGGGGACATCACACACTGGGGCCTGTTGTGCTGTGGGGGACGGGGGAGGGATAGCATTAGGAGATGTACCTAATGTTAAATGACGAGTTAATGGGTGCAGCACACCAACATGGCACATGTATACATATGTAACTAACCTGCACGTTGTGCCCATGTACCCTAAAACTTAAAGTATAATAAAAAAAATGCTGGGGGAAAAAAATAAATAAAGTCTTAAACTTTGGCACAGAGAAATGTGAGGCTCAGTTAGCTGCTCTAGATAAGGTCATTTAACTCCCAGATACGAAAAACAATGAACTACCAAGGCAAGGCATAAATTGTTGGTGTGGATATTCTATTTTATTTTGTCTAGAAAACCTTGGAAGTAAGATTCTAGTAAACAGTGGAATTTTTTCTCCTTAGAGAGTTTGGTAGTCATTACTCAATGTTTTAATAAACTTTTCCCCAGGGTCTACTGTTTGTAAGCATCATGATCAGCACTAGGGATATAAAATATATGAGATAGAGTGTTTTATTCTTGAGGAGGTCAGTGGGGGAGACAGCTATATATGCAAATAATTACAGTATGGTGGGGATAGACATTTTATTATTGAATTCTGTACCAAGTGATTTCTGTTGGTAGGAGTGACACTAGGGAGTAAAGAGGAACTAAGGAGGTCAGGTAACAGGGACACTGGGCAATAAAGAGAAACTAAGGTCACCAGGCCAAAAATCCTGGATGACTGAAGGAGGCAGCCAGTTCTGCCTAGGAGAATCTTTCAGAAGCTCTTTACTTCTACATCATATATTAGCAATTTCAGTGATGATTACTAAGAGAAAAACAAAAGTAAATTTTAAAGCACAAGAATATCTTTGTTACAAAGAAGGCATTTTGTTATTTATAATAAAATCTCATGTTGGTTCTGCTTTGTAGTTGACCTTTTAACGATATTTTTCATTGGGAGCAGCTTCCCACTTTGCAAATGAAGAAAGTAAACAAAGAGTAAAAGATCATCCATAGTGATATTGCCAGAAACAGCGATGAATTTGCACTGCTCTAAATGGGTGCATCTATAAATTTGGTATTAGAAGGCCTATAACATTAGAACAGATAGCCTTGTGGGGTAGAACTATTTAAGAGGGATTGATGGTGCACAAAATTAGAAAACAGTGGTCCACATTCAATATTTTTATTTTATATATTGGCTAGTTGAAGTGGTTGGTGTTCTTATTCCTTAAAACCTATTAAAAAGTAAAACACTTCAGAGAACCTTTTATCTCAGTGTTCTAGGTCTGTCTATTAGCCAAAGTGCCCTTTTCCATTATCATCACAAGCTACTCCTAGAATCTTCTCTGCATCCAACAGAAATTTCCTGTCTGGCAGTTACAACCAGTTTTTGTTTACTTTCTTTTATTTAAGAACTTTAAAAATCAGTGATTAACTCTTTGGTTACTTCAGAGATAATGAGTATAATCAGTATACACTTATTTTTCCTTATATTTGATATTTTCTTCAACAATTTTGCTCCTTTTTAAAGAAAGGTGTTTGTAGATCACTGAAAAGATTTAAAGCCTTGAGTTTTATAAGTGGTGCTAGGGCACGCTTTTTTTTTTTTTTAAACTACATTTGGGGCAAATTATTTCTTACCTTCCGTTTGCCAGAATTTCACCTGTTATAGACCAGAATAATTTATCCACCTTTTCTGTAAGAATAGTTTAAAAGGTAAGAGCTAGTAGGACATTAGATCAGAGTAGTTACTAAATTTCAAAGTATTATATCATAGTGATTATGAATATTGTTATAGCTGGAGACAGTCTTCTTTGGATCCTATTAGGTTGTCTTCTTGGTTCTAGTGCAAGGTGTGGCAAAGCTTTACTTTTGAATTAGCATTTTATACTTTTGCCATCTTCAGAGAGTTTGTAGAACATTGACCACATTGTTAGGTGGTTCGTGGTTCAGGAAAGCAAATACTAACTCCGACTGTAGTAGCTACCTGAAGCACCTGTTCAGAATTAGGAGGTTTATAGGGGACATGTGGTAAGGAGGGGTGTCATCTATTAGCATCTGACATGATTGCAAGCTGGGGAGAGAGGGAGTGGGTTTTGTGTTACTTATACCGCATGTTTGCTAAATTCATAAAGGAGAATTAGAATAGGTATTTATTCTAATTAATAAATTATAAATTATATTTTATAAGTTATACATTAATTTATAATTTATGACTAATAAATTATAACTTATAAATTAATGAGTCATTCTTACCATATCCCTCTTCAGAAAATCATTCTCTCTGTTCACATACCTCCAGTGAGAAGCTTACTGCCTGCCTGAGATCCCACTCTGTCGTTGGACAGCTCTGTTAGAAATTCTCCTCTGTGGTATTTTTCTTCCCACACATTTACTACTGTGTGTTTCAAACATTTATGAAACCCTAATATAAGGGGTTTCTGGCAAGGGTTAATTATGAGGTTTTTGTGTCATTTATCCTTTTTGCCCATTTGAAAACTTTTAAGTTAAATATTCACAGGAAGTTGCCAATATAATACAGAGATCTCCTGTCTACTGTTCACCAGTTACCCCCAATCATAACATCTTACAAAACTGTATTATAATAGCAAAACCGTAAAATCGACAGTGGTATAATCCATAAGCCTTATTCAGATTTCACTAGTTTATATACATTTGTGTGTGTGTGTGTGTATGCATGCATGCATGCAATTTTGTTACCTGTGTAGATTTGTCTAACTATCAAAATAGTCAAGATACAAAGCTGTTCCATACCTACAAAGATCTCCCTTATGCTACCCCTTTATAGTTACCCTCAATCTTCCCTCCCCCTGCCAATTCCTGGTCCCTGGCAACCATTAATCTGCTTTCCATTTCTGAAATGTCATCATTTTTAGAATGCTATATAAATGGAATCATACAGTATTTGTATATAGCCTTTGAGAATGGCTTTTTACACCCAACATGATTCCCTTGAGATCTATCCAAATTGTTACGTATATCAATAGTTATGCTGGTTGGTGTTCTTTTTAGTAATTACAGATATCTTTCCTTCTAAGACTACAATAAACATTTGCCTAACTATATGAACATTTGAAATACTATAAAAGTGATTAAACTTGTAGAGCTGTTCAATTTGAATTCAGTCATTTTATAGTACATATGATATCTCAACTTTGATAATTTGTTGCTGAACTGTGAGGGCTAACGAGGAGTGAAAGACTGAGAGTCAGGAGACCCCATTCTTCTGTCTGTTTTTAACCAGCTCTGGGAACACATGCTCATGATTCAACTCATTTGTGCTGCTGCTGATGTGGCCAAAGGTTGTCTCCCTGATAAGGTAATTGTCAGGATGAAATGAGACATAAAAGTCAAAATATAAATTTACCTATAGTATGTCAAACAAAAATAAATGTGCAAGGTACAAATTAAAAGGAAATATACTGAATTATTAACTGATTGTGTCTGGTATAATGAGATTGATAATAACAAGTTGTTTAGTTTTTTTGAAAAGAATTGCCTTTTCTAATTTTTCCATAATGAAGGCATATTTTATCTTTGTTTTTCTGTTCATAAAAATAATGCATACTTAATAAAAATTGAAACATGACAGATATTTACACTAGGAAATGAAAACTTACTGAAATTCCCCACCCAGACTTAACGATTTTGAACTCTTTGTTGTATTTTTTTTCTATGCACATAGTAAGCTTTTGTTATTATTGAAACAGAAAATGAGAATTTGCTGTGCGTATTGTTTTGCATCTTATTTATTTATTTATTTGAGACAGAGTCTTGCTCTGTCACCCAGGCTGGAGTGCAGTGGTGCCATCTTGGTTCACTGCAACCTCCACCTCCTGGGTTCAAGCAATTCTCCTGCCTCAGCCTCCTAAGTAGCTGGGACTACAGGTGCACGCCACCACGCCCAGCTAATTTTTGTATTTTTTTTAGTAGAGACAGGGTTTTGCCATGTCGGCCAGGCAGGTCTCAAACTCTCGGCCTCAGGTTTTCTGCCTGCCTCAGCCTCCCAAAGTGCTGGGATTACAGGTGTGAGCCACTGCACCCAGCTGCATCTTACTTTTCGCTAAGCTATGTTGAACATTTTTCCATAGGTATACATATAGTTTTAATAGCTATGTTGTTACTTCACTGTGTACATGTAGTATTCATTCATTTCGTCAGCTATTATTCATTGAATACTTGCTGTGTTTAAGGCACCATGGTGGGGAAACTACGATGAATAATATATGAAGCTTACATTTTTGTGGGAAGACAGGCATTAATGATGATTAATTTCTCAATTGACCATTTGATTACAAATGTTATAAGCACTAGGAAAGAGCAGTACAGGGAGCTATGTAAGTGCTTATTAGAGAGACTTAACCTGCTTTGGGAACCAGGGAGAATTTTCCAGAGAAAATAACTTTGTGATAAAATCTAAGTATGTTTATGTAAGAATCAGGAAATGGGTGATGAAGGAATAGTACATAGATAAATAGATATATACATATACAGCTGGAAGGCTGTATGTCAAAATGGCAATCATATTTATTTGTGGTGATGGCATTACAGAAGTTTTAAAAGTCTCTATTTTCTAATTTTTCTATGGTGAACATGTATTTATCATTTGACTAAAATAGAAAAACTAAACCTGTTGGGTATGTGAATACACATGCACGTAAAGAAAAACAAAACTGATAAAATATATCTCACAGTGTTAATACTGTGGTGGCATTACAGTTAGCTATTGAATTTTTAAACAGGCTTTTTAAGAGCAGTTTTAGATTTATAGAAAAATTGAGAAGATGGTACAAGAGTTTCCATATGCCCTCCCCCCAATACACACGTACCCTATCATATTTATTAACATCTTATGGTGCATTTGTTACAATAAATAAACCAATATTGATATTATTAGCTAAAATTCATAGTTTATTCAGATTTCCTTAGTTTTTACCTGTATCATTTTTGTGTTCCAGGAACCCATCTAGGATACCACACTTACATTTAGTTTTCAGGTCTTCTTATTCTTCTCTTGGCTGTGATGATTTCTCTGATAATCTTTATTTTTTATGTTCTTGACAATTTAGAGGAGTACTGGTGAGGGATATTGTAGAATGTCCCTCTTTTGTGATTTGTCCAATGTTTTTCTCATGATTAGACTCATGGGTTTTTTTCCTGTACATATATAATATATAGTTGTTGTTGATTTTTATTTTTTTATTTTTTATTTTATTTTTATTTTTTTTACTCATCCGTGTTTCTGTTTATATATGGGATAACAAATTCAGGAACAATGGGAAAGTAATATATAAAACCTTAATAGGAAATACAGTAGAGATTACAAAACACTACCATTTGATTTTTTATGCAAATACTTAAATATTCCAATATTTTTACTCACTTGCTAAATAAAGCACACGACTCGAAATGCTAAGTAACTCTGTTAGTCTGAATCTTTTAAAGAATAAAATGTTGGTGAAAAACCAAAGTTGTTTAGTAAGGTATGTATGACCTTGTTTATTATCTATCGTAGACATCAAGATGATCATAGTTAATACCAATTTAAGCTTTACAGAATACTGTTTTAGGCCCAATATTGATATATTAAATGAAAGTATCAGAGAATCTTGTATTTATGGCATCAGGTTATAAAGATCTATTCAAAACCATTTTTGTCAAAGTTTAAACACTGGAACAAAAGTCAAATTGTTTCTAAATGAGACACAAAATAATTCTTGCTATTAGTACAAATTTTGTCCCATGGGTAATACTGTTGTCTTTTTCTTTTTTAAAAAAATTATTTCGATTTTTATTTTAGATTCAGGGAACACATGGGCAGGTTTGTTAGCTGGGTATACTGTGTGATGCTGAGGTTTGGGGTACGGATGATGCTGTCACCCAGGTAGTGAGCAGAGTGCCAGTAGGTAGTTTTTCAGCTCTTGCTCCCACTCCACACCCTACCTCCCCAGTGTCTGTTATTCCCATGGGTCGTCAGGTATTACTATTTTCAAGTTTTTTTCTTTACATGAAACTACGGAAAGCAAAAGTATGTCATGCTTATACGTTACTCTGTACATTTATCATTCTATTAATAAACATCTTAAGTAATTAAGTAGTATATTAAGGCCATCAACCAAGTCATTATCTCCTACCAGAGGACTACTGTTATTCAGTCATCTAGAAAATTCGTTTTAGGCAGGACGCAGTGGCTCACATGTGTAATCTCAGCACTTTGGGAGGCCGAGGTGGGTGGATCATGAAGTCAGGAGTTCGAGACCATCCTGACCAGCATGGTGAAACCCTGCCTCTACTAAAAATACAAAAATTAGCTGGGCGTGGTGGTATGTGCCTGTAATCCCAGCTACTCAGGAGGCTGAGGCAGGAGAATCGCTTGAACCCGGGGAGGCAGAGGTTGCAGTGAGCTGAAATCGCACCATTGCACTCCAGCCTGGGTGACAGAGAGAAACTCTGTCTTAAAAAAAAAGAAAATTCATTGTAATGGGTTATATTACAGGGTTGAGGTCAGCCTACAGACCCAAAATAGGTTAACTGAATTTTTTTTTTTTCGTATCAGGTTTTACTTTTTTCATTGGAACAGGATTTGAGGGTGGGGATACTAAATGTGGCAGGGTTCAACAAATTTACATTTTATCAAAATAAGGTTCTTAAAGAATACAATGATAGCATATGCTTTAACTCTTATAACACAAACCCTCATATTAATTGATGGTCACAGAAAAATACTGTAATGCTTTAAACAAAAGTTTTAAAATACATCAGTGACACAAGTTTTGAAAGGAAGACCACAGAAATAAAGTACCATTCTCATCACATCATATCAAGGGTATATACTGTCAGCATGACTTATCGCTGTTGATGTTAACCTTGCTCACTGGCTAAGGTAGTGTTTGCCAGGTTTCTCCATTGTAAAGTTATTCTTTTCCCCTCTTTCCATATACTACTCTTTAAAAGGACGTCTTGGCCGGGCACGGTGGCTCACACCTGTAATCCCAGCACTCTGGGAGGCCGAGGTGGGTGGGTAATCTGAGGTCAGGAGTTCGAGACCAGCCTGACCAACATGGAGAAATCCCATCTCTACTAAAAATAAATAAATAAATAAATATATATATATATACACACACACACACACACATACATATATATATATACACACACACACACACACACACACACACACACACACACACATACATACATACATACATACATTACTGGGCATGGTGGTGCATGCCTGTAATCCCAGCTACTCAGGAGGCTGAGGCAGGAGAATCGCTTGAACCCAGGAGGTGGAGGTTGCGGTGAGCCGAGTTCGCGCCATTGCACTCCAGCTTGGGCAACAAGAGTGAAACTCCATCTCAAAATAAACAAATAAATAAATAAAATAAAAGGAAGTCTTTGTGCACAGCCTATGTTAGGTTGCACTTCCTAGAAGAAGTGAATAAACTATTTGATTATTCTGCCTAGGAAATTTGTTTATTCTTCCTCATTTATTTACTTAGTTATTTATATTGGTATGAACTTGAAGACTTATTTTATACTTTGGATTTTAATCCAGTATTACTTTATTTTATTGCTCATCTTGTTTCAGCTTTAACCATTGGAAGTTCTTTCAGTTGCCTCCTGCGCCCCTTTGACATACCCATATCAACCATATTTTGTGTGTGTATTTAAGCATTTAAAAAATTTTCTGACACTACAAAATGCCCCAGGTTTATCTTGTGTATTTCCTGCGATAGCCCTAGAAATAGCAATTTTTGCCAAAGAGCCTTCCTTTTATTAGAGAATAGTGTAAGAAACCAAAATCTAGATATTATTTTGTTTTTGCTTAATATTCTATTCCTACTTCTGGTTTTTCCTTTTATTTTAAAAGGCTTCTGATAAGCCAAATATAAATTCTACCATGTTAAATGTATTTTGGCTCACTGATTATCCATTTCTAACTACCTTGTCCTTCCCTTCCTTCTCCCTTTAGACATCTTTCAGCTAGGGTTGGCCCTGTGACACAGTGCTGGCCAGGGACATGTAAGTACAAGTCCACTGGGGAGAGCTTTCTTTCCATAATCAAAAATCAAAACCTTATGGGAGATATTTTTAGGCCTTCAGCCTTCTTCCTGCCAGGAATATGGAACTGATGCCTGGAGGTTCATCATGAGTATGAAAACAAATTCGAGGGAATGCACAGCAGATGGATAGAAGGACTTTGTTTTGTGATGTCATTGATGACCTGCAGTCAAACCATTCCTGGTCTGCCCAGCCCCAGACTGCTGATTGCCTAAAATAAAATCCTGTGTGTTTAAATTGTTGTTACCTGGTTTTTCTGTGAGTGTAGCCCCACACATAGTCTTAGCCAATTCAGTTATTTATTTGGTTGGCAGAATTGTTATTTGTTTATTTATAAAATACCTGTTGAAGACCTACCATGTGTAAGCCTCCATAAAATGGAGCACAAAGAAAGAAACTCTTATCAGTCAGTATTGGCTCCGTACTCTCTGAACCCAGGTTTAATAATGATGTACAGAATAGGATAATTACATGAGTAACTATAATTAAAAATGGAATATAGTAATATGTGTCACTTAGTTGGTCGCAGTTACCTGTCATCTGTTACTGTAATCTATTTTTCTTATTGTATTCTCTGTGTCAGCAAAAAGTTTCACTATTTACCTAGTTTCAGAACAGAAACCCAGGAGTAGTACTAGTCCCTTTATTTTCTCTAACTCCCCACGCCCTGTTTTTCCTACCTTGTAAAAATTTTTTGGTCCGTTTTCTTTATTTCCTTTACTCCTGCACTAATTATGACTGTCATAAATTTCTCTCACATGATTCATACAACTCTTCATACCTAGTATCCCTACTCCCAGTGTTCATCCCTCCCCACACTACTAACTAGGCAGTCTTTCTAAAGGCACTTTAAAATCTTGTTTTTCTCTTCAGTAAAATTGTATATTGGCTCTGCATAGTCTCTAGTGTAAAGTTCAAATTTTTTCTCTTGTGAAAGCCCTCCAGGATCTGAACCTGCGTGGCTATCCAGCTCCACCTTATGGCACTGTCCTCATTACACAGTGCCCCCCACCAGACGCACACCTTATCTCATTCCAAACGTTTAACAACTTCTGCCTTTAGTTTTCTTTTTCTTTTTTTTTTTTTTTTTTTTTGTGGGGGTTGGGGGGGTTGGAATCTCGCTGTGTTTCCCAGGCTAGAGTGCAGTGGTGCAATCTTGGCTTGCTGCAACCTCCGCTTCTTGGGTTCAAGCAATTCTCCCTGCCTCAGCCTCCCGAGTAGCTAGGATTACAGGTACCCGCCAGCACGCCTAATTTTTGTATTTTTAGTAGAGACAGGGTTTTGCCATGTTGGCCAGGCTAGACTTGAACTCCTGACCTCAAGTGATCCACCCGCCTCTGCCTCGCAAAGTGTTGGGATTACAGGCGTGAGCCACTGCACCCGGCCTGCCTTTAATTTTCTATGTCCTCATTTATTTCCGAACATTCCTTCAACCCTGAAATTCTTACTACTCCCAATGCCTTTTAGACCTTAATTAAGACTTAGAGCTGGTCATTCAGAAAACTTCTGAATTCTCAACCTATCCCTGTCAAGAATTCCTGTACCCAGCCTCTGTTATTGCATAATAACTCTGGCAGTTATCATATGGGAGATGCCTCTTGAATTCATCTACTTCCGTCTTCATTACCACCACTTTGTTCTAGGCTACCATCATAATAACCTATTTAAATGGTCTGTCTGCACCTACTTTAATAACTTGTGAAATCTATTCTTTAACCAGTATCCAGTGATTTTTCAAACTACAGATCTGATCATTATGGCCCTGTGTTTAAAAAATGTTCTCTGGTTTCCTAATGATCTTAGGCTGTAAACTAATACCTAAAATGTCCTGCATAGATTTGTTCCTATCTACTTACTTCTCAAGCCTCATTGGGTTTTTGTTTGTTTGTTTAGTTCTTTAAACATACTATGCTCCCTGTCATCTCAGAACCTTTGCATGTGGTATTCCCCTGTCTGAAACATTTATCAGTTAGATTTCATCCTTCAGATCTCAACGCTTCTTTAGGTTATCCCCAAGCCAGGTCTAGGTCAGATTCCTTTGTTGTATGTTTTACTTTCCATGTCTTTTGCATAAACTTATATAGTAGAGCAAGCTGACAAGCACATAGTTGCATTTAATTTTCAACATTGGTTGTAGCTCCCATCTAAAAGTAGCTTTTCTGCATGTGCCCTTCTAGAAACCTTCACTTGTATGCAACTGGTCATTTCACTCATCTCATTAGACTCCTGTCCTGTTTGGACTTCATGGTGCAAACTACTTAAATGTGGCTCTTGTCAGCACCCTAGGTTCTTTTGCTCAAAACCTTTTTTACAGCCCAAGCCATTTGTTCTCTAATTTTTAGTTGTGGTTTATTTTTTGTGCTTTGATATGAAACCTGCAGAGAAAGCAGTTTACTTTGTTCAGAAAAGTTCTAAGTAATTTAAGTTCTGCTTAAACAGTGCTATGACCAAGCTAGGAACATAAGAGACTTGTAAAAGGAGTGACTCAGGGACCCCAGACTTAAACCTATTAGTTCAAACTTTTGTATGACTTCATGAACTCCTGAAAAACATCCAGATTTGGCCATAAGTTTAAACATATATCACAAAGTCGTAGGCTCAAGCATTCAAAGAGGCTTTAGAGTTACTGAGTTTTAGTCCAGCCACCTCTATTCAATGTCAGTTGGTTTCTGAGTGTTCTCTACCACCCATACATAAGAGATTGTCTTCCTTCCATGTAGTGAGCTGAAACCTGTCTCCTTACAAATTTAGTCCACTAGTTTGGGTTCTTAGCACTGTTTGTGAAATGACAACTCAGGTATGAGAAGACAGCTACCATGTTCTCCCTAAACAGTTTTTCTCCAGGAAGAATAGCCACAGTTCCTCATATGTCATGACTTAAGGTTCTTTTATTGTCCTGTTTGAATATTTAAAGTTTTGATTGTTTGAATGTTTTGGATTACTCACCACTATGTCCTTTTCTATTAGTATAAATAATAAAGGTGATTGTATATAAAACAAGTTAATAGTTTTTTATGGCAAATAAAAAATATGCAATGACAAATTAGTTGTGAGACTGAAATACTACTTGGTGTTTAGCTCACAGATCTAAAAAGCTATTTAGGCTTTTTTGGTGGATTAAATAAAGGGTGGGGACAGAGGATAGTTGAAGGAAACTGGAATAGGTGATTATTTATGTAATGTGTGACCACTTCCTTCACTTTATTACACCATTACATTTGCATATTACTATCATTTTCAATCTGTGATCAGCTGTTTAATTTTAGAAATGCAATGTATTCAGCATTTTGCAACCACCACATGTAGATTGTTGATTTTCTGGAAGCTGTAAAGGTGTTTTTTTTTTCCCTTGCTGGAAAATGCACATTCTGTCATTAATTATAAAACTTGTGGCAGCCTTATATGTCATTCCTTCTGTCTGTGCAGAATACAGATTTACTACTTGCTTCAATTAGGAGAGTCAAAAGCAATGGTGGCCGCTGAACTTTCTATGAACTTCAAAGTCCTAAGCATAATTTGTCAGGGGTTTCTAAGGTTTCTCTTTTTACTTTTCCTTTATCTTACTCTGGGATAAAACCTCCATAAATGAGAAAAGACATATTCATCTTTGGTAATGGCACAAACTTGTTCCTTTCTGATCTTTAGCCACTCAGGTGCTAAAGTATTAATATCAAAGAAAATTATAAAATGACTTTATACTAATTATTTTATATGCAGCAAACATGGGAAAAGGAATATGCTCCTCCTTTTACCTGATGTTTGTGGTTTTACTCATACTCCTGAAATGCAGACATTTCAAATAGAATCTTTCCAAAGTACTGCTTTTTTTGGATTTTTTTTGGCTTTGATTTTGTATTGTATACAGTAACTTTTTCATGATGTCATGTTATTGACCCAGCTTTGAGCAGAACTTTTAGTATCCACAGCATCTCAATAATTTAGCTTGTTTTTTCTTCTCCCTCATTGTAACATTTGTTGAAAGGTACAGGACCAAGAAAAGTCCTTGTGCAACATTAGCAAGCATTTAATTAAGGGGTGATGCCTGTGGTACCAGAGTATGTGAAGTGAAACAGAGATGCTTAATCAGCCACAAAAGCTATTTACTGCTTCGTAAACCTCGGTGCTCAGTGTCATAAATATTATTACTGTTCTAGGACTTCAGAAAAGTAATGAAATATCAAAACTGATTTTTCTCTACTGTTAAAGTATGGAAAGCTTTCCTCCTAATAGAACTTGTAATGAAGCTGACATTTGGGAGAAGCATACATAACTGAAATTTATTAACTGGAATGTGATCAGAAGGGACTTAAATACAAATGAGGGGTATGTTGAAAGTAAAGCACAGAGGAAAAGGTTTTATCTCTATTAAGCCTGAAGTTACCCTGAGGAATAAGTCACATAATATTGCCATATATATTTCAAACGCCTACATGGGCATGGACTAATAGATGCTTCCTGTCCATTAGCTTAAATCTTTATAGCAACTCTGTAAACTAAGTTGATTCCAGTTTTACAAATGAAGACATGGAAGGAAGCTCAGAGAGATTAAGTCACATAGATGTGTATGATAATGCCTGTGCTCTTTCTAGTACTTCAAACTGCTTATTAGATGAAAGCTTATATTAAAAAGCCTTTAAAATATTTATTCTGTTGAATATCTGTTAGTATACCTGAAAAGCTCAATTGTGCCGTGTTAATTCTTAAATTTTTAACCTTTTATTTATTCTGTTTTCAACATTTGTTAAGCAGCTAGTATATTCCTAACACTAAGTATTATGAAGCCTGTAACTAAATAAAGGACAAAAGTATCCTCAGAATTCCCATAGTTAAGTCTAAAGGAAGATTTAAACTTGAATTGTTGAAGAGGTCTTATTGATTCCTTCCCACTGAGTCTTCCTCCTCAGAGTTTACCAGGTAAATACCCCAGCCTATATACTCAAAATTTGAGAGCAGGATCAAAGAGAGCAGGGTTCTCTTTTCCAGTACTTGGACTATTTGCCAGATCCTTTCCAAATTGTATCCCTTTTGTTGAGAGGGGGAAGTACATGCAAAAGCTAAAATGCATAATCCAATTTACTCTATATGATCCAGCTTACAAGCACAAATAAGGAAAGAGTTTATAGTCTTGTTGAAATGCCTTGATAGAGAGGAAATTGTATACAGTGGAAACCTAGAGGAGGTAGTTAGCATAAGACCTCCTGAAGAGGAGTGGTTTTTATAAATAAACTGATTGTTAAGAGAAGGCAAAAGCTGGTTAGTAAGGAAGCTAAGGGAAGGCTTTTGTGATGATTCTAAAATTTTATTAACCCAAATGTTTGTATCTATCGATTGATTACGCTTCTCTTTCCTTTGTTATCTACGACAGTAGATCTCTGTAGATCTTTTATTCTGGTAATGTTTTCAAAAGGACTCTATGTTCTTTGTGAAAATGTCAGCATTAGAAGTTTAGAAGTTTCAGTTGTTTATGCTTACTTAAGACGGTTTAACCAAACATTGTGTCCAGTCCCCTCATTTTACACATAGAGAAGCTAAGGTCCAAATAAGCTGTGATACACTTAATGTCAGATACAGTAAGCATCAGACCTGGGACTTGGCTTGGCTATTGGTCATGGTTTCTGTCCTGAATCTCTAGTTGAAAAATGCATGAAGGTTACTTATGGTTTAATAATAAAAATAATTTATGTTTCCATTTGCTGTTTTTCTTCATTGGCTTTAAGAGAGAAGTGATTGAGGAAATATGAAGTAATAGAAATATTTGACATAGTCTTATGGGCAATAACTTATTTAGGTAAAACATATGGAACCTTTAATTGAGAAGGTTCAGCTTTCTAAAGGGGAGTCACTTAATTTCAAAAGATGTTTATGTACATGTTTATGTTTCTAATGTATAATATAGTGGAAAGACAGCAAATTTAATAAAAAGCCTTATTCTGTGAGGTAATGTTGGCAATAGCACTTGTAAGCTCAGATTTATTCATACATTCTTCCTTTAACTGGCCTTTTAACTGAAGTAAAATTGATGGGAAAAGCATCAAGTTATGGAGAGTTTGGAATTGGGATGCCTTTGGTTGACTGTGATTATCATAATGTATTTCAACCTTGAAACTGAGCCCTGGATGACAGAGGAAAGCAGCCGAGACAAAAGAAAATGCCAAAGACAAAGTAACCTTCAGCCAGTCTATAAAAGGAATGATTAGGCAGTTCAAAACGTAAATGCCAAATTTTATCACATGGCCATTTCCTGGGATTTTAAGTGATTATAACTATTCTTTCTCTGGAACTAGAAATACACTTTAATTCTGATTGGCATAGGAAAGTATCCTGCATCTATCAGCCTTTTTCTAGTTGCCTTATCCAGGAAATAGTGTATGCAGGTAAACCAAATAATTTCTGAAAAACAATGCAAGTGTTATAAAAGTGAAAGGACAAAAGTATTCTCAGAATTTCCATAGTTATGTCCAAAGGAGGGTTTAGAACTTGAATTGTTTAAGAGGTCTTACTGAGTCCTTTAAACTCTTAGTCCTTTAAACTCTTCCTGACTAATTAGTCTTCCTCCATCATCTTTCTTAATATACTTTTAAAAATTCAGGACTGAAAAGAGAAATGACTAAGCAAAAATGCACGTTAACTGCCATTACAAGGAGAGCAAAACGGGTTGTGCCATATGTACTAATCTTTGCTAGTAAGAATAACCTACAGTGTATATAAAATTTGGGTTTTATATGTCTAAGTACCTTTCATGTTCTGAAATTCTTGCCATGACCCTAATCTATTATTAAAAGTAATGGCAAAAGCCACAATTGGTTCTGCAGTAACCTAATAGTCAGCCTTACATGTCCGTGGGTTTCATATCTGTGGATTCAACAAACCACAGATTAAAAATATTTGAAAATAAAAAATAGCAACACAATAATAAAAATAACACAAATAAAAATACAGTATCACAACTATTTACATAGCAAGTAATCCAGAGATGATTTAAAGTATGCGGGAAGATGTGCACAGGTTATATAAAATACTATGCCATTTTATGTAAGGGACTTGATCATCTGCAGATTTTAGTGTTCACAGGGGTCCTGGAACCAATTCCCCACAGATAATGAGAGATAACTATAGCACGGAGACTGTACTGTTCTCCCCATGTCCTACTCATTCTCTGTTTTATTCCACCCTATCCACCAGTCAGATTAATTTCCAAAAAACTCCATAGTAATTATCTCTTCTTTTGTCCTGGTCAGGAACTTTTAGTGGCTCCTCATTACATATGTAATTCAGTCTGAGCTCTGGTTCTCTAAATACCTTTCCACCCCTCTTTATAGACCTTCGCCTCTGGCCAATTTTGTTCCCTTAATATCCTTTAGCTGCTATGTGGACTTTCAGTTGTTCCATGCCCCTAATAAAATTTTATCAAATGACTTAATTTCTCTGCTCTTTTGTTTCCTTGTTGTTATATGGAGGACAGTGGATTTAATGGCCATTATATTTGTTTAGTGATTTCTAATTTATTCATAATTTTTCCATATATTGTTATATTATCCCTCCATCTCTCCCTCCCACCCACCCTCCCTCCCTCCCTCCTTCCGTCCCTCCCTCCCTTCCTTCCTTCCTTCTTCCCTCCTTCCTTCCTTCCTTTTTTTGAAACAGGGTCTTGCTCTGTTGTCCAGGCTGGAGTGCAGTGGCTCAATCTCAACTTACTATAGCCTCAACCTCCTGGGCTCAAGAGATCCACCTCAGCTTCCCAAGGAGCTGGGACTACAGGCACACACAAAGATGCCTGACTAATTTTGTTTACCTTTTGTAGAGATGAGGTCTCACTCTGTTGCCCAGGCTGTACTTCATCTTTGTGCCCTTTACAGTAATGCATGCAGGAATGATCCACATTGTACAGATAGGAAACCTCAAGTCCAAGTAGGCTAGGTGATTTGTATATGAAAGTTGTTCTAAAACTTTTTAATCCCAGGAAGTACCATTTACAATAGCACTCCCAAAGATGAAATATTTAGGTGTAAATGAAAGAAAATGTATACAGGATTGGCCAGGTGTGGTGGCTTATGCCTGTAATCCCATCACTTTGGGAGGCCGAGGCAGCAGATCACGAGGTCAGGAGATGGAGACCATCCTGGCTAACACAGTGAAACCCCATCTCTACTAAAAATACAAAAAAATTGGCCGGACGTGGTGGCGGGCACCTGTAGTCCCAGCTACTCGGGAGGCTGAGGCAGGAGATGGTGTGAACCCAGGAGGCAGAGCTTGCAGTGAGCAGAGATCGCGCCACTTTACTCCAGCCTGGGAGACAGAGCGAGACTCCGTCTCAAAAAAAAAAAAAAAAAAAAAAAATGTATACAGGAGCTAGGAGCTACAGTTAGAAAACTGTAAGGCACTGATAAAAAATATACGTACAGATATCTATAGGTGGAAAACTACAATGCACTAATCAAACAAGATCTAAAGAAATGGAGAGAGATTCTGTGTTCATGGATTGAAATAATATTGTTGTGATGTCAGTTCTTTCCAATTTGATCTATAGACTTGACACAGTCCCAAATCAAAATCCCAGCAAGCTATTTTGTAGACGTCAACAAACTGATTCTAAAGCTCATAAGGAAAGCCAAATACCTAGTATAGTCAGTGGAATACTGAAGAAAATTGGCAAAGTTGTAGTACTCACACTACCTGGCTTACTGTAAGGCCACGATAATCAAGATACTATGGTGTTGGTGAAAGAATAGACACATAGATTAATAGAACAGAATGGAGAGTCTAAGATAAATTCACATGAATATAGTCAACTGATTTTTAACAAAAGATGACATTTTCAATAAATGGTGCTGGAACAATTGGATGTCCATATCCAAAACTGAACCTAGACACAGACCTTATAATTTATGCAATAATTAACTCAAAATGGAGCATAGACCTAAATATACAACATAAAACTTATTGAGGAAAACATATATGATACTGGGTTTGGTAAAAGATTTTAAAATACAACATCAGAATGATACATGAAAGAAAAATATTGGTAAGTTGTGACTTAGTTAAAATTTAAAACTTCTGTGAAATACTCTATTAAAAGAATGGAAAGACAAGCTATAAATGGGGAGAAAATATTTGTAAAACACTTATATAACACTTGAATCCAAAATATACAAAGAACTCTTAAGACTCAACAATGAGAAAATAACCCAATTTAAAAATGGGCAGAAGATCTGAAGAGACACCCCATCAAGGAAGATAAGCAGATGGCAAAATTAGCACTTAAAAAGATGGTCAACATTGTGTGTCATTAGGGAATTGCAAATTAAAACAATAATGTGGTACCACTACTCAGCAATTGGCTGAAATTCAAAACACTGACCAAATTCTGGTGAGGATGTGGAGTAACAGGAGTAACAGGAACTCTCATTCATTGCTGGTGAGAATGTAAAATGTTACAGCCACTTTGGTGGCAGTTTCTTATAAAACTAAACATGATCATACCATGCAAATCAGCAGTTATGCTCTTAGGTATTTACCCAACTAATTTGAAAACTTCTGTTCACACAAGACCTGTACACAAATGTTTGTAGCAGCTTTATTTATAATTACCAAAACTGGAAGCATCCAAGATGTCCTTCAGTAGGTAAATGGATAAACTGTGGTACATTCATATAGCGAAATATTAATCAGTACTAAAAAGAGCTATGAAATCATGAAAAGACATGGATGAATCTTAAAAATGCACATTGCCAAGTTAGAGAGATCAGCCTGAAAATGCTCTGTGAGTCCAGTTATATGACATTCTGGTAAAGGCAAAATTAGAGAGTTGGTAAAAAGATCAGTGGTTGCCAGGGACTTGGGAGCAAGGAGTTGATGGGAAGGTTGAATAGATGAAAAACCAGGACTTTTTTAGGGTGATAAGTATGATACTGTGATGATGAATATAAGATATTAAGCATTTGCCAAAACCCAGAGAATTTTATAGCAGAAAGAGTGGATCTTAATGTGTACAAATTTTTGAAAACTTATTTAGGAGGTCAGAGTTTCCAGGATGGAATGCAAAATGTGGCAAAAGAGTCTAAATGTATTATAAATGTATCCAATAATCTCACTGAAGGGAGTGAAGAAACAAGTTGCTAATCTAAGTAACTTTGGAAATGAGTGGCATCTGTATGACTGTTTAGTCTTACCGTACTTACTTTAAACTAAAGGAACTATGCATAAGCCCTGTACTCTACTGATAAAGTTCTGTCCCATGGGGAACAAGGTATGGATTAATAATGTTGAAATTACCATGCATGTATACTGGAATTGAACAATTAAGAAAATGGGTGGCAGTTGTTAGAAGCCACGTTTTTCACTGTTGTAGTGTTGGTTACAGGTAAGCAATGAGAGGCTAAAATGATCCATGTGGTAATGGATTCATGTTGGAGACATTGATATGAACTCATTTAGCTTAATGTATAGATACACATGGTTGCATATGGAAATGTTTATAGATATATGTATATGCACAGGTTAGTGTACATATTTACAATGTACACTAAGTCAATGTGTACTAGAAGCAATGAAACTCCAGTAGCAATTATCATACCTAGTCCTCAGATCTTGGGGAGTAGAAGTCAGGGTTATCCAATGTTAGGAATCAGGATTCCTTGGAGAAGTGGCTGATTCTAGCCCTGGGGTAGGAAATATACAAGATGTATGGAGCCTCCGGAGTGACAGAAAATAAGAAAGTACTCAAAAAAACAAAACAAGACACAACGATAGGAGTATGTCAAGGGGACACAGGAGCCAACTGAAAGTTCTTCAATGACCAAAGCTGGAACAGTTTGAGCAACAAAATAAAAGTATTGTTGGATCATAATCCAATGTATAAAGTAAATATCTACGAATCTTTACTGATATAAACAAATGGTTGATGTTGACCTTGGGAGGGAATAGATAAATCTCCCATGCAAAAGAATTCCAAATGATTTACTTAGACATTCCACCCTCAATGGAGTGAGGCAAAACTCTCCACTCCATACATTAGGCTGTTCATAGTGACTTTCCTTCAATGAGTGCAGTACAGAAAGGGTAACATTACAATAGAGAAACCTGATAAATTGTACCTCAAGCCAGATGATCAGGGTCAGCATCAACAGAGATGTCGTGTATCCTTGATATGATATGATGAAAATGACACTTTACCTGTGTGGTTTTTCTCCCCAAAACACATTATCCCAGTCTAATGAGAAATCAAATAAATCACAGTTTTGCAAAACATATGACCAGTAATCCTCAGAACTGTCAAGGTAATAATGATGGGTTGAATGATGATCCCCGCTCCCCTAAGAGATTATGTCCACATCCTAACCTCTAGAACTTGTGAACGTGATCTTATTTGTAAAAAGTGCCTCTGCAGATGTCTTTACATTAAGGATTTTGATATGATGATCATCCTGGATTATCTATTGGGCTCTAAATCCAATGAGGGGTGTCCTTATAAGACACAGAAGATAACAGGCAGAGGAGAATGCCATGTGAAGTCAGGCAGAGATTAGAATGATATAGCCACAAGCAAAGGGATCCCTACAGCCACCAGAAGTTAGAAGAGTCAAGGAATGATTCACCCCTAGAGACTTCTAAGAGAGTGCAGCCCTGCTAATTACTTGATTCTTTGATTTCTCGTCTCTAGAACCATATAAAAATAAATAAATTTCTGATCACTTGAGGTCAGCAGTTCAAGACCAGCCTGGACAACATGGCAAAACCCCATCTCTACTAAAAAATACAAAAATTAGCTGGGCATGGTGGCACATGCCTGTAATCCCAGCTACTCTGGAGGCTGAGACAGGAGAATCACTTGAACCTGGAAGGCGGAGGTTGCAGTGAGCCGAGCTTGCACCACTGCACTCCAGCCTGGGTGACAGAGGGAGACTCCATCTCAAAATAAATAAATAAATAAATAAATAATTACTGGTTTTTTAAGCCATCAAATTTATGGTAATTTGTTATAACAGCCACAGGAAACGAATACAGTCATAAAAAACAAGGAAGGTCTGAGAAACTGTCACAACCAAGACTAGCCTAAGGAGAATAAATGTAATGTGATGCCCTAGATAGGACCCTGAAACAGAAAAAGGGCATTAAGGAAAAACTGAAGATACCTGAATAAAATATGGACTTTAGTTAATAATGTATTTATATTGTTTTAGTAATCGTGACAAAGGTATCATACTAATGTAAAATGTTCGTAATTGGAGAAACTGGGTGTAGGATACATGGGAACTCTATGTACTATCTTCACAATTTGTCTATACATCTAAAGCTGTTCTAAAATAAAAGTTGTATTTTTAAAAAAAGAAAGAAAAGGAATAGATACCTTTCCTGGGAATAAAATGAAACCAGAATATTCCACCCCTCAAAAGCAAGAGTTTTCTTACTTTGGCAATTATCTGTTGGAGGAAGCCTGCCTACTAACAGTACTCCTCTCTTCCTCAAACATCCTGTAGTCAACCTTGCTGTTCAAGGCAGATGAGACCATTGGGAAAACAGACCTCTTCAGCTACAGCAGAAGTCAGTGCAGTTATTCATTCTAAACAAATTAGCCCTTTGGCTTTCGTATTACTGACCTTCCTTCCTGAATAATTCAGTCTAAAAGTTTTAAGACAGGGCCCAGGAAGGTGTAGGTGCTAGGGTTTCTTGGACAATGACTGATTCTAGGGCTGGGACAGGGAAAGCATAAGACAAGATGTGCTGGACACATCTCCCTGTACCAGAAAGTAAAGTAGAGCTCGAAGAATGAGGGGATTATATCTAAAGGATGCAGAAGCCACCTTGAAGGGGCACTCACTGGCCAATTCTTGAACAGTTTGAGCATCAGACTAAATAGTCATACTATCAAATCGTAGCTCTTTGAATAAAATAGGAACTCATGAGACCACAGTGATCTAATAAATTAGTGGGGAGAAGAAAAGGAATAATGGAAAGATCACCATTTGCCAATTATTGTAATCAGTGATCTTTCTAATTCCATGATTCCTAGCTGATAGGATGCAGTGAGGAACACAGCAGCATTTCTATGACACTTCTTTCAAAAATGCATAACTGAAATCTAATTTGGAAGAAAAGAGAATTCCAAGTTGAGAGACTTTCTACAACATACCCAGTGTGTAATGTTCAAATTCATAAAGATTATGAAAGTCAAGGAAAAACTTTAGAACTATTCCAGATTTAAAGAGACTAGACACACTTGACGATTAAATACATCTCATAATACCCTATTGGATGCCTTTGCTACAAAAGACATTAGTGGAATAATTGGTGAAACTTCACAGGCTAGTAATGTATCATTGTTAATTTGTCAATTTTGATGATCGTATTATGGTTATTTGGGAGAATATTTTTAGAGGAATTATAAACAAGTTATTAGGGATGATGGGACATAATGTCAGCAACTTTCAAATTGGGGAAAAAACCATTCTTGAACTTTTCTGTTTGAAATTATTTTTAAAATTAATTTTTAAAGCTTTCAATAAAAGCCATTGTGAGTTGAGTGGATAAGAGGAGACATTCATTAAGAATACATCTGATCAATGAAATATCTCCAGACCTTGAAGAAAATTAAGATATTAAAGGGAAATACTGATGATAAAAAATCAATTCTAGAAGAAAGAGATTGTGGAAAGAATTATTGTAAGAATCTTATAAATAACCTTGGAAACTTTATATTGGGTGAGATTTGGTAGTTATTGCTTTTTGTTGGCCTGTTGCATTGCCAAGTGTGGGAGTGAAAGTTTAGCATCCAGCTGGGTCTCACAGGGATTAGAGGGCAGAGGGCCAACTAGCACCACTTTGTACCCACAAGAGGGTATATGGTAGTGCCAGTTGGCCTTCTCCCCACCTAGGCACCTCTGCCTAGGTGCTGCTTGATGGAGTGGAAGTTTAGCTACCGCTAGGCCCTGGTAACGCTAAGGAAACGGAGAGAAGGGACAGTTTTTTGGAGGTGTAGAAGGAGCTTGATTTTGTACATTAACTTAGGAGAACCTGCCAGAGATGAGGAAAAGAAAATTACACAATAGAATTTATAGAATAAATCCAAGTATACTATTTTCCTACCCCTAAACTATGATCCTTGACATCTCAAGGCCTGTGGACTCTGTGAATAAAAATTTTTAGAAAGGATAATCTTTAAAGCACCATTTAATTTATTATGTTTCGTCCAGCAATTTGAGGCTAGATAAGAAATGTGGTAAGAGATAGTTGTTGGGTCTCCTCAAAGTTGAAATTAAGGATACCGGCCGGGCGTGGTGGCTCACGCCTGTAATCCCAGCACTTTGGGAGGCAGAGGCGGGCAGATCATGAGGTCAGGAGATCGAGACCATCCTGGCTAACACAGTGAAACCCCGTCTCTACTAAAAATACCAAAAATTAGCTGGGCGTGGTGGCGGGCGCCTGTAGTCCCAGCTACTCGGGAGGCTGAGGCAGGAGAATGGCATGAATCCGGGAGGCGGAGCTTGCAGTGAGCCGAGATTGTGCCACTGCATTCCAGCCTGGGCAGCACAGCGAGACTACCTCTCAAAAAAAAAAAAAAAAAAAAAAAAAAAAAAAAAAAAAAATTAAGGATACCAAACAAAAGAAGCTATAGGACTTTTTTTTTTCATTAATAATAAAGATCAGAGGGCAGATTATTTGCTGTGACTTGACCTGAAATACTGTGACATTCTTTTTTTTTTTTTTTTTTTTTTTTTTGAGACGGAGTCTCGCCCTGTCGCCCAGGCCGGACTGCAGACTGCAGTGGCGCAATCTCGGCTCACTGCAAGCTCCGCTTCCCGGCTTCACGCCATTCTCCTGCCTCAGCCTCCCGAGTAGCTGGGACTACAGGCGCCCGCCACCAAGCCCGGCTAATTTTTTGTATTTTTAGTAGAGACGGGGTTTCACCTTGTTAGCCAGGATGGTCTCGATCTCCTGACCTCATGATCCACCCGCCTCGGCCTCCCAAAATGCTGGGATTACAGGCGTGAGCCACCGCACCCGGCCTTTTTTTTTTTTTTTTTTTGAGGCAAAATCTCACTCTGTTGCCAGGCTGAAGTGCAGTGGCGCCATCTTGGCTCACTGCAACCTCTGCCTCCCGGATTCACACGATTCTCCTGCCTCAGCCTCCTGAGTAGCTAGGATTACAGGTGCGTGCCACCATGCCCAGCTAATTTTTGTATTTTTAGTAGAAATGAGGTTTCACCAGATTTCACATGCTTACAGATTTTAAAGAGTTTTAGAAACATCTTATTGCACTAAGATAAACTGCCCCATGAGAAATATTTTCATCTGCTTGACCAGTACTATTGATGAGGTGATTGAATTCCTCCAAGGAGGACAAGCTGTTATGTCAGCTGAAGTGACATATGCTTTGGGGAAGAGGCAGTCACAGGTGTTAATAGCGTATACTTTGCCAACACAAGTTTATAAGAAGATTCATTTTTTAAATTTTCAGCTTGGAGTGAATTTGAAATACAAATATTTTACTTCTGTTACTATCAGAGGCAGTGAAAACATTGATTTTAAAGTAGCTGCTATGAAACATATGCTTTTTTCTGTGAATGGCAGTAGTACTTCCTCAGAGCATATATCAAGTCAGCTGCTTCAGGGAGCATTTCACATTCTCTGTGTATCCTGAGACCTAATTTTAGCAAATACAAATCATCTAAACTTGCAAATTCAATTTGATATCCTAACTGGGAATGACAGTGGAGCATAGTCTGAACCTTTCAGATCTGCATATTTTACAGCTGATTACTTCTGATTAAGTCCAATTTTGGTCATTTTAGACTAAACGGGAATTTTGATCTCTGATGTCATAATGTGACAGTGATTGATCTCCTGGGGCATTCTCTAAGCTGTAGTACTTGGTACTTTGGGCCAAAGTTCTGTGTGTGTGCTTGTCCCTCCTTTGTCTCGTTCTCTCCCTATATCCCTTTCTTCATTTTTAATATTTTCTTAATTTTTCAGTGTTAAAAGAAAAATATGGGCCTCTTTAAACATGAGACCTCCTAAGAACAATCCTAGATCATAGTTAATAATCTGCCCTAGGATAAACTCGTCCTCTACCATTTTATTTTATTTTATTTCAATTTTCAGATTTAGATACCTGCATTTTACTTTTTTTTCAATTTGTCATTTATTTTCTTTTATTTATTTATTTTTTTGAGACAGAGTCTCACTCTGTCGCCCAGGCTGGAATGCAGTGGCGTGATCTTGGCTCACTTCAACCTCCGCCTCCTGAGTTCAAGCAATTCTCCTGCCTCAGCCTCCCAAGTAGCTGGGATTACAGATGCCTGCCACCACACCTGGCTAATTTTTTATATTTTTAGTAGAGATGGGGGTTTCACCATGTTGGCCAGGCTGCTCTCGAACTCCTCACCTCAAGTGATCTGCCTGCCTTGGCCTCCCAACGTGCTGGGATTACCGGCGTGAGCCACCTCGCCTGGTCCCATTTATTTATTTTTATTGATACATATTAGATGTACATAATTTCAGGGCATATGTAATAATTCAATATTCATATAATCAAATCTCCTTTACCATTTTAGGTAAGGGTAATTCATGAGCCAAAGAAGATAAGGCATCCTTACCTCTTTATTCCCTAGTGACTCATTTTCACTGTCTACGTTGCTCTCTTAGTGCCTTTCTTTCCCCTCTTCTTTTTAGTTTTTATTGAAAGAAAATAAGGGGAATATTTTAAACAGCAGTGAATCTTTAAATTAATACACTTCCTTTTCCATCTACAAAGTTAAATATTTGAAATAGCTCTTTATATTAAAATACCACTTACATCTTTTAATTTTAGAAACATCAGCACATTGACGTATCATTTCTTGCTTATTCCAGGTACCCAAAATTTTCTTTGTAGAAGAAATATTCACTGTTGAAGCTTTAGCTGATGAAGCTATATGAGCAGATAAAACAGGAAGAGAAACATTCTTTCTCCCCTCGTTTATAAACAAAAATCTATGTAGTTGAAACTGGGTGGATATAGCTATAAAACATAAGCTCATTCTTACTGTTTGGACATGTTTTACTTCTTGTTGAAATAGATGTTCCGCAACTATAAGATAAGAAGTCTGATCCACTGTTTGGAATTTTTCAGTTGATGGTGCATTATGTAATACTGTGTTGGAATTTACTGGCCTACAGTCTTGAGGTAGTGTTTTGCATTAAGATGAATCAGTTTTCAGTATCAAGTAATTCCATGGTAACCTACATGGAAAAGAGTTTCTGCTTAAATGAATCAGAGTATGATGAGGCTTTATTAATAAGGTTGAGATAGTTGAATATTTGAGAAGTGAGAGTTAATTTAAAAGACTTGAGAAAAGACCATGTTCTTCAAAGCATCCGTAGTCCACAAATCTAGTAAAAGTGAAGATCACTTCTCACTGTAATAGTCTATAAGGATTTTTTTTGTTTTAAAATGTCTTTTTTTCTCTTCCTTAGTATTGGCAACTGTTTTATGTTGTATATACCATGCTTATTTTAATATAACACTCTTATAAATGAAGACCTACACAGCTTAGTAAAAACTCAAGAGAACAGGCCATCATGTTATCATTTATAGAACTAGTTCTGACTACCACTGTGGCCTGTGCATATATACATGAGCCATAAGGTCACCCTGAGTGGTACTTTTTATAAGCTTAGTCAAGGTTATTAAAGCCAAAGGGAAACTAATATTCAATGCTTCTACTGTTTTATTTATTACTCGATTTAATTTAGAAGTACTTTAGGACCTTGACTTACATCAGTGCCATTCATCCATTGGTAGTAAATATTAATTGTTGAATTGAGATTTGATGTCAACTGTTCTGTATTAACCCATTTATTTTATTTTTCATATTCTCCTTTTTAAATTGTATATATCATATCATTGCAATGAGAAACCAGATTTATGTTATAAAGCATTTTTTCCTTAATGAGGTATAAATATCAGTTCAGTTAGTTTAGTTTCCTATAGCAATGAAAGAAAAAAGATCAAGTTCAAAAACTCATCTAACCATACATATTATAATGTCCAGCATCTATACTAGGTATTGATAGTGTTTAATTTTTAATTCATATTATTGGTATGCCAGATGCTCTATGCATACTACATAAGACTGCAAATTTCCTTTCAGGACCTGGAAGGGCTGTTGTGTTTATAATGCATGTGTTTATCGCATTTTACACATTTCAATGTGCATTCATATTGTTATATTTCCTTTATTCTCAGAACAACCCTGAGAAATAAATAAGCATTATCTTTTAGGTAAACCAAGGTTCAGGAAGATTGAATGTTTTGCCTAGACAAAAATTCAGACCTCTCGATAACTTGTTAATGTTCTTTCTGAATCTTTACAGAGAGCAGTAAAATGGTATATTATTTCATAATCGTAGATGTCAAACTGCTATACAAATCTTTATTTGCATAGTACTTATAATTTTTAAAATACCTTTTATATTATTTAAATAAAATTATAAAAGCAGAGTTCTTCTGTTATATATTTACTGTAGTTTCCTTTATTAGACTCATACATTCAGTAGACACAAAGTACCTGTGTGTTCTAGGTACTGGATTGGTTGCTAAAGCACAAAGCCAGTCTCAGCTTTCAGAGATCAGGCCATCAAGACACTGTTGTCTTATCCAGCAGATATGGACAGTGTGATATAGGCCAAATTTGCTGAGGGCACTGGAAAAATGCTTTTGTTTCTCCTGTTTTGGGGGTAAATGTGTGACTGGCACTGTCCTTTTTCCTTCCATGAATGCAGAGGTAATGCTTATATCTAAAGCAAACAGCTTTGAAGCAACAAATCAACACACTTAGCAAAAAGATAGAAAGAGCCTTGGACTTGATGACCCCTTCAGCCTCTGTACTAATCCTAGACTACCTACCTCTGGACATTTTGTTTGGGGGGAAATAAAATAATGCCCTGTTTTTTAAAGTCATACATAAATCAGAGCTTCAATTAATTGTAGACAAATATTTTCTGTCTCTATATTTTTTACTTCCTTATAATGGAAATTCAGCATACACTAGACTAGAGAATAATATAACAAATCCACATCACCTAGTTATAATAGTAATCAATATTTAGTTAACCTTTTACATTCTTGCACTTTCTCTCTTAGTAATTATAACTACGTTTAAGTAATTCTATAATAAAAGTGTGTGAAAATACTGTGGAAGCACATGGAAGACTGACTAACGTGGCCAGCGTTGGAGGGGCTTCAAAGAGGAGGTAGCATTGGCAGAAGCTTTAAGGTCAAGTAGAGAATGGAAAGAGCATTTCTAGTGGGAGGACTAACATGTGTAAAGGGTTTTTTAAAGCATGGCATATTCAAAGAGGGGGAAATAGATTACTGTGGCTGGAATATAGTGATTATCAGGTATGAGTGTCAGTATGATTCTAAAAAGATGGCTTGGTGCCAAATCATGAATGGACATATATATCAAAAAATGTGGTGCTTATTACATGGGTACCAGGAAATGAAGAATATGATTAGGTTTGGGTTTTTAAAAGAGAACAGTGGCAGTAACATTTTTGGAGTATGAGATAAAGAGGGAAGGCAGTAAACTGCCAATGGTTCAAGTAATTAGAAAGGCATTTGGTGATAACAGTAGTGGTTTTAGGCAGGGGGAGATAAGTTTAAGAGATAATTCAGGGGAAGAATCAACATGATTTGGTGCCTGGCGAGGATGTGGAGAAGGGAGATAGTCATAGAATGACTTGAATAGATGTGATGATGCCAGGATTAGAGTAATACAGCAGAAGACTGGTTTGGAATAAGGGCATATGATGAGCTTAGTATTTTAAGTTTGAAGTGCTGATAGGTCATTCAGGTAGAGTATTCATTGTGCCAAGTGGAGATATAGAACTGGATCATAAGAGAATCTCACACTAGGGAGTTCTATAACTTGCCTTTCCTGCTACGTATGTCATATGTCACAAGTTCATATATATAAGACTATATATATGTAAGTATTCATATACGTTCATATACATACATAAGTTAATCCTTATTATTCACTAACTGCGTATTTCCAAATTGGCCTACTTCCTAAAATTTATCTGTAATCCCTAAATCAGTACTTACGGTGCTTTTGTAATAATTTGCAGGCACGCTCGGAGTGGTAAAAAAATTTGAGTCACCTGATGTGCAAATTCTCAGCTGTAGTTGGACAAGGTGATACTCTTGATACTCTGCCTTCTTGTTTCGGTTCTTATACTATAAACAAACATCCCTTTTGCAGTCTACTTAATGCCACATTTTTCACATTTTCTGTGCTTTTTTTTTTTGGTAATTTTGCTTTTTTAAGCAAATGGCCCCCAGTGTTGTCCCAAAGTGCTGTGTAATATTCCTAAGTGCAAGAAAGCTGTGATATATCTATGCAAGAAATATGTATGTTAAGTAAGCTTCTCTCAATCATGAGTTATGCTTTCAGCCATGATTTCAGTGTTAATGAGTAAATATATATTAAGTAAGGTGTCTTTAAACAGAAATACAGATAAAACAAGGTTATGTGTTGGCTAGTTGATGAAAATGTTGTGACCAGAGGCTCCTAGAAACCTAACCTTCTTTCCCATTTTCCCTAGAAGCAGTGGTTCAGTGTTCACTAACTCAGTGTTTGTGACAATTTAATGGACCATAACTACCACAGATAACAAGAATCATTGTGTGTGTGTGCATGTGTAGAAAATCTGCTACTCTTTTACAAATAACCCTTATATTTGTACAGTGTAAGCATTAGTCCTAATTTTACTTGAAATTGTGATCACAAGAAATATATAACTCTTTTTTTTTTTTTTTTTTGAGACGGAGTCTTGCTCCGTCGCCCAGGCTGAAGTGCAGTGGCACAATCTCGGCTCACTGCAAGCTCCGCCTCCTGGGTTCACGCCATTCTCCTGCCTCAGCCTCCTGAGTAGCGGGGACTACAGGCACCCACCAACATGCCGGGCTAATTTTTTGTATTTTTAGTAGAGTTGGGGTTTCACCGTGTTAGCCAGGATGGTCTCGATCTCCTGACCTCGTGGTCCACTTGCCTCGGCCTCCCAAAGTGCTGGGATTACAGGCGTGAGCCACCGCGCCTGGCCATAACTCTCTTTTTTAGTGAAAAATAAATGCATACAAGATGAAAACAGTTTGCTGTTTTACACCAGATGGATGATTCCATATTCCTTAAGTCAGAAGGTTTTTCATAAAATGGAATATTGAAGGAGTACAGGTGACATTGACAGCATTTAAATGATCCTCTATAGCACACTTGAGCATAATGTGGTTGTCAGCATCATATTGGTGGGCCGCCAGTTTCTTTTATGGTTGATGTTATTCTCTTTAGCAAGCTTGTAACATTATCAGTCGCTTTTCTCTTAAAGAAATTTATTTTATAATAGTGTTTATGTGTGAGGAGATTTCATAATCGAAGACTAGTGTGTGTGTGCATTTATATCTGTCAATTTGCTTGAATATGACAGCTCAAAAGCATTTTTTAACCTTTCATTCACAAATGTTGGTTCATATCAGTAGGGGTGTTTTAAAATGACAGGTATTATGTGAGAATGAGAATTACCCCTACTTTCTGACATATCAGTGTTATGTTGAAAATTAACATTCAGCTTTGTATCTCACGTTTTACTGTCTGCAAATCTGAAAGCAGGGAATTGGCATTTACAAAGTCAAGGACAAGCCATCATACAACCCCATGCATTGACTGTTACACTTCAAAGTGATTCTGTGCTTGTTAGCATATATCTGTTTCCTAATCATCTTGTTCCTTGGTATAGAAAATATGCCTTTGTTATTGTCTTATATGGCTATATAGTTAAACGCTTAAAATAAAAATGATACAGACCTACATTTAGAGATTCTTCAGTTTGGGGTGGCTGATTTATTTGTGCTGCTTATGTTTCTGACTTGATCTTCTTCTGACTGATTCTGTAGTCTTCTAACTAAGGTATTAGGGTGAATGCTTTCTGTCTTTACTGCAAACAGTAGATTTTATGTCATCAAGAGTAGTTATCCAGCCTGGGTAACAAGGCAAAACCCCATCTCTACAAAAAAAATAGAAAAGAATTATTCAGACATGGTAGTGTGCACCCGTAGTCCCAGCTACCAGAGAGGCTGAGGCGGGAGGATTGCTTGAGCCTGGGAGGTGGAGGCTGCAGTGATCCATGGTCACGCCACTGCCCTCCAGTCTGCCAGTCTGGGCAACTGAGCAAAAAAAAAAAAGAAGAAGAAGCTGGGCAAGGTGGCTTATGCCTGTAATCCCAGCACTTTGGGAGGCTGAAGCGGGTGTATCACTTGAGGTCAGGAATTTGAGACCAGCCTGGCCAACATGGTGAAACCCTGTCTCTACTAAAAATATAAAATTAGCCAGGCACAGTGGCTCATGCCTGTAATCCCACACTTTGGGAGGCCAAGACAGGTGGATCACTTGAGGTCAGGAGTTTGAGACCAGCCAACATGATGAAACCCCATCTCTACTAAAAATACAAAAATTAGCCAGGCATGGTGCTGGGCACCTGTAATCCCAGCTACTCTGGAGGTTGAGGTAGGAGAATCGCTTGAACCCGGGAAATGGAGGCTGTAGTGAGCCAAGATTGTGGACTGCGCTTCAGCCTGGGCAACAGAGTGAGACTCTGTCTCAAAACAAAATTAGCTGGGTGTGATGCAAGGCTCCTGTAATCCCAGCTACTCGGGAAGCTGAGGCAGGAGAATCGCTTGAGCCTGGGAGGCAGAGGTTGCGGTGAGCTGAATCATGCCACTGCACTTCAGCTTGGGCAACAGAATGAGACTCCGTCTCAAAAAAAAAAGAGTAATTATAACAGCATCTTTTTCTCCTTATTTTTGGTAGATGACCTTAGTATTCACTCTTCACATGGAAATACCTCATAGATTTATTCTTCTGCACTATGACTAGTGTATTATCTTAGGTGTTTTGGTTTCTTTCTTTCTTTTTGAGACAGAGTCTGGCTCTGTCGCCCAGGCTGGAGTGCACGATATCGGCTCACTGTAACCTTCGCCTCCCGGGTTCAAGCAATTCTCTCTGCCTCAGCCTCCTGAGTAGCTGGGATTACAGGCTTGTGCCACCATGCCCCACTAATTTTTATATTTTTAGTAGAGATGGGATTTCACCATGTTGGCTAGGCTGGACTCGAGCTCCTGACCACAGGTGATCCGCCAGCCTCGGCCTCCCAAAGTGCTGGGATTACAGGCGTGAGGCACTGCACCCGGTCGTGTATTTAAGTTTAAGGATTGATGCTTTTTAATTATATTGCATTTAGAAAGCAAAGTATTTGCAGTTGAAATCCTCTGTGAATTTAACATCAAGTATACTATATTTTCACTTTCCCTACTTATTTGGAGCAACCTAATGTTCTAGTATTGAAGACTGTTTTGTAAGATTAACCAGCCCTTGACCTAATTGAAATAGAGTCTTATGTTACCTTATTCTAATTTCAGTAAACTATTATGCAATATAGAGATGTGTTATAATTTGAGAATTTTATGTAAAGTTCTTCAGTAAGTGCTAATTCAGTGGGGATACCTTCTTAAACCTATAAGGATGCAGGGAAGTGACTAAAAGATGAAAATATTTCTCTAATATATCTCTAATGAAAGTACAGGATAGTACCTAAATGTCAACTTTGCCATATGGTTTCAGAAAAAAATATTTGAAGGTCTTTGGTGAATTATTGGTTATAGTATCTAAGGCTCTTTATAGGGATAGCTGTATTTGTTAATTTATATTTGCTGTTTACTGTTCCTCCAAACCTTGCAATACATGTCTTCTTAGCCTCCTATGAATGTTCATTTCCATCTCTGTTTTACTCATTCGAATACTTTTTTTTTTTTTTTTTTTGAGACGGAGTCTTGCTTTGTGCCCATGCTGGAGTGCAGTGGCACTATCTCGGCTCACTGCAAGCTCCGCCTCCTGGTTTCACGCCATTCTCCTGCCTCAGTCTCCCGAGTAGCTGGGACTACAGGTGCCCGCCACCACACCCGGCTAATTTTTGTCTTTTTAGTAGAGATGAGGTTTCACCATGGTCTTGATCTCCTGACTTCGTGATCCGCCTGCCTCGGCCTCCCAAAGTGCTGGGATTACAGGCATGAGCCACCACGCCCAGCCTCATTGAAATACTTTTATTTCTTCTCTTCAACAATCTGAACAATTACTCCTTGGATCCACCAGGTTAAGACCTTTTCTCCAAAAAGACTTACTAAAATCCATTTAGTTTCCCTTCTCACTGGTTTTATGTATATAAATTGTATGCTGCTTTGTCATTAGTTTGTGTAGTTTCATTAATATTCAGTTAAATATCTCCTGAGTGCTTGTTGCAATGATATGTGAGCTTGGTGGTGTAGAGAAGTATGCTGTGGTCAGGGTTTCCAGAGAAAGTGATCTTGTACCTGAATAAGTAAGAATTTCCTATGTGTGGAAGGTAGGTAAAGATATACTGGCAAAGAGAACAGCATGAGAATATATGGGATTGACAAATAGTTCAGTATGTCAGTGGTGCAATAAAGTGGGAGATAGGAAATAAAGTTGAAGAGATAGGTATGAGCCTGGTCATTGAGGACTTTATATGTCATACTTGGACATTTATTCTTTGAATAAAGGACTTTATTCTGTTAGTGCTGGGTTGCTTTGAAGAGTTTGGCATAATGAGGGTTTGATATAGTGCTTGATGTGGCAAAATTTTTATTTTAAACCAATCATGTTGGCAGAAGTATGTAAATAAATTTGAGGTAGGATAAAATTAGAGATGGGGAGATGAGTTAGGTTACTGATTTGGTCATATTGAGAGATAACTTGGATTTAGATACTATTAATAGGGATGGAATTCAGGAAATAGACTTGGAAAGTGTTTAAAGTAGAAATCAATAAGAATTGAAGATGACTGGTGAAGTGTGAGATGATTGCCCAACTTTTAGCTTGAGAAGTTAAGGGGCTGTTGTTCTGCTGTGACAGGGACTTTAAAAAGGAACAGATTTTAGGAAAAGATGAACAGCTCGGTTTGGGATATATTGAGTTTTTGCCTATAGTACCTTCAGTTAGAAACATCCAACAAACAACTGGATGTAGGAGTCTGAGGCTCAGGTGAAAGGTTAGGATTCAGGGTTTTCATTTGAGTTCCTCCCAGTCCTGGAGGAATACAGAAAATGTGAGTAGAGTGTGAAGTGGGCAAAACACTGAACCCTAGGAGGAAAGGGAAAAAGAGGAACCCAAAAAGGAAACTGGGAAGGAAGAAGTTCTATGTCTTTGCCTAATTACTATTAAAAGGAGGACAACTTTATCCTTTTTGAATCACAATTTAAGCATTCTTGAATAGTAGGATATTATATAATGTTATGTAGTAGATAATAAACGTTTAAGTTTGCCACTTATTTGGTCAGCTGGAAAACATTTCATTTACTTGGAAATTGCGTTTTTATATTTTATCCATTTTCATTACTTGACAAATATTTTTTAATTCGTATCATTTCATGAGCTGCTATGTGCTAGGCACCATGAAGTCTCCTATTCTGGTTTTGTTTTAAGAATTACTCTGACCCGAAGGCACTGATTTACTGTAAATTTTGCATGGTCAGTCTTATGTGGATTAATATGGTAGTTGAACATCCTTCTCTTCCTGAGTACAGTGTGGCCCTTTTAATCTTTTTCATCTCTCTGGGTCACTATTTCTTCATTTTCTTAAGTCTGTTCATTTTTAGAAACTCAAGAACAGAGTCTGCCAACAGGTTTTAGAGATCTACAGGGTACATGACTGGGTTTCATGACTCAACTAAAATTATATGCAAGATATGATGCATATGTACACATTTTTATGAAGATGCAATTTATAGCTTCTTTTGGATTATCAAAGTTTTATATAACTCACCACTCACCTTCCACCCAAAAGGTTAAGAACTGTAGGAACCAGAAGTATTTTTGTGTAATGTATTATAATAAACTACACTGTTTCATGCAACCCCTGAATAGTGAAGTTATCTTTAGCAGAGGTACTGCTATTCTTTGAAAGTAATTTTTTGAAGTAAGGAACAAATTTATTTTAATGCACTATAATATATGTTTACTTTTTGGCTACTTAAGCCTATAATGTTTCTGTTGTATTAACCAATTAAAACACCTCTTAGTGATTTTATAGCTTAAAAATAAGTTCATCAAATAGAATAAGTAAGAGTTTGATTCTGCTTTATGGTGAATTAAAGAATGCTCAGTTTTAAAGAGTGATTCAAATGCCCTTTATTAATATATCTTCCCCACTTTGCATCTTCTAATAGGAAAAGAATACTTGAGATCCATTTGTAAGGAAAGAAAAGGAAGCAACAACATAATGCCCAGAGTTGGAGCCAATTAAACCAGGTTTGTACTTTTTCTTTCCATAATGTAACATGTTTATTCTGGTCTTAAATCTCTTTTATTAATCTCCTGTCTTATTTCAGCAAAAATCTAATAATTTTAAACCTTGCCATAGTAGTATGGAGGAGATAAAGGTGAATAAGACATGCTCTTTTCAAACTATTTGCAACTAATGCAAAAGAACAGAAATCATAACAGTCTCTGAGACCACAGTGCAATCAAATTAGAACTCAGGATTAAGAAACTCACTCAAAACCGCACAACCAAATGGAAACTGAACAGCCTGCTCCTGAATGACTACTGGGTAAATAACGAAATGAAGGCAGAAATAAAGATGTTCTTTGAAACCAAATGGTCTTTGAGAACAAAGATACAACATACCAGAATCTCTGGGACACATTTAAAGCAGTGTATAGAGGGAAATTTATAGCACTAGATGCCCACAAGAGAAAGCAGGAAAGATCTAAAATCAACACTCTAACATCGAAATTAAAAGAACTAGAGAAGCAATAACAAACAAATTCAAAAGCTAGCAGAAGACAAGAAATAACTAAGATCAGAGCAGAACTGAAGGAGGCAGAGACACGAAAAACCCTTCAAAAAATCAATGAATGCAGGAGCTGTTTTTTTGAAAAGATCAGCAAAATAGACCGCTAGCCAGACTAATGAAGAAAAGAGAGAAGAATCAAATAGATGCAATAAAAAAAAATGACATAGGGGATATCAAATGATTAGCAACTTAACTATGAATATGAAAGACAAAATTATAAACAGCTAGATAGCAATCTCATTTTAACATGGAAAGTTTTGTGAGGTTTGGTAAATTGCTTGAGGTCAGAAGCTCTTAAAGAGTTAAGTTGGGATTCAGACTCATATCTGCTGACTCCAAACCGTATTTGCCTTCCATTATGTCACAATGTTCCCTATTTTATTTAGGTTTAGTTGTTGTGCAACTGCTGATTATTGAAGTAGAGGGTGGAGGACATATGTATTTCATATAAGGAATTTACTTTCATTTAAGGAATTTATTTCATTTACTTTCTGATGAAGTAAAAAGGGGGAGAGTATTCTCTATTCCTCAAAAGTTTGGAAGATTAGAGATGGGAACTAACGTTTATAAGCACTTACTATGTGCTAGACACTATCGTAAGGACTTAACGTGAACTAACTTATTTAATTCACGACAGCCAGGTGACATACTAATCTTTAAAACAAAGAAATAAGCAAATTGTCCGAGATCACATAGCTAGTAAGTACCAAAAGCAGATTCAAAACCGTGTATTGGGAAAGGTTAGATAGGGTTTGTAAACCCATGTCTATTGACTTACTTTTTTTTTTTTTTTTGAGACGAGTCTCACTCTGTCGCCCAGGCTGGAGTGCGGTGGCGTGATCTTGGCTCACTGCAACCTCTGCCTTCCGGGTTCGAGTAATTCTCCTGCCTCAGCCTCCCAAGCAGCTGGGTCTACAGGTGCGTGCCACCACACCTGGCTAATTGTGTGTGTGTGTGTGTGTGTGTGTGTGTGTGTGTGTGTGTTTTAGTAGAGAAGATGGGGTTTCACCGTGTTAGCCAGGATGGTCTTGATCTCCTGACCTTGTAATCCGCCCACCTCGGCCTCCCAAAGTACTGGGATTACAGACTTGAGCCACCACACCCAGCTGACTTAAAATTTAATATTACACAAACCAAACAAATAGCTGGACAATTTAGTCTGAGCTCCTTTTGCTATTAGTGTCATTTGTAAGCATTCTTAATTCAACTATTAGCAGTTAAATCGCCTCACCAAAATAATATTTCCATCTTAACAAGCTTTTCATTGTAACCAGTTTGAAAAAGTAATTTAGGTTACATGATCCTATGGTGAAGAGAGATTTTAAATTCACAGAATAGTGAACAGCAACATATGATAGAAAGGACTTTGAGGTGGGGCTCAGATCTGGGTTCTTTCAATTCCCAGCTTTCCTACTGACTCATGTGCTCTACAAGTATCTTAACCTGTTTTCATACATTTTGTAAGGTGAGAAGATTGACTTCATTGTTCCATAAGTCCCTTACAGTAATACAGTTATCCTATCAGTAGATTTTTAAAATGTGCTTCACATGTGAATAGCTAAGAATTTTTGGTTGCGAGATAAGTCTTTAGAGATCACTTCATTGAATCCTGCCATGTGAAGATGGTGAGACTGAGACCTTCGCATTTGTATGGCACTGTAAACATTTCAAAGCTCTTTGCTCTTTACATACATTAATCTCATGTGAGCCTCATCACCATACTCTTGTGGGTTAAATATCATTCTCTTCATTGTTTACATGACCAGATTGAATTGGTCATATAGCTGGGCTAGACTAAGTGACTCTGTGACTCTCAACCAAGTTTATCATGTTTTCTTGCTTTAGTGAGACTAATTACATCCTTCAATGAAGTACCATTTTGTGAGAAAGTGAGAATTCAATGATTTATGAAAAAATCCAAGAAGGAGAAACAAACATTTTCTAATATGAAAGTAGTAATGACTACAGCTATATAAATAACAGTAACAAAGAGGTAAGGAAGTGGCAAGTAATAAGGTCTATGAGTTGATTTAATTTTGGTTTTCATTTATTCCTGGATTAAGAATAAGCATAATTGACTTTTAATATCCTTGTGTTTATCAACCACATACGTTATCCTGACTAATGCAAAGAGAAATCATACTTTATAATAAAGTATTCATAAATTGTAGGTGAGCTAAGGAAAATTTCAGTTAATTTAAAAGGATACTTTGAAAATGAATAAATAAGCATGGGAAGCTAAGCTGTACGTAAAATTAATTATTTCATTGCCTTTATTGAAGTGGGTTTTCTTTTTTATTTCCACTTTGTAGTTGTAGAGCTACAACTGTGTAACTTTTTAGTATTTTTTTAATTGGAAAGAAAATAATTTTAAAACTAGTATGTGGGTATGAGCAGTTTTTCTTGTACAATTTTTTTTTCTAAATTGTCTTTCCTTTAAAAGAAACTGACTTTCTAGACCACATGGTATGATGGTGCTTTCTCTGCAGATATGAAAATTTGATCATTAATACAATCTCCAGTTGTTCTATATTAAAAAGTGTTTTTTAAGATGATTAACTGCATGTTTTCTGTAGAACTAATAAAAGAAAGGAGGATCTCCCAGATGGTTCTAATCAAATAAGGAAAACAGCAAAGGATGGAGTTGATATACAACAAAATTTGAAAGCAACATTTTGAGATTTGACTTATTTTAGAGAAGAAAAATGTATTATGTCCTTTCTGAAGTCTGTTTTTCTTAAGAGTCCATTATAAGATTCTCTTGCCCAGCTGCTGATGTTCTTTCCTGATGCCCTGCCCTACAGAGCTCCACCTCTTATTGCGTACCCATTTTCATGCCATCACAGATCCATGGAATTCAAAATGATATTTGATACAGACTTGAATAGAGCTAGTTTTTAATTCTCAGCTCTATGTATGACTTCAAAACATATGCAAAGGTTTTTTTTACAGCCACTTTTTAATGGTGCCTTAAAGGAAAAGATGAAGAGGACCCTTCATAGTAATTAATTTTTTGGTTTTTGTTTTGAGATAACTCAGGAGCTAGTTTCCTGGAAACTTCAAACTCCTAACACAGTTTCATTAAATTTTACCTATTATAATATGATTGTGTCTTGCTAACCCAGACTGTAGTCATTTTAAGGACTACTGTTAGTTTCTCATTGGCCCATTGTGATTTAGTGTTCATAAAAAAGTTATGACATTTAACTGAGGGTTTGGAATTTTTCAAGATGACTGGGCTTTTTCCTGTGATTTGTGAGTTTCTCTTGTTTGGCTTTAGGCTTAAAGAATTCCTGATCTAGAGTCAACTGCAAGCAAGCCAGGCTTCCAGGCTGGTGTCCCATTCTTATTAAAGCATTCCCTTTGTACACGTGGATGGCCTTGTGATTCAGAAGGCATGGTTTTAATACACAAAGCCTTTTAACTTTTTAAACTATTTCAATAAAGAAATTGCTGAAACAGTAAATTTTTTTTAATGAGTCATGTTGACAAATTCGTTAGCATTAAATTAAGTGTTTTTCCTAGCCATTGATTATTTAGTTTTAATGTAGATTTATTTCTATGTAGTCTGCTTTCTGTGCCAGGATATTTTCTAAAAATGAGATAAGTTCTTAGATGTATGGAAATTCGAGGAACTCTTTGATGTCATATTCAGTAAACCTCAGGATGGCAATAAGGGAAATATGGAGCTGTTGATTTGTGTGTATATGTATGTATGTGTATATTTGGGTGTGTGATCTAAACACACAGGAAATAAATTTGATTTATAGCTTCCTTCTTGACCAAGTTATTTTAAAGTTTAACATGGTGATAGAATTATATGGAAATATTGATTGGTTTTTTCTTTTGTAAGTGTATTGCTGCTTAGCAATTAAATGATTAGATATAGCTCAGGGCTTCGTTTTATTTCTTCATGCTGTATTTGAAAGAATTAAATGGGTTGATTCAGAGTTTTAAAAAATAGAAGTATAGGTAATAAAGGAGAATTACAGAATCTGTTGGCCTGCATTTGTAAGATCAGTCCACTTTGAGTTGCCCAGTTATTTGAATTTATCGGAGAAAAATAGTACCAAGTAAGTATAAATATTCAAGTAGTTATTGAATATTTCATTAGCTTATGTATGCCACGTTTATTTTTCTTAATTCTCAATGTGAGAAATTTGGATGATTTTCATAAATATTCAAAAATTATTCTCCTGTACAAAATTGAGAGTATTGTTGAAAGAGATAATAATTTGCTCTTGGGTCTTTTTATTTCTTTTATGAAAACCCATCTCCAAAAAAATTTAAATGAAAAGTTGCTAATTGCAATGAGGGTTTTCTAGGAAGTTATTAAATTTGATTCTTAAATTGTATGAACTTCCTCAATAGCTTTGCTTATTCTTATATATAAACAGAACATTTTAATATAAGATTTGGTAGTATAATACATTGCTAGTCTGCAGCTCTTCTATAGGAGAAATGAAGATCTTTGCAAAAGATTTGGGGACTCCAGATTTTCTATGTAGGGTTAAAAAAATTTTTTTGATTATATTGAATGAATTCAGTAACAATGGCTTACTTTCTTTTCTCCAGCAATATGAATACCATGTCTTATAAAAATTAATAACAATAGGCATCATTTGGCTGGCAGAAATGGCAGTTCACATACTTTTTTACAGCAAATATAGACATGGTCTGATATAATAAAGGAAATAGACTTTTTTTTTGAGATAGAGTCTTGCTCTGTTGCCCAGGCTGGAGTGCAATGGCGAATCTCGGCTCATTGCAGCCTTTGCTTCCTGGGTTCAAGCGATTCTCTGACCTCAGCCTCCTGGGATTACAGGTGAGTAGCTAGGATTACCGGTGTCACCCCACCTGGCTAATTTTTGTATTTTCAGTAGAGATGGGGTTTCACCATGTTGGCCAGGCTGGTCTCGAAACTCCTGACCTCAAGTGATCCACCTACCTCGGCCTCCCAAAGTGCTGGGATTACAGATGTGAGCCACCATGCCCAGCCAGGAAATAGAAATCTTGTACAGCTCTTATAGTCAGAAGCCTGATTATTCCAAAGATGAGAGTGCTATCTAATAATCATCTAAACAAAGCTACTAAGTAAGGTCAAATGTTTAGAGCTCATAAAAGATCACATAAAACCAATAAGAAGAATATTGCAAGCCAGCCCACACTGTCTGAAGGAAGTTTGTGGAGTCAACTTGAGTACATTAAAATATTTTGTGTTCCTTGTTAATTCTAAAATAATAAAAATTTAACAGAAACATGGAATAGGAATAGGTTTTAGAATAAGAAAAGGCTCAAAAAAAAAAAAAAAGGAAATCATTTGATTATCCCCTTACATTTTGCAAAGTGAAACTAAGGGTGTGAAGCTACATCCTCAAGTGTTATATAGGTGGTAACAGAACTAAGACTAGAATACACTTTATGTATCTATTAAATAATTGAAGATAGAATTTAAAAAGTTCTGATGGGAAATTATTTTATTTTGTTGTTAATTTTTAAGATTTACATACAGTAAAACTGACCTTTTTTTTGAGATGGAGTCTCACTCACTCTGTTGCCCAGGCTGGAGTGCAGTGGCATGATCTCAGCTCACTGCAGCCTCCGCCTCCCGTTTTCAAGCGATTCTTGTACCTCAGCCTCCTAAGTAGCTGGGATTATAGATGACTGCCTCCATGCCCAGCTAATTTTGTGTATTTACTAGAGACTGAGATTTCACCATGTTGGCCAGGCTGGCCTCGAACTCCTGACCTCAAGTGATCCTCCCACCTCAGCCTCCCAAAGTGCTAGGATTACAGGGATGAGCCACTATGCCCGGCCCAAAACTGACTTAACATAAGTTCTGTGAGCTTTAACACATGTTCGGATCCATACAACTACCACTACAAACAGGAAACAAACAGTCCCATCACCCTAGAAAACTTCTGGCTTTCCCTTTTTGGTCAAAATCTCTCCCTACATCTAACAATTACTGATCTGTACTTCATCACTATAGTTTTACCTGTTCCAGAATATTGTATAAATGGAATTTTTTTTCCTAGCTAAACTGTATCCAGCTTTATTAAAGATACCTTCCATAAATAATCATGGTATTTCAGGCAGGACATGGGCAGAAAATCATTAACAGCATACAACAACTTTCAAACTCCCTTCTTCAATGAACTACCAAAAATCAGAAAGCCACTATAAACCCAGTGAAGTCTTCATGTGATGCTCTGAACAGGGAAAGTTTAGAGTGAGGGTTGACATTTCACATTTAGAATGTTGTTTAACAACTTTTCACGAGCCGATCCTGACTCAGGAAGTGAAATGAAAATGACAGAATTTATCTGAAGATCCACAATCTGGAAATGGAACCACTGCTCCTTTGAGGGGCTCCATCTCAGTGGTATCACTGGAACATCCAGATTGTCTGACACACTGGTAACCAATTATTGGGGGTCAGATCCCAGCAGATGTCTGGGTTAAAGGGAGTTAAGTCTATGCTGAAAGGTGGAAAGGGAGAAAAGAACATAAAAACAAATTTGTTTTTCCATCCCACAGGCTTTTGTGCCAAGGAGGCCCTGTGTATCTAAGTCAGGGAATCCCTCCTCCTGAGATCCAAGAAGAAGTCTCTCAAAGCTAGAAGGGAAAGGTATTTTCCCCACATCAGTCCAGCTTTGGAGACATTCTATTAGTGACATATGCCCCTTCCCCCAAAAACAACAGTAAGTGTTCTGTGTGCTAACAGCATAGCTTTGAAACACACACACACACACACACACACACACACACGCACACACGAGCACCTTGGGAGGCTGAGGCAGCCGGTTCACTTGAGGTCAGTTCAAGACCAGCTTGACCAACATGGTGAAACCCCACCTCTACTAAAAATACAAAAATTAGCCAGTTGTGGTGGCGTGTGTCTAATCCCAGCTACTCGGGAGGCTGAGGCTAGAGAATGGCTTGAACCCAGGAGGCGGAGGTTGCAGTGAGCAGAGATGATGCCATTGCACTCCAGCCTGGGCGATAGAGTGAGACTCTGTCTCAAAAAAAAAAAAAAAAAACCCACAAAATTTTGCATTTTTATAAAACTTGATAAAAATAGTATTTCAAACTGTATAGTCACCAGAAGTACACAGTTATCAAAAATGCACGTGCTTCACTTGGCATCTCCAGCACCCTCACCTTTCTGTGTCTGGTCTGTTTTGGCATCTCCATTTTCTGCAGGCTTATTCCCCTCCTTGCCAGTGTCAGCTTTTCCCATTTCTCCTTTGAGTACCTTCTCTCCGTTCTTTGCAGGGACCTTTTTAGGCTTGGTCTCTGGCTTTGGAGGAGCAGGTTTAGTAGACAACCTTGCAGATCTTCTCTGTGGTTTGTCCCTCACTTTGGCTTTATCTCCTTTAGCATCCCCTTCAGCCTTTCTCTTGGGCATGGTGCTGGCGATGTGGTAGGACATAGGTGCGTTATGTGGGCTTTGGTCAGTCTGGGGGTCGTTCTCCCTGCTTCTTCTTTACACTGCTCCTATAAATTGAATTATTATGTACTCTTTTGAATCTAGCTTCTTTCTCTCAGCTTAATTTTTTGAAATTCATATGTTGTGTGTATTAGTAGTTCATTCTTTTAATTGCTGAGTAGTGTTCCATTGTATGACTATATCACAATGTACTTAATCACCTGTTCATGAACATTTCGTTTCCAGTGTTTCTTCAAAAGACTTCATTTTTTTAGAGCAATTTTAGGTTCAACATCAAAACTGAGAAAAAGATACAGAGATATCCCACATACCCTCGTGCCCACGAGCGTATAGCATTCCCTATTATCAACATCCCCACCAGAATGGTACATTTGCTACAATTGATGAACCTTCATTGAGACATCATAATCACCCCAAGCCCATAGTTTACATTAGGGTTCACTCTTGGTGTTGTACATTCTATGGGTTTGGATAAATGCATAATGACAGCTGTCCACCATTCTAGTATCATATAGAGTATTTTCACTGCCCTAAAAATCCTGTGCATTCTGCCTATTCATCCCTTTTCCTTCTCCAGCCCCTGGCAACCCACTGAACCTTTTACTCTCTCCATGGTTTTAACTTTTTCAGAATGTCATATAGTTGGAATCATACACTATGCTGCCTTTTCAGATTGGTTTCTTAATTCCAGTTTTTATCTGTTATGAATAAAGTTGCTATAATTTTTTTCTATTAGAACAAAAATATTTACTTACAGGTATGGTGATCCTATTAGTGAGCTCTTAAATAATTCACAGAATTAATTCACTTTTTAAACTTTTTATTTTGAAATAATTATAAATTCACATGAATTTGAAAACATAGTACAGAGAAGTACCATATTTACTGTACCATTCACCGAGTTTCCCCTATTAGTTCCATCTTATGTAACTATAGAACAATATTAAAACCAGTACATTGACATTGGTGTAAAGTGAGTAGTATATCGTTCTTTGGTATTTTATCACATGTGTAGATTCATGTAACCAACACTGCAACCAAGATACAGAATTCCTTAACCCAATGATATCCCTGTGCTGCCTCTTTATAGTCACACACACACCCACTCCCTTTCACCATCCCTCACCCTTGGTAACCATCTCTATAATTTTGTCATTTTGAGAATGTTATATAAATGGAATCATGTAGTATAAAATCTTTGAGATTGGCTTTTTTTACTCAGCATAATGCCCTTGAGATCCATCTAAGTTGAGATGTCAAGAATCATTCCTATTTATTGCTGATATAGTTAGTTTTCCATGGTATGGATGTGTCACAGTTTGTTTGTTTTTCTGGCTTTCCTGCAGGTTACTTGAATACCTTTTAGAATTCAGTGTTTTAAAGTATATCTCTTTATATGGCCTTTTTGTCCTCACTCTAGATACTACATTTTGTATGTAACAAGTCATAGTCGGCTGTACTACAGTGCTACTTGGTGATGCTACATTTTATCACTTCCAGTAAAGTATAGAAACTTTTGCTCCCTTTAGTCCCCCCCATTTAATTATCTTAACATTTTTATATGTTTCTAATATATGTATATGTGTATATTACATGCATGTTTATATATATTTTTATGTGTATTAATGGTTTTATTTTCTTTACATACATTTTGAACCATATCATACAGCATTATAATTTTTGCTTCAACAGTCAAACATAATTTGGAGAACTCAAGTGGAATAGGAATCTGTTGTGTTTATACATATTTTTCCTCCTCCTGTCATCCTGCCTTCCTCATTATCCACGATTCCTGGATTATCCGAGATCTTTTTTCATTTCCTTTCTGTTTAGAGAATTTTCTTTATTCTTTTAGAGCAGATCTGCTAGTGAGAAATTCTCCTTTCTCTATAAATATTTTTATTTTTTTCTTCATTTCTGCAGGATATTTTTGCTGGTTAAAGAACTCTGAGTTAACAAGCCTTTTCTCCTAGCACCTGAAAGATATCGTGCCAGTTCCTTCTGGCTTCCGTGGTTTTTAATGAGAAATTTACTGTCATTAAACTGTTTTTCCCCTCTAGGGAAAATGTTGTTTTTCTGTTGCTGCTTTCAAGATTTTTTCTGTGTCTTCAGTTTTCAGAAGTTTGACTTTGATGTGTTTTGGCCTGGATTGATTTGGGGTTTACACTGTTTGGGGTTTACTTGTCTTCTTGAATCTGTAGGTTTTGTCTTTTGAGAACTTTTCAGTTCATATTTTTTCAAATTATTTTTCTGTCCTTTTTCTCCTTTCCTTTTGAGACTCTGATGACATGAATATTCATCTTTTATTATAGTTTCACGAGTCACCAAAGTTCTGTTTGTTTTTTTAGTTTGTTTTCTTCCTATTGTTCAGACTGGCAAATTTCTATTGTTTTATTTTTAGTACATTGATTCCTTCTTCTGTCACATCCATTCTGCTATTGAACCCATCCACTGACATTGATTTCAGTTATCGTAATTTTGGTTTTGTAATTTCATTATTTACATTCTGTATTTCTTTGCTGAGACTTTCTTTACTCAGGCTTTCTGTTTTTTTCATTTGTTTCCAACGTGTTGGTAATTGCCTGTTGAAGCATTTTAATGGTGGCTGCCTTAAAATCCTTGTGAGATAATTCTTTTTCTTTCTTTAAAAAAATACATTTACTTCTTTTTTCCTTTTTTTAAATTTTTTTATTTTATTTATTTATTTATTTTTTTGAGACAGAGTCTCACTGTGTCGCCCAGGCTGCACTGCAATCTCAGCTGACTGCAACCTCCGTCTCCCGGGTTCAAGCAATTCTCCTGCCTCAGCCTCCTGAGTAGCTGGGATTACAGGCACGCACCATCACACCCATCTAATTTTTGTATTTTTAGTAGAGATGGGATTTCACCGTGTTAGCCAGGATGGTCTCAATCTCCTGACCTCATGATCCACCCGCCTCGGCCTCCCAAAGTGCTGGGATTATAGGCATGAGCCACCATGCCCAGCCTCATTTGTTTCTTAAAATCTGTGTATAAGTGGACCCACTTGATTTAACCCATGTTGTTTAAGGATTGACTGTACGTTACCAAGATGTACATATTTATTTTATTTTTGGAATTTTGTCTTATTTCAATAGGTTTTGGGGGAACAGGTGGTGTTTGGTTACATGAATAAGTTCTTTAGTGGTGATTTATGAGATTTTGGTGCACCTATCACCCTAGAAGTACACGCTGTACCCAATGTGTAGTCTTTTATCCCTCACCTCCCTCTTATCATTCCTCCAAGTCCTCAAAGTTCGTTGTATCATTCTTATGTCTTTGCATCCTCATAGCTTAGCTTCCACTTATGAGTGAGAACATACTATGTTTGGTTTTCCATTCCTGAGTTACTTCACTTGGAATAATGGTCTCCAGTTCCATCTAGGTTGCTGCAAATGCCATTATTTTATTCCTTTTTATTGCTGAGTAGTATTCCATGGTATATATACGCCACATTTTCTCTATCCACTTATTGATTGATGGATATTTGGGCTGGTTCCATATTTTTGCAATTTTGAATTGTGCTGCTATAAACATGCATGTGCAAGTATCTTTTTTGTATAATGACCTTTTTTTTCCTCTGAATAGATATCCAGGAGTGGGATTGTTGGATCAAATGGTAAATCTGCTTTTAGTTCTTTAAGGAATCTCCATACTGTTTTCCATAGTGGTGTACTAGTTTATATTCCCACCAGCAGTGTAAAAGTGTTCCTTTTTTCATGACATCCACACCAACATCTATGTTTTTTTATTTTTTGATTATGAGTTTTTTTATTTTTGGTTTTTTAATTTTTGATTATGATTTATTTTATTTTATGGTTATTGTTGCAGGAGTAAGGTAGTATCTCATTGTGGTTTTGATTTGCATTTCCCTGATCATTAGTGATGTTGAGCACTGTTTCATATGTTTTTTGGCCATTTGTATATCTTCTTTTGAAAATTGTCTATTCATGTCTTTAGCCCACTTGATGGGATTTTTTTTTTCTTGCTAATTTGGTTCCTTGTAGATTCTGGATATTAGTCCTTTGTCGGATAGATTGCAAAGATTTTCTCCCACTCTGTGGGTTGTCTGGTTTCTCTGCTGATTGTTTCTTTTGCTGTGCAGAAGCTTTTTCGTTTAATTAAGTTCCATCTATTTATCTTTGTTTTTGTTGCGTTTGCTTTCGGGTTCTGGTCATGAAGTCTTTGCGTAAGCCAGTGTCTAGAAGGCTTTTCCCAATGTTATCTTCTAGAATTTTTATGGTTTCATGTCTCAGATGTAAATCTTTGGTCCATTTCGAGTGGATTTTTGTATAAGGTGAGAGATGAGGATCCAGTTTCATTCTTCTACATGTGGCTTGCCAATTATCCCAGCACCATTTGTTGAATAGTTTCCTTTTCCTACTTTATGTTTTTGTTGCTTTGTCAAAGATCAGTTGACTGTAAGTATTTCTCTTTATTTCTGGGTTCTCTATTCTGTTCCATTGGTCTCTATGCCTGTTTCTATTCCAGTACAATGCTGTTTTGGTGACTATGGCCTTATAGTATCGTTTGAAGTTGGGTAATGTGATGCCTCCAAATTTGTTCTTTTTGCTTAGTCTTGCTTTGGCTACGTGGGCTCTTTTTTGGTTCCATGTGAATTTTAGGATTTTTTTTCTAGTTCTGTGAAGAATGGTGGTGGTATTTTCATGGGAATTGCATTGAATTTGTTGATTGCTTTTGGCAGTATGGTCATTATCACAATATTGATTCTACCCATCCATGAAAATGGGATGTGTTTCTATTTGTTTTGTCATCTATAATTTCTTTCAGCAGTGTTTTGTAGTTTTCCTTGCAGAGGTCTTTCACTTTCACCTCTTGGTTAAGTATATTCCTAAGTTCTTTGTTTTTGTTTTTGTTTTTAACAGCTGTTATAAAAGGGGTTGAGTTCTTGATTTGATTCTCAGCTTGGTTGTTGTTGATGTGTAGCAGGGCTACTGATTTGTATACATTAATTTTGTATCCTGAAACTTTGCTGAATTCATTTACTAGTTCAGGAGCTTTTTGGATGAGTCTTTAGGGTTTTCTAGGTATATGATTATGTCATCAGCAAACAGTGACAGTTTGACTTCCTCTTTGCCAGTTTGGCTGCCCTTTATTTCTTTCTCTTGTCTAATTTTTCTGGCTAGGACTTCCAGTACTATGTTGAATAGAAGTGGTGAAAGTGGACATCCTTGTCCTGTTCCAGTTTTCAGGGGGAATACTTTCAACTTTTCCCCATTCAGTATAGTGTTAGCTGTGGGCTTGTCATAGATGGCTTTTATTACCTTAAGGTATGTTCCTTCTTTACGAATTTTGCTGAGGGTTTTAATCATACATAAAGGGATGCTGGATTTTGTCAAACGCTTTTTGTGCAATCTATTGAGATGATCATGTGATTTTTGTTTTTAATTCTTTTTCTGTGGTGTATCACATTTATTGACTTGCAGATGTTAAACCATCCCTGCATCCCTGTTATGAAACCCACTTGATCATGGTGGATTATCTTTTTTATCTCTGTTGGATTCGTTTAGCTAGTATTTTGTTAAGGATTTTTGCATCTATGTTCATCAGGGATATTGGTTTGTAGTTTTCTTTTTTTGGTTATGTCCTTTTCTGGTTTTGGTATTAGGGTGATACCGGCTTCATAGAATGATTTCGGGAGGATTCCTTCTTTCTGTATCTTCTGGAGTAGTGTCAATAGGACTGGTAACCAGTTCTTCTTTAAATGTCTGATAGAATTCAGCTGTGAATCCATCTAGTCCTGGACTTTTTTTGTTGGTAACTTTTAAATTACCATTTCATGCTTGTTGCTTGTTATTGGTCTGTTCAGAGTTTCTGTTTCTTCCTGGTTTAATCTAGGAGGGTTGTATATTCCCAGGAATTTATCCATCTCCTCTAGTTTTCTAGTTCATGCGCATAGAGGTGTTCATAGTAGCCTTGAATGATATTTTGTATTTCTTTGGTATTGGCTGTTATATCTCCCATTTTGTTTCTAATTGAGCTTATTTGGATCTTCTCTCTTCTTTCTTGGTTAATCTCACTAATGGTCTATCAATTTTATTTATCTTTTCAAAGAACCAGCTTTTTGTTGTATTTATCTTTTGTATTTTTTTGTTTGTTTGAATTTCATTTAGTACTGCTCTGATCTTGGTTGCTTGTTTTCTTCTGTTGGGCTTGGGTTTGGTTTGTTCTTCTTTCTCTAGCTCCTTGAGGTGTGACCTTAGATTGTCTGTGCTCCTTCAGACTTAACAATGTAGGCATTTAATGCTATGAATTTCCTGTTAGCACTGCCTTTGCTTATCCCAGAGGTTTTTATAGGTTGTGTCACTATTATCGTTCAGTTCAAATAATCTGTTAATTTCCATCTTGATTTCATTTTTGACTCAGTGATCATTCAGGAACATGTTGTTTAATTTCCATATATTTGCATGGTTTTGAAGGTTCCTTTTGGAGTTGATTTCCTTTTTTTTTATTATTATACTTTAAGTTCTAGGGTACATGTGCACAACGTGCAGGTTTGTTACATATGTATACATGTGCCGTGTTGGTGTGCTGCACCCATTAACTCGTCATTTACATTAGGTATGTCTCCTAATGCTATCCCTCCCCGCTCCTCCCACCCCACAACAGGCCGCAGTGTGTGATGTTCTCCTTCCTGTGTCCAAGTGTTCTCACTGTTCAGTTGCCACCTATGAGTGAGAACATGCGGTGTTTGGTTTTTTGTCCTTGTGATAGTTTGCTGAGAATGATGGTTTCCAGCTTCATCCATGTCCCTACAAAGGACATGAACTCACCCTTTTTTTATGGCTGCATAGTATTCCATGGTGTATATGTGCCACATTTTCTTAATCCAGTCTATCATTGATGGACATTTGGGTTGGTACCAAGTCTTTGCTATTGTGAATAGTGCCACAATAAGCATACATATGCATGTGTCTTTATAGCAGCATGATTTATAATCCTTTGGGTATATACCCAGTAATGGATGGCTGGGTCAAACGGTATTTCTAATTCTAGATCCCTGAGGAATCGCCACACTGACTTCCACAATGGTTGAACTAGTTTACAGTCCCACCAACAGTGTAAAAGTGTTCCTATTTCTCCACATCCTCTCCAGCACCTGTTGTTTCCTGACTTTTTAATGATCGCCATTCTAACTGCTGTGAGATGGTATCTCATTGCGGTTTAGTTTTGCGTTTCTCTGATGGCCAGTGATGATGGGCATTTTTTCATGTGTCTTTTGGCTGCATAAATATCTTCTTTTGAGAAGTGTCTGTTCATGTCCTTCGCCCACTTTTTGATGGGGTTGTTTGTTTTTTTCTTGTAAATTTGTTTGAGTTCATTGTAGATTCTGGATACAGAATCTTTGTCAGATGAGTAGAATGCAAAAATTTTCTCCCATTCTGTAGGTTGCCTGTTCACTCTGATGGTAGTTTCTTTTGCCGTGCGGAAGCTCTTTAGTTTAATTAGATCCCATTTGTGAATTTTGGCTTTTGTTGCCATTGCTTTTGGTATTTTAGACATGAAGTCCTTGCCCATGCCTACATCCTGCTCAACGAAATAAAAGAGGACACAAACAAATGGAAGAACATTCCATGCTTGTGAATAGGAAGAATCAATATTGTGAAAATGGCCATACTGCCCAAGGTAATTTATAGATTCAGTGCCATCCCCATCAAGCTACCAATGACTTTCTTCACAGAATTGGAAAAAACTACTTTAAAGTTCATATGGAACCAAAAAAGAGCCCTCATTGCCAAGTCAATCCTAAGCCTATGAGCTTAGCCGTTGAGCAGTGGTTTGTAGTTCTCCTTGAAAAGGTCCTTTACATCCCTTGTAAGTTGGATTCCTAGGTATTTTATTCTCTTTGAAGCAATTGTGAATGGGAGTTCACTCATGATTTGGCTCTCTGTTTGTCTGTTATTGGTGTATAAGAATGCTTATGATTTTTGCACATTGATTTTGTGTCCTGAGACTTTGCTGAAGTTGCTATCAGCTTAAGGAGATTTTGGGCTGAGACGATGGGGTTTTCTAGATATACAATCATGTCATCTGCAAACAGGGACAATTTGACTTCCTCTTTTCCTAATTGAATACCCTTTATTTCCTTCTCCTGCCTGATTGCCCTGGCCAGAACTTCCAACACTGTGTTGAATAGGAGTGGTGAGAGAGGGCATCCCTGTCTTGTGCCAGTTTTCAAAGGGAATGCTTCCAGTTTGTGCCCATTCAGTATGATATTGGCTGTGGGTTTGTCATAAATAGCTCTTATTATTTTGAGATATGTCCCATCAATACCTAATTTATTCCAAAATTGACCACATAGTTGGAAGTAAAGCACTCCTCAAAAGAACAGAAATTATAACAAACTATCTCTCAGACCACAGTGCAATCAAACTAGAACTCAGGATTAAGAAACTCACTCAAAACCGCTCAACTACATGGAAACTGAACAGCCTGCTCCTGAATGACTACTGGGTACATAACAAAATGAAGGCAGAAATAAAGATGTTCTTTGAAACCAGTGAGAACAAAGGTACAACATACCAGAATCTCTGGGACACATTTAAAGCAGTGTGTAGATGGAGTTGATTTCCAATTTTATTCCACTGTGGTCTAATAGAGTGCTTTGTATAATTTCGATTTTCTTAAATTTGTTGAGAGTTTGTGGCCTGTCATATGGTCTGTCTTGGAGAATGTTCCATGTGTTGAATAGAATGTATATTCTGCAGTTGTTGGGTAGAATGTTATGTAAATGTCTATTAAGCCCATTGTTTCTTTGTTGACTTTTTGTCTTGATTACCTGTCTAGTGCTGTCAGTGAAGTATTGAAGTCCCCCACTATTATTTTGTTGTTGCCTATCTAATTTCTTAGGTCTAGTAGTAATTGTTTTATAAATTGGGAGCTCCAGTGTTAGGTGCATATGTATGTAGGATTGTGATACTTTCCTGTTGTATTAGACCTTTTATCATTATGTAGTATCTCTCTTTGTCGTTTTTAACAGCTGTTGATTTAAAGTTTGTTTTGTCTGATATAAGAATAGCTACTCCTGCTTGCTTCTGGTGCCCATTTGCATGGAGTATCTTTTTCCACCCTGTTACCTTAGCTTTATGTGAGTCCTATGTGTCAGGTGAGTCTCTTGAAGACAGCAGATACTTAGTTACTGAATTCTTATCCATTCTGCCATTCTCTGTCTTTTAAGTGGAGCATTTCGGCCCATTACTTTCAACATTAGTATTGAGATATGAGGTACTATTCTATTCATCGTTCTATATATTGCCTGAATACCTTTTTTTTTTTTCATTGTGTTGTTGTTTTATAGGTCCTGTGAGATTTATGCTTTAAGGATATTCGATTTGGGTGTATTTGGAGGATTTGTTTCAAGATTTAGAGCTCCTTTTAGCGGTGCTCGTAGTGCTGGCTTGGTAGTGGCGAATTCTTTCAGCATTTGTTTGTCTGAAAAATACCATATCTTTTCTTCATTTATGAAGCCTAGTTTTGTTGCATACAAAATTCTTGGCTGATAATTATTTTGTTTAAGGAGGCTAAAGATAGGATTGCAGTCCCTTCTAGCTTGTAGGGTTTCTGCTGCGAAATCTGTGTTAATCTGATAGGTTTTTCTTTATAGGTTACCTGATACTTTTGCCTCACAGCTGTTAAGATTCTTTCCTTCATCTTGATTTTAGATAACCTGATGACTATGTGCCTAGGTGGTGATGTTTTTGCGATGAATTTCCCAGGAGTTCTTTGAGCTTTTTGTATTTGGATGTCTAGATCCCTAGCAAGGCCAAGAAAGTTTTCCTCAATTATTCTCTCAAATATGTTTTCCAAACTTTTAGATTTCTCTTCTTCCCCAGAAACACCAATTATTCTTAAATTTGGTCATTTAACATAATCTCAAACTTCTTGGAAGCTTTGTTCTTTTTTTTTTTTTGAGATGGAATCTCGCTCTGTCATCCAGACTGAAATGCAGTGGTGTGATCTCAGCTCACTGCGTCCTCTGCCTCCCAGGTTCAAGTGATTCTCCTACCTCAGCCTTCTGCGTAGCTGGGATTACAGGCACACACCACCACACCCAGCTAATTTGTGTATTTTAGGAGAGATGGGGTTTCACCATCTTGGCCAGGCTGGTCTCAAACTCCTGACATCAAGTGATCTGCCCACCTCGGCCTCCCAAAGTGCTGGGCTTATAGGCGTGAGCCACTGTGTCTGGCTTGTTCATTTTTTAAAAATTCTTTTTTCTTCTTTGTCTTTATCAGATTGGGTTAATTCGAAAGCCTTGTCTGCAAACTTGATATTCTTTCTTCTACTTGTTCAGTTCTATTTCTGAGGCATTCCATTGCATTTTGCAATTCTCTAAGTGTGCCCTTCATTTCCAGAAGTTGTGATTAGTTTTTATTTATGCTATCTATTACACTGGAGATTTTTCCATTCATATCCTATATCATTTTTTTTTATTTCTTGGACTTCACCTTTCTCTGATGCCTCCTCTATTGGCTTAATAGTCGACTTTGTGAATTCTTTTTCTGGCAATTCAGAGATTTTTTTTCCTGGTTCGGATCCATTGCTGGTGAGTTAGTGTGATTTTTTGGGGGTGTTAAAGAACCTTGTTTTGTCTATTATCAGAATTGTTTTTCTGGTTCCTTCTTATTCGGGTATACTATATCAAAGGGAAGATCTGAGACTCAAAGGCTGCTGTTCAGATTCTTTTGTCCCACGGGTTGCTCCCTTCATGTGGTGCTCTTCCCTTTCCCATAGGGATGGGAATTTCTGAGAGCCAAACTGCAGTGATTGTTATTTCTGTTCTGGATCTAGCCACCCAGCAGAGCTGTTAGGCTCTGGGCTAGTACAGGGGAGTATCTGCAAAGAGTCTTATGATGTGATCTGTCTTCAGGTCTCTCAGCCATGGATACCAACACCTGCTCTGGTGGAGGTAGCAGGGGCATGAAGTGGATACTATGAGGGTTCCTGGTTGTATTTTTGTTACACAAGCTGGTTTTGTGTTGATTGGCCTTCAGATAGGAGGTGGTGCTTTCAAGAGCATAATAGCTGTGGTAGTATAGGGAGGATGAGGAGAAGGTTGGGACCATAGACCTCTCAAGAGGCTATATCCTTCGTCTTCAGCTACCAGCAGGACCATCAGATGTGGACAGGGTTAGGTGTGTCTGAGCTCAGACTCTCCTTGGGCAGGGATGTGGCTGCTGTAGGGGATGGGGGTGTGTTTCCCAGGCCAATGCAATTACGTTCCCAGGAAGATTATGTTCCCAGTTATGTTCCCAGGAAGATTATGGCTGCCTCTGCTGCATCACACAGGTTGCCAGGGAAGTGGAGAATGCCGGCAGCCAGAGTCCTCACACAGCTCCCATGCATCCCACTGCCCAAAAGGCTGGTCCCACTCCCACTGTGCCCCTGCCCCCACCCCCACCAACAACACAGAGCTGATTTCCAGGCAACCAGTGAGGAGGGCTGAGAACTTGCCCCAGGCTACAAGCCTCCCCACTGAGAAAACAAGCTGACTCAGAGTTCCTTGGCTGTCCCACAGAGCCTACAGCAGCAATCCAGCTCCTTCAAAGGGTCTGTGGATTATCTCGGCTTTCCTGGTATGTTCTTGTGGTAGTTGTTGGAGCAGAAGTTCGTGATGTGGGTCTCTACATGCTGCTGTAACCATCCAACTGGGAGCTGAAGTTAGTCCTGCCTTCTATCTACCATTTTTCCTCCCTTGTAAAATAATTCTTATGTCTGTTATCTTGGTGTTGGTATCCATTGATTGTCTTTTCTCATTCAAGTTATGATTTTCCTGATTCTTGATATGGCAAATGGTTTTCAATCAAAACCTAGACATTTTGGACATTATGTCATGAGATTTTGCATTTCATTTAAGTCTTCTGTTTTGGCAGGTCTCTTTAAATAGTATCCTGGCAGGGGGAAAGGATGTTGCCTCATTACTGTCAGGTAGAGGAGTAAGTTCAGGGTCCTAATCATCCTCCAGTGACACTTGGCAGGAGGCGCCTGTTCTGGGCCGAGTTGGGAGTTTCAGCTTCGTACTAGGCCTCTGATGATACCCACTCTGTGGAGTAAATACCTAGGAGTAAAATTATTTGGTTCTTTGATTAGTTTTTAAATTTTATTGTATTTTATTTTTATTTTTTTTTATTATTATACTTTAACTTTTAGGGTACATGTGCACAATGTGCAGGTTAGTTACATATGTATACATGTGACATGCTGGTGCGCTGCACCCACTAACTTGTCATCTAGCGTTAGGTATATCTCCAAATGCTATCCCTCCCCCCTCTCCCCACCCCACAACAGTCCCCAGAGTGTGATGTTCCCCTTCCTGTGTCCATGTGTTCTCATTGTTCAGTTCCCACCTATGAGTGAGAATATGCGGTGTTTGGTTTTTCTTGTGATAGTTTACTGAGAATGATGATTTCCAATTTCATCCATGTCCCTACAAAGGACATGAACTCCTCATTTTTTATGGCTGCATAGTATTCCATGGTGTATACGTGCCACATTTTCTTAATCCAGTCTATCATTGTTGGACATTTGGGTTGGTTCCAAGTCTTTGCTATTGTGAATAGTGCCACAATAAACATACGTGTGCATGTGTCTTTATAGCAGCATGATTTATAGTCCTTTGGGTATATACCCAGTAATGGGATGGCTGGGTCAAATGGTATTTCTAGTTCTAGAGCCCTGAGGAATCGCCACACTGACTTCCACAATGGTTGAACTAGTTTACAGTCCCACCAACAGTGTAAAAGTGTTCCTATTTCTCCACATCCTCTCCAGCACCTGTTGTTTCCTGACTTTTTAATGATCGCCATTCTAACTGGTGTGAGATGGTATCTCATTGCAGTTTGGATTTGCATTTCTCTGATGGCCAGTGATGGTGAGCATTTTTTCATGTGTCTTTTGTCTGCATAAATGTCTTCTTTTGAGAAGTGTCTGTTCATGTCCTTCGCCCACTTTTTGATGGGGTTGTTTGTTTTTTTCTTGTAAATTTGTTTGAGTTCACTTTAGATTCTGGATATTAGCCCTTTGTCAGATGAGTAGGTTGCGAAAATTTTCTCCCATTTTGTGGGTTGTCTATTCACTTTGTTGGTAGTTTCTTTTGCTGTGCAGAAGCTCTTTAGTTTAATTAGATCCCATTTGTCAATTTTGGCTTTTGTTGCCATTGCTTTTGGTGTTTTAGACATGAAGTCCTTGCCCATGCCTATGTCCTGAATGGTAATGCCTGGGTTTTCTTCTAGGGTTTTTATGGTTTTAGGTCTAACGTTTAAGTCTTTAATCCATCTTGAATTGATTTTTGTGTAAGGTGTAAGGAAGGGATCCAGTTTCAGCTTTCTACATATGGCTAGACAGTTTTCCCAGCACCATTTATTAAATAGGGAATCCTTTCCCCATTGCTTGTTTTTCTCAGGTTTGTCAAAGATTAGATAGTTGCAGATATGCAGTGTTATTTCTGAGGGCTCTGTTCTGTTCCATTGATCTATATCTCTGTTTTGGTACCAGTACCATGCTGTTTTGGTTACTGTAGCCTTGTAGTATAGTTTGAAGTCAGGTAGTGTGATGCCTCCAGCTTTGTTCTTTTGGCTTAGGATTGACTTGGCGATGCGGGCTCTTTTTTGGTTTCATATGAACTTTAAAGTAGTTTTTTCCAATTCTGTGAAGAAAGTCATTGGTAGCTTGATGGGGATGGCATTGAATCTATAAATTACCTTGGGCAGTATGGCCATTTTCACGATATTGATTCTTCCTACCCATGAGCGTGGAATGTTCTTCCATTTGTTGGTATCCTCTTTTATTTCATTGAGCAGTGGTTTGTAGTTCTCCTTGAAGAGGTCCTTCACGTCCCTTGTAAATTGGATTCCTAGGTATTGTATTCTCTTTGAAGCAATTGTGAATGGGAGTTCACTCATGATTTGGCTCTCTGTTTGTCTGTTATTGGTGTATAAGAATGCTTGTGATTTTATACATTGATTTTGTATCCTGAGACTTTGCTGAAGTTGCTTATCAGCTTTAGGAGATTTTGGGCTGAGACAATGGGGTTTTCTAGATATACAATCATGTCATCTGCAAACAGGGACAATTTGACTTCCTCTTTTCCTAATTGAATACCCTTTATTTCCTTCTCCTGCCTGATTGCCCTGGCCAGAACTTCCAACACTATGTTGAATAGGAGTGGTGAGAGAGGGCATCCCTGTCTTGTGCCAGTTTTCAAAGGGAATGCTTCCAGTTTTTGCCCATTCAGTATGATGTTGGCTGTGGGTTTGTCACAGATAGCTCTTATTATTTTGAGATACGTCCCATCAATACCTAATTTATTGAGAGTTTTTAGCATGAAGGGTTGTTGAATTTTGTCAAAGGCCTTTTCTGCATCTATTGAGATAATCGTGGTTTTTGTCGTTGGTTCTGTTTATATGCTGGATTATGTTTATTGATTTGCGTATGTTGAACCAGCCTTGCATCCCAGGTTGAAGCCCACTTGATCATGGTAGATAAGCTTTTGGATGTGCTGCTGGATTCGGTTTGCTAGTATTTTATTGAGGATTTTTGCATCGATGTTCATCAGGGATATTGGTCTAAAATTCTTTTTTTTGTTGTTGTGTCTCTGCCAGGCTTTGGTATCAGGATGATGCTGGCCTCATAAAATGAGTTAGGGAGGATTCCCTCTTTTTCTATTGATTGGAATAGTTTCAGAAGGAATGGTACCAGCTCCTCCTTGTACCTTTAGTAGAATTCGGCTGTGAATCCATCTGGTCCTGGCCTTTTTTTGGTTAGTAAGCTATTAATTATTGCCTCAATTTCAGAGCCTGTTATTGGTCTATTCAGAGATTCAGCTTCTTCCTGGTTTAGTCTTGGGAGGGTGTAGGTGTCGAGGAATTTATCCATTTATTCTAGATTTTCTAGTTTATTTGTGTAGAGGTGTTTATAGTATTCTCTGATGGTAGTTTGTATTTCTGTGGGATCGGTGGTGATATCCCGTTTATCATTTTTTATTACGTCTATTTGATTCTTCTCTCTTTTCTTCTTTATTAGTCTAGCTAGCGGTCTATCAATTTTGTTGATCTTTTCAAAAAACCAGCTCCTGGATTCATTGATTTTTTTGAAGTGTTTTTTATGTGTCTATTTCCTTCAGTTCTGCTCTGATCTTAGTTATTTCTTGCCTTCTACTAGCTTTTGAATGTGTTTCCTCTTGCTTCTCTAGTTCTTTTAATTGTGATGTTATGGTGTCAATTTTAGATCTTTCTTGGTTTCTCTTGTGGGCATTTAGTGCTATAAATTTCCCTCTACGCACTGCTTTGAATGTGTCCCAGAGATTCTGGTATGTTGTGTCTTTGTTCTCATTGGTTTCAAAGAACATCTTTATTTCTGCCTTCATTTCATTATGTACCCAGTAGTCATTCAGGAGCAGGTTGTTCAGTTTCCATGTAGCTGAGTGGTTTTGAGTGAGTTTCTTAATCCTGAGTTCTAGTTTGATTGTACTGTGGCCTGAGAGACAGTTTGTTATAATTTCTGTTCTTTTACATTTGCTGAGGACTGCTTTACTTCCAACTATGTGGTCAATTTTGGAATAGGTGTGGTGTGGTGCTGAAAAAAATGTATATTCTGTTGATTTGGGGTGGAGAGTTCTGTAGATGTCTATTAGGTCTGCTTGGTGCAGAGCTGAGTTCAATTCCTGCGTATCCTTGTTAACTTTCTGTCTCGTTGGTCTGTCTAATGTTGTCTGTGGGGTGTTAAAGTGTCCCATTATTATTGTGTGGGAGTCTCTTTGTAGGTCTCTAAGGACTTGCTTTATGAATCTGGGTGCTCCTGTATTGGGTGCATATATATTTAGGATAGTTAGCTCTTCTTGTTCAATTGATCCCTTTACCATTATGTAATGGCCCTCTTTGTCTCTTTTGATCTTTATTGGTTTAAAGTCTGTTTTATCAGAGACTAGGATTGCAACCCCTGCCTTTTTTGTTTTCCATTTGCTTAGTAGATCTTCCTCCATCCCTTTATTTTGAGCCTACGTGTGTCTCTGCATGTGAGATGGGTTTCCTGAATACAGCACACTGATGGGTCTTGACTCTTTATCCAATTTGCCAGTCTGTGTCTTCTAATTGGAGCATTTAGCCCATTTACATTTAAAGTTAATATTGTTATGTGTGAATTTGATCCTGTCATTATGATGTTAGCTGGTTATTTTGCTCGTTAGTTGATGCAATTTCTTCCTAGCATCGATGGTCTTTACAGTTTGACATGTTTTTGCAGTGGCTGGAACTGGTTGTTCCTTTCCATGTTTAGTGCTTCCTTCAGGAGTTCTTTTAGGGCAGGCCTGGTAGTGACAAAATCTCTCAGCATTTGCTTGTCTGTAAAGTATTTTATTTCTCCTTCACTTATGAAGCTTAGTTTGGCTGGATATGAAATTGTGGGTTGAAAATTCTTTTCTTTAAGAATGTTGAATATTGGCCCCCACTCTCTTCTGGCTTGTAGAGTTTCTGCCAAGAGATCAGCTGTTAGTCTGATGGGCTTCCCTTTGTGGGTAACCCGACCTTTCTCTCTGGCTGCCCTTAACATTTTTTCCTTCATTTCAACTTTGGTGAATCTGACAATTATGTGTCTTAGAGTTGCTCTTCTGGAGGAGTATCTTTATGACGTTCTCTGTATTTCCCGAATCTGAATGTTGGCCTGCCTTGCTAGATTGGGGAAGTTCTCCTGGATAATATCCTGCAGAGTGTTTTCCAAGTTGGTTCCATTCTCCCCGTCACTTTCAGGTACACCAATCAGATATAGATTTGGTCTGTTCACATAGTCCTATATTTGTTGGAGGCTTTGTTCTTTTTTTTTATTCTTTTTTTCTAAACTCGCATTTCATTCATTTGATCTTCCATCACTGATACCCTTTCTTCCAGTTGATCGAATCGGCTGCTGAGGCTCGTGCATTCATCACATAGTTCTCGTGCCGTGGTTTTCAGCTCCATCAGCTCCTTTAAGGACTTCTCTGCATTGGTTATTCTAGTTAGCCATTCGTCTAATCTTGTTTCAAGGTTTTTAACTTCTTTGCCATGGGTTCGAACTTCCTCCTTTAGCTTGGAGTAGTTTGATCGTCTGAAGCCTTCTTCTCTCAACTCATCAAAGTCATTCTCCATCCGGCTTTGTTCCATTGCTGGTGAGGAGCTGCATTCCTTTGGAGGAGGAGAGGCGCTCTGATTTTTAGAATTTTCAGTGTTTCTGCTCTGTTTTTTCCCCATCTTTGTGGTTTTATCTACCTTTGGTCTTTGATGATGGTGACATACAGATGGGGTTTTGGTGTGGATGTCCTTTCTGTTTATTAGTTTTCCTTCTAACAGTCAGGACCCTCAGCTGCAGGTCTGTTGGAGTTTGCTGGGGGTCCTCTCCAGATGCTGTTTGCCTGGGTATCAGCAGCGGAGGCTGCACAACAGCAGATATTGGTGAACAGCAAATGTTGCTGCCTGATCATTCCTCTGGAAGGTTTGTCTCAGAGGAGTACCCGGCCATGTGAGGTGTCAGTCTGCCTCTACTGGGGGGTGCCTCCCAGTTAGGCTACTTGGGCGTCAGGGAGCCACTTGACGAGGCAGTCTGTCCGTTCTCAGATCTCAAGCTGCGTGCTGGGAGAACCACTACTCTCTTCAAAGCTCAGTTGGAAATGCAGAAATCATACATCTTCTGTGTCGCTCACGCTGGGAGCTGTAGACTAGAGCTGTTCCTATTCGGCCATCTTGGCTCCACCTTTTTTTCTTCTGTGTATGAACTACTGCTTATCTGTCTAGTGAAATATTCATTTGTCTCTATATATTTTATCTCTAGAAGTTATTTTTTGGTTCTTTTTGAAAATCCTCTATTTCTGTCACCATTATATTGCTTTTTTCATTTATGTCTTTGAATATAGAGCATAGTTATTACAGCCCTTTTAATGTCTTTGCCTGCCATTTCTATCATTTCTATCATTTCTGGGTTTCTTTCTATTGATTGATATTTTTCTGGTTATGGGCCACATTTCCCTGATTCTTACTGTGTTCAGTAATTTTTTTATTAAATGATAAATATTTATGAATTTAAATATTTGAGTCCTTAATCTTGTTTTATATCTTTAAAGAATGTTGGACTTCTTCCTGAAAAGCATTTTTGTTAAGTACAGATTAGTTTGTTCAGTTCTAGGCTTAAACATTCCTTTCAGGCATATCTAGAGTGGCCTTTATTCTAGGGCCCCTCACTCAGTGATTTGTCCCTTCTGGGGACCCTGCTGATTGCTTTGTATATTTGGGTTTCTCTCTTCTTGCGGAAGGGAGCTTGTTGAATTCTTGGTCCTATGTCAGCTCTGAGAATCTTTGTATTGCAACTATCTGGTAACATTTTTTCCTTAGATGTTTTTCTCTGGTCTCAAAAAAAATTTTACCCTTCTTAATGTAACGTTTTTATCTAGCTAAATGCTCAGGAGAACCCTTATTCAGATTACTTTAGCTGTCTCCCTCTTCTCTGGAATTCTGCTCCATAAATTCTAGCCTTCTTGGCCTCCTTGCACTTTTTTCTATCTCTCCAAGTAAACAAGATTGCCAGGCTCTGTGTAAATTCTTCCTCCCTCTACTGAAGTGGTAAATTTCTTTCTGGCTGAGAGCCTGAGTTGCTGGTAGGACTCCCCTTATTTCTGTTTTCTTAGGGATCATAATACTGCATTGCCTGTGTCTGAAAATAGTCCTTTCCAGTATTTTATGCTGTATTCTAATTGTTTATGGTGAGAGGATCATCCTGGAACTGTTTAATCCCTCATGGTCAGAAGCAGAAGTTGAATTATTGTAGAATAGGTTTTAAGGCTAACACCTTTGCAGAATTCAGAAGCTCCCAAGAAATTGTTTCCTAACACTTATCCATTGATGTACTTTTTCTCAGTATTGTTATAAATGAACTGTGTCTGCTATGGGAACTATTATTTATTTTTCAAATCAGAGAGCCCATTACAAACTTTAAATCAGAAACTGATCAGAAGAAAAGGATATATCATACTTAATAAATTTTATGAATCAGGAAAATTGATTTCTTGAGAATATAAAAATTGTCTCTATTATGAGATACTAATTTTAAATATAAAATTATTAACATTCATTAGAAATATGAAGGAATGGCATTACCAGAGTGTAAGGACTAAAATAAACCATTTGATCTAGTCATTTAAAATATGAATTCTAAAATTTTAGCAAATAGCCATCTTGAATGTAGTTTGTATTAGAAATTTGGTAAGTGTTATCTGTAAAGGGCCAAATAATGTATATTTTGGGCTTTGTAGGCATTTAGTTACTGTAACAACTACTTAACTCTACCTTTACGGTAAAAAATCAGCCATAGACTGGTTCAATATACGCAAATCAATAAATGTAATCCAGCATATAAACAGAACCAAAGACAAAAACCACATGATTATCTCAATAGATGGAGAAAAGGCCTTTGACAAAATTCAACAACCCTTCATGCTAAAAACTCTCAATAAATTAGGTATTGATGGGACGTATCTCAAAATAATAAGAGCTATCTATGACAAACCCACAGCCAACATCATACTGAATGGGCAAAAACTGGAAACATTCCCTTTGAAAACTGGCACAAGACAGGGATGCCCTCTCTCACCACTCCTATTCAACATAGTGTTGGAAGTTCTGGCCAGGGCAATCAGGCAGGAGAAGGAAATAAAGGGTATTCAATTAGGAAAAGAGGAAGTCAAATTGTCCCTGTTTGCAGATGACATGATTGTATATCTAGAAACCCCATTGTCTCAGCCCAAAATCTCCTAAAGCTGATAAGCAACTTCAGCAAAGTCTCAGGATACAAAATCAATGTACAAAATCACAAGCATTCTTATACACCAATAACAGACAAACAGAGAGCCAAATCATGAGTGAACTCCCATTCACAATTGCTTCAAAGAGAATACAATACCTAGGAATCCAACGTACAAGGGACGTGAAGGACCTCTTCAAGGAGAACTACAAACCACTGCTCAATGAAATAAAAGAGGATACCAACAAATGGAAGAACATTCCACGCTCATGGGTAGGAAGAATCAATATCATGAAAAAGGCCATACTGCCCAAGGTAATTTATAGATTCAATGCCATCCCCATCAAGCTACCAATGACTTTCTTCACAGAATTGGAAAAAACTACTTTAAAGTTCATATGAAACCAAAAAGAGCCCGCATTGCCAAGTCAATCCTAAGCCAAAAGAACAAAGCTGGAGGCATCACGCCACCTGACTTCAAACTATACTACAAGGCTACAGTAACCAAAACAGCATGGTACTGTTACCAAAATAGAGATATAGATCAATGGAACAGAACAGAGCCCTCAGAAATGACACCGCATGTCTACAACTATCTGATCTTTGACAAACCTGAGAAAAACAAGCAATGGGGAAAGGATTCCCTATTTAATAAATGGTGATGGGAAAACTGGCTAGCTATATGTAGAAAGCTGAAACTGGATCCCTTCCTTACACCTTATACAAAAATCAATTCAAGATGGATTAAAGACTTAAACGTTAGACCTGAAACCATAAAAACCCTAGAAGAAAACCTAGGCCTTACCATTCAGGACATAGGCACAGGCAAGGACTTCATGTCTAAAACACCAAAAGCAATGGCAACAAAAGCCAAAATTGACAAATGGGATCTAGTTAAACTAAAGAGCTTCTGCACAGCAAAAGAAACTACCATCAGAGTGAACAGGCAACCTACAAAATGGGAGAGAATTTTTGCAACCTACTCATCTGACAAAGGGCTAATATCCAGAATCTAAAGTGAACTCAAACAAATTTACAAGAAAAAAACAAACAACCCCATCAAAAAGTGGGCGAAGGACATGAACAGACACTTCTCAAAAGAAGACATTTATGCAGCCAAAAGACACATGAAAAAATGCTCATCATCACTGGCCATCAGAGAAATGCAAATCAAAACCACAATGAGATACCATCTCACACCAGTTAGAATGGCAATCATTAAAAAGTCAGGAAACAACAGGTGCTGGAGAGGATGTGGAGAAATAGGAACACTTTTACACTGTTGGTGGGACTGTAAACTAGTTCAACCATTGTGGAAGTCAGTGTGGCGATTCCTCAGGGCTCTAGAACTAGAAATACCATTTGACCCAGCCATCCCATTACTGGGTATATACCCAAAGGACTATAAATCATGCTGCTATAAAGACACATGCACACGTATGTTTATTGTGGCACTGTTCACAATAGTAAAGACTTGGAACCAACCCAAATGTCCATCAATGATAGACTGGATTAAGAAAATGTGACACGTATGCACCATGGAATACTATGCAGCCATAAAAAATGAGGAGTTCATGTCCTTTGTAGGGACATGGATGAAATTGGAAATCATCATTCTCAGTATACTATCGCAAGGACAAAAAACCAAACACCGCATGTTCTCACTCATAGGTGGGAATTGAAAAATGAGAACACATGGACACAGGAAGGGGAACATCACACTCTGGGGACTGTTGTGGGGTGGGGGGAGGTGGGAGGGATAGCATTAGGAGATATAGCTAATGCTAAATGACGAGTTAATGGGTGCAGCACACCAGCATGGCACATGTATACATATGTAAGTAACCTGCACATTGTGCACATGTACCCTGAAAATTAAAGTATAATAATAATAAAATTTAAAAAAAATTAGCCATAGACAATATATAAACAAATGAACTGGCTATGTTCTGATAAAATTTTATTTATGGACCATGACATTTGAATTTCATCTAGTTTTTATGTCTCAAAATATTCTCCTTTTGATTTTTTTCAACTCTTTAAAAATGTAAAAACTATTTTTACCTAGCAAACCATATATAAGCAGGTGGCAGGTTGTATTTGACCTATGGGTAAAGGCTTGACAACCCTTACTTTATGATTAAAAATCTCCTCAGTAAGCTATCAGATTCCTAGTAGACCATTGTATTTCCATTCTATATGATTTTTTTTTTTTTACCTGAAACTATTCGCTACTATTAAGTTAAATAGCAGAGTAAATAAGATCACACCAATTTTAGCCTGTAGGGCTTTGAAAGATTATATAGTGTCAAAGGTTTGAAATCATTTATAGTGTCTGAGTTTCTTCAGCCAGTTGGGGAGTTGAGGCTAGTGTCTAATTTATCTTACTACCAAGCCTGCACATTTTATATTTTTCAGTCATGCAAGGCTAATTCCTTCCTCCCTATTTTTGTTTTATTATGCTTATCTTATTAATGTTCCCAAATTAGTACATAGTTCTTTATCCTGAATTTAGTCATTTTTGGATGAAGTTGTCTGGGTACTCATGAACAGAAAGTCCCTTCACCTTATATTTAACTTCATGCTATCCCCACCTACAAGATCTTGGATTTTTTTCCTCTTAGTTCACAATCTTGAGACAATAGCTTCTTTTCTGCATTACCTGTGTCTATAATGTCTTTCACATGACCCTATTACCCAGTTACAACACAAAATACATTTCAAAGCATATTTTCTTTATTCTACCTGATGTGCCTTAGCATACTGGTCAGTCCCCTGTTAGAATGCTCAGAATTTGTTATCTAATATCTATCTGAAGCAGGATTGAAATATATGCCCTACTATTTTGTTTGGTGCTATATCCATAACATTAATTCAGTCCCTAGTTTAGAAGAATTATTATGCATTTCATGGTTTATAACCATAAGTGTATTTTCTTTCCTTCCTCCTTAAGGTGTATAGTTGATGTTGTTCTTTACCAGTAGCCAAAATCCAGTACTATGAATGTTCTGGAAGAAAGGGCTTAGGTTTAATTTAGGTGAGTGCTGCTATTGCATCATAAATGGTTGGTGACATAGTTGCATATGGCCGCATATTTTGGGAATATTTTTCTTGTTTGCATGTCTTCATGATGTTTTCCCAAAACGTTGTAACATTGTCAAGAAATAAAACAGAAAGGTAACTTCTTTCTTTTCTAATGCAGGGAGAGAAGAACTTTTGTTTTCAAATATGAAATAAAAATAAGGATTGGTACCGGCAGAAGCTTGGAATAAATGGAGAGTCAGAACCCAAACAGAATTTCCATTGTTAGTAAAATAAGTTAACAATTTTAAATAATTGTTATTTCATTGTTGTTATTACACAGGAATAAATAATTAATAGGTTTAAAATCAGGCCAATTTTTAAATTTTGGGCATGGTACTGGTATGATATTCAAGATATCTTCTCACAAATTGTTAATTCGTTGTTTTGATAATTTAGAAACATTTTTTCTAGGAGCATTAGGTACTCCTTCCTATCTTAATACATGTGTGCCCTATATCTGGAAAATTCTACTCCTAAATCTTTACATGTCTGGCTCATTTTATTCAATTTCAACTTGGCATCATCTCCTCAGAGAGTTTTAGTTTATATGCTATCTAAAACAGCATCTTCACCTTCCCATTCTCTTTGTAACAGTCAATTTTATTTTTTTCAGAGCATTGAAGATCTCTGAAATCAGTTTATTATTTGTCCATGTTTCTGTACTAGAAGGTAAACGTAAACTCTGTGAGAGCAGAGATCTTGCATTTTTATTGTTTCTCTACTACTTAGAACACTGCCTTTCACACAGTAGTTCTTAAGTATATAATTCATATGTGGTTGACTAGAAGGATGCATAAATAAAAGTATGTCAGCGGGCATGGTGGCTCACACCTGTAATTCTAGTACTTTGAAAGGCTGTGGTGGGAAGATAGCTTGAGCCCAGGAGTTCAGGACTAGCCTAGGCAATGTAGTGAGACCCAGTTTCTACAAAAAATGTAAAAATTAGCAGAGCATGGTGGCGTGTGACTGTAGTCTCAGCTACTCAAGAGGCTGAGGCAGGAGGATTGCTTGAGCCTAGGAGGTCAAGGATGCAGTGAGCCGTGATCATGCCACTGTACTCCAGCCTGGATGACAGAGTGAGACCCTGCCTTTTAAACAAACAAACAAAATAATAAATACTCATTGCTGCTTACTTGGTTAGAAAATAAAAAATAAGAATAAAGAGAAAAAATTTTTATAAAAGAACATATCCTGAATGACCTGTGAAATAATAAGCAGTCAAACTTATGTATATTGGAATCCCCAAGAGGAAGGGAGAATATGGGATAGAACAATTTTTTTTTAAGAAATAAGTGCTAAAAATTTCCCATATTGGGCAAAAACATAACTCACAGAATGAAGGTCAGTAAACTCCAAGTAGAATAAATGCAAAGAAAATCAAATCTAGACATATAATAGTCGCACTACTAAAGTCCAAAGATAGGCCAGGCGCAGTGGCTCACACCTGTAATTCTAGCACTTTGGGAGGCCAAGGCAGGTGGATCACCTGAGGTCAGGAGTTTGGGACCAGCCTGGCCAACATGGTGAAATGCTGTCTCTACTAAAAATACAAAAATTAGCCAAGTTATGGTGGCAGGCACCTGTAATCGCAGCTACTCAGGAGGCTGAGGCAGGAGAATCGCTTCAACCCAGAGGGTGGATGTTGCAGTGAGCCAATATCGTGGCACTTGAGCCTGGGCAAAAGAGCAAAACTCTATCTCAAAAAAATAGAAATAAAGTTCAAAGATAAAGAGAAAATCTTCAAAATAGCCAGAAAACAAAAGAAGCATTAAATACAGGATAGCAATAATATTACTGACAGCTGACTTATCAGAAAAATCGAAGACAAAAAATTATGGAATGACATTAGTAAAAAGTTGTAAGGATGAAGAAAAAACAAAACCTTTAGGTCACAATGCAATATCCAATGAAAATATCATTCAAAAATGAAGGTAAAGTAAGACAATTTCACATTTTAAAAACTTAGATATTTATTGTTAATAGACATACAATATAAGAACTACTAAGAGTTTCTAAGCTGAAAGGCAGTGATATCAGATGGAAACTCAGTTCTACAGGAAGAAATGAATACCACCAAGGTGATAAATACAAATGGCTTTTTGTTTTTCCTCTGTCACTTTCTTTAAAAGAAAGCTGACTTTTTAAAACAAAAGTTGAATGGTATCATTATGAGGTTTTGTAATATATGTAGAGGTATAATATATGATCACACTAGCAAAAGAATATTATAATAAATGGAATTACAGTCATCCTTGATGTGTCCTCAGGAGATTGGCTCCAGGACCACCCCCCCCCCAACGCATACCAAAATTCACAGATGCTCAGGTTCTTTATATAAAATGTAGTGTTTGCATATAATCTATATACATCCTCTTGTATATAGTATACAATAACTCAGTTATTTTTCTTGTGTTTGGTGTTACAGTGAAACAAATTAGGGGTTGGGTCAGTTTTGAACATGTATAAGATAGATGCTCAAGAATCAGAAATAGGTAGACATGTATTTAATTTTGGGTGATATTTTTAAAAACGAAATTAAAAATCATACTTGAGCCTAAACTAAAACTGCAAAGTGGCTAGTGAAATATTTACATTTGGAGATACCTGCTTTCAATATTTTAGAGAGGTCTTTATACTGAAGTTGGACATTGTGGCCCTTAGAATCATATTTTTATAAAGTTCGAGTTTAATGACTTGTCATTGAGTTAGTATTCATATACTTCCAGTAGAATAAGTCTCTACAAAAACAATCAAATGAAGACTTAGAAAATCTCAAGTGCATCGGTGCTCTTTCGGTTCTTGTAAGTTACTGGTTCTTTGGTATGCCATGGGGAGGTCTTGAGTGTGTGAGGTTCTATGCGTGTCTCCACCTAAGTAGAAAAGATATTCCTTAAATGAATTAGATGAATTATAACTGTTGAGTGAGGGTGATATTAGGAATATCTAAGAAAAGATGTCCAATATATTTGAAATTATATTACTCTCCAGTTTTGCTCTATTTTTTTTCTCTTGCAGTAAACATTGCTATCTTCAGAAATTAAGGAATGAGAGGCAAGGAAGAAAGGACATTCATCTTGGAAAGACCCAAAGCACCTTGAAATTTGGAAGGAATGTTTTGCTAGCTGCTAAAACCACCTTTGTCACCAGAATGAATGAAGTGCTTCAGATTTAAATAGTAAGCAGAATTCTCCTAACATGTTACATTTCCACCAAGAATTTTAGATGACTGGAAAGAATTTCTTTTTAAGTTTAAATGTTTAACTTAAATGCCAAACTATAGATAAAGCTGAACATTTTATAACTTATTTAGCATAACCAGGCTTTGGTCCTTAATGTTTGCTCAAAAGAATTTTTTCCCCTAGTTATAAACTTAATTTAGAAATGTAAGATTATTTGAGAAAGAATATGGAAAATACTAGTATATTTATAAGTCCATCTGATGCAGGGCAGGTGAGCCCTAAAGCAGAGCTTAGCCCATGAGGGATCTTGGCTTTGCGAAGGCAAGAATTAAAGGGCAAGCCAGAGGTAGAAGAAAACAGCTTTACTGAACAGGCAGTGTTACAGCTCCAGTGGTATCACAGCTCTTTGACTGCTCCTGCAGAGCAGGGGTACTTTGTAGGCAGACAGTAGCAGCTCAGGACAGTTTTGCAGTCATATTTATACCTTCCTTTAACTGCATGCAGATTAAGGGATGATTTATGCAGAAATTTCTAGGGAAAGGGTAGTAATCACTGAGTCATTACCATGGAAAGAGGCGGTAACTTCTGGGTGTTGCCATGGCAACAGTACATTCACATGGCATGATTGAAGGCTGCTGTCCCCCCTGACATCCCCATTTTAGCTAGTCCTGTATCTGGTCCAGTGTCTGAGCCCCACCTCTGGAGTAAAGTCCCGCCTCCTACCTCACATCCTTCAACAATTATTTTTTCGTTTCATAGAAATAATCAAGCAACATAGGTAGTAGTTCCTATTCAGTATGCAAAGGATTTTTTGGTGTTATTTTTTGAACTTTATTTCTTGTTTTATTTTCCTTACTTGACATCTAGTTTCTAGAGATCTTATTTTAATATAATCTTTATTTACTCTTTTGCCTTTCTTTCTTTCTACCTTTTGAAAATCATTTCGAAAGAATTGGGAGTTATAAAATGGACAAGAATCCAAAATAGTAAAGGAGAGGGAAATTTTGAAGGATTATAAGATTTTTTCTTCTTGTGAAATTGAAAATACTATTTGATTTCAAGTAGTGTAGAAAGCAATTATATGAAGGCTTAAGATCCTTTATCATTCTTAAATCCTCTTAGTCCTAGACCAGAATTATTTCAATGCATGTTTTGTAAAGATTCAAATATTTCCAATTTTTTACTTGAAATCCTAGTGAACAATTATAACTCTTAATCATTGGATTTCTACTAATTTGATTTTGAGAGATAATCATTTGCTTGAGTCACTATGTCTTGATAGTGAATGGGTATGATGGACCGAAACTAGTTTCTTGCTTTGAAATGCAGGAGATATGAAAAGTCAATCAAATAGCATCATGTTCTAGTTCTAATAATTCTAAGGAATGCAGAACCTGTTTCATGTTGGTAAATATGAGACAGGAGAAATTATATACCAAAGAATGAATGTTCTAATTATTCTTCCCTGTACTAACATTAACCTTGATTAAAAATATCTTGGATGGGGCACGGTGGCCTGTAATCCCAGCACTTTGGGAGGCCAAGGCAGGCGGATCACTTGAGGTCAGGAGTTCAAGACCAGCCTGACCAACATGGTGAAACCCCATCTCTATTAAAAATATAAAAATTAGGCCAGGTGCAGTGGCATACGCCTGTAATCCCAGCACTTTGGGAGGCTGAGGCAGGCAGATCACAAGGTCAGGAGATGGAGACCATCCTGGCTAACATGGTGAAACCCTATCTCTGCTAAAAATAAAAAAAAATTAGCCTGGTATGGTGGCAGGCACCTGTAGTCCCAGCTACTCGGGAGGCTGAGGCAGGAGAGTGGCGTGAACCCAGAAGGTGGAGCTTACAGTGAGCTGAGATTGCGCCACTGCACTCCAGTCTGGGCAGCAGAGCGAGACTCCATCTCAAAAAACAAAAAACAAACAAACAAAAAAACACAAAAATTAGCCGGGTGTGGTGGCGCATGCCTGTAATCCCAGCTACTCAGGAGGCTGAGGCAGGAGAATTGCTTGAACCCAGGAAGCAGAGGTTACAGTGAGCCAAGATCATGCCACTGCACTCCAGCCTGGGTGACGGAGTGAAACTCTGTCAAAAAAAAATATATATATATATATATACATATACATATATATGTGTATATATATACATATATATGTATATATATGTATATATATACATATACATATATATGTATATATATGTATATATATATCTTAACAGTGATTTCTTTAAAAAAAAATCTCTAATTGTGGGTTAAACCTCTACTTGTGGCATTATTGGAGCTTTTTTGTGCCCTTGTCACTGGTAGACATGTGGCCACATTCACCCTTCTAAAATATCCAGTAAATTCTTTCTGGTTCTCAACTATTTAAAAAAAATTTTTTTTGTTGAAGAAAGGAACTTTTAAAACACTGCAGAAATTAAAGTGTTAAGTGTTAACTTATGCAGGTGAGATAATACATAGAAAGTGATCAGATTTCCCTGTCTCTCTGTTATTGATTTAAGTGTACCTATTTAATTATATCTGTTTCAGGGCCAGGCGTAGTGGCTCACACCTGTAATTCCAGCACTTTGGGAGGCCGAGGTGGGTGGATCACCTGAGGTCAGGAGTTCAAGACCAGTTTGTTTTCAAGATTATAATATTATCAAGAAACAGATTTGATAAGAACTTCATCTCTCTATACTGTAAAATAACTGCACTGATTCTCCCACCTAGCCCAGTTCAGAAATCATATAACACATCCATGAGGTACATAGCAGACCATCTACATTTACATATTTTTCTGGCCCCATCCAAGCTGGTTGTGTCCAAAATTTATAATCTACCGTGACTTTGAAGAGAGAATAGAATCAGATTTCTAATTGTGCAATTCACAGAATTTCTAATTTGCACAACTAGAAATTTAGATTTTTAATGGTGTGAACTATCATGGCCACTAAAGAAGCTAAAATTTAAAGAGTAACATTCTAGCTATGTAATGCTAAGATTGAGTCAAATAGTTTTATCTAAGTTTATTTCATTAGCTGAAAATTATGGCCTTTGTGGGTAGGGGAGTATATTCTTACAGACAAAGAATAATTTGATATCTGTCTCTGTCTACAATCTTAAACTCATAACACTTGATAGGTCTTTAAAGCATTATTTACAATGCCTTCATTTAGGAAAACTTTCCTTTTATAGGGAAGCCTATGTGCAATTTGTCCAGAAAAAAAAAAAATTTCAATAGTAGTAATAGGCCAGGCACCATGGCTCACGCCTGTAACCCAACACTTTGGGAGGCCGAGGCAGGAGGATCACCTGAGGTCAGGAGTTTGAGACCAGCCTAGTCAACATGGTGAAACCCCGAATCTACCAAAAAAAATACAAAACTTAGCCGAAAGTGGTGGTGCACATCTGCACAGTGACTCGGGAAGCTGAGGCACAAGAATCACTTGAACCAGGAGGCAGAGGCTGCGGTGAGCCGAGATGGCACCACTGCACTCCATCCTGGGTGACAGAGTGAGACTCCATCTCAAAAATAACTTAACATTAAAATAAAATAAAATAAAATAAAATATAGTAGTAATAATGTGTACTGAGTGCTTACTATATATGAAACATTGAGATTCACTTTTAATATTCTTAGTCCATTGGGCCTAAACTGGGTGGCTTGAAAACAACAGAAATTTATTTCTCATGGTTCTGAAGGCTGGGGAGTCCCAAAGTACCAGCATATTTAGTATCTGGTGAGTGCATCTGCTTTCTGGTTCATAGATGGTGTCTTTTCACTGTGTCCTCACATGGCAGAAGGGGCAAGTGAGCTCTCTGGAGTCTCCTTTATAAGGATTCTTACTAGTCCCATGCATGAGGTCTCTGTCCTCAGGATATAATCACCTGCCAAAGGCTCCACCTCAAAATGACAACACATTGGGGATTAGGTTTCAGCATAAGAATTTTGAGGAGGACACAAATATTCATTCAACGGAATACGGATTATCTTTAAACCTTACAAATCTGTTTGACATAGCTCTTGTTATTAATATTTCCATTTTATATATGAGGATATCATTCTCAAAGTTAATTGTCCAGTATCAAATGACTATTTAGTGGTACAGCTAAGCTTGTCTGACTCCACAACCTCATCTCAACTACCAAAGCTCACTTGAGAAAATAATAGATTGGCCAGGTGCAGTGGTTCACACCTGTAATCCCAGCACTATGAGAAGCCAAAGTGAGAGGATCACTTGAGGCCAAGAGTTTGAGACCAGCCTGGGCAGCATAGCAAGGACCCCATCTCTACCAAAAAAAAACAAAATTAATACTACCAAGGAAATATTTAATAATATCAGTTCTGCACAAATTATGCCAGGAAATAAAAGAAGATTTAACACTTCCCAACTCATTTTATAAAATTAGTAGTATTGTGATATCAAAACAAGTCAAATAGATTACAAGAAAGAAAACTACAGGCATAGACAAAAAAATCTTCAAGAAAATATTGGCAAATCAAAACCAGCAATATGTAAAAAGGATAATGCATTATGAAAGTAGGTTTTATCCCAAAAATTCAAGGTTGTTTTAATCTTCAGAATGAATCAATGCAATTCACCATATCAATAAATTAAATGAATGGGAGGCTAAGACAGGCAGATCACTTCAGGTTAGGAGTTTGAGACAGACCAGCCTGGCCAAAGTGGTGAAATCCTGTCTCTACTGAAAAAACAAATAAAAAAATTAGCCAGGTGCGGTGGCACACACCTGTAATCCCAGCTACTCTGGGGCATGTTGAGGCCCAAGAATCTCTCGAACCCAGGAGGTGGAGGTTGTGCCATTGCACTCCAGCCTGGGCGACAGAGTGAGACTCTGTCTCAAAAAAAAAAAAAAAAAAAAAGAAAAGAAAAGAAAAAAGAGAAAAAAAAAATTAAAAACCCCATATGACCCATATAATTACTCAGTGGTTAGATACTGCATTAATTCATAATAAATAATCTCAGCAAACTAGGAATTGAAGGAATTTCCTCAGCCTAGTAAAGGGCAAAGATAACTATCATAGAGCTGATGTAACACTTAATGGTGAAAAAGTGAATGCTTTCTTCCTAAAATTGAGAACAAGACAAGGTAGTCATAGCAAGTTCAGTTAAGCAAAAAAAGAAAAATGAAAGAAATCAAAGGAATGCAGATTGAAGAGGAAGAAGTAAGCTCTCAGTATTTGCAAATGAAATCATTTTCTATGCACAAAATCCCAGAGAATCTACCAAAAAGTGTACTAGAACTAATGATAAGTGGTGAATTAGTAAAGTCACAGGATTCAAAATAATTATATAAAAATCTATCATATTTCTATACACTATATTTTTTTGAGACGGAGTCTCACACTGTCACCCAGGCTGGAGTTCACTGGCACGATCTCGGCTCACTGCAACCTCTGCCTCCCAAGTTCAAACGATTCTCGAACCTCAGCCTCTTGAGTAGCTAGGATTGCAGGCACCCACCACCATGCTTAGCTAATTTTTTTTATTTTTAGTATAGACAGGCTTCACTATGTTGGCCAGACTGGTCTTGAACTCCTGACCTCGTGATCCGCCCACCTCGGCCTCCCAAAGTGCTGGGATTGCAGGCGTGAGCCACCATGCCTGGTCCTTCTATACACAATTAATAATTGGACATTGAAATTATAAAATTTACAATAGCATTTATAATAGCACCATGAAACACAAAAACATAGGTGTAAATTTTTTTAAATGTGCAACATCTGTGCTGATAATCTACAAAGCACTCATGAAAATAATCAAAGAAAATCCCAGTAAAGAGATATTGTGCTCAACTATTGGAAGAGTCAATATTGGAGTTGTTTTTTGGTTTGTGACAAAGTCTTACTCCGCCACCCAGGCTGGAGGTCCAGACCGCTCACTGTAGCCTCAACCTCCTGGGCTCAAGTGATCCTCCTACCTCAGCGTCCTGAGTAGCTGGGATTACAGGCATGAGCCACCATGCTTAGTCAATATTAAGATGTCAGCTCTCTCAAATTGTTCTATAGATTGAATAAAATCCCTATCAAAAGTCCAGCAGGGGCCAGGCACAGTGGCTCACGCCTGTAATCCCAGCACTTTGGGAGGCCGAGGCAGGCGGATCATGAGGTCAAGAGATCAAGACCATTCTGGCCAACATAATGAAACCTTGTCTCTACTAAAAATACAAAAATTAGCTGGGAATGGTGGCACGCGCCTGTAGTCCCAGCTACTCGAGAGGCTGAGGCAGGATAATTGCTTGAACCCTGGAGGCGGAGGTTGCAGTGAGCCGAGATCACACCACTGCACTCCAGCCTGGCGACAGAGTGAGACTCTTTCTCAAAAAAAAAAAAAAGTCTAGCAGGTATTTTTTTATAGGAGTCGACAGGCTGATTCTAAAATTTTTTTGGAAAGGTAAAGGAACTAGAAAGCCAAAAACAATTCTGAATAGAAACAAAGTGGGACGACTCACACTACCTGATTCAAGACTTACTAATCAAACTGCAGTACTTGAGCAGTATATTGTCGTTAAAAGGGTAAATAGATCTGTAAAACAGAATAAATAGTCCAGAAATAGATACACACATATGTTCAATTGATTTTTAACAAAGATGCAGAGGTAATCTATGAAAAAAGATGAGTTTTTTCTTTTTACTTTTTTTTTTGAGACGGAGTCTCACTCGGTTTCCCAGGCCAGGCTGGAGTGCAGTGGTAAAATCTTGGCTCACTGCAGCCTCTGCCTCCTGGGTTCAAGTGATTCTCTTGCCTCAGCCTCCCAAGTAGCTGGGACTACAGGTGTGTGCCACCACGCCCGGCTAATTTTTGTATTTTTAGTAGAGACAGGGTTTCATCATGTTGGCCAGGATAGTCTTGAACTCCTGACCTCAGGCAATCCGCCTGCCTTGGCCTCCCAAAGTGCTCAGATTACAGGCACCATGCCTGGCCAAAAAGATTAGTTTTTTCAAGAAATGGTACAAGAAGAGTTAGACATCCTTTTTTTTTTTTCAATTATTTGAGACAGAGTCTTGCTCTGTTGCCTAGGCTAGAGTATAGTGGCATGATCATGGCTCACTGCAACCTTGACTTCTTGGGCTCAGGTGATCCTCCCACCTCAGCCTCCAAAGTAGCTGGGATGGCAGGCATGTGCCACCATGCCCAGGTAATAGGCATCCATTTAAGACCGAAAACAAAAACATACGAAAGATACTTGGCCTATACCTTGACGTAGGCCTTGGAAATAAATGAAAAAGAGTAGATTATTAAGAGATTCACTTTGTAGAAGTAGGGGAAGAAATAAGACTGTGAAGAGAATTGAAACATTGAAGTGGTAGGGGGAATTATTGGAACAGTTCAGTGTTTTGACTGAGAGGCATTATGTATTGTAGAAAATGTGTATACATTATGAATAAATATTCTTTTATTCCACTAGCTTATTCAGCACCTTACAATTCACATAACATTTTGTTAGATTGGGAGGGTGTTATAAAGGTCCTTTGAGGCCAAGTATGGTGGCTCACACCTGAGGCTGAGGCAGGTGGATCACTTGAGGTCAGGAGTTTTGAGACCAGCCTGCCCAATGTGGTGAAACCCCATCTCTACTAAAAATACAAAAATTAGCTGGGCATGGTGGTGCATGCCTTTAGTTCCAGCTACTTGGGAGGCTGAGGCATGAGAATTGCTTGGACCCAGGAGGTGGAGGCTGCAGCGAGCCGAGATTGTGCCACTGCAGTCCAGCCTGGGTGACAGAGCAAGAGTCTGTCTCAAAAAAAAAAAGAAAAAGAAAAGTCCCTTGAGGAAATCATATATAAGTAATAACAAAACACTGATAAATGCTATTATAGTTGGACCAGGAGAGCCCAGAGGAGAGGGCAGTAAATACCTATATTCATCCCTATTGGCTTCCCTAGCTAGCCCAATGAGCTCCAAGTGCAGAAGGGAAGTAAAGGCTGGAGTATTCTGAGCACTGAAAAATGTTAATAGATCCACTGTCCCTTTGAGGACTTTGAGAAATTGTTGTTAATTTGATAGCTAAACTCCAATATGGGATCTCTTCCATCTGCTGCCACTGAAATCTGTGATAATTACCTCAGTCTCAAATAATAGATAAAGTGAAACAACCTGATGTGGTTTCCTTTTATCCTCCTTTTGCTGTCATTTGATCTACTTAAAGTGGGCTAGTCTTTCTCTTGCCTGTAGTTGCTAGCCATTCTATACAGTCTCTATCACACAGCAAAGGTATTTTTTTTAAGACTACCAAACTCTGTAGGAATGAAAGATAATTTTTTTCATAAAGGAGTCTTCATCATATTCCACAGATGTGGAAAAGAGAAGTAGGAGTTGAATGTGATCACTTTTGCCAACCATCTGTGGGTTTCTTTTTCTTTTTTTTTTTTTTATTTTGAGAAAGAGTTTCACTTCTGTTGCCCAGGCTGGAGCGCAATGGCGCGATCTCAGCTCACCGCAACCTCCCCCTCTCAAGTTCAAGAGATTCTCCTGCCTCAGCCTCCCGAGTAGCAGGGATTACAGACATGTGCCACCACTCCCGGCTAATTTTGTATTTTTAATAGAGATGAGTTTCTGCATGTTGGTCAGGCTGGTCTAGTACTCCCGACCCCAGGTGATCTGCCCACCTCAGCCTCCCAAAGTGCTGGGATTACAGGCGTAAGCCACCACACCTGGCCCATCTGTGGGTTTCTAATACACATTCTCATCCCTCTTTGAAGGATTATTCATTGTAGCTTGTAGTCACACTTTCCTTAAAGCAAGAACTACTTTTATTTTCCCTCGGCCTTCTATCACATAGCAAGAGCGTTGGTGGAAATTGTTTTTCCATAAAAATAACTGTGCCACCTACTGTTCAAATCCTACTGATTAAGAAAATCATTGATCGATTTTTCCTGGGAAATAAATTAGGCTTTTTCCTGAAAGTGGAAAGAAATAAATAATCGGATGTAAAGAATGAAGATGGCTGTGTTTTATGAGGAAAATGTTTATGCAGTTGCCATGGAAACAACATGTAGGCATTCAAAACAGGAGCTTATGATATCTCTGTATTTGTCAAATATAAATCAGATATGAGTTGCATTCATTCTTGTTCTTGGCTCAAATTTAGTCTGACACATATGGTTATGTAAAATATGCTCCTGCTTTAGTATATTTGCTTAATATTTGCAAGAATCTAGCAATACACTGGCTGCCATGTTTTAAAATCATATACTGGAAGCACAGAAATAAACTAGGGAAAGCATTTCTCAGCAAATAATTCCTGAAAGATAGCAGCACAATCCCATTGTGACTTTCATAATTAACAGGGGTAATTAATTTTTCTTAATTGAAACATATTCACAATGTTGGGCCTAGTTAATTGGTACAGGCTAATTGTGAGTGATGTCAAATGCTGAATATGCATAGTTTGATAGTTTCTTATTTAATATATGTGATTTCATTTCATAAGTAGAGTAAGGCACAATAGGCAGTGTTTCTGAATGATTGTTATACTTTCCTGTTGGAAGACATCAGTTGACTTCAATTTCATGTGTTATAAGTGAGGCATGATAGAATTCTAGAGAAAGCATACATGGATTTTGAGGATATGGAGAATTTGACAAAATTTTCCATAGCTTGAACTTTTTTCAGTAACTGATTCCAAGGATAAGACAGAAAATGCAAACCATACCTGCAACTACTGCCTTTTAATGGGCACACAAACTAAAAATAGGAAAATCTAAAAACAATTAGAATAGACCCCTTTTGTGGAAAAAAAAGTGATACCCTCTTAACTCTAATACTTTATCCTTTCATGCCACCTTTGTTAGCGATTTCATAGCGCATCAGTTTATCATCCTGTGTATTTTCTCCTGTTACATTTCCTCAAAGACATGCACTTTGAGCAGATAGCCTAGAGGCTTAATGTCTTATTAAAGCAGTAATTGTTTAAATAGTGCAATAAATGATACAGTAATTTAATGAGACCAAATAGAGATTGGTGGGAAAAGGCTAATTGGAGAAGGCTTTTCAGAGGAGTTAAGTTTTAAGTCAAAATTTAAAAGGTGAAAGACCTTTCTAGAGGGCATTTTAACAACATGTATTATCAAAACTTTAAAATATATATGTACACACACATGCATAAATATATATGTATTTATGTGCATACTGTTTGATCCAAAAAATGTACTTCTAACAATTTACCTTAAGGAAATAAAGATGTGTGCAAATACTGAATTAGGAGAATATTTACTAAACCCTGTTTATAATAGAGAAATATGGAACATACTGTAAATACTAGAATTCAACATCAAGTACAAAAGAATGGTTAATTAATGTTAGGATAAATCCAGAAATTGAGTGTATAGCTATTTGAAATATTATAGAAAAATATTGATGTGGAAAAATATTTGTTATATATTATTCAGTGAAAAAAAGCGGGAGTTTGATTGGAATTGTATTAAATCTACGGATTAGTTTGAAGAAAATTGACATCTTTACTATGTTGGGTCTTCCAGTTGATGAACATAGTCTATCTCTCCATTTATTTTGGTCTTTGATTTCTTTTATTAGCATTTTATGGTTCTCAGCATACCCCTCCTATACTTGGCTTTCTTAGATTTATACCCAAGGATTTATTTAAATTTTTTTTTTATTTGGAGCTGATCTGAAAGTTATTTTTTTTTAATTTTGGTTTCTATTAGTACATTGCTTGTATATAGAAATACAATTGATTTTTCTATGTTGACCATGTATCCTGCAATCTTAAAATACGTATTAATTCTAAGAAGTTTTTTGTAGATTCCTTGGGATTTTTCACATACATAGTCATGTCATATGCAAATAGGTACAGTTTTATTTTTTCCTTTCCAATATATATGCCTTTTACTTCTTTTTCTTGTCTATTGCACTAAAACTTTCAGGATACGTGGAACAGGAATGATGGTAGTATAGGCATTCTTGTCTTGCACCCTTTTCAGGAGGAAGCAGTCAGTCTCACTATTAAATACGATATTAGCTGTAGTTTTTTTGTAGGTGCCCTTTAATTATGTTGAAGTTCCCTTCTATTTCCAGTTTGCTGAGAGTTTTCATTATGAATGGCTGTTGGATTTTGTCAGATTTTCCGTATCAATTGATATGATCATATGGATTTTATTTTTTGAGCTGTTAATATAGTAGTTTACATTTATGGATTTTTAAAAAAAATTTTGGACTTTCTGTATATTCCAGGATGAACCGCACTTGGTTGTGATGCATTATGCTTTTTACATACAACAGGAACATTTTGTTGAGATGTTTGTGTTTATGAGAGATATTGGTGTATAGTTTTTATTGATTTTTTTAGTACTGTTTTGCCTCTTTTAAATTTTTTTTTCTGCCAAACAAATTATACCAAACATTTTGCCTGATTTTAGCATCATGGTGAAGCAGATCTCATAAAATGAATGGGAAGTATATCTTCCTCTTCTGGAATAGACTGTTCAGAATTGAGATTTTAATTTGCATGTCACTGAAGAATAATGACATTGAATACTCTTCCATGTGCTTATTGGCCACAGAATTTGTTTTTGAGGATTAGTGTCAGACTTACTATGTTAATATATATTGAATTCAGCCAGAGTTGGGCCCTCTTAAGGTTTAGTTTAGGTCTCTAAATGAAGGTGGTGTTGTCAGTTTTACTATGATTACACCCGTAGATTTACTTTTACAATAAAGTTTTTAAAACTGAGGCCATATTGTTTAATGTATATGATCATTAATAATTTATAAACATAAGCTTTTTTTTTTTGAGACAGGGTCTCACTCTATTGCCCAGGCTCACGGCACCCTCAACCTCCAGGGCTCAAGCAGGTCCTCCCACCTCAGCCTCCCAAGTAGCTGAGACTAAAGACACAAGCCACTACACCAGGCTCATTTTTTTTTATTTTTTGTAGAGACGGACTTCCTGTGTTGCCCAGGCTTGTCTTGAACTCCTGGGCTCAAATGATCCTCCCACCTTGGCCTCCCACAGGGCTTGGATTACAGGTGTGAGCCACTACACCCAGCCAAACAAAACATTTGTAAAGAAACAAGAGAAAATAATTTTTCTCTAATGTTGAAATAGTGAAGTATTATAGTTGTATTTGGAAATGAATTAAAACTTTTATAAGAATTCAATGAATATTACCTATTAAGAAGTTGTTTTGCCAAGTGGCATATGAATGTTTCTGAATGACACAGATGATAAAGATATGAGCATTTACTTGTCAGCAAATGGGCATCACTGTGTTTTGCTAGTATCTAAGCATTCCTGAAAATGGAGCTGTCTCCAGCTGGTTGTAATTAGGTTTGGATAATTTCCTGCCTGGAAGACACTAAAGTTTCTTTAATTTCTGGGATCCACAGCTTTCTAGTTATTCTTATTTCCTGCAACTTAAAAGTGCTCATCTATTTGTCATAGTATTTTAAAAAATACAAACAGAAACATATAATTAGGTTGCCATTATTATTGACAGATTTTACTCTCTCAAATTTGGAAATGTGGAATTGAGCAGTTGTGTGATTTCCTAGAGAGTGGTCTTTGAAAGATGCATTGAAAGAAGAATGTTAAAAGAGCCCAGGAGGTATGTAATATGTGACAGGAATACTCTGTAAATCCCATAATCTTGCTCAGTTTGTAAATCTGGTAATGATTGTCAGCTCCTGTGACATCTGGAATTAAATTTTAGTCATTGTAAGATTTTGACGTATGAAGGGACATCCTATTTCACTTGATCTTCCTTTATGCCATGTTTTTCATCTACTTACTTATACATAGCATTAGAAGAGCTAACATTTAATAAGCATATGCTGTTTGCCATGCATGATACTAGTCTCTCTTCTTATATTATCTCTAGTCCTCACCACAATTTTGTAAACCCAATTTACAGCTGAAGAAACTAAGGCTCAAAATGTTGTTTTTGCCTAAAGTCATATAATTTAGTAAGTGGTGATTGAACTCAAATTAGTCTGATCCCTAACCTGCAGTTTTTCTGCTACTGTACCAGTGTTTCTTACCCTTGTTCAATTAAAATAGAATTTCTGGGGTTACACTTTGATATTTGAGTAATGTGCATCTAGAGTTAGAAACTACTGGATAAACACCCCCTTCTTACTATTATGAGATCATATTTTAGTAGAAGGGAACGTATAGTAAAAAAGCACATTTTCCCTTAAAAGTATGTACAATATTGTCCATTTATCTCTGCCAAAACATATCTATTTGAAACTTCAGTACAAGATGGTACATTGAGAACATGCTGCAACCTCTCCTTGCTACTACACATTCCTAAAAATAATCCTCCTCTCCCTCTCTATAGAATATATAGTACCAATTAAATACAACTGTGATAGGAAACAGCAAAACTTCCAAAAACCATGGAGAGCCCTTGATAAATGGCATTAGAATGCAGATAAGAACTATAATCTAAAATATGTGTAGGACTGGAATACTGCAAAAGGTATGAATGGCTATTTGGGGATTCTTTATGTCTAGCCTCCTGGACAAGGAGACATGTAGAACTACCTCTCCCTACCTTCACAGTTTTTTCTTGGTGTTTGACATGCAAAAACAAGAAATTTGGGTGATTTAAAAGCCAAGGGAGTACTCCCAATGCTGTCAATATCCAGAACAGATAGGAAACCCCTAGAACACTAACTATCCATTTTAACTACCCGGTGGCACATCTTTCTCCCCCGACTCATGCTACTGTAATCACATACAGCCATCACAGACTAATAGGATATCTCTAAAGTCCAAAAAAGATAGGGTCACAACCCAGAATCACAAAATATTTGAAGAAAACTAATATCATGAAGGAGAGTACCAAACTATATAAATGGAAGAACTAATGCCCAAGGGATAAGAGTTAATAAAGAAAGCAAAACAAGAGTTTTAGAATAAATATAATTACTGTCCTCAGAGACATGCAGGATGACACTGCATTCATCAAAAAAGAAAACTTTAGAGCTTTTTGAAGTTAGCAATTCAAAAGAAAGGACAAACAGGAAGAAAAAAAAGGCGAGTTGAGAGACACTGAGGATAGACAGAAAGAGTAGCAACCAGCAATAATCCTATAATTACTAATGCTGGATGCAAAAAGATAGTGGGATAGTATATTTTAAAATTCTTTGGGAAAATAATTTTGTACTTAAGAGTTCAATACCTGCCCAAATTATAAAACTGACATTTTTTAGACATGCAGTACTCATGATAAGCATAATTACTAGACGAAAAGAAACAATATTTTCGTTCAAAACCATTAGGGAGAAAGAAAAATGGAACATAGAAAATTCAGTAAAGGCAGCATATAGCTGGAAAAGAAAATACAGAAGCTATAAGAAAACATGAGAAATAGAAATACAATGTAGAATGGTTGCATTCACTTATTAAAGGGTAGCCTCTCAAATCAGTTTGAAAAATGTTTGCTGTTTACAAGGAGCACATAAAACATAGACTAGAAGGTTGAGAAAAAGATTAATCAGGCAAATAAAAAGTAGTAGGCATAGCAAGAGAATTCAAAGCAAAAACTCATTCAATTAAAAGAAACGAAGAGATATTTCATTATCATCTTGGTAAATTGTTTTATAGATATGAATTCACTTAGCAATATAGCTTTGACATAAAGAGAAGAAATCTAATAATTTTTTTAATGTGATAAAAACCAAGATCATAGTGGGAGATTTTAGCACACATCTTTCAGAAGTTGACAGAACAAAGTAGAAAAAAATAAATACATATATTTATGTAACATGAGCAGTTAATGAGCTTAATGTAATTGATATGTAGAGATAAACATTCAGTATACAAGAAACAGTCACAAAAATTGATCAAATATTAAAACACAAGGAAATGTAAACAAATATTAAAAGAAAATTATAGGCGCCATGTTCACAGACCACAGAAGGTAAAACTGGATATTTGAAAAAAAAAAAAGTTTAAATAGCAGGAATAAAATAAAGTAAAAATGGGAAATAACAAACATTTTAGAAATGTATGATGCCAAGAGCCCTACATATGAAAACCTGTGGGATGGTGTCAAAATTTACTCAGAAGAAATTTACAGTTTTTAATGCATTTCTTAGAATATTAGAGAAATTTAAATTTTTAATCATTTTTATAACTTTTTGTACTTTATCTTGTAGAAATATTTTAGGATTTACAATCTTTTTTAGTGAAACATTTATCCAAAAGTAACTAATATCTTCAGTGTTACTTGTTTCTTCTGTTTAATTCATGTAAAATTAAATCTCCTTATTGTAAAAACTGCATTCATAGTATAAGCCCACTTTAAAAAAAATTATTTTCTAGCCAGGTGCAGCAGCTCACACCTGAGTAATTTATAAAGGAAAGAGATTTAATTGACTCATGGTTCCACATGGCTGGGAAGACCTCAAGAAACTTAACAATTATGGCAGAAGGCGAAGGGGAAGCAAAGCACCTTCTTCACAAGGCAGCAGGAAGGAAAAGTGCCAAGTGAAAGGAGAAGACCCCCTTATAAAACCATCAGATCTCATGAGACCTCACTCACTATCACTAGAACAGCATGGGGGAAACTGCCCCGATGATCCCATCACTTCCCACCAGGTCCCTCCTATGATACCTGGGGATTATGGGAACTACAGTTTAAGATGAGATTTGGGTGGGGACACAGCCAAACCATATCATTCCATCCCTGGCCCCTCCCAAATTTCATGTCCTCACATTTCAAAAGACAATCTTACCCTTCCAACAGTCCCCCAGTCTTAACTCATTCCAGCATTAACTCAAAAGCCCGACTCCAAAGTATCATCTGAGACAAGGCAAGTTCCATCCACCTATGAGCCTGTAAAGTCAAAAACAAGTTAGTTCCTTCCAAGTTACAATGGAGGGAACAGGAATTGGGTAAATACACCCATTCCAAGTGGGAGAAATTGACCAAAACAATGGGACTATAGGCCTCATGCAAGTCGGAAACGATAGGGCAATTATTAAATCTTAAAGTCCCAAAATGATCTCCTTTGATTCCACGTCTCACATTCAGGTCATGCTGATGCAAGAGGTGGGCTCCCATGGCCTTGGGTAGTCCTGCCTCTGCAGCTTTGCAGGGTACAGTCCCCGTCCCAGCTGCTTTCACAGGCTGGCACTGAATGTCTGCCGCTCTTCCAGACGCACAGTGCAAGCTGTCAGTGGATCTACCATTCTGGGGTCTGGAGGATGGTGGCCCTCTTCTCACAGCTCCACTAAGTAGTGCCCAGTGGGGACTCTGTGTGGAGACTCCAACCCCACGTTTCCTTTCCACACTGCCCTAGCAGAGGTTCTTCATGAGGACTCTGCCCCTGCAGCAAACTTCTGCCTGGATATCCGAGTGTTTCTGTACATCCTCTGAAATCTAGGCAGAGGTTCCCAAACCTCATTTCTTGACTTCTGTGCACCCACAGGCTCAACACCATAGGGAAGCCACCAAGGCTTGGGGCTTGCACCCTCTGAAGCAATGGCTCAGGCTATACTTTGGCCCTTTTTAGCCATGCTGGAGCTGAAGCAGCTGGGACGCAGGGCACCATGTCTTAACACAGCATAGAGCAGGGGGGACCTTGGGCCCAGCCCACAAAACCATTTTTCCCTCCTAGGCCTCCAGGCCTGTGATGAGAGGGGCTGCCTTGAAGGTCTGACGTGCCCTGGAGACATTTTCCCTATTGTCTTGGTGATTAACATTCAGCTGCCCATTACTTATGCAAATTTCTGCAGCTGGCTTGAACTTATTCCCAGAAAATGGGTTTGTCTTTCCTATTACATTTCAGGCTGCAAATTTTCCAAACCTTTATGCTCTGCTTCTTCTTGGATAGTTTGCTGCTTAGAAATTTCTTCTGCCAGATACCCTAAATCATCTCTCTCAAGTTCAAAGTTCCACAGATCTCTAGGACAGGCGTAATGCACAAGAGTCACCTTTGCTGCAGTTCCCAAGCCTTATCTCTATCTGAGACCACCTCAGCCTGGACTTAATTGTCCATATCACTATCAGCATTTTGGTCAAAATCATTTAACAAGTCTCTAGGAAGTTCCAAACTTTCCCACATCTTCCTGTCCTCTTCTGAGCCCTCCAAACTGTTCCATCCTCTGCTTGTTACCCAGTTCCAAAGTCACTTCCACATTTTCAGGTATCTTTACAGCAGTCCCCTGTGACCTTGGTACCAATTTATTGTATTAGCCAGTTCTCACATTGTTAGAAGGAAATACCTGAGACTGGGTAATATATGAAGGAAAGAGGCTTAATTTACTCACAGTTTTGCATGGCTGGGAAGGCTGCAGGAAACTTAAAATCATGGTGGAAGGTGAAGGGGAAGCAAGGCACCTTCTTCACAAGGTGACAGGAGAGAGGAAGTGCAAGCAAGGGCAACGCCAGATGCTTATAAAACCATCAGATCTCATGAGAACTCAGTCACTATCATGAGAATAGCATGGAGGAAACCGCCCCTTGATCCAGTTCTCAAGGGAGGATTGGATCTCTCGAGGCTAAGAATTCAGGACCAGCCTGGGCAACAGAGCAAGACCCTGTCTCAAAAAAATATATATATTTTTTTTTAATTAGCTGGACATGGTGGTCCATACCTGTAGTCCTAGCTACTCAGGAGGATGAAGCAGGAGGATCTCTTGAGCCCAGGAATTCAAGTCTGCAGTGAGCTATGATCTTACACAAATTTTTTTTAAATTAAAAAAAAAATTTTCTGTAATCTCAGTATCTCTCCAATTCTGTGTGTTCATCCATTCATTTCTGTGTATACTTAGAGAGATGTGTGGAATGGTACTCCACTAATATTAACACCTTTTCTTTCTGGGTAATGGGACATTGGTTGATTTATTCCTTTTACTATTTTGTGCTTTTATGTATTTCTTACATTTTTCATGGAAGCATGCTTTATTTTATAAAAATTAAATTATTTGCTTAAATAAGTAAACAATTGTGTTAAAGATTTTTAAAACGAATGACAAAATAATTCAAAGAAAATAAAGGACCAAATTAATAAGGATGAATGCAGAAATCCAACAGCAGTGTTCATTAAAAGATAAATAAAATAGATAAATCTTGGCAAGTCTGAAAAAGAAAGAAAATATATTAATCGATATTGGTAATTTAAAAAGGAAGCATAACTAAAACTACAGAAATTTGTAAAATTATAAGAACTTTTATGCATAAGGTTTACAGTAATAAATGTGAATGCTGTGTGGGCACAGTGGCTCATGCCTGTAATCTCAACACTTTGAGGGGCCTGAGATGGGAGAATCACTCAAGTCTAGGAGTTCAAGACCAGCCAGGGCAAGTTGGCAAGATCCCATCTCTACAAAAAGTTTAAAAATTAGCCAGGTACAGTGACACCCACCTGTAGTCATGGCTACTTGGGAGGCTGAGGTGGGAGCATCACTCGAGCCCAGCAATTTGAAGCAGAAGGGAGCTATGATCATGCCACTGCACTTCAGCCTGGGCAACAAAGTGAGACCCTATGTCTTTCAAAAAAAAGAGAGGTTTAATAAAATAAACATGAATGCTTAGACATAATGGGTAGTTTTCAGAAAAATATGTTTTATTCAAATTGTAATAAGGAATGGTAAAAACTCTGAATTAATAATTATAAGAAGGAACTGTTGTTAAGTGTGATATCCAAGTGGAGATGTCAAGAAGACGGTTATACAAAAAATACTAGAGTTCAAAATAGAGAAATGGACTGGAAATAAAATTTGGGAGTAATAAGAATATAAATTAGATGATATACACAGGATTGGATAAAATCCCTTAGGGCAAGAGAATGGATAAAGATGGGAAAAGGAAGATAGGGATATTTTTGGTCACTCCAACACTGAGAAATCTAGTACTGAAGAAGCCAATGAAATAGGCTAAGATGGAACTGGACAATGAGTTGGAAAGAAAACCAGAAAAGTGTGGTAACCCAGAAGCTAGAGAAGGAAATACTCCAGGAAGAATGGAGTAATCAACTATATGAAATGATAATAAAAGGTTTGATAAGGTGAGAACAGAGAATTAGCCAGTGGTCTTAGGGGAAATACAGTCTTTGGACACCTTAATTAGCAGAGTTTTGTTGAACTGATGGGAACAAAAACCTGAACTAAGTGGATTGAGGAGAAAATGGAAGGTAGAAAGTGAAGGGCACTCTTTTTAAGTAGTTTTGCTTTAGAAGGTAATGGAGAAATGCAGTGGTACTTAGAGGGAAACCGGAGTACAAGGGAAAATTATTTTGTTTTTTAGGATGAATGGGATTATGGCACATTCATACACTAGTGGGAATTATCTGGAATGGAGAAACTGATGATGCAAAAGAGAAAAAAGGACCGGGTGCGGTGGCTCACGCCTGTAATCCCAGTACTTTGGGAGGCCGAGGCAGGTGGATCACTTGAGGTTAGGAGTCCGAGACCAGCCTGGCCAACAATGTAAAACCCCGTCTGTACTAAAAATACAAAAAATTAGCCGGGTGTGGTGGCAGGTGCCTGTTATCCCAGCTACTCAGGAGGCTGAGGCAGGAGAATCGCTTGAACCCAGGAGGCAGAGGTTGCAGTGAATAGAGATCACACCATTGCACTCCAGCCTGGGTGACAAGAGCAAGAATCCATCTAAAAACAAAACAGAGAGAGAAGAAAGGTATTTCAAGAACATTCCTTGAGAAGTCACAAGTGGATGAGATCCTGGCCACAAGTAGAAAGGTTATCCTTAAAGAAGAACATTAACACTTCTTCCATTGTAAAGGTAGAAAAGGCAGTGTGTGTGAGAGTAGATGCAGTTAGGTTGGTAGAATTTTGGGGAACATGAGATGAAATTCATCTGGTTGGATCTATTTTTCCGCTGAAGTATGAGGCTAAGTAGCGAGTGACCTGGGGAAGGGATGTTAGAGATTTGAGAAGACTAGAAGATTGGTGAAACTCTTATCTCAAAATGGAAAGGTAAATATATAGAAAGAAGTGATTGGATTCTGTATCTGACAGTGTTAAATCCCCATTTGAGATTTGTGATAATAAATTTTAAGTGAGCACAGTTGGCACAGTGTGTGTGTGTGTGTGTGTGTGTTTCCTGACACTGTTCATCTGCTCAGAAGCAGGCTTAGTGTAAGCTCATGGTTGGGTTGGCATTTTACTAGTAAAGACAGGGAAGGAGAGTCAAGAGAGTGTTTGCAAAATGGAAAACATGATGATTGTTCATGGAATTTAATATGGGTAAAGAGCGAAGTGAGAATACTGATTAAAATGATAAGGGCAATGATTTTGTATCTCAGTGAGATCCAAGAATTGTTGGAGTAAGCCTCTACATTTTAAGCAAACATCTCAGGTGAGTATGATTCCTGTGGGCTGTGGGCCACTCTTGAAGAAACCTTCACAATTGCTTTGGGTCATAATAGTAGTATTAAAGTAATACCTGTGTTTTGTTTTGTTTTGTTTTTCAAATTTCACTGTATATCTATTTAAACATAGTCAGAAGTACTTTTAAGAAAATGAATTTGTATGAGTGTGTAGGAAGATACTGATTATCAAGACTTCAGTAGTGAATAGACTACTGCTTGGAGGAAATGAGTGTAACAATTATTCTCATATAAATTTAGCTTTTAAAATATATTATTAGATGAACAGCTGTTGCATTCTACCTCCATATGTTACAATTTCATATGCAATTAATTACTCAAATATTTAACCTGTCATTTATTTCTGGAGGTTTGAATCTATATTTATTTTTCAAATTTGAAGTTTTTGACCATATCTGAAAAGAAAATTATACTCTAAAACTTTTTTTTACTTACAAGAAAATTCTGATCTTTCAGTTTCATTTGGGCAGTTAACCAAAGGGAAGATGTTATCTTTAATTACCTGAGTTATACCTAATTCTGCAAGTGCAACTTGTTCTCAGTAAAACTTTTGTCTAATTTTAGCTACTTCCCTTTGCTTGCAAAGCTATTGCAATTTTCTTATTAAATTCAATTTGCACCTGTCTTGAAAGACTTGATGAAAAGTGGACAGAGTAGGTTAAACCAGTAGAGATTCCTTTTTTATTGAAACCCACTTATATGTAGCATTTATTTCTGAGCTTCACTGAAGAAACATCATGAAATTAGTGGAGCCTATTATACTTTTTTTAACTACTGAATTTATATTGCAAGAAAGGTTAGAATGGTTTCCCCCACATCTATTCTCAATTAACTGTAGCTGTTTTATTATGAATTTGGTGGGGGCCTTTTTTTCAAGTACCTCATATCACTGTTTATTTACTGTGATTATTAGATGCCTTTGGATTATTGTATACATTGTTGATGCTTTTTATGACAGCTTAAATCAGTCATCAAATATTATATATTACACCCAACACTGGGCTGGTCCTATAGAGAATACAAACTAAACACAATAAAGTCTCAGATCTTTTTTTTTCCTTTTAGATGTGTATATTATCCCCTAATTTTTGGTTTTTACTTCTTCATACTAGTACTACATGCTATAAACCAAATTATGCTTCTTACTGGGTTTTTGTGGTTGGTTTGGTTTTTTGTTTTGTTTTGTCTTGTTTGAGACAGGGTCTCACTCTGTCTCCTAGGCTGGAGTGTAGTGGTACAATCATAGTCCACTGTAACCTCAAACTGCTGGACTCAAGTGATCCTCCCGCCACAGTGAGACAGAATCTCATTGTGTTGCCCAGGCTGGTCTCAAACTCCTGGCCTTTAGCAGTCATCCCACCTTGCTTTCCAAATTGGTGGGATTACAGGTATGAGCCACTGTGCCCAGCTCACTTCTTGTTGTTTGATAAATAGATCCCACTCATTGTTTCTGTGTCTCTTCTGTGCTGTTTCTCTTCCACCTTCTTTCCAATTCTGAGTAATCTGTCCTCATTAAGACTCCCCTCAGGCTGGGCACAGTGGCTCATGCCTGTAATCCCAGCACTTTGAGAGGCCAAGGCGGGTGGATCACTTGAGTCAGGAGTTCGAGACCAGCCTGGCCAACATGGTGAAACCCTGTCTCTACTAAAAATACAAAAATTAGCCTGGTATGGTGGTGCACACCTGTAATCCCAGCTACTTGGGAGGCTGAGGCAGGAGAATCACTTGAACAGCTGTGGTGGAGGTTGCATTGAGCTGAGATCGCACCACTGCACTCCAGCCTGGGCAACAGATCAAGACTCCGTGTCAAAAAAAAAAAAGACTTATCTCAAATGCTGTCACTTGCATGATGTCTTTCCAGACACTTCCTTCACCCAATAAGTATTTTATAATAGCATTTATAATGTTTTCCCTGTCTTAAATATTGGTATATTTTATATTATTCTCCCCCTCACTTGAAATTATCTCTTTGAGAATGGTGTCTTGTTTTACTAATCTTTGTATATACCATGTCATAGCTGGCACATATTAATCACAAAATAATATTTGTTGAATCAAAGGTTAGAAACAGCTAAAGAAATCCAGGTGTCGTGGCTCACACCTGTAATCCCAGCACTTTGGGAGGCCAAGGCCGGCGGATCACCTGAGGTTGAGAGTGTGAGACCAGCCTGACCAACATGGTGAAACCCCGTCTCTACTAAAAATACAAAATTAGCTGGGCATGGTGGTGGACGCCTGTAATCCCAGTTACTCAGGAGGCTGAGGCAGGAGAATAGATTGAATCCGGGAGGGAGAGGTTGCTTTGAGCCGAGATTGTGCCATTGCACTCTGGCCTGGGCAAAAAGAGCGAAACTACATCTCAAAAAAAAAAAAAAAGAAAGAAAAGAAAGAAACAGCTAAAGAAGAGGAATGCATGTAACAAAAATGGTCAGGAATCAGATACCTCTGGTCATGAGAGAAGTTATTAATGTTGATTTACTGGAGAGGAGAGGACTTGAGCTGAGCCTCATGCATGGGGACCCTAAAGTAAAACCCATAAGAATGATGAGTGCCATGAGAATAATAAATTCTGCTTTAAGATGGCAGTTTTCTGAAATTGGGTAAATAGAGGAAATTTGTTATTTGTTCCCTGCTTGCCATTTTATGAATGATACAGCCTTTCACACAGTTGAATGTATTGGAAACAAAATCATACCTAGTGCAGAAAATCTTCATTGTGTTCTTAGAGTAAGGATGTCTCTGCAGGTTATTACTAGCCACATTGTGAAAGGTGCTAAACTTCAATGAAGTGCTCTGCCTCATGTTTTTTTCAAATGTAGTAGAAAGGCCTTAAGAAAGGTATATCTTATTTGAGGCCCTGGAGATTGTTTTCTTTCCCAGGGACTTGGTACCTGATCTCTGTTGAGTACTCCACAGTCTCTTGGAATGGTTTTCTAGGGGACTGCCTGGTTCAGAATGGGGAAGTAGGTCCTGACTGGCTGCTGGAATGAGAACCTCTGGAGTAGCCTGATAATAAAAGGCCAAACTTTCTAGGGCCAATACATCCTGAGTCATAGAGAAGCCACATAAAGAGTCCCCTATGGCAGAACTAAGTCTTCTAGAGGAGAGTAATGCTGTTCAGACTGTCAAATGAAGGACCTGAAACCAGGGCTAGCTTATCCCATTAGAACCTAGAGTCCTCAATACTTTTAGGGGCACATGAAAATACTTAATGTCTTTTAAAATTAGAAGGAAAATACCTTTTACTGTTGAACAAAGTATTTTAATATATAACATTAATATATTTGTCTTCATACCAAAGTAGTCATAAAGTATAGTTTTTAATTTTTTTAATGGGGAAAGCACCAAAAAGACAAGTATCAAAAGCCCATAAAAGTCATAATTGGGCCCTGCCTGGGACCTACCCATCCTCTCAGGGTTTGTGCTAGACTGTGAAAGAGCAGCAAGTTCTGGGCAAAGGTGTGATATTTTAATCCAGTTGTTCTCTCTCTTTACACCTTAATATCTTCATCTGTTTGATGAGGACTGTGGACCAGGCAACATTAAGGGCCCTTGCAGGTCAAACTTTATTAAATGAAGTCCTGCATCAGAAGCTCTGCACAAGTTCCAGGCCAAAGCAAATTATCTAACTTGATTTTATTGTCAACTCATATCTTTGATGACCCATAGGGACCCAGAACAGGCCTGCTAGCCACCCTATAATTTTTGTGAGCCCACTCGAAAGTACATGTTCATAAATGTTAGAACATGAGAATCGTGGTATTATAATGCAACTGGTAAAAGATTAGAAGTAACTAAATGATGAGTTAATGGGTGCAGCACACCAACATGGCACATGTAAACATATGTAACAAACCTGCACGTTGTGCACATGTACCCTAAAACTTATAGTATAATAATAATAATAAATAAAAAATAGAAATAATAAAAAAGTAGTAAAATACCTTATATGTTGTAAGTGTCCAACAAATATTTATGAATAGATAAAATATATATGTAGAATATTAGCTTCTTTTCTTTTTTCTTTTTTGAGACAGTGTCTCACTGTATCTCCCAGGCTGGAGCGCAGTGATGTGATCATACCTCACTGCAACCTTGAACCCCTGGGCTCAAGTGATTCTCTTGAGTAGCCTCCCAAGTAGCTGAAACTATAGGTGAGCACCACCATACCAGGCTAATTTTTTTTTTTTAGTTGACCTGGAGCCTTGCTATATTGTCCAGGAAGGTCTTGAACTCCTGGGATCAAGTTATCCTCTTGCCTTAGCCTCCCATAGTGCTGGGATTACAGGCATGAGCAACTGTGCCCAGCCTCATTTTCTTAAGAGAAAAATATATTTACTAGAAAAATTATTAAATCATAGGACTTTTTTCTTATTTATTCTCTGCAGCAAAACAGCATAAAACATTTTGGAGATGGTTGTATCTAAAGTGTTTAAATCTCATTTCTATAAATTGTAAACTTCTGAAGATTAAGCCCAGAACTCTTCTAAATTGTTGTTTTCTGTATATTTATTTGGTTTTATTCTTCTTGGTCTAATCCTAAGTATGTGCTATATTAATATATTAGAGCAATATTGCTCTTACTTCTACTTTTCCTGTCTGTATGTTGTTCATTTTCATATTATGGGTAGAAAACCATCAGCCCCTGTTTGATCTTCCTACTATAGTCAATGTGCCTCTGTGTTACTTATACTACTCCACCCCCCTTATTTGTTTAGGGATATCATGTATTAGAAAATGGGATGATTTAATGGATGCCTACAAAATATGTAATAAGAATGGTAAATTTGCTGAAAAACAAGTAATTACAAAATGATAAACTTATTCTAGATTGCCATTTTTGTTTTTCCAGTCTAGTAATAAATACAAGTTCTCTTCCTTTGATATACATCAGAAGTACCTGAACTGTTTCAGATGTTTGAGCCCCCTCTCAGACCTGCTGGCTTAGGATCTATGGGAATGCAACTCATGCATCTGTATTTTAATAAAGATTACAGATGATTGTGACAGGCACTAAAGGTTGAGGACAACTGCCATATAGTAAAATAGAATTGTAGACTCTGGAGCTAGATAGATCTAAGTCCAGAGTTCAGACATACCATGATCTAAGTGTATGATCCAGTCCTAGGTCTATGAGCAAATCACGAAATCTCTCTGAACTTCAGTTTCCTTGTCTATAAAATAGGGGTGGTAATACGTTATAAGGAAGTAGAGGGATTAAAGGAAACAGTAGATAAAAAGTGCCTGGCATATGTTAAGTGGTAACTATTGTTATTCTGGTAGCATGACATTATCCTCAGTTTTCATCTTGACTTATGAAGAGTGAGGTGTTTCTCACAGTAGCTCTTTTCTGCATCCAGAAGAGTATGCAGAACTTCTCAAGCTATCTTTTCGTGAGACAGATTTATTTTGGGCTTTGAACTTTCCTCCAAGTTTTTATTTGGACTATTCAGAAAATAGTGTCAGAGAAAATACATGGCATCTCGGTTTTCAAATTCCACAACACTCTCTGGAGTGGCTAATTATTTCTGGACCCTGTTACAAAGTTATTCATTGTCTTATGTTAAGAACAGATATACTGGTATATCATGAACTTGGGACATAAACTTACTAGTTGCAAAACCATAGAACAATGGATTTTTGTCAGTGAAACATATGAATACCTAATTCGTTATCATGGCAACTTCATCTTTATATGTTTATGTTGTCAGTGTCTGGATTTGTAAATGATAATGTTTCAGATTTTCTTTTCAAACATCTCAGATCAAATATCAAAGACAGGGTTTTTTTTTTTTCTTGAAATATCTTTAGAATGTTTAACTGATAATGTAATGCAAAAAGCCACAAGAGAAAAGAGAACTATTGTTCTGTTTCCTGGTAATGGTCTTTCCTGTCTGTATTACATTACACACATATATATGTGTGTATGTGTGTGTAATATATATATATATATATATATATATATATATATATATATATATCCCTTTATTTTCAGTTGCTGTGACTGACAGAATTAAAAAGAAAGCATTGATTTTTTTTTCTTGGTTAAGGATCGATTAAATACTTAGAGCGTAATGCTCAGCATAAACATTTCATTTACATGAACTTTGCCTAGCATTTAACAAGACTATGGCTAGCTGCATTCTCTTATGAAATACACATTCACAATATCTTCTCAGTGAAGGGGCCATTTCTTTATGACTGTGTGTTTCGTCATATATTGAAAAACAGAGAGTATATTAACTATTTCAAATGTAAACATTACGAGTGTTAGAGATTACATAACTTCATGCTTGGTGTACCCTTTCTACTTCTTTCTAGAATTGTCATATATATATATATATATATATATATATATAAATTATACACACACACACACACACACACACACACACATCTGTAGAAAGTCTTGCTCAGATTTCACCATTGCTTACTTCTGGACCAGAACACCTTATAGGAAAATTTCATGTCACAACTATTTTTAAGCAGAAACTGCAGCAGATGAGGATATAAATAGATGGAAACAGTTTTAACCACCTATATCTTTATCGATCTTTGACTCCAAGCAGTTGCAAGCTTGGCATTATGGTTTATCTGAAAAACTATTCTAGTATAGCACCAGTTAATGAAATAAATTGTCTGCTATATATAGGTTTTGTGTGAACATACAAATGAAATGTACTGTCTCAGAATAATGTGGTTGGGGAAATATCTGGAGACAAATACAATGCAATTGCAACATAACAGTTACACACCAGACTCTTAACAGGAATAATGTAGTGTGATACTTGAAAGCCTAAACTCTGAAATGAGATTGCCTGAGCTGAGATCTCAATTCCTCTAACTATGTAACCCTGGGCAAGTTACTTCAAAGTGCCTCCGTTTTCTTCTCTGCAAAATAACCATTGATTTGAAATGTGGAGGATTTTGAAACCTAAGCTAAGAAATGTGGGTTTGATATGCTGAAAAATAGGGAGCTACTTAAAATTTTTGAACAAGCAAGTCACATGATGAAATTAATTGAGGAACATTGTATTTGTGATTGCATATGGATGGAGTGGGAGGACCTAGAGGCAAAGACATTAGATAGGAGACCACCAGAACAAACTAGACGTGAAAGGTGCAGCTGTGGAAATGGAAAGAGATGGGCAAAACCAAAAATCACCACAGAGAAAAAAAATCATCCAGATTTCATGATAGATTGGATGTATTTTGAAACACCTCTCTCCATACAAATGAAATAATTCAGCAAAATTCTAGAAAATGCTGGTGTAGGAGCTCAGTGGAAATCTCCCGTAAGTGCTGTGAGAAATTATAAATTCTGGGGACTCCAGCTGATACAGTGTGCATTCACTTACAGCTTCCTTTGCCCCTTTGTACACTAGAGCACAACAGGAAATATTGGCTTATCTCTGTAGGAAGTGTCTCTATAGGAGTTGCTTACTGAACTGAATATCTTTGTTTAGAACTAATTGACCTTTCTAAAACAGCATTTTTAAAGAGCTTACTCAAATAAGGCAGACTTTAACCATCTGATAAGTCAGAGACAAATCAGCCCTCTTCTAAGCAAGGTTGACAGTCAGTGCAAGAGAAAAGAAAGCACAGAAAGAAAGGCACCATCAGACAAAAGAACAGTGTATTAGTAAAAACCAGATAATTAAGAAAATTTTATTTAATGTGAACATTGAATTCTAACACAAATCCTTTTCCTGCATTATGATAGTATCTGTGTGAACCAACCTTTTTTCAGCCCTTTTTGTTATGGAATGTTAAGAATGTTAGTTTACAAGGTTATAAAGTAGAAGAGTCTAATTAGAAACCAGAAAATATCTCAGTCTTTTGGTCTGAATTTGTTTTCCTTTGGTTAGATTCTTAAAGTAGAAAAAAAAAAACTACTACTTATTTTGTAAACATTTTGAGGATTTTGATTCAGATATTTTAAATTATTATGAGAGATAAAGAATAACCCTGTCCAAAAAAGTAAGAAAATGAATAAAATTTGTTTAAAAGAGGATTCTCTTAAAATATAACCAAAGGGACAGATTTTGACAGCAGTCTTCATTGTTGTTCCATATGAGTGTTTTCTAAACCTAACAGATGTAAGCAATAAATAAGTAAAAAAAAAAAAAAAAAAAAAAATCTCTCAAATGAGGCTATTGGTTTCCTTCAAAATTAACTCATCATCTGGTCAGATATTTCCAGAAATTGTTTTTAACTATCTGGCAGAGCTACTGTTTTCAGTGAAGAGAGGGATCCAACAGTGATTTGATGTTTTAGTTTATATAACAGGACAGTGGTAGTATCATCAATCACTTAGCAGATTTAATTAAGTATTCTCTCTATGGTCAAATGCATTACCATTCTTCCCACTAGTCTAATAGTTTGAGTATTGGCTTGCTATTTAAGAGAAGTAAGTTATTTTTACAAGACCTTTTGTCTTGACAAAATAATCCATAACTCCTTTCCACTAGCCACAGTATTAGAGACTACTGTCGACACACACACAAATGTGTTTTGTGGGGTAATATCCAGATTGCTTGCTATGATAGTTAAATCATGTGGAAAACCTTGAATTTTGATGAAGACAGCTCTTGCTTACAAATGCATTTTATCCCCACAAAACATATCTTGGCTCTGATTACTCTAAGGTAAAACTCTACTAAACATGTGCTGCTGCTTTGCTTGTACTTGGGTGGAAGCTATGAGTGAGTGAGTGAAAGGTGCAAATGAAACTAAGTTCTTACCAGGTAGAACTGAAATAATAGAATACTGACTTCCAAGTTTGCTTCAAAAGGGCTCTTAGCAAGTGAATTCACAATTTACAGTATTAATCAAATGAGGGAAATGCATTAGAATATCTTGTTTCTGGAAGCTTTGTTGGCTATAGGCTAATTTCTAGCTCTTTAGACCAGTTTTGGCCGTCATTTAGTCACTAGTGACTTAATTATAATTAAAATTATTGCTTCTCAAATTTTCATATACATACTAAAGCATGGACTGATTCTAAATCTGGAGTGGGGCCTGAGACACTGCATTTCTAACAAGCTCGCAGGTATTACCAATGCTGCTAGTTCGTGGACTGTATTTTGAGTGGCAGAAGTCTAAAGAGTTGTCCTTGTTACCTGTGTCACCTGTCTTCTTACTCTGTTTGACTTTTTGCCTGTAAGATTAAATCTGTTTGCGCTTTATTTTGCCATTTTGAACTATTTCATAATGCTATGCTTTCTATGGCAAAGAAAATAGCCTCTGGAAGACATGCCCTTTTATTAGTGGGAGCTCCATGCTTTCTCTGGAGTTCCAGCAGGCTTTGTCTGGAGTTTGTCCAGAGGGCTATAGTGAAGGGACCCAGAAGAGCCTTTCATTGTTTCTGCTTGCAAGAAAAATCAATCACCAAGACCAGTTGATTAACAGAGATTTTCCCACTTAACTATCATTATGTGAAAGGAGTGTGGATTCTGCAGTAGAACCTGTGTGACCTTGGTCAAGTTACTTAATTTATTTGACTCTCAATTCCTTAGTCTATAAAATCAAAATAAAATGAAAATTCCTTAGTCTGTAAAATGCATAAGATCATTGGGATAATTAGTGATTAGCAGTAATATATATGAAACACTTGGATAGTATACTGTCTGCATTATAGTAGGCATTTAATAGTTAATAACAAACATCCTTGTCACTGAGTGGAATGAAACAAGCATTAAAAACTGTTTAATTTTCTCAGTGTGAGGCATTTCATTTGTAAGGCAGCAAACAAGAAGAGAGAAAGAAGGAGAAACAAATTTTGTGATTTGTTTTCTATGAAAGAAAAAGGTTAAATGTATGTTTTCATTTTTTTATGTTTCTACTTCATGTTTTAAAAAATTATTCATTAGTTTCCTTTGGAAAACTTGGGTCAAATCATTCTTCTGAATGTCCATTAGAATTCCTGTGATTCAGAAAAATTTTAGATCCTCAACTTTATTTTGAAAAAGAAAAAAAAAGAATTAATTCCATTCCATCCTAACTCACCTGAATTTTTGAGGCCAAGATATGCCCCAGTAGTGACATTCTTACTGTACTCTTTTACTGAGTATAGTATAGAGGAGAATCATCAGGAACACAGCTGGCACCTTGAGGAGCACGACTTAAAATTGGCGTTGCATGCTAAACCTGGGCAAGCCAACATTTGTTTGGTTAGTAATCTTTTCAGGCAGAGCCTTTGATTCGGCCCAAAATTCCTGCAGATTATCACAGAAGTATTTTTATTTGCAGCCAAAATCCTTCACAAAACTTCTTAGTACATTCTGAAATACAAGCATATAGGCTATAATGGTTTTTAAATTCCTTTTTCTCTCTCACATTAACTGGTTTTCTTATAGTGTGCCTAAAATGTTTGCCCAGTTAGGTGCTTCATAAAAGAGATTTTTTCCAACAGCACATGTGTTCCAGGATAACCTATTAGCTATATTATATAAATGGGAACTCTAGTTGATGGGATATTCATCTGTAAGAAAATATTCTCTCAGTACCCCTGGGCTTAGCAATACTATCATTTGTCTCACTTCAAAGCTAATTGAAATCAGCCAGCCTATGTTTCAAAATATCTACACGTATTACCAACCATCTGGCTGCTCACAAATGATGAAGACATTTAATATAAAACCTGGTTAATGCACTACCCTTTCACCTCTAGAGAAGAAATCTTGCCTAGGACATCCATAGTCTTACTTTAGTGTTGGTCTACAACAGGGCAATCATTTAGGTCCCCAAACTCATAATAATTTTATATAATCCCTCCCAAGTGACTGACCACGTGATAGATGTTAAAATGATCTTTGCTGGGCTCATTCACGACTGCAATGACAGAGTGGAAAGTTTATGTATAACCATCAGACCTAGAATATCTAGAGTACATTGCATGTGGGTAAAGGGCATATGCTACAGTTTTTTAGTAACTCGAACTTATTTTTTCTGATTATGAAAACAATAAATATTAAATGAATTCTATCCTCATAGTAGAATACTTGGAAGACATACATTTCCATTCAATATCTTGTTATTTATTAGTCTTTCAATCTTTTTTATTAAGTTTATATACATTGTTTTTAGCAAAACTAGGATTGTCTGTATTTAGTTTCTAATCTACTTTTTAAACCTAGTAATATTTTATGAACATTTTTCAACTAAGTAATCATCTCCATTTCAATAACTATAATATTCTCTCCTATCGCTATACTGTCTATGAGACATATAGATTGTCATTTCCCTGTCATAAAAAACACATAAGAAATATCTGAGGAAACTTATTCGTGCATATAGATTAATCATTGAACATATCATTGCCTTCCTTTAAATTCCTAGAAATTAATTGCAAGATAAAAAGACATGTGAATTTTTAATGTACTTTGTTTGCTTTTACTTTGTTTCATTTTTTTTTGCCTGGGGATGTTTTGATACATATTGCCTATTTTAAAAGCAGTTTGATAGATGATTAACTGGTTCCTCACCGTTTTTTTTTTTTTTTTTGAATTTTAGCTTGTATGAATTGTAGTGAGCTATTGTATTGGCAACATTATAATTAATTTTACTAAGGTATCTCAGGTAATTTCTCATATACCTATCAGCTCCAATCATATGTTGATAAAAGGGATGTATTGCGTAGTCAAGTAACATCTAAGTGGTAAGAAGGCAACTTTTAAAAGACATTTAATTTTTTCTGAAATGCCTTGAAGCTTCTGAGTAAAAGTTGCAACTTTTAAGTAAATCAAACCTCAATGCATAGTACATTTTTGTTAATCAACTCTCTAAAACCAAATAATTTTACCAAGACTGCATCATTTTTTACCAAGTTTCTCATGAAGAATTTTAACTGACAGTCTTTTCATTGAGGAGCACACTTTTACTCTTTTATCTACTAGCTAATTATGACCATCTTTTCTTCCTCCCGTCTTGCCCCACTTTGAAAAACAAAGTATCTTTTGCTTTTGTCATACCTAAATTGCTAACATCTGTAAATTCTTTTTGTGGAAGAGGGAGGAAATGTTGATGTCTGCATGCTTCTCAATATGTATTTAAAAATTTGCATATGAGTCAAAATAAAATTATTTAACAACTATTCAACTAAAGTATGGCCTATTAATAAATGAATTTTAGCATATAAAATTACTAGGGTATAAAATTATAGTAGAACCAATGAATTTAGAGTCTCAATTAGTTAAAAAGTGTGTTTTGAAGATAATGAGTACTTTTTAATTGCTACATATTGTTTTCAGTTGAGTTTTGTTCTTTGCAGTAATGGTAGCCAGAAAGTCATTTTTGCTTGTAGTATCTCAATCAAAAGATATTTTATTCTTTTTCCAGTCTTCACAGGCCCGACCCTTTGGTGTATGAGTACTGATGGGACTGCAGTATGGACAACCCCATAATTAGGCTTGCAATTATGGCAGCGTTACACTCTACTAGGAAGTAAATTTGAGATATAAGGTTGATTTTTAATTTAGCACCTATATAGGTATATCCTGACTAAAGAGTACCTGCTATATGGTAACTGATACTAAAGTCCTTATGATCACAGTATGTAATTGTCTGTTGTTTACCAAATTAACTATGCTCATACATATAAAGGGATTATTTTACATTGATTTGCTTGTATAATAGCCCTCACTATTAAATAAACAATGTGTACACTCCCTCCAAATAACTTTAAAAATCTTATCTTTTTGTGATAATTCAGATTATTGAAAAATTTCGGGGTCATCAATCATTGCTGAATCATCTCATTTCCAATCCTTCCTTTCTATTCTTTCTGCCGCTAGCCTAGTTAAAACCTCATTACCTCCCACCTGCACTTCTGGAACTGCCTCTTTATTATTCTCCTACCTCCAGTCATTGTCTGTATTGCAATTCATTATATACAGTATACATATATTAATCTTAATTTAGAATATAGATATGATTATGTTATCCTTCTGTCTAAAATATATATTTCATTAGCCATACTCTTAGATCTAGCTGGTATTCAACAATTTACATGATTTAATCCTAACTTCAAATTATATTATTGTTCATCTCACTGCATCTCACTGTTCATATGATTTCTTACCTTCATACCTTTCCTTGAGCAGTTTAGTATGTCATTCCTTTCTCCACACCACCCCCACACTCATTTGCAACCAGGAACTAAGTGCAGTCTGTGCAGTGTGAAATGGGTAGCAATGGCCCACACATGGAAAAACATATAGCCTTTCTGGTCTAGTGAATCAGAAAAGAGAAACTGGGAAAAAAAATAATGCAAAATATACCTGAGTGCAGTGGTGTGTGCCATTAGTCCCAGTTATTCAGTAGGCTGAGGCAGGAGGATCACTTGAGCTTAGAAGTTCAAGGCTTTAGTGCACTATAATTGTGCCTGTGAATAACCACTGTATTCCAGCCTAGGATACATAGTAAGACCCCATCTCTTTAAAAAAAAAAAGAAAAGAGAATTAAAGACCAACGTTCCTCATGAAAATAGAGGCATAATTCCTTAACAAAATGTTAGCTAACTAAATAAATAAAATGAATAATAAAATCATCCCAGGGTTGCAGTGTTGGTTTAACATCTGACAATCTATCAACATAATTCACCATTTTAATAGAATATAGGAGACCAAAAAAAAAACATGATTATTTCAATAAATGCGAGAAAACATTTGACAAAGTCAAATGACATTTTGTCATGATAAAATGTTTGTATCAAAGTAATGGGGAAACTTTAATATTATAAAGAAATTTCCTCAACCTGATTGAGGTTATCTACCAAAAAAATCTACAGATAGCATTATATTCATCTTTGATGATGAATAGCTCAGTGCCTTCTATCTAATGTCAGGAACAAGGCAAGGATGTCCACTTTTACCACTTTTATTTAACATTGTTCTAGAAGACTTATCCAGTGCAATAAGGCAAAATATAAAGGCATACAGATTGGAAAGGAAGAATTAAAACTAGCCTTATTTCCAGATGACGTGATCATATATGTAGAAAATGCTAAGGAATTTTTTAAAAGATACTAAAATAAATTTAGCAAGGTAGCATTATACACAGTCAATAGACAAAAATCACTTCATTTCTATATATTTGCAATACACATTTGGAAAATGAAATTTTAAGCAATTCCATTTACAGTAGCATCAAAAAACAAACTTTTTAGGATAAATTTAACAAAAAATATGAAGAGACTTCCAAAAGTTTGTGGAAATGAAAAAATATATAAACTTTATTTATTAACAAAAGCTCCATCCAGTTCAAAACACTTTTATAAGCAGTGATATCAGCCATTTAGTCTATCCCTAAAGAACCTGGGGTCCTGGGGATTTAACCACATCAATGCGGTATATTTTACATTATTAACTGAATAAAAATGAGTTGCCCAATTTTTTTAAGATTAGGAAACCAAAAGAAGTCGGAAGGAACCAAACCAGAACTATGAGGTAGATGCCTAATGAAAACTGTCAAAACATTGCTCTTGTTTAATGAGAAGAATGAACCAGGAACGTTGCTGTGGTGGAGGACTCTCTGGTGAAGCTTTCCCAAGCATTTTTCTGCTAAAGCTTTGGCTAACTTTCTCAAAACACTCATAATAATCAGATATTATCATTCTTTTGCCCTCCAGAAAGTCAACAAGCAAAATGCCTTGAGCATCCCAAAAAACTGTTGTCATGACCTTTGCTGTCTACCAGCCCACTTTTGCTTTGAATGGACCATTTCCACATCTTGGTAGCTATTGCTTCAACTGTACTTTGTGCTCCCCACAACCTGCCCTTTTTTTTTTTTTTTTTTTTTTTTTGAGACAGAGTCTCTCTTGGTCACCCAGGCTGGAGTACAGTGGCACAGCTCACTGCCACCTCGACATCTCATACTCAAGTGATCCTTCCACCTCAGCCTCCTGAGCAGCTAAGACTGCAGGTGCATGCCACCATGCCCAGCTCTTTTTTCTTTTTTGTATAGGCAGGGTCTCCCTATGTTGCCCAGGCTGATCTTGAACTCCTAGGATCAAATGATCCGCTTCAGCCTCCCAAGGTGCTGAGATTACAGGTGTGAGCCCCCGCACCCTGCCTGTACTTTGTCTTTAAGACCATACTGGTAAAGCCGTGTTTCATCTCCTGTACAATTCTTCGAAGAAACGCTTCAGGATCTCAATCCTACTTGTTTAAAATTTCCATTAAAATCTCTGCTCTTGTCCGCAGCTGATCTAGGAGTAATGGTTTTGGCCCCCGTTGAGTGGCAAGTTTGCTCAACTTTAATTTTTCAGCCAGAATTGTGTAAGCTGAACTAATTAGATGTCTATGGTATTGGCTATTGTTTCTGCTGCTAATCATGAGTCCTTTTCAATTAGGGCAGAACAAGATTAATTTTTTCCTCACAAATAAGTGTGAATGGACTGCCAGTGCAGGCTTTATCTTCAGCATCGTGTTGTCGCTTCTTAAAAGAAGTTATCCATTTGTAAACTACTGATTTCTTTGGGGCATTGACCCCATAAACTTTCATAAGGCATCAGTTACTTCACCATGCTTCCACCCAAGCTTTACTATAAAGTTGATGTTTGTTCTTGCTTCAATTTTAGCAGAATTAATGTTTCTCTGATAGGGACTCTTTTCAAACTGATGTCTTATTCTTCTTAACACCTTAAACTAGATCCCATTCAGACATGCTATCACAACTTAGTATGAGTTTATTTGGTGCAGAAAAATTTGAAAATCCATGCAGTTTTTCCATAATACACATTTTCCATGAACTTTTCGAAGATCCCTCATATTAAAGACTTACACACTGAAAATACAAAACGTTCCAAAGGGAAATTAAAGAAGACCTAAATAAATGGAGCAGTGTACTGTTTCATTGATCAGAGGACTCAAAAATTGTTAAGATGGCAATCCTCCTCAAATAGACATAAATTTACTGCAGTTTTAATCAGAATTGCAACAGGTATTTTGAAGATATGGACAAGCTGTTTTTAGATTTATATGGGAAGATAGCCTAAAATAGCTAAAACAATTTTGATAAAGTTGGAAGACAAATTACTTGATTTCAAGATTTACTGTAAAGCTGTAGTAATCAAAACAGTCTGGTATTGACAAAAATAAATATAAATATAAATATAAAATATATCTCAAAATTGATCATAAATCTACAGGTAACAAAGCTATTAAACTTGTACATGAAACCATAGGGAAATGTGTTTGTTACACGTGTTAGGCAAAAATTTCTTTAAAAGATCATTGGCTAGGTGCAGGGGCAACATAACGAGACTCCATCTCAAAAAAAGAAAAAGATAATCAAAAGCACAAACTAAAAGAAGTTATCGTTTAAATGTCCAGTGGGCCTTCTGTAGCCATGGGTTCTGCATCTGTAGATTCAACCAACCAACCACAGATCGAAAATATTTTTCTGAAAAAGGTTGGTTGTGTCTGTACTGAACATGTACAGACTTTTTATTGTCATTCCCTGAACAGTGCAGTGTAACAATTATTTACATTGTATTAGGTGTTATAAGTAATTTAGAGATGATTTAAAGTATACGAGAGTGTGCATAGGTTATATGCAATTACTGTACCATTTCATATAAAGGACTTGAGCATCCTCAGGGGTCCCAGAACCAATCACCCAGAGACACTGAGGGATAGCTATACTTTATCAGAATTGGGAACTAGCTTTTCGAAAGACAATTAAAAAGGCAATCCACAAACTGGGAGTAAATTTTTGCAAAGCCTATGTGATAAAGATCTTGTATCTAGAATACATGAAGTTTTACAACTCAGTAAGCAAACCCAATTTAAAATGGGCAAATGATTTGAACATGAACTTCACAGTAAATATATGAATGGTCAGTAAGCACATGGGGGGACACTTAACATCACTTATCTGACAAATGTGAATTTTAGCAAAAGACCAACGATACCAAGTGTTGATGAGGTTATGGAGCAATTGGAATTCTCATATATCGCAAGTGGGAATGCAAAAATGGTACACAGCTTTGAAAACCAATATGGTAATACCATATAAAGTTAAGCCACTCACCATTTGACCTAGCAATTCCATTTTAAGGTTGATATGGTTGGTTCTGTGTCCCCACCCAATTCTCTTGTCGAATTGTAATTCCCAGTGTTAGAGGCCTGGTGGGAGGTGATTGAATCATGAGGCCGGAGGACTCCCCCATTGCCGTTCTCATGATAGAGTTATCATGAGAGATCTGGTTGTTGGAAAGTGTGTGACACCTTCATCTTCACTTCTCTCTCTCCTGCTGGCCATATGAATATGTGCTTTCTTCCCTTTTGCCTTCTGCCACAGTTGTAAGTTTCCTGAGGCCTCCCTAGAAACAGAAACCTGTACGGCCTGCAGAACTATAAGCCAATTAAACCTCTTTTCTTTTCTTTTTTTTTTTTTTGGAGACAGAGTCTTGCTCTGTCGCCTAGGCTGGAGTGTAGTGGTGCGATCTTGGCTCACTGCAAGTTCCGCCTCCTGGGTTCACGCCATTCTCCTGCCTCAGCCTCCCGAGTAGCTGGGACTACAGGCGCCCGCCACCATGCCCGGCTAATTTTTTTTTTTTTTGTATTTTTAGTAGAGACGAGGTTTCACCGGGTTAGCCAGGATGGTCTCCATCTCCTGACCTCATGATCTGCCCACCTCAGCCTCCCAAAGTACTGGGATTACAGACGTGAGCCACCGCGCCCAGCCTAAACCTCTTTTCTTTATAAATTACCCAGTCTTGGGTATGTCTTTATAGAGGTATAGGAATGGACTGATACAAAGGTATTTACCCAACTGAAATGAAAACACATGCCCACCCAGGAATGTGTTCATGAATGTTTATAATAATATTATTCATGATAGCTGAAAACTGGTGAAGAATACATTGTGGTGTATCCATTCCATGGAATCATACTAGCCATAAAAAGGAGCGAAATAATGATACACACAAGATTAATGTATCTCAAAAACAACATGGTAAGTGAGGCAAGTCAAACATGACTACTATGTAGTATATAATTCTATTTATATGAAATTCTAGAAAAGGAATAGCAATAGTGACTGACAGCAGATTAAAGTGGTTATTGAGGCCAGGAGTTAGGGAGAAGGGATCAAGTGCAAAGGGACACAAGGACACTTTTTGAGTGAGGGAATTGTTCTATATCTTCATTGTTATGTTGGTTATACAATTGTATACAAATAATAAAAATTATCAAACTGTACACTTAAAATTGGTGAATTTTATTGTATGTAAATAATGTCTTAATAAACAAGAAGGAAAATAAATAAATCCTGTTCATCATGTAAGCCCAGGTTTGTGCCACCTATTTTTTGTTTTTGTTTTTGTTTTTTTGAGACAGAGTCTCACTCTGTCACCCAGGCTGGAGTGCAGTGATGCGATCTCGGCTCACTGCACCCTCTGCCACCTAGGTTCAAGCGAGTCTCCTGCCTCAGCTGCCCAAGTAGATGGAATTACAGGCAACTGCTACCACACTTGGCTAATTTTTGTAGTTTTAGTAGAGATGGGGTTTCACCATCTTGGCCAGGCTGGTCTTGAACTCGTGTCTTCGTGATCACCCACCTCGGCCTCCTAAAGTGCTGGGATTACAGTCATGAGCCACCGCGTCCGGCTGCCATCTGTTTTCAAAACCTTTATTTTTTCTACTGGAAGCCATGTAGAAATGATCTCTGAACTCCCAGAACTCTTTATCTGTAAATCTTAGGGTCCTAATTATCATTTTCTGTGTTTTGTCATTTTATGTATAAATTTCTACTCCCCTACTAGGCTAATTTCTTTGTGTATAGGGACCATTTTTTATTTTACCTTGATTCTCCCAAAGCCTAATTTTTGCATGTCTTTTTCTATTTCCTTTTCTCAAAAGCATTGCATAGAACATTATTCCAGTTAATGAAGGGTTCCAGTTAATTGGATTTCAGTCTTTTCTGACTGCAAACATACTGCTTTCAGAATACATTCATCTTAGGGAATTATGATCTTTCAGAATTTTCTTTATTCAAAAGATTTTTTTTTCAGATTTCAAGCTTATGTGTTCCTTTAAAAAGATGTTTATTGCTAATAAATGAAAAATTCACTTTTGCTAACACTGAACTTTAGGAGGTATTACATTGATCTTTATATAAGAGACATCAGGTATAAGAATTCAGATATCTCAAGCTGGGGTTTTGTAAAAGAGCTAGAAATGCTCTCTGATGAGATGTTTCTCATATCACTCTATAAAAAGCCAGGCTCATAACATTAAATCTGAATTAATTTATGACTTTTTCATAGGACTTTTGAGATAATATTGCCCTGGTTTGTTGTTTATAGATGACCTACATACAAGTATAGAGTTTAGTGAAGGGAGCAGATAAATAAAATGTCCTTTGGCCTATGTTGAATAGGAACAAGCAAACTTTAGAAAGAAAATTGATTGAATAAAACTTTATCAAATTCTGTTATGAGTCTCCGGTATGTCTGTATTTTGTCTTGTTGAGTCCAGAGGAGATCCATGTGCTTTAGATGACACAATTGTATAAATAGCAGAGTTGATATTTATTTTAAAATTTAGGAGACTGACTTACCTTTTTTCCGAAAGTTAGGGCTATTCCACTTCCCCAAGTAAGCAAGGCTAATTTTTTATTTTCTCAAAAGGAGCTTTAAATCCAAATAACTTGAACAAGTAGTTAACTGGACCAACAGTTCTATACCAAATATACCAAAGAGGTCATTGAATCTGAGATATTATGAATTAGGAAAAGTACTAAAAAGAGAACCTTGGCCACTAAAAAACCTGGGCTGAATTCCCAGCTTAGGCACCCTAATGGCTTTAATAGCTTAACCTTGGAGGGAATGTTCACTTTCCCTGAGTCTGTTTCTTCATCTATAAAATGGAAATGAAAAATCTTTCTTTATAAGTTTATTTTGAAAATTCAATGATTATATATTTTAGTTTCTAGAACATCTTCATATCCAATAGTTATTAGTTCTTTCCCATACTTGATCATAAAGAAAACATAATGTATGAGTCTTATAAAAGGATAAGATGAGGAACTCAGTAAATAATAATGAATAAATGTTTTATGAAAACACCAGAGAAGGAAACAGTATTTTGCATTTTTAATCATGATAAATTTTGAATATAAATTATGATCAAACATCTTTACAGTCACTTTTTTTTTTTTTTTTTTTTTTTGAGATGGAGTTTCGCTCTTTTCTCCCAGGCTGGAGTGCAGTGGCGTGATCTCGGCTCACTGCAACCTGTGCCTCCCGGGTTCAAATAATTCTCCTGCCTCAGCCTCCTGAGTAGCTGAGATTACAGGTGCCTGCCACCATGCCTGGCTAATGTTTGTATTTTTAGTAGAGACGGGGTTTCACCACATTGGCCAGCTGGTCTCAAACTCCTGACCTCAGATGATCGACCCACCTCGGCCTCCCAAAGTGCTGGGATTACAGGCGTGAACTGCCGTGCCTGGCCTACAGTCACTTTTATTGAATAATAATTATAGCAGTCATAAGTCATTATTTTATTTTGCTCAGCATTTGTATGCTGAGTGATTTTGCTGTTAATAAATCAACATTATTTAGCCAGAATTGAACTCACCTCCATGGTATCTTAGTGGAGCCGTAGAACCTGTACTACCCAGAATTTCATCCATGTTTAATATTATATGGTACATCAAGCCACAGTATTCCTTTATTTGTGTAAACTTAATAGTTTGCTGAAAGTTCATTTTAAAAATCTATTGTTTTGAAACACCTTATAAGATAAAATAAGCTTACATGCCTTGCGAAGTAATATGCTGTAACACTAGGGACAGTATACTTCTTGTATATGGGCCAATTTTAAGTACTTTAGGTTTTACAGGGCATAGTCTCTGTTGCAACTACTCAGTTTGCCTTTGTAGCACAAAAGCAGGTATAGGCAGTATGTGAATGGATGTGTTTGCCTGTTTTAATAAAACTTTCTTTACAAAAAGAGATGGCAGACCAGATTTTACCCATGGGACATAGTTTGCTGATCTCTACTGTAATAAAATAGCACAGATCTAGAAGTAGAAAACCCTGGAGATAATCATTCCTGACATAAACTAGCTGAATATTGCTAAAAACCCAAATCATTAAACTTCCTTGTGAATTTTGTTTTTGTTTTTTGAGACAGAGACTTGCTCTGTCGCCCTGAGCACACAAGGCCAGAATGCATTGGTGCAGCCTCGGTTCACTGCATCCTCCACCTCCCAGGTTCAAGCCATTCTCCTGCCTCAGCCTCCTGAGTAGCTGGGATTACAGGTACCTGTCACCATACCTGGCTGATTTTTGTATTTTTACTAGAGATGGGGTTTCACCATGTTGGCCAGTCTGATCTCAAACTCCTGACCTCAGGTGATCTGCCCACCTCTGCCTCCCAAAGTGTTGGGATTACAGGCGTGAGCCACTGCGCCCAGCCTGAATTTATTTTCTTAATCAATGATTTCTCTTCCTATTCCTTCAGATTCCTATTTAAATTTTATCTTTGGTCATCAAAAGTTTTCTGGTTTAAAAGACACTTTTTCCTGAAGGATATGGAGGTAATCTAAGGACAAAATCAGTGTAGAGTCTTGACTTTTTACTGGATTTAAAATGGACTTTTTACTGGATTTAAAATGCTGGGTTTCAAATGAATTACATATATATTGCTTCTTCCCTTTGGGAACTTTGAGATCTAAAAGAACTTCAACTTTATGATCTGCAAGAACAAACTAATGACTTGTCCATCAATATATTACCAATAACTTTAGTGATAGAAGCTTTAATATACATCTCTGGTATATATGGAAACTATAAGTTGAATGTAGGTTGTGTAAAAATAATTGCATTATATTGCCTTAGTGTAACATAAGAAGTAAATATAAGGATAGTTACCATTTTTAATCACTTATGCTATAGCACTTAGTTATCCTATTTGATCTCTGTAACAACTGGTAGTTGCTATTGTTAATTCTTATTTGATAGATGAGGAAACTAAAGTTCAAAGACATAAGTAACTGGCCCAGGGATACATAGAAAGGGAAAGTGTCAGAGCTGAGACCAAACTCAGTGTGTTAGTTTCTTATTACTGCTGTAACAAATTGTCATAAACGTAATTGTTTAAAACAATACATTTATTATCTTGGAATTCAGGAGGCCGGAAATATGAAATAAGTTTCACTGGGCTAGAATCAAGGTTTTGGCAGGTCTGCATTCCTTCAGAAGGCTCTAAGGGAGAATCCATATAAGGTAACAATTTCACAAGTTCTGGGGATTTGGACATCTTTGTGGGGTCATTATTCTGCCTACCACACCCAGTGAAGAAAAAATTTTAAAAATATTCCATTGTATCCTCTCAGCATCTCACAGAAAGGAAGACCAGTTATTATCATCCCATTGTGCAGGTAAAGGATCCTGAGGCAGAAGGAATTTGTGACTTTGCCAGAGTTTTCTAACTAGTTAGCCCAAAGGGATCTTTTAAGTCCAGAAAGTTCTCTGCTGTATCATACTTCCATAACATTTTTATCAGCATTACACATCTGATGCTAATATAGGTATATTGCTTTCATGTCTCTAGATAATCAAATTTGAATTCAACCCAAATTAGACTTGATTCAGTGCCCTTGCCATCTGTTAGCTTGTTTGATAGTTTCTGGTATAAAAGACATCTTTTCCTGAAGGATAAAGAAATAAGCCCAGGATAAAATGGATGCAGTGTCTTGACTTCATTCGGGTTACTTTGAAAATCTCCGTTTGCTAGTGTTTAGACTCAATAGCTGAAGGTACATATATGGAAATCTTGGACTTTCTATATCCTCTCTTATATGTCACAAACAATTTTTTTCTTTTATATTAAAAAAGAGACATAAAAGGGTTATCTTAGACTAGACTTTTTTAGATCTGGTTTCAATTTTCTTTGTATAGAACTTTTTTCAACACTCATTTCCTGGCTTTCCATTATGCCAGTAAGTAGTTGAATCTATACTGTCAGTTTACTTGCTAGTCTGTAGACAAATCTTCCCTAACTTCCAAAAATAGTTAAGAACAGACTGGAGATAGTCCTTCAAAAATTAGTACAATGGAAAGAAACCCTTTAGATAACATCTATGTTTTATTGCTGCTATACAAAGCAGTAATGGAGGTGGTAAAGACAAATATTATTATTTAATAATTGGTCATGACTTCCTATTTTTCTTAGGCCATTCTTTCAGTTTTTCACCAGTGAGTTAGTTCTCTATAGTTAAGTATTTCTGTCTTACCAAAACCAGGTATTTTCACACATTTCACACATTAGGCTTTAGCTGTTTTATAACCCATCATTTTATATTGTTTTATTCTAAATAGAAGATTGGTTTTTTTGTTTCATTTTCCTAGCTTTTTTACTTTGGCAGAAAGAATGGTGTTTTTTCCCTATACAACATTGCCTAGAATTCATAGTTCTTCTAGTTAATGTAAGCATTGTAATTAAGAAAGTAGAGGAAAAGATGAACATAATATTCGCCCTAAGAGGAAGTTGCTGGCCTCACTGATATAAGTTCTGTGGAAACAATACTGAGAGTGACGGTATCGTTTTCCCAAAGATACTAGTGACTCTAGACAAGGGAGTGGTCAAGTACAGAGAGGAATGGGATGTCCTGAGATCAGAAACTAGAGAAGATATGTGGTTACCAAAGATTATAGAAACAGCATGATTGCATAGAGTTGAGTGGGACTTTGTAATGAGTCAGGCCTGGGTTCAAATCCCAGCATACTACTTAAAAGTGGTATAGCATTGCACAAGGAATTGAATATCTTCAATCCGCCATTTTATTAAAATGTACTAAAATGATGATAGTTACTGCCCCTCAAGATTATTGTATTGAATTAAAGATGCGTCATACATAGTAGTACCTGAAGCACTGTATATAGTAGCTGTAAAGATAAAAGCAACAGATTTAAGTTGACGGGCAGATGCAAAGCACAGTTTGCTTAATGTTGGATTTTCTCACCAACTCTGTTGAAAGTCTTGGGGAAAAGCCACACTCAGAGCCTTGTCCCTTATTTCAGAGTAGCATGGATCCGTTTTTAGCCCAACCTGTTCCTAGACCTGTATGAGCCTGGAGCTGAGCAGGAGCACTGTGAGAGTCTTGAAAGAAAAATTGGAAGCCTAACTGGAAATGTAAAACATGGTTTTCTTGTTAGAACCCCTTTATCAACCGAAGTCCATAGTTTACATAAGGATTTTCTCTTTTTGTTGTACATTCTATGAGGTTTGACAAATGTATAATGACAACTGTGTAATGTATCCACCATTATAGTATCATATAGAATAGTTTCACTGCCCTAAAATTCCCCTCTGCTCCACCTATTCATTCCTCCGTTCCCCCTTATTCCTGGCAACCACTGATCTTTTTACTATCTCAACATTTGGTTTTGCATTTTCCAGAATGTCATATATTTAGAATCATACAATATCTAGCCTTTTCAGATTGATTGGCCTCTTTCACTTAATAATGTGCATTCAAGGTTCTTCTATGTCTTTGTCTTTTCTTGGCTTGGTAACTCATTTTTGTCATTAGATAGTATTTGTTGTATGGGTATACCACAGTTTGTCCATTCACTTTCCTTACTTCAAGTTTTAGCAATTATGACTAAAACTACTGTAAGCATTTTTCCTTTCATAATTGAGATTTTGTTGGTTGTGTTGAGGACCAGTCCACAGATATCTCAATTTGTACACAATTCTTAACATACGTACCAAGAATCTAAAAAGCTTATGTGTTGCAGTTCTTTTTTAAAGTTATTTTGTCTTTTGTTGCCATTGCTTTTGGTGTTTTAGACATGAAGTCCTTGCCCATGCCTATGTCCTGAATGGTAATGCCTGGGTTTTCTTCTAGGGTTTTTATGGTTTTAGATCTAACGTTTAAGTCTTTAATCCATCTTGAATTGATTTTTGTATAAGGTGTAAGGAAGGGATCCAGTTTCAGCTTTCTACCTATGGCTAGCCAGTTTTCCCAGCACCATTTATTAAATAGGGAATCCTTTCCCCATTTCTTGTTTTTCTCAGGTTTGTCAAAGATCAGACAGTTGTAGGTATGCGGCGTTATTTCTGAGGGCTCTGTTCTGTTCCATTGATCTATATCTCTGTTTTGGTACCAGTACCATGCTGTTTTGGTTACTGTAGCCTTGTAGTATAGTTTGAAGTCAGGTAGTGTGATGCGATCTAATTAAACTAAAGAGCTTCTGCACAGCAAAAGAAACTACCATCAGAGTGAACAGGCAACCTACAAAATGGGAGAAAATTTTCGCAACCTACTCGTCTGACAAAGGGCTAATATCCAGAATCTACAATGAACTCAAACAAATTTACAAGAAAAAAACAAACAACCCCATCAAAAAGTGGGCGAAGGACATGAACAGACACTTCTCAAAAGAAGACATTTATGCAGCCAAAAAACACATGAAAAAATGCTCATCATCACTGGCTATCAGAGAAATGCAAATCAAAACCACTATGAGATACCATCTCACACCAGTTAGAATGGCAATCATTAAAAAGTCAGGAAACAACAGGTGCTGGAGAGGATGTGGAGAAATAGGAACACTTTTACACTGTTGGTGGGACTGTAAACTAGTTCAACCATTGTGGAAGTCAGTGTGGCGATTCCTCAGGGCTCTAGAACTAGAAATACCATTTGACCCAGCCATCCCATTACTGGGTATATACCCAAAGGACTATAAATCATGCTGCTATAAAGACACATGCACATGTATGTTTATTGCGGCATTATTCACAATAGCAAAGACTTGGAACGAACCCAAATGTCCAACAATGATAGACTGGATTAAGAAAATGTGGCACATATACACCATGGAATACTATGCAGCCATAAAAAATGATGAGTTCATGTCCTTTGTAGGGACATGGATGAAATTGGAAATCATCATTCTCAGTAAACTATCGCAAGAACAAAAAACCAAACACCGCATATTCTCACTCATAGGTGGGAATTGAACAATGAGATCACATGGACACAGGAAGGGGAATATCACACTCTGGGGACTGTGATGGGGTGGGGGGAGGGGGGAGGGATAGCATTGGGAGATATACCTAATGCTAGATGACGAGTTAGTGGGTGCAGCGCACCAGCATGGCACATGTATACATATGTAACTAACCTGCACAATGTGCACATGTACCCTAAAACTTAAAGTATAATAAAAAAAATAAAAAATAATTAATAATAAAGTTATTCCAGTGACTTCCCAGCTTAAAATTTGGAGGCAGTTTCCTTACATGGCTATCAAGTACTGGCTATCAAGCATCTTCACATGTTCATAAGCTGTTACATACATCCTACCAATTCACAATTTAATAGCATATACACTATATACTCAAAGTTTTCATCTTTCACAGCACATTAACAGTTATTAGGGAAACAGGACTGCCACAACCAAAGATGTTACAGAGTGCACACAATTCTGATAAGGAGAGCCATGAGCCAGGAGTATTTTTCTTTAGGAATCAATTCTGCTATAAAACAACATGGGAATAGGAGTAATTTAAAATGTTCAAGAGATTAAATGCAGAACTGTGGCTCCATATTGCCAGTTAGTATGCTTTGTATTATAGGATATAACTATATCCTAAAACTAACCCTTCATCTATGGAATGTTAAGCTGAAACCCAAGACAGTCAGAGCCTCCCATAACTCAATATCCTACACCATCTTCTGTTGTACCAAAAACTAGCAAATTATTTAACTTCTTTTTTTTTTTTTTTAAAAAAAGGCATTTGATCTTAAAAAAAAAATGGGATGAGATGGGATTCCATGCTTCTTGAAAATGTGTCTAGAGCTACTAAAAAAACTTGCACTTACAAAATAGTTGATAAAAATATTCCTCTGAATTGTACAAGAAGAGAAATAGTGACCACTGATAAGACATGTTATAAGATATTAATCAGACTTGGCTTCTTTCTCTCTGGCTTCATCAAAGGCTGGACATGCCTCGTTTTTAGTCTTTCCATTTTCTGCACGTAAATCTTCTTTAATTTCTTGATTAGCCACTTTGGCCTGTTTTCCCTTTGTTCCCCTTTTCCCTTTTTTTGAACTTTTTTGTCTGAAGATTTGTCCTTTCCTGCTGCCTTTTTTTTTGGACAGAGTCTCACTCTGTTGCCGGGGCTGGAGTGCAGTGGCACAATCTCAGCTTACTGCAACCTCTGCCTCCTGGGTTCAAGCAATTCTCCTGCCTCAGCCTCCTGAGTAGCTGGGATTACAGGTGCTCACCACTACTCCAAGCTAATTTTTTTGTATTTTTAGAAGAGACGGGGTTTCACCATGTTGCCAGGCTGGTCTTAAACTCCTGACCTTGTGATTCACCTGCCTCGGCCTCCCAAAGTGCTGGGATTGGCTTCCTTTCCACTTTTGCAGGAGCAGATTTAGCTGACCACCAGGCCAATCTCCTTGGGCTCTTCCTTCAGTTGGGCATCTTGGCAGTGGGGAGGGTATGACCTGGTGCCTGCAGGCTGCGGCGCAATGAGAGCCTTTGTGAAGCTGGGCTGCCTGGACACTGCTGCTCCTCTCACCACCCAAGCTGCTCCTATAAACACTTACATGCAGGTTTTGTTTGGACATAAGTTTTCAGCTCTTTTGGGTAAATGCCAAGAAGTATGATTGCTGGATTGTATGGTAAGAGTTATGTTTAGTTTTTCAAGAAACTGCCATACTGTCTTCCAAAGGGTCTGTACCATTTTGCATTCCCGATAGCAATGGATAAGTTTCTGTTGCTCCATATCCTTGCTGTCATTTGGTTTTGTCACTATTGTAGATTTTATACATTCTAATAGGTGTGTAGTGGTACCTTACTGTTTTAATTTGCAATTCCCTAATAACGTGATGTGGTGCATCTTTTTATTTGCTATCTGTATATTGTCTTTATCTGTTTCTTCAGGTCTTTTGCACACTTTTTAAATTGGTTGTTCATTTTCTTATTGTTGAGAATTAAGAGTTATTTTTGTATTTTGAATAACAGTCCCTTTGCAGATACGTGTTGCAAATATTTCGTATCACTATGTGGCTTGTGTTCTCATTTTCTTCACAGTATCTTTTGCAGAGTAGACGTTTTTAATTTTAATGAGGTTCAGCTTACCAGTGCTTTCTGTCAAGGATCATGCCTTTGGTGTCAAATCTAAAAAGTCATCACTAAACTCACCATCATCTATATTTTCTCCTATGTTATCATTTAGGAGTTTTATTGTTTTATGTTTTACATTGAGGCCATTGATTCACTGGGAGTTAATTTCTGTGAAGGATATAGTATCTGTATTGAGATTTTTTTTTTTTTTTTGGATGTCCAGTTGTTTCAGTACCATTTGTGAAAAAGGCTATGCTTTCTCCACTGAATTTCCTTTGTCAGATCAATTGACTGTATTTGTATGGATCTGTTTCTGGTCTATCTGTTCTGTTCCATTGATCTATTTGTCTGTTCTTTTGCCAGTATCATACTGTCTTGATTACTGTAGCTTTATAGTATGTCTTGAAGTTGGGTAATGTCAGTCCTCCAATTTTGCTCTTCATCAAAATTGTGTTTATTCTTTGGGTTGTGCTCTTGATTTTAAAACACAAGAATAAAACTTCATCATTGTATTCTGCTTTGCCTACCTATTCAAGCAATAATATAAATGATTTTTAAATTTTCACAGCTACTATTTCCCAGATTTTTATTGTCTCTATGTTTTATTGACTATTGAACAATACCAGTTTGAACGGCGTGGGTCCACTTACATGCAGATTTTTTTCAATAAAAGTTATGCTGTGAGTGCCTGCCTCTCTTACGTCCCCTTCCACCTCCTCTTCTGCCTGTGCCACTCTTCAGACACCAAAACCAACCCCTACTCTTCTTCCTCCTCCTCAGCCTACTCAACATTAAGACAATGAGGATGAAGACCCTTACAATGATCCACTTTCACTTAATGCATAAATACATTTTCTTTTATGTTTTTCTTTTTTTTTTTTTTTTCTGAGACAGGGTCTGGCTCTGTCGCCCAGGCTGGAGTGCAATGGTATGATCATAGCTCACTGCAATCTCTGCCTCTTGGGCTTAAGCCATCCTCCCACCTCAGCCTACCAAGTAGCTGGGACTACAGGTGCGCACTGCCACACCCAGGTAATTTTTGTATTTTTGGTAGAGACAGGGTTTTGCCATGTTGCCTAGGCTGCTCTTGAACTCCTGAGCTCAAGCAGTCTGCCCACCTCGGCCTCCCAAAGATGATTTTCATTTTTTTTTTTTGAGATGGAGTCTCACTCTGTCACCTAGGCTGGAGTGCAGTGGCATGATCTCGGCTCACTGCAAGCTCCGCCTCCGGGTTCGCATCATTCTCCTGCCTCAGCCTCCTGAGTAGCTGGGACTACAGGCACCTACCACCATGCCCAGCTATTTTTTTTTTATTTTTTTTAGTAGAGACGGGGTTTCACCGTGTTAACCAGGATGGTCTCGATCTCCTGACCTCGTGATCCGCCCACCTCGGATTCCCAAAGTGCTGGGATTACAGGAGGTGTGAGCCACCGCACCCAGCCCCAAAGATGATTTTCTTAATAACATTTTCCTTTCTCTAGTTTACTTTTTTGTAAAAATACAGTATATAGTACATACAATGTACAAAATATGTGTTAATCAACTGTATGTTATGAGTAAGGCTTCTGGTCAGCAGCAGGCTATTAGTAGTTAGGTTCTGTGGTAGTCAAAAGTTATATGCAGATTTTTTATCACATGAGGGGTCGGCACTCCTAACCCATGTTGTTCAAGGATCTGAGAAATAATCTAGTGCTAAATTGCAAGGTGCGCAATTGAGCAACACCCCACAAATCCAGGCAGAAAACATGATGCTTCTTGAACATAGAGGTTTTAAATAGCTAAATGTGAAACTGCATCCAAAAGACTAAATGTGAAACTGCATCTAAGACTGCACCCAGTCTTAGATTACAGGCAGCTTTAACTAGAAGACTGCTTTAATATTAAAGCTTAGCCTGATTTGGAACAATATTGGAGTCTAAAATGAATACCAAGTTTGACAAAAAGCAGATGAATCAGATGCACAAAGGGAGCCAGTGTGATCTAAGTATGACATCTAACACAGTTAGGGTTGGAGATTCTGCTTCTGCTTCTGTCTTTAAGATACAATGCTGAGTTAGTCATTTATGCCCCTAGCTAAGTGACAGGCTGTATTCCAAGGTGCTAGGCATTCCTTGGAATGTGGCCATGAATATATTAACATAAAAACAAACTCTGAATTAGCTTTTCCCATATGATATACCAAAATGATGAAAAAGCAATATTTGGGATATGCTAGAACTTCAAGCAGTATATCTAGCATATCAACACTAGAAAGAGCCTTTGACTAATCAAAGGGAGGCAGAAATGATCATTTTTTTATGAGGTAAATCTTTAGTTTCTTGATTAGCCACTTTGGCCTGTGATGTTTGGAAATAGGAAAACAGTGGCATTAAGACACAAAGGCTTGGGCCAGGCGCAGTGGCTCATGCCTGTAATCCCAGTACTTTGGGAGGCCGAGGCAGGAGGATCACGAGGTCAGGAGATCAAGACCATCCTGGCTAACACGATGAAACCCCATCTCTACTAAAAATACAAAAAAAATAGCCAGGTGTGGTGGCGGGTGCCTGTAGTCCCAGGTACTCGGGAGGCGGAGGCAGGAGAATGGCGTGAACCCGGGAGGTGGAGCTTGCAGTGAGCTGAGATTTCAACACTGCACTCCAGCCTGGGTGACAGAGTTAGACTCCATCTCAAAAAAAAAAAAAAAAAAAAAAAGACACAAAGGCTTATCAATTTATACAGTAAAACTAAGGGTTGATATATGTCTTAAAGTTGGAAAGACATGGAGTGGTAGAACCCCTTTTTACTAATCTGTTCCCTGAAATCAATAACATTAGTCTTGAGTTGCTTGAACTCAACTTGATGCATTTAGTGTATGACATGTAAATCTGAGGAGAAATGCTAAAACATTTGGTAGCATCTACATAGTTGATAAAGAGCTCACATCACAGTATATGAAGAAATTTTTTAAATAATATATTTTACTCCAGAGGTAAGTTATGGTAAAGTATGAGTCTATATGTATATGTACTACCTAAAATTAGTTAGAAGGAAAAATATAGAAAGAAAGAAGAAATTTAACCATTTCCCTACCAAGCAGAATGACATGAAGCACGTTTGACCCTAATGGAAGATCTTTCAAACATGAAACAATCACCTGCTAACATTAAAGTTTCTATTGAATATGCCCTTTATTCAGTTTATCTCCTCCTCTAATTTTGTTGTCAGTAGTTCTGAAATGAGTAGATTTTCAAAATAAATAAACAAAAGCCTTTTAGATATTGAATATGGTTTTCAAATTGAGGGGACTTTTAAACTGTAAAATGTGAATCTACTATGCTATATTCACAGTTTGATAAAACTTGGTGGTTTTCAGTAGAGTGCTTCTTAAACTTTAATATGTTTATAAAGTACCTGGGCATCTTGTAAAAATGTAGATTATGATTCAGTAGGTCTGGGGCTACAGACCATACATTGAGTAGTGAATTTTAGAATGTACAGTTGACCCTTGAACAATGTAGAGGTTGGGATGCTGACCCCACACACAGTCAAAAATCTGCATATAACTTTTGACTCCTCAAAAACCTGACCACTGTTGACCATAAGCCTTATCAATAATATAAACAGTTGATTAACACTTATTTTGTATTCTATATGTACGATATACTATATTCTTACAATAAAGTAAGCTGGAGAAAAAATGCTATTAAGAAAATCATAAGGAAGAGAATATATTTACTATTGACTAAGTGAAAGTGGATCATCATAAAGGCCTTCATCTTGTCTTCACGTTGAGTAGTCCGAGGAGGAGGAAGAAGAAGGGTTGGTTTTGCTATCTCAAGGGTGACAGAGGCAGAAGAGACTGAACAGGTGGAAATAGGCAGGAAAGATAGGCCCACTTGATGTAACTTTATGGAAATATATTGTAATTTGTCTGAATTTTTTTGCTATTTTATTTCTCTAAAAATGTTTCCATACAGTACCAATCTTTCTTCCATTGTTTGCTTTAGTTTAGTGCCTGTATCATAGAGAAGGGTCCATGTTGTAAAAGAAGTCAATAGCAGTCTTGAATCGTCAGAATCCTTCTACTGGATTGTCTAACCTCAATCTGTTTTCTGGCACTGCTTCTTCTACATCTTCATCTTCATTGTCTGGCGCTGGTTTGGAAGCAGTCATCTCCATCAAGTCATCTTCCGTAAATTCTTCTGATGTGAGGTATATTAGCTCTTCAGTGTCTCCAAGAGCCATATCTCGACACCTTTTACACACACACACCCTACACTATTTTTGCCATATCCGCAGTCTCTGTCATGATTTCTTTGATTAACTCTGTCATAAATCCCTTGAAGTCATGTACAACATGTGGACACAGAGTTTTCCAGAGGAATTTATTGTTTGGGGCTTGATGGCTTTCACAACTTTTTCTGTAACAACAATGTCATCTTCAACAGTTTAATCCTTCCAGGCTTTCATGGTGTTCTCTCTATCAGAGCTCTCTTTCACAATGTTGGCAGTCCTTTCCACATGGAACTTTGTATAAGCCTTAAAGGTCCTATGGCCCCCGATCTAGAGGCTGAATTAGAGACATTGTGTTTGATGGCAAGTAGACCACTTCGATATCTACAGTGTTGAACTCATGGTATTCTGGGTGGCCAGGGACATTGCCTAATACCAAATGAACTTTAAAAGGCAGTCTCTTACTGGCAAAGTACTTTCTGACTTCAGGAACAAAGCATTGATGGAACCAATCTGGAAAAAGGGTTCTCATTCAGACCTTCTTGCTGTATAAACAAGAGTGGCAGCTGGGGCTTATCATTTCTCTTCAAGACTTGGGGATTACTAGCTTTATAGATAGGGATAGTCCCAATCATAAATCTGACCACATTTGTGCAAAACAGTCGAGTTAGCCTATCCCTTCCTGCCTTAAATCCTGGTGCTTACTTCTCTTCCATACAAATAGATGAAATAAATGTCCTTGGTGGCTTTTTCCCCCCACAAAATAGGGCACTTCATTTGCACTAAAAGCCTGCTCAGGCAGATATCCTTCCTCAATGATTTTCTTAATAGCATCTAGGAATTTATCTGCTGCCTCTTGGTTGGCAGAAGCTGCTTCTCCTGTTATCTTGACATTTTTTAAGCCAAATCTTTTTCTAGAATTATCAAACCATCCTTTGCTGACATTAAATTCTCTAGCTCCTTCACTTTCCCTTTGCTTTAAGTTGTCATATAATGACCTCACTTTTTCTTGAATAATATTACAGTCTCTAAGTATACCTTTCTTATAGCAATCCTGCACCCATACAAATGCTGTTTTCAATATGATACAAAAAGGTATTTCTCAAAAAATGCAAGATTTTCATGCCTGCTAGCCTTGCTGCATTGATGGCTCATGAACTTCATTTTCTGTTTTTTATACTGGTCCTTAGGCTAGATTCATTTATCTTGCAATGGTGGGCAGTTAAAGCTACAGACCTCAAACTACAGTACATAACAAGCAATTCAGCTTTTTCTTAAAGTGTCATAACTTTTCTCTGCTTCTTGGGAGCACCTCCAGCATCACTGGTGGCATTTCATATGGGTCCTATGTGTTATTTAAGGTTTACAGCATTGCACTAAAAATAAACATGATATGATAAATACACAAGAACCTCAAGAAATCACTTTTTACTATAATACACAATTTATTGGAGAGATGAACTGTTCATGTGGAGATGATTAGCATCGCATGGCCTTTTAAGCAGATAGAATACTTGAGTGTACCTCAGTAGCAACAGAAGGTGGCTACAAAATTATTACAGTAGTATAGTATGTATTATAATATGTGGTTATTCATATACTTATGCAGTTATTTAATACTACATCTTTACATTTGTTTACATTTCTCTCATTTAAGTTTTGATAAATTTTAACTTTTTATAATAGATTTGTATATACTCTATGATAGTAAATGATAAAATATACTATCCATATATTTTATGTATTCATGACATACCTATCTTTTTCATAATTTTTTTAATATTTCTAGGTTACATGGTTTGTCTGCGAGTTTTATCAAATTGTCACAAATCACCATAAAATTTTCCAATATATTTATTGAAAAAATCCATATGTAAGTTGAACTGCGCAGTTCAAACCCATGTTGTTCAAGGGTCAACTGTAGTCTGAAAATTGTCGTGGTCTACTTAGATTATTATAAATCATTGCTTTCCTTTCAGTTAGTCAGAGTTCTTAGTTCCCTAACATGGTTTCTTTTAAATGTTTGGGCTAGGAATTACACTTGGTTTTGATGTCTTGTTTTCCTGGGTTTTGTCTTATCTCAGAACACAAGACTCTTATAAAAACCTACTTCTCTGCTAGATGCTGTATCAAAATATTATTAAGGTAGAAAAAAGGTAAAGGTAGAACCAAAAATTTAAAAATAACAGAAATCTATCAAAAATTATTAGACCAAAGTAACAGAAACTTTCAAAAGATTATTTAATCATTGCATAGAAACCTCTTGATGAATATGTTCTTGCTATTTTGGACTTTCAATTATGTCCAAATTAATTAAATTCTGTTTGGATAATATATAAATTTCACCTCTTGTTTTTAGGCAAGATCCCAAGGAAAGTAATAAAATGGCCTTTGTCATGAAGGAGGCTTTTCTGGTAACTACAAATTTTGTTGTTTCTGTCATTGGCTATCCTTCCCTAAGCATTCTTTTGGGTGATATTCTCATTTTAAGCAATATCTATTGCCATGTATCAGAAACAAGCACAAATGTCTCAAAATTCTGTCTTCCAAGCTGTTTTAGTCTGGGTGTGGTGGCTCATGCCTGTAATCCCGGCACTATGGGAGGCCAAGGCAGGTGGATCACTTGAGCCCAGGAGTTTGAGACCAGCCTGGGAAATGTGACAAAACCCTGTATCTTAAAAAAAAAAAAAAAAATTAGCCAGGCATAGTGGCAGACACCTGTAGTCCCAGCTACTCAGGAGGCTGAGGTGAGAGGATCACCTGACCCTGGGGAGGTCGAGGCTGCAGTGAGCCATGATCGCACCATTGCACTCCAGCCTGAGTGACAGAGTGAGACCCTGTCTGTAAATTAGTTAATTAATTAATTAATTAAGCTGTCTTAGAAGGTTAAAGTATATTGTTTTTAATTTTTAAAGTATACCAAAAAATCACATTTTCTATTATAACCTCTCAGTTTCTCTGAAAGTAATCATATTTAGGCTGTTATTCAGTGATGTTTCCTTCCAAGTTGATTATTTTTCCTACCATTTGCTATTATCTGGGGGAAAACACTAACATTTGTTAGTGCTTGCTGTATACCAGTTAACATGCATGTGTCACAACACCCTTTTTTCTCCAAAGCCCATGTTTTATGTATGCCTTGCTGTCTCCCTACCTAATCAGCTGCTCAGTTTTCAGTGCCTTCAACAAATAAGAAACCAGTGTTTCTCAGTAAATTTAGAGAGATTTGGGGAATTTCCTACTATTAGAATACATTTGAAATTATGTTGATCCAAGATAGTATAAAATAGAAGAGTGATGAGTATGAGGAGCTAAGAAAACTAATGACTTCTAAGATTTCTGTCACATTCAAAAAAGAGTACCTAGTAGGATTCCGAGACCTACCAGTAGGTTATTATATACCTTTCTCTCCAATGCTAACAACATTTGAGGAAAATCAGAGCATGGCAACCTGTCGTGCAGGATTGCCATTTGCACTATTTTATTCCTTCAGCTAGCAGTGCTCAGGCTTTCACCGGCTGACAGACAAATTGAGGAGGAAGGGAGTTGGATCAAGAGCCTCATTTGATCTGTCCTTCACCCATTGTCCATTTAACAAATGACCTTGATGAGTCTGTAAGATCTTCTCTTTAGTAGAAACACTATAGACCCAATATTTAGCTGGCTCTTGCTTACGAAGGTTAAACAGATTATACAGGGATAGCAAGGCTCACCAGCTGCTTAGCATGAAATATTGAGTGATCTGGAGGGAGACACAAGAGTGATGGCATTGCTACTGCAAATAATTGCAGAAGACACTTGTGAGTATTGCACAGTAAATCTGCACCTTCCGTGGGCACTCATTTGAGGGGAGGCTTCCTCAGGATGGAGCGTCGGCAACACATGTCTAATAGGTGCATTCATTTTAATATGCTCATTCATTGAATAGGCCTGATTAATTAGTACATGTCACCATCTGGTACTTAGTGAGACTATTCATTTTTAAAATGTTGAAATTGCAGGGAATGGTGCACACCAATTAAAATCCTTTTAACTGAATGGTTTTGGTATAAAGTATACATGTAGGAGGACTTCATTGGAATTCAGCATGCATCTAAGGTTACACACATCAGCCTGAAGTCAATTAGAACAAAAGAAGTCAAGAGAGGGGAAAATGAAAGAAGAGCTGTCCTTTTTCTGAATGTGTCTGCTCAGATATTATGCTTTCTCTCTGTTTTTCTATTCTTCCTCTCACTTGTCTTGATTGTCCTCCTACCTTTTATTTATTTTGGGTTCATTTCTTTTTCTCTCACCTTCTATTTTTTATCTTTTGTTATTGTTCCCCACTTCCTCATCTCCTCCCCACCTCATCGTTTTCCAGTCACTAGTTAAGACAGGAGAGTTGGGTTAATAACTTTAATGATACAGTAAAATTTTAGTTCTCTATGTTCCTTTGAAAGAATGAATTCTAGTTGGCCAAAGTTTCTGGATAACTGTGGGTTTGAGCTCTTTAAGCATTAAAATATTTTCAGTTTGAATAGTCATTTGGTGCTTATGTGACCTAAATTGTTTTTAAAATGCATACTAAGATTTAGGGTGCTTTTTTTCTCTGTCTTTATTTTTATAGTTTTCTATAAAGAGTAATTATTTTATAATTAAATAAACTTATAGTAAATAAAATAAGTTGTTTAAAAATCTTTCCAAAATACATTTCACATTTTAGTTGTTTGCTTCCCTTCTTAAACACAGAACCCCGAACATAATTTACTATTTTCTTGCTATCTTGCTGTAATTGGTGTCAACATCAATTACAGTGCTATTCTAAAATATAGTGATGCCCTTAAGGGATATAGGGCTATTTGCCCACATGGAAAAGCTTTTTCAGTTCTTAAGTTTGGTTCTTGTATTTTTCTTTCTCCCCCTTTGCTGTCAGGTAGTCACTTGTCACTTGCCACTTCTGTCTGAATGCTGCTGTCTCCTTCTAAGTTATTTTGGTCTATGAAACCAGATAGCAGAGCATCATTTATTCATCTGTTCAAGAAACATACAGTGCCAAGACTGAATAAGATATATCTCCTGCACTCAAGGAGCTAAGACTAGTGGGGGTCGGGGGGTGGAGTAAGGTATGCAAAAGCCATATGATGGGAATCTGGGGAAGGGAGCAGTTAATTCTAAGAGGAGGATGTGAGACTTCACAGGGGAATTAAAATTTGACTGGAGGATCAAAAGATCTATAGGATTTTGAACAATTGCTATATGAGTGGACATGGAGGAGATAATGGCTGCTTTAAAAATGGTAAGTCAGTAGCAGATCACAAAGAGCATTAAATTTTATTCTAAGGAGTTTAAATGTATTATATATGCAACTGAGAACAATTAATGGCTTTATGAAGAGTTAAAGTAGTTAAGGAGCTGTATTTTAGAGGAACTGGGACACAAAATATACTATCTCAGTATTTCAGACAAAGAGCAATGAAAATCCAGGACTCAAGTTATAGCTAGATGGGTCAAAGGGAGAGGACAGATTAGGAAAGATAAAACCTGACAATTGATTGGATATAGCATGAGAAGGACCAGGAGGAGTCAAAAGTTGACCCAGTCTGAATGTCTGCCAATGTTTTGATACCATTTACTGTTATGGTACCTAGAAAAAGGTTGAGCATACTGTGTTTTGGAGGAAAGATGTAATTAGTTGTGTTTGGAAAGGTCTAGTAGGCAGCCGAAGTCTGGAGCTTCAGACGACAGGAGCAAGAGGTATAATTCTGGAATATAGATTATAAAGTATATGTTATATGGCAAACTCTGGAAAGTTGTTCCACCCTTAAATATTTGGGAATAGACAAGATCACAGAAGAGATGGCTAGAGAGTTAGATTAGTTTAGTTTAGTTTAGTTTAGTTTAGTTTAGTTTAGTTTAGTTTAGTTTAGTTAAGATAGAGTCTCACTCTGTCACCCAGGCTGGAGTGCAGTGGTGCAATCTCTGCTCAGTGCAACCTCTGCCTTCCAGGTTCGAGCAATTCTCCCACCTCAGCTTCCCAAGTAGCTGGGATTACAAGCGCGCACCACTGTGCACAGCTAATTTTTGTATTTTTAGTAGAGACGGGGTTTCGCCATGTTGGCCAGGCTGGTCTCGAACTCCTGACCTCAAGTGAGCCACCACACCTGGTTGACAGTCTTTTTAAAAGGGTAATTGCGGAAAGGACATTTGGGTACCTTTTTTAAAAGAGCGGTGGACACGTATCTCCACTCAAATTAACATTAGAGTCTCATTTGGTTCATAGTAAAGTGGATAGGGGATATACAAATAAGGCAGCCTGAGAGAGACAGCTATAATTCATTAAATTATAAGTAGAGCATTCACCTTTATTTCTGTACAAACAAGATCAATAAAACTAATTTAAGCTGATCAAATTAAATTTGTGTGTAAAATGAGTCTATAAATGAAACTATAAAAGGTGCTTTCCTACTTTGTCTAGTTTTCAGCTGTATCCTGAATAGGTAATCTTGCCAGATAACTATATCCATAGAGAAGAGGTGTTTCTTATATGTGAGAATTATTTTTGTTTCAGGTTATTAAAGATCTCTGACTCCAACTTCATTTGTCTCTTGTTAAATTTGTTTGAATAATTCAAAATGGTATTTTAACCCAAATTTGCATGTATATAATGTTTTGAATAGATTGTAAATTTGGGGAAAGACTTTAAAGGTACTCTTGTTACCAAACAGCATGTTCATTCTGTGAAATATGTCTGTGTGTCTGTGCGTATACACCTTGATCTGTGTACAGAAAAAAGACACAGAAGAGTATGTAGTCAGATTTGGGGGTTTCTTCATTGCTTTTTGCATATTTTTATTTTCTGATTACTTGTATAATATAAAGAATTTTTTTTTCATTTAAAAAAAAAGGTAAGGACCGTTCGGCCTAGAGAGTTTGATAAGTTGTCTGTTTTTACAAATCTTATTAGCAATGGCCTTGAGTGTTGTTGATTTGTGCCTCTGAGGGTTCTCCTAATTGGTGAGTGGTTACGATAGGAATGGAAATACTCCTAGTGCTCTGGCACCCACAAGGGCCAGGGGCCCAGCACCTCTTCAAGAATGGCTGGCATTCCACCTCTCACTTTCCACTGGGAGGTGTTTGGGCTCACTTTAGTAGTCCAGTGATACAAACCACAGGTAGATATCTCACTGATGAGGAGAATTAAGACCCAGCATATTTTTATTGGGGGATAGTTTAGTTTTTCCTCTGTCAGACTGCGGTCTCCTTGTATATTAATATCCAGTAACTCCCCAGAGTCTGAGCTTCTGCTGTTTTCTTGAGAACAGTCCTGTGGAAACCTATTGTCATGTGCTCATGCACATCTGGAGTTCTCGAATGCCCTGGCCACAGTTCCCATCCTTCATGGTCCATCACTGGCCTCATCACTTCAGTTACTAAACCCAAGTCTCATTTTTCTAACTTTATTCTGTAATAAAATAAAACTAACTAAAGAATTGTCACTTTGCCTTTTTCATTTTCTCTCTCATCCACCTCAGCATCCTGCATCTTCTTTACTGCTCTCACTAAACCACTTGCAGTCAAGGTTTAGAGTCAAGTTTACATAAGTAAATAGTAATTAAAGATCTGGATATTTCTCAATGGGAAGAATTTTAAATCACACATTTTGTTTTAGAATGTGTTTGTTATTTCCATTCGGACATCATCTGTCTCATGATTTTCTACAGTTAAAGTAGTGCAGTTGGTGCTAGCTTGATTGTCCACATTTCAGTATATCTCTGGGAAACTGATCCTGGGTTTTGATCTATACAGACCACAGGGTCATCTTTAGTCACTCTTATTATCCCACTGGTTGATAAAAATTATCAATTTAGCCTCTCACATCAGCCCCTGCTTGTTAATTCCCACTGCCACTATATTAGTTTGGGGCCTTCTCTGGACTAGTATTATACTAGTTGAAACAACTACATTACCTTTCACCTTGCCTCCTGTCAATATATTCTTTCCATTTCCACCTGAATTCTTAAAGCACAATAGTATCACATTACCTTATTGCTCAGCAACTCCTTCCTGATAGAATCTGACAGCATCTCTTGAAATTGATGCAAAACACAAGTCCAAGATGGAATGCTAAAGTTTCCTTGCAAGTCACTTGCTCAGAACTTGGAGTATGTTTTCCCTGTAGAAGCAATAAGTCTTAAACAGGTTTACAAGGCAGCTAAAACTTTCAATTAAATCATCCATGATAACTGAAGTCTAACCTAAGCATAGTTAACAGTGTTCCCATTGAAATAGCTTCCCAAGTGCCCAATTGGTATGTCAAGATGGGGTGTGGATATGTGTGGAGGAGATTAGAGGGATCATACCCCTTCCTGGCCTCCGCTGGATGTAGAAATTTAATAAAAGGAGAAAATAACTAATATTTATTAAGTGCTTACTATGAATCAGCCTTCGAGTTAGGCATTTTATATATTTTATCTTAATTCATTTTCATAAGAGCTTTGTTTGACGGTAGTTATTATACTCCTTTAACAGATTCTTAGCAAATTAGTAATGTGAATAAGATCACAAGAGGAATGCTTACCTGACATAAGAGATTATTGTTTTTAAGCACTACTTTTCAAACTTTGGTAATTTATAGACCTCCTTTTAACTGAAAAAAATAACTGTGCTCTGTCAGTGTTGACGTACATTATTATAATTTTACTTAAATACAAAAAACATAAAGTTAGGTATAAATTCTTTATGCTTATAGTTGTCATTTAGCTATAAAACAAATTTGAAAGTTAAGTACAAAAAAACCCTGCAAAACTAATGAAATGCAAATTAACAGCAATTTAATATAATAGATGAAGTTTTGCTGAAACTAAATTGCTGCTTACTGTGTGGGTAAGGAGCTGCCAGCCACCCTAGTTTTCTTTGCAGTTTTCATTACCATTGGCTGTCTTCTTATGCCACATTTCTTTCTACGGTATTGAAAATTCAAGATTGGTACAATACACAGTGGTTGCACCATGATGTCATTTTGGTCTTTACTTGGTAGAACTGTATCATCTACATATTAAGTGAGCCTTTCTTTTCTCATTATTTCTTACAGTTAAAGTAGTGTGCTTGGTGTCAGCTCATATTAGAAACAGAAAGGTATTTGTAGTCCTGGAAATTATATTGCTGTGCTTAGTTAATATGGCCATTGCAATGATCCTGCCTGTGTTTACATTAGTTTATTTTAGATGTAAACTTTACTTTCAGTTTAATATTCAGCTCTTTTGGAGAACTCATAGACCCTTGAAAACACATCCCAGATTCCAGTGTGAGAAGTATTCTTTGACTGCATTTTAAGTTATGTATTTACAACCATTAAGAAAATAATTCCAACTTATTTATTAGAACAGGTCCAAATATCTGCACTAGGAAAGACTAGTTTATTATGGTATTTCCTCAAAAGCAATAAATCTATACTTCTTCAAAGTATTGTGTAATTCAGACTTTCATTAATTTAGAAGTACTTTTTCCCTTTAAAAGTCTAAATTATAAATGTTTTACAGTATGTATTGTTCACTCTTTTCTATAGCTGGGAAAGGTAAAATTTCTTTTAATTGGAAAAATAATGCCTCCTGCCAAACATAAAGTAACACAAGACAATAAAGCCTCCAAAAATGAGTGAAGAGTGGTAGAAAATGACATTGCTCACTCTGATTATGTGGCTATAAACATTCAAGCAGGATTTTTCTTAGAATCATTAACTATTTTCTTATTTCTCCTTCCTTCCCAATTTCCTTTTTCCCACCTTCTCTTATTTGAATTTTGCTCTGCCCTTATTTAGTCTCTTTCTTATTCCCTGTCTTCTCACATCTCAATCAGCTGTGACTCCCTAATTTAGCCTGCAGTCCAGCTTTCTTCACTTGGCAGTTGGCTCTGAGGTTGAGGGCAATGGAGAAGAGGAACAGAGCAAGGTGACTGATAGCAACATCTCACCAACTCACTCTCAACCAGCCACTTCAGTGGCCCCTCCAAATCAGAGTGGTTCCTGACTTGGAGAGCTGGATGAAAGATCATGCTTAATTTGCCTCGTAATATTACTTCCTCAACACTCTGAAACACAAAAAACACAACTTTGAGACAGCCTACTAGCTAAGTTTATGCCTGTTTGTTTCCTTCTGGCTTATTCTGCAGTGAGCACCTGGACTGATCATCTTAGAGCTGAGGAGGGGAAGGTGTGGGTGTGCCTATTTCTTACACTTCTTCATTCATGGTGGAATTCCACTATGGTGGACAGTGCTGCTGCTGCTGCTGCTGCTGTGTGGACTGTCTTTCAGACACTGCCATGTTTATGTTTAAAGCAGCCTCCAGATGCCATGAAGCTATACCATTTATGCATGCATACGTGCATGCATGCATTCATCCTGGCTCTGCCATTTACTAGCTATGTGACCTTGGGCAAGTTTCAGTTTCTTCATCAGTAAAGTAGGGCAAATAATAGTATGTCTATCATAGAGTTTTGTGAGAATTATGAGGTGTTTGTTTTGTTTTGTTTTTTTGAGATAGAGTCTCGCTCTGTTGCCTAGGCTGGAGTGCAGTGGCGCGATCTCGGCTCACTGCAACCTCCCCCTCCCAGGTTCAAGTGATTCTCCTGCCTCAGCTTTCTGAGTAGCTGGGACTACAGGCGCGCACCACCACGCCTGGCTAATTTTTGTATTTTTAGTATGGACAGAGTTTCACCATGTTGGCCAGGCTGGTCTCAAACTCCTGACTTCAGGTGATCTGCCCGCCTTGGCCTCCCAAAATGTAGTGTTGGGATTACAGGCTTGAGCCACCGCACCTGGCCGAATTATGAGTTTTTATGGGTAAAGGGCCTGGTACTTAGTAGTAAATGCTAACTAGAATTATTCTTGAGTGAAAACATTTATTTAGTATCCAATGTATTCCAAACAATTCAAGAGATATAGAGAGGAAAAACACTTAGACCTGCCTTCTGGGGACTTACATAATTACAAAACAATGTGGTATAATCGAGTTAGGCAAAACTTCATCACAGAGGTAAAATTTAAACTGCATCTTGAAGGATAAATAGGGTTTCAACAAATGGAACAGCATTAGAGGAAATACATTCCAAGCAGAAGAAAAAGCTTGTGAATAAAATAAAACTATAAAAGACTATGGAGTCTTGGCTGTTATTAGATAATACTTTAACTTCTTCTCTGATGTATACCTTCTTAAATAGGGGTCTAAAGTGGTTTCAGGGAACATTTTGGAACTTCTAATCTTATAACTAGTTATTACCAAGTTTATAATAATTATTATTAGTAGTAGTTAACTGATTCGTCAAAGAGTTTGAATTTAAAAATTAGTTGGAACTGAGCGGTGCTGCTTTGCAGGGGTGCATTTGTTGTTACATGATTCTTATCCTGAGATGACTACCATGTGACAGGAGCAGTGAACTGTTAGAAAAACTGTTGTGGTTAGAACAATTGGAACTGGATGGGCTTCTGGAGATTTCATTAAGTTTCCAAAATTAAGCAGATTTTACTTTGGTTTCTTCTTTAGATAGGAGAACCTCATGTTCTTGTGATAGCAAGGAATGATAATTTTTTTTTTCAGTCAGATCTCAAGAAAGTCCCTTTTACTCATGGAATTTCCATTTGTGTACCAAATTTAAGCTGTGTTTTATCTTCTGCAAAACTTCTTCCTGCAGCTTTGCTTTCACTTCCTCTCCCCACCCTTTTAGTCATATACTGAAGAGTTTGGCAGCTGGTTGAGGTGTCAGGTCAGCATTTTTCACTGTGGAAGAAGGAAAGGTTGGGAACAGTGACGTGGGTATGGTTGTCACATTTTCCTTTCCTTTTTTTTAAGTGACCCACATGTTCTTTAACAAAAGCCTAGTGAGAACCTTGACTTGTAAATTGTTCCCTAGCATCCTGGAGATGGACTAATATGTGGGATGACATATAGGCAATAGATCCTCACTGAGAGTGTCCTTAAAAGCCCACGTACAGCAGTGAGGATTCTTGACTCTGCCTCCATGGCAATGTGACAGATTTTATGGAGAGAGATGGTGGGCTTCGGGAGTCACAGAATTGGAGGAGCTTAGCAGTTCATTCTCCATCCTCCTTTATTATTAACAGATTCTCCTTGGGTGCCTTTAGGAAATGCTGTATATATGGTGTTTAATCTCCCACCTACACACTTTCCTTTTCTTCACTAATGGAAATTGAATCCAGCTTGAGGAGCTCCAGCTCTTTCTGCTGGCCAGTTTATTTCAAGATTGAAATCCATTGTGGATTTGTTTGTTGTTTTTTTGTATTTTTGTGGGGTTTTTTTTTGGTATCAAATCTGCCTGAAACTGTTGGACTAGAAGCAAACTAATTATTGTCATTGTATGGCAGTAGAGAGAATAAAAAACAGTAATAGGTTCTTAAAAAGCTGTCATGACTTGAAGTGAAATAGGCCACTCTTGAATAGCTTAATCTATAGCCTGAAGGGCTTTGGTCCTGAAAACTGTCAAATATGAAATAGGATTTTAGATCATGGAATCCTGGCTACCTCCTAGGGGCAGCTTCAGCCATTAAACTCTCCCATAGACTATTTCATCTAGAAGATTTGCTTTGAGATTATAAGGAATGTGGAGGTAAATGAGCTTTTCTTATCAAACATTCCATTTGGGTGCTCTGTATCAGACCTGTTCTGGCAAATAAATAGAAGACACCAGGATAGACTGTTTTATTTCCTTGTGTAAGTGCCTCAGGAGACACATTTCTTATTTCTCAAGCATAACTTTGGAGACTGGAGTTTCCCATTTGGGGAGCGTTGGTGTTGAGCAGGGAAAGCTGCTAGTTATTGATTGCCACTGAAGTCATTTCACAAAGGCTGTAAAACCCAAGGATTGCTCTTTGGACAGACCTGCATCTGGTACAGATTCCCCCTCTATGAGACTGTTGTAGGTTAAAATAGTTTTGACAGTGTCTTTAAGTGCACCTCTTTGTCTCCAAATATAATTAGTGTTTAAAATGAAGCCCTCGTGGTTAAGGTTTTGTGGCTTAGACAGCAGCTCCATCTGGTGCTTGCTAAAGGTGTTTGCCTGGTTCATGTCTCGGTTTTTTTGTTTTTTGTTTTTTATTATTATACTTTAAGTTTTAGGGTACATGTGCACAATGTGCAGGTTTGTTACATATGTATAAGTGTCTCGGTTTTAAACCAGATGAATACAGATGGACACAAACTTGTAAACGAATGTCATATGCAACATGGGTTCCTAGTGCACACAACACTGACATAAGCAAATGGTGTTCCTGGTGAGTCTCATTTGGCTATTCTGTTGATAAGTGATAGCTGTTAATCAGCTTAGCCATCTTTTGACTGAATTAACTTACTTTTACTCAAAGTGGGGAATTATTTTTACTATTATCTACTAGTCTTTGAAAAAGCAAATATATTGTACTACTTACAAAGAGAAAACTTAATCCCACTCTTATCAGAGTCTGTTTAACTTGGTTAACAAGATATTATGCCAAGATGCCTTATTCTTTTTTGTATTCAGTGCTGCATAGTGCTAAGTACACAGGGAATTTTTTAATTTAAATTCTTGGTGACTGACAGGAACTGCCCCCAAACTGTTAATAAAAGTTACTTCTGAATAATAAGTTTACATATGGTTTCTATTTTCTTTATGCTTTTCTGAGTTTCCACAGTGAGCATATACAACAAAAGAAAAAAACATCTACCAAAAAAGGTAAAAACAAAACATATTGTAGGTAGTTGTAGCCTTGAGTCCCAGTTCTGGGTCTTTCTTATTTACTGTGTGTCCTTAGGAAAGTCACTGTCTCTTCTAGGCTTCGATTCCTTTGTCCATAAAACACAGTTGAATTAGAAACCTGCACAGTTTTAACATTCTAAGTATTGTGATTCTTTCCTCTTTCCTGTTTTTTCAGCCTCTCACCCTGGCCTGTATCTTTCCCCAATATTACCATTCAACATTATCTAGGTTTTCCCATCTTAAAATAAGGAAATCCTTTCTGGACCCCCATCCTCCTAGCTCCTTCTTGCTTCTCCTTCCTGCCTACTCTTCTCCAAAAGTTATCTACCATTGCTCTATTATCTCACTCTTCAACTCACTGCAGTCTGGTTTCCATCCCCACCACTGAACCAAATAGTTCATGCTAAGGTCACAGATGAGCTCATGTTGCCAAGTCCAATGGGCATGTATGTAAGTCCTCATTTTCCGTTACCTCTCAGCAGCATTTGAAATAGTTATTGTCTTTCTCCTTCATGACATTTCCTCATCTGGCTTCTGTGTCATCACACCTTGGCTGTTAGTTTTCAGTTAGGGGAGAGGAAGTAGCCCCTTCTCCCTGGTTCACCCACCAAGGCCACCTCCTCAGCTCACTATTTTCTTTTCGGCCTAAATATCTCTATACTAGTAATTCCTAAGCAGAGGAGAACCACAGAATTCTCATCCATGTTTCAGACTCCTAAATTCATATACTGTCTTGTATGCAGGGTGACAAAATATGGACTCATAGTCTTCCCTTCAAAAGTTGCACCTCCTCCAATGTTGTCATCTCAGTAAATGGCTCCATAATCATTTGAATACATAAACCTAAAACCTCAATACTTTTTACTCTTCAAAATCCAGTCATTCCTGCATCTTTCTCTGCCTTCCCTGACACCACATCCTAATCCAGATCCTCATCAGATCTTAGTTTGCCTATGTCAGTCTTTTAAGCCTCCTGTCCTGTTCTTCCCGAGTCCATTTTCTACATAGCAGCAGAGCTGTCTTTTTAAAGTCAGGTTTATTGAAGGTAAATTTACATGTAGTAAAATTCACTTTTTTTAAGTGCGTAGTTCTATGAGTTGTTTGTTTGTCTTAGACTGTGGTGCAGTGGCACAATGCAACCTCGGCTCACTGCAACCTCCGCCACCCAGGTTCAAGCAATTCTCATGCCTCAGCCTCCTGAGTAGCTAAGATTACGGGCATACACCACCATGCCTGGCTAATTTTTGTATTTTTGGTAGAGACAGGATTTCACCATGTTGGCCAGGCTAGTCTCAAACTCCTGGCCTCAAGTGATCCACCCGCCTCAGCCTCCCACAGTGCTGGGATTACAGGCATGAGCTACCGCGCCCAGCCTACCTGCCGGTTCTGTGAGTTTTGACAAATGTATGCAGTTATGTAACCACTGCCACCTAACATTTAGATTGTTTCCAGCTTTTGGCTGTAAACCTTTGTGTATTGGTTTTAGTGTAAACAAAAGTTTTTATTTATCTTGGGTAAATACCTAGGAGTGGGATTGCTGGGCTCCAAGGTAAGTTTATGATTAACTCTATAAGAAACTGCAAAACTGTTTTTCAGAATACCTGAACCATTTACATTCCCACCAGCAATATATGAGTTTCAATTGCTTCACATCCTCGCTAGCATCAGTTGTTTTTGTTTTAATTTTATTTTAACCATTCTAATAAATGTGTAGTGGTAGCACATTGTAGTTTTAATTTGCACTTCCATGTGGCTAATTATATTTACAATATTATAAATTTTATTTACTACAATATTATAAATATTGTAAATTATATTTACAATTTTTATATTGTTTAAATGCAATCCATGTATCTTTGGCTGGGCACAGTGTCTCATGCCTGTAATCTCAACATTTTGGGGAGGCCGAGGCAGCTGGGTCCCTTGAGCCCAAGAGTTTGAGACCACCCTGGACAACATGGAGAAACCCCATCTCTATAAAAAAAATAGAAAAATTAGCCAGGCATAGTGGCATGTGCCCATAGTCCCAGCTACTCCAGAGGCTGAGGTGAGAGGCTTGATTGAGCCAGGGAGGTTGAGGCTGCAGTGAGCTGTGATCATACCACTACACACCAGACTGGGTGACAGAGTGAGATCCTGTCTCAAAAAAAAAGATCAAAAATCATATATATTTGGTTAAGTGTCTGCTCAAATCTTTTACCTGTTTTTTATTGGGTTTTTCTTTTTGTTGAGTTTTGAAAGTTCTTTATATATTCCAAATACAAAGTCCTTTGTCAGATATGAATGTTTCACATAATTTCTCCTACTCTGGGGTTTGTCTTCATTCTCTTGTCATTTTTTTTTTGGCAAATGTTTTTGATAAAAGGCAAAATATATTTAGGTACAATATTTTATAACAGAGGTTTGCTAGTGAGAAGAATGAAATTCCATTTTGGGGAGGATAACATTGTGCTTGATGGGGGTTCAAAGTTAGTACTTCCTCTCATCAAAATTGATTACAAATGTTCATCTATTAATTCATATCTGTAATGAAATTTTACGTATTTCATAATTTTATTTTATAATTTTATGTATTATCTTTGAAAAATGTAATTTCACACAGCTGATAGATGCACCAGTGGAAATCCTGCAATTTGTAGAGTGCCACAAAGCAGTAAAAGTGAAGCATACAGTCTGTGTGTCACACATTTCATAGCTACTCATCTCTCCATTGTAGCACAGAAGCCACCATAGGCAAATGAGTATGTAAACAAATGAGTGTGACTGGCGTTCCAATGGAGCTTTATTTGTGGGTACTGAATTTAGAATTTCATATAATTTTCACTTGTTGCAGAACATTATTCTCGTTTTGATTTGTTTCCAACCATTTAAAAACATAAAAAGCATCCTTAACCTTGGGATACAAAAACAGGAATAAGCTACATTTGGCCTCTGGGCTATAATTTGCTTACCTTTCCCCCTTCTTCCCCCCTTCATCTATCAGTGTTTTATAGTTTTGCTCATATAGATTCTAGATTTTACACATATTTTGTTGGACTTATATACGTAAGAATTTCATGGGTTTTGGTCAGAGCTGTCTTTTTAAAATGCAAATTGGATTATGTTGTTTCCCCTATTCAAGACCCTTCAGTGGCTTCCCACTGCTCTTAGGATAAACTCTATAATCTTTAAAAGCCTAAAAGGCCTTGCATGATCTGGCCCCTGGTCTCCTTTTCAGCCTTTTTTTTTTTTTTTTTTTTGAGACAAGGTCTCACTCTGTCACCCAGGCTGAAGTACTGTGGCACAATCTGCTCACTGCAACCTCCACCTCCCAGGCTCAAACAATCCTCCTGCCTCAGCTTCCTGAGTATCTGGAACTATAGGTGTGTGCTACCACACCCAGCTAATTTTTATATTTTTTTTAGAGATGGGATTTTATCATGTTAGCCAGGCTGGTCTTGAACTCCTGGGCTCAAGGGATCTTCCCACCTTGGCCTGCCTCCCAACATGCTGAGATTACAGGCATGAGCCACTGCACCCAGCCCCGAAGCTTCATTTTCAATGCATTGAGTTTGAGGAGTCTACGAAATGTCTAAAACATTCAAGGGTAGGTGGAAGAAGAGGAATCTATAATGGGCTGGGAAGTGTTAGAGAAATTGGTGGATAACAGAAGGAGTGGTATCAAAGGCATTTCTGGGAGGGAAGGTCACAGAATCATTGCAACAGAGACATCAAGCTGAAGATTATGTATGGATAGATAAGAGTGCATAAAATTATAGTTAAAAAGCTCACTTTCCAAATGCTGATTGGCTAAAGGGAAATTACAAAGTACACAAATTAGTTTAGCTCTCAGTCTTTTAATTTAAGGAAAAGTTTAGGAATGGAGTCAGTTTTTTCAAGTCACTAATAATGGTAAGTCTCATAGTGCCTTTTTCATTCAGATTTTTTGTCTTCTTTTCCCCTCCACAGATTGATCATTCTTAGAAGAGCTGCTGTAACACATAGGGGAAGTGAAAACTAACAGATGAAAGTTTTGTCATGCACTGAAAGAAAAGCATTGTCTGTGAAGTTCTATTTTTAAAAATGTCTGCTTGTAACACCTTTACTGAACATGTTTGGAAACCTGGTGAATGCAAGAATTGCTTTAAACCTAAAAGTTTGCACCAGCTTCCCCCAGACCCTGAGAAGGCACCCATCACCCATGGCAATGTGAAAACTAATGCCAATCACAGTAACAACCACCGCATCAGGAACACGGGCAATTTCCGGCCTCCTGTGGCTAAAAAACCCACTATAGCTGTGAAGCCCACTATGATAGTGGCAGATGGGCAAAGTATATGTGGTGAGCTTAGCATCCAAGAACACTGTGAGAACAAACCTGTCATCATAGGGTGGAACCGAAACAGAGCTGCCTTGAGTCAGAAACCACTTAACAATAATAATGAAGATGATGAAGGAATTAGCCATGTTCCTAAGCCTTATGGCAATAATGATAGTGCAAAGAAGATGTCAGATAACAATAATGGACTAACTGAAGTGTTAAAGGAGATAGCAGGCTTGGATACTGCCCCTCAGATAAGAGGAAATGAAACAAACTCCAGAGAAACATTCTTGGGAAGAATAAATGATTGCTATAAACGATCATTGGAAAGAAAGCTTCCACCAAGTTGCATGATAGGTGGGATAAAGGAAACTCAGGGCAAGCATGTTATTCTGAGTGGGAGCACAGAAGTGATTAGTAATGAAGGGGGCCGGTTCTGTTACCCAGAGTTTTCCAGTGGCGAGGAGAGTGAAGAGGATGTACTTTTCAGTAACATGGAGGAGGAGCACGAGAGTTGGGATGAGAGTGATGAAGAGCTGTTGGCCATGGAGATTCGCATGAGAGGGCAACCTCGCTTTGCCAACTTCAGAGCAAACACATTGTCTCCTGTTCGATTCTTTGTGGACAAAAAATGGAATACCATCCCCCTGCGAAACAAGTCTCTGCAGAGAATCTGTGCTGTGGACTATGATGACAGCTATGATGAAATCCTGAATGGTTATGAGGAAAATTCTGTGGTCTCTTATGGACAAGGAAGCATTCAGAGCATGGTGTCATCTGACTCCACATCACCAGATTCTTCTTTAACAGAAGAATCACGTTCTGAGACAGCCAGTAGTTTATCCCAGAAGATTTGTAATGGGGGATTATCTCCTGGTAACCCAGGAGATTCTAAGGACATGAAGGAAATTGAGCCCAATTATGAAAGTCCCTCTAGTAATAATCAGGATAAAGATTCATCACAGGCTTCCAAAAGCTCAATAAAAGTTCCAGAGACCCACAAAGCAGTCCTTGCTCTCCGATTAGAAGAGAAAGATGGCAAGATTGCTGTACAAACTGAGAAGGAAGAAAGTAAAGCCTCTACAGATGTTGCTGGGCAAGCAGTAACCATAAACCTTGTCCCCACAGAAGAGCAAGCAAAACCTTACCGAGTTGTGAACCTGGAACAGCCATTGTGCAAGCCATATACTGTCGTGGATGTGTCAGCAGCCATGGCCAGTGAGCACCTCGAGGGCCCTGTTAACAGCCCCAAGACAAAAAGCTCATCCTCTACTCCAAACTCTCCAGTTACATCATCTTCATTGACACCAGGACAAATAAGTGCCCATTTCCAAAAATCCAGTGCAATTCGATACCAAGAAGTATGGACTTCTAGCACCAGTCCACGACAAAAGATACCTAAAGTAGAACTAATTACTAGTGGAACTGGACCAAATGTTCCTCCAAGGAAAAACTGTCACAAATCAGCACCTACATCACCCACAGCTACAAACATTTCCTCCAAAACCATCCCTGTTAAGTCACCTAATTTGTCTGAAATTAAATTTAATAGTTATAACAATGCTGGTATGCCACCTTTTCCAATTATCATTCATGACGAGCCAACTTATGCTCGGAGTTCCAAAAATGCTATCAAAGTTCCCATTGTTATCAATCCAAATGCATATGACAATCTAGCTATCTACAAAAGTTTTCTGGGAACAAGTGGAGAACTCTCAGTGAAGGAAAAAACCACAAGTGTAATAAGCCATACTTATGAAGAAATAGAAACAGAAAGCAAAGTGCCTGATAACACCACTAGCAAAACCACTGACTGTCTTCAAACTAAAGGGTTTTCAAACAGCACAGAGCATAAAAGGGGCTCAGTGGCTCAGAAGGTTCAAGAGTTTAACAACTGTCTCAACAGAGGTCAGTCTTCACCACAGAGAAGCTATAGTTCCAGCCACAGCTCCCCAGCAAAGATCCAGAGAGCCACTCAAGAGCCTGTGGCCAAAATAGAAGGCACTCAGGAGTCTCAGATGGTGGGCAGCAGCAGCACCAGAGAGAAAGCAAGCACAGTGCTTTCTCAGATTGTGGCTTCAATCCAACCCCCACAGTCTCCTCCAGAAACACCTCAATCTGGCCCTAAAGCTTGCAGTGTGGAAGAGCTTTATGCCATTCCTCCAGATGCTGATGTTGCTAAGAGCACACCTAAGAGTACGCCAGTCCGGCCCAAATCTCTCTTTACATCTCAGCCTAGTGGTGAGGCTGAAGCACCTCAGACCACAGACAGTCCTACCACCAAAGTACAGAAAGACCCATCCATAAAGCCAGTCACCCCCTCTCCCTCCAAATTAGTGACTAGCCCCCAAAGTGAGCCACCAGCTCCCTTTCCCCCGCCACGCTCTACTTCTTCTCCTTACCATGCAGGTAACCTTTTGCAGAGGCATTTCACCAACTGGACCAAGCCAACCAGCCCTACCAGGTCAACAGAAGCTGAATCAGTTTTGCACTCTGAAGGCAGCAGGCGGGCAGCTGATGCAAAACCTAAGCGCTGGATATCATTTAAAAGCTTCTTCCGCCGTCGGAAAACAGATGAGGAGGATGACAAAGAGAAAGAGCGAGAGAAAGGGAAACTGGTGGGCCTGGATGGCACAGTCATTCACATGCTGCCTCCTCCTCCAGTTCAGCGCCATCACTGGTTCACAGAGGCGAAAGGAGAGTCCAGTGAGAAACCAGCCATTGTCTTCATGTACAGGTGCGACCCTGCTCAAGGCCAGCTCAGTGTGGATCAGAGCAAGGCTAGGACAGACCAGGCAGCAGTCATGGAGAAGGGTAGAGCAGAGAATGCATTACTACAGGACTCAGAGAAGAAGAGGAGTCATTCTTCTCCATCACAGATTCCTAAAAAGATTCTCAGGTATGTAAAATAGACTGGAAGAATATGGGAATTTTTTAACACATTTTCAGGTGCTAAGTTTTTTATATCTTTTAAGATTGCATAAGAACCATTTCTGTTTGTAAGTAGCACTCTGTGGCCATCATCTATCTTTATAACTGCATTCCAAGATTAGAATAGTATTAAAGTGATCTTACTGCACTGAACAAGGTTTATAGCCCTGGATCTTTGGCTTAAGTAGCCTACTGCATTCTGGTGAATGCAGAGGAACTTTAGCATAGAAAAGCAAATCCATAACACCTTAATAGCAATAAATAATGTGTTGTTTTGGAATGTGATGGTAGTGTGAGGAAGAAACAGGATCAAATGAATAAATGGTGGTACTGTTCTTTCCCTCACTGTAAATGAAATAAAGCTCTTCCAGCAATTCTTTTTGTTTTTTATGAAGGTGTTATCTCTATATGCATTACTTATTTTAAGGGAATATTTGTTTTTTTATTGCTGTCTCTTTCTGTCCTCCTTCCAAGTGTTGTGGAAAAAAATGGAGGGTGGTAAGCAAGCAATTTATAGTTATTTAGCATGTGGGTGAAATAGGAGAAGTTGAGTATTGAGACTGAGACCCAGTAGTATAATATTCAGTTCAGCTAGACAGATTGCATACCCAAATCAGTTCTCTAGGCATTCATTTTCTTGAATACCTTAATAACTATTTATTGATCACCTATTCTGTGCAAGGTATATAATAAATATTTATCTCAAATCCTTATAAATTTGCTATATTCTTCAGATGAGGAAACTGAAAACCCGGGAAGTTAAGAATTGAACAGAGTCACAAAGCTAGTGCTTTTCAGAGCTGGAATTCAAACCTCGATCTCTCATTCTAAAGCATGTATCCTCCTTATAATTTTGCATTCTTAAACACAAGATCAATAAAAATTGTTATATTCTCACTTGTAATCATTCACATAAATACATATGTTTAGGAAGCCTAAGTTTTTCTTTCTTATTTATATTGTAAACAAAATGAATTAACTGCCAGTAAAAACAAGGAACTTTTATCCCAAGTTTGTGACTAATAGGATGATTTCCCTATGCTTCCTGTCCTTTTTATTCTTAAAGATATGCCCTGAGTACTCCATTCATCTGATTCTGAGTCCTTCTCCCTCCTTACTTAAAGTAAGAAGTAAAGAAAGAAGGGCCTGCCCTTCTTTCTTACAAACATAGCAAATTCTGATGGATGGGGCAGATTTACCCGTTTTTCTTTATAAAAGTATAATAAAAAATGAAGTGAACACTTAATGCTTTTACTTTTCCTAGCAAAATGCTAGGAAGTTTTATACACATTCTTTACTAAAATGAGCTTTTTACATACCTCCAAATTGTTGTCAAAATGCTAACAAGTCTCTGTTTTCCTTAAATCCATGTAGTAACAAAGCAACTAGGATGGTAGTCCTAGAAAGAACAGTCTTGTCATTGGTAGTTGAATGTTATATTCCATGGTAAGGTATTCAATGACAGAATGTACTCCAGTAGTAATAAAATACATGTATTTCAGGGCCGGGTGTGGTGGCTCACACCTGAAATCCCAGCACTTTGGGAGGCCAAGGCGGGCAGATCACCTGAGATCAGGAGTTCGAGACCAGCCTTGCCAACATGGTGAAACCCCATGTCTACTAAAAATACAAAATGAGCTGGGTGTGGTGGCAGGTGCCTGTAATCCTAGCTACTTGGGAGGCTCAGGCAAGAGAATCACTTGAACCGGGAGGTGGAGGTTGCACTGAGCCAAGATCACACCATTGCACTCCAGCCTGGGCAAAAAGAGTGAAACTCCATCTCAAAAAAAAACATGTATTTCAGGTGCCTGATTTATTTAGAAAAGAGGCAGCTTAAACAGCAAATGGTTGGAGTTACATAGGAGGGAATGGTAGACAGTTCTTACATGGTGTCATTCCTGATTAAGTACCACTGTAGTGTATCTATCCACATCTTAGAAGGCATAGTCAAGAAATGTTCGGCTTCTTTCTGTGGAAAGAGACTCTCTCCTTTGGCTGCATGCCACGGTATATAGGCTTGAGGGCAGCCCAGGCCCTGGGCTTGGCAGACCTCTTACTATACAGCTTTTATTTTCACAATTAGGTTATACATAGGCCAGTCAGGTCTTCCAAAATGTATCCGTTTTTTGAAGTTAACATCCATGAATCCAAATAGCACAGTTCATTTGCCCATTGGTTCTTAAATTTAACCATGTTCCAGAATCATCTAGAGAGCTGTTAAGACACAGATTGCTGATCCCCACCCCTGGAGTTTTTTATTCAGTAGGTCTGGGGTGGGTCCTGATAATTTGCACTTCTAATAAGTTCCTGGGTGATACTGATGCTGCTGGTCCTTGGGTCACACTTAGAACTGCTGGTCTCACCACCATTATAAAGATACATGCTATAGTCTGAGTAAAGCAGTGATTGAGATATTAAACTTTTCTTTTTTTTTTGAAAAATGTAAAACTTTATTTGTTAGCATTTTTCTTTTTTTTTTTCTTTTCTTTTTTTTTTCTTCTTATTATTATACTTTAAGTTTTAGGGTACATGTGCACAATGTGCAGGTTAGTTACATATGTATACATGTGCCATGCTGGTGTGCTGCACCCATTAACTCGTCATTTAGCATTAGGTATATCTCCTAATGCTATCCCTCCCCTCTCCCCCCACCCCACAACAGTCCACAGAGTGTGATGTTCCCCTTCCTGTGTCCATGTGTTCTCATTGTTCAATTCCCATCTATGAGTAGAACATGCAGTGTTTGGTTTTTTGTCCTTGCGATAGTTTACTGAGAATGATGATTTCCAATTTCATCCATGTCCCTACAAAGGACATGAACTCATCATTTTTTATGGCTGCATAGTATTCTGTGGTGTATATGTGCCACATTTTCTTAATCCAGTCTATCGTTGTTGGACATTTGGGTTGGTTCCAAGTCTTTGCTATTGTGAATAATGCCGCAATAAACATACGTGTGCATGTGTCTTTATAGCAGCATGATTTATAATCCTTTGGGTATATACCCAGTAATGGGATGGCTGGGTTAAATGGTATTTCTAGTTCTAGATGCCTGAGGAATCACCACACTGACTTCCACAATGGTTGAACTAGTTTACAGTCCCACCAACAGTGTAAAAGTGTTCCTGTTTCTCCACATCCTCTCCAGCACCTGTTGTTTCCTGACTTTTTAATGATCACCATTCTAACTGGTGTGAGATGGTATCTCATTGTGGTTTTGATTTGCATTTCTCTGATGGCCAGTGATGATGAGCATTTTTTCATGTGTCTTTTGGCTGCATAAATGTCTTCTTTTGAGAAGTGTCTGTTCATATCCTTTGCCCACTTTTTGATGGGGTTGTTTGTTTTTTTCTTGTAAATTTGTTTGAGTTCATTGTAGATTCTGGATATTAGCCCTTTGTCAGATGAATAGGTTGTGAAAATTTTCTCCCATTTTGTGGGTTGTCTATTCACTCTGATGGTAGTTTCTTTTGCTGTGCAGAAGCTCTTTAGTTTAATTAGATCCCATTTGTCAATTTTGGCTTTTCTTGCCATTGCTTTTGGTGTTTTAGACATGAAGTCCTTGCCCATGCCTATGTCCTGAATGGTAATGCCTGGGTTTTCTTCTAGGGTTTTTATGGTTTTAGATCTAACGTTTAAGTCTTTAATCCATCTTGAATTGATTTTTGTATAAGGTGTAAGGAAGGGATCCAGTTTCAGCTTTCTACATATGGCTAGCCAGTTTTCCCAGCACCATTTATTAAATAGGGAATCCTTTCCCCATTGCTTGTTTTTCTCAGGTTTGTCAAAGATCAGATAGTTGTAGATATGTGGCGTTATTTCTGAGGGCTCTGTTCTGTTCCATTGATCTATATCTCTGTTTTGGTACCAGTACCATGCTGTTTTGGTTACTGTAGCCTTGTTGTATAGTTTGAAGTCAGGTAGCGTGATGCCTCCAGCTTTGTTCTTTTGGCTTAGGATTGACTTGGCAATGCGGGCTCTTTTTTGGTTTCATATGAACTTTAAAGTAGTTTTTTCCAATTCTGTGAAGAAAGTCATTGGTAGCTTGATGGGGATGGCATTGAATCTGTAAATTACCTTGGGAGATATTAAACTTTTCTTTAAGGCACATTGGAGTTTTCACATTTCATAATGTCCCAGACTAAGTAGAAAAAGAGGTATTCAGTAGCTTTTTTTAACTTTTTGAAAAGTTTAAAGCATGAATATGCACATTGAAAAATATATACCATTTGCTTTTTCAATAATTGCCTCATTTACTTGGATACACCATTGGTATTTACTTGAAGCAACTTTGATAAGGAAAACATTACCATCAAATGTCAACATTTGTGTTTCAGGCTTGATGGCAGTGTGATCATTAAATTACCACCCCACGGCTGGGAGCTCACTGCTGAAAGAAATGAAAATACAGTTTTTCTATAAATAAATGAATATTTCAAGTCTAAACTGTATATAAGGAATGAAGAATGAAAAACGAAAAAATACTGTACTAAAGGCCAGACCCCAGGCTCTGAAAGATGAGGAACTTTATAGAGCCCTTCATTATGGGATTAGATTGTTACTAAGTTCATTTATTTAACTGTTTAGGAAATATAAATTGAGTGTCTTAACTGTGCCATGTATTTGCCATCAGGCCCTGGAACAAATAGGGGGAAACATTATCCTGAAATAACGGGCTTGGGTTGAACTTCAAATATGTGTCTGATCCTTCAGTGTACAAGGCTATAAAGATACCTATCACATAGAAGTAATTTGAAAATTTCATTAGAAAACATATAAAAAGCTTATCCCAGGGTCTGGCAGACATTGACTGCTTAAAAATGTTATTAGGCCCTCTACCCTCAATGGATAAATGCTAAAACAATGTGTTCAGAGTGATTAATTCAGCTTAATGCAGACTTCTCAGGAATAAAATCCAAAGCAGATCTTTAAAGACAAATAGGATTTTGCCAGCTGGCTGGGAAAGACATTGTAGGCCAAAGCAACAATATATGCAAAGTCACAGAGGTGAGGTTGGTGGCAAACAGAAGCAGGACATGTGGCTAGAAAAGGATAATGAATAATCCAGTGGGTGTAAAACATTCAAACTCAGAAGGAAAGAATAGAACGATGATAACCAGAGGCTTTTGGGTGAGGTGGGGTTGATGGGGAAAGGAGAGGTGTTTGCTAAGGGTACAAAGTTCCAGTTAGACAGGAAGAGTAAGTTTTAAAGATCTATTGTACAGCATGGTGACCATAGTTAATAATGACATAGTACATATTTCAAAATTGCTAAAAAAGTAGATTTTAAATGTTCTCACCACAAAAAAAGATAAATAGGTAAGGTGATAGATTTGTTAATAACTTTATTTAATCTTCTACAGCATATACATATATCAAAACATCACATTGTACCCCATAAATATATACAATTATTATTTGTTAATTTAAAATTTTTTAAATTAAATTTTAAAAATAGTCCATTGGTTCTTAAAGTATGGTCCATGTAAGGTCAATTAGTGATCATGCCAACGTTACTATTTTTATAATACAAAGACACTTGTCTTTTTCATTGTGTTGACAGTTGCATTGTTGGTGCATAAACAACAGTGGTTAAAACTACTTGCATCTTAGCATAAATCAAAGCCATGGCACCATATTGTACTAGGAGAGTTTGTTGTTGTTGTTGTTGTTTTTAAGTGAGTTTCACTTAATGTGCTTGGTGGGCCAGACACAGTGGCTCATGCCTGTAATCCCAGCACTTTGGGAGGCTGAGGCAGGAGGATCACCTGAGCTCAGGAGTTCAAGACCAGCCTAGGTAACATAATGAGACCTTGTCTCTACTAAAAATTTTAAAAATTAGCTGGGCATGGTGGTGTGTGCCTGTGATCCCAGGTACTCAGGAGGCTGAGGTGGAAGGATCGTTTGAGCCCAGGAGGTCAAGGCTGCAGTGAACCATAATCACGCCACTGCACTCCAACCTGGGTGACAGGGTGAGACCCTGTAAGAATTCCCTTGGTGATGAAGTAAATTAAATCTCAACCCAGGAGTACCTGTCTTCTTAAAAATTCTGCGTAATTAAATGGGAAGTACACGTAGAATACTTCTGCTGTGTAACAAAGTATGATGGTTTTCTCAAAGAAAAATACTTGTGAAATAGTTTGAGTTGTGAAGCTGAACTAGCCCCCTCTTTCATGAACCACCTTGAAAGAACAACTGACAGACAAACTGTGGTTATTCAAATCTGAGAGTGTTTGGCAGATATTTTCTTAAGAATGAACAAAACAAACCTATTACTTCAAGGAAAACAACTAACTGTATTTGTTGTCAGTGATATAAAATCCAAATTTTTAAGCAGAAATAAGAATTTTTAAAAACTTATATCTGCCACCATGACCTCAACAGCTTCCTAATACTTAAACATTCTTCTGATGAGATTGATGGTTGAATTTGCAAACTTTTAAAAGTATTATATAATGAAATATGTCAACATTTAGAGGATCTGCATTAACTCAGTAAACCAATAATTTCCAAATAACCCAATGCATGATATTATAAAATTATACATGAGTAAAATCCATTCAAACTGCAAGATAGATCAATGGCTTTGAATGTAACTGAGTACAAAAAGTTTATTGATATGGTTTCAGATTTCACATTGCAACTAACCTTTAAGAAACTACCACTTATCAAATTCTGGTATGGTACCAAAGAATATCTACAGTTATCTAAAAAGCTATTAAAATACTCCTCCTTTTTCCGCTTATGAATCTGGGTGAGACCAGATATTTTTCATATACTTTAATCAAAGCAACATATCACAGCAGATTGAATGCAGAAGCAAATAAGGCAATTCAGTTGTCCTCTATTAAGCCAGATATTAAAAAGATTTGAAAAAAATATTATTTAGGTACTATTTACTGGGTTTATTTCCTTAATTTTTAAATTTTTATTTAATACTTAAATTATACATAATGCACTTAATTATGGTGTACGTAGTGATGTTGCAATACATATAATGTAAAGTGAGCAGATCAGGGAAATTAGCATATCCATTATCTCAAACATTTATCATTTCTTCATGTTGGCAACATTCAGTATCCTCCTTCTAGCTATCTGAAACTATATAATAATGTTACTGTTAACTATAGTCATCCTACAGTGCCATAGAACACTAGAACTTATTTCTCCCATCTAGTTGTAATTTTGTGTCCTTTGACAAATATCTGCCTATCCTTTTCTTCCCCCATTTTTCCAGCCTATCGTATTCTCTCTTCTACTTTTTACTCCTATGAGATCTACTTTTTTTTTTAAGCTTCCACATATGAGTGAGAACATGTGGTGTTTAACATTTGTTCCTGGCATTATTTCACCTAGCATAATGTCCTCCAGTTCCATCTATGTTGCCACAAAACAAGTTTTTTTTAAAATAAAATGGATTAATTATTTTCAGATGTTCTCAGTTCCAGTTTCTCATTTAAATGTCAGTTGATATAACCTGTACAAATAGGAGTCCATGTGATTCTCAATTTTTAAGAGTGCAAAGCAATCCTGAGACCAAAAAGTTTGAGAAGTGCTGAGACAGGCTGTAAATGACATGTTGAAATGTTTGGCTTTTATCTTGTAGATTTTGTAGAGGAAACAGTTTTTAAGCGGGAAAGTAGCATGATTTTTTTAATAAAATATTTTCTGGCACTAATATTGAAAATAGGTTAGAAGATGGGACACTAGTGGGTCAAATTTTAGTTCAAGAACGTGTACCCAGGCACCATTTCTATGTGGCAAGTTTGGATTCAGAGAAACTAATTTGGTGGTTAATCTGGTCTGTGACCAGTTAGGAATTTCTCAACTATCATTTTTAAAATGGTACCTACCTACCTACCATTTCTGCAACTCTTTGGTGTCCATCACATGGGGGAATAATACTGCACAGTGGGAAGAATGCCAGCACTGTAGCCAAAGATTTGAATTCTGACTTACCCTGAGTAGTTGTAACTTTTGACTTAGTATCTCTGAGCTAAAGTTTCCCTACCTATACCATAAGAATAATAATACCTACCTTACGGACATATTTTGAGTACTAAATGTATAATATCTGTAAAACGTCAGCATAATATCTAGCAATAGGAGTTGACCTCATTACAAAACTATGCCTAAGGAACCAGAATTTAATATCATCCTTGCTTAATATCTTGCCCCCTGATATCTATTCTGAGAACAGCCACCTACTCTTTCTTAAATGTAAATCTAGTTATATCCCCACACTCCCCACACTGAAGAAGGCCCTACATATGTGGCATCTGCCTACCTTTTAATCCTAACATTTTGGGCTTAATCTTATCCTCTTATTCATGAACCTCTAGTTATTCTGGCTTCCTTTTCTTCTAAGTGCCTTGTTTATAATATTGACTTTGCAATCAGTTCTACTGGATTACCTTTTAATTGGGACTATCTTAAAATTGGTCCTCTCTTTTTTTTTCATTTTATTTTAAACTTTTTATGATTGAAAATTTTAAACATGTACAGAAGTAGATAGACTAGTATAGTAAACCACCGTTTACCACAAAACCACACTTCAACAGTTATCAATTTATAACCAATCTTGTTCTGTCTCTGCCTCTATTCACTTCCCCCCATTATCTTGAAGCAACTTTTTATTTCCATTATAGTCATATATGAAAAAGGGGTTCTTTAAACCCTAGTAGCTAACCCCTGGCTAAACATCATCGGGTATCAAAAATTTTAAAACTATAAATATTCGGATGACCCTATTATCTTCATCCCTGATCTCTTCCCCCAAGAATCATGTGCAATTTTCCACTTGATATCTCCACTTCAAATGAAACATATCCAAAACAGAACTCTTAATTTTTCCCTACAAATCTGTTCCATCACAACTCTTCCCTTCTTGGTAAATGGCCCTCCATTCATTCAGTTGCTCAAGCCAGAAAATTAAGGGTCATCTTTGATTCTTCTGTTTCCTTCACCCCCAACATCCAAAATGTTGGATGATTCAACCTCCAAAATATATCCCAAATTATCTACTTCTCTCTAACCTCTGCTTCTACTACCTTGGTCCAAACTACCATCATCTCTGACCTGTTTACTAATGTATTTCCTGATTGAGCTCTCTGCCTAATCTCTTGCCCCTGGTAACCTAATCGCTTTAGAACAGCCAAGTACCCTCTTCATTTTACTCCTACCTTCTGGGTTCAGTTTCCTTCTTCTTGACAAATACCATTTTTAGTGGTTCTTTCAATAAGCTGTGGTGGTAAACACTTGGTTAGTGACTAAAATCATGGTTATCTTAGTGTTATTTAACCAATAACACTTGGTTATTGATTAAAACTATGGCCAATGGGCCGTAGTTACTTGCATGTTAATTTAGTTTTCAGGCATAAATTCTGTGTCCAAATTATGTTCCTCAATGTAAGAATACCTCCCAACACAAATTGCCCAGTTTAGACACTCAGTCTCACTCTTACGTAAATAATTGTTTTCATACTTGGTTGACAAGACCTATTGCCAACCTGTGCTTAAATTTTCAGTTCAACCAGGCCTAGTAGTGTGCATCTGTAGTTCCAGCTACTTGGAGGCCAAGGCAGGAGGATCACTTGAGCCCAGGAGTTCAAGTTCAGCCTGGGCAACATAGCAAGGCCCCCTTCTCACCATCTCTAAAATATGAACTAAAATTTAATTCAAACAGTTTTTTTCTAATGAGAAAAATCTAATGTAGACATTAAGAAAATAAAAGTAACACTCCAGCTAAAGTTAAGGGTATCATTTGCTGCCTGAATGGCCTTTAGCTAACCTTTCTAAATCTACCACCCCTGAATTTCATGCTGCTAATTAGCAAAGACCCCCGGCATGTACATCTGGGATACGATGTAAGTCGTTTCTTTAGGACTTCCAGAATCATCTCAGGAATCCAACTATGTCTAGCACAGCTGGGATTCTGTCCAAACCCCAACTTCTGGTTTGGACAGGCAGACTGAATTTGACATACCTTTCTTTGCACACTTAGGAATGCTATGCATCTGTATCAACCTTCCTTTACCCTTCCAAGTCCTTTTGGATCTTCTCAAAGACCTTACATAGCTAAACTGTATTCCTCAGTAATCCAGGAGTCAATCCTGAGAGCCCCCTAATCCACTCCAGAGTTCAAGGGTGTAGACCAGGAGTTGGCAAACTATGGCCGATGGGCCAGATCCAACTTGTTTACCTGTTTCTGTAAAATAAGTTATACTGGAAAATAGCCACACTCATCTTTTACATGTTGTCTATGGCTGTTTTCAAGCTACAACAGGGTTGAATAATTGCAGTGGAGACCACACGGCCCACAAAGCCTAAAATACTTACCATGTGGCCTTTTACAGAAGTTCGCTTACCCCTGGTAAGCCATAATATCAGATTTGTCTGTGGTTGTCAGGCATGTTAATGACATACAGCCATTCCAGCCAAATACTGGAAAGGTTTGGTACTCTCTATAGTAACCAATATAGGCCTATTAATATGTGTGTGTGTGTGTGTGTGTGTGTGTGCGCGCGCACATGCATATGTGCATGTACATATGGCATGGAAAATGAAAATCCCAGCACTTCTTAGACTGGTAAAATGTCATGTCCTTCTCTCTGGAAAATTCAGTTAGAAGCTTCAATTGTTTTAATGCTAATGCTCCAGTTATATCTTAATTTGCATTACCTCTCCCTTGAGTTCATGTCCTTTGTAGAGACATGGATGAAGCTGGAAACCATCATTCTGAGCAAACTGTCACAAGGACAGAAAACCAAACACCGCATGTTCTCACTCATAAGTGGGAATTGAACAATGAGAACACTTGGAGACAGGGCGGGGAACCTCACACACCGGGGCCTGTCGTGGGGTGGGGGCATGGGGGAGGGATAGCATTAGGAGAAATACCTAATGTAAATGACGAGTTAATTGATGCAGCAAACCGACATGGCACATGTATACATATGTAACAAATCTGCACGTTGTGCATGTGTACCCTAGAACTTAAAGTATAATGAAAAAGAAAAAAAATTTGCATTACCTCTCCTTTTTACTAAGAGAATCCTATCAAAGTTGTCTTTTCATGCTTAGGACGAAACTGGCCCCAAGATCAAACTTCTACTTCTCATAAAGAGAAAATAATTGAAAACAGAAGCTGAAAATAGCTGCTCTGTCTCCTGATCACATGTTATTTTGCTGTAAAGAAACTTCTGGACTATCAGCACTTATAAAAATCACATCTACATTTGCTGACACATTTTTCCTAAAGTTAAGATGAGTTCATGAAGTCCTTACTGTTAAATTTTTAAATAATCATGTTTTAGAGAAAACTGATAAATATCTTACTTTATCGTAATCATGGAATGATACAGTATGGTTATGTTTATATGTACCAGAATGGGGTAGTCTTCAGACAGCTTTGTTTCTTTTCCTTTTGGGAGGTAATATAATCCCAGAGAAGTAAACTGACTAAGAATAAACCTCAGAAGGTTAGGAATGGTTCCAAATTATTACCCCCTCCCTGCTTTTTCATAGTTCATTATGAATTTCTCATCTGTGACTATTCAAATTATTTTATTTGCCCTTTCCTGCTTATATCACTTCTGAAGAAAATTTTTCTATTCACTTTTCACACCTTGCTGCTTGTATACTTATTCTTGTGTTCTTTCTGGAGGAGGAAGGCAGTGAAAAATAGTTTCTCAGAATGTGTTCCTGGGACCAACTGCATCACCTGGAGTATATAAATGCAGATTCCTGGGCAATGCCCCAAAGCTATTAAATCAATCCCTAGAGATGGGAGCTGAGAACCTGCAATTTTAACAAGCTCCCCAGGTAATTCTTAGGTACATGAAAGTTTGGTAGCCATTGGCATAATATTTTAGAACGTAGACTTTGAAGTCACCGAGACCTGGGTTTGAATCCTGCTTTTGTCACATTAGTGTCATCTTGGATAAGTTACTTGAGCTCTGCTTACCAGTTTTCTCATCTAGAAACTGAGAAGCAAATAATGTAACTGCTTAAAGGACAAACACTTAGAGCTAAGCTACAGGGTTTGAATCTCAGCTCCACCAGTTACTAGCTGTGTTACCTGAAGCAAGTAACTTAATCTCTCTGGGCTATAATTTCTTCATTTATAAAACACAGAAAATAGCCTGCCTAGTAAGTTGTTGTGAGACTTAAAGGGGGATGGGATTCCCCCCCGGGGCACATTTGACAATGTCTGGAGACTTTTTTGGTTGTCACAACTGGGAGGGGGTAATTCCAACATCCAGCCTTTAGCAGGTAGAGGCAAGAAGCGCTGTTATAATCCTGCCATGTGGATAGCCCTCCACAACAAAGAATCACCTGGCCCAAAATGTCAATAGCCCCACTTTTGATAAGCATGGCTTAAAACAGGCACATAATAAGCACTATGTAAATTTTGGCCACTATTATTATTTGCTGTTATGGGAATAATAAGCCTTACTCAGTGTTATTGTTTGAAGATATTTAAGCACAGTGCCTAGCATTCGGTAAATGTAGGGATAGTGGTGGTAGTGATTATTATTAGGAAGCCAAATATCTAGAAACACAGTCATTCTATAGCTAGAGCAGCTTCAATTTAAGGAAAATTTTTTTGGAAATGTAAATTATTAACTTTTTTGGTTTGTTTATTTAGGATTTTCAAAAGTAAAATACATCTGTAATCATTAATACCCTACCTTTCAATAATAGCTGTTTTTTTCTTCTAACTAAAAGTAAAAGCAGTTTTATTTCTTCATCTTCACAATCAAGTATTTATTGCTGGGTTTCTGCAGTATGCCAAGCTTGCCTTATCTTAACAGTGTGGTGGAAGGAACATTTACGTTAGAGTTGCATGGTATCTATTCAGATCCCAACTCTACCACCACCTTACTACCCATGTAATTTTAGGCAATTGATTTAACTTCTTTCAATCTCAGTTTCCTCATCTGTAAAATGAGAATTATTGTAGCTACCTCCTGAAGAGTTTTCATGAATTAAGTGGAAAAATGCACAGCTTGTGCAGTGCTGAGTAGCTGGGTGTTCTGAGTACCTATAGGTCCCATTCCTGCCCTACATCCATTTCCTCGGTCAGCCTGCAGTGTTTTTGGAGTTAAGTGTATGTTATCATTTCTCAGCATCTCCCTACTCTGACTCAAAGAGCAGAGGGAGATAAGAGGAAAGTGAAAAAAGGTGCACTGACTTGCTTCTCCATTGCTTCTGGGCATTAGGGAAAAAAAGTCCGGGGCCCCAGAAAGGCTGTTCCAAGGGTCGGGCGCAGTGGCTCACTCCTGTAGTCCAAGTACTTTGGGTGGCTGAGGCAGGCGGATTACCTGAGGTCAGGAGTTCGAGATCAGCCTGGCCAACATGGCGAAACCCCATCTCTACTAAAAATACAAAATAATTAGCCGGGCATGGTGGCAGGCACCTGTAGTCCCAGCTACTTGGGAGGCTGAGGCAGACGAATCGCTTGAACCCGGGAGGCAGAGGTTGCAGTGAGCTGAGTTCGTGCCACTGCACTCCGGCCTGGGCCACAGAGCACTGTCTCAAAAAAAAAAAAAAAAAGGCCAGGCGTAGTGGCTCACACCTGTAATCCCGACACTTTGGGAGGCCAAGGTAGGTGGATCATCTGAGGTCAGGATATCAAGACCAGCCTGACCAACACAGTGAAACCCCGTCTCTACTAAAAATACAAAATTTAGCCAGGCGTGGTGGGCACCTGTCATCCCAGCTACTCGGGAGACTGAGGTAGGAAAATCTCTTGAACCTGGGAAGCAGAGGTTGCAGTGAGCAGAAATTACGCCATTGCACTCCACCCTGGGCGACAAGAGCGAGACTCCGTCTCAAAAAAAAAAAAAAAGAAAGAAAGCCTGTTCAACATCCTTCCTGGGTTAGTCCCCTTGGAGAAGGCTATGGGTGTTTTCTTCTAATACCTTGCCTTTTCAGGAAATGCATATCAGTATCTCACCCCATTCTTTAGAGTGAATCAAGGCCAAAATTATGATGCTAAGGAGCTACTTCTGTTATTGAGAATGTTATTCTTATTGAGAATGGCAACCATATTTTATTGCTGTTTTCCAAAATTAATTGATCTTTTCTGTTAATTTGCACAGATGCCATTCTGACTTTGTATTTCATAGGATTTTAAAACTGTAATTTTTCTTAGTATTGTGAAAGTGACAGTGATTTACAGAGGGCTATGTTTTTATATGCTTTGTTGTCTTGTAATCTGGTGCCTTAAAGACACTTTTAATTTGCTATTTGAGTCTGTTTTTTAAAAAAAGTGGATCTGTACAATTTCAGAAAATTAGAGTTCATTCAAGACCTTGCACATTGCTGCCAGTCTTCCCCATCTCGAGACCTAGCTACTTCATTCACACCAGTAAGAGCTACCTTTGTTTGACCAGACTATGTTAGAAATATTAGCAGAACTCATCAGATATCAGATAAAGGTTAATCTCAGTTCAGGATAAGAAATTCAACATTTTCAGTTAAAGACTACAGAAGGCTTAGCAGAAAATTGGAGACACTAGATAGTGATCAGTAGACACACACTTCTCTATCTGAGAATGTCAATGATTGGAAAGTGTGGCAAAATCAAGTTGATGACCTGGAAACTAAAGATTAAGAAATGTCACATTCGTAGGAGGTCCTAAAGGTAGAGAGACAAAAAGAAATGGGAGTGTTTTGTTTTGTTTTGTTTTTTCTCCCTTTCAGTAGATTACAAAGGTGTGAGATTTGATAACTTTGAACTCTCCTTTTCATGTGTTAATGTAGATCCCACATCTGCAGAGTTCCGTTATCCCCAGCAACCCCAGAAATACGCAGCTCTGGAAACCAGTAACAAAACGATGACGTTTTGTTTCTAATGTGCTTTAGTCTGATTTTTCGGGGTAAAAGGAGGTTTTAAAAGTCACACATTTGCTTATTGGCTGTCGTGGGCAACTAGAGACATGTGTACCTGCTGAACAGAGCTAACAAATGGAATTCAGAATAACATTTGTCCCAAGAGGCAGGTAGTCTCTAGAAGTCAGATTTTACTTATTGTCTCATCTGAAGCTGAGTGAAGGTGGTTGAATTTGAAGATAGGATTGAACTGAAATTGTGGAAATACTTGGATATTTAAAGGCCTTATCCTGTTCTAATGTGGAATTTGATTTGCCTTTTTAAAAAGTACACTCAGACATTTAACATAATTTTTACAAAAATCTGTCTTGAACGAATATCCCAGAGAAACAAAAAAAGGATTATTTCATTAGATGGTGTAATGATTAATCTCTACCACCTGGGTAAACCAAGTGAGCTTCCCACAGGAGATTGCTTCTGCAGCTTTGAATTATGTATGAATATGGCAGACTGATGAGATACAACCTTCCAAGGGATTTGTTTATATAACAGACAAATCTGTAACAATGTAACTATTTCCTTTGAACACCTTATATTCATTCTGCATGTTCAGAAAATGATTTGTCTTTGTGGAGATTATGACATGGTTTTTTAAGTATTAGGTCAGACATACCAAATCTCAATTAAAAACTGGTCATTAATGGAAAGTTGGTTGAAGAATTTATAGTCACACATATGTTGTCTTCTGTGTTGTCTGTCTGTGAAAGCAGAAGGAACGCTGAAGGTTCAGGACAAAAAGTAGGCCAAGTCAGAGTTTGACCCAACCTGAAGATCAAGGACCTAGATATCAACACCATAGTTATTACGGAAGTAGGAGTGTTTCAACATGAATTAAAATAGCAGAAATGTAAAAACCATAACTTCCTCTTAGTGGGCCATTTGTCACTTAACAATTTTGTTTTATAGTAATCAATATCAAATTGTACTTAGGCTGAAAAAAAATTAGATACACTGGTCATTATTTGCCATTTTAAGACGTGCTAACATATAGTATATAAGAAATTCTCACAGATTTCTTGTAATTTTCACTCTAAATAATTTTTTTACCATCTGTCTCATGGATGAAATGGGGGAAATTTTTATTTTTTCCACTAACTCTTTCTTGATGCCATCAAGTTTGTTCAGAAAATCAAAGCATTCAGAAAATCAAAGCAATAGAGAAACAGTACCCAGGTTCGAATTCCCATTTTATTGTTTTCTCCATCACATTAAACATCTCCTAATGAAATGTTGGTGGTAAAACATTTGTTAGGAGATAAAGCTGATATTTGTAAAGTATCACTTTAGTATTTGAGTTTTCTGATTTTATGTCCAAATATGGAACAAATCAATGGTAAATCCTTTTTTTTTTTTTTTTTTTTTTTTTGAGATGGAGTCTTTCTCTGTCACCAGGCTGGAGTGTTAGTGGCACAATCTTGGCTCACTGCAACCTCTGCCTCCCAGGTTCAAGCGATTCTTCTGCCTCGGCCTCCCCGATACCTGGGACTACAGGCACCCGCCACCACGCCCACCTAATTTTTGTATTTTTAGTAGAGATAGGGTTTCACCATGTTAGCCAGGCTGATCTCGAACCCCTGACCTCAGGTGATCCACCTGCATCGGCCTCCCAAAGTGCTGGTATTACAGGCTTGAGCCACCGCACCCAGCCTTAAATTCCCTTACTAAATTAATGTGCCTAATGATAAATTAATCAGAGATTTTCCTTTTTTTCTTTCTTCCTGAATGATTTGTCTGTTTATGTTGTTTATATTTAGTGACTGAATCAACCTTCTCTGCTACTTTTCTCAATTTTTTTTATTTTTTAGTCATAGTATATTGTTATATCTAACCTTAAACTCTGAGAACCTCTCCCTTTTCCCCTGTCTCTCTTTTATCTTTTTTTTTTTTTTTTTTTGAGACAGAGTCTCACTCTGTCACCCAGGCTGGAGTGCAGTGGCATGATCTCTGCTCACTGCAACCTCTGCCCCCTGAGTTCAAGCAATTGTCCTGCCTCAGCCTCCCGAGTAGCTGGGATTATAGGCACCTGCCACCACACCCGGCTAATTTTTGTATTTTTAGTAGAGACGGGGTTTCACCATCTTGGCCAGGCTGGTGTTGAACTCCTGACCTTGTGATCCACTTGGCCTCCCAAAGTGCTGGGATTACAGGCATGAGCCACTGCGCCTGGCCTCTTTTATCATTTTAATCATACAAAGAGCTATTCTTCCTTTAAGCATTAAGACATGACATATCACTGATGCATTTTTTAAATTCTTACTCCTTTTAGAGACTGCTGTCACTGTAAATGCAGATTAAACCTTTTAGCATCCATTTGCAAATCCATGTGATTTTACTTTTATCAACTCTATTTGCGTAGTTCTTTAGAGTTGACAATTACTTTAATTGATGATTTAATATACCAGTGCACTTATTTAAAATGTGCTCATAAAAACCAATCTTTATCTGGAATATAGGCTGTGCTGCCTTAGTTTGCAAAGGGTTAATAAAACTAGCTTTCACTTTGCTTGGTTCCCCAAAGGTAATTTGGCACATTTCCCAGACCAAACCAGTAAGGTAAGGGTCAAGGTGCAGTGAGTGATATTAAGGAACAGAATCAAGCCTTTTCTCATGGTTTGCCTAACTTGTAGCTCTCCAGAACTCAGTGGAATCTATGGTTTATCTGAGTGTCAGAGCATGATTAACAGACTCGAGAAGGCCCTGTGAAATTTTCCTTTAATGGGGAATTGTGTTAGTGAGCACAGCGGGTGAGTTTTCTAATATTTCTTGCTTTTAAGTATTCATGTTTTATTTTGTGAAGCTCTTCAGAGTACAGAGCTGTGTTATATGTACACATGTGCAGCGGGCCCAGGGAGTTCCTCATAGGTTAATAGCTGCAGTTTTTTCTGTGGTTTTCACTATAACTGAGCTTTGTTGTTAATAGCCCATTGCCTAGGATGAAAACAGGCAAGTGAGGATGGAATCGTGGCTTCTGAACCCTTCACCAACCCTTTTTGACAAATGGGAAGGAACACTTTCTTTTAGTAATAACCAGGAGATGGAGAAAGAAAGAAGGCAGGAGTAAGTCTGAAGAGATTAGGAGCCAAGAAACAGCTATTCAGGAAACCTCTAAAGCTGACTTTAGAGCAGGAAATGTCTGGAGCTTTAACATTTTTTTTTCTTTCAAGTGTGGGGGCTGATTTTGTTTTGAGACAGAGTCTCACTCTGTTGCTAGGCTGGAGCGCAGTGGCACGATCTCGGCTCACTGCAACCTCTACCTCCCAGGTTCAAGAGATTCTCCTGCCTCAGCCTCCCCAGTAGCTGAAACTACAGGCGTGCACCACCATGCCCAGCTAATTTTTGTGTTTTTAGTAGAGACAGGGCTTCACCATGTTGGCCAGGATGGTCTCCATCTCTTGACCTCGTGATCCGCCCGCCTCAGCCTCCCAAAGTGCTGGGATTACAGGTGCGAGCCACTGAACCTGGCCAGGGGGCTGATATTTTTAAGGGACTTTATATTTATTGCTTTGAAACTAGAAATGGTTTCTATTAACTTTTGCCAGAAAACATTTTCCCTTTCTTGAAGCATGTTGATAACTACTCAGTAATATACACTCTTGACACGAAGTGGTACCTGAGTGTCTTGGAAGTGTCACTTTGTTTTGTCTTCCCTAATGCGTGGAGATAGATCCCCCATGTTATCTTGATTTTATGGTGCTCCATATTATGAGAAACCAACTTTGTGTGGAGCCCCTCTTTTGGGTTGATGACCGAGGGCAGCCCATCGAGAAGAGGCAGTATGCTTTACTGTGTGAGGCCTCCTTTATATATACTACTCTCTTGACTGCTAGAAAAGTGATTCCTTCCAACCTCACCACTGTCCTCAAGAGCCAGATCCCCTAATGGAACTTCCAGCTCATTGCTTATTCCCAGTATAGAGAGACCTCTGGCTCTGCCAACTTTGAAAGGATATTTTTGAAGTTGTATATCCAGCAGACATCAAGGCTTATTTTTCTGTCCAGGCACATGCATAATTTCCATAATGAAAAATTGATAAGAGGGTACTCCTTTGCCTTTAGATCTACTCCCTTAAATCCACAGGCGATATATGTTCTGATGGCACACGATCAAACAAAGTACCTCTTTAAAGAAACTGGTAAATGTCACCATGACTCACTGCCAATTGAAAATCCACAAATAACCTGTAATCATATATGTTTCCTTTCCTTCCTTCTTTCTTTTTTTCATAAAGAAACCAGGAAAAATAGCTAATGAATGTGTGATAATCTAGGAATACTTTTCAGTGGGCCCAGCAAACTTTAAAGATGCATGATTTTGAATTAATTTAATTGACCAGTCCATTGAGATTTTCTAACTAGGCCAGTTTTCTCCACCAGCAACAGAATTGGCACAGTTCAGGCAGATTGGGGAGTGGGGAAGATGGGAAGAAGTAGCTATAAGCATATGAGCAGGCAATGGTAAAACAAGATTGGTCATATACTGGTATGCAGCCAGGAGGATGCTTCAGATTCATTTTAATAAATGAGATTAACTAGACTACGAACTTTCTTTTCCATTTGCCTTCCCTGCTGCATGCAGACAGGCAAAGGTTGATGCTTCTATTCTCTTGGCAACAAGACCTTCCTGGCCTCAGTGTACCTACTAAAACAATGGCTTAACTTCCTTATGCAGTTAGTTTAATCTCAACTTTATTCCTGATCCTGATTTAGTACACACTAAAGTGTGTACTAAATACTATATATAAATTAAAACTATGTAGTAAAGTACTTGATATTTACCATAGTATTAGAATACTATAATTAGTAAGTATAGTAAATACTTTACTAAATACTTGAGTATATTTGTCTTTAGCCAGTTAAACATTCAGCTCCTTCTACCACCAACATCACCACCTCCCACCTAAATAAAATGTTTCACTCTTTGACTGTTATTCTCAAGTTCCCTTGCAGGCTACCATACCTGCTCTATCAAATTGGGTTCTCAATATGTGTGAATCAAGGTAAATAGAAGTATCTGCCTAAATGAAGTACTGCCTTGTGTTCAGACAAGTGTATTGTGACTATAGGACCAGTTATTTACATTTATGGGAAGTATATGCCTTCCATAAATCTAAATTTTAGTAGAACCTTCCAATACCAGTGTGACAAGTGGTCTGATTTGTTTCAGTCACATGACCCATGAAGTAACAGAGGATTTTTCTCCTCGGGATCCAAGAACTGTTGTTGGGAAGCAAGATGGCAGGGGCTGCACTTCAGTCACAACAGCATTGTCCCTACCTGAACTGGAAAGGGAAGATGGAAAAGAAGACATTTCAGATCCTATGGACCCGAACCCTTGTAGTGCAACATACAGCAACTTAGGTAAGTGCAAATGTCCAATAAGTAGTATTTAAACTTTGCCTTTTTCTGTACTAGCCAAATGTTCTGTTTTCTTGGAGAGATGGTTTTTATTGCTCCATGAAGCAGAATTTGGACCATTGGAGTTACAAATTTTAAGTCACATCAGAAAAACGTTCTGATGTTTACTAGGCATGTATTAAACACCTGCACCCATGAGCCCTGTGCCAAGTGCTAAGGGTTATTAACACTGCTTTGAGGGACTCACCTGGGGGGAAAGAGGTGAACTTGTTAATTATTTCAGTGTAATATAAATACAGTGATAGAGATATACACATGGTATATTTTTAATATTACACAGAGGAGGGTGTCAAAAGATACCTTTCTGGAGATAATTCCTGAACTGATTTAACTAGCTGACAAAGGGGAGAAAGAATATTCCAATCAGAGACAACAATATGAGCAAAATCATGGAGATGCATGTAGGCACCACAAACATTTAGTGTTGCTGAAATGTGAAGTGGAGAGTTAGCCAGTGTCATGCATTTCAGGCTAAAACCTTAGACTTTTTGCTGTTTATGTTAGTGAGCCATCAAAGGTTTTTAAGCAGAGGAATAACACAATTAGATTTGTTTTTTAAAACATCCATCCTGCAGGCTGCCATGTGTATGTGGATTATTTGGTAGCAGGAAATTTGGTAGTTAGATACTATTGCAGGATCACACAAAGGCATGAGAAAGGGAGGCCTCAACTAAGATAGTGGGAGGGGGGACAGTAGACAGATTTGAGAGATATTTAAGACGAAAAATACACAAGATTGGATAATGTAAAGAATCTATAATGTATCCCAGATTTCTGGCTTGGATCAAGCAGACTCAAAAAAGTAAAGATCCCTGTTATTGGAGGTATATAGGCAGAGGCTGATGGACCATCTCTCAGAGATATTGTGAGGAGGATGCTGCACTGCAAAGAGGGTTGAGCTAAATTACTTCAGAGGTGCCTGCCAATGCAAAGATTCTGCAATTCTCTGATCATCTTCACTCGTCTTCCTTGAATGCTCAGTGACTTCTTACCTGTCTCCCTTGAGTGCCACACACTTTCCTTCCTTCTGAAAAGCAAAGCCTGAGGCAGAATAAGGATTTCTCAGTGCTCTTCTTCCATGAAGTCAGGAGAGAGGTGAGTAGCCTGGACTACTACATGCAGAGCACAAGCAAGATTCATATGAACTACTGACCAATCCTTAGACTGTTTGGAAACCAGTGGCATCTATCATTGAAGTTTTTTTACCTCATTTCTCATCTCCTTTCTTCTTTGTCCTTTTCCTTTGTCAGGTTATTCTAAGGAAAAATAATTCTAACACTAGCTAGTGTACTTGGAAATAAAGGAGTCCCTAAGAAGGCCAGAAAATTATGGTAACACTGTGGGAGATAATACTTTAATATCTCTTTTTGGGAAACACAATCATAACAACCCATATGCAGTTGAAAATACATTGTGTAAGAAGAAGACTTCCATTCTAAGTTCCAGAAGCTTTTTGTGATTTGGGAGTAGGGGAAACATACTATAGTTTACCTAAACTACTATCTTGGATACCGTTTTCAACTTGGAACAGATTTTATCATCAAACAGCTTATTGGACTTTTCCCATTATTTGATATTTTGTGAGGCATATTATAAAATGAAAATGTACTGTTTACTTACTGTATACCCTCAGACAGCATAATATATCAGAAATTATAATATCTTCTAGACATTCTTATTAAACCAAAATTTCTTTCATGATAGCCTCAGTAAAATATTTAATTTTTACTAATTGTACCATGTTTGATGGCATCTCTATAAATTTTTATTAGCTGACATTAGTTAAAATTATTTTATTTCGGGAGCCAAGATGGCCGAATAGGAACAGCTCCGGTCTACAGCTCCCAGCATGAGCAACGCAGAAGACGGGTGATTTCTGCATTTCCATCTGAGGTACCGGGTTCATCTCACTAGGGAGTGCCAGACAGTGGGTGCAGGACAGTGGGTGCAGCACACCGTGCGCGAGCTGAAGCAGGGCGAGGCACTACCTCACTCGGGAAGCGCAAGGGGTCAGGGAGTTCCCTTTCCTAGTCAAAGAAAGGGGTGACAGACGACACCTGGAAAACCGGGTCACTCCCACCCTAATACTGTGCTTTTCCAACGGGCTTAAAAAACGGCACACCAGGAGATTATATCCCGCAACTGGCTCAGAGGGTCCTATGCTCACGGAGTCTCACTGATTGCTAGCACAGCAGTCTGAGATCAAACTGCAATGCAGCACCGAGGCTGGGGGAGGGGCGCCTGCCGTTGCCCAGGCTTGATTAGGTAAACAAAGCAGCCCGGAAGCTCGAACTGGGTGGAGCCCACCACAGCTCAAGGGGGCCTGCCTGCCTCTGTAGGCTCCACCTCTGGGGGCAGGGCACAGACAAACAAAAGGACAGCAGTAACCTCTGCAGACTTAAATGTCCCTGTCTGACAGCTTTGAGGAGAGTAGTGGTTCTCCCAGCACGCAGCTGGAGATCTGAGAACGGGCAGACTGCCTCCTCAAGTGGGTCCCTGACCCCCGAGCAGCCTAACTGGGAGGCATCCCCCAGTAGGGGCAGACTGACACCTCACATGGCCGAGTACTCCTCTGAGACAAAACTTCCAGAGGAACGATCAGGCAGCAGCATTTGCAGGTCACCAAAATCCACTGTTCTACAGCCACCGCTGTTCTGCAGCCACCGCTGCTGACACCCAGGCAAAAAGGGTCTAGAGTGGACCTCTAGCAAACTCCAACAGACCTGCAGCTGAGGGTCCTGTCTGTTAGAAGGAAAACCAACAAACAGAAAGGACATCCACACCAAAAACTCATCTATACGTCACCATCATCAAAGACCAAAAGTAGATAAAACCACAAAGATGGGGAAAAAACAGAGCAGAAAAACTGGAAACTCTAAAAAGCAGAGCACTCTCCTCCTCCAAAGGAACACAGTGCCTCACCAGCAACGGAACAAAGCTGGATGGAGAATGACTTTGACGAGTTGAGAGAAGAAGGCTTCAGACGATCAAACTACTCTGAGCTACAGGAGGAAATTCTAACCAATGGCAAAGAAGTTAGAAACTTTGAAAAAAAATTAGACGAATGGATAACTAGAATAACCAATGCAGAGAAGTCCTTAAAGGAGCTGATGGAGCTGAAAGCTAAGACTCGAGAACTATGTGAAGAATGCAGACGCCTCAGGAGCCGATGCGATCAACTGGAAGAAAGGGTATCAGTGATGGAAGATGAAATGAATGAAATGAGGCGAGAAGGGAAGTTTAGAGAAAAAAAGAATAAAAAGAAATGAACAAAGCCTCCAAGAAATATGGGACTATGTGAAAAGACCAAATCTGCGTCTGATTGGTGTACCTGAAAGTGACAGGGAGAATGGAACCAAGCTGGAAAACACTCTGCAGGATATTATCCAGGAGAAGTTCCCCAATCTAGCAAGGCAGGCCAACATTCAGATTCGGGAAATACAGAGAACGCCACAGATACTCCTCGAGAAGAGCAACTCCAAGACACATAATTGTCAGATTCACCAAAGTTGAAATGAAGGAAAAAATGTTAAGGGCAGCCAGAGAGAAAGGTCGGGTTACCCACAAAGGGAAGCCCATCAGACTAACAGCTGATCTCTTGGCAGAAACTCTACAAGCCAGAAGAGAGTGGGGGCCAATATTCAACATTCTTAAAGAAAAGAATTTTCAACCCACAATTTCATATCCAGCCAAACTAAGCTTCATAAGTGAAGGAGAAATAAAATACTTTACAGACAAGCAAATGCTGAGAGATTTTGTCACCACCAGGCCTGCCCTGAAAGAGCTCCTGAAGGAAGCACTAAACATGGAAAGGAACAACCAGTTCCAGCCACTGCAAAAACATGCCAAAATGTAAAGACCATCAAGGCTAGGAAGAAACTGCATCAACTAACGAGCAAAATAACCAGCTAACATCATAATGACAGGATCAAATTCACACATAACAATATTAACTTTAAATATAAATGGGCTAAATGCTCCAATTAAAAGACACAGACTGGCAAATTGGATAAAGAGTCAAGACCCATCAGTGTGCTGTATTCAGGAAACCCATCTCACATGCAGAGACACACATAGGCTCAAAATAAAGGGATGGAGGAAGATCTACCAAGCAAATGGAAAACAAAAAAAGGCAGGGGTTGCAATCCTAGTCTCTGATGAAACAGACTTTAAACCAACAAAGATTAAAAGAGACAAAGAAGGCCATTACATAATGGTAAAGGGATCAATTGAAAAATAAGAACTAACTATCCTAAATATATATGCACCCAATACAGGAGCACCCAGATTCATAAAGCAAGTCCTTAGTGACCTACAAAGAGACTTAGACTCCCACACAATAATAATGGGAGACTTTAACACCCCACTGTCAACATTAGACAGATCAACGAGACAGAAAGTTAACAGGGATACCCAGGAATTGAACTCAGCTCTGCACCAAGTGGACCTAATAGACATCTACAGAACTCTCCACCCCAAATCAACAGAATATACATTTTTTTCAGCACCACACCACACCTATTCCAAAACTGACCACATAGTTGGAAGTAAAGCAGTCCTCAGCAAATGTAAAAGAACAGAAATTATAACAAACTGTCTCTCAGGCCACGGTGCAATCAAACTAGAACTCAGGATTAAGAAATTCACTCAAAACCGCTCAACTGCATGGAAACTGAACAACCTGCTCCTGAATGACTACTGGGTACATAATGAAATGAAGGCGGAAATAAAGATGTTCTTTGAAACCAATGAGAACAAAGACACAACATACCAGAATCTCTGGGACACATTCAAAGCAGTGCATAGAGGGAAATTTATAGCACTAAATGCCCACAAGAGAAAGCAGGAAAGATCTAAAATTGACACCCTAACATCACAATTAAGAGAACTAGAAAAGCAAGAGCAAACACATTCAAAAGCTAGCAGAAGGCAAGAAATAACTAAAATCAGAGCAGAAGTGAAGGAAATAGAGACACAAAAAACCCTTCAAAAAATCAATGAATCCAGGAACTGTTTTTTTGAAAAGATCAACAAAATTGATAGACCGCTAGCAAGACTAATAAAGAAGAGAGAAGATTCAGAGAGATGCAATAAAAAATGATAAAGGGGATATCACCACCGATCCCACAGAAATGCAAACTACCATCAGAGAATACTACAGACACCTCTACACAAATAAACTGGAAAACCTAGAAGAAATGGATAAATTCCTCGACACATACACCCATCCAAGACTAAACCAGGAAGAAGTTGAATCTCTGAATAGACCAATAACAGGCTCTGAAATTGTGGCAATAATCAATAGCTTACTAACCAAAAAAAGTCCAGGACCAGATGGATTCACAGCCGAATTCTACCAGAGGTACAAGGAGGAGCTGGTACCATTCCTTCTGAAACTATTCCAATCAATAGAAAAAGAGGGAATCCTCCCTAACTCATTTTATGAGGCCAGCATCATCCTGATACCAAAGCCTGGCAGAGACACAACCAAAAAACAGAATTTTAGACCAATATCCTTGATGAACATTGATGCAAAAATCCTCAATAAAATACTGGCAAACCGAATCCAGCAGCACATCAAAAAGCTTATCCACCATGATCAAGTGGGCTTCATCCCTGGGATGCAAGGCTGGTTCAACATTCGCAAATCAATAAATGTAATCCAGCATATAAACAGAACCAAAGACAAAAACCACATGATTATCTCAATAGATACAGAAAAGGCCTTTGACAAAATTCAACAACCCTTCATGCTAAAAACTCTCAATAAATGAGGTATTGATGGGACAAATCTCAAAATAATAAGAGCTATCTATGACAAACCCACAGCCAATATCATACTGAATGAGCAAAAACTGGAAGCATTCCCTTTGAAAACTGGCACAAGACAGGGATGCCCTCTCTCACCGCTCCTATTCAACATAGTGTTGGAAGTTCTGGCCAGGGCAATCAGGGAGGAGAAGGAAATAAAGGGTATTCAATTAGGAAAAGAGGAAGTCAAATTGTCCCTGTTTGCAGATGACATGATTGTATATCTAGAAAACCCCATCGTCTCAGCCCAAAATCTCCTTAAGCTGATAAGCAACTTCAGCAAAGTCTCAGGATACAAAATCAATGTACAAAAATCACAAGCATTCTTATACACCAATAACAGACAAACAGAGAGCCAAATCATGCGTGAACTCCCATTCACAATTGCTTCAAAGAGAATAAAATACCTAGGAATCCAACTTACAAGGGATGTGAAGGACCTCTTCAAGGAGAACTACAAACCACTGCTCAATGAAATAAAAGAGGATACAAACAAATGGAAGAACATTACATGTTCATAGGTGGGAAGAATCAATATCGTGAAAATGGCCATACTGCCCAAGGTAATTTATAGGTACAATGCCATCCCTATCATGCTACCAGTGACTTTCTTCACAGAATTGGAAAAAACTACTTTAAAGTTCATATGAAACCAAAAAAGAGCCTGCATTGCCAAGTCAATCCTAAGCCAAAAGAACAAAGGTTTTTGGTTACTACAAGGCTACAGTAACCAAAACAGCATGGTACTGTTACCAAAACAGAGATATAGATCAATGGAACAGAACAGAGCCCTCAGAAATAACGCCACATATCTACAACCATCCGATCTTTGACAAACCTGACAAAAACAAGCAATGGTGAAAGGATTCCCTATTTAATAAATGGTGCTGGGAAAACTGGCTAGCCATATGTAGAAAGCTGAAACTGGATCCCTTCCTTACACCTTATACAAAAATTAATTCAAGATGGATTAAAGACTTACATGTTAGACCTAAAACCATAAAAACCCTAGAAGAAAACCTAGGCAATACCATTCAGGACATAGGCATGGGTAAGGACTTCATGTCTAAAACACCAAAAGCAATGGCAGCAAAAGCCAAAATTGACAAATGGGATCTAATTAAACTAAAGAGCTTCTGCACAGCAAAAGAAACTACCATCAGAGTGAACAGGCAACCTACAAAGTGGGAGAAAATTTTTGCAATCTATTCATCTGACAAAGGGCTAATATCCAGAATCTACAATGAACTCAAACAAATTTACAAGAAAGAAAACAACACCATCAAAAAGTGGGCAAAGGATATGAACAGACACTTCTCAAAAGAAGACATTTATGCAGCCAAAAGACACATGAAAAAATGCTCATCATCACTGGCCATCAGAGAAATGCAAATCAAAACTGCAATGAGATACCATCTCACACCAGTTAGAATGGTGATCATTAAAAAGTCAGGAAACAACAGGTGCTGGAGAGGATGTGGAGAAACAGGAACACTTTTACACTGTTGGTGGGACTGTAAACTAGTTCAACCATTGTGGAAGTCAGTGTGGCGATGCCTCAGGCATCTAGAACTAGAAATACCATTTGACCCAGCCATCCCATTACTGGGTATATACCCAAAGGATTATAAATCATGCTGCTATAAAGACACATGCACACGTATGTTTATTGCGGCATTATTCACAATAGCAAAGACTTGGAACCAACCCAAATGTCCAACAACAATAGATTGGATTAAGAAAATGTGGCACATATACACCATGGAATACTATGCAGCCATAAAAAATGATGAGTTCATGTCCTTTGTAGGGACACGGATGAAATTGGAAACCATCATTCTCAGCAAACTATTGCAAGGACAAAATACCAAACACCACATGTTCTCACTCATAGGTGGGAATTGACCAGTGAGAACACATGGACACAGGAAGGGGAACATCACACTCCGGGGAATGTTGTGGGGTGGGGGGAGGGGGGAGGGATAGCATTAGGAGATATACCTAATGTTAAATGACAAGTTAATGGGTGCAGCACACCAACATGGCACATGTATACATATGTAACAAACCTGCACTTTGTGCACATGTACCCTAAAACTTAAAGTGTAATAAAAATAAAATAAATAAATAATTATTTTATTTCATTGTATTCTCAGTTATGAAGACTGGTAGAAAAAAAATAAAGCATTGCCTCTGTGAATATTCTAAGTGCCTAACATATATTAGCTCATTTAATCCTCACAACCATCCTAAGAGTTATTATCCCCATTTTTCAGATAAAGAAAGCGAGGCAGAGTGCTTTTCCTAAAGTCACAGAACCAGTAGGAGTTTAACCAGCTGGAATCGAGTCGATCTTAGCCACTAGACTTTAATGTCCTTAATCACTAAATTCTTGTAAAATGCTGAAGGGCTCCTACTGTTTTCCTTTTTTTAAAAAAAGAAGTCATGTACTTTCAGACATAAAATTTAAGACTTAAAAAAAACATCATCACTTTGCATTCAAAAACTTAAAATGATTATAGATGCCCTATCAGAAAGATAGCTTTCTCTCTACCTGTTGCCTTCCTTTTAAAAGTATGTGATGCTGCCAGGCACGGTGGCTCATGCCTGTAATCCCAGCACTTTGGGAAGCCAAGGTGGGCAGATCACTTGAGCTCAGGAATTCAAGATTAGCCTAGGCAACATGGCAAAACCCCATCTCTACAAAAAATAACAAAAATTAGCCGAGTGTGGAGGCATGTACCTGTGGTCCCAGCTACTTGGGAGGCTGAGTTAAGATTATCCTTGAGCCCAGGAGGTCAAGGACACAGTGAACTGAGATTGCACCACTGCTTTGCAGCCTGGGTGACAAAGGGAGACACTGTCTTAAAAAAAAAAAAAGTGATGCCAATAAGATATTGTCCAGTTTTCCTTAAGTGCTCAAGTGTCTATATACTTGACTCTGTAGGGTATAATACATTATGATACAAGGTTGCTTCTTTGGAAAGGTAATAAAGTTGACTCCAATAGTTCTAAGCTAAGGGGGTTTTGTTTTGTTATTTTTCCTAATGAAACAAGTATTTTAGATGGCATTTGGAAATTTCCTTTTTTAATACGTTCAACAAGTCATTTGCATGCAGTTTTAAACTACTCCTTTCAGTAATGTTTTATGATTTAAAGACTTGATAACTTTTAAAAATGGTGTGTTTAAAAACTAAAAGACAGCAAAACCTCCTAACGCAATGGCTTTAGATCCTTTTAAATATTCCAGAACCAGTCCATAAAGACCACTTTCTCTTTTTTCTTTTCTTTGTTTCTTTAATAAGGCAGTGGATGGATTGACAGATGTGGAAGAAACTAAGGGGGAAAAATTCAAGGCTTACCATCATTTTTACTGTGGAATTTGTTTCTGAAAATTACATTGTGAAGCAGGTTTAGGAAGCAGTGTACTATAGCAGGAAAAAAGATAGATTTGACGGATCCATGGGATTTAGGTTTCTATAAGAGCTGTGTCATTGCCCACTTGCATGATTGTGGGCTGGCTATTTAACATCCCTGAGCTTCAATTTCCTCATCCAAAATGAAGGAATAGTGACATCTGCTTTATAGAGCTAGTGGCAGAGAAGTACTTGGTACATAGAAGTCCTTACTAGTTGTGAATTCCTTTATTTCTCCCCAAAAATATACTCTTCTTTTTCCTTTTAAAAAAATACTTTAAATTTTAAATTTTCTTAGCGACAGGGTCTTGCTCTATCGCCCATGCTGGAGTGCAGTGGCGCTATCATAGCTCACTGCAGCCTCAAACTCCTGGGCTTAAGCAGTCCTCCCTTCCCAGCCTCCCGAGTAGCTGGGTCTACAGGCGTGCACCACATGATCAGCTAATTTTTTAATTTTTTTTTTTTGTAGAGATAGAGTCTCCCTATGTTGCCCAGGCTAGTCTCAAACTCCTGGCCTCAAGCAGTCCTCCAACCTTGGCCTCCCAAAGCACTGGGATTACAAGGGTGAGCCACCATACCTGGCTTCCTTCTCCTTTAAATATGTTAGATATGGTAGCCAGAAAATGTAAAGTGGAACGGATTTAAAATGCTTACTAAATGGCTTAAATAAGCAGAACAACAAAATGTAAATCTAAAATATTGTGGGCTTCCTGCACAACTCATGACCAAAGATGTGAAATGAAAAACAGACTACAGGATCCCCAAGGTAGCTAACAGGGAACAGAGGAGAGGTGACAAATAGTGACAGCTGTGCAGATCCAGTTCCTTAAGATCTGCCAATTATAACAAAACAAAGGGACATGGACAATTTGTTGTGTAATTCTCACATTTCTTATATAGTTTTAAAAAACTCCATTTAAAAAAAACACTCAACTGGAATAGGCCTTGATTACCCTCCTTCAGAATCTCCCGTGAGTCCTCTACCCTCTCAGCCATCTTATTACTTCCACTGTGGTGCAATAGGAGTTGTGATTGAACCATTCCCACAAAGAGCTCCTGATTTATGCAACCCATATATTTTTCTTTTTTACTTTAGGCATCTACCTCCAGGATTAATTCAGATGTCATTCTTGTTGTCCTGAATGTAAATAATGCAAACTTTATTTTGTTCATAACTGAATTATTATTCAATACAGTCACCACTAGGCATATATGGCTTCTTAAATATAAATTTATAAAAATAAAAATTCACTTCCTCAGTCTCACTAACAACATTTCAAATGCCTAGTAGCCGCATGTAGATAGTAGCTACTGCATTAGACAGTGAAGATATAGAACATTTCCATTGTTACACAAAGTTCTATTGAACAGCTCTGCTTTAAAGAATGTGTTATTTGGGGGATTTATATTGTCTTCTATGTTGCACAAAAATCACATTGGTCTTTATGCAACTTGACAACTTAAGAAGGTTGCCCCTCACAGAATGATGATTTTACTCTGGGTGGTGATCATATAAGATCACTTAATGAACTCTGATCTGTAACACCTTAACTGACCCCAAGCTGAATTTTATAGGGTGTCTGTCCCCCAAAATGATTCCCCAAAGAAGTAATAAAATTTGTTTGAATCAGACCTTGAACATTTTCCCTGTGTTTCTGTGTTTATCTCAAAATAGACAGAGATCACTGTTTTTTTAATGTGGCATATCTGACTGCTTTATCAGACTGCGAAAATCAGGAGCATGTAATGAGATAGCGCTCCTTCAATCACTTTGTAATCAAGTACTCATATCTTCTACATTCCTTTTTAGAAAGATCTATAATATCTCCCTTTATTCAACCGATTTTTGGCTTGTTCCTCTTTCTGCATCCCAACATCCTAGAGCATTATCTAAAACACACAGTAGGTACTAAGAATGTGTTTGAGTGAACGAGCTAAAAATGACTTTTGGATTTGACTTTAGAAGATTACCAGATTAGGAAAATCTGGCTCTGCTCAGGAAAGTTCATCTAGGAAAATTTCAAGTCTATGTGCTCCATTAATCAGCTGGCTTTTCTTTTTCTAATATGAGGCTTCGTCCATAGGTTTCCTAATTAAGGAGTTATGTAAACCATGCCTCTGTTTCCTTTCTATAGATCAACACAAGAAACTGCACATTTTCTCATTTTACTTACTTTGAGCATCTCCTTTAGGCTTTATCCTTCAAACACTGAAAGAAAACACATAAGTCTTCTGTCTCCAGAACTTCCTTTGGCATTAATATTGATTGTTAGTGTTAAATTTTACGGGGTGGATATACTTAAAAGAATGTCATTACCTTGCTGGCCTTGATGTTGTAATTATAGAATAATGTTGTTATAAATGCCAGCTTTTTAAAAAAAATTATGCTGAGGATTACATTATCATTCACTCATTTCCTCAACAAATAATTATTGAGCAGACATTATTCCACACACTGCATAGCTAATGATTTGAACCAATGGCTAAAGAATTGCACAGTTTTAGCTCATTTAGATGCTTAAAAAATAAAAAACTGAGGTTGAGAGCTTTGAACATTTGTTTGAGCAGTTGTACTTCCTAAAATTGTAATTATTTCTATTTAAAAAGAAATCATACACTCTGTCCCGAAGTTAGCTGCATTCCCATTTAAAAATAGTTTTCCATATACTAGAATTAGTTGAGAGAGTGCAGTATTTAAATTATGTAGATAAATTACCCCCAAAAAAATAATCTCTGTTTTTGGAGAGGTTTCCACTAATGAGGACTTACAAAAATTAAGTCAGCCAGCTGCTATACGACTGACATTCTTTAAAATGGTCTTTATATCTGTTTATTTGAGGCTAAACCCAAAGTTTTCTTTGGAAATCAGGTTCGTTTTATTGTTTGGCATGAAGTTGATATCCCCTGTGATTTGCCAGTTGTTGCTTATATTTGACTATGGTAGGCCTCAGCACAGTAATAATGCCTAGGTAGATTAGGCCCCTTCCTCCTAAGCTGCTGATGCCTGCTGGAGGGGGATGATGCACTGAGCGCTAGGTTCAGCCAATGAGATACCCTATTCATTTGACAAGGCTGCTGCACAGTGATGGTGTGTGGTTTATAAACTCTTTGTATTCCCCGCTATGCACTAGTGGAGGCGATGGTCTCTTATTTTGTTCTCCCTTCTCTTTCTCATCTGTATTACTTGTTTTGAGCCCTGGGGAGAAAATTAGGGACGAAGATTGAAATTATAGTTTAAATAGGAAGATAAGTTCTATTTATTTGGGTTTTAATGCTTTTATTCAGCAAACATTTGTTGAACACCAACTATCTCCCTGGTACCAGGCTAAGTGCTGGGAATACTAATGTATTTTTCAAGGACTTCTGATCTTTGGGAGAGATAGACATGGGGCTGGACTCTTAGGACCATGATAGTTGCTGTGATGCAGATATTTAAAGGTTTAATGAAAGCCTTTGCCTGGAGGAGTCTGGAAGAGGGTCACAAAAGGCATATCTTTTACTTGTAGCAAATGGAGAGCCACTGAAGAATTTTGAGTAGAGGCACAATCAGGATTTTTTAAAAGATTCTGTGAGCTACCTATGAGATGACAGGAGGCAGAGAGATCAACCAGGAAATCATGCTACTCCTGCACAAGTGGGTCATTGTTAGTGTTCTTTATCCCTAGCACCCTAAGACTGTAATGATTACCTACCAGGTCATAAGCAAACATTTGTTTGCTTTCCAGAACATGATATAGGGCCCGTCAGTCTGAAGACATTTTTTTTTTTTTGAGATGGAATCTCACTCTGTAGCCCAAGCTGCAGTGCAGTGGCATGATGGTGGCTCACTGCAACCTCCACTTCCCAGGTTCAAGCGATTCTCATGCCTCAACCTCCCGAATATCTGGGACTACAGGCACATGCCACCACCCCCAGCTAATTTTTTGTATTTTAGTGGAGATGGGGTTTCACCATGTTGCCCAGGGTGGTCTCGAACTTCTGAGCTCAGGCGATCCACCCACCTCGGCCTCCCGAAGTGCTGGGATTACAGGCATGAGCCACCGCACCTGGCCTGAAGACATTTTTAAGTGGGGAGAAAGTAAAGAGGTAGATTATGGAAGCTCAGAAAAAGAGAAAAGTAAGTTTTGAGTGTGGTTTAGTCAAACATATTTGTCCAAAAGAATGTTTTTAGCATATAGCAAGGCAAGATTTAGAACACAATCTATTTTTTTCTGTTTAGAACACTGGTATGCCACAAAAATGTAGAGTATGTGATGTTATATTAGGCCTGCTGAAAGCTGAGCTTGGTGTCTGGTCCCAGGGGCTTGACAGGAATGTACAGGATTAAAAGTTTAAAATAAAAACAGCTAAGATACCAAGCTTTTAAAACATTGACCCAAATGATTGGAATTCAGTTAGGAGAACTTGTCTTTCTTGGAGGAAAAAAACTAAAAGCGCAAACCAGTTTTAGACTTAGGAGAATGGCTTGACCTACTTGCATGGGCTGTGGAATGTTTGTGGTTTCATTTGGAACGCATAAGTTTCTGATTCTCATGTGGAAATCTCCTTAGCTCCCAGGAGATCGTATCCTGCTATTTGGGAAGAGAAGCCACATTACTTATCTTTATTTCCTTGCTACCTTGGCTGTCCATTTCCATTTTGAATTGATGACCAACTCTGTTGACTCTGTCTCTCAGTCCAGCAGCCACTTACTGCATACCTGCTGTGCGCCTTACATCACATCAGGTTCTGAGGGGATGTAAAAACACACACTTTATAAAAGGCTAAAAATGCTTTAGTAAAGCAAAAAGTGCTAAGAGAACACAGAGGAAGAAGCTGTGGCTTCCAGTTTGAGGTGGAGGAGTAGAGAGTAGGGAAGGCTTCATTTGGTAAGTGCCATTTGAGCTAGGCCAAGGACAGACACCCTTGCTAAGGCAAAAATGTAAAAATAAAAATATGGAACATATTAACAGGAAATGAGTGATTCATAGGAAGGGTTGATGAGAAATAGTGGTAGATAAGACAGAGAGCCTTGACCAACTTGCTGAGGAGTTTGAACTTCATTCTCTAGCTGGCAGAAAGTCACACGATCAGCCGTTCTTCACCTCCTCTGATAAGCATTAAAGAGCTGCTGATGATGATAGACCTTCTCTCCCTTGTCAGTTCTGAGGTTATAAAAGAAAAAAAGGTACTTTTGGAATTCTCCATTTCTCTCATGTCTGTGATTATTTTTGTTTCTTCTAATTTGGAGAAATGGGCAGAACATGGCTGCCCATAAAGCTTCTTACAGGGCCCACACTGGAATAGGTAAGAATAGGTTCATGTTCTAGTTTTCTTATTTATTCCATTCTGCTCTCAGCCCAGATTCTTTGCTTGGTCTTGGGTACACAAATGAGACACAGTCCATTCCCTCAATGAGCAAACCAGTAGGGAATTCAGAATGGAACACAAGTCAAGGGTTGTAAGTGCTTACAGAGAAATATTCACAGGGTCTATCTGAGGGCCCAAGAAAGGTCAATTCTGGGGAGTGGAGTAAGAAATATTCCCTAGAAGCAGAATATTTAAAGATGAGAGGAGTGGGAAACTATTCCTGGAAGAGGATCAGCATGAGCAAAGACACAAAGCACAAAGGAAGCGTAAAATTGGCCAAGAGTGCTGGAGAAACCGCAAGTAGTTTGGTGGCTCTGACTTAGGATATAAGAGGAAATGCGACGAGAAACAGGTATATCGGGGCCAGATCATGAAAGGCTCACTTTCTTTGCTTGAAGACGATCTTTAGGACAGAATTTTTTAAAGCAGAGAAGTGTCATGAAATGCTTTGGCGTTTGAAAAACATCTCTCTAGTGGTTTGTGTGGTGAGGGAGGTAAAACTGGAGACAGCAATAATAGGAGACTGTCACAGTTGTCAGGCAAGGATGATAGGGCCTCAGCTGGTGCAATTCACTGCTTCTAACCTTCTCCGTGGTGCTTCATCTCTGAAAGGTCTAGGTAAGCAACTGAAAAATTAGGACTTATTACAAAGCATACTTCTGTTGTCTTGTAAATAAACCATGGTCTGACGTCTCACATTAGCCAAGAGAAAATAGGGCTGGGGCAGCTTTGGGAAGGAGACCCCACCATCACAGGAAACATTCAGTAAATGCCAAGCCCCTACATCCTTAGTTAAGGGCACAGAGGAATGAGAAGATAAGACTGGAAACTGAATTGATGGTTGTTTCTAAGAATGGATTGTTGATTTTCTTTATTGAGATATAATTTATATTCCATAAAATTCACCCTACTAAAGTGTGCAATTCAGTTAGTTTTAGTATATTCACAGAATTTTGCAAGCATCACTAATGTCTAATTTCAGAGCATTTTCATCATCCCAAACAGAAACCCATTAGCAGTCACTGTCCATTCTCCCCTTCCCCCAGCCCCTTACAACAGCTAATCTACTTTCTGTCTCTATGCCTTTATATATTTCTGGAAATTTCATATAAGTGGAATCATATAATATGTGGTCATTTTTGACTGACTTCTCTCACTTAGCATAATGTTTTCAAGGTTTTTCCATGTTTTCAAGGTTTTTCCATGTTTTAGCATACATACATCAGTACTTCACTCCTCTTATGCCTGAATAATAGTCAATTGTATGGGTGTACCACATTTAATTTATCCATTCATCAGGTGATGGACATCTGGTTTGTTTCTACTTTTTGGCTATTATAAATGCTGCTGCTTATGAACATTTGCATATAAAGTTTTGGTGGACATGTTTTCAGTTGTCTTGGGTATATACCCAGGAGTCGAAATGCTGGGTCAAATAGTAACTGTATGTTTAACTTTTTGAGGAACTACCAAAATATTTTCCAAGATGGTGGCACCATTTTAGATTCCTACTAGCAATGTATAAGCATTTGAATTTCTCCACATCCTCACCAACACTTGCCTGTGTGTTTTATTACAGCTAACCTAGTAGATGTGAAATGATGTCTCAGTTTGCATTTACCTCATGAGTGATGATGCCAAACATCTTTCCACACACACTGGCCATTTATATATCTTCTTTGAAGAAATAGCTATGCAAATCTTTTACCCATTTTTACTTGGGTTATTTATCTTTTTCAAAAGAGTTCCTTATATATTCTGAATATAAGTCTCTTATCAGATATGTAATTTGAACATATTTTCTCCCATTCTGTGAGTTGTCTTTTTTACTTTCTTAAAGATGTCCTTTGAAGCATAAAAGTTTATAATTTTTATTGACTTCCAATCTACTTTTTCTTTTGTTACTTATACTTTAGGTATCATATCTAAGAAACCATTACCTAACCCAAGGTTGCAAAGATTTATTCCTACGTTTTTTCTAAGAGTTTTTAGTTTTAGCTCTTATATTTAAATTTTTCATACATTTTTAGTTAATTTTTGTGTATAGTGTGAGGTAGGGATTCAATAGCATTATTTTGCTTGAAACTGTTCTTTCCCTGTTGAATTGTTTTGGCAATCTTGTCAAAAATCAGTTGGCCTTAAATATAAGTGTTCACTTCTGCGCTCTCAAATATATTTCATTCATCTATATTTCTATTCTTACGCCAGTACCACGTACTCTTGATTACTATAATTTTGTAATAAGTTGGAGTTGGAAAGTGTAACTTTTCCAACTTTATTCTTTTTAAAGACTTTGACCACTCTAGGTTTCTTCTATTTCCATATGAATTTTAGGATGAGCCTGCCAGTTTCTGCAAGAAGTCTAACTGGAATTTTGATAGGGATTACATTAAATCTGTAGATCAATTTTGGGAATATTTCCCTTTTAACAATATAAAGTCTCTGATCCATGAGCATAAGATATCTTTCCATTTGCTTTTTAGTTTCTTTCAGCGATGTTTTATAGTTTTCAAAGTACAAGTCTTACACTAGTTTTGTTAGGTTTATTTCTGGTTACTTTATCCTTTTTGATGGTGTTGTAAATAGAATTGTCTTCTTAATTTTATTTTGGATCATTCATTTATAATGTATAGAAATGAATTGGTTTTTGTATGTTGATCTTGTATCCTGTAAACTTGCTGAACTGGTATATTCATTCTAATAGTTTTTTTGTGTGTGGATTCGCTACGCTTCTCAATATACACGATTATATTATCTGTGAATGATGAGATAGTTTTACTTTCCTCTTTACAATCTGGATGTCTTTATCTCTTTTTCTTTCCTAATATCCCTGACTAGAACCTCCTGTACAACGTAGAATAGAAATGGGTGAGGTGCAGTGGCTCACACCTGTAATCCCATCACTTTGGGAGGCCAAGGCAGGCAGGTCACTTGAGCTCAGGAGTTTGAGACCAGCCTGAGCAACATGGCAAAACCCTGTCTCTATGAAAAATAGTAGTCCTGGCTACTTGGGGGACTGAGGTGGAAGGATCACTTGAGCCTGGGAGGTCAAGGCTGCAGTGAGCCGAGATTGTGCCACTGCACTCCAGCCTGGGTGACAAAGGAAGACCCTGTCTGGGAAAAAAAAAAAAGACACAAAGAAAAAGAAAAAAAAAGAAATGGCAAGAACGCAAATCCTTGTCTTGTTCCTGATATTACAGGAGAAATTTCCAGTCTTTTATCATTAAGTATGATGTTAGCTCTTTTACAAAGATGCCCTTTCCTTTGTCAGGTTGAGGATGTTCTCTTCTGTTTCTAGTTCATTGAGTATTATTATTATGGAAAGGTGTTTGGTTTTATCAAATGTTTTTTCTGCATCTATTAAGGTGATTATGTGAGCTTTTTTCCCCCTTTATTCCATTGGCATGGTATATTACATTGATTGATTTTCAGATGTTAAACCAACCTTGCATTCCTGGAATAAATCCCACCTTGTTGTGGTGTATAATCCTTTTTTATATGTTGCTGGATTCGGTTTGCTAGCATATTGTGTAGATTTTCACATCTGTATTCATAAAAGACAGTCTCTAGTTTTCTTTTTATGTCTTTGTCTAGTTTTAGTATTTAGGTAATATTGGCTCCATTGAATTCAAGTTGGGAAGCATTCCTTCCTCCTGTTCTATTTTTTGGAAAAGTTTTCAAAGGATTGGTATTAATACTTCTTTAAACATTTGGTAGAATTCATCAGTGAAGCCATCTGGTCCTGGGTTTTCTTTGTGGGAATTTTTTAAAATACTAATTCAATTTCTTTCCTTATTATAGATATCTATACAATTTTACTACTTTCTGTCTTTCAGTAGTAAATATTTATTCCTTCATTCAAGAAGTTGTTATTGTTGATTCTATCTAGACCTTGTTCTTGGCACAGAGATTACAGCAGTGAATAAAACAAAAGCTCTGGCCGCCTTGAAGCTTAGCATTCTCATATTTTTTCTCTTCTCTTACTCTCTTGCTCTCTCTCTCCCCCTCCCTCCCTCTAAATATATACATATAGACACAATTTATATATATATTATATGTGTATATATATGTGTGTTGTTGTTTGTTTATATTTAATATTGTTCTATTACTTATAAAAATATTACTACATGACATGGGTGGAGAAAAGAGGTCCTTGAGTTTGCAATATATATTGCTGTAGCTTATATAAATTCTTAGATATTCTTGAAGAAAGTAGTGTGCATGGGAAATGGATATAGTCATGTGCTATATAATGATGTTTTGGTCAACAATGGACTGCACAAACAACACTGGTCTCATAGGATTATGATGGAGCTGAAAAACTCCTGTTACCTAGTGACATAGCCATTGTGACATCACAGCGCAAGGCATTACTCACGTGTTTGTGGTGATGCTGGTGTAAACAAACCTACTGCACTGCCAGTCATAAAAGTATAGCACATACAATTATGTATAGTACATAATACTTGGTGATAAACTACTGAGTTACTGGTTTGTGCATTTTCTGTACTATTACCATAACTTTAAAGTGTACTCCTACTTATTTTTTAAAAAACTGTAAAACAGCCTCAGGCATGTCCTTCAGGAGGTATACCAGAAGAAGGCATTGTTATCTTAGGAGATGACAGCTCCATGTGTGTTACTGCCCCTGAAGACCTGCCACTGGGACAGGATGTGGAGGTGGAAGACCGTGATATTGATATTCTTGACCCTGTGTAGGCCTTTGTCATCATTGTCCCTGTCTTCACATGGTGCTTTTTCTTATAAGGACACCAGTCATACTGGATTAGGGCCCACTCTAATGACCTCATCTTAACTTGATTACATCTACAAAGACTTTATTTCCAAATAAGGTCACATTCACATGTACCAGGGGTTAGGACTAGTAATATGTGTGTTTGTGTCTTCGTTTTTAACAAAAAAGTTTATAAAAAAAAAAGTTTTGTTTAAATAGGGAAAGATTTGTAGCATAAAGACACAAAGAAAAAACAATTTTTTTTTTTTTTTTGAGACAGAGTCTCGCTCTGTCACCCAGGCTGGAGTGCAGTGGTATGATCTCAGCTCACTGCAACCTCCGCCTCCCAGGTTCAAATGATTCTCCTACGTCAGCCTCCTGAGTAGCTGGGACTATAGGCATGCGCCACCATGCCTGGCTAATTTTTGTATTTTTAGTACAGACACGGTTTCCATGTTGGCCAGGCTGGTCTCAAACTCCTGGCCTCAAGTGGTCCACCCACCTTGGCCTTCCAAAGTGCTGGGATTATAGGCATAAGCCACCGTGCCTGGCCCAAAGAAAAAATATTTTGAAATAGTGTACAGTGTATCTTAAGCTAAGTGTTATTATAAAAGTTAAACAAAATTTATAAAGTTAAACAAAATTTAAGCTTATAAAGTTAAAAAGTTAAGTAAGCTAAGGTTAATTTATTATTGGAGAAAAATTTTTAAATAAATTTAGTATAGCCTAAGTATACAGTATATATAAAGTCTACAGGAGTGTATGGTAATAATATGCAAGGCCTTTACATTCACTCACCACTCACTCGGTGACTCACCCAGGGCTACTTCCAGTCCTGCAGGCTCCTTTCATGGTAAGTGCCCTATACAAGCATACCATTTTTTATCTTTTATACTGTATTTTTACTGTACCTTTTCTACATTTAGATACACAAGTAGTGTGTTAGTCCATTTTCACGCTGCTGATAAAGTCATATCCAAGACTGGGCAATTTACAAAAGAAGGAGGTTTATTGGACTTACAGTTCCACATGGCTGGGGAGGCCTCACAATCATGGTGGAAGGCAAGGAGGAGCAAGTCACATCTTATGTGAATGGCAGCAGGCAAAGAGAGAGCTTATGCAGAGGAACTCCTCTTTTTAAAACCGTCAGATCTTGTGAGACTTACTCACTATCATGAGAACAGCATGGGGAAGACCTGCCCCCATGATTCAGTTACCTCCCACCAGGTCCCTCCCACAACATGTGGGAATTCAAGATGAAATTTGGGTGGGGACACAGCCAAACCATATCATTCCACCCCTTGCCCCTCCCAGATCTCATGTTCTCACATTTCAAAACCTATCAGGCCTTTCCAACAGTCCCCTAAAGTCTTAACTCATTTCAACATTAACTCAAAAGTCCATAGTCCAAAGTCTCATCCGAGACAAGGCAAGTCCCTTCCACCCATGAGCCTGTAAAATCAAAAGCAAGTTAATTACTTCCTAGATACAATGCAGGTACAGTCATTGGGTAAATACAGCCATTCCAAATGGGAGAAATTGGCCAGAACAAAGGGGCTACAGGCCCCACACAAGTCCGAAATCCAGCGGGGCAGTCAAATCTTAAAGTTCCCAAATGATCTCCCTTGATTCCATGTCTTGCATCCGGGTCATGATGATGCAAGACATGGGTTCCCATGGCCTTGGGCAGCTCCATCCCTGTGGCTTTGCAGGGTATAGCCTCCCTCCCAGCTGCTTTGAGGGGCTGGCATTGAGTGTCTGTGGCTTTTCCACACACATGGTGCAAGCTGTCAGTGGATCTACCATTCTGGGATCTGGAGGACAGTGGCCCTCTTCTCACAGCTCCACTAGGCAGTGCCTCAGTAGGGACTCTGTGTGGGGGCTCCGACCCCACATTTCCCTTTCACACTGCCCTAGCAGAGGTTCTCCATGAGGGCCCGACCCCTGCAGCCAACTTCTGCCTCAGCATCCAGGTGTTTTCATACATCCTCTGAAACCTAGGCAGAGGTTCCCAAACCCCAGTTCTTGACCTCTGTGCACTCACAGGCTCAACGCCACATGGAAGCTGCCAAGGCTTGGGGCTTGCACCCTCTGAAGCCACAGCCTGAGCTCTACAGTGGCCCCTTTCAGCCATGGCTGGAGTGGTTAAGATACAGGGCACCAAGTCCCTAGGCTGCACACAGCAAGGGGACCCTGGGCCTGGCCCACGAAACTACTTTTTTCTCCTAGGCCTTCGGGCCTCTGATGGGAGGGTCTGCCGTGAAGACCGTTGACATGCCCTGGAGAAATATTTCCCATTGTCTTGGGGATTAACCTTCAGCTCCTCGTTACTTATGCAAGTTTCTGCAAATTTCTGCAACCAGCTTGAATTTCTCTTCAGAAAAATGGTATTTTATTTTCTATCACATTGACAGGCTGCAAATTTTCTGATTTTTATTTTATTTTTATTTTTATTTATTTATTTTTTTGGAGACGGGGTCTCACTCTGTCACCAATACTGGAGTACAGTGGCATGATCCCGGCTCACTGCAACCTCCACCTCCGAGGTTCAAGCGATTCTCCTGGCTCACCCTCCTGAGTAGCTGGGACTACAGGTGTCTGCCACCACACCTGGCTAATTTTTGTATTTTTAGTAGAGACAGGGTTTCACCATGTTGGCCAGGCTGGTCTCAAACTCCTGACCTCAAGTGATCCACCTGCCTCAGCCTCTCAAAGTGCTGGGATTACAGGCATGAGCCACTGCGCCAAACCAAATTTTCTGAACTTTTATGCTCTGCTTCCCTTATAAAACTGAATGCCTTTAACAGCACCTAGGTCACCTCTTGAATGCTTTGCTGCTTAGAAAATTCTTCTGCCAGATACCCTAAGTCTTCTCTCTCAAGTTCAAAGTTCCACAAATCTCTAGGGCAGGGCCAAATTGCTCCAGTCTCTTTGCTAAAACATAACAAGAGTTACCTTTGCTCCAGTTCACAACGAGTTCCTTATCTCCATCTGAGACCACCTCAGCCTGGACCTTATTGTTCATATCACTATCAGCACTTTTGTCAAAGCCATTCAACAAGTCTCCAGGAAGCTGCAAACTTTTCCACATTTCCCTGTCTTCTTCTGAGCCCTCCACACTGTTCTAACCTCTGCCTGCTACCTAGTTCCAAAGTTGCTTCCACATTTTCGGGTATCTTTTCAGCAACACCCCACTCTACTGGTACCAATTTACTGTATTAGTCCATTTTCACACTGCTGATAAAGACATACACGAGACCAGGCAATTTACAAAAGAAAGAGATTTATTGGACTTAACAGTTCCACATGGCTGGGGAGGCCTCACAATCATGGCAGAGAGCAAGGAGGAGCAAGTCACATCGTATGTGGATGGCAGCAGGCAAAGAGAGAGAACGTGTGCAGGGGAACTCCTCTTTTTAAAACCCTCAGATCTCATGAGACTTATTCTCTATCATGAGAACAGTACGGGAAAGACCTGTGCTGACTCAGTTACCTCCCACTGGGTCCCTCCCACAACATGTGGGAATTCAAGATGAGATTTGGGTGGGGACACAGCCAAACCATATCAAGTAATTAACATTGTGTTATAATTGCCCACAGTATTCAGTACAGTACCATGTTGTACAGGTTTGTAGCCTATAAGCAGTGGGCTATACCATATGGCCTAGGTGTGTAGTAGGCTGTACCATCTAGGTTCGTGTAAGTACACTCTATGATTTTTGCGTAATTATGAGATTGCCTAACTCTCTCAGAACTTATCCCTGTCATAAGCAACACTTACTATTACAATCCCAGATTATATTGGTGCTTACCGTTGACATGCTGCAAGGACGTGATTTTAACAAAACAAACCACCACCCCTATTCATTGTCATCCTCAGCACCATCCAGCACCTTCTACTCTATATGAACAATAGTAGGAGAATGTATGAGTTTCCTAGGACTGCTGTAAAAAAGTACCACAAATGGGTGGCTTAGAACAACACAAATATATTCTCTCACAGTTATGGAGGCTAGGAGTCTGAAATCAAGGTGTCAGCAGGACTGTGTTCCCTCTGAGACAGTGGGTAGATTCCTTTCTTGCCTTTGTCTGGCATCTGGTAGTGGCCATCAATGCTTGGTATTCCTTAGTCTGCACCTGTGTCACTCCAGACTCTGCCTCCAATGTCATGTAGTGTTTTCCCTCTCTGTCCCTGTCTTTACATGGTGTTTTTTCTTCTTATAAGGACATCAGCCATATTGGATTAGGGCCCGTCCTAATGACCTCATCTTAACTATTAAATCTACAGACTTCCAACAGGTCACATTCATAGGTACCAGGGGTTAGCACTTCAACATACCTTTTTGGGGGATATAATTCAACCCATAACAGAGCCTTATAACTCTGAGATCTTGAGTAGAGGCCTCATTTTAATAACAGAACTAATTTTTAATAGCCTTTATAGAAGTTTCATGTATATTTTTCTGTCTTTAAAAAATAATGTGTTCTCTCTGTTATACAATAAGCCCTGAAGGTATATTCAAACACACATGTGTTTTATCTTTTTCTAATCATAAATGCTGGAAACTAAGCACAGATGAATGGTTCTCTAACTAGGGCTTATAAAAGATGTTGAAAGATAGTATCTCTCAAATCACAATGTATATGCCCACCAAAATAAAAGAGAATCACATAAGAGTTTGGGAATTCGTGTTCAGAACAGAAGTTGACTGCTCATATACACTGTTCCCCTTACCACAATCACAGGAATCTTTTACGTAGACCAGTTTAAGCAATGTCAGAATCCATCTCTATAGTAAAATAAATAGCATGGCTTTTGAAATTGTATTCATGTGTTGGAAAATGTTATATGCATGACAAATGCTATATATAATACAATGTAACTTTGGAATAAAAAGAACAGAATAGTATCTTCTGAGCCCCTGTCTAATGGTCACATTGCTAGTTTCAATTCTGTTTGTAATAAAGCTCCCAAGTATTTTCTTTATCCACAATGCTATCATCTCTACTCTGTCACAATCCAAGTATATTCGAGTGTCTGTCATCCCTTAATATTCTGGTGTGGTGAATATATAGCACTCTGAAGGGTGGGACTGGAGAATCTGGTTTCCTTTTTGAAAACAAAACTCATCACCCAAACCAGTGCCCTGTTCCTAGACAAGGCCAAGACATTATGCATATTTGTCGTTCCCACCAAGGCTTGGATACTTCAATGTTTAGGTATTTGTTCTTTGGTTGTTCTCTTTTCCCATTTTGAACTAAAGAGTTGACTTATTCTTACATTCCCATGGCTACCTCACTCATTTCTGCTCAAGTTTCAGTTATAAAATTAGATTGAAAACTTTACTTACTCTTTTCTTTTTATTGCTTTAAAAACAATACAGGGCAATCTAGAGCAGCCATGATACCTCCCAAGCAGCCACGACAGCCCAAGGGAGCTGTGGACGATGCCATCGCCTTTGGAGGGAAAACAGACCAAGAAGCACCCAATGCTTCCCAACCTACACCACCCCCACTGCCAAAGAAGATGATCATAAGAGCCAATACAGAGCCAATCTCCAAGGACCTCCAAAAATCCATGGAAAGTAGTCTTTGTGTCATGGCTAATCCCACCTATGATATCGACCCCAACTGGGATGCCAGCAGTGCTGGTTCTTCCATCAGCTATGAACTCAAAGGACTGGACATTGAGTCTTATGACTCCTTGGAAAGGCCTTTGCGCAAGGAGAGACCTGTCCCCTCAGCAGCAAACAGCATTTCCAGCTTAACCACTCTCAGTATTAAGGATAGATTTTCCAACAGCATGGAATCCCTCTCCAGCCGGCGTGGGCCCTCTTGCAGACAGGGCCGAGGCATCCAGAAGCCGCAGAGACAAGCACTTTATCGAGGACTTGAGAATCGGGAGGAAGTAGTGGGTAAAATCCGAAGCCTTCATACAGATGCCTTGAAGAAACTGGCTGTTAAATGCGAAGACCTTTTCATGGCTGGGCAGAAAGACCAGCTCCGTTTTGGAGTGGACAGCTGGTCAGACTTCAGGCTAACCAGTGACAAACCATGTTGTGAGGCAGGTGATGCGGTTTACTATACTGCTTCATATGCAAAAGATCCACTTAATAACTATGCAGTCAAGGTAAGAAAATATTATAAATCTCATGTTAAGTCTTAACCACTACATTGTTACTGGGATGGATTCATTCTGCTTTTCTCCTTTCTTTCCTTCATTCTTCCATTCAGCAAATTATTGAGCATCTACCTCTTACCAGATACTAGATTAAGCAGGGGGCTTATTTATTATTTAAAGAAAACAGATACGTAACTTAACAGAATTACAACAGTATACTGCATGCAAAGATAGAGGTAAACAAGAATTCTATGGGATCTTGGAGATACCTTAACCCAAACTCAAGAAGTCAAAGAAGTCTTTTTTTTTTTTTTTTTTGAGATGGAGTTTCACTCTTGTTGCCCATTGTGGAATGCAATGGTGCAATCTCGGCTCACTGCAACCTCCGCCTCCCAGGTTCAAGCAATTATTGTGCCTCAGCCTCCCGAGTAGCTGGGATTACAGGTACCTGCCACCACGCCCCGCTAATTTTTATATTTTTAGTGGAGATGGGGTTTCACCATGTTGGCCAGGCTGGTCTCAAACTCCTGATCTCAGGTGATCCTCCCGCCTTGGCCTCCCAAAGTGCTGGGATTACAGGTGTGAGCCACCATGCCCAGCCAAAGAAGTCCTTTTAAAGTAGGTAACCTGGCCAGGCATGGTGGTTCATGGCTATAATCCCAGCACTTTGGGAGCCCAAACCAGGTGGATAGCTTGAGCCCAGGAGTTCGAGACCAGCCTAGGCAACGTGGTGAAACCCTGTCTCTAAAAAAAAAAATAGAAAAAATTAGCCAAATGTAGTGGCTCATGCCTGTAGTCCCAGCCACCCAGGAGGCTGAGGTGGGAGGATCACCTGAGCCCAGGAGGTCAGGGCTGAAGTGAGCCATGATCGGGTCACTGCACTCCAGCCTGGGCAACAAAGTGAGACCCTGTCTCAAAAAAAAAAGTAGGTAACCCTTGAGCTTTGCTTTTTGCAAGGGCTACCTAAAAATATGAGGTCTGTTATGTACCTTTCACTGCATGTTTCTGTCTTTTTTTTAGGCTGGAGTGCAGTGGCATGATCATAGCTCACTGCAGCCTCAGGTGTGTGCCACCACATGACTGATTTTTTTGGTTTTGGTAGAGGTGGTGGTCTCACTATGTTGCCCAGGCTGGTCTCAAACTCCTGGCTTCCAGTGATCCTCCCACCTTGGCCTCCCAAAGTGCTGGGATTACAGGCATGAGCCATCATACCTGGTTTATGTTTCTGACTTTACCCTTTACCAGCTAAGAAATGCTTGTCTACCTCTGCTCTGTAACTCCTTTGCTCCCTAGAGAAACATTTTTATAGAGGAGGATAACTAATGTTTATTGATGTTCCTGGAACTATATTTTTGTTATGTAATTTAATCTTCACATCAACTTTATGAGATTAAGATCTTTTTCTCCATTTGACATATGAGGAAAATGAAGCTCCAAGAAGTAGGCTGACTTGGTTAGGATCACACAGCTAGCAAGTGGTAGAGCTGAGTTTTTTGTTGTTGTTTTTGTTTTGTTTTGTTTTGAGATGGAGTCTCACTCTGTTGCCAGGCTGGAGTGCAGTGGCACGATCTTGGCTCACAGCAACCTCTGCCTCCCGGGTTCAAGCGATTCTCCTGCCTCAGCCTCCCTTGTAGCTGGGACTATAGGTGTGCACCACCATGCCCAGCTAATTTTTGTATTTTTAGTAGACACGGGGTTTCACCGTGTTGGCCAGATGGTCTCAATCTCTTGACCTCGTGATCCGCCCACCTTGGCCTCCCAAAGTGCTGGGATTACAGGCGTGAGCCACCATGCCTGGCCAGAGCTGAGTTTTAATCACAAATATTTCTGACTCCATAGCTGTATTTTGTCCATTGTGCCACTTATCAATTTCTTACATGTGGATTGCTTATTTCAGATAACCCACTTCTTCAAGACAGCTAAACTCTTGACATCAAGAATTCTTGCCCAGTTACATTCACTGTAGCAGAAAGCCATAGGTTTCATCAATATAATAAATAAAGTGTGGACTTTGAAGTCCAAAAGATTTGGGTTCAGATCCTGGTTCTGCCTCTTAGTAGCTTTGTCAATAATGGCACCCATCTTATGGAGCTGTTGTTTGGTTAAAAGAAAACAAAATGTCCCTAATAACTGTTCATTTCATTAACTAGCCACTAGCTTCTTCCCTAGGTTACTTTAAGAGAGTAACAATCTTTGAGCCTCAATTTCCTCCTCTTTCAGATGTTTACAGTGAGTGTAGGATCAAGTGAGATAATGCATATGAAAGGTTTTTGAAGAACACAAAGCCCTATATGTAAACTTAAGGTAGTGTCCTCCATTCCCATAGTCCCTTTTTACTGATTCTATTCACTGGTTCAAAACCAATTAACATATCTAAATGACTTTTACATGTTAATTAGGCTTAGAAAGACCAGATGGTATCTTAGCAAATTAATGGATAAGGTAACGATTGGCCTTACCTGTCTATCAAGACAGAATGTATGTTTGAAACAGACCTTCAGCTAGCTACCCTCTGCAGTTACAGTATCTACACCAGTTGACTGTCTGATGTCACTGGCAGAGTAACCCTGTGCTCCAGCTCACACTTTTTAAATTAAACTGAGGGATAAACTGTAAAGAGGGGGATCTGGATTCAAGTTAATACATTACTATTGAGTTTAAAAAGGTATTTTGAGATTCTATATAGCACTTAAGAGCTGTTATATAAATTGAGGTTATGGTGCCTTATCTATCTTGGGCCCTTATTGCTGCAAAATCACCAATGCAGGATGAGTACCTGTTTCAGAAAGGGACATTGAACTATCTGTTCTTTCAAAACAGTTGAGAAGTAGGACTTGACTAACTTTATGTATTATTGCCGTGGAATCTTGTCTCTTTCCCAAATCAGTGGTCTGGTATTGATTTCTTTGCTTATAATGATGTAAAACCAATCTCCAAAGAACAGATGGCAAGTGGTTATATACTAGGAGTTGTTGGCAGGTTTGGAAAAGGATATTTTACACTAAATGCTAAATATAAATGTCTCTTTTAAGACCCTCTGGTATTGCCAGAAGTGCCCAATTGATTGTACTATTAGGGCTCTGTGAACCCTGTCTTTGCAGAGATAAGCAAAAGACACTAACAGTTGGCCCACACAAACAACTTTTTCTGTTTATCTTCTTAAATTCCCTTCCCATACTAAGGGAATTTATAATAGTCTAAAGGGTGTAACTGTCTCTTAAAGAGACTAAAAGTTCTTTAAAATGTTGCAAACAAAAAGTCAGTGGTAGACTGGGCGTGGTGGCTCACGCCTGTAATCTCAACAGTTTGGGAGGCTGAGGCAGATGGATCACCTGAGATCAGGAGATGGAGACCAGCCTGGCCAACATGGCAAAACCCCGTCTCTGCTAAAAATACAAAAAAAAAAAAAAAATAGCCAGTCATTGTGGCGGGCACCTGTAATCCCAGTTACTCGGGAGGCTGAGGCATGAGAATTGCTTGAACCCAGGAGGCGGAGGTTGCAGTAAGCTGAGGCACTGCACTCCAGCCTGGGCAACAGAGTGGGACAACATATCAAAAAAAAAAAAAAAATCAGTGGTAGAATTTAGCAATTTGAAAGCCAAAGGATATCACCCCTCATCCTTAAATACCAAATCCACTGCAGTCATAGAGTACTAACTGTATGTTATTTTAGTTTGCTCAAGTTGTGTAACAACACACCATATTCTATATGACTTAAACAACAGAAATTTATTTTCCCTATTTCTGGAGGCTAAAAAATTCAAGTTCATGGTTCCAACTTATTTGCTTTCTGGGGAGGGCTTTCTTCCTGGCTTACAGCCAGCCACCTTCTCTTTGTGTCCTCACATGGCAAGGAGTGAGGGAGAGAGGAAGGAAGAGAGTGCAAGGGAGAGGCTATGCACTGGTATCTCTTATAAGGACACCAGTTCTATTGTATCAGGGCCCTATGCTTATGACCTCATTTAGCCTTAATTACCTCTTTGTAGGTACTGTCTCACATTGGGGGTTAAGGATTCAACATATGAGTTGGTGGTGGGGAACACATAATTTAGCCCATAGCACTCTACCTCTAACCCATCCTGCCTCAGAATATCTGTCCTTATAGCATGCAAAACACATTCCAACAGCTCCAAAAGTCTTATTTATGACAGCATCAACTCTAAAGTCTAAAGTCCAAAGTCTCATCTAAATATCATCTAAATCAGATATGGGTGAGATTCAAGGTATGATTTGTCCTGAGGCTCTCCAGTTGTGAACCTGTGAAACCACAAGTTACATGCTTACAAAATACAACTGTGAACAGGCATAGGATAGACATTCCCATTCCAAGAGAAAGAAATCAGAAGGAAGAAAGGAGTGATAAATCCTGAGCAATTCCAAAACCTGGCAAGTCAAGTTCTATTAAATCTTCGGCCCAAGAATAATCCTCTTTGGTTTGATACTCTCCCCTGCAAGCCCACTGGGGTGGCACCATCACCACCATGGCTCTGCATAGTGGCGCAATACTGAGGCACTGGTCATGGTTATCCTAGCCTACCAGATCTCAAGAGGCAGCTTCACCCTTTGAAACTGAGGATGGAACAGCCTTGCCTACTGGTCCTTTGGTGGGAAAAGCAGCCCTGATGTTTCTGTATCACTTTCAGGATCATTCTTCCCTTTCCTTGAAGAACAGTACATGTTTGCAGCCAAATAGCTCTCTGGGCTAGTCCTGTAGAATCCAAGTTCAGTAGCCTTCCTTTATTTTGTCCCACTTTGTCCCTTTTAATTCAAACTGGCAATGTCTTTGCTGGTATAATCCCATTATTATCCCTGACTTGTGCTGAGATGGCTGGTTAAGTCCATAAGTCATATCCATCTTCTCTGTATCAAATAGTTGTTTAGCCACACCCTTGGTATTCTCTTAGAACAAGCTTTCCCTTTTTTTTTTTTTTTCTTGAGATGGAGTCTCACTCTGTCACCCAGGCTGGAGTGCAGTGACACGATCTCGGTTCACTGCAGCCTCCACCTTCCAGGTTCAAGTCATTCTCCTGCCTTAGCCCCCCAAGTAGCTGGTATTACAGGCGTCCGTCACCACACCAACTGCTTTTTGTATTTTTAGTAGAGACAGGGTTTCACCATGTTAGCCAGGCTGGTCTTAATCTCCTGACCTCAGATGATCCACCCGCCTCAGCCTCCCAAAGTACTGGGATTACAGGCATGAGCCACAACGCCTGGCCTCACCGTTTTCACAGTATGGATAGACTGCAAATTTTCCAAGTCTTCACGTTCTGGTTTCTTTTTGCTCAACAATTCCTTTTTCAGTTCGTCTCTCTCCTTTCACATTTTATTATAAGCAGTCAGGAGGAACCAAGCCACTCCTTCACTTTGCTTAGAAATCTCAATTGCATCTCTTGCAAGTTTTGTCTTCTACAAAACACAGTCCTGCTAAGTTCTTTGCCACGTTATGACAAGGATTCCCTTTCCTCCAGTTTCCAATAATGTTCCTTGTTACTATCAGAAACCTCATCAGAATCGCCCCTAGCATCCATATTTCTAGCAACTATCTGTTCATGGTTATCTGGGCTTTTCCTCACATGCATCTCAAAACTCTTCTAGCCTCTACCCAATTCCAAAGCTGCTTCTACCTTTTAAAGTATTTTTACAACAGCACACCACTTCTCAGTATCAAAATCTCATTCTGCTCAGGCTGCCATAACAAAATACCATAGACTGAAAAGGATAAATTTATTTTCTCACAGTTATGGAGGCTGGAAGACCCAAGATCAAGGTTCTAGCTGATTTGGCTTCTAGTGAGGGCTCTCTTCCTGGCTTACAGATAGCCTTCTTCTCACTGTGCCCTTACATGACAGGGAGAGAGAGAGAGCGTGAGAGAGAACACAAGAAGCATGTGCAAGCACGCCCCAGTGTCTGTTCTTAGAAGGACACTAATCCTGTCACATCATGGCCCCACTCTTATGATCTCTTTTAATTAATTACCTCCTTGTTAGCCCTGTCTCCAAAATGCAGTAACATTGTGGGCTAGGGCTTCAACATATGAAGAGGTTGGGGAGAGAGACAATTCTGTCCATAGCAGGTGTCATGTTTGTCTTTGTTATAAAGTAAGTGGTTTTAACTCAGGGCTTTTCCTGGATTTGAAGGTTTTCCTCTTTCATATTTATTCTAATCTTCATTCAACATGATTAGCTTTATTATTTGTATTGGTCTTAAATGAAAAGGCATCACAGCACTGAATAAAGAGCTTTGGAGTCAGCTGACCTGGGTCCAAGTTCTGAAGATATCACTGTGTATTTTTATGCAAGTCATGCGCCTCTCTTGGTTTTCACATCAGTGTATATTAACTGCCCTACTTATCTCAGATGATTGTTATAGTACATGTGTTTATGTAGTGAAACAGTTTTATAAACTGTAAAGTACATATAAAATAATGCATTATTGTTATTAACAATAATGGAAAATTGCTGCTCAACATCTTATAGATCACTCACTATTATTCTTTCTTAACATTAGGCTTTGGCTTGAGCATATTAGATAGGTTCTGCACTTAGGTATTCTTTCTCTTTACTTCAGAGATGTAAACATCTTTGTTTTTCCTTAAAATTATGAGAGAAAGCTACAGACAGCTTCAAGAATTTAAGTATTTCCAAAAATTGGAAACAAACTAGGTACCTTATATTAAGGAACCAATATAATAAATTATGGCACATAAGTCCAATGGAATGTTTGTAGCTGCTAAAAGCAGTAATTATGAAGACTACGTAAAATTATGAAAAACATTTTTTAAATGTCACATGAAAGTAGCAGAATACTAATAACATGATCATAACTTTAAGAAAATTGACCTACAAAATGGTAATACTCAAATAATTCCTATGTCAAGCTGGTAACAGTTATTTTGATTAGTTAAAAAATGATGTCCTAATGTCTTTTCAATTAAAAAACAAGAATCAGATTTTGGATCATTAAACACTAAGCTTATTGAAAACAGGTATCCTTAGTTATTCATCTCTGTAGTCCCATCCTCTAGTACCAATTATAAACAGCACCTGTTTAATGCTACTCGGCTTTGGCACACTCTGGTTCCTCTCTCTGGACTGCTCTTCTCCTGGGAGGCAGTATAATACAATAAAGAACTTCTGCATTGTGATCTGCTGTGACCTATTTCAGAATCACCTGAGGGATCCTCATTAAAAATGTCATTTCCTACAGAATCAGAATGACTGGCAGTAAGGCCTTGGAAACTGCATTTGTAGCAAGTACCCCAAGCGGTGCCTAGGTACAAAATGTGAGGACTGTTAACAAAGTGGCTAAGAATTTAGGCTTTTAAGTCAGACAGACCTGGGTTTAAATCTGTGCTTTAGCTACATATTAGCTGTTACCTTTGCCATTACTTGCCTTTTCTATATCCAGTGTCTTTATCTGTAAAATGGAAAAAATACTTCAGGTCTTCTTAAAACCATTGTAAAAAATCACAGAAGTTAATATGTATGTGGTGATATATATACACACACACACACATACACACACACACACACACAGTGCTGAGAGCATCATTTGGCACAAAGTTAAGCATTTAGTAAAAGTTGGTTATTCCTTCCTTTTCACATACTTAGAAAGCTCCTATGTATTCTTAAAGAATCCAGCTCTGAATTTTCTACTTTAATTTTCTGAGCACATGTTGCACGCTATACCTACTGGATTTCTTGATCATTGCATTATCATGAGACAGTTGTATAATTAAACAAAAACATGCTTCCTCTCCCCTCTCCCCACTATTATACTTGACCTTTTCCATGGCGGGGACCATGGCTTATTAATTCTTATATCCTTAGCATCTATTATAATATCATGTCCATAGCTGGCATTCAATAAATATTTCTTGACCCTTCAAAAAATGTTTACTGTATAAAACATTGTGATATTTGTTGTAGTTTACAGAAATACATATGAATGAAACAAAGGCCTTGCCCTCAAGAAGCTTATATTCCAGTAAGAAAGACAAAGGCATAAATAATAGCTCTTAAAACAGATTATAATGAAAGTTCAGAGTGGTATGCAGAGATGTAAAGATAAATGAAGATTAATGAATGAAATAAGTTATTAACACATATCTTGGGGCCAATAAGAAAGGGCCTTTTGTATCCACTTTGCTATTCTTTGTGGTAAATGCAGTACATTGAGAGAATAGTGGAAAATTAGGCTACGGAGAGATTAGAGAACAAATTTAGAGATTTGAGTGATGAGCTTAAGAGGTTAGACTTTATTTTGTGTTTTGTGGGAAGCCACTAAGTATTTTTAAACAGAAATAACATAAGATTTTGGATGACAACTATGGTAAGAGAGGTCAGAAGGACTGGAAGCAAGGAAGCCAGTCATTATGCTATTGCAGTAGTCCAGGTAAAATGAGACCTGATGTAAGGCAAAGGAAAAGAAGGGGCAGATGGCTAAAGAGCTGAGGAAGGCAGTAGACCATGTCTGGTGAGTATGGGATTAGGGCAGTGATGCTAAAATTTCAAGGTAGAACAACCTCCAAGAGAATGGTGATGCCATTAGTTGAAATATGAATCAGAAAAGCCAGAAAGATGAGATCTCAATGGGTTATGCCCATAGGGCAGCCAAGTTGAAAGAACCCCAGGAACCAGGTAAAAATATGGGTTTGGTACTCAGAAGAGAGCTCAAGCCTAGAAATGTGGTCATAGACTTGATTTAGTTGAAACTGTGGGACTACATGAGATTGTAATGGAAGAGTCTGCAAAGTGGGAAAAGGCCCACACATCTAAGTGACCCAAAGCAGGAGCAATTGGAAAATCTGTAGCAAAAGGCAGGGCCCTACAGGCCAGAGAGTCCAAGGTTGCAGAGGGCTTGTGCAGAATGAAGACTCAGAAGAAGGCAAGAATTTAATGTCTTGTAAGCCTCAAGAAAATGCAATGTTGGTAATAATTGGGGTGAATGCCAGACACAGTGAGTTAAAGAGCGAATAGGAAGAGGAAGCTGTGGAGGCAGTGAGCACAGCCTACTTTTTAAATAAATGTTTTGGTGAAAGAAGAGCCAAATTGATTTCCAAACAATATTTAATTTTCAACTCCCATTTTCCATCTCATCCATATCTTCTTTTATCCTCTCTTCCCCATTTGATGAGCCACCACCCAGATTGCATTGTCTGTCTCTGTGGGCTATATATTGGCTGGCCTTCTGCCGTTAACTTAAATATTCCTGCTCGCAAAGTAAAACTTAACATAAACTTAAGCCTGAACTTAACTTCCCTGTTCTCTAAATAAAAATCTACCTTGCTTTTTCCCTTTCAAAGAATCTGGGTAAGCACTGACCAAGTACATAATCCTCATATCCTCATAGTAGACTAAATCCTCATATCTAAATCCATAGTAGACTAATCCCTCATATCCTCATAGTAGACTAAAGCCAATTTTAGAAGGGCCTTCACCATTCTACACAGTGGGAAACTAAGGCCAGAGAGGAACAATCACTTCTGCATGGGGACACCATCTTCGTGGCAGGCTACCTCCTGACTCCTAGGTAGAACCTCTCCTATTATTTCATGCCTGAAGCAGTAAACTGACCTTGCTGTGTCTCAGTGTTGTTTCTTGATGGAAAAATGACAGCCTTTTGCTTAGAATCAGGATGGACAGTTGGCAAAATTATGGCTTAGTATCACTGAGATATTGTTTTTTCATTGCACTTATGAGATCATTTTATAAAAAGTACTACCATGCGAGACCACAGAGGAAATTTGGATGCAGTTACTTTGAAGAGGATGCTAAAAATTTCACATAAGCAAAAAGTATAAATTTTTTAGTTATTTTCCAACAGTTCCAGAATTGGGATAGTAGGTATCTTTAAAGTAGTCCCAGTCTTTGTTCTCAAGGATAGAACACACAAAACTCAGTAAAGATGTACACTTCCCTGTTACAAAAGCGGGGCTGCTTCCTTTCTTCCGGCTATGCCAGAATCTTGTTAAAAGCTTGTAATAATGTAGAGGTGAACTGTGGAGACCAACATCTTTTACTGCATTTTTGACTCCAGAGTCTCCGTTTATCTCATTTGGGTGGATGCTGACAAAACAAGATACTAAATGAAAAAGCATTACAGGAACAACTATGATTGGTAGGAATTTACAACTAGTTCAGACTATATATACAGACAATTAATTACTGGCTTAGTGGTGAGGAAAAAACTAGAGGGGAAACCACTTCCACTTTCATAATTCAAAATAAATATTTTTAACAGTGAAACTTTACAGAAAGTGATTGATCAGCAGCCAACTACACATACTCATGGCCATCCTAGTTTTGTGTCCGTTTTGTTTCAGGCTCAGTGCATACAGAAGCACCTGAGTCTCAACTGGGAATTGATTTAGGAAGGAGAGGTTTTGGATGTTTGTGTAAACCTGGAATCAAAATGAGTTGTCTGGTGGGAAAAGGGAGCATGGCTTTAATTAATGAGGTGAGAGGATATAGTTGAGAATCACAAGTTGGAATTCAAGTTAATTGAATTCCTAATGTGGGCCCTGAGCTGGTTATTGGACTACTCTGTGCCTCAGTTTCTCTAGTGTGAACATCCTGGGCATCATTCTGTCAGCCTAAATTACTGGCTCAGGAACACAAGTTATTTTCATTGGATACACATGCTGAGTGGGAGAGTGAAAAGCTTTGGTGAGTACAAGTCACAAATAAAATGGTGAAATCTTACACAGTTACCTTCTTGAATTTCTCTTCTAGGATCCAAAATCACTTTCTTGGGCATGTGAACATTTTTGCAGCAATTCAAGCTGTAAATTATCTGGCCTACCCAACAGTTCTCATAGCAGATTCCTACAACATGGAGTCCTGAGTACTTTGGGCCCACACAGCGTTTTATATATTAAACACTTAATCTATTTTGAATATAGTTGTAACAGCATTGAGTGTGTGTGGGTCTTAGCTCTGTAGCAGCAAGTATAGCAATACTCCTCCTAGGCAGATCAAGGAATTGAGGTCAATCACTGATCAGCCTGTATTCTTAGAGTGGGATTATACCAAATACTGGATATCAATTTAGAAGTTGCAGGGTTTCATTCTATGCTCACTCCCATTTGCAGTTGTACTTTTGTGTGATATGACAAAATGGCACAGATGGTGTAATGTGTATGATTGTTAATGTTTCTCATTTTTGTCCCTCCACAATTCATTCCCTATAGCATCCATCTCACTTAAGGTTCACTGAGGCACTATAGAATGCATAGAGTGAGATGGAAATGAGATTCCCTGCTGATAAACTGGAAGTAGGCTGAAGGCATACTGGGCCCATAATGGAAAAATCAGAGCTAATGTAGAATATTTTTGAAGAGTCTTATATTTTGTAATTATTGCTTTCTTTGGGGCAAAGGAGAGAAAATTGAATCGAATGACAGAGAGCCATGTTGTTTTGTAGTTTTGTGCAGTACAAAATCAGCAAGCCCCCAGGGCAGCCTGGACTCAACAGACAGCCCTCACTGATCAGATTTCACTCATTTGTGTAGTCAGGTCATTCATGAGTGTTTATTATTCAGGTTTATCTGCCGTTGCCCCCACCCCATCACCTTGCCAACTTTTATCTGTTTCATAAAAGCTGTTCATATATTCTACCTGTTCCGAGTAAATAAGCCCTATGGCAGCACTGGATCAGATGCTGCCTTTTCTCAGAATCTTTTACAGACATATGGAGCAAGTACTACGTGCCTTGCTCTGTGCTAGGCCCTAAAGATACAAGTATCTGCTTGTAAGATAGACAAAAAAATGTCAGAGGAGGGAGGAAAGGGGACAAGGGTTGCAAAACTGTTGGGTACTGTGTTCAGTACCTGGGTGATGGGATCAGTTGTACCTCAAACCTCAGCATCATGAGATATACCCAGGTAGCAAACCTGCACATGTACCCCCTGAATCTAAAATAAAATTGAAAAAAATTATAAAAAACAAAAATTTTTTAAAGATAAAAAATGTGATAACTGCAATAATAGAGATATGTACAAGATATAGAAGTAACACAGAAAGGGGGTTTAGGGTATTTAGCACTTCCTCTCTCTGATAAAGTAATGCCTGAGAAGGGCTTTAAAAGAAGTAGGAATCCCTCAGGCAGATGAGGGGTGACAAGGAGCCCCAAACTGAGAGAACACCTGGAGGGTAGAGTGGGTGGCCGGCTGCAGATAGCTCAATATAGTAAGAGCAAATGGAACACAGGTGGGAAGTAGGACTGGAAAGGGAGGCAAGGCCAGGACTTTCTCCTATGAGGATAAAGCGGAGCCGCTAGGAAATTTAAATAAGGAGGAAATACCAGCTGTTGTTTTTTAATGGCTCTGTAGCCATGTGGAAGATGTATTCGAGGGGATCACATTAGAGGCAGGCAGACCAGTTGGAAAGCTTTTGTGGTTGTCCAGGCAAGTGATGAAGGTAGCAATAGAGATGGAGAAAAGAGGATAATTTGAAAGTTATTTAGAAGAAAAGTCAATGAGAGTTGATAATTAATTAGCCATAGGGAGTGAAGATGCAGGAGAAATCCAAAGTGAATTTGGTTTCTCATCCAGGTAACAAAGCCATTCATCAAGAGAGGGAGTACTGGGAAAGCAGTGAGTTTGGTGGGACGGAGAGTTCAGGTTTGGTTATGTTGAGTTTAAGTAATCTATGGGTTAGGACATATATGGGAAGAAATCAAGTAGGTCATTGTATAGATGAGCCTAAAGCCCAAAGACAAGGGTGCGTTACAAATGTAGACACGGAAGTCAGTAGTGTATATGACATGGTTGAAGCTATGAGCAAGCTTGCGGAAGAGAGTTTGTCAATGAAAAACTAGGATGGAGAGCAGGCACTCCAAACACCAGCACTTCACGGAACCTTTGGGAAAAAGGGTCAATGAAGAAGAATGAGTAACACCATGCCATTCAACGACAGATTAATTCCATAGTCATATCATCCAGTTTTGCACAGGTCCACCTTTCCCCCTATCCCTCTGACTTAGTTGCCTTAAACAGAGTATCTGTTGTTGAGAGAGCATCAAGAGGTATGTCCTCTCACAGGTCCCAGGCTTTGTGATCATTCTGAAAGGTTCAGTAGTGTTAGACAGCACTATCTTCTCCCCAGCTATTTTTAATGGGACTTTACAGTCAAAGCCCCTGATGGTCTACTTTTTAGAAGTTAGCTCTCTAGGTTGAAGTTATTACAAACATAAATGCTTTTTAATGACAAATTTGCCTTAAAGGTATGCAGGGCAGTTGTCATGAGCAACATGGAAAATGAGCCCCTGAACTGAAATGTATGTTTGGAATTAAACTTTTCAGGTTGTGCATGATGAATCATTTTCAAGCTCTGTTTCCCTGCTAAGATTGTAAATGTTGGGTTCTTTGACCCGAGTCTGAGAAGGTCTCAGGAGAGGGTAATTTGGCTATGATTCTGGAAGACAATATGTTGTTTCCCCTCTCCCCCAGTTTTCCAACAGATGATTTATCAGTGGTTAAAGGGTCCCCACCCTCTGTATTTAGGAATCTGGTCAGAATGCTTCAGGATGCTGTGTCTTACAGATGGGAAGTGCTCAGGAGCCATGAGATACTTGTTTGAATGATCAATTGATAATGAATTAATATTTTTCCCTTCTCTGTCCTCACTGATCTTTATTAACCCAGACAAGCAGCCAGTTTCCCTTCAAGCCTCTGTTTTTGCAACTGTAGGTTATTCATGTTGGTGCATATGTATATACCAGCTGACTGGCTGTCCCTTTTGATGTTCCTCTGACTCCTTTGGAGAATAGCTCAAGCGGGCATTTCCTGTGAGCTGGCAAGTGGGCGAGGGTCACTGTGCCCAGGATGGGCTTCTCTTCCTGTCTGTGCTCTTCACACGAGGAGTTCCCTTGGCATGCATTTGGTATTGCCAGCATCATAGAAGCAAAAGCTTATCCAGAAAGAGGCCCTATGGTGTATTTTACAAGAAGATTCAACCTTCAGCAGCCTGGTTTTGTTCTCCTGCTGCACAGTTTATAAGTAAATGACTCCTGGATATTGATATTGCAGCTCCCTCTAGTGTCACTGTGGCTCAGGCTCTCATAGCATTTTTTCTTGCCTTTCAGAAAATATAGACAGCACAGAATCTGCCAAATTCACAGCATTTTAAGTAGATTTTCCCAAACATAGCCAAGGCAAATATGAGGTGATTTTTCCCCTATTAGAAAAGGGAATGTTTAATGAAGATGTAGGACCATTCCAGTTCTAGTTTATTTTTATTCCTATTTTTAAATTTTGGGGGTCCTAGGAGGAGTCCTGAAGTAATCATTTATAGATTAAAGAGTAGCTGGCATGAACAAGTAGAATCTTTCTTGAGATTCCTCCTGCTACTCTTGAGATGCCAGCTACTCTTTATAAAGAAGGAATGTGAATTCTTTTCAAGAAAGATAATGAGAGCCAAGAAGAAGTTACTTTAATCCCTGGTAGAGAAAATACTGGGTAAGGGCAGAAGGAAAAAATTTGACAGGAAGAACCCTATCCATTTGTTCTGAAAAATTGGTTTGTTTTCTGAAATAACTTTTGAACTAGAAATTTGTTATCTGAAGTCAGGTCATTTTGAGGTTTTTTTTTTAACTAAAGGAGTTATTAATATTTGAAAAATGGCTACAATGTGGTACCTAGAATAATATAATACTCCTACCTAAATTAACATCATTGCAGGCTCCATAATAAAGATTTATGAGATACCCATCAAGCAAAATCCTATTATGGAAATCTCCATTGGTCTGTGTTTGGGTTGTAACTGTTTTCAGGGTTATGAACCAAGTAAAATCACTCTTTTTCCCTCCTCTTTTACACTCTAGTCTTCTCCCTTTTGCCTTTGCTCTTAAAGCTAGAGTGACTCATTATTCTTCAACCTGTCTATGTATTATAAAATGAAGAGATAAGGAAGTGCTGCCCACTCAGGTTATCTATCTAGGGAGACCATTTTCCTTTAGAGCATCCAAAATCGTGAAACAATTTATCATTTCTTCTTCGTAAATCACTTTGATCCTTTATCTCAAGTAGATCTGTGAAGCTAAACATAAATTCTTATTGTAGTATCCACATTCTTGTCTACTCACAAAGCTCTGGAGGACCTTATAAAAATGTGTGTGTCTGTGTGAATGTCTAGATATAATTAGAATATCACAATTAAAATACGAGTCACAATTAGAATACCTTCTCTGCTTCTAATATTAAACTACAAGGTCACAGTTTTTTTTTTCAGCCTGACTTGACATAGTTAAAAACTAGACTTGGCCAAACAATTCTCTCTCATAGCTTTAGGTTGCCCTGTCTTGGATTCTAACATACTGCTGGTGTTAACTTGTTTGTCAGGGCTGACCCTGGCTTGGAGGTATTGAATGTTAGCAGTTTCTTTTTGTCTGTCCTCTATCAAATTTGTGATCAGAGAGCCTCACTGCTGTGGCAGGTGGCTGTCGGGACTCAAAATAAAGATCTATTTTTCTGTTTTGCTCATTGTTTCAAAAAATTAGGATTCTCTAAGATTGCATTAGTTTGACATTTGCAAGTTGTTAACTGCTTTAGTCATTATCAGTGTTGCATTTGTACAACTTTGTAGTTTACAGATGTACGCTATATACTTGATCCCAATTAATCCTCACAACTGCCCTGTGAAGTAGATTTCAGTGTTCTTCATATTGTCTCCTTTAATAGGGAGACTGAGACCCAGAGAAATTAGTGAAATGCTCAAGGTTATACAGCTAGTAGCAAAGCTAAATCCCAGGCCTCCCAAGCCCTTGGAGAGTGTCATTTTTTATAATGTAACAGCTAGAGTTTAACCATCCAATCTGATTCAGCCAAATTTAGTGGTATGAAGAGTTGAGACCCTTGAGCTTTCATTCCAGAAGACAATATAATATTGAGCAAATTTAACTGGCAATGGGGATAATGGTGCCATGTGCTGGATCCAACTCCTATACAACTAAACAATGACTAGTATAGAATTTTTAAATACCTGGTAACACTTAAATGTGAAATATTGCCAACAGTGCAGTTACAAAAATAACAAATGTTATGATTGATGAGCATATAGGATTATATATTATACTGCATATACTAAGACTTCGAGAGCTTTCCAGAGATAATATTTTCTGAAAGATATATGTTTGAACTTGAACTCAGGCTGGGGATGTCTGTTCAAGACCAGAAGTTTGCTTAAAAAAGAAATACTTAGTATATCCTCAAACTGAATTAGATAGGTAGTAGAAGACTTGAAGGAACTTGTGCTGAGGTATAGATAGATAGATAGATAGATAGATAGATAGATAGATAGATAGATAGATAGATTGATTGATTTCCATGGCACTGATCACTGATATCAGGCTTCTTTAACTGTAGTAAATATGATAAACTAGAGAATAAGAGAAAGAGAGAGAGAGATGCTTTTCTCCGCTGAGACTCCCTTGTCTTTGATCTTTTTTTTTTTTTAATCTATTTGAATGGAAATCAGAATGTGCTGCTTCTCAGAACTGGGTCCTATCTGAATCTTCCTAAGAATGTGTACATTTTTCTTTTTAAATAAAAATGACTAGAAATTGCTTTTTTAAGTTTTGCTTTTCTGTATTATTGTAATAAACATGCAGTGTAAACACTACAGAGAGTGCATGTTCCTGGGAGCCTTTGATATTTGTAATGTGGCAGTGTGCCTCTGCTGAGGAGGGAGAGCAGAGAATGACCCTCAGTTAACAGGGCTGTGGAGCAGACTCCAGACCAGACTATTATGATCCATGAACTAGTATTAGAGACTCAGTCTTCCACGGTCAGCCTCTCTATAGCATGAGAATAACCCATTTGGGGGTGGTTTTACTTACTTTTTGCTTTGATAACCCCTTAAGAGTAGAAATAGAATCGTCACAGTATGTAGAACTCTTGGCTAACTTTTTTTGATCAAAAAATTCTTCCTTGATCCATAACCACTTAGTAAAGTTCTTTATGAAAGGTTTTATTGCCTCAATAGTGGGTATTAAATGAGGCCTGTTAAGAGAAAGCATAAAACTCAGAAAACCACCATTGAAATGTTGGCTTTGTTCTGACTAGGTCAGACCAGTGACTCTCTCAACCCTACCAGTGAACCATGAGTGCCAGTGTTGTGACCATCACAATGACATTCATTGAAAAGTTAGGAAAACCCACAGTTTACCTGGCCAATGTTATATCACTCTCCTAAGCTGTGAGATGTTGACACAAAGGGCGATGGGTGATGAAATAAGGTATTTTGGTCTCCATTATGAGTCCATTGGCCTGCTGTATCATTCTGGGCTACAAACCTCTACAGAAGTAAGAGAAAAATTATTTCATTGTTGTTGTTCTGATGAGGTGCAAGGTTATAGTGGAAAGAGCAGGCTTTGGCATTAAACAAACTTAGGTTTGCACACATAACCCCGGGCTTTTTTTCTTTTTTAAATTCTTAGATCCTCAATCTACTGTGAAAGGTTAATGTGAGGACTAAAAATGGTACACTTAAAGTGCTCACCACAGCCTGGCATGTAGACAACCATGAGAAATGGTTACCACCATTATTATTGCCACTTAACATGGGGCAAGCCTTGCGAACAACTTTACTATATGATCGTTTGTCCCTAACCAGTCACCTTCCAGTTAATCTTCCCTGATACATCATAAACCTGGTTATGAGAGTGTGAGTTTTGAATTGTTTTATTATCTTTCAGATCTGTAAGAGCAAAGCTAAAGAATCTCAGCAGTATTATCACAGCTTGGCTGTCCGGCAGAGTCTGGCTGTCCATTTTAACATTCAGCAGGACTGTGGTCATTTCCTTGCTGAAGTCCCTAACCGTCTGCTTCCCTGGGAGGATCCAGATGACCCTGAAAAGGATGAGGATGACATGGAAGAGACTGAAGAAGACGCCAAAGGAGAAACGGATGGGAAAAACCCAAAGCCCTGTTCTGAAGCAGCATCATCCCAGAAAGAGAATCAGGGAGTCATGAGCAAGAAGCAGAGGAGCCACGTTGTGGTCATCACCAGGGAGGTTCCATGTCTTACTGTGGCTGATTTTGTGCGAGACTCTCTGGCCCAGCATGGGAAAAGCCCTGATTTGTATGAGAGGCAGGTGTGTCTGCTGCTCTTACAGCTATGCTCTGGTCTTGAGCACCTCAAACCCTACCATGTCACTCACTGCGATCTACGCCTAGAGAACCTGCTACTTGTCCACTACCAGCCTGGGGGGACTGCCCAAGGCTTTGGGCCTGCAGAGCCCAGCCCCACCTCATCTTATCCCACTAGGCTTATAGTGAGCAACTTCTCTCAGGCCAAGCAGAAGAGCCATCTGGTGGACCCCGAGATCCTCCGGGACCAGTCTCGCCTTGCCCCAGAGATCATAACAGCTACCCAGTATAAAAAGTGTGATGAGTTCCAGACAGGCATCCTCATCTATGAGATGCTGCACCTACCCAACCCCTTTGATGAGAACCCAGAGCTGAAGGAGAGGGAATACACACGAGCAGACCTGCCTCGCATCCCATTCCGCTCCCCCTACTCCCGGGGTCTGCAGCAGCTGGCCAGCTGCCTCCTGAATCCCAACCCTTCTGAGCGGATCCTCATTTCAGACGCCAAAGGCATCCTCCAGTGTCTGCTCTGGGGCCCCCGCGAAGATCTCTTCCAGACTTTCACCGCCTGCCCTAGCCTAGTACAGAGGAACACCCTGCTCCAAAACTGGCTAGACATCAAGCGAACACTGCTCATGATCAAGTTTGCTGAGAAGTCCCTGGACAGGGAAGGTGGAATCAGCCTTGAGGACTGGCTTTGTGCTCAGTATTTGGCTTTTGCCACTACAGACTCCCTCAGTTGTATTGTGAAAATTCTGCAGCACCGTTAATGTGTACCTGGATGATGCTTTTACTACATCTTCACCTTCTTCATGTCACCCATGCACTTCCCCTCCCTAGTGCTCACTCCAAATTCAAGGAAAGAAGAAAGGCAAACCTCTATCCCTGTCCGTGAACAAGTGGGTCTATTCAGAAAGGTTATCCACTGCCCCAGATTGAATGAGAAGCTGAGTCTGTCTTAACTTTACAGAAATTCAGCTGCACAAACTTGCAGTTGCCTTCCCTTGAAACACCTTCTATCCTAATAGTCCCATAAATGCAGGTAAAAATGAAAATCCATATTCTTGAAGGGACAGCTTCTTTGGTATGAACTCAGCCAGTGAGCTGTGTCCATTTCCTCCATAATTCTGGATATCACCTATCTTTTTAGCACCAAGTATTTATTCTCACTAGCAGTAGACAGACTTAACCAGTCTCTACCACGACCCAGTAGACTCTGACAACAGACTCTTCCTTTAAGGTGTCAACAACTGACTTACTAGGCAGGACTGCCATCCTTAGCATCAGCCCAGTTTTGGTTACCAGGGACTATATCTTTTGTTCCAGGAGAGAGTAGAAAGAAAAGGAGAGATCCCATCCTTGGGTCATAGACCCATTTTCATTGCCATTATCTGTAAGTATGTGCACTGCATGGAGGACAGCCCTAATAGTCTCCCCTCTGCTGCCACTGCCTGATTCTCCACTCTGTCCCCACTTGCCAGTGAAGTTTGGATTTATCAGCCACTTGTGGCCCATTACAGAGCTGACCCAAGGTGGTGTCACCAATGCCTCAGCAGGGTGGAGTGCAGTTCAGAGCTTATAAATAGCTGGCAGGGCATGAGGAGATGATTTTCTTGCATGTGCAATTCTCTAGGGGCCATCAGGAAACAGAGTTTAAAGTACCCTTTGATTACTGTCAGAACTGTCAGCATTTGCAGTTTTCCCCGAGCAGTAATTGGCCAGCTCCCTTCTATCAGTAGCCAGTGTTAACTAGTTTACCAAATGCTGTAAACAATTGCCCTGAATGAAATAGCTGTCAGTGGAGCTCTAAGATCTCCTTTAGAGGGCACAGTGAGGTGGGCTGTTGGGATGGCCGTAGGCAGGGGAGAGGAAGAAGGCCACTGATGAGACTGCTGACCTCCTCAGAAGGTTGACCTCTTCTAGAGAGACTGCCTCCCAGTGTTTAAGTGGCTCATTGCTCCTTCTGACTCTGTAAAATGGCTCTGGAGGACAGCTCACAGGAATTCTGATTGCTGAGGTGGGTGATTGAGAGCTGTTCACCATGTGTGCAGCCTGTGCTCCCCTTCTATGGATATGTGTGCAATTTTTGTATGTATTTTTTTAGCTGTATATTACAGTGTTTATGTTGCAACTTCACCTGAAGCGAGTCTACAGAAACCCTCCCCCTTCTTCCCTTGGCACATATTTGCGCTAAGAGATGAGCGTTCCTTCCACTGGGGTTGTGTGTGTGTGTGTGTGTGTGTGTGTGTGTGTGTGTGTGTGTGTATGTATACACATGTTCACCTGTGCTTGTTTTATTCAAAACTGTGAGTATGTGTTTACTTTGACCTTGAAATCCCAAGAGTCACTCGAACAATGTGTGTGTACACTTGTGTGCCCATGTGTGCGTGCACACGCATGCTGGAAGTAGAGGCCAGGCCTCTAGAAAAGCAACCTGTGGCAGGGTTGACAGACATGTTCTCTGTGCCTAGTGAGTGAGTGAGCCCTGAGGCCCCTCATCTACCAGTGCAGAGTTTCCTTAAAGCCAAGACTGACTGTGCAGTATTACTTACATAGCACATTAGTGGCCTTGGAAATTTCTAAACTTTTAACATTTTTAACAGCTTTTCATGTGATTCATGTATAACAAAGAGGATCAGGAAAGGAAAATAATGTATTTTATTGTGCTCTTATTACTTTTTTAAGTGATTGTAATATGTGAGGCTCTATTTGGAGAATGTCCCTTATCCCCTGGCCAGCAATATAGGACTCACAGGAAAGAAGGCTGGTTAGCCCACAAAGAGTCTTGCCTCCTCTAGCCAGAGTGCAGGGCTCTGCTCCTAGGAATGGCCATGGAGTGGGCATGCTGCTGCAGGCCAGCAGTCTGCTCTTGGTGTCCTGTGGCATGGCCGCGCCTTGCCTTGAAGGTTGGTGTTTGGTTCATCTTAGCATAGAACATGTGCACATAACTCCTTGCCTGATTATGCACTGAAGGGCAGCACACAGACCACTGACCATGTCAGCCAGCACATTCCCTTAACCTCCCCCACCTCCCATCTTGCAATGTCTTGCATATTGAGATATACCTTCTCAATGTCATGTTCGTGGTGCCTTGCCCATGTAAATTTCAATGTTGACTATTTAATGAGGTTACATATTTAATGCTGAATGTTTCCTGGTCCCTCTATTTGTTATGTCTCTACTTATCTTTTTTTTTCTTTCTCTTTTTCTGTTATGATTTGGATCCAGTCTTCACTTTAACTCTATGGTATAATAAGCATGGACACCTCCACTACCATTATCTTACAGCACTGGTAAACCAAGCACCTCTTCATATCAGATGTTTTTAGTACTGTTTTTATATTCAGATTTGTTAAGGGCAAAAGATGAATGCAAACTAGCCAGAGAAAAGCCTCAGGCTTCCCAGAGACAGGTGGCTAGATTAATTTTTCTCTGGGTGATGGCCAAAGAATGTGAGATAGAGAGGGAAGGGGGTGTTACAGGTTAGAGCAGAATAGAGAAAGAAACTATATTTCTAGGCAAAAAGTACTACATGAGTTGGTCTTCAGAATATTTTTCCAAAAAAATGAAATTCAGTCAGTTTAACATTATCACAAATATTTTTCATTTTAATTGTGGTAGGACCTTTGAATTTGTTCATCAACTGGAAAGAAATCCTACCCTCTGTAGACACATACACACACATTTATATATCTATGTGTTTGAATTGTGACTAGTATAGCACTTTACATTTTCTCAAGTAACAGGAAGTTATTGCCTTCAATATTGATTGGAAATTGTTTTCTATTGAAGTCTATACTGTAGAGTTTTCCATTTATATTGAGAGTTTGAACAATTAAGCTCCTATTGGAACTTTTCCTTAAGCCACATGAGCATGAACAATCTCTGTGACACTTGGGTGCTAGAGAAACACAACAGTGGCTAAAGTAGCCAAGAGCAAGACTGAATGTATAGCAGAGTGCCTTGTTAGAGTGGTAACCTAGTCTTGGAAGCAATTCAGTGGATGTTTCATAAAGAGGACTAGAACTTCAAGAAGCCTCCTGTGCTGGCTGAGGTGAGCCCTTTTGGTATATGTACACTACTGGGTTGCCTAGAAGCCAATTCATGAAGAATAACAGCAGGATGAGAAAAAGAGTCACTGTAACCTGTGGAACAACAACGTAAGAATCACCAACCCCTAGGCTGAGCTAGAACTGGAAGCCAGGAATATGGCAATGAGTTTCAAGATTTGCCCTCAGAAGATGAACTGGGTGAGGTATGGGTTGAGGTGAGGGCACAAGCACTCATCCTACCTACCCTGCTGCTGTTGAGGAGCTAGAAGTAAAACATATTGGTTAGGATTTTAACAGTTGGAGTAGCCTCCCATTATCAGATTAAGTGGGGGTCACTTTTGCTTCCAAACTCAGAATAAGTTTGTAAACATGGGAAAGTCTAAGCCAAGAGATCTAAAGCTCTAGAAATATTAATGACATTTCTGGGAGTAAAACTACTAAAAATTATATCTTAAAAGTTTCTAGTAGTATGAAGTTCCCAGGCCAGGCGCAGTGGCTCACGCCTGTAATCCCAACACTTTAGGAGGGCGAGGTGGGCAGATCACCTGAGGTCAGGAGTTTGAGACCAGCCTGGCCAACATGGTGAAACTCCATCTCTACTAAAAATACAAAAATTAGCCGGGCATGATGGCAGGCACCTGTAATCTAAGCTACTCGGGAGGCTGAGGCAAGAGAATCTCTTGAACCCAGGAGGCAAAGGTTGCAGTGAGCCAAGATCACGCCATCGCACTCCAGCCTGGGAGATTGAGCAACTTCGTCTCAAAAAAAAGTTTCCAGGAAAGATCTTTGGGTCCTACTAAGCGTCTCAATTTTGAGTTATGAATACTTTGGTTCAGGGAAGTAACCTGACATTTGGTTTTGCTGGAATTAGGGTTTTCGCTAGATTTGACTGCAATTAGGATTTCTTCTAGATTTTACCAGCAGTGATCTGAAAAAGTACAGGCTAGTCACAGAAATAGAGATGGATTTAGGATACTACACTATATTTCAAATGATTCTAGATGTGTAAATATAGTATGAACATTCTTGGAGAGGGGTGAGACAAACTGGACTTGCTGGGCCAACCCTGGCATGTTTTTCATTCTCCTCACTAGTTGACAAGGATTGAAAATTCCGCTCCAGCCTAATGAGTGAACAGGATGGCTGCCCACAAAACCAAGTTATTAGCTTTATGTCATCGAAGCTCATATTCTCAAAGGCCCAAAGTGCTGTGCCGAGACAAATCCAAGTGCTGCTCTTGCTGAAGTGCGCACTGAAGTCCAGCTGTCCGTGCTTACAGCAGTGCCAAAAGTGGGGATTCCATGGACCAAAAACGGTGCCATAAGGGAAGCCAGAAGAGTTGCAGTGCAAGATCCTGGGAGAGATTATACCAAAGAAATCAAGCCTTTTTATCCTGATGCTTCTAAGATGATGAGGGTGAGCTGTGACAGATGCTGTGGGAGGGGAGTTCACATACATTCCATGTCAAGGCATTTAGCTGATAAATCCATCCTCAGAAAAGCACCTTTTTAAAAAGAAGTCCATTTTGTATATTAGAAGATGATGATGATGATGAAGATGAAGAAAGCCCTGGCAGATACAAAGTTCCTCAGTATTTAAGGAGAAGGATCTCTTCCATGTCCCCTTGACATGACTGTGGCTATTGCCCAAACCTCAGCTTGAGAACATCATATAATACTGAGAGCGGAAGATTTTTTTAAAGAGATATGGTAGTTTAAATAGGTTTGTTTAAAGAACTCTTGGGAAATTTCTTAACAAATTGTAATTGTTTTTATAAACCTTCCTACAGAGTTGTGTACCATTCATCATCACCATCATTTAATATCTGTAAGTGCCCAGAAGGTACAAGGTGCTATACAGCCGTTAAACACCCCCTCCCTGCAACTGTTTAAAATTAGAATAGATTTTTGCATCAACCACTGCTAGAAGCTTTCCCCACCTAGGTGGGCTGCAAGGGCCTGCATTCCCAACATCCCATTACATGTTTCCCACTCCAGAAAGTCTCTGGGTTTATTCCAGCTTTTTATCTTGACGTGTCCCATTCACCCCCATGGTTTGGTTTGGTTTGGTTTTGTTTTTTAAATCAAGAAAGTTTCAGGGAATCAAAAGAGGTCGGACATTTTTTAACCTAGCAGAAGTACAGAGTCATATATTTTGCTACGAATATTGTTGTAGTACAGAAAACCCACTTTGCCCGTTAGTGTGTGGATAGTATGTGTGTGTCCGCACTCATGATAACTTGAATGTTGAACCAGACATAGGGTTCATTTTTGAAAGGTTAAACCACACTGTTTCAGGAACTTGCTCCAAATACTACTTGGTTATCCCTTCCTTTACCAGTTAGAACTAAAGAGTGTGATGTATGAACACACTGGGTTGGGATTTTCTGTTGAGGATATGCAGGGCATTTTGGCATGAGGCAAATACAGAAGCAAGATTTCATTCTACTTGGTGATTTGAATCATGACAGTCCTCATTCCAATCTCTCTTTAATTCTCTCTGGCCCTGCCCACACTCTGTATTTGAAAATCTTGTTTTTGCTCTTTCCGGAGCTTCACCCCTCTACTTACATATTGTAAAGTTGTATAAATCTATCATTGAAAGGTCCTCTCTGCCAGCAGTGGTGCCACCCTTTGGTTTGCTGTGGTACTTTGCTGTGTACTCCGTGGCATCATGTTACTGTGTAAATAAATTCATTTTAATACACACTAAAAAACAGACAAATGCTTGTCCTTTTGGCGACTCTTCCACACTGACATGCTGGGGAGGGTTTGGTTGCAGACATGGTTATGTCTTGTCCCCCCAGGGTAGGTGCCCTGTCCATAACACAGGAAATGATGGCTTTCAGCCTGTGTGTCTTCTGCACTCTGGGTCCTCATCCCCTGCTGACATGGATTATATTTCTCTTTATTCCCTGTCTAATCTGAGGAAATCAGGCCCCAAAGAGAAAGCAAAGGCATTCTGCTTTTCCCAGACCTCAGAAGGCTGCAGGTTTGCTGTGTGAGATCGCCCTCTGGTGAGCAGTCACCTGCAGGCTTCCTGGGTTTGTACTGCATGTTGAGAGGCTTGGTTAGCTGGCTCTGGCTGACCCTCTCCGTGGAAATCAGAGCTATTCAGGTAATATGAGCGGGGACAGGGCCTGGTACTGCATCATCTGCAAGATTCGCATGCCTTTGACACAGTGATACACAGGGGCCTCACAAAGGCAGACAAGCTAATGTGTGGACACTTCAGCAGCGCAGAGGAGGCCTCCTGGCTTAAGCAGGAAGAGTCAGCAGTGGTAGCAACAACTGCCGCATTATGAGAGGAGAATAGATGAAAAGGCAAACATGTAGATCCTAAATTTAGAGCAGATTTTAGAGCACCAAACCCTTTACAGTGGACACTGTCTCCAACCCGGTGTCTCTGCTCTTCTCCACTAGCAAGCACTCTGGAATTTGCAGATGCTGTTTTTAAGGCATACCCCAGAAGAGTGGCTGCCAGACTTGAGGTTTATGTTGCTGAGGAGCAACATAACAGAACCCATGTTGGTGTGGACCCAAAAGCTCTCTGTGTGTTGCCTGGGCCCAGGAGGAAGGGTCAACAGCAAGCCTGACCAGACAATCCCCAGGGACACAGGCCCTGCCTGCTGCAGCTGTGTAGCCTGCTTGCTGGAGAAGAGCCTAGAGAACTTCCCTTCTAGTTGTCAGCACAACACACTGGCTTCTGGGGGAAAGGAAGCAAAGAAAAAAGTAGGCAGTTGGGGTTGGGAGGTCACAGAAACAGAGCGTACCAGGACCGGGCTGCTGTGTGAAGCTCTGCTGGCCTGAGTGGTCACCGTGTGTGCCAGGCCAGGTCTCACTAATGCAGGACTCCATAACAACTGATTCAGTACTGACTGAGTGATTAAATTAAATATTAAAAGCTGAAGGGGCCACTGCCCTTATACGAAGGCTGAAGTGTAACAAAAGCTCCACTGGGAGTTTTGCCTAGACCTTTCCTGGGCCTTGAAGCATGACAAAATAGCGAAGGAATTCTTAACAGGACCTGTTTAGGATTAAACAAGTTTATCGGGGGTCTGAAGGAACTCCCCATACCTCCATGATTTAGCAGGAGACAAGATTAAGGGTAATCACCCCAGCACTTGGACCCATTTAGATTAAGTAAACTTACTGAGGCTCCAGAGGAAGGTCTTCAAGACTCAGACCTTAGTTATAGATTGAAAGAAGTTGGCCGGATGTGGTGGCTCACACCTGTAATCCCAGCACTTTGGGAGGCCGAGGTGGGCGGATCACGAGGTCAGGAGATCGAGACCATCCTGGCTAACACGGTGAAACCCTGTCTCTACTAAAAACACAAAAAAGTTAGCCGGGCTTGGTGGTGGGCACCTGTAGTCCCAGCTACTCAGGAGGGTGGGGCAGGAGAATGGCGTGAACCCAGGAGGTGGAGTTTGCAGTGAGCCGAGATTGCTCCACTGCACTGCAGCCTGGGTGACAGAACAAGACTCCATCTCAAAATAAATAAATAAATAAATAGTCACTTATGTCTTTAGATGAATGCACACTTACACGTAGACATATAGCTTAGAAGGTATATAAGATGTGGGAAACCGTAATTTTGAGTTGATCTGGCAATAACTTCGAGGCCTTCTCCCTGTAACTGGTTACAGAAATAAAAACTCCCTTCTCTCCCGGTTCATCTGCATCTCGTTACTGGGCCGCAAAAATAAGCAGCCTGACCCCCAGTTTGGTCCAGAAACACCTGGAGCCCTGAAAGGATACAGGCCAGTGGATGGTGGGACCAGTTCAGGATTGCCCAAGCCAGACTCCAGGTGAGGTGGAACAAGGCCAGAAAAAACACTAAGTTTCTATTCTTCAGTGGGATCACTTTGTCCTTTGGTGTAACTGGAGAGCCTGGAGATAAATTATCCTATTCCCCTTCCCCATCACATCACCCAGCGTGGGATTCATTCCTGAGAATTCCATTAGTGGTCCTCAGTGATGCCATCCTGTCTGACTCTGGGTTGTCCGGAGGTGATGGGCCACTGACAGTTGGATGGGGCCTTTGGCAGCTCCATGCCTGCAGAGTGTTGTCTTTCAACCTAAGCCACAGAGAATCTTGATTTCTTTCCTGCCCGGAGTGAATTGGTGTGGGGAGCTCTCCATTGCCTGGGGTTGTAAGTGTGTACCTTCTGCTCCAGGAACTCTTTGCCTCCTCTCCAAGGCCTAGCAAATTATGCTTCCTTATAAGTGAGTTCGCACTCTCTTCTACAAGGGAAAGAACTTCATTAGTGCCATAGGAGCCAAGAACTGCAGTTGGCAGATCACAAGTTGTTGTTAAGAGCAGCTCAAGGCAATTACAGCTGAAACTTAAAAACTGGATTTCACACTGGGTGGGGGGGTAGGAGGGAATTTGTTGCCAAGATCCAGTTCTCTCAAATTTGCAAACCTCTAAAAGGAAATAGGCTTTTTGGACACAAACTGACTTCCTTGAGATCCCAGATAAACCTCTGTACAGGTATGTGCGCGCACGCGCGCACACACACACACACACACACACACACACACACACACACACCAACTAATGGCTCCCTTGCCCTCTGGGAGCTGCATGGAAGCAACCAGAAAGCTGAGTGATAATGCTGTGAGGGCTTCTGAGGAATCTGCAATTATAAGGACCAGGGTCCTCTAGAGAAGTAACTCTCATGCAGGAAGTGGGGGGTATAGGGACTTGGGTTTTCCCCACCAGGACCACCCAATGCTCACCAGCCCACACTTGAGCTGGAGTCAAAGATAGAGCAAAAAACTCCAAGCCTATGGTTCATCTTTGCCCAGGGTTGGGGGATGGGAGGCAAATTGTACCTCAGGTAAAGAGAATGTGGAGGGATAAAGTCACCAGGCCCCCCAGGGAGGGGCAAAGTTGAATGCCTTGAAGAGCTGAGATGCTCCTCTTCCAGGGTGAAGGAGTCTGTCTCTAGAAAGCCAGCCCTGGGGGTGCTTTCCCATGAACTAGCTTAACAGCTTAATTTTATCTTCACAATCTGGTGAGGTGGTTTCTAGAATTATCCCCATTTTACCCTTGTGAAAACAAGTCAGAGAGGGTTTGTTTGCCCCAGATCCTTAGTAAGGGAACTACGATTTGTCATCCAGCAACCGTACTCCACCTCCCAGCTTCCTGGAGTGAGGGACAGTCCTCCCTCACTCTCTAGCTGTCACCCCAGTATCATCAGTGGCTTCTTGGTGTCCAAAGAAGAAAAATCCAATTGCTGAGTCTGTGTCCTCCACCTCTCATGCTTATTGCTGACCAGATGTTGCAGCAGCTCCACTCTCCAGGCTGGCCTGGGAGACATGCATTGAAATTCTCTGCACCCGCATCGTTCCTGTTCTTTTTCTCTCTGTTCTTCAGGGCCCCATTCAGCCAAGAAGCTTTTGGGATGATAGCCATCTGAAATCACCAACTCACTCCCCAGCTTCAGCTCCTGGCCTGGTGTGTGTGTGTGTCTGTGTGTGTGCACCTCCCTTCTCGTGAGCTCCTCCAGGGAGGCCATGGCTTTAGCTGCTCTGCCTGCTGTCCTTGGTGTCTGACTCAACTAACAGGAAGAGAGGAGGAAGAGAACCACCCCTGGCTGCTCCACTGGGCCAGGCCCTGGTCCAGGCTTTCCCACACATTAACCTCATTTGCTCTCCACTACAGCCATTTTACAGATGAGGAAACTCAGAGTGGGTAAGAAACTTGCCTAAAGCTGCATAGCTGGTAAGTGGTAGAGCTGAGATTCAAACCTAGGCTTGAAGCCAGTTCTCCCCACCACCATACGAGTCTTTGTCTATTGGCTTGTTTTTGTGCCAGCGGATAGGCCCAGGCCTATGGGTGTTTGCTCCAATTGTGACAGACTGGGGTAGCCAAGGAGTGCTTCCTGATGTGGGCAGAGAGTGTGAGTGAGAAGAAAGCGCTGGCTAGGCTGAGCAGTCAGATCTGTAGCTTCCCTGTAGGGCCAGCACCTTTCCCTGTCAGACCTTCACTGAACTCCTATGGGATCGCCAGGCCAACACAAGGCATTAGCACTGGCCGTCTTTGAGACATTTCCTCTCAAGGCCCCTGAGCAGACTTGCCTGTTTGCTCTCCATCTTCCCTACAGAGGGGCCTCCCAGGACTGCTTCTGGAACCACAAAGGCAACTAAGTGGCCAACAGCTGCCACAGAGCAACTGACAACCTTCTTTTCCTTTTTGTCTTTTTCTTTCTTTTTGGTTAATAATCTGCTTTCCATTCACCTACCCCCTCCACTCCCACCCTGTCATGGTAAATCAGGGTTGTAAAGTCCTCAACCCCTAAGAGCTCCATGCTTGAGCAAATATATACAAGACATACGCATATAGCTGTAGGGTTCCACTCTCTTACAAAAATTAGATCTTATTGTGTACAATACTCTGCAAATTGCTTTTCTTACTTAACAATATATATCATTGGCCAGGTGTGGTGGCTCACGCATATAATCCCAGCACTTTGGGAGGATCACTTGAGCTCAAAAGTTAGACCAGCCTGGGCAACATGTTGAAACTCCATCTCTACAAAAAAATACAAAAATTAGCCAGGTGTGGTAGCATACACCTGTGGTCCCAGCTATTCAGGAAGCTGAGGAGGGAGGATCACTCGAGCCCAGGAGGTCGAGGCCACAGTGAGCCGTGAACTGCACTCCAGCCTGGGGAACAAAGTGAGATCCTGTCTCAAAACAAAAACAAAAACAAAAGCAAAAAAATCATGGACAAAGTATTTCTTAAAAGGTAGCTTCTCGCACTAAAAATAATAGCATTACATAACATACATATATACAAATTTTATTATTATTATTTCCACTTCTTCAGGCGTTCAGTCACATAGGGATGACTAAACAACAAAATATGAGAAACTACTGAGAAGTATAAAAGATGCACAGATACAGAGATGAACTATCAGGTTGTCTCAAATTTTAGTGAAATTTGAATTTTAAATCTCAATGGGTTTTTTTTCTGGAGTGAAAAACTTTACAAAATGGTTTTCAGAGTCAGTTGGAGGAACGAATACATGAAAAACCCAGAAATTTTTGAAATTGAAGGCATAATTGAGCATATGAAAAAGCTATGATCAATAAAACAGTGTGATACAGGTACAAGAAAAAACAGATCAATGTAATAGAATAGGTAACCTAAAAATAGTATCAGTATGAAACTAGTATATGTAATATAGGATAAGTAAGACATCACTATATGAGAAGGGAAGGAAGTTTATCCAATGTGCTGGTACAATTGGTTAGCTATTTGGAAAATATTAATCTTCATACTATAAGCTAATACAAATCCAAACAGATCAAACAGAGTTACATGCCACAAAGGAAAGAAAAATCTCAAGAACTAGAAGAATGCCAAGTCAATGCATGTTTTATCTCTTGTTGAGAAAGGACTTTGTAAGCTAAGAGACGGTGGAAGGTGTCTGAAAGGGAAAGATCAATAGGTTTGACTAAAGGTGATAAACCTTTGTCCATGGAAAACAGCAGAAACAAAATTGAAAAGTAAATAACCCAGAAAAAAGATTTCAACACATATAACAGACATAGGATTAAAATTCTGAGTTATAAAGAGCTGATACAAATCATTAGGAACATAAAACACTAATAGATGAGAACAGAGAAGTCACAGAAGAACCCAAATGTTTAAGCTTTCTAGAAACAAGAGAAATAACCTAAGGTGGCATATCTAAAAAAAAATTTTAACAGCTTTTTCTGATTGATTATAAAAATAATGCCTGTTTACAGTAGAAAATGTGGAAGGTAAAATTGACCCACTAGGTCACCATCTAGAAATGACCACCATTAACATTTACTGTATATCCTGCAACTGTTGTTTACTCTGCCTTTTTCTTTTTAAATTAAGATCATATTGTTGGCATCTCATTTTCCACCTATCAAATTAACAAAGCTTTTTTTTTAAAGCTTATACTCCATGCTGGTGACAGGGTATACAGTTCAGTCAATGTTGGTGCAATTGAATTGGATGGAAAGGGGCTTGATTCATCCTGTCCTGGGGTGTTGGGCAAGGGCTGACCCCAGTAGTCAGCATGGTGGTGGGTAATAGAGATTTCAGATCTCCAAGGTCAAAGTGACAGAGTCACCAGGGGAGCTTTTCAAAAGGAAAGACCACCCAAGTCCAGTGACTCCAAGACCCCCTCCTCCCCAGGGTCCTTCAGCTATTCTGAGCTTGTAAGGGGCCTCTCTGCCTGAATCTGGATTTAGCTCCAGGTTCCACCTCTGACAAACTGTGTCCTCAGCCATTCTCTGAGCCTTGGTTTTGATGGGGATTCCTACCTCACAGGGTCATTGTCAGGATGAAAGGACACAGTCTAGCAAGTGTATTTAGTCCACTGCCAGGCAATAGTAAGTGCTCAAATATTGTTGATCAAAAAGGCAAACTCTGAGTGGGTATTTACTTTCTGTTTTTATAACCAAGGACTCATCGGGGGATTTTTGCTGAACAAAGATACTGTGAATTCAAATCTCGGCCTCGTAAGAATCAGAAAACTGCTTGCAGCTTTTGAGTGGCAATTTCTCCAGCTTTCCAAATATCTCCTGGCTGAATTTCAGAAAGCCTGGTTAACAGTCGTTTCTCTGAACACCTCCTACCTGCCGATGGTGACATAGCACATCAGAGGCAGAAATGGGTCCATGCCTCTGAATCCAAGCCTGCCTTCCTCCCTACACAACCTGGACCCTTTATTGGGGGAGAGTCAGGCACAGTGGTAAACTGACAAGGGACAGGGCTGCGATGGGAAGTGGGGGGTGAGGATGAAAGCAGCTGTTGAGGGCCCCTCTAGCTCTGGGCCGGTGTGCTCTTTAGAGGGTGTCTGTGTCCCGAAGCACCCCCTCCCTCCCTCAGCAAGGGGCTGGCCCAGGCCCTCACCCTTCCTCGGAGCCTGCTGCCCACATCAGAGCCCTCATTTCAGCTCCCCTCATGACACTGCCTTGCATAATAAATGCTTCAGTTGAATGTACTTTATTTTGGGGAAAGTCATTAAACTCCTTTTGTGGAAACATTTTAATTGAATTAGATTGTTTTCTGATTGTAATAGATGTTAATTAATTGAGTGGGCCGAGTGTCCTTGGATGTAGCTGGCTTCTCTCAGTTTAATTAGGAGGTGAATGTGGACTTATTTCTTTTTGCTATGAGTCTGTGGTTTAAATTTATCTTTTCAGCTAATAAAGTGATCAGGCGAATGCAGGGAGCAGATTATTTCTTATATCTGAAATTTAGTAGTCTGCTTCGCTCACAGAGCCAAGTGGCAGCCTCTGCTTGGCATCATTGGGGCGTGACCCAGTTCTCCATCTTGGCTTGATGAAGTTTCTCCATTTCTCTTGGGAAAAGAAAGAAGTTTTAAGTTCTACAAACATGCCTTTATCTCAAGGATACTAGTCACCTTGGGGAGTGATGCTGTTGGTTCCCACAGGTGTGACTGACCTGAGAGGCAGGTGGTCTGCAAGGCAGCCAAAACTCCCGAGCTTTTCGTCCATCCCTGGAGCAGGCAGGCAGGACTTGGGTAGGTACTGAAACTCAGAACAGCCAACAGACCCTGGCAGCTTCCTCATTGTAGAGATGCTGCAGCTGCAGCCCAGAGAGGGAGAGGGCATGCCCAAGGCCGCACAGTGTGGCCCTGGGACAGTAACACCTACATCCCCCAGCATCTCTGACTAGTATCAAATTCAGTTTGGGTCAACCAGCACTGACATGAGCCAGACCCTTGGCTATGTGAGAGGGCAGAGGTAGGTCCAAGGTCCTCAAGGAGGTTGCAAAATAGTGACAGCCATGATGTGTAAACTGAAACAACCAGAGGGATCCATACAACATAGAAGACAGTGTGAGGGGCCAGGCATGTTACCTTGACTTGTGGATAGGAAGGGCAGTCTGGGAAGCCTTCTGAGAGGGGATGAGTCTGCACTGGGTTTTGAAGGATGAATAGGAGTTCCCCAGGAGGACAAAGTGTGGAGAACGTTATTCCAGACAGAGGCAACAGTATATGCAAAGCCAAGTTCATTCTGGCACATGCTGGCAAACATGTAAGAGCCACAGGAAGCCCTCAGCAGAGGCAGGACATGCTCAGATTTGCACTGTAGGAACAATGTCTCAGGCTGTAGAAGTGGAGGAGAGACCACAGTGAGAAATGAGGGGTAGAAAGAACCAGGGGAGACAGGCTGGGCGCCCCTAGCCCAGCTCACTGCCATGGAGATGGAAGAGCAGGGGCCGATTCTAGAAATATTTAGGAGGTAGAGTCAACAGTTCCCAGCTTCCCAGAGGGTCAGGCCTCCCAAGGAGGCCCCAAGAGAGAGCAGGTGAGGATAAAGGAAGGGTGATGCCCTCTCAGACAAGTTCTTTGGCAACTAAATGGCTTGTGTTCGCCTGAATGGTGCTGCAAGGTGACAAGACTTGCAGTAGCAGTGACAGCTCACACTGAGCCACTTCCTTAGGCCAGATACCATTACATGTGATGCATGATGAACTTTATCTTCAGGACAATCCTGCAAGGGGGCTTCTTTTCCTACTCCATGTCACCAGGGAGGAAACCTGAGCATGGAGATGGACAATGACCCACCCAAGGTCACCACGCCAAGGAAGTAGCAGCGCGGTCGCTCTCCCAGGCTAGCTAGGGCCTCTCTGATCTACCCCAAGTTGATGTGTGCTCCACATTCAAATAGGGCTTGCTTGACTCTTTACCCCAAATTATCCATTGTAACAGGCAACAAGAGTCTAGGTTTTCCTTTGAAAAATCAAAAGGCCTTCCAGCACCAAACATCATTCCCCAGAAGCATGGGGGCCTTGGACCTTGGCAGCTTGTCCCTTTCTCATCCATGCCCAGGGCCCCTGCTCTCCAGTGGGAGTAGGCGAGGAGTCCAGGCTGGGCTGCTTTTTTGCAGATCCCACAGTATAGCAAGAAGGGCCTGGTTCAAACCCGCTGCCTCCCTGTGTGATCCTGGGCAAGTCCTTTCCCTCTCCAGGCCTCAGGAACTGACCAGGTCTGCATCACCCCTGCCAGGGCTGCCATGGAGTATCCGGAAAGCCACATGTGTAGGACTTCGGGCACATGGTAGTTGATGGCTGCTGTGATTAAGGCTGCCTGGGCCTTGCTCCTGGTTCTCTCGAGGACACAGGACACAGAAAAGTGTCTTCACAGGGGCAGCCACTAACCCTAGAAATTGGCTCCCAGGCTCTGCCACCCAAGAAGCAAGCTCACTGCTTATAGAGCTTCTTTCTTCAATAGGAACCCTTTCTCTGCAAATCCCTAGTTTGCTAGGAACCCCAGAGGCACATTCTTTCCCGTCCACATGCCCCCACTATCTCTGGCAGGACTATATTCACCCTTCAAGGCCTCAGTCTAGCCCACCTCCTCCCCAACCCCATCAGACTTCTCCCTACCCCCTGCCCTTTGGGTGCTTCCTATGAGTATCTGGCCCCACTCTGCCCTTCTGTGCCACTGGGCACTTTTCTGATGCTGGAGAGCTCCCAGGGCAGGCTTATGCCTCTGACTCGCCCAGAGCCTGCCAGAGCCCACCAGAGCCCACCCCTGGGTAGCTCCAGCTGAAGACTGTGGATGGCTAGAGAAGGGAAGAAATTCACCCTCCCCACCGCATGTGCGTGTGTGTGCGCGCACACACACACCCCCCCCACCCCCCCCCCCGACACATATGGTCCCTCTCCCATTTTGTGGCCACAGCTGGCCTTCTCTCTAGCTCTGCCTTGTGTGGCTCTGGGACCTCTGCCCACTCTGTCCTATCCTTCATCAGGCTGTTCCAGATGCTTATCCAGCCCCTGGGACATTCTCACCCCACCCTTCCCACTGGAACATGCCCTGACTTTGGGGCAGGGGCTGGCACTAGGCAAGCTGTCACTACACACCACAGTGGCCCTGTCTCTGGGAAAATAAATGGAACATGGCTTGGGAGCTTGTCATCTACTGGCTCCAGGAGACTCCCACAAAAAAAAAACATGGAGGAAGCAAACCGAGATCCTTCTCAAGGAGGCCAGGAAAGTAGGCCCTGAAAAGCAGAATTAAGAAGCTTTTCCCTCTTCTCCCAGCCTGCTAGAGGGCAAAGCAGCAGTGGGGTTAACTGGTTCCCAATTGACAAGTTTCCTGTCACCCTTCCCCTTCCCTCTCCTGCAGGATAGACCAGCTGTTGGGGCCAGATTAATGGCCACAATTAAAAGCAAAATGCCCTTGCTGTGGCCCACTCTCCTCCCACACCTGTGAGCCTGGAGGCTGAGCTCTAAGCCCCAGGAATGGGAGATTTGTAATGAAATCAGACATGCCTCTTAACCGCTGATGGTATCAGGGCCCAGGGGAGATGCAGACTTATTTCCTAATCTCCCTTGGAGCATCTGTCAGCCCCACTACACAGCAATGTCATTCCTGCGTGCAGCAAGGACCTTTCATGGGGCAGACTGTCAACCGCCTGCCTGGCTGCCCACCCGCCCCTCCGAAGCTCCCCAAAGCCGCTTCCCCTTTCCTGGACTCAGGCTGCACAGGCATTCACAAATGCTCATACCCCGCACACTCACATCCTCTCATCCATACACAATCATTCTGATTCATTCATAAATTGCCTGCTGTGCCCCAATTGCATTGACAGACAAAAGAGAAAAATAAGAACATCTATTTAGCAGTGTTGGAAAACAGAAAAGGGTATCATTGCTAAAGCAGTCATTTTGAGGGATTCCTAGAAGCAGATGAGAACAAGCAAAACGAGAGGCCCATTGATGCTGCACAGCTAGACAAGTCGGGGGGCTGCTTTCCCTACTAGAGCCCAGGGAGCTCCCCAACTCTGGGCAGCAGAGCTGAGCAAAGGGGTTGCAGGAGGCCTCAGGAGCTGTCTCCATCCCGGCCTTTGTCCCAGGCTTTACTGGGTTAGAACTGCGTGCTGAGTCCGAAAGGGGTTTGGGCAGCCTGCGTGGAACAAAGGTATAGGACTCCACAATCCCCATAGAGGGAAGGCAGGAGAGGGTCTTGGCCCAGTAGTGGCAGCTTTTACCATAGCCTGCTGCTACGGCTGTCACAGCCTGGACCCTACGAAGACACCCTGAGGTCCCAATAGCAGTGGTGGGTGGAGGGAAGCAGATGGCATGGCCTGGACTCAGCTGAAGAAATGCATGGAGACCTGCCACTCCCTCAACCCACCCCTCAGCCCCAGCCTCAGTGCCAACCGCACTCCCTGACACCTCAGACTTGAGGCAAAAGGAATCCTAGGGCTCCTGTCCTCACCCCGGCCATTCGCCCCCAGTTCATGCACTTGGAAAACGAACACTTCCTGCCCACACCCCTTCAAGAAGGGTCCAATTACATCAGGAAAACCTGCGTGCTGCAGCCCCCTTCTTGACATTCATAATCTGTCTTAGCTTGTTAAGGGCTCTGAGAAGTCTTGCAGCATCTTTTATTGTATAATTTACATTCCATGCAGTTACAGATCTTAAGCATTCAGTAGAATGAATTTTGACAACAGATTACACCCATATAACCCACACCCACATCAATATGTAGAACATTTCATCACTCCAGAAATTCCCCAGGTCCACCCCACAGGCAACCACGTTATGACTTCTATAATGATAGATTCATGTTGCCTGTTCTGAAGCTTCGCAGAAATGGATTCTCACAAAACATGCACCCCTTCCGGTCTGGCTTCTTTCACTCACCATAATATCTGTGCAATGCATCCATGTTGCTATGTGTCAGTAATTCATCACTTTTCATTGTTGACCATATTTTCTTGTAAGAATATACTTATTGCAATTTGTGTATCTATTTTCCTGCTGGTAAATATTTAGTTTTTTTCCAGTTTTTACTGTGAGCAAAGCTGCCATGAACACTGTGTGCTAGTCTTGTTGTAAACAGATGTTTCATATTTTTCCTAGGCAGGTGTACCTAGAAATGGAATTTGCAAGTGTGTGCACACTGCCAAACTATTTTCCAAAACAATGTATGGGAGTTACTGTTGCTCCACATCCTCATCATTATTTCATATTGCTTCTTTAGGAACTTTTATAAAAAATTGGTTTAACTTAACATTTCCCACACTAATTGAGCCATTGAACTTCTAAAATTTTTTATTTAGTATTTCCTTATTTATTTAGAGACGGAGCCTCACTATGTCACCCAGGCTGGCCTCAAACTCGGGCTCATGACACTGTGCCTCCAGAGTTGCTGGGACTACAGGTGCACACCACCACGCCCAGCTGTACTTTAATAAAATAATCCCTTTTAACATATAATGGAACAAGTGTTCTGTAAAATTTATTTTGGAGAGTGAAATCTAGATCTTTATTTATAAGTAGGAGAAACAAAAATATTAGCTATAACAATAAATCACCAGATCAATGAGAAGGAGAGGCTCAAAAGAGAGGGCAAGGCTGAAAAAGCTGAATAAATGGCCTCCCATGAAAAGGAATGAGTACAATCAATCAGACTAACTGTGAGGTTCAAGAGGATGTCACATAGATAAAACTAGATGGAGCAGGCTGCAATGAAAGAGAAAGAGAATTTGGAAACGACCAACATGGCTGCCAAAATGAAAAACTTGAGAATTAATGAACTACGCAATAAGCTCTGCCCCAAACTAGTGACACTTGCAGTTAAAGACAGTGGAGTAAAGGCGTCTCCACCCCTTTCTCCTCTCTGAAACCAAGTAAAACCTTAAGAAGAATGAGAAATAGGAGAGAAATGCTCTTTTGCACAAAACTTGGACACTCATAACACCAAAACATAATGTATGAATACTATAACAATTGGTTACTATCCTGGTCTCTCCAGATAGTATAGTATCTGGAGAGGATTCTGAGAGACCATATACCCCTAGAGACCAGGAAGGATAAAACCGAAGACCCCTCTGTTGGAACAGCAAAGGTCAGAGTATTTGGATGGGCTTCTGAACTTTCCTGAATGCTGCTTGGCCGTGTGGCATGGCTGTGGAGGGAGCGCTGAAAACGGGAAGGCAGAAGTTGCCATCCTTGCAGGAAGCTGGATGACCATCTGGTGGGTGACTGGCAGCCCTGCCACTGCTGGTCTTGCTGGCTGAAGAGAAACAAAGGCCGAACCACCACACACAAACCTGGGACACTGTGGGGGCTTGACCGTGGGTTCTCTGCTAGTCTGGGGTGAAGTCACACCCTGGGGAAATTGTGGATTAGAAAGTGTATTAGTTCCTATGACTGCTGAAACAAATTACCACAAACACCAGTGATTTATTCTCTCACAGTTCTAGAGAGCAGAAGTCCCAAATCTGTGTTACTGGGTCAAAATCAAGGTGTTGGCAGTGGGGCGCCCTCCGGAGGCTTAGGGGAGAATCCGTTCCTTCCCTCTTGCAGTTTCCGGGGGCCGCCAGCACTCCTTAGCCTGTGTCTGCACCACTCCAATCTCTGCCTCAGTGGTCATATTGCCCTCCTCTCTCCTGTGTGTATGTCAAATCTGCTCCTGCCTCTTTCTCATTAAAACACTCATGATCGCATTTAGGGCTCAGCCAGATAATCCAGAATAATTTCTCCATGTCAAGATCCTCAATTTAACCACATATGCAAAAATCTTTGCCATTTAAGGTAACATTCACAGGTTCCAGGGATTAGGACTTGATATCTTTGGGGCCATTATTCAGTCTACCACAGAAACTATCACAAGACAAAGCTCAAATGTAAGCTGCACGCTAGCTCAACTCACTGCTTTGGTCTCTGGCTCCTCCTCCATACAATCTTTCATTTTCTTTTCTTTTTTTTTTTTTTTTTTGAGATGGAGCCTCACTCTGTGCCCCAGGCTGGAGTGCAGTGGCACAATCTTGGCTTACCGCAGCCTCCACCTCCAGAGTTCAAGAAATTCTTTTGCCTCAGCCTCCCAAGTAGCTGGGATTACAGGCGCATGCGCCCAGCTAATTTTTGGGTTTTTGGTAGAGATGGGGTTTCGCCATGTTGGCCAGGCTGGTCTCAAACTCTTGGGCTCCAGTGATCCTCCCACCTCGGCCTCCCAAAGTGCTGGGATTATAGGTGTGAGCCATCACACCTGGCCCTCCATACAATCTTCCTATAGAAAACTAGTCCAAAAAGACTAGAAAAAGCCAGTCAAAAATGAATGATAACAATGTATAAAATGGCAGGAAGGTCAAACATGTCCTTGTTGCAGGATAGCTGTGACTTAGCTAAGTACCTCTATTTAATGAGAAAGATCCTAATACTGGGCAGACACCCACATATTCTTGTATGCACTCATACACAGACTTACACAACTCCAACTACACACCAGTTATAAAATACTCACTCAAAACAACAAGAGTCACACGGAAGGCCTGGCTAAGATATCTCAGGCAAATGCTGACATAAAGAAAGCAAGGTAGGATATGTTTATATCAGACAAAGTAGAATTCAAGGCAAGATGCATTAAACAAGATAAAGAACTTTTTTTTTTTTCAAATAAAAGTACAGTGTGCCAAGAAGATGTGAAATGAAGAGGTCTTTTACCCAGCAATCGTCTCAGTGGGAGGATTTATCATAACTTTCTCAGACTCAAATTGAGTAAAGAAAAGAGAAGGTTTGAATATCAAATTAAATAAGCTTTGTGTGTACTCTCAAAACAGACTACCTGTTTTCTTTTCAAATTCTCATGGAACAATGACAAAAACTGACCACATACCAGTCCACAAAAAACTCAGTAACCAAAAAGTAGAAATCATATGAACCACATTTCCTGATCACAATGTAATCCATCTAGAAATTAACAACAAACAGATAATACCTTCACCCCAGGTCTAACCACTTATAAATTTTCAAACATTTCTCCACAGCTCAAGTTAAATTAAAAGATAAAAATTGAGGCCAGGCATGGTGGCTCACACTTGTAATCCCAGCACTTCAGGAGGCCAAGGCTGGAGGATCACTTGAGGCTAGGAGTTTGAGACCAGCCTGGGCAACATGGTGACGCCCCATTTCTAAAAAAAAAAAAAAAAAAAAAAAAAAAAATCACAAATTGTCAGAAATTATTATTAACAATGAGAATATCATTGTTAGTAACTGAAATATTAAAACCTAGATAATAAGACTAAAGATTTTCTCAGAGCAGTGGTCATAGTCTTAAACTCTTATGTGTAAAGTCAATAACTCATTCATTCCACAAATATTTTCTGAGTGCCTATTATAGGCCAGCACTGCTCTAGGTGTTGGGGATTGAACAGAAAGAGAGATTCTTTTTGTAGAGCTTACATTCAAATTGATAATGGTAAGAATTAGGGGGCGGGGGAGGGTGGAATGCCCTGAACATTCAATTCAAGAAGCTGGAAAGGTACAATAAAATACTCTCAGAAAAGCAAAGGAAATTACAAAAGAAAATATATAAATTAGGCCTGGCGCGGTGGCTCATGCCTGTAATCCCAGCACTTTGGGAGGCTGAGGCAGGTGGATCACGAGATCAGGAGTTCAAGACCAGCCTGGCCAAGATGGTGAAACCCCATCTCTACTAAAAATACAAAAATTAGCTGGGCGTGGCGGCGTGCACCTGTAGTCCCAGCTTCTTGGGAGGCTGAGACAAGAGAATTGCTTGAACCCGGGAGGTGGAGGTTGCAGTGAGCCCAGATCGCGCCACTGCACTCCAGCCTGGGTGACAGAGCGAGACTCTGTCTCAAAACAAAACAAAACAAAAAACGAAAATATATAAATTAATGATTTAGAAAAATAAAGTAGAACTGATAAAATTAAGCTTTGATTAGACTCTATTGCATCTAAGAAAAAAGAGAAAACACAAATATTTATCATTAGTAAAGGCAAGAGGGATTACACAACTGCAAATACAGAGGCAATTGTATAGATTATAAGCAAATAATATGTGTAACATGATGCTAAAATTTGAAAACTTAGATAAAGCAGATATTATGGATAAAAATGGATATATTTCTAGAAATATGTAAATTACCAAATAGGCTCAATAAGAGATAAAAAGCCTGAGTGGTGGAAGGGTGTGGTGTCTCACTCCTGTAATCCCAACACTTTGGGAGGCCAAGATGGGTGGATGACCTGAGGTCAGGAGTTCGCAACCAGCCTGGCCAACATGATGAAACCCCGTCTCTACTAAAAATACAAAAATTAGCCGGATGTGATGGTGTGCTCCTGTAATCCCAGCTACTTGAAAGGCTGAGGCAGGAGAATTACTTGAACACGGGAGGCAGACATTGCAGTGAACCTAGACTGTGCCACTACACTCCAGCCTGGGCGACAGAAGAAGACTCCGTCTCAAAAAACAGCAACAATAACAACAACAAAACCTGAGTGGCCCTGTTACTAGAGAAGAAATTGAAAAGATCGTTCAGGGTCTACCAACCAAAACACATAAATACCTAGATGACTGAAGGCAAAATCTGACAAACTTTCAACACACTGATAATCTTATTAAACTATATAGAACATAAAGATGGAAATACACTCTTTTGCAAGTCTGCATACCAAAATCTGATACACAAAACACACAAAGGAATTACAGTTCCAAGCAGGAAGGCTGGAGCACACACTGCCGTTGTTGCAGCTGGAAGCGCCAAGCAGTGTTCACTTGGACACATGGGTGGCCTGTCACCCAAACACAGCTGTGGGGATAATTCACCTCCTGTGGTCCTGTCCTCCTGTCACTCAAACTATGCTCCACATCTATGGCTTCAGGGGTGTTCCTTGTGGCCAGTTGACAGAGGAAGATAATAATTGAGTAGAGTTTACCCCAACTGGTTCAGTAAAAGTGCACAGCTGCAGTGTTACTCTCCCACTCAGGAGTGGCCCCAAAAGACAGTGTGGAGAACAAATCCTCTCAGGAGTGGAATTTAGAGCGTTACATCTTGAACACTTTCCCCAAAGGCCAGATGGCCTGAGATATAGATCTACACTGGCTCATGGGCAGTAGGTCATGGTTTTGCTGGACAAACAAGGACTCCAGAACAAGATGCGAGATTGGAGACAGGATGGTTTGGGGAAGAGAATGTGCATGGATCGCTCAGAACTGACCCAGAGGCAATGAGTATTTGTGTGCCATGTGGATTCTCTCCAAAATGTCCTCACTGTGGAGCAAGTTCTCAATAATCAGGTGGACAAGAAGACCCACCCAGTGGATGAGTAAATGTCTATAAGTCTCTTTCCTCGGTCACCCTTGTACCCACTCAGGAATAAAGTAGTTTTGGATGCAGCAGCCACCTATCCAAGTGAGGACCTAATGGCCTCTCCAAAGGTGAAGCAGCCACTGGCACCGATGAGGGTCTAACTTTCAGCAGTAGAAACCAGTTCTGCAAATCTGATATTATACCACAGTGAGGAGGACCAGTTAGCTACTTGATGGAAAGTTAGTTTTACTGGGGCTCCTTCCATCGTGGAGGGGCAGGAACTTGACGTCACTGGAATAACTACTTATATTGGAGTTGAATATGCATCCTGTCTTTACTGTGTTTCCATCAACACCACCATCAGTGGCCTGAATAATGTCCTCCACTCCATCATAGCAACCCATACAACACTGTTTCTGCCCTAGGATCAGGTGTACAGTCAAAGAAATGGAGCAGTGGGTTGATAGTCATGGGATTCACTGGTCTTTTCATACATGTAGGAGCAGCTGGCCCTATAGAAGAGTAGAATGGGCTGTTAAAGGATCAGTCCCAGCCAGGTGCGGTGGCTCACACCTGTAATGATAACACTTTGGGAGGCCGAGGTGGGCAGATCGCCTGAGCTCAGGAGTTTGAGACCAATCTGGGCAACGTGGCGAAACCCCATCTCTACTAAAAATACAAACAATTAGCCAGGCATGGTGGTGTATGCCTGTACACCCAGCCACTCGGGAGGCTGAGGCAGGAGAATCACTTGAACCCAGCAGGCAGAGGTTGCAGTGAGCTGAGATCGCACCACTGCACTCCAGCCTGGGCGACGGAGCGAGACTCTGTCTCAAAAAAAAAAAAAAAAAAGGATCAGTCCCAGCACCCTGGTAGACAACATTTTGTGAATTTGGGACACTGTCCACCAGCGTTTGGTATGTGAGCACAACCAGCAACCAATTTATACTGATCACAGCAATCTTGGCACCAAAGCATGGATGTGGGAATGGTGCCCTTCACTAATAACACCTTTTCAATAAATGCGCTTCTTGTTCCCACAGCTCTGCGCTTGTTGGTTTACAGGTTTTGATATCCAAAGGAGTAAAGCTTCAATGTGAGTAAAACACAATGGCTGCCTAAACAGGAAGTTAATACTGACAGCCCACCACTACGGGCTCTCCATGGTACTGGACAAACAGGCCCAAAGAGAGGTCAAGGCTTTGGCTTCAATGACTGATTTAGACCCGTGCTGCCCAATACTGTGGCCACTAGCCACACGTGGCTATTATATTTAAATTATCTTGAATTAAACAAAATCAGAAGTTCAGTTCCTTAGACACACTAGACACCTTTCAAGTGATCTGTATCCGCATGTGGCTCCTGGCTACCATATTAGCCAGAGCAGCTATGGAACATTTCCATCCCTGCAGAAAGTTCTATTGGACAGCATTGATTTAGACTATCAAAGGTAATGGGGAGGTCACTGCGATGGGGGCATGAAGAAGTGAGGTTGACCTCCAGGATCCCTCTGTCCTGTCTGCTCATCCTCCTACAATGCTCATCCTCATACAGTGGTCAACATGGAAGAAGGTACAACAAACCTATTTAGGCAAGGGCACCAGGGCTTAGCCCCCTTGGGAATAATGGTCTAGGTCACCCTACCAGTAAAGAATGCCTGCCACCCAAGGTGTGGGTGGAGGACACAGGAAACATGGAATAAATGAGGAGGGAGGTCACACATCCTAACCACAACCATACAGAGCCTGTATGTTCTTCCTTGCTGTGCCATGGGTATATTTATATATTTTAATAAATGTATTTTGTCTTTCCCTTTAATCCACTATTGTATACATTGTTGCAGAATATTGAGACAGGAGTGGGACAGAATTAGAGAAGGAATGGATCTCACCCAGAACTACTGGACTTGGAGTTGTACAGAATAACCATTATTAGGCTGTTCTTGCACTGCTACAAAGAAATACCTGAGAGTGGGAAATTTATAAAGAAAAGAGGTTTAATTGGCTCGTGGTTCTGCAAGCTGTACAAGAAGCATAACACTGACGTCTGCTTCTGGGGAGGCCTCAGGGAGCTTTTGCTCATGGTGGAAGCAAAGGGGGAACAAGCATCTCACATGGCAAGAACCAACAACCAGATCTCCCAAGAACTCACTGTCTCGAGGACAGCACCAAGCCATGGGGGATCTGCCCCCTGATCCAAACACCTCCCACCAGGCCCCACCTCCAGCACTGGGAATTACATTCGACATGAGATTTGGAGGGAACATGCAATGCAAGCTATATCAGTAACTGAGAAAAGAAGTGAAGATATTTTCAGATGTTAGGCTGCACCTTCTGAGGGAGGAGTGCTAAGTCACAGAAAGAAGGCAGAACTGTAATAAAACCTTGGTTATTTTGCCTGCCGAGAGTTTGATTCTCCCAGTAGCCTTCCCATGTTAGTTTAAGTAGAGTTGATTTCTGCTGTTTGCGAACCAAACCTCTGACTGATCCAGAAGTCTAAATGTTGGTAAAGAATAGACCACATGGCTATTTGCAGATAACATGTTTGTCTTCCCAATCAACAGGAAAAAAAAAATAGAAATCATTAAGGAATTTACTGTGGTGCAAAAAAATAATAATAAATGTTGGAGGTGATGGATATGCTAACTACCCTGATTTGGTCATCACACAATGTGTGCGTGTATGGAAACATCACACTGTACCCCACAAATATGTACAATTACTATGTGTCAATATTTTTAAAAGTCAAGAATTTACTGTGGTGGCCAGATACAAGATTGCTTTCTTGTTTATCAGATTTATTCTGAAAGAAAATCTAATTTTTAAAACCTATTTTGGGCCAGGCACGGTAGCTCACACCTGTAATCCCAGCATTCTGGGAGGCTGAGCCGGGTGGATCACCTGAGGTCAGGAGTTTGAGACCAGCCTGGCCAACATGAAGAAACCCCATCTCTACTAAAAATACAAAAATTAGCCGGGCATGGTGGCATGCACCTGTAATCCCAGCTACTCGAAAGGCTGAGGCAGGAGAATCGCTGGAACTCGGGAGGCAGAGGTTGCAGTGAGCTGAGGTCACACCATTGCACTCCAGCCTAGGCAACAAGAGCAAAACTGTGTCTCCAAAAAACAAAACCAAAAAAAACAAAAAAAACTATTTTCAATGTAAAATAAAACCAGACCCAGAAAGGCCTTAAATGCCCAACTGTTTTGTCTTGGAGGAGCTGAGCAGCCAGAGAAGGTGTGAGAGCAGCGAGGCCAGTGTTAGGAAGCCTGGTTGCAGAAGTGTGCAGGAGGGTGGGACCTCCCAAGGCCAGGCTCATTCCTCCGGGGAGGTGCCTGCTGCTGTCCCCTGTGCAGGGGCCTGGGGCTGGGCATGGCTCAGATCCATGGCAGTGCCAGCTGCAGTGCACTCTGGTAAGAGATGGGGGTGTCTCACCCACTGGAGCCAAAGGAGAGAGCAGGAGGGCCTGGGGTATTGGAAGGGTCTCTTGTGGAGTGTGAATCACTGCAGCCCCTCAGGCCACAGCAGATGCAAGTTTTGTGGTCCCTAACTTTGTACAATTTGGAGGCCTTCCTTAAGGAAAATAATAAAAATCATAAAGACAAAATTAACAGCTGGGCACGGTGGCTCAAACGCCTCTAATCCCAGCACTTTGGGAGGTCGGGCAGGTGGATCATTTGAGGCCAGGAGTTTGAGACCAACCTGGTCAACATGGTGAAACCCTGTCACTACTAAAAATACAAAAATTAGCTGGGCGTGGTGGTGCATGCCTGTAATCCCAGCTACTTGGGAGCCTGAGGCACAAGAATCGTGCTTGAACCCTGGGAGACCGAGGTTGCAGTGAGCTGAGATCACATCACTGCACTCCAGCCTGGGCGACAGAGTGAGATCCTGTCTAAAAAAATAAAAAAAATAATAAAAAAAGACACTATTAGGTACAGACATGAATAGTTACTTGAAATGAGAAAATAAAACAACCTACAAATCAGAAAAGTTGACACTACAAATATTATAAAATCCCCCCAATAGCAGTATATTTTTTATTCAGTGCTTAATAAACATTTATAATATCTTTTTTCCCTTCATTTTTGCTACATATCTTTTGGCTGCTTTTTCATATGACAGTACTTTCGTGCTGCCATTTTCTATTAAGAGAATGGAAAGATAATTCACTGCTTGCCGTGGTATGGTTGACTAATTTGTTATTTTATTAGTGATAGTTTACAAAAATCTATTTTGGCTTCATGACTTACTGGTAAAGTCGTGTACATTTTTAGGATTGTTGTCAAGTTGAGGGAAACCTTTATCAAATTTCTTTTATAAATGAGCTGTAAGATTTCAGGGTTTTCAAGTTTTCTTGTGTTGCGGACCAATCTTAAATACTCTGAATTGATGGTGCTCGTTAAGGAGAGCAATTCAGATGCATTCTTAAATTGCTACTACATTGCTTTGAGCTACATAATTGTGTAATAAAATTACTCTTATGTCACATACACTGTACTTATTGATGAGCACATGTAGGAGTTTTGTCACAGGAACACTTGTTTCTTCAGGCTGTCTTGCTGTGTTGGTGGCAATTTCATGTGCCATTTCATCCGGAACTGCCAGACCTTATCAGGACAAGATCCATCAGTTGCACCAAGATGTGATTCCATATACTGGAGTGCATAAAACATCTATCTTCACACACAAAAGTACTTGTTGCTTGTAGAACTGCTGTAACACTCAAGCACTCACTATAAGCAGTGATTTTTTTTTTCTTCTTTTCTTTTTTTTTTTTTTTTGAGACAGGCACTCTCTCTGTTGTCCAGACTGGAGTGCAGTGGTGCTATCATGGCTCACCACAGCCTTGACGGTCAGGCTCAAGCGATCCTCCTACCTCAGCTTCCCACATAGCTGGGACCACAGGCATGCACCACCACACCTGGCTAATTTTTGTATTTTTTGTAGAGAGAGGGTTTCACCATGTTGCCCAAGCTGGTCTCAAACTCCTGGGCTCAAGTGATCCTCCCACCTTGGCCTCCCAAAGTGCTGGGATTACAGGCATGAGCCACTGTGCCTGGCCTAACAATGGAATTCTGATCAATTTTATTTTGCATGAATCTCATTAAAGAGAAACTAATGTGTGGCACATGTGTCATGGTGTATGCTACATTATTGCATATATTCTTGACAAGAGAGAACTTTCATTTTGACTGGGCATGAGAAATGAGTCCCATGTTCTGATAGTGTAAGAATTTTCTACAGACTAACTTCTGGATTTGTACATTTCAAACTTTGTTTCTCTTCCACAAACTGCCAGTGGTGGGAGCTGACATTCATATTTCAATGTGGCATCTGGCCCTGCACCATCATGTCACAATGACGGGTGAGTCAGCATGGTGAGTATTGGTGGACAGGAGGAGTATTCCTGGAAACCATTCCTAAACCAGAATGGCTAGTAATAACTTTACACTGTAAGCCACGTAAATAGATCCCACTAAGCCAAACAAATATGTCTTTAACTCAACTTCCCTTTAGCCAGATCCCCAAAATGCCATGGCCATTCCAAACCATCCAACATGTGTGGAAATATGACACAGAAGTTGGAGTGGAAGAGACCGTGATCTTCAATGATTGTAGTCAAAACGTTTTACTCCTATAGGTTTTACAGAAACGTTAGGACCATGTAAATACATTGCTAGTACCCCTCCCAGGGCTTTGGAGGGGGATGTCATTGAGCTTAATTAACATCACACTTTATCCTCCTTTGGCTTGGGCTGCCAGAGTGGGAACTGGGGAACCAGGGAACAGTCGCATTCATCATTCCTGTCACCACAAACTCTCCACAGTTCACACAACAACCCTCACACTCACCTTCTTATTTTCTTGCTACAACCCTGTCAGGCAGGCCTTGTCATTCCCACTTCACGGAGAAAAAGTGCAGGCCCAGAGAGGAAGAACCCTAGGCCAGGGTCACACAGTTGGCAAATGACAGAGCCCAGCTCTCTGGTGTCCCAGTCCGGCGCTCAATCCCTCCACCAGGGTCCTACTGCCTCATCTGAGCCCATAGTCATCCTGACAGGGGGCAGGGAAGGAGTCACATCCCCATTTCATAGAGGTGATGGCCTTTGTGTTCACCCATCTGCACCCACAGGACAGTCGACAGGACGTTTGGTGCACAGGAGTTTATTTAACTCTCATGGCAGTGTGCAGGGAGTGTTATCCCCATGCTCTGGTGGAGGAAACAGAGGCTCATGGAGGTCACGTGGTCTGATTAGGAGTCGAGGAAGAGGCACCTGAAGTCAGGTCTCCGGACTCCTAATTCAATGCTTTTTTGCTGAACTTTGCTTCTCCCGCTTTAGAGATGGACGGGACCTCGGAGTATCATCCAGCCCAATCCCCTTTCCACAAATGAGAAACCGAGGCCAAGAGGAGAAGCCAGGTCATACAGCAAGTTGGGACGGATGCCTTACTCAGCCGTCTGGTTTGCCTCTCTCCTTCAGGCACCCGAGAACCTTCCATCTGCTCCCTCGTGTCTAGGGGTCCCCATTGCAGGCTGGACTTTTACCCCGACCTTTGAGTGACCCATCCAGCAACAGCCTGGACCAAGCAATCCTATGATTGTCTTCCTGAGTAGACTCCTCTACTTCCAGAGTAGACTCCTCTACTCTGAAACTGTCTCCACCCACAACCCAGGAAGAGGGAGACGGGTGCCAAGCAGCCCTGAGAGCCCAGAGTAACCACGTCCCCATGGCCACAGCTGATTGGGTCACACCTGATCCGGGAGAGCCAATCCAGTCTGAGCAAAGCCGACTGGGTAGGTGGCAAGCCTGAGTGATCGGAGAGAAGCCGGGACGGATGCAAATGCAGAGCCCGCTGGCAGAGGCGCAGAGGCACCGACCGACCGACCAACCGGAGCGAGGAGGCCCCCAGAGACAGCCGCCGCCCTGTAAGGTTCCCAATCCCATGAGCCTTAGCAGTCCCTGTGTCTGTGCGTTAACACACTCCCCCACGGAGTCCCATGAGAGGGTTTTTGTGCCCTTCAATTTAGACATTATAGAATTAATTTATTTTTATTTTAAAATGATGGCTAATATTTATATGGTTCACAAATCAAAGCCAAATGAAAAGGAATACCTTAGGAAGTCTCATTCCCACTCCAGTTCCCAGACATCCTATTCTTTAGTCCCCCATGGGTAACCACTTTTATTCACTTCTGGTCAGTCTTTTCCAGCATTTCTTGATGCAGATATAAGCAAATACCAATATATTTTCTCTCTCTCTCTCTTTTTTTTTTTTTTTTGAGACAGAGTCTTGTTCTGTCACCCAGGCTGGAGTGCAGTGGCACGATCTCAGCTCACTGCAACCTCCACCTCCCGGGTTCAAGTGATTCTCCTGCTTCAGCCTCCCGAGTAGCTGGGATTACAGGGAGATGCAACCACGCCCAGCTAAAACCACGCTTGGCTAATTTTTGTATTTTTAGTAGAGACGGGGTTTCACCATGTTGGCCAGACTGGTCTTGAATTCCTAACCTCAAGTGATCCTCCTGCCTCAGCCTCCCAAAGTGGTGGGATTATAGATGTGAGCCACCATGCCCGGCCCCAATATATTTTCTTACTCTACCCTCCTTGCCCAAAGGGAGCATTTATTTGTGTTCCTTGAAAAAGAAGCATCCATTGTGCCTTGCCTTTTTTCACTTAGCAATTCTAGAGACCTTTCCATATCATGAAATGATGTATTTTTGTTTTGTAGAGCTAGGGTACGGTCTTGAACTTCTGCCCTCAAGCAATCCTTTCACCTGGGCCTCCCAAAGTGCTGGGAATTAGAGGTGTGAGCCACCATGCCTGGCTCTGAAATGATGCATTTTAAATTCCACTGAAATTATTATGTCCTGGGCTCCTGACAATAGAGATACCATAGGCTGAAGAGAAATTTTGTTGGGAATTTCAGTATTTCCAAAATTCCAAAAGTCTTCTTTTCCTCTCCATGGCAATGCTTGGAGGTGTGCAGTCTAGTCTACTGTAAGTCACATGTGGGAGGGAGGGAGTGGATGCTCTCCAGGAGCTGGGAGATGACAGAGAGACATACAGGAGTGAGAGGAGTGTGGGCCTGTGCTCAGACAAGGGTGAAGAGCAGCTGCCAGGGGGCTTACCCCGCCTTGGGGTTGAAACTCTGGAGAAAGAGAAGATCCTACATTGTATAAACCCTACATAAGCAAAGTGGGAACCCAAAGCAGGAGACTGTCTCTCTGGGAACCCTTGAGCCAAAAGGTCAATTCACTGGAAGCCAGCTGACCCCCCAAAGGGTGAGATGAGCCCCAGAGACTTCACGTAAGACAAAAGTGCAGCAGTATCCAGAGCTGCTTCTGGTCTGTCTCCTGGTGGGAAGAACTGAGTAGAGGAAGCTTCAACTGGTGTCTGCAGGAGTCAGGAGATGCCTGGCCTAGGGCTTGGTCATGGCAGGGATAAAAGCCCATCACTGTTATCTTCTACAAGGCCTGCTGGCCTAGGCAACTCCTCAGCTTCCCCCAACTCTTCCTGTGAAGTTCAGAAATGAGTTTCTCAACCAGCTCAAGTTGCTCAGCTTATTTTTCTCTCACCCAGCAATTGCTCCCCGACCCTGAGTTGGCAGCTGTGAAAACATAAACATTGTCAAAACCTCCCTTGCACCTCCCCCGTCTCTCCCTGTCCCCAGTACTGCTGGGCCCACCTCTGTTCCCTGCTCCCAAGGGTCCTCCCTCACCCATGGCCTCCATCCGGGCAGTACCCAGGAATGTGGGCCCAGGACAGGCAGCTTCCCTTTCCCTCGGCCCATCCGGGGCCATGGGGGAGGCACAGTTCAGCTCTCTCCCTGGGCTCTGGTGGACACACAGCATCTCAAGTAGCCCTATCTGGATTCCTAGACCCTGGTACAATCACTGGCAATTGGTGATGTGGGGAAGGGATCTCTACCCCCTGCCTCTGTCTCCAACCCAAACTTCAGGCTTCCCTGGCCCCTGGGCAGTGCCCTCACTCCCCTGCCTCTACTTGATCCCCAGTGCTCGGTGGATTTGTGCCCCACCTTGGCCATTAGGGCTCCCTGCGCCTCCCTCTTGGAATAACACTTCCTATCTACTCTTTTCTCCTTCTTCCACATTTCTTTTTCTTTTTCGAGATGGAGTCTTGCTCTGTTGCCCAGGCTGGAGTACAGTGGCACAATCTCAGCTCACTGGAACCTCCGTGTCCCAGGTTCTCCTGCCTCAAGCGATTCTCCTGCCTCAGCCTCCCAAGTAGCCAGGATTACAGGCACCCATCACCACGCCCAGAGATTTTTTTTTTTTTTTTTTGTATTTTTAGTAGAGACAGGGTTTCACCATGTTGGCCAGGCTGGTCTCGAACTCCTGACCTCAAGTGATCAGCCCACCTTGGCCTCAAGGTGTTGGGATTACAGGCATGAGCCAACATGCTTGGCTGGTCACCTCCTCTTTTAAGGGATCCCAAAGTGCCTTTCTTTTCTCTCCCTTCTCCCCTCAGGTTACAGGGCCATTCATTAAAGTCAGGTGGTCTTTCTACAGAAGAATTTTTGCTTTAGTAGGCAGTTCAACTGAGATGCTGTTGAAAGTGTCTATATCCCTGCAAGGAGGGATTTTTTTTTTTTTGACCGAGTCTCACTCTGTAGCCCAGGCTGGAATGCAGAAAAAGTATTTGATAGAATTCAACACTCATTCATGGTTTAAAAATAAAAAACTTCTTAGCAAACAAGTAATTCTTAAAAATAATCTTACAAAGGCATTGTAAAAGCCCTATAGCAAACATCACATTGAGTGGTGAAATATTGAATGTTTTCTTCTGATATTAGAAATAAATCAAGAAGACATGCTATCGCTACTTCCATTCAACATTGTGCTTGGATTTTACCAGTGCAATAGGGCAGGAAAAAAAATAAAAATCTTACGTCTTATGTATTGGAAAAAAAGAAATAAAGTTGCTATTATGCATAGGCAACATGATTATGTACATAGGATTTTTTTTTTAATCTACAGATAAAGCCTGGCACAGTGGCATGTGCTTGTAGTCCCAATGCTTGGGAGGCTGAGGCAGGAGGATTGCTTGAGCCCAGGAGCTCAAGGTTGCAGTGCACTACAATCATGCCTGTGAATAGTGTCCTCCAGCCTGGGCAACATAGTGAGACTCCATCTCTAAAAAAAAATTTTTTTAAATCTACATACAAACCCTTAAAATCAATAAAATTTAGCAAGGTTGCTGGATACCCTCTCTATATACAAAAAACAGTAGATTCTTTTTTTTTAATCTTTTTTTTTTTTTTTTTTTTTTTGAGACGGAGTCTTGCTCTGTCACCCAGGCTGGAGTGCAATGGCACAATCTCAGCTCACTGCAACCTCCTCCTCCTGGATTCAAGAGATTCTCCTGCCTCAGCCTCCTGAGTAGTTGGGATTACAGGCGCCCACCACCACACCCAGCTAATTTTTGTATTTTCAGTAGAGACAGGGTTTCACCATGTTGGTCAGGCTCATCTTGAACTCCTGACCTCAGGTGATCCACCCACCTCGGCCTCCCAAAATGCTGGGATTACAGGTGTGAGCCACCGTGCCCAGCCAAAAACAGTAGTATTTCTACTAATAGCTACAAACAATTAGAAAGTGAAATTCTAAAAATGAGACCATTTACAATAACATCAAAGCAAGACATATCTAGAAATAAATCTAATAAAAGATGTATAAAACTACATACTACATCACTGACAGAAATTAAAGAAGACCTAAATAAAGGGTGAGAGGGATATATCACATTCATGGATTGGAGGACTCAAGAATATTCATAGCAGCGCTACTCTAAATAGCCTGAAAACTGCAAACAATTGGCTGGGCATGGTGGCTCACGCCTGTAATCCCAGCACTTTGGGAGACCGAGGCGGAGTGGATCACCTGAGGTCGGGAGTTCGACACCAGCCTGGCCAACATGGTGAAACCCCTGTCTCTACTAAAAATACAAAATTAGCTGGGTGTGGTGGCACATGACTATAATCCCAGCTACTCAGGAGGCTGAGGCAGGAGGATCACTTGAACCCAGGAGATGGAGGTGGCGGTGAACTGAGATCGCACCATTGCACTCCAGCCTGGGCAACAAGAGCGAAACTCTGTCTCAAAAAACAAACAAACAAACATTGCAAATAATCCAAATGTCCCTCAACTATAGAATAAACAAATTCATTGTGCTATAATTATACAATTGAATATGAATATTCACAAGAAATGAATACACTTCTGCTTCATGCAACAACATACATGAATCCCGTAAATATGATGTGGAGTGAAAGATGCTAAACACAGAAGATCATGACTCTTTGTGATTCATTTATATGTAAAATTTTATTCATAAAAAGTTCAAAAGCAGATAAAACTGATCTGGTGTTAGGAATCAGGATAGTGGTGGTTCTTGCTGGGGAGTAACAACGGCAAGGGCCCAGGAGAGAAGGTTTCTGGGGTGCTGGCCACCCTCTATTTCTTCATCTGGGTGGTGGTTTCACAACTGCTCTCGCTTTGTAACAGTGAAGCCATGCATTTATGGTTTGTGTACTTTTCTGAGTGTATGTTTTAATTCAGTAAGAATTTTAATTAAAAAAAGTAGGGGCCGGGCGAGGTGGCTCATGCCTGTAATCCCAGCACTTTGGGAGGCCGAGGTCAGGAGATCGAGACCATCCTGGCTAACACGGTGAAACCCCGTCTCCACTAAAAATACAAAAAATTAGCAGGGCATGGTGGCCCACGCCTGTAGTCCCAGCTACTTGGGAGGCTGAGGCAGGAGAATCGCTTGAACCCGGGAGGCAGAGGTCGCAGTGAGCTAAGATGGTGCCACTGCACTCCAGCCTGGGTGACAGAGCAAGACTCCGTCTCAAAAAAAAAAAAAAAAAGTAGGAAGTGGCAAATTGTGACGCAAAGGACTTCTAAGGCTTCTCAAACTCAGTGACCTGGCTGCCGTCCGTGTCATGTGCTGCTGAGCAGTAGAGCTGAGTACTTTGTGTTTGTTTTATCGTGTAATCCTCTCGGATTAAATGCACTCTGTGAAATCGGTATTATTCTTTTTTTTTTTTTTTTTTTTTTTTGAGACGGAGTCTAGCTCTGTCGCCCAGGCTGGACTGCAGTGGCCTGATCTCGGCTCACTGCAAGCTCCGCCTCCCGGGTTCACGCCATTCTCCTCCCTCAGCCTCCCCAGTAGCTGGGACTACAGGCGCCCGTCACCACCAGCCCTGCTAATTTTTTTTTTTTTTTTTTTAGTAGAGACAGGGTTTCACCGTGTTAGCCAGGATGGTGTCGATTTCCTGACCTCGTGATCCGCCCGCTGCGGCCTCCCAAAATGCTGGGATTACAGGCGTGAGCCACTGCGCCCTGCCGAAATCGGTATTATTCTTATCACCACCCCCATTTTGAAGAAAACACAGCAGTCCTCTCTTATCTGCAGTCGCACTTTCCATGGTTTCAGAAACTCACGGTAAACTATGGGCTGAAAATGTTAATTGGAAAATTCCAGAAGTAAACAATACATTTTAAATTTTGCACCATTCAGAGTAGCATGATTAAATCTCTCGCCATCCTGCCCATGACATGAATCCTCCCTTTGTCCAGTGTACCCTCGCTGTATACACCACTCACCCATTGGTCACTCAGTAGCCCTCTTGGTAATTAGATGAAAAACACAGTAGACATAGGGCTCCGTACTGTCCTTGGCTTCAGGCACCCACTGGGGAGCTTGCAACTTACCCCTGAGGATAAGGGGGACTGCTATACTAGCATATATATATATATATTTATATATATATATTTATATATATAAATATATATATATAAATATATATATATATAAATATATATATATAATGTGTGTGTGTATATGTATATATGTATATATACACGTATATACATGTATACACATACACATATATGTATATATGTATATATACACATATACACATACACATATATGTATATATGTATATATACACATATACACATACACATATATATGTATATATACACATACACATACACGTATATATGTATATATACACATACACATACACGTATATATGTATATATACACATACACATACACGTATATATGTATATATACACATACACATACACGTATATATGTATATATACACATACACATACACGTATATATGTATATATACACATACACGTATATATGTATATATACACATACACATATATGTATATATGTATATATACACATACACATATGTATATATGTATATATACACATACACATATATGTATATATGTATATATACACATACACATATATGTATATATGTATATATACACATACACATATATGTATATATGTATATATACACATACACATATATGTATATATGTATATATACACATACACATATATGTATATATGTATATATACACATACACATATATGTATATATGTATATATACACATACACATATATGTATATATGTATATATACACATACACATATATGTATATATGTATATATACACGTATATACGTATACACATATATGTATATGTGTGTATATATATACACACACACACACACATATATAAATATATATATATATTTTTTGAGACAGAGGAGTTTCACTCATGTCACCCAGGCTGGAGTGCAGTGGCACCATCTCCACTCACTGCAACCTCCGCCTCCCAGGTTCAAGTGATTCTCCTGCCTCAGCCTCCCAAGTAGCTGGGATTATAGGCATGCACCACCATGCCTGGCTAATTTTTTGTATTTTTAGTAGAGACGGGATTTCACCATATTAGTCAGGCTGGTCTTGAACTCCTGACTTCAGGTGATCCACCCACCTTGGCCTCCCAAAGTGCTAGGATTACAGGGGTGAGCCACTGTGCCCATTCTATACTAGCAAATATTATTCCTCATTTTACAGATGAGGAAACTGAGGCCCAGAGAGTTTAAAGTAACTTGGCTAAGGTCACCTGAGGAGTAAGAACCAAGAGTGAAATCTCAGCAGTTGGTCCCAGGACCCATGCTCTTTGCCACCGCACTGACTCAGCCTGTCAGCTGTGTCTGTTCCACTCCTTTCCCAGTTCCTGGAAAAGTGTTTCCCAAGCTACATAATTCATCCTGCAATTCATGCGACATCTTTGCCATGTTTGATGACACGAAAAACAATAATGACTCCTATTGTATTCCAGCACTTGCCAATAAGAGACAGACTTTTAAAGAGCTTGGGACATGGTGCCAGGAAAATAGCTGAACCAAAGGTCTTCTGTATTTTGTCAGTAGAAGTGGAGTTGTGTGGGGTAGCACAATATGCATTTTCACTGCCAAGAAACTTGCATAATGATTTTCTGCCTCTTTAAAGGCCTGAATCTATTAAGGCTTTTTAATTGGTAAAGAGTAATACACGAAGCAAATGGAAGGTATTATCCATCCCCAGCATCTCTTTGTGTCATCTTTTCTCTAGGAACTGTTAAAATGTCTCAGTTCACTATGCATAAAAATTCGGAGTAATCAGTGTATTCTATAAAAATGCAGAGAAAAGTTTTAAGGAAATACACCAGATTATTAATAATAGTTATCTCTGGGTTGTTCTTGTTGTAGACTCAAATTTTCTATAATGGATATATGTCAACTTTGAATGCAGAAAGCACTTTTCCAATCAGGTTAAAATATATAAAGTTTTATAAAATCACATAACTACAATTATATTGAAACGTGTACATAGTAAAAGACTGGGAGAAACTGTTCATAGTTTTTTGTTTTTTGTTTTTTGTTTTCCTGGATGTAGAGAAATGAATATTTTTCTTTCTTCTACTTTTTGGAATTTTCCGATTTTTCTATAACAATCATTGTATTCGTCAGGATTCTTGATGAGAAATTACAGAAATAGACTCCAGCTACCTTGAGCAGGAAAGGATTTATTGTAAGAACATTAGGTAGTTCCAGCATCCTTCGGAATGCTGGAAGCTGTGGAAGGTTTAGTAGGAGGGATCTCAGCCAAGGTCAAACCACAGGGATGGTGTGGTTAGGCGGCTGCTGCCGGCACTGCCACCCCGGCACACACAGTCGGCGCTGCTGCCAGACTCAATGCCTGCACTGCCACCGTAAATACTCTCTTTTACTGTCCCTGTGTCTTTGCGTCACTCCCTGAAGGTCCAGATTTCTGGGCAGGATCATCTGACTTGCCAGTATCTATCACATGGCCATGTTCTAGCTGCCTGAGTGCAGGGAGAAAGACTGTCAGGCTCCAGTCTGGGTGCCCCCAAAATTCATACAATGGGGATCTTCCCAAACAGGCAGGGCGATCCAATGCAGGATAGCGCAAAAAAAGACAAATGGCCACAAGCAGGTATTGTTATTATTATTATTATTTGCAATGGCCCAAATCATACTACAGAGCAGATTTAAGAAAGGCACAAACCAGGCTGGGCACGGTGGCTCACGCCTGTAATCCTAGCACTTTGGGAGGCTGAGGCGGGCGGATCACGAGGTCAGGAGATCAAGACCATCTTGGCTAACACGGTGAAACCCCGTGTCTACTAAAAATACAAAAAATTAGCCGGGCATGGTGGCAGGTGCCTGTAGTCCCAGCTAATCGGGAGGCTGAGGCAGGAGAATGGCGTGAACCTGGGAAGCGGAGCTTGCAGTGAGCCAAGATCGTGCCACTGCACTCCAGCCTGGGCGAGAGAGTGAGACTCCGTCTCAAAAAAAAAAAAAAAAAAAAAATGGAAGGCACAAACCACCACAAGCAGGCATTGCTTTACAATGGAAAGAAAATGAATAAACCTTTTCTTTTTTGGTAAAAGATAGACTCTTTGTGTCATACAACATGGATCAGAGTGAATTTTACTTCACACAGTACGGGTTGAAGAACAGAGTTTATTAGGGCAAGTTACAGGCCAGGGGTCAGTAAGCGAAGTCACAATTGCTCCATCCTCCCATCATCCCCAGACAGGTGTGCCACTGTCAGATGCAGCAAGACAGAGTGGGTCTGTGCTTCCTTGGGAGGGACTTCATGCCCTCAGTTGCTCTCTTAGCAACTTTGTCAGTGGAGGTAAAATCAGACTTCCTGAGCACTGGGCAGTAGGAATTTGGAGTTCCAAGAGTTACCCAGGAAGGCTAATTTTCCAGTAAGAAGGATCCTCTCGGTGGGTAGAAGGGGTCAGTGAGGGAGACTGTGGGTCATAATATCCAAGTCTTGGCCCAGGGAAAAGGATGGGTGGACTATTCATGAAGCTAAGGAACACAGGTAGAGGAGAGGCAGGTTGAGGGGAAATTATGAGTTCAGTTTGGGACCTGCCGGGTCTGGCACACATATAAGTTAACCCCATACAAGGTTATGGTATGGTCCCTGTTATAAACTCTCACAGCAGCCTGAGGGTCTCCTTTGTATTGCTTATCCCAGTTGCAATTAGATAAATAATTTCATAATTAGCGTTGAATCTCCGCTCTGGATTGCAAGCTCCCTGGGGCCATCACACACCCAGGTCTAACCACTATGTTGCTAGAACCACCCCCCACCACGTGGCATAGGGTCAGGCACAGAGTAGGTAACCAATAAATGTGTTGAATCAATAAATGAATCCACCTGGAGCAACACAGCAGGCAGTCGGATTCATGGAAAGGAAATTGAGAGAAAGACCTGGGCTGAAGCTGTAGGTTCAGGAAAGTCCTGCACGTGGATAGCAACGGAATCCAGTGCTCTGGGTGAGCTGGCCCAGGTTGGTTGAGAAAATCAAAAGACCTAAGCCAGAACTCTGGGAGACACCAACATCCAATGGGTGCAAGGAACAGGTGCTGCTGCAAAGGCAGACAGTGAACTAAGAGATGATGGTGTTATGGAAGCTAAGGAAAGGCAGAGTTCTGAGTACGAAGAAGTCAACGGAGCCAAATATGGTTAGGTCTCGGAAACAGTAAACTCCGGTGATTACAAAGCACCTGTGTGCCAGGTACTTTTCTGACAGCTATATGTATATGAATGCACTTAATTCTCACAGCAATCACATGATAATTAGGGAAGTAATGTCATCATCATTTTCTCCCTATGATGGGGATACTGAGGCACAGAGAGAGGACCCAGCTAGGCTACCTGGTCCCCGAGCCTGTGCTCTTAACCATGATATATGCCACCTCAGAGAAGGGGTAGCAGATAAGTCACTGGTAACATTGACAAGAGCGATATCGGTGGCACTGTGGGGGTGATGCCACATGGCAGTGAGTCAAAAAGTGAGGCCAGGCACGATGGCTCACGCCTGTAATCCCAACACTTTGAGAGGCCAAGGCAGGTGGATCATGAGGTCAGGAGTTCAAGACCAGCCTGACCAACATGGTGAAACCCCGTCTCTACTAAAAATACAAAAATTAGCCAGGTGTGGTGGTGGACACCTGTAATTCCAGCTACTCAGGAGGCTGAAGCAGGAGAATCGCTTGAACCTGGGAGGCGGAGGTTGCAGTGAGCGGAGATTGCACCACTGCACTCCAGCCTGGGCGACAGAGCGAGACTACATCTCAACAACAAAAAAAAGTGAGTGGGAAGCAAAAGAGTCAAGGGCAGAAGTCCAGCCCCTTGCTACAAAGAGGGGCCCAGCTGCACCCCCACCACCTGGAGTCTGCATCCTCAGGTGATCTGTGCGCAAGGCAAAGTCTGAGAAGCACTGGATGAGATGACTCTTTTAGGAACTTTGGCTAAGAGAAGAAAGAAAAAGTAAAACATGGTGTTTAAGTGAGAGGCTTTTCTTTTTAGGATAGGAGAGGCATGACCATGCTTGTAAACTCAGAACTGTGGTTTGCAGCCCCAACAGCATATTCGAATCACCTGGTGTGTTTTTGAAAAACACCTGATTCCCTGAGGCTCGCCCCCAGAGAATCTGATGGAGTTTGTCTGTGTGGCCCAGATGATTGTAATGTGGGGGGGGGGGGGGTCTGAGACCCACTCAAGGAGAAGGCACAAGAAGGACTTGATGAGACCTTCACAGGGAAATGAGAAGGGACACGATGAGGATGAAGAAATGCAAAGGGGATGTTTTGGAAAAGGAGGAAAAGCACTCAGAGCAAAGCAGACAGAGAAATTTACAGAGGGCAGAGGCGTCAAGAAGATAGATGTTCAAAGGGAATCATGTTTGAGAGCCCATCATTTTTCTTTCTTTAACTAGGACCTCCATGGTATGGCAAGAATGGCACTTGAAACACTTAGATGGTGTTACTGGTCTGCTCAAAGGCTTCTGCCTGGCGTAGTAGGCTGTTGGTGATCCGGCCTCGCTCACCTCCAGCACACTAGGCTCTCTGTGTTCCCCTTCCTACAGCACAGTGATCATGTTCCGGTCTCTGGGCCTTTGTCCTTGCTGCTCTCATCTTTGGGCTGTTCCCCTCACCTCCCTTGGGTCCCCTCCAATGTTCTCTCCTCAGAGAGGACTCCTCTCATCACTCTATTCCTTTCCTCTGAATTGTTTCCTAACACTACCTCATGTCATATACCCACTTGCCCGTTTGTTTATGGTCTGCCTCCTCTGCCCGAACGAATGTAAGCCATGGAAGGAAGGATACGTCTTGCTCACAGTGGAATATCCACCACCGACAACAGTGAGGCCCAGAGGGGACACGCGGCAAGTTTGATGAGTGAATAAATGGCTGTTGCTGCTGCTTGGTGTAAATGCACAGGATGCTGAGATTAACAGGTACTTCTGAGAGTGCCTGGGAAAGGTGATGAGTGGGGGAGATTGCATGAGAGCGAGCTGATAAAGACCAGTAAATGGAAATCCTTACGGGCGCGGTCAAGGAGGGAGTGCAGGATTATAATGGCAGGAAAGACAGCAAACAGAGGCAGTTTATTGTGTGACTGATGATGTGTTTTTTGCACTAGACCACTTACTATGTGTGGCTCTGGGCGAACTTCTTAACCTTTCTAAGCCTCAATTACCCGATCAGTAAAATGAGGCTGATAACCATAGTGCCTTCCATCCAGGGTTGTGGTGGGGGTTAAATGAACTAATGGAGCCTGGCACCGGGTGAGCACCCAATAATTAATTGCTATGACGGATTCAAGATTGGGGGAAGAATGTGAAATGTTGCAATGCAAAGAGATGTTTCTGTAATCGTTGCGAATCTTGGTCCAAAACTTACTACCCTGGAATAGAACTTGTTCCCAACCACTCACCCACACAAACATGTCTCTGCCTTGCTAACGCCATCACCAGCCTTTTCTCCTCTCTGACTCTTCTGAGGTCTAGCCCAGCGCCTGGTACAATAAGTTTCTCCATAAGTATTTGTTGTTTTTCTTTGCACTTCTCACCAACAGTGCTGCCAAGATTTTAACCTGGTCAGGAGAATCTGGTCAGGCAGAGATTAGTGTCTCCAACCTTCCTAGGGGAGAATGGGCTAGGTAGAAAGATAGCACTCAGAGGGCTCTGAATCATCTATAAGGGTGGCATAGTCATAGGAGGAGAGTGGGTTTGGTCCACCAGAACCTCCCTAGGGAGCCATCTGCGTCCAAGGGCGGCCAGAGGCCAAGAAAAGGCGCTGAGGCCTTGGCTCCTTTAAGAGGCGTGGCCTCACTGCAGCCTCCGCAGAGGCGATTGGCTGAAGCTACCGGCCGCGTGGGGCGGGACTCGGTTGCCAGGGAGCGGCGCGGGAGCCCTGAGGGGACTGCGGCGGCTGCGCGGAGGAGCGAGGCACTTGCTGGGGTCGGGGCTGCGCGACGGCGCAGGGGCTGCGGGGAGCGCCGCGCAGGCCGTGCAGTTCCTAGCGAGGAGGCGCCGCCGCCATTGCCGCTCTCTCGGTGAGCGCAGCCCCGCTCTCCGGGCCGGGCCTTCGCGGGCCACCGGCGCCATGGGCCAGTGCGGCATCACCTCCTCCAAGACCGTGCTGGTCTTTCTCAACCTCATCTTCTGGGTGAGCGGGGCCGGGCAGAGCGAGGGGCCGGCGGCGGGGCCGGGCGAGGCCGCGGCGGAGGCGCCCGTGGGGGCCGGGCTTGGGCCTGGGCGGGCGCGCGGGGGCCGCGCGCGGGCCCTCAGGCGGCTGAGGCGAGGGGAGGGCCGGGTGTGAGGCCGCTTCGCGAGGTCCCTGCCGGACCAAGCCGGGAGCCTGGGCGCGGAGGACAGCGAGGGGAGGCCTTCAGGGACTCCACGGCCTCCAGCCGGCGCCTCCGCGCTCGGCCCACGCGGGCTGGCTCCGTGCCAGGCGCCCCAGTCTCCCCCCCCCGGAGTCGCCGGCTGGACGGAGAGCGCTTATTGCAGACTGTAGCAGGACGTCGGGCTCGAAATAGGATCTTCGCCAGAGGCTCAGGTTCCGCGCTCTTTGTCGGGGCCTCGCAGACGAGTGGCCGTCCCGAGGCGGGCAGATCCGCGGGGACGCTGCGGAGCCGGGGCGGGGGTTCCACTTAACGCCCTTTGTGTGTGGAGAACCGGCTGACTGTCACCAGCCCAGAAAATGAAGGGTTTCAACTCGAGGAGCCAAATAATCCATTGACCAAGAACATCGGTCTATTTGTTTTGGTCATGGGGGTGACCAAACTGTGAGATTATAACTCTTGGTTAAATATATGATGGAGATGTCACAAGATTTTGAAAGTGATGAGTTCACTTTCAATAAAAGGTGGCTTATGAATTTTTAAGGGGTACACCCTCTTTGAAAGGAATGTTTATGTCATCTTAGTTTGGGTCCTTATCTCATCAGGGACTTTTATAGTAACCTAAGTTGTTCCTATCCGTCTCTCCACCCTCCAGCCCATCTGGACTTTGCACCCGGATAAATCTTTTAAAACGTTTCCTCTATCACATCACTTGATCTGAAAATAAGGAAAACAGAAGCTTCAGCGGTAGAATAAGGTTCAACTCCTTCCCCTGGTCTTGGAGCAGAAGTCCTCAGTCTGGTCCCAAATCACCTTGCCTCTCTGAACTTGTCATTTCCTTAAACACTTGAGTGCCCTGGACAGATTGCTCTGTCCACAGTCGCCAGAGCACTCCTTGAACATTCCGGTTAACCATACTGTGCCTCTTCCTCCTCCCCATTCAGCTCCTCCCTCCCACGCATACGCACACCTGTTCTGGAAAGAATCCTTTCCTCCTCCCCCGACCCCCCAACAAGGGATAAAACTTCATATCCTGACAGCTGTCTCATAAAAGGATGGTTATATGTTAAAAAGCACTTGCTACACACTTGTATTGCCAGAGTCCTTCGGGGCGTTTGTGTGTGAAGAGTCCTAACTGGGAGGTAGTAGCTGTTGGCAAACACCCAGGCGACATTGGCATTTCCGTGATTTCTTCTTTTCCAATTAGAGCAGTGTTTCTTATACTTTAATTTGAGTTACAGGCTTATTTATTTATTTTATTTTATTTTTTCAGTTTCTTGAGTTTATTGTGAAGAATGAAATGCACATATAGAACCAGTTCCATTAGCAAAAGTCGTATCAGTCTTCTCTTTGTAGATGTGGCATGATTTGTGAATCTGACCATTATAAGGGCATCTTTTGCTAATTTAATACGTATCTATATACCTACTGCTACTTATGCATCCATAACATTTTTTATTCCATAAAGAGAAATGTATTCTACAATGATTAAGTCATTAATTCTCATAGCATCTCGTTATAAACCAGGAGTCAGCAATCTCTGGCCCAAGAGCACAAAACGGTTAGCTACCTGTTTTTCTACAACCTGAGAGCCCAGAATAATATTTACATTTCTAAATGACTGGAAAACAAATGAAAAGAAGAATACTATTTCTTGGCATGTAGAAATTATATGACGTTCTCCTACCATTCGACCCAGCAATCCCACTACTGGGTACATACCCAAAGGAATATAAATCATTCTGTTATAAAGACACTTGCACGCATATATTCACTGCAGCACCGTTCACAATAGCAAAAACATGGAACCAACCCAAATGGCCATCAGTGGTAGACTGGACAAAGAAAATGCGGCACATATACACCATGGAACACCACGCAGCCACAAAAAAGAATGAGATCATGTCCTTTACAGGGACATGGATGGAGCAGGAAGCCATCATCCTCAACAAACTGATGCAGGAACAGAAAACCAAGCACCGTGTGTTCTCACTTATTTTTTATTTATCTTTTTTAAGAGTTACAGGCTTTTTTAAAAGGAAAAATAATTTTCAGGGGTCCCCAAATGAGAAACACGTTGTCAGCTAGTAAGCTACCTAAGAGGTAAAGATGTGGCTTTGTACTCTTTACAGTTCCTTGTGAATTTATGGCCATAACTATTTGATTTTGAAGAATATTAGGTGAATTCTAGGTTATTCAAGCTCAGGGACTGGAATTGTTCATGTAACAAAATATTGGAAATACAGTAACCATTTTCTTTAAATTAGATTTTTATTTACTCTAAAATATCAGTTCTAAGTGACTCCTCTGAATCTTTGGATATTGTGTAAATATATGTACTGTTATTCCAGTGAAGAAAGTTATTTTGAACTTCAGTGGTGCTTTTCATAGCGGGTTATTGCCAAGACTGAAGTGGTAATGTTTAGTAAAAATATGCTTTATCTTGGTTAGTAGGGTAGTAAAGTTTTTGTGAGCTGTGATAAGGAAGTTAAGCAGATACGCTGGGGGCAAATGTGTCACAGTGCAATGTAGCTAATGAGGAAACAGCATTAGGTATGTCTCCCAAGAAAGTATTAGTTTGTGGACTAACTGTGGGAATCTGATGATGATGGGTAATGGCAACTAACATTTGAGTTACTATACCCCAGGCACTGTGCTAAACACTTTACATGGCATATCCTCACAGCTTTCCCATCTAGCAGGGAATATTAGGTACATTTTAGAGGAGAACATTAAGGTTGACTGAGCCAAAGTAGCACACCCAAGGTGTGATACAGCCTGCGTTCAAACCCAGGTTGTCCCATACTCTAGAGACTGTGATGTTAGGACAAAGTGTGATTTCAGAAGATTTGTAAAGAGAAGAAAGTTGTTAGAATCACTTCTCTAAAGCATGCTGATTTTGAGATTGCTAAAATTAGAAACTGTACCAGAATTTACATGACACTTTGTTTGGTTTTGAATTAAGTCATTATGAGGAAGTACATTAAAAAATGTTAAAAGGTTCTTCCTGGGAATTTGTAATGCATTCTTCAGTTCTAATAAATGTATTCTTATATGCTGGCCCCTCCCTCCTTTTAATGCCTTGAGATGATGAATAAGTGGAAGAATAAACATACTCTCCATAGAGCTTATCAAATGTTTACCTAGGTTCCCTTGGGCAACTGTAGGCAATAAAAACTATGTTGCATTGGCTCTTCACTGTCAGATGGTAATGGCTGATTGTTAACAAGGGTCAAAGTTTAATTGCTTTGGCAAGACCTTTAAACTACACTTTCTTATGTCTTGATATCCTGATTCTGCTGGCATTTTGTTCATTGAACTGTGACATGGAGATAGATATATACCTGAAATACTCAGGCTGTAAATTATCTGACAGCTAAAATCGTTACTGTTGATTTGGTGTAGATAGTTTGGAACAATGCTGTAATAATGTTACTGTGGAAAGGCACAAACCAAAAGCAGAAACAATCATTTCTAAAATCCTGAAATTTGTCTTAATGGAAATAGGGAACTCCTGCTATGGTTAGAATGTTTGTCCTTTATAAAACTCATGTTGAAACTGAATCCCCAATGTGGCCGTATTGAGAGATGGGGCCTTTAAGAGGTGATTGGGTCATGAGGGCTCTACCCTCATGAATGGATTAATCCATTCATGGATTAATGGATTAATGGGTTTTCATGGGAATGGGACTGGTGGCTTTATAAGAAGAGGCAGAGAGACGTGAGCCAGCATACTCAGCCCCCTCACCACGTGTGATGTCCTGGGCCACCTCAGGACTTTGCAGAAGGCCCTGACCAGCTACGGCCCCTTGACCTTGAACTTCTCAGCCTCCATGTATGTAAAAAAATTTCTTAAATTACCCAGTTTCAGGTATTCTGTTCTAAGCAACAGAAAACAGACTAAGACAGTTTCTCACCAAATTCTAGAATATTAAGATTTGTAGCTTGAAAGATAATCTTGGACAAGTGAAAGGATGTACAGCTTGGATCATCTTGGATCTCTGTTTTTATGGAATGATGAGGCTTTAAATATAAGTGTATTCATGCTGGACCCATGAGGATTTATTGAAGAAGGTTAGAAGTGTTTTAGGTAAATGACTAAATTTTAAAGGCTTTTTTTTTTTTTTTTTTTTTTTTTTTTTGAGACGAAGTCTTACTCTGTCGCCCAGGCTGGAGTGCAGTGGTGCGATCTTGGCTGACTGCAGCCTCTGTCTCCCGGGTTCAAGCGATCTTCCTGCCTCAGCCTCCCGAGTAGCTGGGACTACAGGCGTGCGCCACCATGCCCAGCTAATTTTCGTATTTTTTTAACAGAGACAGGGTTTCACCATATTGGCCAGGCTGGTCTCGAACTCCTGACCTCTTGATCCATCTGCCTTGGTCTCCCAAAGTGCTAGGATTACAGGCGTGAGCCACCGCGCCCAGCAAAGGCTATTGTATTAAATAGGCATTAGCCTATTCTGTAAACTGCACCTTTGTACCAAGGTCAGACAGGATTTTTAGTTTGGTAAGTCATTTAATCTGACCAAAGAGGGCTCGTCTAAAACAAGTTTAAATCAGTACTTCCTACCATTAAGTTTTTATTCCGGTAAATTAATTGATTATTTAATCAAGTCCTATGTTATACAAATTACCTTTACTTTTTTTTTAAACCCTATTAGAAAAACTAATTGGCTAATACTTATTTTGCTCATATTTATCTTAGGCATTACAGGGACTGGAACAGAAAGCTTTGTCCATGCTTATAGAATTTATAATCTTAAATATCTATTTAGGTTGTTGTTTTTCATCTGAGAGGTGATAGTATAAAACTGAGACACCTGTAGAGTGGGGGAAGTACCGCAAAAAAGTCAAACGCCTTTTAAATAAATGCCTTTAGAAATAGCTTTGGAACGTGGCACCTTCACTAACCATCATTCATTCATATGAAATACTTCACACATATAAATTGTAGTTGAAAGCCATATGTAACCTTTAAAACTTATCCTGCCTTTAAAAATAAAACTTATCAGCCAGGTGCGGTGGCTCATGCCTGTAATCCCAGCACTTTGGGACGCCAAGGGTGGCAGATCACCCTCCTGACTAACACGGTGAAACCCCGTCTCTACTAAAAATACAAAAAATTAGCCAGATGTGGTGGTGGGCACTTGTAGTCCCAGCTACTCGGGAGGCTGAGGCAGGAGCATGGCGTGAACCCGGGAGGCGGAGCTTGTAGTGAGCGGCGATCGAGCCACTGCACTCCAGCCTGGGCGACAGAGCGAGACTCCATCTCAAAATAAATAAATAAATAAAACTTATCACGCTTATGTCTGTGAATGTATATAATTAAGGAAAATTTGCTTTGTTAAATATAACACTACTATTTGAGCACCTACTTTGTGCTTATATTGTTGATAAATGATGAAAAGACAGTGAAAAATCCCTATTCTTACAGAACTTACTTTCCGGTGAAGCAAGACACACAAAAATAAACAAGAAAAATGATCAGAGTGATGTGTTATGCAGAGAATTAAAGGGTGATGTGATAAAGTGATTGGGTCGTGCTTTATGTTGGCAAAAAAAATCTGGAGTATAAGAAGTTGCTGACTTGGGTGATTTGGAAGAGATTGGGAGACTGGGGGGATTCAGAACTGAAGGAACAGGCTGTAGGCTGTAAGGCAAAAATATACTTGCTATGTTCAAATTACTAAGAGGTTTATACCGTCATGCTTTTGTTTAAAAAATAAAACTTTATAATGAGGTATTTCAAGTGTGGTTCTCCCTTGTCACAAATCTTGTACATACTTTGTGTTTTCCAGCACATCCTACACATTCGAGGTGGTAATATGATACTTTTAAACCGGAACCTGCATCTGATATCCTGGAATTTGTTTCTCTACTTCCTGTATTTCTCCTATCATGAATGACTGCTCTGACAAAGAATATGTCATGGGACACACCTTCAGCTAACTTTGCTTTTTCATGCTTGTTTTCAATTCACTAGAAGAAAATCTAACTTGTCAGGAAGCAAGTACATAATAGGAAGTGTCTGTCTTAGTTTGTCTTCAACAGTTAAGAAAATGAATGTTTCCACTCTTACTACATTCTTAGTCACCTGTCCACTGACCAAGAGCCTTGTGGCCCTGAGTAATCATTTAGAACTTGGAATCAGCAGGGGCGCTCTCTCTAGTTGCAGTTTAGGGAATGGGTTATTAGCTTTCTAGGATATTTATCATGCTTTGAAATAATTTAATGAATTTTATTCCATAAGATCCAATTCAGGTTAGGCTTGTTTGATTTTTTTTTTCAGAAAATGTATTCCATAAAGTTTGTACTTAGACCAGACGGGTGTACTAAGAATCATTCATGAGTAAATGTGTGTTGAATATCTACCCTTGACCTTTTTTTGAGAAATAGAGTAAACACAGTCCCTGTAGTCTGACAGCTAATGGGGAGAGAGGGTAGACTTTTCATCGAATTAAATTTCTACATGCACCTTTCCCCCAGAAATCTTACTCATGGCTGGTCTCAAGTAAGTCTTTATTGAAAAATATTGACATATCTTCTTCCTCTTCCTTCTCCTCACTGTCTTCCTTTTAGTAGTTAGGCAGAGTTAATAGGTAAGAAAAATTATCTGCATTTATGTGTAGTTTGTAATCTACTAAAGGGGTTCTAGAATAAATGTTGACATTTTGTAACTTACATTGTTGTTGCTACTGATTAAACACATAACCCAAGTGTGGATGAACTCTAGCATTACAAAGCTTAAGCACCTCAGGCTCCTATGATGTTGTAATGGACTCTTTTTACAATTAGAGTAGGGTGGGGTAACAGAGGGTCTCAAAGAAAATGCATATTTAAATTTCAGGCTTCTCAGATAACCTCTGGAGCCCTACTGTCTGGAAACAGCCAGTTTCCATGCTGTTACAATAATTTGGCAATGGCAATTGGTTAATCTCCAGTTTCTTTGCCACCTGAAATTTTGAGTTGTTCAGCCAGTAGATATTGGATTAAATAGAACAACTTTGTTAAGCTGGTTTAATAATGATTATGAAAAACCAAATAGAGAAAAGGTGAAAATAAGGCAGAATTGAGGAGCATGACCTTTGGCATATCATCAGAGTAATAGCAGTAAAAAGGATTAAAATATTTCTAATTTAAGAATAATGGCAATAATAATAGTGATGTTGATGGCAAAAGTGGCTTGTCAGAACTTTAAACTCTTAGCCAGGCTTGGTGGCACATGCCTGTAATCCTAGCTACAAGTAAGACTGAGATGAGAGGATCCCCTGAGGGAAGGAGTCTGAGGCCAGCCTGGGCAACATAGCAAGACCCTGTCTTAAAAAAAAAAAATAGAATTTTCTCATTAGTATAGTGGTGAGTTAAAAAAACACACATAAAACTTTACACCCCAATTTAAGTAGGACTTTAAAAAAAACTTGTCTCCTTGAAAAGTAATATTTATGAGAAAAGGAACATAATGTACATTGAAAGAATTGTGTTAGATAATCAGAAAACATGTACAGGATGAGTCAAAGCCACACAGACCTGAGAAAAGTGGTAAGTGGGAGAGATTGGCAGAGGTGCCTAAAATATTTAGGATGGAAGAGGTGTCTGTTTTTGGTTGGTTAAGGACACATCCAGGAATGAATTCATTGGTGAGAGAACATTAAAGCCTCAATTTCAGACATAATTTTAACTATTATTCTAATTATGCAAGTAATATATTTTAAAGAAGACACTAAAAGTATTTTAAAAAGCAAACTGGTATCACCCATAATTCTACCACCCAGAGACAACCAATATCAACATTTTGGTTTGTTTCCAATATGTGATATATGTGTTTTTTCCCCTATCACACCACAAGCATATTATTAAATGATGCTTTAAGAAAATATTTCAGGGCTGAATGCAGACACACCTCTGAATACCAGGGCTTTTTCATTTTCATTTTTGCAGCCACAATTTCATTACAACATCTCGATGAATTACCTTTTACACAAATCTGTGTTTCTGACTAACTTTCTAAAGGATAGATTCCTGGAAGTGGAATAAGTAGGTATAAAGGCATCAATGCTGAGGCAGATATGTATTGCCAGATTGTTTCCAAAAAAATGATTCTCTATTAGTTTGTGCTTCCGCCCATCTGAGGGCCCTTCTCTCTGCACCCTCACACATCTTTGAATACTCCTTAACTTTATTGCTGATCAGTTTGTTAGGTAGAAAATGATAGTATTTAATAGCTTCAGAAATTCTTGGTAAGAGTAGCTTTAATTTCTGAAAGAGGATTTGGAGTCTTTGGAATGGCCTTTTTTCCTTGAGAGTTGGTAGGAGAGTAAATGATATATTCAGGTAGTGGACTTACATAAGAAGTAGTTGTGTTTAGTGACGTAAACTGTTCTATCAGATTAAGTCAGAGGTGAAAGCATGGTTGAATTAGAGAATATACATTATGGCAAGTAGAATGCTAAACGATTTAAGATGATTTTAAGACACTTGTAATGGCATAAGGGTGAAGTTTGGGGAAGCTTTCAGAAATCCACTGTGTGGAATTACCAACGATTCTTCCCAGGAGAGAAAAGAGGTATATGAAAAATAATATGACAGTACAGGAAACTCTGGATTTAATGTTAAAAAGATATATGCATAAGATGGATTCCTGCCTATTTTTTCCCTCTGCTTTTAAAACCTGCTTTCTTACAAAGTCTAGAGTACAGCATTTTTTGCTCAGTCTTTTACTTCTTGACTTTTTTCCTTTCTCTCAACACTCCAGTCACTTCTACTTTACTAATTGATTCTTTGGCAAAAATCACTCCGAAGGGAGCAGTTCACACAGGCAAGCAAGAATTTGTCAGGCACTGTGCTTTTAGGTGAATAAAGTCCAGATGGTGCCTTGTCTTTACATTGTTTTGATTCTTGCCAGTTCTAGATGGGAATCATCATCAATGGCTACTACATACCACTGCAAGAAAATCACTTCTATTCTTTGCTTCAGCTTCGCCCAAAATGTCCTGTGGGATGCTTTCGCCTTTGTATTTCTAAATCTCCATGTAGGTATACTTTTGGCAACAGAGCTACTTTATCTCCCCACTTGTAGCAAATCTGTTTCATTTTTAATATTGCCACATTCCAATGGCAGGTTACACCGTGGTTGATGAAAAGGAATTTAATAGTTTTACAGATTTTAACTTTTTTTTTTTTAATTTTTTGAGACTGAGTTTTGCTCTTGTTGCCCAGGCTGGAGTGCAGTGGCGCAATCTCGGCTCACTGCAACCTCTGCCTTCCAGGTTCAAGCGATTCTCCTGCCTCAGCGTTTCTGAGTAGCTGGGATTACAGGCATGTGCCACCACGCCCGGCTAATTTTGTATTTTTAGTAGAGACGGGGTTTCTGCATGTTGGTCAGGCCGGTCTCGAATTCATGACCTCAGATGATCTGCCGGCCTTGGCCTCCCAAAGTGCTGGGATTACTGGTGTGAGCTACTGCGCCTGGCCCAGATTTTAACATTTTATCTACTTGTCTCTTTCATAGAATATTTGAAAATTACCCCCCCAAAAACTAGTTTCTAAGCTATGGAAAAAGCAATCTCATATAAGAATGAAATCTCTTTAAGATATTTCACATTTGTGCATATGTAGAGGAAGGGTAAAAGCATAAAATGAAGTATCATACTTTTGGAACTCATATACTTGCAAAATTTTATAACAAGATGGCTTTATTTTTTAGACAGCTTAGTGGAAAAGCACTGGCTCTCCTAAAGTTTTAAAATGTTGTGACTTAATTTAGAGTATAGGCTTATTAAAAGATAAAGAATAATGGTTTTTTAAAAATTATTCTTTCTGTAATTTCAGACCTCAGCCTTTTGCCTAAATTTCCTTTCACTTCTTTGTAAAAAGGATGAATATTTTTAGTACACTGTCCTGGCACAAATCCTCCTTACAGGCTCAGATTTTCTCAGTGGTGACTAAAGCAGTTCAGCTGCTTCCAAGTTCTACATTTCATCTCCTTTTCTGTTGCACCTCCCTCCTCCCCAGCCCCCTCCTTTGCAGCTGCTTTATTGGCAAAGCTCAGATCCTTTGATAGATCTCAATCCCATCATGGCCCTTCAAAAGAAGAATTTAAGCTCACCTTTTATATAGCTTTTCTGATAGCCACAATTTCTGCATTAAAAATCTGAGGGATGACAAAGTCCCTATGCATACTAGTTAGGAATTTCTTAGAACCTCTCTTCCATTTACTATACTGTTTCCCATGTTCTTTTGGGTGTTTTTCATATTGATGGTTGGATATCATTACAACAATTACTTTTGGCTGTTTTTAGGTCTTCAGCTGCTACTGGGATACCTCTTCTATATTTTCAAAGTAACCAGTGTCATTTCATAATTGTTTATTATACAGCTTAAGATATAAGCACCATATACAGATTTCAGTAAAAGCAAAATTTGAAGCTGTTTTCAATTTAGGAAACACATCGTCTATTTATAAGCAATTTGATGTGTATAGTTTCATATCAGCAATCCGTGCAGTTTTCTCTTTGGTGTGTGCAACTAGTAAGTTCCTTTAACTATATGTTGCCAAATAGAGCTTTGTTATGTTCTCATCTTGTTGTGTGACTTGGATGTTGACTGCAGCCTGGGAAAAAAAACTGTTGTAGAGTCTATCAGAAAAGAAGAGGCAGCTTTACAAATGGCATCTCCCCACAGCCCTCCATTGCATTTGTTGTGCATCTGGTTGTCTCTGTTGCTGGTTTTTCTGCTTTCTTGTAGTCTCAGTTTCAGATGAGTGCCTCTTTTAGGGGGGAGAGGCAGTGGCAGCAGAGGAAACATTTCCCTTGGCCCACCTCCAAGCAGCACTAAGTGTGAGTCTCATAGGAACCTCTTTAGATTGAAAACTCATCAATTTATATCTAAAATGCAAGTAGTTCTTCAGTGAACTGTGCTTCAGGTTGATTGTTAAGTACATATGGCCTCCAGTTTTCTCTTATTTTCATTCGAATTTACATAGGCTAAAGCTAGTGAAGTTTCAGTAGGTGTACCGAAAGCTCAGAAATGGAATTCATTTTAACTCAAGCCTTTTAAGAAATAAATACTGCCTTTTAGAGTAAAAAAAACCTACAACATTAAAGGATAGAGAAACGTCTAATAAAAACAAATGACAAAATTTGATTAATTTGCACTTCAGATTGCTTCTAATTTAGCGTGAGGACTGATACTATTTACTTTAGCAAAATGTGTGTGTGTACATGTGTGTGAATATATATCACACAAGTAGTCAATAAAAAGGGGTATTTGGGAAGAGTGTTAAGTAGTTGACATACTTCTGTAATAAATGCACCCAAATTAAAATTAAGCTATGTCTGGCCAGGCGCAATGGCTCACGCCTGTAATCCCAGCACTTTGGGAGGCCGAGGCGGGCGGATCACGAGGTCAGGACATCGAGACCATCCTGGCTAACACGGTGAAACCCCGTCTCCACTAAAAATACAAAAAATTAGCCAGGTGTAGTGGCGGGCGCCTGTAATCCCAGCTACTCGGGAGGCTGAGGCAGGAGAATGGCGTGAACCTGGGAGACGGAGCCTGCAGTGAGCTGAGATTGCGCCACTGCACTCCAGCCTGGGCGACTGAGTGAGACTCCGTCTCAAAAAATAAATAAAATAAAATAAAATTAAGATAAATTAAACTATTTCTCTTCTCCACTCCCCCCCACTTTTGTGCTCACCTTCATTCTCTAGTACCATGCCCCAAAAGCAAATATGTCAGTGAACTCTGAGAACCTTTGAACAGGCAGTTTGCTGTAAGTACAGTGTTTATATTTATGACATATTTACGATATATTAACATATTCCAGATGTAATGGCCATCAGAATTCAGCAAGCTGGATTCAGTTGCCAAATAATTGAATAGTGAACTAAAAGCTATAAGCATTGAACTGAAGAGAAACCAGATACAAACCAAATACAAATACAAACCAACGCAAATACAAACCAAAGCTTATGATAGAGTTGGGAGGGTGATTTCAAGGGAAAGGGGTGAGATGAGGTGTACTCAATAAACTTTAACTGATACCTGCTGTCTGCCAAGTACTGTTCTAGATGATACAAGGGTGAAGGACAGATGGGTACAATTCGTGCTCTCAAGGTGTGTTGAGACAGGTATAGCTATAATTGCAACCGTTTCGATAAATATTCTGTTAGAACCATGCACTGGGAGATGTTTGTGTCCACCAAGGGCAGCTAATCCAGCCTGAAATGGTCAAGAATGGCTTCCAAAAGGAAGAGGTAACATTTAAGCTTCATCTTAATGAGCGACAAGGAGTTCCCAGGCATTTGAAGAGAGCATTCTAGAGAGAACAGCGGAGGCAAAGAAGTGAGAGAATATGTGGTCCATTTGGGTATAACAGTTCTATATTGTTCATAGTTCACAAGGGGTAATGAGATCTGGGGCTGAAAAGGAGGAATAGCTTGGTTCATCGGGGACTCACTTGCCTCATCCTGATTTTAAGTAAGGCTATGGCTTGATCTGGTTTGTATTTTTAATAAATATAACCCTGGTAGTATAAAGAATGTATTAAGATGCAGGGAGAGTCAATAAGTAAGATTTAGGGGGATAAGATAAGGCCCAAATTAAGACAGAAGCACTGCAGTGGGGTTGAAGAGGAGTTGAGGTATTCGAATAATGTTTTGGAAGTAAAGTTGAAGTTTTGTGATTTATGGGTTATAGAGGTGGGGCAAGGAAAGTTAATCCTCAGATGTTTGACCAGAAAAATTAGATGTCTGGTACCTTTTGCTATGATAGGAATGTAAGGGAAGATTAGATGGGCTGGGCAGGAAGGCAGAAAGGGTTTGAGACAGGTTGAGGATGACATGTCTCTGGAACTTGCAGATGGAAATGTGTAGTTCTGAGATGATAGCTCAGGTAGTGAGCTACAATGACTAATGAAGCCATAGCTGCTGTAGCCCACGGAGAGCCCAGAGAATGACTAAAGAATAAGGCCGAAGACAGAATCCTGGAGATCACTAACATCTCAGAGTCCGTGAAGAGAATGAAAAAGTGAGCACCTGGGGAAGTAGGAAGAAAACCAGCAGTGGGGCCTCTTGGAAGCCAGAGGAAGAGAGTTTTAAAACAATGTTTTTAAAAATTGCCTTCATTATTCTAGTTGTCTTCTCACTTTAAAAAGTTCATGTTACATTTTAAAAAATCAAATTACTTTCCCAAATTTACATAAATGGAGTCTTTTTCTTCCTCATCTGACAGTGATCCTAATGGCCTAGTGTAAAAAAATATACTGATGATCCCCAAGCTTACTGAATTTCATAAACTTAAATGATCTGGGTTTTCAGGTTCAGAGAAGTTAATGATATTTCCAGTATCACTGTGGCAGCTGTTTCTAGTTTGAAGATGATTTATATGTTAAATTTTAAAGGATGATGAAATACTTCTTGTGAAAGTTTCAAAGTACTCTACAAATGATAACTCATTGTTATCCAAGTGATAACCAAATGTTTTAACACTTACTCTGACACTGCATTTGCTTGTTTGTATATGAGCCAGTGGCATTGGGCTGTCAGCACAGAGCTGGTACCCAAAGATAGCAAAATTGACAATAGCGGAGAAAGTAAGACTCTGCAGCTGGAGAATGATGCCTGGAGCAGCAGCTGAAATAAGACACACCTATCACTTGTCTTTGTGTGTTCACTTTCCCTTTAGGTCTTTAATACCTTGTTACTCAGAGTGCGCTCCAAGAAGAAGCTGCACCAGCATCACCTGGGAACTTGTTAGAAATGCAGACTCTCAGGCTCCTCCTCAGACCTCCTGAATCAATCTGCTTGTTATTCAGATCCTCAGGCAATTCCTATTCACTTCAAAGTTTGAGAACCACCATTCTAAAGAATTGATAGAGGACTTGCAGTGTTCTTTAATGACTGAGCCCTCTAGCTTTGCCATTTCACTGTCTCTAGGACAGCAAGATTTTTGGAAGTGGGGTGGGTATCATGCTTACTAGTTGGTGTATTTTCTTTTCCTTGAGGTGGGGTAGATAGAGATTAGAAGTGTAGATTCTGGAGTCAGATTGCCTGAGTTCAAATCCAAGCTCTGTCATTTCTACCAAATTTCCCCACTTATTGAGGGCAACTGTAGTGAGCAAAGATCCCCCTACCACCATACTGATCCGTATTGGATGTGGAATTGAGCTACAGTAAGCCTTTAGGGATGTGTAGGTGTGTGTCATCATCATTGTTATTATTTGGTTATGGTTTCTTGGTCCTAGCTGAACCATCAATTCGTGAAAAGTAGGTGAAGTGTGGATAACTTTTTAATTTTATCTAGTATAGAAATGCTCTTAACAAGGAATCATAGAATTTTCAGCTTTACTGAAAAAAGTCTATAACAGTTACGGTAACTCTCATTAAATTATACCATACTAAGCAATAATAGGAAATTTTTACCAGCAGTGCTTAGAGACCAGTACTGACTTTGTTTTCTACAGGGGGCAGCTGGCATTTTATGCTATGTGGGAGCCTATGTCTTCATCACTTATGATGACTATGACCACTTCTTTGAAGATGTGTACACGCTCATCCCTGCTGTAGTGATCATAGCTGTAGGAGCCCTGCTTTTCATCATTGGGCTAATTGGCTGCTGTGCCACAATCCGGGAAAGTCGCTGTGGACTTGCCACGGTAAGATGTGTTGTGAGAACATGCAGGAGTATTTAGTCTATGCTACTCTCCTTGAACATGAGACTCCTTGGCTCTTATAGTTGGAACAGAGTTAACATTTAAACTTCTAGCAATTATCTCTGATAACTTTTTTTAAATCAAGAGTGTATTTAAAGTTATTTTTTCATTTGTATATAATTTTAAACCATGTTTTCTTACAGTTTGTCATCATCCTGCTCTTGGTTTTTGTCACAGAAGTTGTTGTAGTGGTTTTGGGATATGTTTACAGAGCAAAGGTATGTTGTCTACTGTAATTCACATAATGCCTTAAAAGGTGGTTTAAGTGTTTCAAGTAAAATAGAACACATTCATTTTATCAGAGTAAACATTTTCTTTTGCCTTACTTGTTTAATCTGTATTTCAAATATCTAAAGTTAATTGGCAAATATTTACATGTCAAGACTCCTTACCTCATTTAATATAGCAGAGTGTTATATATGTATTGTTCTTGATTATAGGTATTTATAGCTGCAAATGAATAATTAGCTGAGAAGTTTGTTCAGATTTCCTCAGCACACAGATTGCCTATATGAGGGGAGGCATAATTTTCTGATTTCTGCTTTAGAAGAACCAAACTCAGAATTGCGTTTTCCATTGTCTCTTTAAAAAATGCTTTGGTCCTAAACATAGAAAAAGGTGTTGTGAGTTGTGATCCCACCTTCCACCCCTGTCCTGAGGAACAAGGGGTCCTGCCAACTTAGAACACCAAGGCAGCTGGTGCCAGCACTCCTTTCTTGCCCTTCATTCTTTTTAATCATTTCACCGTTCCTTCCTTTCTATTTTGCCTGATTTTGCTGTCTACCTGTAGTACTACTTAAGGCTAAACAGGCTGCTTTAAATTAATTAATATGGGTATAATTTTAGAGGCATGGTAAAGACATAATAGACTCATTCTCATTATAACTTAATGGTTTTGAGTCAAGGGCATAATATGCCAAGTTAATTTTCAGATCATTGATACGTAAGGTACTGTAAAGCTGTGCTAAAAAAAAAATGCAATGGATTATGTCCCTACCTATGATCTGGTTATCAATTTTATGGACTTATGATATTACTGTTGTAATTACCAGATAAGTCCAGTCCTCCGAGGGGTAAGGAGGATCTGGTACAAGCAAACTTTACTAAGTGATACTTGCTTGCCATTTTAGTAATTGGCAGCAATAAGCTATGAAGCTTGTTTCCTGTCTCCTTTTTGCAATACATTGAACAGTAGCTTTTTCATAAAGTGCCATTTCTAAGGACTGATTTTTTTAAACCTGCCGATTACTTTTGCACATTTAGCCAACTCTAAACGTTGAATAAATAAAATGGAAATAATGTTGGCATTTGTCCTAAAAGTATCTTACAGGAGCTTCAGAGTTACTTTGTTTTACCTCCTTTAGGAAAGGAAAATGAGTAACTTATTTGTAAAAGGAAGGCATCCATTTATAATTTAGGACATCTATCCCAAGCCTCAACTTTTCTCCCTTTTGAATACATTGTTAGCCTGCCATTTTGCACACAATCTTCTCTTTGAATGCTTGAATGTATGTGGTATATGTCTGAATTTTTACCTGTCACTTTTCTCCCTCCTGCCTTCATCTATATCTATATGAAGATGAAGGCAGGAAGGGAGAAAACTTTACAGGAAATTCATAGATATCTGGCAACTTGCAAACATTTCATTTAAGTATTTTAGTAGGAGCCTTGACTAATGTTACTTTTACTAGTATTTTTGAGGGACTGAATTCTTTGTTCTGATTCAGGTGGAAAATGAGGTTGATCGCAGCATTCAGAAAGTGTATAAGACCTACAATGGAACCAACCCTGATGCTGCTAGCCGGGCTATTGATTATGTACAGAGACAGGTGAGCTTTCTTGAGGCAGATTTGTTTTTGAGGACCAATCACGATTGGGTCAACATTAAACTAACTGCTATTTCTGTGTAAATTAGCCATGTTTCTTCACATACATGGCTATCCTGATGTGACCAATATTTTTCCCCAACCTTCACCCTTGAAAAGTTTATTTCATCACCTAGCCAGATGAGAAACATCTTGAACTTTTTTTTATCATCTGATTTCCCCTTCCCTGACCCCAGTCTGTACTCTCCCAAAGTACTTAGCCAAAGGGGTGATGACGCAAGAGAGAGGTATGTGTCACAGGAAAGGTGGGAGTCCAGATTGACTCCAGGGGAGGTGGGAGGTCTATATATACCTTTAGAAAACAAGATAAGAAAAGGCAACAGAAAAACTGTCAAAAAAAAGTTGTTATGGACAGTCTGATACACACAAAGGTAGAAAGAATAGTGTAATAGATGTTTGCACCCCGACCTTGCCTCAGTAATATCAACTTTTCGTCAGTCTTATTGCCCCTACTTACTTTTTGCTTCATTATCTTAAAGCAAATCTCAAAATTTTTAAGACCAAATATTTTAAATACTTTGTCATTGGAAATAATATTTAACATGGAACCAGATATTTAACATGTAAGACATGAAGATTTTCCTTAGTTAGAAACTACCGCTTATAGGCAATGTACTTTTCTTTTCTTTTTTTTTTTTTTTTTTTTTTTTTTTTTTTTTTTTTTTTTTTGAGATGGCGAAATTTCACTCTTGTTGCCCAGGCTGGAGTGCAGTGGCGCGATCTTGGCTCACTGCAACCTCCACCTCCCGGGTTCAAGTGATTCTCCTGCCTCAGCCTTTGTATTTTTAGTAGAGACGGGGTTTCACCATGTTGGTCAGGCTGGTCTTGAACTCTTGACCTCAGGTGACTCGCCCATCTCGGCCTCCCAAAGTGCTGGGATTACAGGCGTGAGCCACTGCACCCGGCCTGGCAATGTACTTTTCATATGGAGATTCTGGAGCCACTAGCCATGTCTGGCTGTTTACATTAAAATTTAAAATGCAGTTTTCTAGTCACACTAGCCACAATTTAAGTGCTCAGTAGAGCTTCATGTGGCTAGTGGCTGCTATATTGGATCATGCAGACTTTCCATTATAGAAAGTTGTATCGGACATCACTGGTCTAGAGTAGCTTATTTTAAAGCTCTGTAGTACATGGAACTTCAGGTATTTGGTTTTTGTGAGAAATAATACTTATTCTCTTCTCCTTTAGCTGCATTGTTGTGGAATTCACAACTACTCAGACTGGGAAAATACAGATTGGTTCAAAGAAACCAAAAACCAGAGTGTCCCTCTTAGCTGCTGCAGAGAGACTGCCAGCAATTGTAATGGCAGCCTGGCCCACCCTTCCGACCTCTATGCTGAGGTGAGTCTCTTGGCCACGACTTGAGTCTAGCTTGATTAACCTGTTTTTCACCATGTCTTATCACCATCTGGGACTTCTTTTCTGCCACCTTGCTTGTCTTTAATGTCATATATTGTTTTACTGTAAATTATTATAAAATGCATGTCTTTGTTTTAATTACATGTCTGTAAATTATACCAATCATGGAATCTTTTTTCCACTCTTTCAGTTTCTGTCATTTTCCTTTCTGTAAGTGGGTAGTGGCCTGTGAATCTGCAGCTTTAACTTTTAAAGAACACTTCTAACGAGGATGACTGTGTTTGTTACAGGGGTGTGAGGCTCTAGTAGTGAAGAAGCTACAAGAAATCATGATGCATGTGATCTGGGCCGCACTGGCATTTGCAGCTATTCAGGTAAGCACAGCTTGCCAAGGAGTTCTATCGGAGTGAGTTGGTTCTCTGTTGTCAGCCCTGAATGGTTTTAATCCCCATCACAGTGAATCTTTGTGTATGTAGGTAATGTGGAAGTGACTGAGGTACTGGCCTCCAGTTTCCCATGTTTTCCATTTCTTGTCTATACACCTAGACCCGGAATGGTCTAAAGAAACCAGAAATCTGGATGGGGAGGGACCACGTGTTGAGGGAACTCCTCGTCTTACTGTCTTTCTTGATTAGTGAGTGACCTGTTCAAAACATAAACGAACTGTTGTCTTAGTGTATTCTTGGAAGATATTTTATTAGAATGTCACAAAATTTTTAAAAATTGTACTTCTTTCTTTCAGTTTGGGAATACAAAGCTTTATTCAGTTTTTTTGTATGCTAGTTCTCCCTCTAGTTCTTGTTTTTCTGTCCTCACAGGTTTTATATATTCATATACGTAAATCAAGAACTGGTACTACAGCACTGGTCTCTTGCACTAAACACAACAACTTTTAAAAATAGAGACAAGGTCTCACTCTGTCACCCAGGCTTGAGTGCAATGACATGATAATAGCTCACTGTAACTTTGAACTCCTGGGCTCAAGCGATCCTCCTGCTTCAGCCTCTCCAGTAGCTGGGACTACAAGCACGGGCCACCACACCAGACTAATTTTTAATTTTTTTTTTTTTTTTCCAGAAATGGGGTCTCATTATGTTGCCCAGGCTGGTCTCAAACTCCTGGCCTCAAGCAATCCTCTGTCTTGGCCTCCTAAAGTGTTGGGATTTACAGGCGTGAGCCACCGCACCCAGCTTATGCTTTCTTTTCTTTTCTTTTCTTTTTTTTTTTTTTACGACAGAGTTTTGCTTTTGTTGCCCAGGCTAGAGTGCAATGGTGTGATCTCAGCTCACTGCAACCTCTGCCTCCCAGGTTCCAGTGATTCTTCTGCCTCAGCTTCCCAAGTAGCTGGGATTACAGGTTCCCGCTACCATGCCCAGCTAATTTTTGTATTTTTAGTAGAGACAGGTTTTTACCATGTTGGCCAGGTTGGTCTTGAACTCCTGACCTCAGGTGATCCACCTGCCTCGGCCTCCCAAAGTACTGGGATTATAGACGTGAGCCATCGCGCCCAGCCTCAGCTTATGCTTTCTTAAGCCTGAAACCTATTTCAAGAGCTAAAAGAGCCAGGTGTGATGGGTTACACCTGTAATCCCAGCACTTTGGGAGACCGAGGAGTAGGATCCCATGATGTTAGGAGTTTGAGACCAGCCTGGGCAATAAGACTCCATTTCTACCAAAAAAAAAATTTTTTTTAAAAAAGAAAAATGTAGATAACTTTTATTTGTTAAATAAAACCAATGTAATTGCTAGTTTAAATGTAAGTTGCTTGGATTGCTTGCTCTTTGTATATTTGAACAGAAGCTAGTGTATTTAATGGGAAAGGCCTTTTAAAATGGCAAAAGGATGATTGTTTACTTTGCTGATATTCAGACAGCCCTGAAATGATTCATTAAAAAGCCTACCTCTTTATTTGCCATGGTCTTTGCCCTTCTAAGCATTTACTCTGTAGCTCTGCATAGCAGTAATCTGATGATCAGCAGGGATTTATTTCATATTTTGATTATTTATGCAAACACATTCATTTAGCTAAAAATAATGAAATATGAGGAAGGTCTCTTTTCCCAAATAGAATTCTGAACTGTGCATTCTTAATGATTTTATGTTCAGTAATAAAGCCACATGTACTAGCATGCAGCAAAAAAGTTTTGGAACTGTATGGTACTTGTGGTCATGAAATATGCAACATGTATATAGAAGACTGATAAAAATAATCACTTTAGCTATGTCCCTCATCTAGTTAAGCGGCTTAGCCTGCCAGACATTTCTTTATTAAATATTTTTCAATAGGGGCTAATAAATATTTTAACTAGTCTCTTAATTTAAATATGACTGCCATATGTGTTTTATACTTAAGTCACCCTGACTTAAGTAAAAGCTGATAAAGCTTGATTTTTTCACTTCAGCAAGGCTGCTTAAGTTTAGGGATTCAGAGCTTTCACAGACTCAAAACCTAGTGGTTTTGAAAATTTTAAAAACTTGGGTTTTAAGGGGAGAAAATTTATCTGAATTAATAATTTTCCCTAATTGTTTTTAAGAGTACCTGTAAACATTCTAAGCTTCTGGTATTCAAAATCTGATAGATTGGTGCCCTGGGTGTGGAAAACCTGAACAAAGGCAGAAATAACTGAAAGATCAGTGAGCTTTTGTGCTTATACACTGATCCTAATATAGACATTTAGAGCTGGAGAGGATGGTTGGAGAGTCTCCAGTCTTGGCCCTCTTTGTTTAGCCACAAAATTTTGGGTGAGCAAGGATAGTGTGGCATGACCATCACACAGAGTGTCAACTCTAGAGACCCCTGCCTTTGTTTGTACTCTGCCTCCAATTACAAGTATAAGATTTGCAGAAGATTAAATTCCTAAATTTTGTCAGGAAACCTGACAGTTAATTGACACTTTAGCTGGATAAAATACAGAGGTAAGATGGCAGAGTTGAGTAGTTACAATATTGATTGATTTTTGTCTTGGTTTGGAAAGCCTAAAATATTTATGATATGGCCCTTTAAGAAAATGTTTGGTGACTCTTGCTCTAGTCCATTAAATAATCTAGATTTGGGTAGGACCAAAGTGACCAAGAAAGAAAAACCTGAAAAATACCAATTAATTATAATAACAGGACTTTTGAATATAAAAGAATGAGGTTTTAAAAATTTTGATGTACCCCTTATTAATTAGCAGGATATTTCACTTCTTTGAGAGTAGCCACTCTCTTAACTCATGATCAATTATGAATTTTATATTTAAAGAATCTGGTCATAATAATTGACAAAAATCTAGATTTTGATTTGTCAAGCTCCTGAGTATCTGCTGTGAGTAAGGCTGTCTCTCTACAAAGGCAATACGGGGAAAATGTTCTAAGTCTTTACTTTGGGGTCTCATGAAGTTGGCATATCCTCAAGATAGAACGATCAAGAGCAGATTTCATAAAGAACTGTTTCCCAAGGCCATGTTGCTTTTTTTCTGGTCTCTGTGCCGCATGTGAAGCCGGTGGAGACTGCTCTTTCCTCCTCCTCCTCAATTACCAGTTATTCGTTAAAATGAGAAACTTCCTCCTCCTTCCCCTCACACCCTGGCCAACATTGCAAAATGTTATATAAATGAATTCATATAGTTTGCAACCTTTTGTACCTTCTTAAAAACAAATTAGTGTATTTTGGATATAGATCTGCCTTTTTAATTTCATGTCTGCATAGTATTCCATTTTATAGGCATACTTTAATCAATATTGATGGGCTGTTTATAGCAAAAATTTGTAACTATGAAATTACAGTATCAGAATGTATGAATGAATTTTGATAGGTATTTCCAATTTTTTCTCAGAAAAGAGTGTTTCTAATGTGCAAAAGTTCTTATTTTTGTATAAGAATGCCTATTTCCCCATACCACCAGCAACATGGTATATCATAGAACATTTTACTTTGCCAGTCAGTTTTTTTAATCACCACTAGTCATTTTTTTCAATTTTTGCAGTTGCTGGGTGTTATATTTGGGCTAAGTGAAGTTTAATTCTCATGCCTTGAATATTGCAAGAGAGTATTTCATTGCAAGAAATAATGTTGGAGATAAAATATTTGTGTAATGTTTCCAAGTATGTTGTTGGAATGTTTCAAAAATCAATGGAATTTCAGTATAGCAGGCCTTTGGAAATGAGCCTGTAATAGTTAATGGTGAGGATAAGAAATTATTATGTAGAGCTTAATATTCTTAAGCAGACTGATTCCCAAGCATGAGTAGAATTTTATCAAGTTTATTTGTTTTAAAATCAATACAAGTTGATTTCATTGAAATAAACAAATTGGGAAAGAAATACTTATTTCAGACCTCATTTTGAGAATGCTGGCTTCTCTAATAGAAGTTAACCAATTGAAAGGAGTGTGGGGAGGTGGGGGTGGGAAGAGAGATTTTTTTTCCCTTAGCAAACCAGTCATTTCTGAGCTTAGCATTTTTATTGCTCAATTTAACATTGCCTGAGAACATAATTGCATTTGAGTTTATAGCTGTTCTAACAATGTTTTGATGTACAGAGAACAGAAATGTATTTCTCTAGGAATTAGGTACTTCATCGGTCTAGAATTGACTTAAATTGTTTAGTAAACTTTAAATAATATTCACCTCTTAAGTGTGTTTAAGGTGCTTTGCAAATGGTGAAATGGTGCAAATGGTGCAAGTGGTGAAATAGTGAAACTGATGGATTTGAGCAGGAAATATATATCCCGAATGGGCAGAATATAGGTTAATGTGAGGGTAGAAATTGGAGTGGGTGACTTTATACCATGGAGAATTCAGATTGAGGACATCCTTATGTGTATGTGTGTCTTAGTAGTGGTTAATCTTCCACTTCAAACTTTGAGAGTCTGTTTATGGATTGGGTACATTTTGCGGAAATTAGATTGACCCCCAAATGTACAGAGGACCCTGTCTTTTAAAATCAAATAACTGAGGCTTTTCCTCATCAATGAGAAGTTAGAACAGCAAATTATCTCACAAAAAAATTATATTTTGGGAGAAGGTAGGTCAAAAATTCTAGAATCATTTTCTCTTTAATCCAGCTTAATCCTTTTGCTTATCCAAAATAACATGGCATGACTTTATTACTATTCCAATATGCTACCACAGAAGGTTTAGGACTTATTGAAATAAAATGATGACGGAAGAGTGACCTTTCAAAAGTAATATGTATGTAATACCACAGAACCGTGGATTTCAAAAATAGTGAATGTGAAGGAAACAAAAAACCTTCCAACTACATTTTTTTTGGCATCAGAATTTGTTTTCTACCATAGGGCTATTCACATACTGAATTTCGTTTTCCAAAAACCAAAAGACCTGAAAAGACCACTATTAAACACACACATTCTTGCTCATTCTACTCCCCAGGCCTTTGCTGTCCAGAATGGTAGCCACTAGCCACATGTGTCTACATTTAAATTAATTTAAATAAAATTAAAAGTGCAACTCAGTTGCAGTAACTATATTTCAGGTGCTCAGTAGTCACATGAGGCCACATGACAGTGCATATGTGGTATGTCTCCATCGCTGCAGAAAGTTCTTTCGGACAGCACTCGCTAGACTAGTAGTGGGGATGCCAAATAAGAGAGACTTGATTCCCTGCTGGCTTTACGAAGAGTTCCTGGGAGGGAAGCTGAAGCTTAGGACTTAGTTCCTTAAAAAATAATGTACTCATAAGAAATTCCTTCTATCACTGTTGTTACTGCCTTTTTGATGATTTGAAGTCATTGAACTTTGAAACAGCTCTTTTACCAACAAAGAAATACACACCTGCCATGAGAGGGTTTTCAGCCTTTTTTCCCCATTGTTGTTTTCTTTCAACAGCTGCTGGGCATGCTGTGTGCTTGCATCGTGTTGTGCAGAAGGAGTAGAGATCCTGCTTACGAGCTCCTCATCACTGGCGGAACCTATGCATAGTTGACAACTCAAGCCTGAGCTTTTTGGTCTTGTTCTGATTTGGAAGGTGAATTGAGCAGGTCTGCTGCTGTTGGCCTCTGGAGTTCATTTAGTTAAAGCACATGTACACTGGTGTTGGACAGAGCAGCTTGGCTTTTCATGTGCCCACCTACTTACCTACTACCTGCGACTTTCTTTTTCCTTGTTCTAGCTGACTCTTCATGCCCCTAAGATTTTAAGTACGATGGTGAACGTTCTAATTTCAGAACCAATTGCGAGTCATGTAGTGTGGTAGAATTAAAGGAGGACACGAGCCTGCTTCTGTTACCTCCAAGTGGTAACAGGACTGATGCCGAAATGTCACCAGGTCCTTTCAGTCTTCACAGTGGAGAACTCTTGGCCAAAGGTTTTTGCGGGGAGGAGGAGGAAACCAGCTTTCTGGTTAAGGTTAACACCAGATGGTGCCCCTCATTGGTGTCCTTTTAAAAAATATTTACTGTAGTCCAATAAGATAGCAGCTGTACAAAATGACTAAAATAGATTGTAGGATCATATGGCGTATATCTTGGTTCATCTTCAAAATCAGAGACTGAGCTTTGAAACTAGTGGTTTTTAATCAAAGTTGGCTTTATAGGAGGAGTATAATGTATGCACTACTGTTTTAAAAGAATTAGTGTGAGTGTGTTTTTGTATGAATGAGCCCATTCATGGTAAGTCTTAAGCTTGTTGGAAATAATGTACCCATGTAGACTAGCAAAATAGTATGTAGATGTGATCTCAGTTGTAAATAGAAAAATCTAATTCAATAAACTCTGTATCAGCCCCCAACATATTATTTTTCATTATTTGGGGGATATTTCAGTTCCAGAGCAGCAGTATCATGTTTTCTTTGTTGGTGCTGTCTATAGTTCATCATGGTTTACGTGTGTTTTCGTTATAGCTGTTGCCAGATTCTAAAGGGCTTGATATTCAAAAAACCACAGATGCTTTCAGTCCAGTATATCCTAGAAATATAGAGCTCTACTTTGTGCAATGCACTGGGGATACAGTGGCGATACTGTCCTTGTCTTCAAGGAGTTCGGAGTCCTAGTATAGGAGACATACATAGGAGAAGATAATTTTCACACTGCAGTGGTTGTAGTAATAGAATGGGAGTCCAAAGGGGAGTTCCGGAGAGGTCAGGGGTGACTTCCTGGAGGAGATGCCCAAGCTTGGAGGCTGGATAGGCTTTGTTGAAAGATGGTACACAAGAGTGTGAAACAAAATTGTGTGTGCAGGGAGCTTAAAATACAAGGCTGGGGAAAGAAGTTGGAGAAGCAGGAAAGCCCAGGCCCTCTAGTGTCTTACGGAACATCCTGTGGAGGTGAGAGCTGACTTGTAGGTGGAAGCAGCTCTTTGGAGGTTTGATTTGGAAGGTGAACTGAGAAGAAGGTGGTGATGCAAGCCGGCCGTGCTGAAGCCAGGATGAATTGGTGTGACTGGGCTTCAGTTAGGCTGGCATAGCAGTTGAGAGAGCTTAGCAGTGGGCAGCAGGGCACTGTTGGGGGCGGTGGTGAGCGGTGGATTCTGGCTGTTTGGAGGCAGGACAGTGGTGGAATTCGATCATTGATTGGACGTGGGACAGAGAAGGGAGAAGAGAAGACTCATCTAGGATGAGTCCCAGGTTTCTGGCTCAGTCAACTGGGGAAACAAAGTCACAGAGCTAGGGAGTAGTTAGAGAACACATCTGGGGGTGTGACTCATGGTCAGTTTTGGGCTCGTCAGTTTTGAGATGCCCAAATATCATGCAGATCTGTCCCACCTGAAAATGGAGAAGACACGGGAAAGGAGAGGAGTAAAAACTAACTCCTTTTCACAAAGTGGAAGTTACCAGAATGTGATTTCAGAGGCCCCGGGGGATTTATCATGTGACTACTGACCCATCCCACCTCTTGCCCCTGCCTGTTGCACAGTGGGCAAGAATGTTTGTGACCTTTCACTACCACCACCTCCCCCGAGCATGGTCCCCCCAGTTTTCAATATGAACCATCCTGTGGGTACCCTGTCACAGGCTGGCCCTGAGGTGAGCAATATTTGGACTGTGATGTTGGTTGTTCTCCACTCTTTCTACAGGACAGAACAGGGCCTCTAGAGTGGGAAATGGCTTTGGGAAATATGCCAAGCAGTAGCCTTGTTCTTCAACTTGCCCAAGAGGATAATTCTCCACACCCTTCCTGTACTCAGTCCTCAGTTTGCCTGGTGAGAGAGCAGCCTCCTCCCGTGTGCTCTGCCAGCTGGACCCAGACTGGCCATATTACCAGTGAGACCAAAAAGATGGAGGTGGGGAGGTAGCTCTGAGGTCTGGGAAACCATTCCAGCTCCTGCCAGTTTTAACTTGTGTTTAATTCCTGGCACAGTTGTCCTGGAAATGCCTTTTTCTCTTGCCTGGGAACCACTAGAAGGGGATGTTGTCTGTGTTGGCCAGGGCCATGCAAATTCAACATCTTGTTTCTGCCCTTCCCCCGTGTAGCTGAGGCTAGGTGTTGGCATTACCCAGTGCTTGTTCTTCAGAGAGCAAAAGCACTGCTCGTCATGTCTGAAATTTAGTGAGTGAGCTCACCCACTAGGCTGGTGTTTCCTGCCCGTGGCTGCACATTGGAAGCACCGGGGCACTTTGAGAACTACAGATGCCTGGGTCCCAGAGCATCTAAGGTGCTCTAGGGTGTGTCCAGGACACAGCCCTGGTTGAGGACCACTGCTATATTGTATGGCCTCTTTTAAAAAAGTTAATTTTACTTGGAAATGATTTCAAAGCTACAGAAAAGTTGCAAGAATAAAAACTGTACAAATGAGGCTCAAATATCCTTTGCCCAGATACACCTATTAACATTTCGTCCCATTCTATCTGTCATGTGTGTTCTCAAATGTGTGTGCGTTCTCTCTCCCTTGCGCCAACCCCCTGTCTCTCCCTCTCCCTCCCTCCTGCTGCCTCCACACCTGTCATGGCCTTTTACCCCTAATACCTCAGTGGGTACTTACCAAGAAGAAGATACTCTCTGACGACTGCAGTACAGTTGTCAAATTCCGTCCATCTAACACTGATAGAATACCTCACCACTCATATTCCCATTGGCCGCATCGTGTCCTCTATAGCACCTTTCCCTCTGCGGTGCTGGATCTGGTCTGGATCAGGTAATCAGTTGAGTTGTCATGTCTCCTTGGTCTTCTTTAATCTGGATCATTTCCATAGCTTTGTCTGTGATGATAGGAACAGTTTGTAAGGATACAGTTCGTTTTAGGTGGTGCTGCTTATCTGTGTTTGTCTGCGATTTCCTCGTGATTAGATTTGGTTTTGCATTCCAGGTGGCTGAACCACTACCTGCGTCACGCGGCCTCTCAGGGCATCGCATCTCGAGGCACACAATGCCCATCTGCCCCACAGTGGGGATGTTCGTTTTGATCATCTAGTCCAAGGAGGAGGAAATGTGAACAGGAAGGTTTTAATATAAGTAATTGTTAACTGTGTAGAAGGTAGTTAACTACTAAAAGGGATAAAAAAGAGCTCTAAAGCAGCTTAGCAGAGAACAGCCATCACCCCTAGGGCTAAGGGAAGAGAAAACAGAGAAGGAACGTGGAAACTCAGAGGAGGTTCCCCAAGGTGGAGAGACCTCCGAGGGGTGGCTGTGGTTGCCTGGGATATGCTGCCTGTCCCATGCTGGAGAATCAACTTACTGGAGGTGCCCCCCCGCCAAGCCACAGGAGCAGAGAGCTGTCACGGTGGGGAATGCTGCTGGGACCCGTGCAGGACGAAAGGAGACAGAAGAAAAAGGCCATCTTCCTCCTCTAGCCTTGTTAGCCCCTTCAGAGCCCACTGTGGGTCAGGCTGGCAAAGGGTAAAGGAGTTTTCAGAGCCCCCTCTTCAGTGTGACAAGGAAGGGCAAGGTCAGGGAAATTTGGAGTTAAGAGGCAATAAATGAGTACCTGGCACACCTAGTCGAGGTGTGTCCACTTTCTCCATAGCATGGTTACTGTTTTTTTCTTTTCAACTAATAAGAAATCTCTGGAGACACACTGTCTCCATGTACATACCCTGTTCCTCATGAGACTCTTCCCCATTCCCCGACCAGGTTCAGCAAATGTTGCTGATTCTGGCCTGATTCAATCTTTATGATGACTGCCAAGCGACGTTTCTGCAGCCCAGCACTCCTTCCTCATTTGCCAGTCATCCCTCCCTTCTCCTTCATTTATTTTCATATATCCACTATGGATTCCCATTTTTTCAAAAGTCGACTTCATCATTGACCTTTGGGGATGGGGGAAGAGTTCCTCAGATAGTTCCCGACTTGGCCAGCGAGAGCCCCTTCGAGTGCCTCCTATATCCCAGCATTTTTGGAAGCACTCCCCTAATTTCTGATCTAACAAGATGTTCCAGGCCCCTGGGCACCAGCCATGGATCAGTGTTTGTCCCAGGAGCCCTGGTCCCTGGCACTAGGTGTGCTTATTGCAGCTGGGGTGTCTTTGCTTCTTGTCCTATAGATGATTGACAGAGCTTGTCTTACTGCCTTTTTTAAGTGTATTTTTTTAAACAAAAGTAATTGGTGCTTTAAAAAATGTGAACAATACAGACATCTGTAAAGAAGTACCCACAGGGAAGCAAGTTCAGCAGTTCAGCAATGGCATGTGTCTTTGCAGACTACATACACAGAAACAGACTTGGTATTGGGTTTTGGTTTTTGCTTTTTGCTAATAGGAATTTTATCCTACAAGATCCTCTTTCTGTCTTCACAACATAGTCTGATGCTCCTTCCATGTCTAACTGTAGGATTTGTCATTCCATTGTGTTAGCTGTGTGGGTACATTAGTACCATGATTAACCAAGGTGTATAAAGGGCAGGCCTGCAGGCTGCCTCCAGTGCCTCCACTACTCGCCACAGTGATCATCTCTATACACACACTGCAGTCATTTACAATTTTTAAAATGAAAACAATTTTTATTGAGATGCAATTCACATGGCATAAAATTAACGATTTTAAAGTAAAGAAGTTGCCTTGAGTACATTCACCATGCTATAGAACCACTGCCTGTATCTAGTTTCAAAGCACTTTCATCACCCTGTGTCATGTATTTTTACATGAACTCCAAGGGTGGATTCTTGTTAGTTGGATTTACTCTGGATGGAAAAGTCATGTTTGGCTGGGTGCAGTGGCTCATGCCTGTAATCATAGCACTTTGGGAGGTCGAGACAGGTGGGTCACTTGAGATCAGGAGTTCAAAACCAGCCTGGCCAACATGGTGAAACCCATCTCTATTAAAAATACAAAAAATTAGCAGGGCCTGGTGGCATGCACCTGTAATCCCAGCTACTTGGGAGGCTGAGGCAGGAGAATCGCTTGAACCGGGAGGCAGAGGTTGCAGTGAGCCGAGATTATGCCACTGCACTCCAGCCTGGGTGACAGAGCAAGACTCTGTCTCAAAAAAAAAAAAAAAAAAAGTCACGTTTAAACATTTTCATGGATACATCTGGTTGCTCTCCAGAAAGCTTATATCAATTTCTATTCCCACCAGCAGTGAATGAAATGTGCATTTCTTTACACCCTTGTTGACACTTTTGGTGTGATCAGCCTTCATCTTTTCTTCCATTCTGAGAGATGAAAATATGTGTTTATTTGACTGTTAGCTAGGGCCAGGATGCTTTTAAAGGTGTTTCAGCCATTTGTATCTTCTGAATTTTGCTTCTGTCCTCTGCCCGGTTTGATTGGTTATTGGGTTTTTTTCTTTCGGATCTTAACAGAGTTTACTTAGGAAACTTTTCTGTGAAGCTTAATGTCTGTAGCTATTGTGAATGCAATGGTTTTCCTAACTTATTTCCGAGTTGGTGGTTGTTGGTGTGTAACAGCACCTGCTTTTTGGGTGCATCCTTGCAGTTCTTGAAAATAACTTGTGTGTTGCACGTGGCTTTCTATTGCAGTGCCTGTGAGATCTGTGAGGTCTCCTGAGGGTGTAACACAGTGACGTGGCAGAAACCTCGTATCTACTGAATGGTGCTGCTGCATTGCTATTTGTGGGGAAGTTGAGTCATACATAAATCCTGCTCCCCTGAGTTTATCCAATGAAGAAAGTAAGACAGATGTAGAAATTATAGGGTAGAAAAGAGACTTGCTGATCTTTTTTTTTTTTTCCCCGAGACAGAGTCTTGCCCTGTCATCCAGGCTGGAGTTCAGTGGCACGATCTTAGCTTACTGCAACCTCCGCCTCCTGGGTTCAAGCAGTTCTGCCTCAGCCTCCCACATAGCTGGGATTACAGGCGCGCACCACCACGCCTGGCTAATTTTTGTATTTTTAGTAGAGACGGGGTTTTACCCTGTTGGTCAGGCTAGTCTCGAACTCCTGACCTCGTGATCCGCCCGCCTCCGCCTCCCAAAGTGCTGGGACTACAGGCGTGAGCCACCGTGCCCGGCCTACTTGCTGATCTTTGTTATCCCACCATCTGGCAGGTAGTGGGCACTATCACCTGAGATAAGTCACTATGGTGCCATAACTGTTTTTCAAACTTTTAAAAATGTTTAGCTGAAGATCCTGTTAGCCAGGGGTTTCTCAGCTCCGGCTGCGTATCAGAATCACCAGGAGAATGTTTCAAATATTTATGCGCAAGCTCAGTTTGCAGGGATTTGGTTTCAGTTTGTCTGAGGTGGGACCCAACCATCAGCATTTGAAAATCTGCTCAGGTGACTCCGTTGAGCAGCTGGGTTGAGAACCACTGCACGTGCAATATGTAAACTCTCCAAGTAGATCTCGAAGTGGAGTGGGTGCCCCCTTTCTCCTCCCACTGGCCCCTAAGAGGGCTCTACTGAGCACAGTTTGATAATCCCGTGAGGGTGCTGAGGGCAGCGAGCCCAGTTGCTGGTGCGACCTTGTCCTGGGCTTGTGTTGGCTCAAAAGCCGGGATGGAGAAATAGGCAGACACCCAGGTAGTCAGACCAAGGCAAGCAGGTGACCCTTATGCTGAGGTTTCTTGGCCTAGGAAAGGCTGTGAGAGTGGTTGGAATTAGGTGTTGGACACCAGTGGCGCGTGCTTCCAGTTTGGCCAAACGTGAGTTGCTGCTTTTTGTCATCATTGCGAAGGATTCACTGACATAACCACAGCTGTCCCAGAGGGTGTGCTGAGCGAGGGGGATTATGCCAAGCGCAAAGCTGCTGTTGAGTGTAGCCAAGATTCAGAGGTTGTGGGTCTTTTCCTTAAAAGTGGTATCCCTTGCTGGTAAGTAATACCTAATCATTGTTTAATTTGAACCTTAGGAGATTTTGCATGGGGGCATATTGCACCCATCTTACTGATGCTGAAACAGGCCCAGAGAAATTGTGACTTGCCTAAGACCACCCAAGAAAGCGTGAGCCTGGATTCAGGCCCTGATGTTGTGATTCAGAGACCATGCTTGTCCTCCTGCTCCTTGCTGTCTTTGAGTGGCCCTCGGTCAGGAAGAGGCTGCAGTTATTTATACACCCAATTACACGCTAACTCCCTCTTTATCTGGCACCGTCTCTGCTGGGAAGGCCATCCATCCATGCAGTTGGTTCCCAGCAGCTGAGGTGGTGCCCAGTGATGGGAGAACGGAGAAAGCTGCAGAAGCAGTGAATCTGACTTGGATTCATTTGTGGGCATTCTCCCCCTGGCATAAATTGTGACCCAAGAGTTGCTTTCAGTTCTATTCTCTGGCCACCCGAATGACTGGAGAACAGACTCTGTTATCTAGCACTTGTTACCCATCACGCTCTGGGGCCCACAGACACTGCGGCACCTGTCAGAGATGATGATAAATATCTAGGCCAAAGGTTTTTTAAAAAATCTTTGCAGTGGAATGGAATGTTCAATCAAGATGACAAGGCATCTTCAAGGAATAAGTAAAGTATTGATACCTTTTTACTCTTTCCTTTCCCTTCCCTGCCCACACATGGCCCCACCCAGTGGTAAGCCTACGCGGCTGTCCCGCCTCTCCCAGCCCTCGCCCAGGCTTTGTTCCCGCACCACTCCCCTCCAGCTCCTCCACCTGGGGAGGAGCCCATCTTCAAGTCTGGGCTCCGAAGTCACTCCTCACCTCCTCACTTTCCCTCTCTTCCCACCCATCTCCCATCCCGTAAGTTACCAAGTCCTGTCCATCTGCTCCCTGTGTTCTTCCAGAGTTGCTCTCCAGCCCAGTCACCACTTCCCAGACAAGCCACCCTCCCCTCTGCTGGATGGCCTGCACCAGCCCCTGGAACCACTCCCCCCACTTACTGCCTCACATCTCAGGGCCTAGAGGGTGGCTGTCTGTCCTCCTGGGCTGAGTGAGCTCTTTGAGGCCCCTTTTAGCACCACACCCCCATCATCAGGTACAGTGTGGGCCACACATGAGTCATTAGAATGTCCATGTCTCATGCTTGCTTAACTGAACCCAATTTTTTGCTCAAGTAAAGATCAGGGTATAAAGATGGGCATTCTGTCTCTCTCCCCCTCCCTCCTTTCTCTCTCTCTCCCCCTCCCTCCTTTCTCTCTCTCTCCCCCTCCCTCCTTTCTCCCCCTCCTTTCTCTCTCTCTCTCTCCCCCCCTCCCTCCTTTCTCTCTCTCCCCCCTCCCTCCTTTCTCTCTCCCCCCTCCCCATGGGGAACAGCAGTGCCCTGCAGCAGCTCATCAGTGTGGTCCCAGCAGAGGAGGACCACTGTGTCCCCCATCCCGCCCCTTACAGTCCTGGGCCTGCCTGGCTCCGAAGCCGGGTGGGGATCCCAGGAGGGTGTGAGGTGGGCCGGCTTGGCCACTCCCAGGACTGAGGAGTGGTCAATGGCCAGGGGCCCTCTCCTCCACACCCACTCCCAATGCCTTTGGCATGGATGAAGCCTATCATGGTTGGAGCAGGGCTTGGCCAGCAGTGAAAGTTATGTTCCTGGGACTAAAAAGAGAAGGGGCTGAAGGCCTTCAAGAACAGCTCCCTCTGTGCCCGGGGCCAACGTGCCTGGGCTGTGGACCCCTGCTCGGCCGGGGTTGCCATGTTGAGGGGAGTGTCATGGGCAGCAGTGGCTTCCCCAGGCCCCACTTGCACCCACAAGCCACAAGCCTGTCTTCCTGGGCTCCCACCATGGCCTCTCCAACAGATCCATCACCAGCTTCCTGTTTCCAAACTGAGTCCTCCGAATATTCCTGGGTGTACCCCCAACCTCACCTTTGCCCACGCACTTGCCCTGGCCTGGCCACTGCTGCCCAGCCATGGACCTGCTCAACCCTCCGCCCCCAAGAAGCCTGCTCTCCCCATTGCAGCCCTGCTGAGCCCCTTCTTGCCCCTGCCACATCCTCCTGCACCCCTGTGTCCTCTGTCCAGGTGTGAATGTGTCTCCTTGGCAGTCTGGGAGCTCCTAGCAACTGGGGCCAGGCCTCTTCTCCAACTATAGCTGAAGCCTCGGCTGAGTTGGGGAGCTCCACATCCAGGCTCCTTCCCTTGTTCCTTTGCCTCCTCTGAACTGAGCACTCGGACACTGGAGCAGGAGAAAAAGAGAACGGGACCCCAGCACACCAAGGAGAACAGAACGCACTCCTTTATTCCCTGGGAGACGACAGGCTCCCTCTCGGGGCTGGGGGACGCTTGGTTCTGGGCCCTAGCAAGGTGGGGACAGTGCTGGGGGCACTGCTGGCTCCACTGGCAGGGCAGGTCCGAAGGGGCTCCTGGCCCTTCCTCAAAGCTTCTCCAGGTAGGAACCAGGGACGAAGCCACGCTGCCCGTTCCTCTCCACAGTCCACCAGCCATCCTCCCCTTCCAGGATCACCTCCAGGATGTCTCCCGCGGACAGGTCCAGCTCATCTGGGTTCTGGCCAAGAGATTGAAAGCGCATGACGTTGGAAGGGCCTGCAGGGAAGGGCCTGCAGGGAGGGGCCTGGCGTTCCCCCACCCAGCAGTAAATGCGGCATGTCTCCCAGGGTGGGCAGGGGCAGCCCCTTGGGGACACAGGATGGGGGTAACCCAACGGACCGGGCCTCCCATCCCCCTCAGTTTGTCATCATAGTTCTCCCCCAACCTGGGTTTCTTCCCAGCCTCACCTCCCCTCTCCCATTCTGGAGACGCAGTGACTGGAGCATGTCAGGGGTCACGGGTGCTCATCATACCCCAAGCCCAGGGCACACTCATGCCTAAGCTTACCACAAGCCTCCCCTTTGCGGTCCCCAGCCCCAGCTAGCCACTGCCATCCAAGTACCCCATCACTCTCCTGGCCTGGCTTCCCTGCCTCCCCGAGCCCTGGCCTCATCAGTGGAGTCCACACCCAGCCTGCCTGGCTATGTGGGGGTGCTTGGCCTCAGTCCAGGTGGATGTGAGGTCTGGCTATGCATTCTTCCCCTCAAGCAGGGAGCAGAAAGGACTCTCATAGCTGCCCTGTGGCTGCCTTGGTTCATCCTCACCCTATGGACATCAGAAAATCAATCCTGGCACGATAGCAAGACTCATTCTGGCCACAGTTTTCCACACCCATGGCCACGAAGGACAGGGCCCTGACCCAAAGGCACAGAGCCTGGCCCTCAAGCTATGACCTGCAGGCAGCTCCAGGCTCTGCCAGCTCCCCGCACGTGTGCACCACTCAGCGCCCAGCCTGTGTGGACGGCATAGGTACATGTGCTCCACGTGTGTGCTGTGTACAGGCCCGGGCAGACACAGGCCTGCTGCACACCAGCTTCCAGTCAGTACATGCACACTGAGGCCCCGCAAGCCCTGGGTGCTGTTCTCAGAGCTCACATCCAAGCACACTCCCAGGTACCCTTGCTAGTGTGGACACACTCGGGCACACGTGCCCTCCTGAGGAGGAGAGGATGCTCGAAGATGAGTGAAACCATGAGGAGAGATGAGGACGCAAGGCACTGGATGGGAGAGGGAGCTCTCAGGTGCAGGGGAGGTGGCACAGGTGGGTTTGGGGTATAGAGGCCTCACCTGCGCTGTATAATCGTAGAGCGCCCGGTACTCCTGGGCTGGTGAGGCCGGGTTTCCCTGTATCTCCTGCACTGCGATGGCTGTGTAGACACCCTCATTCCGCTCGGGGGTGGGGGTCAGGGTCTCTGTGGACGCTAAGAGCAGGGTGAGACATAGACCCCTCCCCTTCTGGGGACACTGGCCCCTGGAAGTCCTACTAGAATGGGGTTTCTCCATGCTGGGCCCTGCCTCTTCCTTCTGCTGTCCACACTTGCTGTTGGGGGACACACACTTCCTCTTGAGGGCCTCAGTGGCCCCATCTGTGCCATGTGGGAGACCTCTCCTCCCCCCCAGGATCAGTGTGTTTGGGGGTCCCCTCCTGACCCCCTTTACCAGCAGAAGCTGCCAACGAAGTGGTCTTGGGACTTCCGTGCAGCAGTCCAGAGAACCTGGGAACAGGGAGGAAAGAGGGTGAGTGTCCCCGCCCCACACTCAGGGACCCACCAGGAGGGAGGGTTTAGACAGGGAGAGGTCTCAGAGCTGCACGCGCTCTGCCAGGGCTGGGACTGCCCCTAGCCTCCAGGCATGGATGTCATTTATGAGGTGCCCCTCAGGCAGGAGGGCTCCCCAGAAAGTAGTCCTGGTGGCTCCTCCTTCCCCAGCTACGCCCTCCACTGGCGCCCTCTGCAGGCCATCTCAGCACCTGCTCCCTGCAGGGCCCTTGGGAGGATCCTAGAACCCCCGAAGCTGTAGCTTCATTGGAAGACTCCCATGGCCCTTTGGGGGTTCTAGGACCTCCGCACTGAGGCCTCGTGGGAAGATGCCCAGTCCTCACCCTCCAGGCCCCTGCTCTAGCTTGCCCTAGCAGCTTCCCCCATGGGTAGGGGTGGGGGGTGCACTGCCACACAAAGCCTGGCTCACGTGCCCTGCTGAGGCCTCCACTGCCTGGGCCGAGCCAGCCCTCCTCCCTGTGGGCCCACGGTGATCAGGCCAGCTCAGCCACCCTGTTCACAGGAGTTCCGGGACAGCGCTGGGCTACTTTACCCCTGCCCCTGCACCAGGCTTAGGCCTGGACTGAGCTGGGGTCATGAAGGTTTACTGAATAAAGGAAAATAAAACAGAAGAGGCAGATGCGGCAGATGCTGGGGGCACCCCCTGAAGTGGGCAGTAGTGAGGGCTCAACAAGTAGAGGCTGACACTGCCTCCAAGGCAAGAGGGCTTCTTAGTGGGGTGGGGCTGAGTCTTCAAAGATGAGTGAAGCTTTACTAGGAGAGAAGGGGGAGCGAGGCACTGCAGGTGACCAGGAGAGGGAGGGCTCAGGTGCAGGGGAGGAGGCATGGCACAGGTGGGGTTTGTGGAGTGGAGTGGACCAATTTGGGTGTGTGGGGGACAGGACTGAAATAGAGACTGGACCAGACCCTGAGGGATCTTGAATGCAGGTGAGGGGCTGAGCCATGACTCAGGGGCCTGTGGGGGGCAGCCCTGCAATTCAAGGTGGCATGTGGGGGGCCTTTCCCACATGAGGCGCCGAGGGCCAAGGCCCCAGGAGTGCACACACATGCGCAGGGTGGACATGCGTGGACCCAGCACATGGGAGGGCCTGACACCAACACAGGCGGGCAGACACACGTGCCAGCTCCCCAGGCAGCAAAGGACAGGGTGCAAGCCAGCAGGGGCTGGGGACAGGTGGAGGAAGCGGCCAGGGCAGGGGGAAAGGGGTGCAGGGCTTGCTGAGCCATTGTGCTGCGTGCCCCCACACCTCTTTTCCCCAGACTGTCTACACTTCTGACTCCCAGTCACTGACCCCCGCCTCTTCCCAGTCCTGCCTGGCTTCTAGATGCCCCATCCAGAGGCCTGACCAGCCCCCTCCAGCAGCCAGGCCTCCCTCGGCCCTGCAGGACATCTCTCTCTCTCTCTCTAATCCTCTCTGGGGCCACTCCTTTCTGCCCCTTCCTGATACTGCTTCAGGTGAGCTCTTTTGTCCAGTTGCTTAAATGACCACCTTTGCTGGGATCCAGGTCCTCACCAGGCACAGGGAAGCCTGTCTCACAAGCTTTTGTAGCATGTGAGGCTGCGGGTGTGCTGCCTCCTGGGGTCACTGCTTGCACAAGATTCTCAAAGAGGGTGTGTGTGTGCCCTCTCTAAGCACGGGTGGTTCCCACGAGCCTCTGCCTCCCAGGAGTAGGAAGTTCCAGGGGCTCCTGAGGCCCTGGAATGAGCTGGTCCTTGGGAAGGGCCGGGAACTGCATCAGCCTCTCCCCACAGTCCACTACCTCCCAGAGGCAGGGCCTTCTTGGTTGAAGGGTGGCTGAAGAGTGGTGGCATGGCGGTGGGGGCACAGGCACCATGTGAAACCCACAGACCCTTGTGGATGCTCACAGGGCACATGGCCTCCCTCAAAGGCCTGGCTACGAGGGCTCCCTAAGCTGGCTATAGTGCTCCCAATGGGCTGTCACCTTCGTCACTCAAGGCCTGAACCAGGAGAGTCCTTAGATTCTGAATCTGACCCCAACACTCAGGGCCCTGGCCTTAGAGAGTGTGAATGACTTGCCCAGGTCACACATTGAGGCCCAGCACTAGGACCTTGGCACTTGACTGCAGCCAGGCCGGGGAAGGAGCCCTGGAAAAGCCTGGAGAATTCTCCAGATGCCCCAGTCCTGCTCCAGCCAGACAGCGTTGCCACTGCAGCCTGACAGGGCACCAGGCTCACATGAGGCCCCAGGGACAAGGAAGCCAGCATAGGGGCCTCCCCAGAGCTCGGAGCACCTCCCCTAGTGAATAATTGGGGTGTGATTATTCTAGTGTCTGGGTCCCTTGGGCTGAGGGTTCCATAGGCTGAACTGAGCCTATCTTGTCTCCACAGAGTGCCCAGCACCTAAACTGGGCACCAGATACAGACACATAGTAGGTGCTCAGTGAACGAGGAAGGGCCAGGTGCAGAGGAGGGGCTCGACCCACTTCCTGGCCCAGCCTTAGGCCCTCCCTCCGTCTGTCGGGGCCTCACCTCTTTATCATGCCGCAGGACGGCTGTATGCCAGGGCTGCTGGTCAGCGGGGTGACCTCCCGATCGTAATAGTTCTGGTAGGGCACCGGAGCTGCAGACAGCAAGCCGTGAGCCCCAGGGCGGCCCCCAACACCCCATTCTGGCCCTGCCAGACTCAGCTGGGGCCCTACATTCCCAATCTGGCCCTGGCCCATCCTGGTGCCTGAGGAGGTGCCTGTCTTGCTCCCATGAGAGACCCCACCGTAGGTACCATCAAGACCTAATATTCTGGACCCGTGATCCAGTGGAACCAAACAGGCGGGGAGTGGGGGCCGTGGGAGCTCCTCACCTCAATCCCCATCCCCACCTCTTCCTCTGAGTGCCATCATGCCCTTAGCTTTGCCTGAGAGGAGGCAGCAGGCCTGGGACCCAACTCCCCACAACCCCTGCTAGGGCTTCTCTGCCCTGAAGGGAGCTGTGAGCTACCCCAGCCCGGTCCTGGCACTTGAGGCTCAGGGCCGGGCCTTCCCAGGGGCTCAATGCACCTAGAGGCTGCGCTGTCCGCAAGCCGGACCTCACCGGGGGGCTCTGTGCCCGTGCTCTTGGCCTGGATGAAACTGTCGATGTCGGCGTCTATGCTGCAGCCTTCCAGCGTCAGCCGCACTTCCTCGTAGAGCTGGGGCAGGAAAGAGCAGAGGCCGCAGCCCGATGCCCACTCTGCCCCTCTGTGGGCCTGAACTCTGACCAGCGGCCCCCACCCACCGGCCTCCTCACAGGCCATTGTGCGCGGCTCGGGGTCTTTGATCCTGAGGGGTCACGGCCCTGGCTGACAGCTTCCTGTTTCCTGAACACCTTCTGTGTGCAAGGCCCTGTGCAAGGGACTTAACTCACACCTGTCCTCTAAGGTAGACCCCACTTTTCCCATTGGATAGATGAGGAAACTCAGAGGAGAGTGACTTGCCCAAGGTCACAGCGAGAATGCAGCACAGCCAGGCCTTGGGGCTAGGAGAGTGGGTCCAGAGCTCGCCCTTCTACCTCAAGGAGGCGAGGAGGCAGCAGGGGGCTCGAGTCACTTGGGCAAAAACAACAAGAAAATCAACCCCCACAGCCCCGGACAGGAGCGTCAGGCAGGAAACACAGCAGGCAAGGGGGCCAGGGCTGCCCGGGAGAGCCGTGTGCTGGGCTGCATCCATCCACAGAGCTCAGGGACCCTGGCTGGGGGCCCTCTCTGCTGGGGAGGACCCACCCAGCAGGTTGGGCTCAGTAAGGGGAACCAGGACACCCTGGAGATGTGGGGAGCAGAGGAAGGACTGCGCCTCGGCTCCTGCAAGCACCAGGCCTAGAGCAGAGCAGCCACGGTCCTCCAGCTTCTGCCAACCTCTGACAGCTGTGTCCACCTCCCCTCCCATCCCCGGCAGAGGGGGCAGGTGCTCTGTGGCTCTGAGGCATAAGGAGGAAGTCAGGGGAACCACAGAGTCATCATCTTCCAGGCAGAGAAGCCATGGCCCTGTGTGGTACTGAGCTCCTGTCTTGGGGTTCTGGGGGCAAAGGCTGAGCTGCTGAGGCCTGAGACCCCTGGGGCCAGGCTTGGATCACAGAGGACCAGGTGCTTGTTGACCGGCTCAGATGGACCTGGGTGCTTTGCTGCCTAGAGGCTGCCCTACCTTACCCCACACCAAGGCCCTCAGCCCCCACCTCATCATCCTTGACACACTGCATGGAGAGCTGGTTGCTGTGCACCCACAGGGCGTTGCGGAGAATGGTCAGCCGGTCAAACTCTTGCAGCTGAAAGGCCTGGGGGCAGTGGGAGGGAGGTGAGCAGTGAGGAGGCGGCTGCAGGGCCCGGCCAGGCTGGGCCCCATTCACAGCTCAGCCGGAGCTGACCAGGCCAGCCCTCTCTGCTGGAAGCCCAGTCCAAAGGAGAGAGTGCCCTGGGGTCCCCATCCCGACTCCGGGCCAGCCCTGAGGCTGCAGGGAGGGAGGTGGAGATGCCCAGGGGGTCCCTGCCCCAGCCTCCCTTCAGGCTGCACCACACCGAGGCAGAAGGGTAGTGAGAGGGACCTCGGACGGGAGTCCTGAGCCCTGTTCCCCAGGCCCTGTCCATCGGCAGCACCCAGAGAGGCTGTGGGTTTAGTCCAAGTCCCAGTTTTGGCTTCAACAAAGAGGGTGGAAGAATGCCTGCCTGCAACGAAGGGGCCCAGGACTCAAGGCCAGGCGACAAGCAACAGGGCCAGGGCCCAGCACAGGCCTGTGAGCAGGAGGCTGAATAAACGAGTGAGTAACAGGTACCTTCCCCAACTGCCTCACTTGGGCCCCTTTAAGCAGCTGGAGTAGGGATGGGCGTCTCACACTTCCCAGCTGGGGAAAACGAGGCTCCACGTGGGCCACTCACCTCACAGGTGGTCCGGTGCTCCTGCTCCCACTCAGCCCGGACCTTCTCCAGCTGCGCAATGCTCTGCCTGTATACCCGCTCTGAAAGCGCAGGCAGCCTCAGGGAGGGCCCTGACACGAGCTCCTCCACCCCTGTACTCCAGCAGGTCCCATCCTGGATGCCTCCTCCCACTGGGAGCCCCGCCTCCCCCATGGGACCTGCCCTAGCAGATGGCGGGGCCTCATCTGAATGCCCGTCAGGGCCACCCACGCTGGTGCTGCTGCTGCTCCCCAACTGTGCTCTGAGCTGCCTGAGGGCTGGAGTGGAGCCTCATATATGCAAGTCCAGAGTATTGGCCTCTGGGCATCTCTGGGCGCCCCACCTCACTTTCCAGAGGGGAAACTGAGGTTCAGAGAAGGCAGCTGAGAGGGCGCTGGAGGAGGGGTGGAGTCCCACAGGCTTGGGTCACAACTTCTGTGCCCAGATCTCTGGAGGTCACCTGTCCCCCAGCCGAGGGAGTAGCTGAGTCCCAGTAAAGGCAGAGCAGAAGGGAGAGGCCTTCCCAGGGGAAGGGAGGAGGGTGGGTGCTGTGTCTGGTGGGTGGGGCACCAGCAGGGACAAGAGTGTTGGTAGGATTCGGGCATCAAGTGAAGGACAGAGGCCCAGAGAAGGCTATGTGCACAAGTCCTGGGCTCTGAAGCCCGATGGCCTGGGTTCAAATGCAGCTGTAACCTGGGGCAAGTACTGGACCTTTTAGTGCCTCTGTTTCCTCATCTGTTAAGAAAGGGAACAGTAACAGCAGCCACCTCGGAGGGCAGCTGTGAGGACTGAACACATGAAGCGCCAAGAAGGGCTGGCGAATGGGGGAACACAGCGTTTACTTTGACGGCACATATCTGGAATGAGAGCGCCGCGCCCATGATTGTGCAGCCAGGGGGAGTGTGTGTGTCCCCAGGGTGAGGAGGTGTGTGTGGGGAGTACCGCCCAGGCCTCCGCCCTGGTCGGACGGGGCAGCCAGGCCCACATACCTGCCTCGGTGGCCGAGTCCTTGCACTGCCTGGCTTTGTTCTGACTCTGAGGAAACAGAGGGGAAGCAGCGCTAAGCCCCTGCCCCAGGAGCCAGGGCCCACCCCAGCAGACCTGAAGTGACTGTCAAGCTTCCCCGGCCACCCTGGGGGGAACATTCAGGAGCCAACTATGGGCAGATGCCATCATCCACAAGCAACCTCCGCCCACAGAGGACCACAGGCTAGCTCCATGGAAAGAGAACGAAGACAGGAACCGAGCCCAGGAGGATGCCTGTGAAGAGTGAGACCACAACCCACAGGAGAGGTGCAACTACTGCTGAGCCCCCTGGCTGGGACTTGGGCTCTGGCCCCTGACTGACTGCCCCCAGCTCACCCTCAGGCCACTTCCCTCTCTGGGCCTCAGCCTTCCTGTCTGTGCAATGAGTGATGTGTTTCCTGGGCTCTGGGAGCTCTGATACCCCCACTCTGGCCTAGGGGCCACAGCATCAGGAGCATGGGCTCTAGACCACCTGAGTTGGGGGTCCCTTTTCTGCTGCTTCCTGGCTCTGAGACCTTAGACAAGTCACTTACTGTGAGCCTCAGTTTCCTCTCTGTGACATGGGCCTACTGAGCCCTTCTCCAAGGTTGTGTGAGGGTTGGCGTCTGCTCTCATCACCCTGTGGGCCTCAGTGGGCCTGCACCGAGGAATGGGTCCCTGAGTGCCGCCTGACGGTGGCAAAGGGGATCCAGCTGACCTGCCTGTCCATGGCCTGAGGTTCTCTCCAGGAAACCCATTTCACAGATGGGGAGATTGGGGGTCAGAGAGGGCTAAGCAGCATCCCCAGATGCAGATCTTGCCTGGGGGTGTCTACGGCACCCCTTCCTTGCCTCCCCCACTGCCCCCAGCCCTGGGCGACCCACACGGCCCAGCAGCCCAGCGCACCTTCTCCACCTGCTTCTGGTGGCCGTTGGCGCTAATGCGCTCGAAGGCCTGCTCCGCGTCGTCCGCGTCCCGGCACTTCTGCTCGTATGTCTTCTTGGACTGGGGGTGTGGAGGGGCGTGACTTGGGGGCTGCACAGCCCTGTTCTGTGGTCCCCGGGAGTGAGGCTCCCTTAGCCCAGCCTCCCTTTTTCCCTGGCGAGGGTTGCGGGTGGAGTGGGGGCATCCTCACCAGGGACAGGGATCTGGGGGTCCGGAAGGAGATAGAGAAGGCGTGGGGGCTGCTGGTAGTCCTGCTCTCAGGCCCTCCCCACTGAGGACAGCGCGGCCTGCCCCGGGCCCCGCCTCCTGGGCTGTGCTCTTCGGCGAGGGCACGCCCCTCGCCACGCCCCTCGCCACGCCGCGCCCTCTTAGGAGCCCCTCTCCCTTCCTGTCCAGCGTCTCGCAGGATCAAGCTCAGGGGTCCCTCCTCCCTCCACCCCTGGAGTCCCCAGCTGACTTCATCTGCCCTTCATTCACGAGCCCCACAAGGGAAGGGCCCGGGACCATCCCCACGGGGCCATAGCGCCCAGCACGGGCCCAAGCGCCCCGCAGGCTGGTGCGCCCAAGGCCGAGGTCCGAGGACCAAGGCTGAGGTCAGCCTGTTCCAAATGCCCTGCCCGGGGCCACAGCCCAGGATCGCACCCTGAGACCTGCGCTGCTCCTCGAGGGAAGGCCGCGGCCCCAGGCCCTGGCGCTCACCTCCATGGCCTTCTTGTAGAGCGACAGCTTGCTCTTCTGGACCCGGTCCATGACGGCCTCATACTGCAGGGGACACGAGGTTCTGAGCCGAGGGCCGCGGCCTCGGGAGGCTCCCCTAGGCCAAGAGGACGGAGTGTCCCTGGGATGAGGCGCAGCACCTCTCCTGGCTCTGGAGAGAGGGTGACAGGCTGCCCTCCCTCCCCCAGAGCCTGCTGCTTCACAGTGACCCTCACAATGGAAGGCCACAGAGAATCACAGGGCATGGGTGTGCCGTGAGGTCCTTGCTGCAGACCTTGGCCAGAGCTTCGTCTCCAGCTGGGGAGTTCCCACCCCAACACACGTGCGCACACAGTCGTTCATCCTGCATCCCTGAGCCTCTGCAGGCATCACAGTCGCTCACACGTGTGTGTACACTCTGGCACACACATACATGCAGAGTTCCACATTAACTCGGAGGCACACAGGCCCCATCCCTAGCTGCCCACACGCATGATCACAGGCATTCCTGTGCACACCCACAGATGCCACTCACAAGTACACACTCCCACAGTCACCCACACACAACCACAGGCCACATGCAGGCACAGTGGCCACTGGGCCCCTGTGCCGAGGTCTGGGGCCAAAGCCTCCCCTCACCTCCCAGGCTTCCTGTTCTGATAGAGAAGGCAAAACAGCCAGGACAGCGACTGGGTTATGAGGTAGGAGGAGAACTGAGCCAGTTTGTGCCTGGGGTCTCAGGGGAGGGGTTCTGTGCCAGCTGGGAGACCAGCGAGGCACAGGCACTCACACACACACAGCACAAAACACCCAAGTGCACAGGGCTGGACAAGGACACATGCTCACAGGCATATGCAGGGGAGCGTAGGCACGTGTGCACCATCCTGTAAGCACATGTCCTTGCTCTGTGGCACACGCACATACACACACAGGCTCAGACACACATGGCACACACTACAACACAGCGCTCTGCCTGCGGGGCCCTGGCCACTTGGAGAAAGAATGCTCTGTCCAAAACAGCCTTTGCAGCCAGTGCAGCTCCT